>NC_000022.11:42459564-43709564 GCF_000001405.40 Homo sapiens | reverse complement strand
GTGCATCACAGTTTTATGTTGTGTTTTTTAAAATAGAAATGCATATTATAGACATTTTTCATGTTGGCTTCATAGTCTTCAAAATTATAATTGTAATGAATGCATACAATGTCATTCAGCTAACATTTGTTGAGTGCCTTTCTATATCAGACATTGTGGTAGATGCTAAAAATGAAGAAATAAGGCCGGGCGCAGTGGTTCATGCATGTAATTCCAGCATTTTGGGAGGCCAAAGCAGGTGGATCACCTGAGGTCAGGAGTTCGAGACCAGCCTGGCCAACAAGGTGAAACCCTGTCTCTACTAAAAGTGCAAAAATTAGCCGGGCATGGTGGTGGGCGCCTGTAATCCCAGCTATTTGGGAGGCTGAGGCAGGAGAATCGCTTGAACCCAGGAGGCAGAGGTTGCAGTGAGCTAAGATTGCACCACTGCACCCCAGCCTGGGCAACAGAGCACGACTCTGTCCCAAAAAATGAAGAAATAAATAACAAATTGTCCCAAGCTAGAAAGACTTGCCAGAGTGATGATATCTATGAAGAATATGATGGGTGCATAGAATGCGTGTTTTGGGGGTTGAGGGTGGCCAGGGCTGAGGTGTTCTTATAACTTGTTCTAGCGAGGGACCTAGGGATTTCTGAGTCTCTTTTTTGCATTCACCCCAAATTCCCAGTGGAATAGGTTACTGGAAACCATAGCAGAGTGAACACTCAAGTGCTAATATCATAAATGCTGTATTATATACAATTCTCCTGGTACACATATCTGGAAGTACAGATTTGTCATATGTTCCTGGTCAGCTGTTCCCTTTACTATTATATCATAGCCCTTTTATCCCTATGAATGCCTTTTGTGGTCTATCTTATCTACTATTGAAATATAACAGTTTTCATTAGTATTTGTCAGGTATATCTTTTTCCAACTTTTTACTCTTTTATTGTGATATTTTAGGTATTTCTTATTAAATAGCATATATCTATATGTTTTAAAATTCCAAGAGTAACATCTTTGCTTTTTTCACTGTCAAGTTTAGTCTGTTTTCATTTATTGTGATTAATATGTTTGGATTCTTCCCCCTACCTCTTATTTTGTATTATTATTTCTTCTGCTCTTCTTTTTTTCTTTATTCCTCGTCTTTCTTGTTTGGTATTGGCTAAGTTTTCCTTTTTTTTTGAGACAGAGTCTCACTCTGTCACCCAGGTGGAGCGTGATCTCAGCTCACCGCAGCCTCTCCCTCCCGTGTTCAAGCGATTCTCCTGCCTCAGCTTCTCCAGTAGCTGGGTTTACAGGCATGCGCCACCATGCCCAGCTAATTTTTGATTTTCAGTAGAGATAGGGTTTCGCCATGTTGGCCAGGCTGGTCTCAAACTCCTGACCTCAGGTGATCTGCCCACCTCAGCCTCCCAAAGCACTGGGATTACAGGCGTGAGCCACTGTGCCTGGCCAACTTTCTTTCTTTCTTTTTTTTTTTTTTTTTTTTAGTTTTCTTTATCACTCTTTTTTTTCCCTTCCACTGTTTTAAGACTTAAATATCTTATTTCTATTCTTATAGTGGTTTTCCTTAAAATTTTCACGTGTTCTAAACTTATAAAGTCTAAAAATCAGTATTTCTACTGTCTTGAATGAAAAAGCGCCTTCACCTTCCATTTTGTCATTGACTTGGGCTTTGCTTCTGCCTTGTTTTGATGGGACCTGCATTCATCACTGTTGTTTTTATGACTCATGCCTGTTTAGGTTTTCCCATGATTACCAGTTTGTTTGCTCATTACTGCCTCAGAAACCTCTCTCCTTTCTTCTGGAGTCAATTTCCTGAGGTATATCTTTTGGTAGTCCGTTTAGCAAGGTCCTGTGAGTGTTTAGTTCAGTTTTTGTTTTCAAAAATATCTTCATTTTGCCCTACTCTTTAATGAAAATGTAGCAGGGAACAGAATTCTTGTCTGAGAATTATCTCCTTTTAGTACCACGAAGGTACTCTTCACGGTCTTCTGGCCTCTGCTGTTGCTGTGAGGTTCTGCTCTTTGTCTGTCATTCCTTTATAGGTGATTTCTTTTTTAAGATTTTTTTTCTTTTTGTTACTTTACAGTTTCCCTACCATGTATCTTGGTACAGATGTCTATTTAACCTTCCCACACTCCTGCTATTGCAATCTGAGAATTCGTATTTTTCAGTTTTTGAACGTTCCCAGCTATGATTCTTTGAATATTGTCTCCACCCCATTCTCACTGGTCTTTTCTTCTGGAACTCCTATTACATTACATAAATATTGGGTCTTCCCATTTCATTCTTCATGTCTCTTAAACTGTCTTTTATATTTTTCATGTCTTTATCTCTTGGCTGCATTTTGGCTATTTTTCTAGGATCGATTTTGGTTCACTGCTGTGCCAAATCTACTCCCAGTCTTGCACAATCCCAAGTCTTCTAACCCCAAATGTGCATTAAAACCCCATTCCCTTTGAGCCTACACTAGATTTCAGGGTTGCTATTAGCACATACAGCTCTGTCTGGGCTTGATAAAGCCCTGGGCTCTTGTTGCAGCAGCTCATGTTCTTACTGTCCTTGACATGGGTCTTTCCTTGCTCCTAATACCTATGGATTTCCCTTTCTTGGTTTCCACTTCAGCTCTGAATTTAAAATCATTTTGTTGATAGATTTATTCCAGTCTTTTTACTTATTTACTTATTCCACAGGCTGGAAGGAGGTCCAGTGTTGCCAAAGGCCTCCTTTAATGTGTTCGTGCTGGCTGGGAAGTTAGCAATGCCTTTTATAGTAAACAACTGAGATGAACCTTTGGGGGCTAAATAGGAGTTTCTGACGTGGACACATTGGAAAAAGCCATTCCATCCAGAGAAAGCAAACAGCACTTTTAAAAGAGCTGCGTTTGATTGGATCATGATCAATTGTTTGTGCACTTTATACATCAGACTATTTAACTGTTTGTCTGCCATCTGGGCCTTTAGGTTCTTTATAATTTTGCATATGTTTGCCCAGTCAGTCAATAAATAATTCTTGAGCACTTATTATATACCAGGCACTGTGCTGGATACCAAAGACTCATTGGAGAATAAGAAGGACATGATTGCTGCCCTCAAAGAACTGTGCCTGCTGGTGGGGGAGACCAACACAAAGCAAACCTATGAATAATGAGCTAGAATATGCAATGTGATTCGTGCTCTGGAAAGAATCAGCAGGGGACTACAATGGAGAATAACAAAGAGGAACTACTTCTGATTCAGTTTTCTGGAAAGGCTTCTATGAAAAGGTGAGAGGCAGGAGAAGCAGCCACAGGAAGAACTGTGGGAGGAGCCTCCCAGGAGCAGGCCCCTGGCTCCAAGGACTGCCCCACGTGGTATGTTCTGGGGCCTGGCAGAAGCCAGTGTTCCTGGAGCCGAGTTGGCAGTTAAAAAATATTTTCTGTTTCTTCGTGATTCAGTCTTGGAAGGTTGTATATGTCTAGATTATATTCATTTATTCTAGGTTATTCAATTTTTTGGCATATAATTGTTCATAATAGTCTCACGATCCTTTGTATTTCTGTGGTATCAATTATAATATCTCCTCTTTCATTTCCTTTTATCTTAGTCTAGGTAAATATTTGTTTATTTTGTTTATCTTTTCAAAAAGCCAACCCTTATCTTCATTGATCTTTTGTTTTCCTAGTCTCTATGTATCTTATTTCTGCTTTGATCTTTATTATTTCTTTCCTTCTGCTGACACTGGATTAGTTTGCTCTTTTTTTCTATTTCCTTGAGGCATAAGTTTCAGTTGTTCATTTGGGATCTTCTTGTTTGGTGTAGGCATTTATTGGTATAAACTTTCCTCTTAGAATTGCTTTTGTTGCATCCCACATATTTTAGTATATTGTGCTTCCACTTTCGTTTGTCTTAAGATATTTTAAATTTTCCACTTTAATTTCTTTATTGTTTGTTGTTATTTATTATCTATTGGTTGTTCAAGAGCATATTGTTTAATTTCCATGTATTTGTGATTTTTCTTTCAAAATTCCCCATTATTGGTTTCTAGTTTTAGATCATTGTGGTCAGAAAAGGTACGTGGTATGATTTCAGTCTTCTTAAATGTGCTAAGACTTGTCTTGTGGCCTATTATCTGATCTATTTGGAGAATGTTCCATTTGCGCTTGAGATGAATGTATATTCTGTTGCTGTGAGATAGAATGTTCTATATATTTATTAGATCCCCTTGGTCTAAAGTGTTGTTCAAGTCCAGTGTTTCCTTATTAATTTTTTATCTGGATGATCTGTCCATTATTGAAAGTGGGGTATTGAAATCCCCTACTATTATTATATTGCAATCTGACCTTCCCTTCAGATCCTTTAATATTTGCTTTATATATTTAGGTGCTCTTATGTTAGGTGCATATAAATTTATAATTGTTAAATCATCTTGATGAAGTGACCCCTTTATCATTATATAATGTCCTTTGTTTCTTTTTACAATTTTTGACTTAAAATCTATTTTGTCCGATATAAGCATAGCTATCCTTTCTCATTTGGTTTCCATTTGCATGGAATATCTTTTTTCATCCCTTTACTTTCAGTCTATGTATGTCCTTAAAAGTGAGGCAAGTCTCCTGTGGGCAGCATAGAGTTGGTCACTCTATGTCTTTTTTATTGGAGAATTTAATCCATTTACATCCATAGTAATTATTGATAGGGAAGAACTTATTACTACCATTTTGTTAATTGTTTTCTGGTTGTTTTGTAGGCATTTTCTTTCTTTCTTCCTCTCTTGGTATCTTCCTTTGTGGTTTCATGGTTTTCTGTAATGGTATGCTTTCTATTTTTGTTTTGTGCATCTACTATAGATTTTTGTTTTGTTGTTACCATGAGGCTTGCGTAGAAATTTTATACTTACATAGTCCACTTTATGCTGATAACAACTTAACTTTGATTGCATACAGCACATCTACACTTTTATCCCCCTCATTTAATGTTTTTGATGTCAAAATTTACATAATCTTATATATTTCTTGACAATTTATTCTAATTATAGTTGTTATTAATAGTTCTGTCTTTTAAATTCCTTTTAACATTTGTACTGAAGATACAATCACTTTACACATCACCATTTCAGTCCTAGAGTATTCTAAACATGACTGCGTAATATTTATACCATTGAGTTTTGTGTTTTTGTAACTTTTATGTTAATAATTAGCAGCCTTTTGTTTCAACTTAAAGAACTCTCTTTAGCAATTCCTGTGAGGCAGGCCTAGTAGTGATGAATTCTCTTAGCTTTTGTATGTCTGGGAGAGTTTTTATTTCTCAATCATCTCTGAAAAACAGTTTTTCTGGGTGAAGTATTCTCGGTTGTCAGGGTTTTTTTCCCCATTAGCCCTTTGAATATATCATCCCACTCTCTCCTGTTTCTGTGGAGAAATCTGCTGATAGTCATGTTGGGACCTCTTTGTATGTGATATGTTTTTTTAATCTCTTGCTACTCTCAGGATTTTTTCTTTGTATTTGATTTTTGATAGTTTGATTATTATGTTGTCTTGGCGACCTCCTCTTTGGGTTGAATTTGATTAGAGACCTCTGTGCTTCCTGTAACTTGGGGATACTGGTATCTTTTCCCAAATTAGGGAAGTTTTCAGTCATTATTTCTTTAAATATGCTTTCTAGGCTTTTTTTCTTCTGCTTCTTGAATTTCTATTATGTGTATATTAGGTCCCTTGATGGTGTCCCATAATTCCCATAGGTTTTCTTCATCTGCTTTTATTCTTTTTTTCCTTTTGTTCCTCTGATTGGATCATCTCAAATGTTTTATCTTCAAGCTCATTGATTCCTTCTTCAGCTTGAATGAGCATGCTGTTGAAGCTTTTGGTTGCATTTTTTTTTTCAGTTCAGTTATTGTATTCTTCATCTCTAGGATTTCTATTTGGGTTTTAAAAAAATTGTTTCTATTTCTTTGTCAAACCTTTATTTTTTTTCATGTATTGCTTTCCAAATTTTATTTTATTTTTTAGTCTATCTATTCTTGTAGCTCACTGAATTTTAAGAGGATTGTTCTGAATTCCTTGTCTATCATTTAATACATCTTCCTTTCTTTAGGGTCCATTGTTGGAGCTTTGTTAGTTTATTTTGGAAGTGTCATGATTTTTTGAGTCTGTTACCCTTCTGTCATCGTGTTGGTATCCATGCATTTGAAAAGACAACCACCTTTTCTGGCTTTTACAGGTGTTCTTTGGCAGAAATAGATATTCATTATTCAGTCTAGCTTGTGATTCTGTATGGGACAGCTGGTAATGACCATGGGCAGACAGAGCTTGCTTTTGGGTGTTCTAGATGGCTGGGCTACTGTGTTGGCTCTGAGTTCAGGTGGGGCAGCCAAGCTGGGCTCAGTAATCAGGCTGAGCTGCTGGATGGACATTACAGTTGCCTTATATTGGGCTGGGCCACAGAGTAGATTTCCTGGCCATGTGGTACTGCTATTTCAGTTCAACAGTTGGACAGGGTTGCAGGAGGGGTCCCAAGGTTAGATGGAATTGCTGGTAGGGATGGATGGGAGCTGACACTTTACTCTAGTAGAAATGCACAGTTCACGTTTGCCTTCCTGCCTATGTGGGTCCTTGGGGTGGGCTTTGAGGCTGGGCTGAACATTGTTTAAACTACTGGGTATGGCATATCTAGCCTCTGCTCTTTGCTGAAATTCAATGTGGTGGTAATTTTCCTGCTTGGATAATGTCTAAAAGCCCCAGGGTAGGGTCTAAGGCTGGTTTTGAAGGCTAGCCATCTATAAATTCAAGCCAAGTGGAACTTCTTTTTATTTCTGGGAGTTATTAGCTCAGCTTTGCAGGTGTGATATGCAGTTAGATGGTACCTCTGATTGGGCACCACTGTTGGCAGGTACACAGAGCTCCCGCTTTGTCTCCTTGCTTTGTTTCTACCTGACTCCAGATGGTCTAGCCATGCCATTTCCCTGTGTTGCCTTTGAGGTGAGATGGGAATGGGCTTCCTGGGAAGCATCTTGGAATGCCAGGAAGCTGGGCGTCCACCTCCAGCTCTCTTTTCCCTCTGTAGAAACTGTTGTTCCTGGGGAAACACTTTCTGTGTGGTACTTTATCGACTTAGGGGAATGCGGTTAAAATGAGACCATTTCTTCTACCCTTTTTATGTGGTTTTTATTTTGTTCTGTGAATCACACAGGTGATTCAGGCCTATTTCCAATTTGGGGCATTTCCACCAAGGTGTTCCTGTCTGTGAATGGTTGCTAGTTGAACTTTCTGTGAGGGAGTAGTGGAGCCTGCGACCGACAATTCTGTCATCTTGCTGACTTCACCTCTCCCTTTTATTATTTTTTATAAGGACTGCCAAATTGTTCTCTCAAAAGAGTAGTGATTCACATTGCCATCAACATTGTGTGAGTGTTCTACTTTCATATTCTTCCCAGCATTGAATATTAACATTGTTTTAAAATATTGATAACTCATGAGGTGTAAAGTAGTGCCTTGTGATTGTTTTAATTTCTGTTTCTCGTAGTGTGTGAGGCTGGACCTTCCCATGTACCTGGGCACTGACTGGGTCTCTTCTTCTCTTCACATCCCCCCCATTGGTTAATTTAATTTTGTCACCTCTTTGTTTAATATTTTAAAATAATTAGATAATTATTAAAAGGTAACCCTTTTCTGTCATAAGTACTGCAGCTATTTTTCTTAGCCTGTTATTTCCCTTTTATTATATGATACCTCACTGTTTTGAAGTTTACATTTTAACATAATCAAATACATGCATCTTCTTCTGAATGTCTTTTATTGCTTAAGATCCGTAAATTCATCATTCTTACCCAGGCTTGATAAGAAATCTGTGACTCTGCTTTTTTTTTTTTTTTATTGTTTAAAACAAAACTCTTTATCCTAATATAAGGCAGGTATCCAAATTAAAAAAAATTTTTCCAAATAGATAATCTATTTTCCCACCATCATTTATTAAATAATATGTTATTTCCTCCATTGTTTTTAGTGTCTGTTTTGCCATATATTAAATTCTTATCAATAATTTGGTCCAATTTGTATTTTTTATTCTGTTTCATCAATCTAAATTTCTGTTGTACATGGGCATTTCTATACAATGCCCTGTCTACAATGGTCCAACCAACTGCCTTTTTATTTTCTTTTATATTTTTACAGAGAACATTGAGTTCCTCATACTTTCAGAGTTATTTGTTTTTAACCTATTTCTTGAGTCTAGATGGTGATTGTTGAGGACTTATGACTAATAATGTCATCTCCTAAGAAGGAAGAATCTGCTGAATTCTACCATGAAATATTGGACTAAGAACAATGAATTAGAGGAGGGGAATAGTGCTGTGCAGTGAGTGGTACTGGGGGTTGCCCTGGCCCACTGGGTAGCACTGTGTTTCTCTTTCTTTTGCTACCCTCTCAAGCCCCAGGGAGAAAGTGGTGGAGTCAGAAAACCTGGTATTACCAGAAGACAGCAAATCTACCTTTGCACTCAGAGGATCACAAAAAACATTCATTCATCTTCCAGATTTAGGTTTCATATTTTGTTGATTTACCAGGACGAGGCTATCTTTTATTGAGATAGACTCTTTTATTTATCTTTTATTAAATTTCATATGTTTTGTATTTTAAAAAATATTTAAGAGTTCATTTAAAAACCCATGCACAAATATTTATAGTAGCTCTCTTCATGATCACTTGAAACTGGAAAAAACTCAAATGTAACTCAGCGGATGAATTAATAAACAAACTGGTAAATATATGCAATGAAATATTTCTCATCAATAAAAAGGAATAAGCCATGTTGATATGCACAACATGGATGAATCTCATCAAAGACATTGTGCTAAGTGAAAGAAACCAGTCTCAAGGTTGCTACAGTAGGATTCTATTTGCAAGACATTCCGGAAAAGGCAAAACAATAAGAATGGATAAAAGGCCAGTGATTTGCCAGGGTTGGAAGTGAGGGAAGGTGAGTCTCCACAGGTGCAGCACGAGGGGACCGTTCTGTCATTCTGTCTCCCGAGTGTGGGAATCTGCATGAATCTACGCATGTGTTAAACTCATACAACTGTACACCAAGAGAAAAAGTCAGGCTTACTGCATTTTAACTTAAGAAGTACAATTTAAATATACGCTATGGGTTTTTTTTCCTAAAAGCAAATAATGCAAGAAAGAGTAAAGAAGGAAGTAAAATAAAATCTAAAATCTTATGCCTAACAAAATGATTTGAGAGTGCCTATTCTTACCATCCAATTTAATAATGGATAGTACAAAAAACAGATATCTTTTTGAGCTTGATATTTCTAAAATATACAATATCTAGGGCTTAAATTTTAAACCCTAACAGCTTGGTAATAAGACATAAAAATCTAGATCGAAATAATATTTTAGACTTTAAAAAGCTGTTTTCTGTGTGTGTGTATGTGCATGTGTGTAGTATTTTCTTAATAAAAGGGTAGACTTTAATTGAACTGCTAACTCGACCCTTTGACTAACATGGTGTGCGTTTCAATGTTGCCTAGCTTTTCCTATAAAATAAATCTGTTAAAAATAAAACCTGTGTTTAAATATGATGAGGTTTAAGGAAGAGTTGAGATGATGAAATAAATGAATGCTATAACTTGTAACTTGCGTATTCGCCGGAGATCATACATCGTCCTTCCATCATGTGAGCAGGTCTTCACTCACATTCTCCTGTTAAGAATGTTCCCATTCACGCTGGTAACAATAGTAGCGTGGCAGAAGCTATACAAACAGAAAAAATAAGCCATTTAGTCTAAATTATATGAAGTGTAGAAGCAAAACTCTGGGTTATATTTTCAGTTATTATTGAAACCGTGGTAACCCACGTGTTTAGGATCTCTTCTACTTATATGACATTTTGGAAAAGGAGAAAATATCAGTGGTTAACAGGGCTATGGGTTAGGCGAGGGTGTGACTCCCGAGGAGAAACATGGGGAGGTCTTGGGGGTGATGGAATCATTCTGTATGCTTATCATGGTCTTCTTAACTTGAACATTACATTGGTCAGAGTCCAGGCAGAAAACAGATGGCACACTAAAAAGAGTGACTGATGTGAGTTTATTAAAGGATCTTTTACCCAAGCGAAGGCAGGTTCAAGTAAGGCCAGTAGTTGAGGAAGCATCTCAGGGATACGAACAGGGGGAAGCCAGGATCCCTCCTAGGCCTGAGGGGGCAAGAAAGGGAGCAGTTACTGAAATGAACGAGGACAGGGTTGCCCTCAGGGGATGAGGTCTTAGGGAGAAGAACATGACTATTGCCAAGCTGCTGCCCAGCAGGGCAGGAACTGAGGGAATAAATAGTTCACTTCTTTCTCCTCTCACCTTCCAACCTTCTGCTGGTGCCTCACACTGCCCAAAACCAGCCAAAAGCCAGGAGCATGAGAGTCCAGTTAAAGCAACCCACCTGCGTGTCATGCAGAGTTGATAAGAGCAGAAAGTGGATCTAGATGAACAGACAAAGAATATCCAGTGCAGTCAATCCCTCCGAGCCTCAGCATCCTTTTAGGGGTGAAAACCTTGTGTTCTCAAAAGAGGAGTTACTCAAAGTCCTGCCAGCTGCCATATTATTCCAGGGAGATGTCAATCCTGTTATGCCTCTACCCAGAATCTAAAATGTTCTTTTAACCAGTGCTTTTTGTATAAGGCAATGGAGGGAATAGAAAAAGAGAAACCACATACAATTGAGCTGCTAAAACTCACATAATTGTAGCTAGTCATGAGATCTAGAGTGATAATTGTAAATGCCCTTCCTCCACTTCCCATTCTATGTCTCCCTTTCTCTGTCAGCATCTTTGCTGGGCAGCATTGTTCACCTGGTGAGTTACCCACCTTTCCTCAGGGAACTCAGTCCTTGGGGTTCTCTTTATTGGGCCACCACAGCTGGGTTAAGGCATATAATGCATCCTGAAGCACAGCACCCTAACTTCACAGGACATTTCCTCTTAGCCAACTCTGTAATGGAGTCATCAGCAAAGTATTCAACCATTCTATGATGTCACCTATGCTGGGTGATATGGGGTATGTGGTAAGACAATTGAATTTTGTGGGTCTGAGACCATTGCCACACCTTCTTCACTCAACAAATGAGCTCCTTGGATAAAGGCTATATTGCATGGGATATCTTGGTGATGGATACAGCATCCCGGGGCTCCACAAATGACAGTAATGGGCAGAAGCATTTCAGACAAGGAAGCCCGATTTGAATCTGGGATGTGTATGTACACAAATCCCCACAAATCTTGAATTTTACTCTTGCCCCCTCCATGATGGCAGGGATCCAGTGTAATCTTTACCAGCTGTCTGCAAAGTCCACCCAGAGAAAGGGACTGGGCTGAGGGCTCAGTGTTGGCCTCTGCTGTTGACCGGTTGGATACTTGGCAGAGCAGTGCCAGCTCAGCTTTAGTGACAGGAAGTTCATGTTTTCAAACCAACACACTGTCTCCATTTCTGCCACCCTGAAAGCCCATGAACAAGCAGCAGTTTTCTGGGGAAGCTGACTCAGCATGTACCTATGGCTATATTGCAGGGTGTTCTTCAAAGGTATCCAGAGTCCCCCTCAGTTAAGGGGCTCTGCGTCTATGACCTGGGCAAAAGACCATGAATTCCCATGGGTCCCTATGACCGATATGATCAGTCCCTTTGCCTCTGTCACCCTTTGCTGCCTCTTCTGACACTATCCATCTGTCGAATGGATTAGAGGCTCTTTGGGAACAGTGTGACAAGTCTGTATGTTTCTTCTGCCCTCTCTGTACGTGAAGTCACATGCTACGATGTCTCTACTTGGATTCATAGGATGGGAAAGAGGGACTGGGAATGATACTTGGTTCCCCATGTCGGAATCCAGAGGGATAGCTGCTTGCTGCCTGAGACAATAAAAGGAGCCCCTGGGACACTTTTAGGAGCAAAATAATCAGCTGTTATCTTTGTGACTTTGGTTAAGGATGGTTATTCATGTGTTTTTTAGCAAAATTACCTGCTGATTTTTTATTTTTGAAAATTATGTTTATTTATGCTGATTATAAAAGCCATGGAAACTGGACAATAAAGGAAACTATAAAGGAAAAAAAAGAACTACCATAAATGTAATAGCCAGAGATAGCTACTATTAATATTTTGATATATTTCCTTCCAGAATTTCTTTTGTGCGTGTATGTACACACAGTCACATACATACTTAACATAGTTGAGACCATATGAGGTATAGATTACATTCTGTTTTCTCATAGAATATTATATCAGGAGCATTTTTCATGTCATTAAAGAAACCTTTGAAATTAATTTTTAATGGCTCCATGATGTTTTGTTAACTCTCAAGTCAAAGGGTTTGAAGATTTTTAAGGTTTACGTTAGGTAATGCTAAAATGCACTTCAGAAAGGTGTTAATTTATTCTTAAGCTGGAAGTTCACAGGAATACTTCTTGCCAGCATTGAACACTGCCATTTAAACACCCTGGCTGATTTGGTAGGCGAAAGCACAGCTTCTCATTGTGTTTTGATTTACATGTCCTTGATTTATATTGAGGTTGCATATTTTTTGCATTTGAAAGTTTCCTGTACTTCCTCTGTAAACAATTGTTTATGTCCTTTGTCCATTTTCTATGTCTAAAAATTTTGGTCCTAGCTTTATAGAGGTATAAATTATAAATTCATTTTTAAGTGTATATTTTAATTGAGTTTCGCAATTGTTTATGTAACCACTACTGCAGTCAAGATTTAAAACACTTCATAGCCCTATAATTTTACATTTGCCCTGTGTAATTAATCCCCTCCCGTGACCCCCACCTCCGGCAACCATTGACTTGCTCTCTGTCACTGTCACTATAGATTTACCTTTTCTAAGTGTTCTCATAAATGGAGTCATACAGTGGTAGTCTTTTGTGTTTGACCACTTTGACTTACCATGTTTTAAAGATTGATCCATGTTGTTGCATATCTCAACATCCCATTAATTTTCATTGCTGAGTCATATTGCTTAGTATTGATATATCACAATTTGTTTATACGCTCACCAGTTGATAGACACATGCATGGGTTGTTTTCAGTTTGGGGTAATTACAGAAGATACTGCTATGACCATTCATATACAAGTCTTTGTGTGGACATGTTTTCATTTCTTGTGAGTACATGTCTAATAGTAAAATTGGTGGATTGCATGGTGAGTGTATGTTTAAATTTGTGATACTATGTAACTGTTTTTCAAAGTGACTACCATCTTGCAATTCCACCAGCAGTATGTAACAATTCCAGATGTGGCACATTCTCACCAACACTTGCTATTGCCATCTTATTTTAGCCATTCTAGAGGTGTGTAGAGGTATCTCAGTCTGTTTTAAATTTGCATTTTCCTGATGATGAAATGATATTGATCCTCTTTTTATGTGATTATTGGCCATTCATATATATTCTTTTGTTAAGTAATGGTACAAATCATTTTTCCATTTTTATCAGGTTATTTTCCTATTGCTGATTTGTAAGAGTTCTTTATATACTCTGAGTATAAGCATTTTATCAGATATATGTTTTCAGATATTTTCCCTCAGTGTGGCTTGCTCTTTCATTTTCTTAGCTCTTTCTTCTGAAATATAAACATTTTTAATTTTGAGACAGTCCATTTACAAAATTTTATGGGTAATATTTTGGGGGTGTCTATTCTCAGAAATCTTTGCCTAACCTAGTATCACAAAGATTTAATCCTGTGTTTTCCACTAGAAGTTTAGTCATTTTAGCTTTTACATTTGGATTCATTTCTAGTTTTTGTATATGGTGTGAGATAAGGGTCAAGGTTAATTCTGTTTCCATACAGATATCCAATTGTTCCAGCACCATTTGTTGAAAAGGCAGCCCCTTCTCCAATGAATTACTTTGCACGTTTGTTGAAAATTAACTAACCATATAAGTGTGAGTATATTTCTGGATTCCTTAGTCTCTGTCGGTCTATTCTCGCATCAGTACTGTGGTTTCTTGATTACTGTAGCTAAAGAGTTAAGTCTTGAAATTAGATTGTATGAGTCCTCCAAACTTGTTTTTCTATTTCAAAATCATTTGACTATTCTAGGTTCTTTGTCTTTCTATATAGTCATGTTAAAATCAGTTTGTCAGTATATGTTTTTGAAAGCCTGCTAGGATTTATATTATAAATACATTAAAAAGTATTGCCATTTGCCACTTTAACAATATTGTTTTCCACTCCATAAACATGCTACTTTCCACTTATTTAATTGTCTTTAATTTTCCTAGTCAAAGTTTTATTGTTTACAATGTTCGGATCTTGCATATAATATCTAAAATTTATTCCTAAGTGTTTTTGTTTTTTGATGAAACTGTACATGGAATTTTTTAAAATTTCATTTTCCAACGATTTATGGCTATTAATCAGAAATACAATTGATGTTTGTATATTGACTTTGAATATCATGACTTTATTAAATTCACTGGTTAATTAGTTCTAGACCTTTTGTTGTAGATTTCTTGTAAGTACAGTCATGTCACCTAAAAATAAAAGCAAGCTTGCATCTTTCTTCCCAATCTGTATGCCTCTTATTTTGTTTTCTAGCCTTATTTTACTGGCTATGACAATTTTACTATCTAGGCAGTTTTACTGGCCAGGACTGGCTAGAGTGTTAAGTATAATGTTGAACAGAAATGGTGATATTAGACATTCCTGCTTTATTCCTGATCTTAGGTAGAAAGCGTTCCATTTTACACCATTGAGTGTGATATTAGCAATGGATTGTTTTTGTTGTTGCTGTTGTTGATGTCCTTTATTAGTTTAAGGAATTTTCTATTACTTGTTTGCTGAAAGTGTTTATCAAGTATGTTGAATTCTGTCAAGTGGTTTTTCTGTGTCTATCCTAATGAGCATGTAGTTTTTCTCCATTATTCTATTACTATGGTAAGTTACATTGCTTGATTTTCAAATGTTAAGCCAACCTTGCATCCTAGGAGTAAACCTCACTTAGTGATAATACATTATTATACTTTTCATATGTTACCTGAGTCTATTTGTTAAATTTTGTTAAGAATTTTGTTTCATCTTTTTAAATGAGTGATGTTTGTCTAACATTGCCTTTTCTTGTAAAATCTTTGTCTCAGTTTGGGATCAGAGTAACAGTGACCTTGGGACATGTGTTGGGAAATGTTTCCTTCCTGAACTCTGCTTTCTGCCTGGTGTTATTTATATTCTTTAAATGTTTGATAGAATTCACCTGAGAAGCCATTTAGGCCTGGAGTTAGTTTGAGGGAATATTTTAAATCGTAAATTAGTTTGAGAAAGTTAATATAGAATTATTTGAGTTTTCTCTTTCTTCTTGGGTCATTTTGGTAATTTGTGTTTTTCAACAAATGTTTTTCCCATTCTTTCTCTCCTCTCTTTCTGTGACTCCAAGTACATATGTATCAGACCATCTAGTATTATATAACATGTTTTTAAGTCTATTCATTTTATAAATATATGTATATTCTGTATTCTTCATATTGGTTGGGTTCAGTTGATCAATATTTAAGTCACTCACTCTTTTCTCTGTCCTCTCCATTCTTTTGTTAAGCCTATTCAGTAAATTTTTTATTTCAGATAGTATTTTTCTCTTCTAGAATTTCCATTTAGTTCTTTTTATTGTATCCATTTTCTCTACTGAGATTTCCTGTCTTTCGATTTATTTTGGGCATATTTTTATTTATTTCATTGAGGATAGTTATAAACATTGCTTTTAAAATCCTGTGTGTTGATCCAGTATTTGAGTTATCCATTTTATCTTAATTGTCAAATGTATTGGCATAATGCTATTTATAATATTTCTTCATTATTCTTTTTTAAAATAACTATTTTAGGACAGTTTTAAATTTAAAGAACTATTGTAAAGACAGTACAGAGAATTTCAGTATACTCTGCCCCAGTTTTCCTATTATTATCTTTCATTAGTATGGTACCTTTTTCACAATTAATGAACTAATATTGATACGTTATTATTAAAGTCTGTAATTGATTTATATTTCCTCAGTTTTCCCATGATTTTTATTTTCTGTTCCAGGATATCATCTAGGATGCCCCATAGCACTTAGTAATCATCACGTGTCCTTAGTGTCCTCTTGAGTATGACAGTTACTTAAGATTTCCTTGTTTTTTGATGACCTTGCAAGTTTTGATGATTGCTGGTTAAATATTTTAAAGAATGTTCCTCAGTTGCAATTTGGCTGATTAGACTGGAGTAATGTGTTCTGGGGAGAAAGACCATACAGGTAAAGTGCCATTCTCATCACAGCATATTGAAGGTACATAGAGTCAACATGACTTGTCACTGTTGATGTTGACCTTGATCACATGGCTCCAGGTAGTGTCCTTTTACTTTCAGCCTATCCGGGTCTTTACATTAATGTGTCTCTCTTGTGACTGCATAAATTTGGATCTTGTTTTATAAAGAAATCTATTCTGATAATCTCTACCTTTTAAAAATCTTCGAGTAACTTTTTGCTTTCTTTTGGCACTTTATGACATTGTTCCACATCTTTCCACTTCTGTTGTTTTGAATGAAATGTCATCTCTTAAATTGGCATCTTCCTGTACCTAATGAGTCACTTTTCTCTTATTGCATTTGAGACCTACCCTTTGAATTTGACTTTCAGCTTTGTAGCTATGATGTACCTTGGCAAGGCCTTTTTCATGTATATCATGCTTGATGTTTGTTGTGTATCTTAAATCTGTAAATGTATATCTTTAATCAAACTTGGGAAAATTTTGGCCTTTATTTCTTCAAATATTTTTTTCTGTCCCATTCTCTCTCCTCTCCTTCTGTGACTCCAAGTACATATATGTCAGACCATCTAGTATTATATAACATGTTTTTAAGTCTACTCATTTGATAAATATATGTGTATTCTGTAGTCTTCATATTGGTTGGGTTCAGTTGGTCTATATTTAAGTTCACTCACTCTTTTCTCTATCTTCTCTATTCTTTTGTTAAGTCTATTCAGTAAATTTTTTATTTCAAATAGTATATTTTTCTTTTCTAGAATTTCCATTAGTTCTTTTTATTGTATCTGTTTCTCTGCTGAGATGTCCTATCCTTTGATTTATTGTGGGAATATTTTTATTTATTTTACTGAAGATAGTTGTAATCATTGCTTTTAAAATCCTGCATGTTAATGCCAATATTTGGGTTATCTCAGTTGATTTTCACTTCTCTTTAGTATGAGTTCAATTTTTTCTGGTTGTTCTTATGTGCTATATTTTTGTAATATATTCTGGACATTTGGAATGTTAAATTGTGGAGACTCTAAATTCAGTTATTTTTTTCTAATGAATGTTCTTTCTGTTATTTTAGTAGTCAGTTATCTTGTTGGATTCAAACTGCATACTCTGTTTCTTGGGTGGCAGCTCTGATCTCAGTTCAGATCTTTTGTGTTTAGCTAAGCTATTTTGAGTATATATTCTGAGCAGGAGAGGTTCAGGAGCCAGTAAGAATTTTGGTGAGTTAGATAGAATTTGGGGATCCCTCTCTGGCTGTTTCTCTTCCAGGATTTCTTCTTTCTCTCTTTTGGCTGGGATTAGTCTTCTAGTTTTCCAGGCCATAAAGGCTACTTATTATTATTTTTTTTAACTGATGTTCCTGCCACCCCTCATGCTGCAGTGCCTCATCCGAGGCTGAAAGCATTGAAAATACCACACCCCCACAGTTCTCCTGTTAGCATGGATTACCCACAAGACTTTGCCTGCTCTGGTCACAGTACTTTCAAATAGCTGCTCTTGATAATTATGTCCAGATTTTATCGTGATTATCTGGAGGAGGGTTGGGCCAGTAGGATCTTATTTTACCATTATTGGAAGAAGTCAAATTTTAGTATTTTCTTATTAATTTGTATAAGCACTTTATGCTTTAAGAATTTTAACAATTTATTGCATATATTTATAATTTTATTAATCTGTTGTTTGGCTTTTAAATTTTGTTTTTGTTTATGGTATACAAAAATCTTATATTTTGATGTAATTAAATAGGTAAGTTTGAGATTTCTTAAGTTTTGCTTAAAAATTCATTCTTATTCAAGTACCAGATAAGCGCATGCCTAGATTTTTTTCTACTTTTTTTGTAGTCATAGTTTTTACATTTAACTTCTTAATCTCTTTTAAATTTATTTTAGTATGTAATACTAAGTGAAGATCTCCTTTGATATTTTCCCCAAAGAGCGAGGCGATTTCCTAAACATAATATATAGAAGCTGATTTTATTTTTCATAGCAGCTATAGTTTCCATTATAAAAAGTTAATTTTCAATTTGCTGAAATTTAAGATGAACATATATAATATTGACAAACTATATCAAAGTAATTGGCAAATTTTGGTGAAGAAAGACTCAAATTTGAGTCAGAAAAATGAAAAGAGAATTTATGTGAATAGTAGTACATGAAGCCAAAGTCATGTTCTACTTGTTTAGACGTGGCCATGTGTGCCTAACAAAATCAATTAATCAGTCTCCGTCTCTCTTTCTCATGATCATGTCCACAGTGCTAGCAGCAGAAATAGAAAGAGGCATTTATCAAGTATTAGCTGCCATAATCATAATCATAGCAAAAATGCTATAGAAGTATTAGATGCTGTAATAATAATAATAATATTTAAATAATAAGTGCTATAATGGAAGGATACATAGTGTAATGAAAGTCTAATAGGGAAAACAGCACTGGCTATGGAAATTAGGGAAGGCTTCCTTGAAGAAACAGTTATTGCATTGAGACCTGAAAGAGGAGTAGAATTAGCTAGGAAACTATGGGAAGTAGGTAATGATGGGCGACATGGCAGTTGGCAAAGGAAGCAACAAGCAGAAGGGACCGAGGGCAGGGAAGAGTACAGCTCTTTGGAAGAACGGAGAGACCAATGTGGCTGGAGCTAAGAGAGCCCGGGGAGCATGCCATGGGGTGAGGCTAGGGAGGTGAGCAGGGCCACACCATTGCAGGCTTGTACGTTTCAGAAGGAGTGTCGTTTCTATCCTAAGAGCAGTGGGGAGTCATGGAAAGATTTTAAGCAAGAGAGTAATCTGGTCGGATTTGCATTTTTTTTTTTTTTTCTGAGACGGAGTCTTGCTCTGTCGCCCAGGCTGGAGTGCAGTGGCATGATCTCGGCTCACTGCAGGCTCCGCCTCCTGGGTTCACGCCATTCTCCTGCCTCAGCCTCCTGAGTAGCTGGGATTACAGGCACCCGCCACCATGCCCGGCTAATTTTTTTTTTTTTTTTTTTTTTTGTATTTTTAGTAGAGACGGGGTTTCACCCTATTAGCCAGGATGGTCTCGATCTCCTGACCTCGTGATCCGCCTGCCTCCGCCTCCCAAAGTGCTGGGATTACAGGCGTGAGCCACCGCGCCCAGCCCGGATTTACATTTTTAAAAGATCAGGCTGGTAGAGGTATGGAAATACATTGGAGGAAGGCAAGAGTAGGTACAAGAAGACCCATCAGGAGATTATTGCAATAATTTAAGTGAAGCTTGGTATATATGTGGATGTGTGAATGGGTGGATATCTGGCTGGGTGGATATGTAACCTAAGTTGAACTGGGCAGACTCATGGGCTGTCATCTTACAGCTACTTAATTTTGTTTCCCACTGCCCCTTTAAATTTACTCAATTGGATTAGTTCTTTTGCCCCTGGATAAAAACGTGAGCAGATCTTGCTTTTCCAGGTTTGTCTTGGATCATAGAAAGAGACTTAATTTAGTCATGCAACTTCCAGTCTCACACAGCCATCAAACATGTAAGCTTGATTGAAACATGAATTGCATTTCCTCCCTGTTAGGGCCTGTTACAGGCACGAGTAGAGGTGGCATGATGGCAGCTTCTCCCTTTCCCACTTTGCACTTCTCTTCTTTCCTCATTTTGTAAACTAAGTTTCGGCCTCCTCTAGGAATTGAAATGCACAGAGGAAGGAGAGGAACAAAAGGGGAGGCTGAAAGTTCTCATTTGACTGGCACTGCCATGAGCTTGAAGCTGTGTTCTTGGGGCCGATCAAGCGTTCAAAGGTGTTTGCTTTCATGAGCGCTGTTGATGGGTTTTGGATTTCACATTTGATGAAGGCAGATGCATCTCTAGCCCCGCTGATTGCCTATTTCCTTCTCAGCCCCTGGGAATCTGGGAAGAGAGAAAGCAAGCCTTCTCTATTAAGGCCTGTTCATTTCTCCAGGTGGCTTTCTTGGGCAAAGACGAAGATGCTGCTGTGTGTGTGTGTGTGTGTGTGTGTGTGTGCACGTGCTCTCCCTCACGTGGCCCACTCTCCCTCGCGTGGCTCACGTCTGATCCCCATGAAACTCTCAGCAGTTATTTTCCTGATGACTCTGATAGAGCAAGCCATCCAACCAACCCCCTGCCTCCGGCCCTGCGCCCCCCCGCAAAATTTTTTGTTCTCAATGGCTAGCCAGCTCATCTCTCACCTGCAAGGTTTCTAGCTGGGAGTCAGGCACTGATACATCCCACCCCCAATTGCAGGTGACAGGAATCAAGCTCCCTGAGTGGAACAAGGCTTCAGGTGAGGAGTAGGCATCCTTCACTCTCTCTTTTGTGGTGGGGTTGGGACTCAAGCATACCAAAAGATTTTCTCCCAGAATTCACTCTTTTATCCTCTATTATCTGAATTTTTTAATACCCTAGATGTAGATAAAGAATTTGTTTGTCTAACCAGTTCGCTGTCAGCCATTAATTTTTAGCAATCAAAACAGGGCAGTCTGTTTCATGCCCACTTTGAGATCTCACATCAATTATCTAAGGAACTCAGCCCAAACTACTTTTTGCCATCCTGTTAGGGAAGGATAGGCATGGTTTAGTGTGTAAGTCACAGAAGGTGTTTGTGACACAGGTCAGTGTATGTGATAGAATGCTTGCTGGTTTTCCAGCCTGCAACCGAGGCTTTTTGACCTATTAGCTCTAATCCTTATCACAACCCTCCTAGGAGGTGGTATTATTCTCATGTTACAGATGAGAGGAATACAGAATCAGCATAGTGAGCAGCGAGTCTGAGGTCACATCAGTAGGAAGTGCAGGAGCAGGTACTCTGGTCTTTCTGAAACCCATGCTCACATCAGGTTGCTCCCACAGGAATCTTATAACTCTGAAATTATTGGACTCTGAGTCATGGGACCATATTCACTTTGGAAATGTGTTTTTTGAACAATTTTCCAATTATTCTTGCTAAGACTTTAAATCTATACTAACTTTCTATTGCTGCCATAACAAAGTACACGAGCCTAGTGGCTTATAACAACACATGTATTATCTTCATGTTTGGTAGGTTAGAAGCCCAACATGGGTCCACTGGGCTAGAATCAAGGAATCAGCAGGGCTTTTTTCCTTCTGGGGAATCTGGGGGCAAATTCATTTGCTTTTTCTAGAGGCTTCTAGAGGCCACCTGCATTTGTTGGTTCACAGCCCCTTCCTCTGTCTTTCAAAGCCACCAGCGTCACACTTCTGCCCTTCTGTCCTCATGTCTTTTGATGGCTGCAGCTAGGAAAAGCTCTCCAATTTTAAGAATGTATGGGATTAGAGTGGGCCCACTTGGATAAACCAGGAGAGTTGCTCCATCTCCAGATCCGCCCTCCACCACATCTACCATGTTTCTTTGCTGGGGCAAGAACGTAGTCACAGAGGCTCAGGATTAGAGGGTGGACCCCATGGGGGCCATTGTCCTCCCTGCCACAACATAGAGGCTCTTCACATGATGAATTTGAAAGAATTATTTTATGGACATTATTATTTTAATCAAATCCCTTAGATTCTTCTTTCAGTGTATGCCACCATTAACAATATAGAGGCATGCAGATCTAATATCAGTTTGATTTTTCCTTGCTTTAAAAAATCAATTTGTAGTACTATTTTACTAAGTGATTTTGTTTATATTAGATTTGAAACTTCATATAAATGCATTGCTGCCATTTTCAATTCAACATTAAGTACCTAATCCATGCAGTGTTATAGAAAAAATGTTTAAAGTAATGTTTTTTGTTGTTACTTTTAAATCCAGATTTGGACTTAAAGCCACCACTAAAATCAATTGGAAGCAATTTCTAACATCATTTCATGAGCCTCAGGGGTTGCAAGTTAGCAGTAAAGGTCCCCTGACAAAAAGAAATAGGTATGTAAAAAAAAAAAAAAAAACAAATTTTAGTTACACATATCATAATATGTAAAATATCAGAGAATATCTGTGCTACTTTTTCTGCATTTATTGAATGATCGATTAGTCTCCATTGAATAATTGCCAACTTTTATATAGTGATTTACTGCTTACAAATTTTTCTTATTGAAAACTGCCTTAAACTATAAGGTTGGTATAATTGTTATGTCAATTTCTAGATGAGAAACATAAGATGATACAATCTGAACTCCATCACCTGCTCAGAGTGTGGTGGAGACAGCTATGGACCACAAAGGCTCCAGGCACACAGGCCGCCACGGCAAGCACTGCTCCCTAGCTCTAAGCATATCCTTGTAACATTGTAGGTAAACGTGTATTTGTTAGGTGTTACATGGAAAGGAACAATATATGTTGATTTGTTTTCCAGCCACTGAGTGGCCCAGATATCATGGGTCATGGAGATTATTTGTCTATCATTATTTCTGTTTTCGTTTTAATATCTATTATAACCTCAGATTTGCAATACCAAATATCTTGTGATGGGGCCCCAAAATGTTTTTTAAAAAATTTAATAATATGAAATTTTAGAATTTAGCTTTCTGCTCTGAGAAGTATTTTATGTTGATGCGTATCCTGTATTCATTGCCCTCTATGAATCTTAAAGAAAAAAACAGGCTTTATAATCTTGGCACGTTCATTGAAAGTGCTGTGCTCTACTGTAAAGTAAAATATACCATGGAGTTAATTCCCATTTTGTGGGTCCTGTCCCTGTCTCGGGGATTTGTGAATATTTAATGAACTGCGCCTGTTAACAGCCTTGCAGGTAATCAGAGCGCTCCCTCTCTGCTCCAGAGCTGCAACCTCTGAGTTCATTCGTTATGTGAAGTTACTTCTGTTTCTTTTTAATTTTCTTGTCCAATAGCACGTTGTCTAGAGAGGCTGTCAGAATTAAACTTAAAGTTTTATTTACTTTAAAACAGTGGTTCTTAAATGGGGACAATTTTTCCTCCCAGGAGATATCTGGCAATGTCACAGACATTTTTGGTTGTCACACTGAGGGTGGGGAAGCTACTGATGGGAGCTGATCATAACCCCAAAAGACACAAATGCCATCATCCTTAAGGTTGAAACCTCAGAAGATCAAAATCATGAAAATATAATTCTGAAAAAAAAAATTAAAAATTATTTAGGCTGGCACGGTGACTCACGCCTATAATCCCAGCACGTTGGGAGGCTGAGGTGGGTGGATCACCTGAGGTCAGGAGTTCGAGACCAGCCTGACCAACATGGAGAAACCCCATCTCTACTAAAATACAAAATTAGCCAGGCGTGGTGGCGCAAGCCTGTAATCCCAGCTACTCGGGAGGCTGAGGCAGGAGAATTGCTTGAACCCAGGATGCAGAGGTTTGCAGTGAGCCGAGATCTCACCATTGCATTCCAGCCTGGGCAACAAGAGGAAAACTTCATCTCAAAAAAAAAAAATTGTTTTAAAAATATTTATTTACATTGTAAAAGGGGATTTATTTGAGAAACATAAAAACACAATAGAACACTTCAGAGGCCACTTTACACAAAAAATAGGCAAAAATGACACATATTTTTCAAGCATAAACACTTAGATATACTAGTGACCATCACATAGGTGTGACAGATATGAGCAGATGAACCATATTCCTAAAGAAATAGGTCAAAAAGTGAAACATGTAAATGCATATCCCTATGGTGGGTAATCGCATGCACCCAGTTTCATAACTGCAGTCATTCAGAATACCGTGACAGATAACCTAAGTCTTTTGCAAGATCAATCAAAATCCGCGATGGGTCACCACTGCCTGTACAGTTGCCCAAAGAGCCAAGATCTTGAGAAATTTTATCTTTTACAAATGCAGTGAACAAAAATGACGTCTCTTCATATACTGAGCGAGTTTCAGTGTTTGTACACAACACACACAATGCTCACACACTAAGGCAACGTTGTGATAATGCATTTTTGTGGAGTCAAATTTCCGATGTCCAAGGCAGCGGCAGAAAATGTCCCAGCTCCGAGGGAGAGCTGTGTTCTCTCTGGGCTCCCAGCTGATTGGATGGTGCTCGCCAACACTGAGGGCAAATCTTCCCCCCGCACCCTTCCTGCCCCCACAGACCCACACACTAATCTCCAGAAACGCCCTCGCAGGCACGCCCAACACAGTGCTTTACCAGGTTTCTAGGTGTGCCTTCATCCAGTCAAGTTGACACCTGAAATTAAGTCCACAAATCTGCTCTCGGCAACTTGGTACCCAGAGGCATCTCCTTAAACCAAACTTAATTTCCAAATAACGACAATAGCAAGGTTGTAGTTCCACCTAACATGATGCAACTATGCTGTGTACAACTGAAAACACACAAATCCCTTGCCTAGAATTTGGCTTTGGGGTTTTAATCTTTCGAGATTGTGCTTTTTGCGATTTTAGGCATTAGGGGCTTTAGAATTTAGAGATTTTGATCTTTTGGGAGTTCAACATTTGGGATTATGGCATTTGGGATTGCATCTTTCAGGATTAAGATCCAAACCTGCACTGATCTAGTGGGCGGAGGCCAGGGATGCTGCTCAACACTCTGCAGTGAGTCCCCACAGCAAAGAGCTCTCCAGCCCCTAGGTCAGGGGTACCCGGTGGATAAAATCTGCTGTAAAAAGCATCTCTTCATGCCAGTGCTGGCCGTCTATAGAAAAAGAAGGTTCTAACAAGTCATGTGAGGAGCTTAGACTCAGGAAGCCAGCATATGTTTCTGAAAAGTGGTGGTAGGCGTAGGCTTATTGTTTCTGCACAAACGGAAGAAGCTAAGATGGCTGTATAGACGCAGCAACAAAAACTCCCAAACAAATCTTAGAATGGTTCCGCAGGTAAACTGACTGTCATTCATTGTTTCATGGGAAAGGTAGGATGGTCTAGTAGAACATCAGAAAAGAGAAGCACCCAATGGTATATTGTGATGAGATTCTGACAGTCTCCCTTTCTGAGCCAAGTCCACATTGAACTTGGTTTTGGTCTCCAGAGGGGGTAGTCCTGGCCTTCAGGAGCACACATGTACACTGACGGGCCCCGAGCTCAGGGATGAAAGAGGCCATAGAGGGAAAGGGGGTCTGACAACGTAGGGCATCATGGTCATTGTCAACAGAAAGGGAGAGGCTGAGAAGTCTGCTGTCCTTGCAGTTCTAAATAGGGAATTTGTGCCCTCAGTTATCATGTGGATGAGACAGCTACAATGTGCTGCACACACAGGAGGGGGGGCTCCCAGCTTCCCAGCCACTGAGGTCTCAGCACTGGTCCATGGTCCCTTTATTGGTCTTGTTTGAGACCAAAACCACAGGTGTGCAAGATGGCCGATGAGTTGGTCTCGTGGGGAGAGGAGATGGTCCAGCAAGGCTCACCCTGCATTCGTGGCATCTCTCTGATCACAGTAACTGAGGTTCAGATGAGCCCCACAAGTGCAGCACACTGTCAGGAAAAAGAGCCACGCACAGAGAAAGCTCTACTGTATTGTGGTGAGGGTGCTTGTTTCTTGCATTAAGAAAAGAACAAAGTTCAAGAACATAATCTTATTCCTGCTTTTCTCCTAATCCTCTTGTAGCATCAACTCTAGAAATGAATCTCACAAGGAAAACATCATCACAAAGTTATTTAGACACACTGAAGATCACTCTGCGTCACTGAAGAAAGCATTACTGATAATCAACACTGTAAGATTTTGAAAGCCTTCTCTTGTGAAACACTCATTGTTTCTAAGAATGCAAACACTCAGAACAAGACCAATAACAACTCCATATTCGTTCATTTATCCATCCAACAAACACTTCTTGAGCCCCCGTTACATGCTGGGAATTATTCTGAGCACTTAGGGATAGAAGCCCCGAGCTCAAGGGTTGAGTCTAGTTGGGAAGACGGACGATGGAAAATTAATTGCAATACAGTAACATAGGTGCCAGTTGTGATGGGAACAATGTGTGGCAAGGTCGTAATAGTTGCAGTGACTGATCATCATTCACTGTTTAATTAACAAACAACCCAGACCTGGTGACCCTTCCCCACCCTAACCTAGAGTTGATCAGTTCATAACCAACTTATTGCCCAAAACAGGGGCATTTTCTTAGTGCCAAAATAGCCTACTTAATTTTTTAATTGTACTACAAAGAGAGGCTAATTCATGAATTTGCAACCTGCTTTTTCTCACATTCACCATTAGCTCCTGTCTGACTTTAATATTGTTTTAGAAAGCAGCATTTGGATCCTTTTGATACGCAGCAACATTTACTAAGCACATTCGGTAATTGAAGCTCTAGTAAACAGTGAGGAGCAGGGTGAATTACTGTTTCTGAGACTCACACAGGACTGTGTACAGATGATTTCAGAGGCCAAAGGTGTCCCTTAGCTCAGCATCAGCCTCCTAGAACCTGCCGTGGAGGGAGTGTCTGGGAGTGGAGGGTGGTGCCCCAGGGAGAAGCCAGCACTGCCTGGGGGTGGCTTCCAGGTTTGTGGTTTGCTGTCTGTGGAGACCCCAGCGCCTGCCTCTGCCGCACTAGAATGCTATTGCATGGGATTTCCGAGCACAGTGTGGATTCAGGAACATGGGGTTCTTTGAATGAATCTTTACACCTATGTGACTTGGTCTCTCTGAATGAACAATAATGTTGAGTGCTTACTATGTGCCAGGCACCGTCTTAAATGATTCGGCGATATATACACTCACTAAATCCTCTTGACACCTTGGTGAGGCAAACATGATTATGATCTCCATCTGACAGATGAGGAAAGGAGGCCTCTGTGCTAAGTAACCCGCCTGAGGCTACCCAGATAGTGGTTTTGGAGGCCACCAGACTCTAGAGCAGCCACACTCCAGCACTGGTCAGGGCTGCCCAGGACCCTGCTGGCTGAGCCGCGTGGGAAAAGATAAACGAGGCCTTTGTGTGTTACCCACCCCCACTCAGGTTCTAATAGTATGCTGAAGAAGTAATTTAATTAAAAATAGGGAAACCTTCATTTCCTTTAATGGAGGACTATACAATAATGCTAATCACTCCAACTATTAGACTGTTTAAAAGTCATTGTTGTGCTATTCAACTTGAGATCAATAAACAGACAGTGTAGGTTAAGAATTGAGTACGTAGTCCATGCTGGGCCCCCGTGCTGGGCACTTAGGCTAAGCACACAAATGATTAATGCTAAGTCCTTGCCGATAAGCTCACACTCTAGGGTATCACATCATGGCATTAACAATCAGATGCCTTACAGTTACATAGTGCATGGTTTCAGAGTGAGATTCCCCTCCCCTCCCATCCCCCCACCATGCACCCCACTACGGAGGGGACTAGGTAAGAAGGAGAATAAGGGTGGGAGCCAGGAGTGGGCAGGGCTGGGCGTTTTGCCTGGCTGCTCAGGGCAGTCATGGGAAACAAATCTCTCTCCTGCTATAGAGAGGGATGCAGAATGTTTAAAAGACTGCTTTAGATCCACGCCAAGGCATGCATCCCATTTGCTATATGTGCTGCCTCCAGATGCTGCCACCAACTCTGCAAGTGGACCCAACTGCTGTGATCACTTACATTTAAATCAGGTGTGGCTTACTTCCTCTCAGTCATCCAGAAGGAATTTGCATCCTGCCTTTTTACCTAGTCTTGATATTGTTATTTGTAGCTGACATGATTTAGTTAATAGAAAGTCCAACAGAATCTTCCCAGAAAACATTAGAATTAATAATAGGATTTAGAAGGTCATGGGATACAAAGTCAATACACAAAGACCAACAGTATTTCTATAAACTGCAATAAACTATTAGAAAAAGATGAATTTTTAAAATATTATTTCTAATAACATTTTAAAAAATCAAATACATAGAAATATGTCTTACAAAAACATGCAAATTCTCCACATTGAAGACTACAATGATTGCTTAGAAATAATGCCATTCCTTCACAAACTTTCAGAAAATACAGGAGGAAGGAACACTTCCAGACTCATTCTCTGAGGCCAGTATTACCCTGATACCAAAACCAAGCAAAGGCATCACAAGAAAAGAACCACAGGCCAATATCCTTTGTGACTATAGTTGCAAAAATTCTCAACAAAATATTAGCAAACCGAATCCAGCAACACATGGCAAGGCTTAAGTGCTGTGACCACATGGGATTTATCCCAGGATTGCAAAGTTGGTTTAACTTCCCCCAAAATCAATGTCATATGCAACATTAGTAGAGTGAGGAACAGAACTACATGATTATCTCAATAGATGCAAAAACAGTATTTGAAAAATCCAACACCTGTTTATGATAATAACTTTCCACAAATTAGAACAGAAGAGAAATACCTTCACCTGATAAAGGGAATTTACAACAAACCCATAGCCAGCAGCACAGTTAATGGTAAAAGACTGAACTCCTTCCTCCTAAGATCAGGGACAGCACGAGAATGTCAGCTCTCACTGCTTCTAGTCAACACTGTGCTAGAGTTCTGGACAGTCCAATCGAGAAAGAAAAAGAAATAAAAGGCATCAAGATTGAAAAGGAAGAAGTAAAACTGTCTTTGTACACAGACGATACAATCTTGTGTGTAGAAAATTCTAAGGAATTTGTGCATGTGTGCATTCACACATACTGCTAGAACTAATAAATGAATTTATAAGGTTGCAGAAATATAAGATTAACATACAAAAATCAGTTATATTTCTATAAACTAGCTATGAGCAATCTGAAAAGGAACTTCTGAAAGCAATTCCATTTACAATAGCATCAAAAAGAATAAAATACCTAGGAATAAATTTATCAAAAGAAGTGCCAGATTTTTATACTGAAAATTACAAAACATTGTTAAAGGAAAGTAAAGAATATGTAAATAAAATACATTCCATATTTATAGATCGGAGACAATATTATTAAGATGACAGTTCTCTCCAAATTGCTTTATAGATTCAGTGCAAACCCTATCAACATCCCAGCTGGCTTTTTTTTTTCTTTTTTTTTGCTTTTGAAAAGCTGTCTGAAAATTCATATGGAAATACAAAGGTGGAAGAACAGCCAAAATAATCTTGGAAAAGAAGAACAAAGTTAGAATACTTACACTTCCAGAATTTGAATCTTAGTGCAAAGCTATAGTAGTAAAGACTGTGTGATACTGGTTTGAAGACCTACATACAGATCAATGGAACAGAGTTGAGAGTTCAAAAATAAACCCTTACATTTATGGTCCATTTATTTTTGACAAATTCAGTGGGGGAAAGGAAAATATCTGTTAAAATGTTAAGAGGACAATTGGATATCCATATGCAAAAAGATGAATTCAGTCCCTTACCTCTTACACCATACACAAATAGATCTAAATATAAAAGCTAAACTCATAAAACTCTTAGAAGAAAAACATATATAAATCTTTGTGACCTTGTGTTAGGCAAACATTTCTTAATGACACCAAAGTATAACCCATAAAAGAAACAAATTGATACATTGGACTTTATCAAAATTAAATTTCATGCTTCAAAAGATACCTTTAAGAAAGTGAAAAGACAAGCCACAGACTGGGAGAAGATATATGCAAATCATATATCTGGTAAAGGACTTGTATCTAGAACATACAAGTACTTTTACAACTCAATAAGAAGACAACCTAATTTTTTAAATGGGTAAAATATATTAATAGACATTTTACCCAAGAAGATCTGTGAACAGCCAATACAATCTTTTATGAACCCGTGAAAAGATACTTGACAGTATTGATCACTAGAGAAACTCAAAGCCACGAGATACCACTTCTCACCCTCTAGGATGGCTATAATCAAAAAGACAAACAATAATAAGTGTTGACAAGGATATGTGGAGATACTGGAACTCTCATATACTGCTAGTGAAAATGCAAAATGGCACAGCCACTGTGGAAAACAGCATGGCCGTTTCTATAAAAATTAAATGTGACTTATAGAACCCAGCAATTCCACTCCTAAGTATCTGCCCAAGAGAAATAAAAACATGTCCACACAAAGACTTGTGAACAAATGTTCATAACAACATTATTCACAATTTCCAAACTGGAAACAATCCAAATGTCCACCAACTTGTAACAAAATAAACAAAATCTGGCAATGTAATGCCCGATTGGGAATAAAAAGGAGCAAAATACTGATATATGCTACAACATGGATGAGCCTCAAAAACACTATGTTAGGAGAAAGAAGCCAGATGCAGGAAACCATGTATTTATGATTCTATTTACATGAAATATCCAGAAAAAGGCAAATATCTAGAGACAGAAAATGGAGTCATTGCCTTAGGCTGGGGCAAGAAATGGGGAGAGACTGCAAATGTGCACGAGATTTCTTCTGGGGGTGCTGAAACTATTCTAGAATTAGATCCTTGTGATGGTTACACAATGCTTTAAATGTATTAAAGTAACTTAAAGTTTAGCTGTCAGTGATTTCTCTTTAGGCATTAAAGAATTGATTATGACTCTCAAAAGGTAAGCATGCATATATCCCCTAAAGTACTTAATTTACCCCTCAAGAGAACCTTATATTCTTTTCAGATTTTGGACCCCCAAATAATAGTTGACATTTGCACACTGCTTTATTGCTTACTTAATAAATCCTTTTGTCACGTTAATATTCACTGTCTCCGTATGAGGTAAAGGTTCTTTATTTACCCTGTCTTTCCAATAAACAGTATCTCTCAATTTTGGTGTTCAGTCTACTTATTGATAAATTTTTATTCTGGGGGAAGAAATTTTTTCTCACGGTATTTTGCTCATAATATGTTTTCTTTATGCAGCATGGCTGAAATTTTTCTAGCAAAGTAGTTGTCCATTTATGTAATGGATGAGACTGTTGGTGGAGAAAACACTCATAATTTATTCTTACTAAATTGGCAAACTAATTGAACTGCTGGGAAGTTTTGTGCCCCATGTGGTTGAACCCCCAGCTCTCAGGTGGGGTAGGGAAGTGAGGAGCTGTTCAAGCCATTCAAGCCCCTGGGGAAGGGAGTCAACCTGAGCTTGAGAAATGGGCCTCATTGCTCACCCAAAGCCATGTCCTGATAGAGAACATTGTAGGAACTGCACCTGGAAAGTTCTAGCATTCAGCCTACACACACACACACACACACACACACACACACACACAGTGCTCATGTTATGTAAGGATCATCAGTCGATGTATTTGCATTTCCAATCATAATTCTATTTGGCCAAAGCTCGCTCTTTATTAAATGATGCTAAACATACATAACACTTTTTCTTCCTTTTTTTTTTTTTTTCAAAAATTCCCTTATATACACTCTGATGCTCAGAAACCCGATGGACCGATAACAAGAGAAGAATTTCGATATATTCTAAATTGCATGGCTGTAAAACTAAGCGATTCAGAATTCAAAGAACTAATGCAAATGCTTGACCCTGGGGACACTGGAGTGGTCAACACCAGCATGTTTATTGATCTGATTGAAGAGAACTGTAGGGTGAGTTTTGTAACAACTTCCTGTTTGGTTTTCTCTTTATGTTGGGAAATTTCAGTATTCCTAATAAGAGATGCAAGTGAAATATGGTTTAAATAAATTAACGACTTTACAGTTTTCAACTCAATCATTTTAAGTGAGGGTCAAGTGTTTAAGCACTTTGATTTTAACTTTTAGTTTCTGAATCTTAAAAAAGGATGGTAATTGACGTTTCTGAAAACCCATCCCTGAACGAGAGCCCTTTATATACAGGATGTAACTGGCGCCACCTCAACAGCACTCCTCTTGCAGCCATGTCTTATTTATTTATTTATTTTTGTTGTTCTTGTTTTTTTCTTGAGATGGAGTCTCTCTCCGTCGAGTCTCTCTCTGTTGCCCAGGCTGGAGTGCAGTGGCATGATCTCGGCTCACTGCAGCCTCCACCTTCCAGGTTCAAGCAATTCTCCTGCCTCAGCCTCCCAAGTAGCTGGGACTACAGGCACGTGCTGCTACGCCCGGGTAATTTTTGTGTTTTTAGTAGAGACAGGGTTTCACCATGTTGGCCAGGCTGGTCTTGATCTCCTGACCTCGTGATCCACTTGCCTCGGCCTCCCAAAGTGCTGGGATTACAGGCGTGAGCCACCGCGCCTGGCCACAGCCATGTCTTTGAAAGGAGTATTTGTGAGTGACTACTCTGGTTCTCATTCATGTTTTTAGAGTTTCGTACCCTATGTTGGTTCAACTTTAAAAAAATAACTGCTTATTGCCTCTAGTGACTAGCATTTGCCTTTAGCATTTGCTTCTTTTGACTGAAAAGTTGACACTTTTATTATTAGAAATGTTTCTATAACTTTAATAGCTATTAGCATTTAAAAAATTTTAAGAACTTTATCAATTTCAGATAGTGCATGCAATAGGTTTTAACAGATTCTTGTTGAAATGTTTTTTAAAAAGCTGCTTTTAACAGGTACAAATTAGCTTTTAATTTTAGATTTATGACGTTGGCATCCCTATGAATCAAAATCAAACCAGTAATATCACGAGATGCACTATTTCCCTAAAGGTGATGTTTCTACTGAATGGATCTGAATGGGGTGCCTTGCTTTAGGGAAAGCTTTAAGATGGTTTAGCTGAAGCCAGCTGCATTCTATTCTGATGGTTTCTGTGCAAAATGCAATTTATTCATCATCAATAAATCCTTTCCATCTGTCGTGGTTTTTGATCATGGTCTTGGGAAGAGTTTATGGCATACTTCTTGGTTTAAAATGGGACAGTTTATTGGAGCGAAAGTGTCATATTTAAATTACCTCCTCTTGGTACATGTAGACATTTTCTACCAACATTCTGGAGGTAATTTTAATAGGCCATAGTACATAACTTATTCAAATGTTTTGTGATTACACAAGTAACAGAAATTCATTGTAGATTAGAAAATATGCCAAACTACAAAGGTGAAAATAATGATAAAAATCCCAAATCCCAACACTCAGCGATAGTTACACAGTTAAAATTTTGATAAATTTTCTTCCACTCTTTGTATGTGGGTGGGCACATTTTTTTGTTTACATGGTTGAACTCATTCTTTTTTTTTTTTTTTTTTTGAGACGGAGTCTTGCTCTGTCGCCCAGGCTGGAGTGCAGTGGCATGATCTCGGCTCACTGCAACCTCCCTGCCTCCTGGGTTCAAGCAATTCTCCTGCCTCAGCCTCCCAAGTAGCTGGGACTATAGGCGCCTACCACCACACCCGGCTAATTTTTTGTATGTTTAGTAGAGACGGGGTTTCACCATGTTAGCCAGGATGGTCTCGATCTCCTGACCTTGTGATCTGCCCACCTCGGCCTCCCAAGGTGCTGGGATTACAGGCTTGAGCCACCGCGCCTGGCCTGAACTCATTTTTGTATGACTTTGTATATTCCATTTTTTCAGCTTCACGTTATATGATGAGCCTTTCCCCCTCACCCCACATCATTAAAAACTCATCATAAATAAGATTTTCAGTGGTATCTAAGAGTGTTCTGCGCATGTCCTTGTCACTGGGGCAGTTAGGCTGTTTCTCTACTTACTTATATTATGCTGGACATCTTTGTGCACAGATCTCCATTCATATCTAAATATTTCCTTAGAATAGATTTTAGAAGTAGAAATACTGGCCCAAAACATGTGGGCATTTTTATGTTGCTGGATATATATATATCCAGACATATTGTATATAGAGTTATATTATATTATAATATATAATTACATCATACATTACATATTATTATATTTTTACAATTACATTAATTAATTACATCTTGGTACCTGCTTTTTTGCATCACTTTATGATTATTTAGTATCTATTTCTAGAAATGGAATTATTATATATTATACTTTATATAACAATAATTGAATTATTATGTATAATATATTATATATCAGATATATAGTATAATTATCATATAAATATACTATATCTGGATATATATAGACATTTGTACACTGATTTATTGCTTACTTAATAAATCCTATATTATATTAAATCCTATATTATATAATATTACATATTATATTATATATTATATCATATATTATACTATATTATAATCCTATATTATATTATATATTATAAATCCTATATTATATTATATATTATAGTATAATATAGTATATTATATTATATATTATAGTATAATATAGTATATTATATTATATATTATAGTATAATATACTATAATATATAATTATGCTATATAATAATTATATTATAGCATAATATATTATATACACATAATATATAATAACATAGTTATATATACATAGTTATATGATATATATTATATATTACAAATTAGCTATATTATATATTAACTATATTACTATATTATAATTTAGTTATAATATATATAAAATTCCTTTATGCATTCTTAAGGCCTTGTGATCTATTTTGCTAGACAGTGCGTTGGAATAGGCTGACAGTTGGTGTTGGCTGTACCCCGTACCCGTCCTGCATAGGTAGTAGATGCGTGTGTGAACCTGTGTACCCAGGCCATGTATGTGTCTTGTGGAAGCCTGAGTGTATGCCTTGACTCAGTTTACTGCCAGTGCTTCAGAGTCAGATCAAGCCTAGTGGCCACGGAATCAAGTGAGCAGCCAGCCAGGGTAGGAGCTTGTGCACCTGCGGTCGACTCTTGCCTCCACCCCTTATTAGCTGTGACCTGGTGCAAATAATTTACCTCTCTAAGACTCATTTCTTTACCTGTAAAACCAGGTTGATTATGGTACCACCTTGTAAGGTTGTTAAGGGAATTTAACAGGATAATGCGCATAAAATGTTAAGAATCCGTTTTCTTTAAAAACAAAACGTAGACACGTAAGCAATCCCTTCTCTACGTGGCAAGTGGTGTGATCTTTGTCTAGTATAAAACAGATCATGCCTGTCTTCATGCCTTCACCTTTCCAGTGGCTTTCTGGGAAGGCCTCCTTATCCAGTTCCTCAGGCTCCCTGGCTGCCCCTCCCAGGCCTTGGCCTGTGCTGCATCTGCTACCTGGGATTCCTTCCAGTTCCTCGTGACCCAGGTTACCATCTCCAGAGCTCAGCACCCCCGGAGCCTGCGCAGGGACCCTCCCAGTCTCAGAGTCACATTTGTGGCCTGATGTGGTCCTGTCTCCACAAAGGCAGAGACCTTTCTGTTATCACTGCCCATTGTACTATAGGGGATAGGCAGTGTCAGCCACACTCACACAATCTATTGAATGAATGAATAAACATGAATGAAGGAATTGGAAAAATTAGAAAACATAGATGTGCAATAGGCGAAAATAAAAGTCACCACTAATTCTAACACCAAAGCATTGTTATTTGCTGTTATACTTTGCTGTATATTCTTCCAAATCCACATACATGCATACCCATACTTCTGTTTTTTAAAAACAGCTTTATTGAGGTGTAATTGATATTCAAAAACTGTACATATTTAATATATGCAGTTTGATGAGTTTGGACACACACTTCTGTAGATTGTAGCTATTTTATTTAAAAGCAAGACCATACAATGACTTTTTTTTTTTTTTTTTGAGACGGAGTCTTGCTGTGTCACCCAGGCTGGAGTGCAGTGGCGCGATCTCGGCTCACTGCAAGCTCTGCCTCCCAGGTTCACGCCACATATAATGACGTTTTAGTCTATATTGTCACTTATTAACATACTGTTAACACTTAACGTCAATAAAAGTTCTGCTATCTAATTTTATTTTATTTATTTTAGAGACAGAGTCTCACTCTATTGCTCAGGCTGGAGTGCAGTGACATGACCTCGGCTCACTGCAACCTCAGCCTCCTGGGTTCAAATGATTCTCCTGCGACAGCCTCCCGAGTAGCTGGGATTATAGGCGCACACCACCACACCCAGCTAATTTTTGTATTTTTAGTAGAGACGGGGTTGGTTTCACCATGTTGGCCAGGCTAGTCTCGAACTCCTGACCTCAGGTGTTCCGCCCACTTTGGCCTCCCAAAGTGTTGGGATTACAGGCTTGAGCCACTGTGCCTGGCCTGCTATCTAATTTTAAAATATACTAAATAACTGTTATAATTTGGATGTTCATTTATTTTTTATTTTTAAAATTTTGCTGCAGTGAACATCTTGGCACTTGCTTTTTTGTATTACTCTATGTAATTATTTCTTTAGTTATAAATTTTAAGAAATGGAATTATTGGGTCAAAGAATATGTTTTATTCTATTACTATTTTAATAATTTTTAAAGAGAATGATATGTATAAAGTACAGAATGCAAAGGACACAAGAGGGGATGGAGTGAAAGGAAGTTTTTTTTTCTCCACCAGTCCCTAGCTACCGGTTCTCTTCCCCAGCGGCAGCCTTCCTTGCTGTAGAGTCTGTAAATTATCAAATTGTCAAATAGTATCCAAATGTACCTTGAGACAAAAATACCTTCCAGAAAGTTAGATCAGTTTACACTCCCACCATTTCTGAAACCCCCACCTGTGCAGGTAATTTGCTTACTTTTGCGTTTTCGCCATTCTGATAGGCAAAAATACCATCTCGTTATTCTTCTACTTTGCATTTATTTAATTTCTAGGTGATGGGTTTTTTTGTGTGTTTATTGTACTTTTCCTTAAGTGAAAGTTAAATGCTATTTTTTTTTAACTTTTATTTTAAGTTCAGGGGTACAAATGCGGGTTTGTTACACAGGTAAACTTGTGTCATGGGGGTTTATTGTACAGATTATTTCATCACCCAAGTATTAAGCCTAGTACCCATTAGTTATTATATTTTTCCTGATCCTCTCTCTCCTCCCAACCTCCATCCTCATTCTCCTGAGGGTGAAAATTCTCTTGTTCTCCGATAGGCCCCAGTGTGCATTGTTCTCCTCTATGTGTCCATGAGTTCTCATCATTTAGCTCCCACTTATGAGTGAGAACCTGTGGTATTTGGTTTTCTGTTCCTGTGTTAGCTTGCTAAGGATAATGGCCTCCAGCTCCGTCTATGTCCCTGCAAAAGACATGATCTCATTCTTTTTATGTCTGCATAGTATTTCAAGTTAAGTGTTATAATCCTTACTTTCAGATGGGTATTAGAGGGCAAGCTCCGTTGTTCAAGGTCTCAAAGCTAATGGCTAATTAGGGACAGAGCTAGGATTCCAGTCCAGGTCCACCTGCCTCCAAAGCTCCTAATGACTTTCATGAGTGGTATTTATTTATATACTTTCTCTTTCCCAATTAGATGAGAAAGACATCTCCCTGTACAGATGCTAAGACACCTTTCCTCCTGGCCTGGGATTCAGTAAGTAACACTTGCCTTCTTTGTGTGGATGCCTTCCTATATGGTTTGAGGTTACTGTTACAAGAGGTTACAGATGTATGGCTTAGGAAATATGTTTGTTTTTTAATGTTAGGTGGAAGAAATTGTTCATGATACAATTACTAGGAACCTACAAGCTTTTTATAACATGCTACGCTCATATGACCTTGGAGACACAGGGCGCATTGGCCGAAATAATTTCAAGAAAATCATGCACGTCTTCTGTCCATTTTTAACGAATGCACATTTCATAAAGTAAGTTTTTTGTAACAAAATTAATTCATGTCGTGTTTTTCATCAGGCCTGTTCCATAATTCTAAACCTTTTCTGTGTGTTTTTGAAATATTAATAGGTAGTATTGATAATAACTGCTATTTGCTGAATCCTTGCTTAGCACTGGACATTGCTTAAGAGTTTGACATGCATTATATGATATAGTCCTTATCACAGCCATGTAAGGTAGCTAACATTATTCCTTTCTATGGACAAAGAAACAGAGGTCTGGAGAAGTTAAATACTCACTCCAACTCACACAGCTGGTGAGTTGTGAGGCCTGAGTTCCCTCCTGGGTCTCTATGATTCCTGAGCTCTCTTTTTCCTTCATTTCTTGCAAGCAAATATCTCTCCTTTGCTTTTTAGTAATATCTTGTATTGTTCAAGAAGCAAAGATTTCATCTCAACTCTTGTGGAACTGAGACATTTTGTGCGTGTGAGTTGCAACAGTTAAATATGTTGCATTCTGATAGAGCAAGAGTTTCATGTCGTTTTAAAACCACAATTATCAAATATTGATAACTGAGCAAATAATGATACACAATCAACTCATGGAGAAACCCCATCTCTACTAAAAATACAAAATTAAGCCAGGCATGGTGGCACCTGCTTGTAATCCCAGCTACTTGGGAGGCTGAGGCAGGAGAATCACTTGAACCCGGGAGGCGGAGGTTGCAGTGAGCCGAGATTGCCCCATCGCACTCCAGCCTGGGCAACTAGAGCAAAACTCCATCTCAAAACAAAAAACAAAAAACAAAAACAGAAGCCATCCAACCAAACAAACAAAAAAACCACTTTGCAGTCCCACTGCCATTAGGAACCATGCAGATGGTTCACAGGCCCTCCACCAGCCTCTCACCTCTCAGGAGCTGAGACTGTGCAGCTGGGCTGCCTGGGTTGAATCAGCTCCAAACCTGGGCAAGTGACTTAACCTCTCTGAGCCTCTATTTCTTCATCCAGATATTTCTTACTAGAGTTGTGATAAGGATCAAATGAGATCTTATACACAAAGCCTTACTACCTCAGGGCCAAGCATATGGTGAGGTCTCAGCCAGTGTTTGTTGCTGCCGCTGCTGCTGCTGCTGCTGCTGGTCTCAGCTCCAGCTATGTTGACCTGCTTTCCACTCCTTGAAAACGCTGGGCCCTCTCTTGCCCCTGGACTTTCAGACCATCTTTCCTTCTGTTCCAAGTGAACAGTCTCTCCCAGCTGACCAAAGTTCAGTGAGGTAGGCGTTGTTCTGGTTTGTTCACAGTTGTGGCAACAGTAGTTAGCACAGTGCTTCATACGTAGCCACATGAATATTTATGGGAGCGATTATAATACTAGTGAGCACTTATTGAGCAAAGTATGGCTTCAGAGCTCATGCTCAGCCCCCAGCTATATGCAGATCCTCATAACGACACCATAGTACTGTTATTACAGCTGCGATTTATTAAGCACATATACACAGAGCATGTCAGCCCCAGTGCTAACAGCTTTATGTGGATTCTCCCACTTGATCATTACAGCAGTCCTTGGTACTTTTATTATCTGCATTTCATAGATAAGGAAACTGAGGCAGAGCAAAGGTAGGGAATGTGCCCTGGGTCAGTGGTTCTCAGCACTTTTGGTCTCGGGACACTTTTATACTCTGAAGAATTGACAACCCCAAAGGTGTTTCTCATATGGAGTATGTCATTATGTACTGTATCAGAAATTAAAACTGAGACATTTTTAAAGTGTCATTGCAGAAACAAGTGTACTTGCTGTGCTTTCATATAGGCTCAGGGAAAACTTTGGAGTTTCAAAATAGTGGTTTGTTGGACGATAATGAGGTTACAGCAGTTATAGCAAGTGTAACTGAAGGTCTCTAGCAGAGAGCCTGGTAGAAAGGCTATAAAGAAACTGAGTTAATCACTGAAAACCTACCCCTAGTCCCTCATTTACACCCTAAGCCTACAACCTTAAAAATGTTAGAAAGCACAATCTACACAAGAATACATTTTATTTGTGGTCAGAGTGAGGACATGATCACACATGTTGCCTCTGATGGACTCGACTCTACATGCATAAAAGAATCGAGTGAAGAAGGTAAATCACACCTCAGTGTTAACAGAAAACTAGTTCTGGCCTCGCCGATGCTCTGGAAGTGTCCTCAGACCACACTTTGTGAGCCCCTGCCTTCAGTCATATAATTTTTTATAATTCTTTTTTTACATTTACTGTATCTGCATTGTGGTATACTTTATATACAATACTCTGCACACATTTAAATGATACAATATGATGAAATTCATCATATGTCAATATCCATAAAACCATCACAAGATATCAATCAAGATATCAAATATTTTCGCCACCCCAAAAATCTTCCATATGCCCTTTAGCAATTCATCATCACTCCCTCCTCCCACCTCCACGAAACCACTGATAGCTCTCTTTCATGATAGATTACTTTGTGTTTTCTAGGACTTTATGTAAATGGAAGCACACAAGATATTCTCTTTTTTGTCTGGCTTTATTCACCAAGCATAACAATTTTGTGATTCATTCATTTTGTTTTATATATACCAACAGTTCTTTCCTTTTCACTGCTGAGTAGTATTCCATTGAATGGGTTTACCATAGTTTGTGTATACATTCATCTCTTGATAGGCATATGGTTTGTTTCTAGTTTCTGGCTATTACCAATAAAGCTGTATATGTAATGTTTGGCTGTTACAAATAAAGCTGTATATATTTGTGTAGACACACATTTTCATTTCTCTTTGGTAAATGCCTAAGAATGGAGTGGTTGTACCATTTTACATTCCCACCAGCAGTGGATGAAAGTTGTAGTTACTTTCATCTTCACCAACCCTTGGCAGGGTCAGTCTTTTCCGTTTTAATTACTCTACTGAGTGTGTTTTAATTATTTTTTAAAATTCAGACTCTGCAGTAAGATTCAGGACATTGGTTCAGGAAGAATCCTTTACAAGAAACTTTTGGCATGCATAGGAATTGATGGCCCACCCACTGTCTCTCCAGTTCTTGTTCCAAAGGATCAGCTGTTAAGTGAACATTTACAAAAAGATGAACAGCAGCAGCCAGATCTTTCTGAGAGGTAAAATTAAGCAAAATGAATGCACATATCAAAACCACAGTGTCTGTCATGGAATAGGTATTTAGTAACTATTTGTCAACTGAGTATTTTAATATTTCATTTTATAAATAAGAAAGATGGCACACTAGAAAGACAGTAATTAGAGTCAGGGAATTTTAGAGCAAGCAGAGATCTTAGGAATTATTGAATTTACCTTTTAAATTTAGAAATGAAAACACTGATGTCTGAGAGGTTTGGGGACTTGGCTCACAAACTTAGTGGCTGGCCTGGGTCAAGAATCTGGGACTCCTGACTCCCAGGGACAATCTGTAACTTCTCTATTACATACCTGCATTCACATTTACTCTCTTCCAGAAACTTAGATTCCTTGCCACTATTTAATATTTATTGCAACACACATCCATTAAATCAGTTAACATTTTTTAATATGAATGATAGAATGATTAAACTGATTTCCAAATTGAATTGTAACAATAAAACATACTTAGTAAATCTATAAAAAATTAGCCTGATGAATATTCTAGCTCTTCTTCATTTTAAAAATACAGGTTTAGTTTAATGAAAAGATATTATTCTAACTTGCTCATTCATTGCTTATAATAAATTCATAATGAAAGGTAAAATGTAGAACTATTCAGCAGACTTCACTTTGTCATAGCCCTTTTAAAAAGTTCTTAAGTAAAGAGCAATGGGAATATTTTAATGATATGCTAATTAAATTTGAATACCTGGGCTTTTCAGTAGTAGCAGCTTTATAAATGGGCATAAAGATGGTATTTTAAGAGACGGGTTAAATATTCCATGATAAGATATGTTTGCTTCCTAAAACTGGTGAAAGAAGCAATGGCAATTAAACATTTCATAAAATGTAGCTTTCCCAGAGAGCTCTTAAAAATCAGGAGACGCAGCGGGGAAGGAATAGAAGTCCATTCTCCATGACTGTCTCAGGGCTGTTTTTTCCCCAAAAATATGGGGCGCAAGAGACTTCCAGAGAGCTGAGGAAATAGCTGTCCTCCGAACACCCACGCCCACATGCTCAGACACATCCACGCTGAGACTCACAGAACAGCACATTCAATTTGTATTTTATAAATCAAGCCGATTTGTGGAGTAACTGTGGACTTCCCTTCATTTCCGTGGATGTTTGATGACTTCCTTGATCTAGTTACCACAAAACAGCCTATTTCTTTCATTTAAAGCTTTCTAATGGGCTCTGACTTTTAATTTTTCCACTTCACAAAAAATATCCTTTTTCAACCCTGTGTGCCCGGTCACATGCCACCTTCGGCCAGCTCAAAGCATAACTGAAAATCTCGAGGACCATAATATTCTCTCCCTGCAAGTTCCCCTGTCCCCAGCCTGCCACTGTACATGGGCTTTCACTTGGACACTGTGCTGGGGACCTCCAGTTCTGGCCCTGGAACCTACCAGCCAGGGGAGGGTAAGAAGCCCCTGAGTCACTCCACCCTTCCCAGCTAGTGAACCGAGGATGGGAAACCTTCTTACTGTCATGGGTTACATGGAAATGGGTGCAGTCTGGAGGAAGCACCCTGCGTGTGTCAGTTGACACTGGGTCTAAATGCCTGCTTGTGATTTTAGAACCAAGCTCACGGAGGATAAAACCACCCTGACCAAGAAGATGACCACAGAAGAAGTGATTGAAAAATTCAAAAAGTGTATACAGCAGCAGGACCCGGCATTCAAAAAACGATTTCTTGACTTCAGCAAGGAGCCTAATGGAAAAATTAACGTGCATGACTTTAAGAAGGTAGGAGAATGGGTTTCTCTTTGTTTCTATCCTGCAGAAGTTCAGCTGTTTTCTTATACTAACATACTTTAAAGGACAATGGCTTATCCCAGGACGCAGCAGATCCATTTCTAGGCATCTTTCAACAATTTAAAAGGATTTTTTTTTTTGGCCAAAAAATTGTCATTGGCACATTTCTTAGAGAATACTTTCAATATGGATGTGGCCAGCTTTTGATATTTAAGCTTTTACATATCAGAAGCATTTATTGATGCGGTTTGGCTATCTGCTGCATACCTGGCACTGTGCATCATTGGGCAGCCTGCGGGTGAGAGTACAAAGCCACTCGGCCCCTGCCTGCCAGTGGAGAGTTTCCAATCACAGAGCTATGGTTTGTTCCTCTAGAATGAAAAAAAAAAAAAAAAAAAAAAAACAATCTGGCAGTGAAATATGGGAAACTCAGAGTGCTGATTTGCATGTGCTTATGGGAACTGGTGAGTTTCTGCCAGAAAGGGCTCAGCTTGAAGGGTTCTGCATAGACTTCTCAGGAATTAATTTAAATGATTGCTTAAAATTCGTATTACGATCCCTCTAGCTAATCATCCTCAGCTATTTTTAAGGAAAGCATTTCAGTTAATATGTAGCAGTGTCCATGTGGACAAATTTAGAAGAAGGCAATAAAATATATTTCCAAGAAGAGTATAATTACATTAGTGGCCCCTTCATCCGGTGCCTGCCCCACTGCCGGACATTGGAATGGGCTTTTTATGGGTCTTATTTCTAAGCCTCCAGAATGCAGCATCATGGAGGAGCATGGACTGGAGGACGGAGCAGGGCTAGAGGCACAGAAATGGGATTAGGTAGCTACTGAAATAGTCCAGACCCTCTCCCCTCCCCAGCCAGAACAAGACAAGACGTGGAGGGTCCTTTGTTGTATGAGCATATGGGGAGAGCCAGGAGAATAGATTCAAGAAGGACTCAGAAATAAGGAGTTGAGGATAGGAAATGAGGGATAGGACATAAGACATAAGGGAATAGGCTAGGTGTGGTAGCTCACGCCTGTAATCCCAGAACTTTGGGAGGCCAAGGCAGGTGGATCACGTGAGGTCAGGAGTTCAAGACCAGCCTAGCCAACGTGGCGAAACCCCATCTCTACTAAAAATACGAAAATTAGCCAGGTGTGGTCACGCACGCCTGTAATCCCAGCTATTCAGGAGGCTGAGGCAGGAGAATTGCTGGAACCCAGGAGGTGGAACTTGCAGTGAGCTGAGATCGTGCCACTGCACTCCAGCCTGGGTGACAGAGCAAGACTCAGTCTCAAAAAGAAAGAAAGAAGGGAATAAGGCAGAGGAAATGTTTTAAGTCATTCCCAGATTTCTGATTTGGGGACCAGGTGGCCGATAACCAGTCATTGATGATTTTGATTAGAGCAGTTTCAATGGAGTGAGTGGTAGCCATGGGAGCTGAATTTCAGGGGCTGAAAACTAAACGAGTGCCAATCTGACTCCATCCATCCCTGCCCGTGCAGGGCCCTTTGTCCTAGATTTTATTTCACCCTGAGCTACGTGGCACGGGTCCTTGTCCGTAATGCATAATGAGCTTGAACTCTCACAATTCTCTGCATTCTTGATTCTTAAAGTCAGTTCACAAATTCACGGGAAACTAATAATCCCTAGTCTGCCCCTGGTTTTTCAGAGTGGAAAGTGACTATCTTAGAGAAGTGGCAGTAGATGTTGGTAAGGCAGAGACTCACACCTGTGATCTGAGTCCAAGAGCAGCTCCTTACCTGGCCCATCCTTCTGTCACCTGAGAACAACTTTGGGTCATCAGCTCAGTTGCAGGTTCTTCTGGCTTCCGGTTGTACCTGCCATTGATAAACCAGCGTCTCCTGAGTTCATGTCCCAGAGCAACTCCTGAATGTCAGTCTCATGCACCTACCTGTCTACCTGCCTTCTCCATGTGGGCACAGCCAAAGAGGGGCCGCTCCGCCTACATCCTTCCTGTTCTCAGTCAAAGACAACAACCTTTTTTTCCCAGTTGCTCAGGCCTAAAATCTAGTCATCTTTACTGAGTCTCCTCTTCCTCTTGTACCCACATCCAATTCACCAACAAAGCCTGTTGGCTCCCTTCCAGATAGTTCCAGAAGAGATGACCCCACTCCACTGCTCCCCCCAGCATCTCCCATGTGATTATCACAGCATCCCCTTCACTGCCTCCCTGCTTCCACCCTGGCCATGCCACAGTTCATCGTCAACCCAGCAGCCAGAGCGACCCCTCAGTGGAACCCACCGAGGGCTCCTCAAACACAAACCAGGGCCTGAGCCTGGCCTAGGAGACCCTGCATGGTCCAACCACCTCCCTGATCTCAGCTCTGGTCATCCTCCCCTTGCTCAAGAAACTCCAGCCACATCAGCTTCCTCTCCCCTCAGACAGAGGCTGGCTCTTCCTTGGCACTGGCCATGCCCTCTGCCAAGATCGCGGCTCCTTGGGTAACTGCATGGCTCTCCCCTTGCCTCCTTCAAGTCTCTGTTCAACTGCTCTTCCTCCACCAAGGTGACCTTGACATTCCCATTGCAAATGCAGTCCACCCTCCTCACCTTCACCTCCTTCATCTTGTTTCCTGTTCACAGCACCTGTGTTGTGTATTGCATGGCACTCACCACATCTTTCATTTGTTTCTGCATTCTGTCTGTTTGCTTGCCCTCCCCTATTATAAAATATGCTCCAAAGGTTGACATTTGATCTCTTTTGTGTAGTGCTGCTCCCCAAGTGCTTTGCACATAGTAGGGCCCAGTGAGCATGTATTGAATGAATGAATGTGAAGAGTATTTGGCATCCCCAGTGCAGCCCTAAATGAATGCCACCCTGAGGACTGATGGACATGGGCATTCGCACATTTGAAGCTGGTTCCTACACCTGTCTGGGCCAGAGCCCTCCAACCCCTGTGCTCTTCTCTGCCCCATGAATTACTCTGGGTGCTGGCCGACCCCAAAGGTCAGCTCACTGAACAGCTGCTCTGCTGCTGTCTCCATGGTGGCAACCAGCATGCTCCTAGCCCTTCCTTTTGCCTATCTGCGGGCTTCTTGGAGACCTCCCTGCTGCCTGAAGGCATGCCCACAGGGAGGAGAAAGGAAAAGCAGAAACCCAGCAAGGACTTTGCCTTAGTCAGTTTGGGCAGCTTTAACAAAGTACCCTGGACTCGGTGGCTTGCAGATAATGGAAATTACTCTCTCACAATTCCGGAGGCTGGAAGTCCAGGCTCAGGTGCCAGCATGCTGGGGCTCCGGCAAGGGCCCTCTTCTGGGTGGTACACTGTAGACTTCTCACGGCAGCAAGAGGGCAAGAGAGCTCTCTGGGATCTCTTTTATACGGGCTCTAATCCCATTCACATTGGAAGTTAGGGTCTAAACATATGAATTTGGGGGAGACACAAACATTCAGTCCATAACAAACTGATATGTTGTGTTTTATCATGAAAAGTAACAATCAATTTGCTGTGAACACAGTTAGTCCAGTTTGCACTGGTTTTCCTCCTAGTGATTTGTTCGGTTTAAGCTTTGGGAAAGTCTTCTTGTGACCATCTTTGAAGATCAAGAACTGTGGGGTGATTTTCAACAGTCAGGCTACTATGGACCTGGGTTTGCACTTCATAAGCTATAAAGCATTATGTAAATATAAATTATCATCACTGGCAGAGATTGTTTATAGATCAGGGTAAATGGCTTTTTTCTACTACTGGTGAAATCAGAGCTAGAAATATCATGGGCTTATGCAGTAGAAAGAAAGGATTTAGGTTAGACCGGATGTAAGGCTCCCAGATGATAAAGGCTTGGGAATGTTAAATTTCAGTGTTGTGGAAGCCTTTGAAATTGACTTCTCAAGAGAGCTCTAAGTATAATGGACAATAGTAATTTTGTAATGGCAATAACAGCGATAGTAATTACAATGATGATGAGTGTCATTGCTGGAATAATAACGATGACGGTGATGTGATAGCTGCACCTACCATGGACTGAGCCCCTCCAATATTCAGGCATGTGGAATTTGCTTTACATATGTTATTTCTGCTCCTCACAGGAAGCCTGTAGGTATAGAGTATACACATTTCACAAACAAGGAGACCAAAGCTTAGGACCTGTGATACTGGCTCAGTGTTGTTCAGCTGTTAAGCTGTTCAAGAACTTGGACTTGAATTCATGTCTGTCTGTGTCAGACTCAGACCCTTGCTGGGTGTCATGTGGGCCTGGCAGGTGTGAGATAGGCTTGCTGGATGTGAACAGGCTTCCAGGATGTACCGCAGGCTTGCTGCATGTAGTAGAGGCTTACCAGGTGTAATTCTGGAGTAATTCTGGCTTGGTGGGTAGACTAGGTTTGCTGAGTAATTGATGGCCGTGTGTTTCAAGGTAGTAGCTGGCCTCAGAGTTTAGTGAGAAGGACATTAATTTTAATTACAATGCTTTTTAATTCTTCCTGTCCTTTTGGTCATGGATATACAATGTTCTTGCCCTCCTCTTCCCCTACATCTTGTGTGTAACCCCAATTAGTATAGCAAAATGGTTGTGAAGGTTTGTCCCTGAGGAGGTGGGAGTGAAGGTCTGTGTCACAAACTTCAGGTTGCCTGCCTGAGCATGCATGCTGTTGTTCATCATTTAAACAGAGGCTGCACTTAGATGTTGGCTGGTAACCTCATACTGGAAATTGGAAGTGCCAATTATTTATTCCCACCAGCCATCTCCTTCCCTGTGCCATGGCAGAGGGTGGCTGCCTACCCCGGATCAATGAGGGAGAATGGCAGAAATAGAGTCTGCAGGTGGATGGGGCCCTGTGGGTCCCCAGATCCAAGTCCCTGCATTGTTGCTGCTGAGATCACTGTCATAAGTCCTCACCATTGTGGCCAGAAAGATTCTGTCTACTCTATAAATTATTATTATTATTATTATTATTATTATTATTATTATTATTATTTTGAAATGGAGTCTCACTCTGTCACCCAGGCTGGAGTGCAGTGGCGCGATCTCGGCTCACTGCAACCTCTGCCTCCTGGGTTCAAGCAATTCTATCTCAGCTTCCTGAGTAGCTGGGACTACAGGCACCTGGCTAATTTTTATATTTTCAGTAGACAAGTTTTCACCATATTGGTTAACCACGCCTGGCTAATTTTTGTATTTTTAGTAGAGACTGGTTTTCACCATATTGGTCAGGCTGGTCGCGAACTCCTGACCTCAGGTGATCCACCCGCCTCGGCCTCCCAGAGTGCTGGGATTACAGGCATGCCGCCACGCCCAGCCAACTCTATGAACTATATTTATTAACTATCAATAAGACTTTGTCTTCTCCCCTCTTTCCTGTTTAATATAAGACATAGCAGAGCTTCTGATTCATGTGAATTACCAGGAAGGACAGCATGCTGAGTGGACGCATGCCTCCTGGTGGAGGCAGAGCTCACTAGGGGTGAATGAAGGCCATGTGCTTTCCATGGTTGGATGTGTGATATCTACTGTGAGGAGGGGAAGGAGAAGGGCGCTATTCTTTCTGGAATTGTCTAGACCTGTTCTGGGTAGTTGCAATCATTTCTCACAGCAACCCTGTGATGCGGATTCCCTCTCCCAGGAAACCCTGTCTCCGTTCGTTGCTCTGACCATTCACCTCATGGTCTGTCCTTTGACACTTAACATAACAATGTTCTGAAATTCTCCACCAAAGAAATGGCCCTCTTTGACTTTTGCATTTTATTTATTTATTTATTTAGAGGCAAGATCTCACTTTGTCTCCCAGGCTGGAGTGCAATGGTGCGATCATGCTCACTGCAGCCTCAATCTCCTGGGCTGAAGTGATCCTCCCACTGCAGCCTCCCAAGTAGCTGGAACTAGAGGTCCATGCCACCAGGCCTGAATAATTTTTAAAAATTTTTTTGTAGAGATGAGGTCTCACTATGTTGCCCCGGCCACTCTTGAACTCCTGGGCTCAAGAAATCCTCCTGTGTTGGCTTCCCAAAGTGCTGGGATTACAGATGTGAGCCACCGCGCCTAGCCGACTCTTGTATATTTTTAAATGTGTTATTTAACGTAAATATCAAGTAAGAACTGGTAAAGTTGGCAGAAAACTTTAGGGTGATCTGGAACCTTTATATTCTTTGTCTGAATTGTTTCTCTTCCCCTCTCCCTTTTCTTCATATGCTGAATTAGCAGAAAACCCACAAAACGGTGGTTTAAATAAGAGAGGTGGTTATTTTTGTCTCTGAGAACAGGAGTCCAGATATTGCTGCTACAGGGCCAGTGCAGCATGTCATCAGACACCCTGGTTGCTTTTAGCTTTCCACAGCTCCAGGTACATCTTCATGCATGCAGGCTAGCTGCCAGAGCACCAGCCATTCCAGATGTTTCGGGCACAAAGATGGGGAGGCATGAAGGGCAAGGTGCTTGAGCCAGCCAGGTCTTTCTTTTTTAAAAGTTCTTTCTTAGATACTGCCCCAACAAGTTTCCACTCACATTTTATTGACCAGGACTGTGTTATGTGGCCATACCTATCTATAAGGGGGGTTGGAAAAAATATATATATAATTATAAATGTATAATTTTATAAATATATAAATATGTATACTTATTTTATATCTATATACAAAAATTGGGGGCTGAGTGCATTACTAGTATGGAAAAAACAAGGTTGTGTTCCTATGGGAGGAGGAGGAAATATGTATCAGGTAGGCAAATGTAGCTGTCTGCCACCTTTTCTCTCAGTAGGCATTTTGAGGGTGCCTGTTGTACACTTAGCATGGCACCAGGCACATGGGGAATGGGGATGTAGTGGAAGGTGCAGTTTCTGACACCAGGGGAAATGATTTTGTTGCTTTGGGCCAGTGACCCACGGGGAACATAACATGACAAAATACCCAACGACACATGGGCTAAGATTAGTTAAATTGAGTCATTAGATTAATTGAGCTGTACAATCTATCAGGAATTTGAGGACAGCTTGATCATCCCAGCTTCTTGTAATTGTCTGTGTCTGATTTCTTCATTCTCTGTGAACACATTGGACATTGTTCAGCTCACTGTTGTTCTTAGTACCACCTCTGGAGACCCCACCTCGGCCTCTGGAGACAGACGCAGAGCTGCAGAGCTCATCAGCAAGCTTGCTCAGGGCCCCTGAGACATGCAGTAGGGAGCTGGAGTCTGGAACAGCCCAACCCTGTGTCCCAGATTTCAGCTCCTTTCTCCTGTGCCTGCTCTACGGCAGGGACATCTCACCTGGCTTAGCCCGAGATGTGCTTTCCTTCTTCCTCTGTGCAGAGCACTTCCTCCCTTTGGCTGCTGATGAAACTCACATATCCAGAGAATTTGCCTGCTCTTTACTCACTACCATGAATTCCCCACACATATTCTTTCCCACCTTGGGGACACGACCCTAATCTAAGCAAACTAAATGTTTATGGTAACAGAGTGAATTAGGTTTTTGTTTTTTTTTTGAGATAGGGTATCACCCTGGCACCCTGGCTGGAATGCAGTGGCGTGATCAGGGCTCACTGCAGCCTCGACCTCCCAGGCTCAAGCAGTCCTGCCACCTCACCCTCCTGAGTAGCTGGGACCACGGGCATGCACCACCACACCCGGATAATTTTTACATTATTTTGTAGAGATGAGGTCTCACTATATTGCCCAGGCTGGTCACAAACACCTGGGTTCAAGTGATCCACCCACCTCAGCCTCCGAAAGTGCTGGGATTACAGGTGTGAGCCACCACGCCCATGCCCAGCTGAATTAGATTTTTTTTAAAGTCAAATATTAAGTATTTGTATTCCTCTAGTTGTAAATCTTCTGTTAGGAACATATAGCTCTGGTAAAGGAAACAGATATTCTAAAAGCTCTTTGTTATGTATCACATCAGTTATGTGAGGGGGAAAAACACAAAAGTAAGAGAATAATAAGAGGGACAAACAGTAAGAGTCACAGATACACCCACACAACGCCAGAGACCCAGAGAGAGCGCATAAGAAATCCTCACGGAGTTTTCTCCCGCATGTGCTGGATTAGGGGTACCACAGGCAAGGGCCGCTGACATCATTGTGTTTTGACTGCTGTCGGCACAGCGGGAGTTCCTGAGGCTTGCTGTGAGGCCTAGTCAGATTCAGCACACGGAGCAAAGGTTCTCCATCCTTGTTCAGGGGCTGAGGAAACACCTAGAGAAACCGGTGGCAGCCTCACATTACTGAGGGCAGCTGGTGTGTGTTGGGGGAGGAGTGAATAGGTTTAGTTCTTGAGCTTCCTGTTCCAAACAGCTTCCTAATTCTGTGGATATTTTAAGGGGATGACCAGCTTTGTATTGGAGGTCCCTCACATCTTCAGTTTTGTCAGTCCAAGCCCTACACAACCTTCAGAAGTTGTTACTTATTCCTCCATCCTCCAGCAATGTCCTTCCACCGAGGACACGGCCAGATTCTCTTGGCATCCAGCTGTGCCCCGAAGGGCACGTTCCCTGAGGGCAAAAGCAGCCACAGCCTCAGCTGACCCCTCCTCTAGGGCTCTCCATATGCTCACTTTTGTATTCTCAGGGCCTTTCTCCCTGGGCTTCGATCCCCTGCGTACCACGAAAGTGTGGGGGCTTCCATCCTTGCAGAGTTCGGCTCCTGTCTGCAAAGGGAAACCAGTCATAACTTGGGCCCACCCGGGTCTCCAATTTTGTCACTCCAGGGCCACATAACTCACAGTGCGGGAGTGGCCTCTGCCTGGACCAACCCAATTTCTCTGTTTAATGTCCACCCCCACAATCACCAGCTGTTCACACATCCCTAGGTCGCCTCTGAAAGGTTCCCCCGCCTTGCAGTTTTACTCCCTTTAGTCCTCATTGCTCTCTGATGCCTTTTGTTTTATTTTATTTTATTTTATTTTATATTTTTGAGACAGAGTTTTGCTCCGTCGCCCAGGCTGGAGTGAAGTGGCACGATCTCTACTCACTGCAAACTCCGCCCCCACCCAGGTTCAAGTGATTCTTCTGCCTCAGCCTCCCAAATAGCTGGGATTACAGGTCCCCGCCACCATACCCGGATAATTTTTGTATTTTTAGTAGAGACGGGGTTTCACCATGTTGGCCAGGGTGGTTTCAAACTGCTGACCTCAGGTGATCCACCGGCCTCAGCCTCCCAAAGTGCTGGGATTACAGATGTGAGCCACCTCACCTGGCCTTAGATGCCTTTGAAAAGATTACTTTTGTAATCAAGTGGGCTTTTCTGGTTGTTTTAATTGGGAATGTTTGCTTGCTCCATCCTATCCAGAGGCAGACGTTGAGGTCTGTCAGTTTTGTTAGTCTTTTCAAAATCACAACTTTGTGTTGTCATTTTTTTCTGTTGTATATGCATTTTACATTTCATTAATTTTGCTGTTATATTGATTATTTTCTTCCTTCTACTTAATTTGAATTTAGTTTGCTGTTCTTTTTCTAATTTCTTGAAAATTAGAAATTTAAACCATTGATTTTCAGCCTTTATTTCTCTGGTGTATGAAGTTGTGGCTCTCCATTGCCCTGTAAGTGCTTGAACAGGTTTAGCCACATTAATATAGGTTTTAGTATACTATCTTTTCAATATCATTTCATTCAAAATGTTTTATAATTCTCCTTGTGATTGTTTTCTTTTTCTAATGGTTTATTTTTAAAATGTATTTAATTTCCAAAACAGTTGGGATTTTCTAGTGTTTTTTTTTTAATGATTGATTTTAAAGTTGATTCCATTGTGATCAGAGAATAGATTCTAAAGTCTAAATGACTTCAGTCTATCCTTTGAAATATGCTGAGGTGTGGATTATGACCTAACACGTATAGTCATTTTGGGGGATGGGAGGACAGGGTCTCTCTCTGTAACCCAGACTGGAGGGCAGGGGTGCCATCGCAACTCACTACAGCCTCCACCTCCGGGGCTGAAGCAATCCTCCCACCTCAGCTTCCTGAGTAGCTGGGACTACAGGTGCATACCACCACACCTGGCTAACTTTTGTGGGGTTTTTTTTGTAGAAACAGGGTTTCCCCAAGTTGCACAGGCTGGTCTTGAACTCCTGGGCTCAAAGGATCTGCCTGCCTCAGCCTCCCGAAGTACTGGGATTATAGGTGTGAGCCACCATGCCTGGCCATCAATTTTGAGAAATGTCTCATAAACACTGGAAAAGAACGTGTGTTCTCTGCCACTGGAGGTTCAGTTTCCTACATTCAGTCATATGCGGCTTAATGACAGGGACACATTCTGAGAAACGCATCGTTAGGCGATTTGGTTGTTGTGCAGATATCCTAGAGTGTGGTTACAACAAACCTAGGTGCTATAGCCTCCTACACAGCTAAGCTATGTGGTATAACCTTACAACAAACCTAGGTGCTATAGCCTCCTACACAGCTAAGCTATGTGGTATAACCTTACAACAAACCTAGGTGCTATAGCCTCCTACACACCTAAGCTATGTGGTATAACCTATTGCTTTCAGGCTACAGATCTGTACAGCATGGTATTATACCGCACAGTGTAGGCCATTGTAATGCAATGATAAGTATTTGTGTATCTAAACATAGAAAAGGTACAGAACAAATATGATATAATCTTATGGCATCACTGTGGTATATGGTCCACTGCTGACCAAAATGCCATTATGCGGTCCATAACAGCATGTCAATTGGGTTCATTTTATTAATTGTGTCCTTCAGAACTTCTATATCCTTACCACATTGTTTTTAATTTTCTTTTCTTTTTTTTTTTTAGATGGCGTTTTGCTCTTGTTGCCCAGGCTGGAGTGCAATGGCAGCAATCTTGGCTCACTGCAAATCTCCGCCTCCTGGGTTTAAGCGATTCTCCTGTCTCAGCCTCCCGAGTAGCTGGGATTACAGGCATACACCACCACACCTGGCTAATTTTGTAGTTTTAGTAGAGACGGGGTTTCACCATGTTGGTCAGGGTGGTATCAAACTCCTGACCTCAGGTGATCCACCCGCCTTGGCCTCCCAAAGTGCTGAGATTACATGCGTGAGCCACTGCACCCGGCCCCTTACCACATTTTTGTGGGCTCACTCTATTAAGTGATGAGTGAAGTGTGTTAAGGTCTTCCATCCGATTGTAGGTTTGTCTAGTGAGATCCTTTCTTCATTCTGTTGACTGTTGAATTATTCACTTTGAAGCTAATTACTGGGTACAAATAAATTTAGAATTTATTAAAACTTCCCATGAATTGTTTCCTTTATCATTAGGTCATAACTCTTTTGACAAAGAGGAATGCCATTTGCCTTCAGGCCTATGTCATCTGATAATAATGTAGTCACTTCGGCTTTCTTTTGATGAGTGTTCACATGGCGTATCCTTTTCTATCCTTTTGCTTTCAAACTATCTGGTTACTTATTGAGAGCAAGTCTCTTGTGGGCAGCATATAGCCAATTAAAAAAATACAGTCTGATAGTCTGAGTCTTCCACTTGAAGTATTCGGTCCGTTCTATACATATTTAATTATCTATATAGTTGGCTTTATATCTGTCATTGTAATGTTTTTGTTTTTTTCTATTTGACCCGGCTGTCTCATGTTTCTTCTTCTGTCCTTTGTTGCCTTCTTTTAGGATTATCCAACTTTTTTTTTTTTTTTTGAGACAGGGTCTCGCTCTGTTGTGTTATTTCATTTTCCTGTCTATTAGCTTATGAGTTGCTTTGTTCTTATATTAGTCTCATAGAAGCTGCATGAGAGACTGTGACACGCAGCCTGTGTTACTGTTGTCAAATAGAAATCATTGTTCACCACTTCCCTAACAATGCTAGATTTTTAAAATACTCCCTTTAGCCCCTCTTCTCTTTTGTGTGATAGTTGTTTTGCATTTTAATTTTACATGTATTTTATTTATTTATTTACTTTTGAGACAGAGTCTTGCTCTGTTGCCCAGGCTGGAGTGCAGTGGCATGATCTCAGCTCACTGCAACCTCCGCCTCCCAGGTTTAAGCAATTCTCCTGCCTCAGCCTCCCGAGTAGCTGGGATTACAGGTGCCTGCCACCACGCCCAGCTAATTTTGTATTTTTAGTAGAGATGGGGTTTCACTATGTTGGCCAGGCTGGTCTCGAACTCCTGACCTCAGGTGATCCGCTCGGCTCAGCCTCCCAAAGTGCTAAGATTATAGGTGTGAGCCACAGCGCCTGGCCTCACATGTATTTTAAATCTCACAGGCATTATTATTTCATATGGTAAATAATTTGTCAAATGAATCTACATATTTACTCTTGCTGCTCTTCTTTCCATCTCACATTTTGTGTTTGCACCTGGACTCATTTTTAAATTCTGCCTAAAGACCTCCCTTTTGTACTTTAAATGCAAATGTACTGGCAACACTCTCCAAGTGTCCCTGGTTTCTTCACGTTTCCTTACCTCTTCACTTCATGTCCTTTTCCTGTCTAGGATCGTATCTAGGGTATCACATTCTATTGAGTCTTCATGTCTCCTGAGGCTCCCCTTGGCTGTGAGAGTTTCCTAGACTTGCCTTGTTTTTGATGGCCTTGACAGTTCTGAGGATTACTGATCAGATATTTTGTGGAGCATCCCTCAATTGGGATTTGTGTGATATTTTTCTCATGATTAGACTGGGTAATGTGTTTTTGGAAGGAAGACCGCAGAGGCGGGTGCCCTTCTCATCACATCTTGTCAAGGGCACCTGCTATTAATATGACTCATCACTGTTGGTGCTGAACCTGTCACTGGCTGAAGTGTGTTACCTGACTTTGTCACCTGGCAGAGGTTTCACTACTGTCAAGTTATTCTTTTTCTCCCCTCTTCGTTATTGGAAAGATTTTCGTCTTTGGAAGAAATCCATGGTGCACAGCCCTCAGGGAAGAAGTGGGGAGTTACAATGCTCCAGCTCTTTCAAGCCACAACAACAGGTGTTATTTGGAATCCTTTTTCATGGGATATTTGTCTCTTTTCTTCCACTTACTAACTTACTCAACCATTTATTCATATTAGAATGGACTCATGCCTCATTATCCTTTAAATAGGTATAAGATCCTTAATGATTTTTCCCTTTTCCGCTTCTGATTGGTAATTTTAAAATATTTTCTGTTTGTTTTGTGACTTGTCTAGCTAGAGGTTTATCACTTTTATTGATCTTTTTCTAAAACAAGCTGTGGTTTCATTGATTTCCTCTATTGTTTGCCTATATTCTACTTCACTGATTTTTACTTTTATCTTTATTATTTCTTTATTCCTACTTACTTTACCTACTTTGGCTTTAATTTGCCTGAGTTTGAAACCCAAGGGGATTTTTAGGGGATATTCACCTTGAGAACCTGATGGGACTTCTGGCATGAAAGCCCATGAAAGTGCGCCCTCCCCCTGCCCCTTCCTCCAAAGACAGGGCCACTAGAAATCGCTCCCTCTCAAGCTAATTCACACTCAGCCTCCAGCAATTTGTCAAAATTACCACTTAGGTATCCCTACCAGTTTCTGGTCTCAGTGGCTTCTGCTCCAGGTAAGCTGATCATGGCTGTGATTCTCTGTCTTCATTTCTCTCTCCAGATTTTATGTTTCTCTGATGGTTCTGTGAAACGTCATTAATTTGCAGTTTGTCTTTTTTCTTGTTGTAAGGATGGGAATGATGACTTCCAAGCTGTTTACATGTCAGAGGTGAAAGCAAAAAGTCCACCCTTATTTTAAAAAATATTTTAGCTGGGAAAAACATTCTAGGTTGGCAATCATTTTCTTCTGGCATTTTAAAGATACCGTTCCATGGTCTATGTCTTCTATCAGTTTTGTTGATAAATCAACCATGTATCTTATTGGGTATAATGTGTCTTTTTTTTCTCTAGCAGCTCTTAAGATTTTCCTCTGTCTTTGGATTTCAGCAGTTGTACTAGGATGAGTCTCAATGCAGCTTTCTTTATATGAATCCTGCTGGAGTCTGCAGTTCTTCTTGTATCTGTAGGTTAATGTGTTTTATCAGTTGTGACAAATTCTCAGCCACTGCCTCCTCTCCTGTTGTTATGCGCATTCTCTCCTCCCTCCCTGGACTCCTTTCCAGGATCCCACATGCCTCTCTTCACTCTTTTGTGTAGTTTCTATCTTTTTGCTTTCAGCGCTTCAGCCCCAGTATTTCCTATTGATCTGCCTTCCAGTTTGCTAATCCCATGTTCTGCATTTTTCAATCTGTGGTTAGTTGTACTCACCGAGTTCTTAATTTTAGTATTATATTTTTCAGTAGTGGGATGCTCATTAGGTTATTTTTAACATATTTTGTATCTGTGTTTTTTTCTTCTTTTGTCTCAATATACTCCGGTATTCTCTTAAACATATTCATAGCTTTTTTTTTTCTGGTATTTCCAATATCTGGATCACCTGTAGATCTGTTTCTATTGTCTGTTTTTTTTTCTTTCTGGATATTGGGTTATATGGTTCTGTCTCTTAGAATGCCAGGTAGATTTTTATTGAATATCAAATACTATTTATTAAGAAAATTAAGAGGCTCTGGATAATAGGTCATCCTCTGCTTTGCTAGGCAGATAGAGTGGGGACTCATAACCTTAGTCCAGTAAGGGACTGGTGGATTTGAGGCTGGATTGAATTTTGGCAAGGCTGTTAGCATTTGTTTTTTTTAACTACTCCTGCTCCTAGGGCATAAAACTTCAAAAGCTCTAACTCAGAGCCTGGGTGTATCAGTCCGTTTTCACGCTGCTGATGAAGACATACCTGAGACTGAAAAATTTACAAAAGAAAGAGGCTTAATTGGACTTACAGTTCCACATGGCTGGGGAAGCCTCACAATCATGGTGGAAGGCGAGGAGGAACAAGTCACATCTTATGTAGATGGTGGCAGGCAAAAAATGAGAGAGCTTGTGCAGGAGAATGCCTCCTTTTAAAACCATCAGATCTCATGTGACTTATTCACCATCAAGAGAACAGCACAGGAAAGACTTGCCCCCATGATTCAATTACCTCCCACCAGGTCCCTCCCAAACACATGGGAATTCAAGATGAGATTTGGGTGGGGACACAGCTAAACCATATCATTCTGCCCCTGGCCCCTTCCAAATCTCATGTTCTCACATTTCAAAACCAATCATGCCTTCCCAATAGTCCCCCAAAGTCTTAACTCATTTCAGCATTAACTCAAAAGTCCATAGTCCAAAGTCTCATCCAAGACAAGGCAAGTCCCTTCTGCCTATGAGCCTGTAAAATCAAAAGCAAGTTAGTTGCTTCCTAGATACAATGAGGGTACAGGTGTTGGGTAAATACAGCCATTCAAAATGGGAGAAATTGGCCAAAACAAATGGGCTACAGGCCCCATGCAAGTCTGAAATCCAGTGGGGCAGTCAAATCTTAAAGCTCTAAAATGATCTCCTTTGACTCCATGTCTCACATCCAGGTCACACTGATGTAAGAGGTGGGTTCCCATGGTCTTGGGCAGCTCCGCCCCTGTGGCTTTTCAGGGTACAGCCTCCCTCCCGGCTGCTTTCATGGGCTGACATTGAGTGTCTGCAGCTTTTCCAGGAGCATGGTCCAAGCTTTCAGTGGATCTACCGTTCTGGGGTTTGGAGGATGGTGGCCCTCTTCTCACAGCTCCACTAGGCAGTGCCCCAGTAGGGACTCTGTGTGGGGGCCCTGCCCCCACATTTCCCTTCTGCACTGCCCTAGCAGAGGTTGTCTATGAGAGCCCTGCCCCTGCGGGCAAACTTCTGCTTAGACATCCAGGCGTTTCCGTAGATCTTCTGAAATCTAGGCAGAGGTTCCCAAACCTCAATTCTTGACTTCTGTGCACTCACAGGCTCAACACCATGTGGAAGCTGCCAAGGCTTGAGGCTTGGTCCCTCTGAAGCTATGGCCCAAGCTCTAAATTGGCCCCTTTCAGCCATGGCTGGAGCTGCTGGGATGCAGGGCACCAAGTCCCTAGTCTGCACACAGCTCAGGGACCCTGGGCCCAGCCTATGAAACTGCTTTTTCCTCCTAGACCTCCAGGCCTGTGATGGGAGGGGCTGCTGTGAAGACCTCTGACATGCCCTGGAGACATTTTCACCATTGTCTTGGGGATTAATATTCTCCTCCTCGTTACTTATGCACATTTCTGCCACCAGCTTGAATTTCTGCTCAGAAAATGGGATTTTCTTTTCTATCGCATTGTCAGGCTGCAAATTTTCTGAAGTTTTATACTCTGCTTCCCTCATAAAACTGAATGCTTTTAACATCACCCAAGTCACCTCTTGAATGCTTTGCTGCCTAGAAATTTCTTCTGCCAGATACCCTAAATCATCTCTCTCAAGTTCAAAGTTCCACAAATCTCTAGGGCAGAGGCAAAATGCTGCCAGTCTTTTTGCTAAAATGTAACAAGTCACCTTTGCTCCAGTTCCCAACAAGTGCCTCATCTCCATCTGAGACCCCCTCAGCCTGGACCTTATTGTTCATATTACTATTAGCATTTTTGTCAAAGCCATTCAACAAGTCTCTAGGAATTTCCAAACTTTCCCACATTTTCCTATCTTCTTATGAGCCCTCCAAAGTGTTTCAACCTCTGCCTGTTACCCAGTTCCAAAGTCACTTCCACATTTTCAGGTATCTTTTCAGCAATGCCCCACTCTACTGGTACCAATTTACTGTATTAGATCATTTTCATGCTGCTGATAAAGACATACCCAAGACTGAGCAATTTACAAAAGAAAGAAGTTTAACTGGACTTAGAGTTCCATGTGGCTAGGGAAGCCTCACAATCATGGCAGAAGGCAAGGAGGAGGAAGTCTCATCTTACATGGATGGCGGCAGGCAATAAATGAGAGAGAGCTTGTGCAGGGGAACGCCTCTTTTTAAAACCGTCAGATCTCTTGAGACCTATTCACTATCATGAGAACAGCACGGGAAAGACTTCCTCCCATGATTCAATTACCTCCCACCAGGTGCCTCCCAAAACACATGGGAATTCAAGATGAGATTTGGGTGGGGACACAGCCAAACCATATCACTGGGTTATTCTCTGAGCCCTGCCCCTTCCCCTCCAGGAGGTCCTGAACTCCAGTCCTTATTTCCTCAGGACCACAAGGTGACCAAAAAATCCCTTTTGCTTCTCAGAGGCTTCCTGCCTACTTAGTCTTCTGCCCCACACAGCTTAAGAATTCACCAAATACTTTGGGAGGAAAAGGGGCAGAGTGTTGGGCATGTTTCTTATTTTTCTTTCTCACTAGCAATCCAGTCATTTGGGTCTCTCCTTTTGTTGTCTCCAGTTTCATGAGCTCCTCACATACTTTACTTGCTTCTCTGTCTGCCTGGGCCGTCTGCCCCAGTCCTGAGCCCCTTGCCCTGCTCCCAGATTAGCAAATGGCTCATTCTCTTCCAGCTTCACCCTTCTCTCAGATTTTTGTCCCTCTGGGTCCTGGTTGCCTCCGCAGCTCTCTTATGCTTCAAACAGGTGTTTTGATGCATTTTTTCTGTCTTTTTCATTTGTTCTCAGTGGAAGCTTAAATCTGCAAGATATTCCAACAAGCAGAACATTAGCCATTCTCTTTTTGTTGGGCATTCATTTCTTTTATTTTTAATATTTTTTCCTCTTTAAACAATCTTTCTTTATGTGTCCTTACATACTGATGCTTTCATTTGTATGGAATGGATGCCAGGAGTAAGACTCTTGGTTGAAGATTTTTAAAAACATTTTTAAACATGTTATCTATTTGCTTTTTTAAAAATACTGTAATGTTTCACATTTCTAGTGGCTGTGTATGACAGTATCTTTTTCTCTGGACCTTTATAAGCAATAGGCATTATAGCTTTTTAAATTTTTGCTGGTCTTATGGTTTTAAAATGGTAACTCATTTAAACTTTAATTTGCATTTATTTTCCTGACTAGTGAATTTATTATTATTATTTGCCACTGCGATTTGTTCTTCTTTGAGTTGCCTATTTACATCCTTTGCCCTCTTGTCAATTTATAAAACCTATGTGCTTATGATGGACATCATTATTTATCTCTGCTCTCACAAGAATCCCAGGACTCCCAGTTCCTCCCTCACCTTCTGGGTTCTCAGCCCGGGGACTTTTTTCCCCCTCGGGCTCTGTATCCCTCTTAATCTGACCCTGTCTTCTATTCTCCCAGCTCCCAAAGCTCTTCTCTGGGCATTGGCTCGTTTGCACCAACTCAAGCCTGGTTCTTTCCTGAGGACACTCTTTCCCCTGTAGTCACAAGTCACTCCTCACTAATGTGTAAGCTTGGCGGGGATGGGGAGCTTTGTCTTTCTCATCCTCTGCCCTATCTCTAGCATCTAAATCAGTGCCTAGCACATCGTAAGTGCTCAATAAGTATTTTTCAAATGCATGAATCAATTTTATAAAGTATCATGGCATTATGGCTAAAAATGTTGACTCTGGAGCTAGGCTGCCAGGGCTCAAATCTCAGCTCTGATTCTTCTTCTTCGTTATTATTATTATTTACAATAATTTCAACATTTTAGATTCAAGGAATACATGTGCTGGTTTGTTACGTGGGTATTTTGCAGAATGCTGAGGTTTGGGGCATGAATAATCCCGCCACCCAGGTAGTGAGCATAGTACCCAACAGGTGGTTTTTCAGCCCACACCCCACTTTCTCCCTCCCCACTCTAGTAGTCCCCAGTATCTGTTATTCTCATCATTGTGTCTGTGTACTCAATGCTTAGCTCCCACTTATCAGTGAGAACATGCAGTATTTGGTTTTCTGTTCCTGTATAAATTCTCTTAGGATAATGGCCTCCAGCTGCATCCATGTTGTGCAAAGGACATGATTTCAGTCTTTTTTTATGGCAGTGTAGTATTCCACGGTGTGCATGTACCACATTTTCTTAATCCAGTCCACCATTGATGGGCACCTAGGTTGATTCCACACCTTTGCTATTGTGAATAGCTCAGCTCTGCTTCTTAATAACTGTGTGCCTGTGTGTGGGCACACCCCTCAGCCTCAGCTTCCTTTTTCCTAAAATGGAGATAATAGTAGTAGCTACATCATTGGATTGTTAGAAGGATTAAATGAGGATATATATCATATACATATGATATATATTTATGTTTGTTAATATATATTTATTACAACATATATTTATTACAACAGCCTTAGGAAACTAATAGTTTCCTAATAGGGTTAGGGTTAGGAAACTAATAGTTTCCTAGGGCAGTTATAACAAATTACCATACCCTGGGTAGCTTAAAACAATAAAAATGTATTTTTTCACAGTTCTCGAAGCCAGGAGTTTGGAATCAAGGTGTCAGCAGAGCCATGCTCTCATCTGCTGGCTCTGGGAGCACGCTGCATTGTTTCTCCCAGCTCCCAATGGCTGCCTGCCATCCGGCATCCCTCGGCCTGTAGCTGCGTTGCTCCAACCTCTGCCTCTGGCTCCACATGGCCTCTTTGGTCTCTTTCTTCTTTGTCTGCATGTCTTCACATCATGTTCTCCTCTCTGTGTGCCTCTGTCCAAATTTCTCTCTTGTTCTAAGGACACCAGTCATTGGGTGAGGTACTACTCTCATCCAGCACGACTTCATCTTAACTTGATTCCAACTGAAAAGACCCCAGCTCCATTAAAGGTTACATTCACTGGAACCAGGATTGAGACCTCATTATACCTTTTGGGGTACACAATTCAACCGACAACAATGTATAACCCTTAAAATAGGGCCTGGCACCTGAGGGCTGGGACTTGGCTGTTTTGTTCACTATTGTATTCCCAGTTCCTGGATAGAACCTGTCAGAGATGCTCAAAACATCTGTAGAATTAATTAATAATTTATCCGCTCTTTGTCTTCTTCAATACAAATATATTTTCCAAATATATCATGTCTTTTTGTTTTGTTATAGTTCCATATTTTGCCATTACAATGTTTTCAGTTTTTATACAACCAAATATTTCTATTGTCCTTTTTTTTCCCTAAATAAATTCTAGGTTTGTAGCCATGGTTAATAGGTGTTATTCCTTCATCCCCCACCCCCACCCCCACCTCAGTCTCCTAGACTTTCTTACAAGAATTTTATTTGTTTTTGTATAGAATGTTTTTAGAGCAGCTTTAGGTTTATAGCAAGATTTAGTGGAAACTACAAAGTTCCCGTATACCCCTGTCCCCACGTGCACAGCCTCCCCCACTAACAACACCTCTCAGCAGAATGCTACATTTGTTACAGTCTATGAACATGCATTGAAATTATTACAATTTCTTGCTTATAGAACAAGTGAAATGTCTAGGTCAAAAGAATATGCACAGTTAAATGTTTAATGCATATTGCCATATTACATTTCCAACGATTCTATCAAATTCATTCCTACCACAAGTGTTTGGTAGTTACTAATTTCCAAATGTTTGCCAACTTTGGGTAGAATAAAAAAGTTTAATATATGCTAACATATCAGTCAGAATTATAGTCATTACTTTAATTTGCATTTCTTTGATTTTAGTTAGCCTGAACTTCTCTTTCCCATTGTTTTATCAGAGAATTTATTTTTATTTTTAAATGTAGATGCTTAATCCATGTGGAATTAATTTTTATACTCGATGTAAGATGGGGCTCTTCTTCTATATTTCCTTACTGAATTAGACTATTACCTTTGTCATTTATGACATTCTCATTATGCTAGGGTCTACATCCGAAAACTTTCATCCCACTGATTTATACATCTATTTCTATATAAATGCAATATGGCTCTTTAATTTAGTAAAACAGGTCTTTTCTCAGTGTTCTTCCTTTTTGTATTTTCTTGGCTATTCTCAGGCCAGGTTTATATGTTACCATATAGACTTTAAAATCATTTTATTCAATTACCCCTCAGATGCATTACTGGGATCATAACTGGACTTACATTACATTTATATGTTGGAAATGTATCTGCTCTTGAAATCAGCAAGAGAGAACATAAAGGCGTGCAGAGGCTGAGTGACAGAGAGCCCTGGGATTCTGCAGGGGAAGTGGCTGCTTAGCATCGGCTTTTCCTGTTGCGCCCATTTGTCCTGAGCTTTGAGTTTCTTCCCACTTACCCTTTGAACGACAGATTTGATCTCCAGGACTTGAGCACAGTCTCCTCTGAAGTTGAAGTAGGCACGACTTGTCTGCTTTTATCTGCCATGTTCAAAATCTGTCATTGAAGTACTAAATTCACTGCCCGCAGAACACGCTGAGATTTTACATGTGTATGTAGACCCAAGCTGGGTTCTGGATCTTTGCTTCTAAAATGGACATGTCTGGTCAATGCATTAGTTATGCCTGGAATTCCCCTTGACATTGAAAGGTGGTCATGTCACCTCATCTTTCAGTCTCAGTTTTTGTTTTTGTTTTTTTTTTTAGTTTTAAAATGTCCACTTTATTCCATATAACACTTAACCAGATATCATTTACATCTGAGGAAGAGATGGCCCATGAGACTGATCTATAGTAAAACACTCTAAGAAATGCAGTCCAATTTTATACATTTCCAGGCATCCCTAGACAAGTGTGTCACAATGCACAATGCGGAAATATACGTATCACTACTACATTTTACATAAAAGGGAAGTATCAATAAACTTTAGAAAGTAGTAAATTCACCTGTCCCTTAAAATATGGGTATGCAATTGTTACAAAGCCATAGTAAATGGTTTATAAAATGTACTTTTATTTTATGTTACTCTGCTGTTACATAGGGCATAACATTTTCACAAGGCTTTTTTGGGACTACAGTCAATGATTAGCAACACACAGTAGTGGTCCAACTCTCTAAATAACAATCACTAGACAAACTGGACACCCTCTCACATGTGCACAAATCTGCATGGAAAAGTACTAAAGTTTTAGACTTGGACTTGCGTACTTTTTTTCCTCTTTCTAGTGTATTAAGAAATGACATGCACTTTAATTTGCCAAAAGCAATGCTTGTATTCTGGCAGCAACATGCTACTTCTATCACATAGTAAAGTGAATACCAGAACTACAAAGGCAGGAGGTGTAAGTGAATTTTTATTGGGAAGGGAGGTTGGCAACTTAAACAGCAGCAAATAAAGAGTGAATAAGGAAACTCCCTGTTGCCACAGATACACAAGACCTCCGTATGTGATACAGGAGCCATTTCAATTTGTGACCCCTAGACAGAGATGGCAAGTGCTTTTCCATTCAATCTAATACTTCCGGATTCCTACTAAAAAGGAATACATTAAGAGCATGGAAAAGTTGCTTATTGAAAGGAAACCCCCGAAGAGTAAGGGAGGGAATGTAGAAATTAAGAAGTTATGTGGAACACTCTTTAAATTGCAATTAACTACATTTTCTTATTTTCACAGTAATACAAAACACAGTCACTTGCAGAACTGGTTCAGATTACTCAGTCTCAGTTTTTGAAGCTTGCACTTAGGTTCAGCATTTTGTCATTCTGTGCCATCTAAACACAATTCTAGTCTTTTAGTTTTTATGGGAATAATATATTTAAGAAACAAAAACCAAACCAGCTTATCATTGTCATCATTTTCATTGTCATGATCATGCCAGCAGCAAAGAAGAAAAGAAAACATGAACATTTTTCGACTTTGTGATTGCTATTAGCAAACCATCAGTCTGTGCTGAAGGCCTAGAGTCAGGCACTAAGTAAGGTTGGAGGAAGGATTGTTTTTGGAAGTGTGGTGCAGTCCCATCCGCTATGGATCAAATAGAATTAATGTGGGGATCAGAGAGAAGATTTAGCCTAGGAACTAGAAATGTCTGGATTTGTGGGAGTGATTTAAATTGTGATCTAATGGTCATAGCATTTTACCAAAGTAAACAGAATCCCAGAGGTTCAGAGCTCGAAAGGGCTGCAGAGCTCATCTTAACCACTGTTACCTCCTCCCTGCTTGTTCCCCATCGTGAACCCCTCAGTGGATGGCGTGTGCTCCCCTGACCACTAATATGTGGCTTTCCTTGACCTGGAACGTGCTAAGCCTGTGCACCCGTCATCTCCTGCTCAAAGAGCTTGCCTAGGGCAGCTCTGTCCCTTCCGTTTGGTCACGAGAGTGAATCTACATAAAGCAGGTCCAAATCCAACCTGCATTTGGGAGCCAAGCCCAGTCAACCCGCACGCAGCCACGCCTGGAATCCCAGCAATTTGGGAGGCCGAGGCAGGTGGATCACCTGAGGTCAGGAGTTGGAGACCAGCCGGGCCAACATGGTGAAACCCCGTCTCTACTAAAAATACAAAAATTTGCCAGGCGTCATGGTGGGCGCCTGTAGTCCCAGCTACTCAGGAGGCTGAGGCAGGAGAATGGTGTGAACCCGGGAGGCAGAGCTTGCAGTGAGCCGAGATCACGCTACTGCGCTCCAGCCTGGGTGACAGAGCGAGACTCTGTCTCAAAAAAAAAAAAAGAACAAATGCTTATTTTGTTGTAAGCCACTGAATTTCAGCTTGTTTGTTGTGTAGTTGCTGACTCATAGACACCCTATCCCTGCTGTAGACCTGTTCCAAACATACGGCACACAACAGTTGGTGAAGAAACAAACCTAGTGTGTCCTCTGTGGACGGTGCCAGGCTGATCAACTGATAGGGAGCAACGCGTCTCCCAGGGTGAGGAGCCTGTGCAAAAGGAAGCAGCATCATGTGCTGTTTGTACAGCCAGAGCCTCAGCTGCACTTCAGCCTTGGCTGCCAGAGCTGGGTTGCAGTCATTGGCTCCCAGGCTTCCCTGGGCAGCAGCACACCCAGCAGTCACCTGAGTGGCTCCTTATTGCTCACACGTGACCGTGAGGCAGGCTCTTGCATCTCTGGGCTTTGGGTTTCTCATCAGTAAAGGACAAAGTTGAACCTGATACTCTGTTATTTCTTCCAGTGCTGAGTCTATGAGACAATGTTGTCCCGTGGAGTCCGACCAACTCGTGTTCAAATCTTTGCTCTACTTCTTACCACTTGTGTCTTCCTAGAAAACAGTTGGCTTATTTTGCCTTTTTAAACTTTGATCTCCTCATTTAGAACATGGAGTTGGTCATACTTCTGTTGAGGCATTGTTGCAAGGTTTAAATGAGGGATGGAAGTCATTCAGTCCTGGGGCGGCCCCTGGTAGCTCCTCAATCAAATGCTCTTTCGTGGCGATCCTTGGGAAGCTTCCGTTCCTGTCTGGAGCCAGAAGGAGGGTTTGTGGCTCAGAAGCCAGTTCTGGCTCTTGACACTATGCTGTTCCTGGTGGGCTCTGTGCTTGAGAAGTGTACCTGTAATCAGGCACACCGTGGCTGTCACTGTTTTCCTGCAAGGGGCTTCTTATCTGAGATGCCCTGCGCCCTGTGACCATTCATGGTGTTCTTCACAGTATTCCTGTTGGTTAAGACTTGAAAAGGAAATCCCATTATTTATCTGCACTCACAGCTGGCAACAGCATCCTGAGCCCAATATCCTGCGGCCTGTGCACATGACCATGGCGTCTTGATTGTCACCCCAGTTTGCATCAGCTTTGAAGATTCTGTTTTGCTGGGGCCACATGGACAGTCAGACGTGTGTCTGATGTTGCTAGGAAGCATTTGCCAAAAGAGTTTGAATTTTCCGTTCAAGTACAAATTAGACCTATTCTGAAAATTTCATATTATTTTCTAGCCATAGTACTCTTCTCCCTAGTACCTGCTTTGCATGTGATCAGATAACCTTGATGACTGGAACTCTCAGATCATGCCTGCATTCTGGATGACGCAGCTCTGTGGTGGCAGGTGGTGTATAGGTGGGGGAGGAGCTGGAAGATGAGGGATCCCTGGTATGGGGGAGGTGGGGAGACAGAGCATGTCTGAAATTCTAGACAAGGCAGACTTTTTTTTTTTGGTACCTGTTTCATGTTGTCTGTGAATGGGTATGTAAAGAAATAAAAATAATATTACTTATTAAAAATAAAACCCATAACTCTCTTTAGTTTTATCACAAAAGAATTTAGGCTACAGGTTTCCAGGCACGGAGGGATGGCTAAAAAGCCAATCTCAGCCGGGAATGGTGGCTCATGCCTGTAATCCCAGCACTTTGGGAGGGCGAGGCGGGTGGATAACCTGCGGTCGGGAGTTTGAGACCAGCCTGACCAACATGGAGAAACTCCATCTCTACTAAAAATATAAAATTAGCCGGGTGTGGTGTCGCATGCCTGTAATCCCAGCTACTCAGGAGGCTTGAGGCAGGAGAATCACTTGAACCCAAGAGGCGGAGGTTGTGGTGAGCCAAGATTGTGCCATTGCACTTCAGACTGGGCAATAAGAGTGAAACTCCATCTCAAAAAAAAAGCCAGTCTCCAAATTGTATGCTCCTGAATCTCCTCAGGGTGCATCCTTTAAATCTCTGGCTTAAATATAAACAGGAATCTCTCCCTTGGCTCCCCTTAACTGATATTTTCAGAAGAGAACTTTGCTAAGTGTAGTATTAAGAGAAGACTGATGAGGATCCCACGGCTGGTCCAGCACACACACTGAGATACCCACACTGAAGTCTGCACCACCCGTTGAGGAGCTGGCACCTCACAGTCCCTGTCCTGTCTCCCTTTCCTCCTGGATCCTTTTGTGTGTCTCACAAGGAAAGTATCCTTTTATTGGCCTCATAGTATTTTTTTTTTTTTTTTGAGATGGAGTTTTGCTTTTGTCTCCCAGGCTGGAGTGTAAAGGCGCAATGTCAGCTCACTGCAACCTCTGCCTCCCAGGTTCAAGCGATCCTCCTGCCTCAGCCTCCCAAGTAGCTGGGATTGCAGGTGCCTGCCACCATGCCCAGCTAATTTATGTATTTTCAGTAGAGACAGGGTTTCACCATGTTGGCCAGACTGGTCTTGAACTCCTGACCTCAGGCAATCCACCCGCCTCAGCCTCCCAAAGTGCTGGGATTACAGGTGTGAGCCGCTGTGCCTGGTCCACAGTATTCTTAATATTCCAACTCCTTCCTCGCCATAGCTGAATGACCACTTGGTGCTCATATCTGCATAGGCATGGGCTTTCTTAGTCAGACTCAGGATTCAACCAGACACAATAGCAAGAGCCTGATGAGTGTTGCCAGCTGTTCCGTATGTTGACATCCCATGCTCTTCTTCTTATTCAACTTTTAGTGAACACCTACTATGTGCTCTTGGCATATAGAAGTGAAAAAGAAGTGTTGGTAATTCTCTACACAATAGCAATTTGTTGAGTGCCTGCCATGTGTTAGGTTCTGTGCGAGGGACTATCTATGGAAGTAAACAGAAGGGGTATGGAAGCTTAAGACTTTTTTTCTGGTCACCCAGGCTGGGGAGGACCGAGAAGGCTCTCCCTGAGCTGTTGATACCTGTATCTTAAGGATGTGCTTGCTGTAGCACCCAGAAAGTATTCCTGGGAGTTTTGCTTCCAGTTTGGCTATGTAAGCTTCTACTGGACCAGCCTTCCCAGAGATACCAAGTATAAACACTGGACAATGTTAAGTAAGTCAATAAATCAGTAATTTATTAAATAACCAAATGCCTGAAGGTCCTGGAAAATGAAACTAGACTAGGCAAGAAGATTCAGGAGGGTGTCAACTCCTGAAGATGGGAATAGCAAGAGTGAGTTCCCATTTTCTACAGCTTTTTACTTGAGGAAACTAATAGCCTTTCTGGCTTGAAGAACCAGAGGGAAGAGGTCTGGGTAACTAATGCTACCTGAAAGTAAAGATGGGGATGGAGAAAGGGGGCATTTTGAAAAGGAGAGATCCAGAGAGTAGATGCTCCAGCTTTTGTGTATAGATTCTTCCTCAATCTCTGGCTGACTCTAAACCACATATGAGCAGAACAGATTGCAAGTAACCTAGCTAAGGATACAAGAACTGAACTGAAATTTAAACTGCAGCCCAACACACTCAAACTTTTTCAGTTTGAGTCCAACCAAGCCTACTGCCTGCTCGAACACATGAACCAAATATATAGATTTATATAAAATACATAGATATAAAGATTTATAACATATGTAGACATAAAACATGTCACTCTTTGGAGAACTACAACAGAATCCAGAGGCCCCACACCATAACCTCCACAATGTCCAGGATATAACCCCAAATTATTCAACATTTGGAGAAACAGAAAAAATGTGATCTTTCTTAAGAGACTCTAAGATGAACAGATGTTAGAATTAACACTCAAAGACTTTAAAGTAACCATTATAAAAATGCTCAGTGATACAAAGGAAAATATACTCATAATGAATGAAAATATATGAAATCTCAGCAGAGAAATAGAAATTATAAGAAGAACCATATGGAAATTCTAGAACTGAAAAATAAGATATCTGAAACAAAAAATTCACCACATAGCTCAACCACAGAATGAAGATGACAGAAGTCAATGAGCCCGAGGATAGATTAATAGTTATACAAACTGAAGAGGAGAGAGAAAAATTTTTTAAAAGAGAGAGAAAGAGAGAATAGTGTCTCACAATCATATGAACAATATCAAAAGGTCTAACATAGGTGTAATTGGAATCACAAAAGGAAAAAAGACAGGGACTAGGGAAGAGGATATATGTGAAGAAATAATGGCTAAAATTTCCCAATTTTGGTGAAAAGCCCTAATATAGATTCCAGAAGCTCAGAAAACCCCAAGTAGGATATTACAAAGAAAATAACAGACAAACTGCTGAAAAGCAACATCAAAGAGAGAAATCTTAAAAGCAGCATGAGAAAAATGACACATTACAAACAGGGAAACAACATTTTAAATTACCATTGGCCTCACACCAGAAACAATGGAGGAGGTGAGAAGATAGTGGAACAGTAACATATGGAAAGGAAAAAGGAAAAAAGCAAAAGCAAAACCAAACGTAAACCTCCCAACCCAGAATTTTATACCCAGCCAAAGTCTCCTTCAAGAATGAAGGTGATGATTTCAAACTGAACAAAACAAGAGCTAAGATAATTCATTGCAAGTGGATCTTCGCTACAAGCAAGGCTAAAAGAAGTTCTCAGGATGAAGGAATTTGATACTAGGAAGACTTGGCTGTCCATGACAGAACAAAGAACATTAGAAATGGTAAATTGCTGATTAAATATAGAAGGCTGTTATTTTTCTTCATTTAAAAACCGCATAGGAATATTCAAAACAAAAACCATGGCATTGTCTTGTGGGATTTATAACATATTTAGATGTGAAACAAATGTCAACTATACCAGAACAGGGTGCAGGACAACCCCAGCACTTTGGGAGGCCGAGGTGGGCGGATCACCTGAGGTCAGGAGTTCGAGACCAGCCTGATCAACATGGAGAAACCCCATCTCTACTAAAAATATAAAATTAGCCGGGCATGGTGGCACATGTCTGTAATCCCAGCTACTCGGGAGGCTGAGGCAGGAGAATAGCTTGAACCCGGGAGGCAGAGGTTGCGGTGAGCCGAGATCGCACCATTGCACTCCAGCCTGGGCAACAAGAGCGAAACTCCGTCTCAAAAAAAAAAAAAGAACAGGGTGCAGGAGACCTCTATAAGGTTGCAAGGTTTCTACATTCTATGTAAAGTGGCATAATATTAAGTCTAAATAGACTGTGAAAAGTTCAGAATGTATAGTGTAATCACATAGAAACCACCAAAAAAGTGCTGCAAAGAGACATAGCAAACAAGTGTCACACACACAAACTGGTGGCTGCTTCTCTCACAGGATGTTGTGCAGGGGTTGCGTTTAGAAAGGCTGAGTCCTCACTTTCATCATTGGGCTCGCTCTCAGGGCGTCTTCCTTCACAGAGAGGGCCCAGCAACGGTTCCCTGAAATGTTGTGACCTCCTGGGGAAGAGTCGGTCTACAATCTAAGGGATGCCCCAGGGATGGCCGGAGTGACGACTATCTGGTAAATCAACACATGCCCGACCATAGTTTGTCAGTCTTTGAGCAACTTTCTTAGGGGAATGCCTCCTAGAAAAGACCAAAGGAAATGACTTGAATGGTTAAACATTTAAATCTGTTTTATAAACTTTGCTGGTGAGCCTTCCTTCTTATTGTATGTCGCCTCCAAGGGTCATGATAAATCTGGTTGATTTGCTGCTGTGTTCATCTTAGAAATGAAAGTGGTGCAAGGGGAGCCTCGGAAGAGGCATCAGAGGCCTTTGCATCTGTGGCCTGCCCTGAGCCTCTTCTGGGAATGGCACTTGCAGCGTTTGTGTTCTCTGCGGTGCTCCGGTGCTCCGTGCCCCTGGGGATTACGCTCCTGCGACCGCTGGACAGGCTGCTGAGGGCCTGGGGGATAGTACGAATCTCCCTGGCACCTCACAGCCCTCTAGGCTGGGGAACATTTGCCTGCAGACATTTCCTTACGATCCAGTACATATGGTTTTGTGAAAGAACTGAGCAAGAAGAGTTTGCCATGAATAATTCATGTGCAATTGTTTTCAAAATATAAAGTTTTTTTCAAAGCAAGCAACCAGAGGCTCACCGCGGCTGTGTGTGCTTCTGCGGGGGCCACGGCTTTCTACCTGAACACCAGTGCCATCCTGTGCTGGGACAGGCTCCTCTGCAGAGCTGGGCCGGGGACCATGTGCAGATGGCACAGAACTCTCAGCATTCCCAATCACGTGCTTCCTGCCGAATTCCACAGGCAGGCCCTGGGGATAGCCTTGTACTCCTGCGTTGCCACCCGCCTCGGTCTCCTTGGGCAGCACTGCAACACTTCCATCCCTTCCCTTTTTTCTCACCTGCTGGCCCGGCACTAGCCACACACAGCCTGTTTACTGTTAACCTCCACACGCAGGAAGCCAAGGCCAGGCCTGACTGATTGGACCAGCGTAGATACAGCGCACACTTTCACAATCAGACTGTCTGTTATTTACATAGACAGTGAAAGGGAGAATAAGCCACAGGGGCCAGCTCCCTGGTCCTCTTCCCGAATACCAAAAAGGATGACACCAAAACAAAGGAAGCTGATGACTGCGCCACAAGGTGTGGAGTGCCCTATTGCCAAGAACCACGTCCAGACTGCAGCCAAGAGGCTTCCCTTCTACAGCTCTAGTGTGAGGGGCCGGGCAGAAAGCCCCTCACCCTATCAAAACCTGGAGGCAGGAGAAACCGTCTCCTGACAGCCTTTCTGGGGAGATAGGGAGGCAGGTGGGAGGTGGGCTCAGGGCAGCTCCTTAGAGGCCTCCCATCCTTTCAGGCTCCACAAAGGCTCAGACTGGATTTTGCCTATGTGGCCTCTTTGGATACAGGGAAGACACCAGGGCTCCATGGCAGAGCTGCTTGCCGCTCCCCCTGGGCCATTTCCTGTCCATTTTCATCTCCTCTCTTCTTTGTCCAGGCCCCTGTGACCTTACTCCAAAAGTAGATCTCATCACAGTGGTTAATAAGAAGAATGAGGTTTGAGGACGGGCGTGGTGGCTCATGTCTCAGCATTTTGGGAGGCTGAGGCAGGCGGATCACGAGGTCAGGAGATCGAGACCATCCTGGCTAACATGGTGAAACCCCGTCTCTACTAAAAATACAAAAAATTAGCTGGGCGTGGTGGCAGGTGCCTGTAGTCCCAGCTACTCGGGAGGCTGAGGCAGGAGAATCACTTGAGCCCGGGAGGCAGAGGTTACAGTGCACCTAGGTAGCACCGTTGCACTCCAGCCTGGGTGACAGAGTGAGACTCTGTCTCAAAAAAAAAAAAAAAAAAAGAAAAGAACTGGGTTTGAACCCCAGGTCTGCCACTTTCTATTCATATGTCTAAGAAAAGTGACCCAAACTCCCTAAGACTCAGTTTGCACAGCATTAAAATGAGGTTAGAAAGAGTGCCTTTCTTGAGGCTTCTGCTGAGGATTAAATGAGATCCGTGTGGAGCCTGTACAGAGCCCCACACAGTGCCTGGCACACACGGGCACTAAGGGGTGCTGCGCAGTGACCATGATGAGGGCGACACTGCAGCACGGCCTTACCTGGTCCCTCCGTTCCCTCCCCAGCCGCCTCTTCCGCTGAATGCAGTGAGCACCGCTGCACTGCTCCACCACCTGGAACTTACTCTGGCTTCTGGTGACATCTGTTGACTTTGTTGATGATAACCTGTGTATTCCTCACCCCTCAACACACTTTCTTCACAACCCATCGGCAAACCCAGTTCTCCTAGAAAGCCTTCCGTCCCCTGTTCCGGGTGGGATTGGTCATCCTGGACGTCTTTGGCCCCTTGGCCCATAGATGCATTTAGAACTGTGATTCTGTGTTCTTTTCTGAAGGAAAACCCATGTTTTCCCATTTGGATTGTGAATACTCTGAGATCAGCAGAGGTGGTGCCTTCCATCTGCCTCTATCCACCCAGCATCCCTTCTGTGGGTGGCTCACATCCACGCAGGCAGCTCTGTCTGGGTTTTTGGCCAAAGGGCATCATCTTTTCTGTAATTCCTAGGGAGATGTCATCGAGACGATTCCACTTCAGTATTTGCAAGGCAGGGAAGAGTGTTTTCTTGGGTGCTCCCTCTGCCCCCAACATACCCAAAACTGAAACAGTAGGTCATGTGTTTGGAGGGAAGGAATCAGGGATAACTTTCAGCAAGTGGACTAGCATATGGAGAAGAAAAAAGAGCATTCATGGATGGCCACCCCCATTTAAAAAAACACAGCCGCTTTTCATGTAAACTGGGAGCATAATGAAACTTGAATGAAAACTTCAGTTTTCCCTCCTCAAACTACCTTGCTTGCTTTATTTTGTTTTCTTGAATCTATGTGAACATAAACCTAATGTATGAGACTCTAAAGCCATGGCAGTGACAAGTGTGGCTTTGGGTATCTTGGATGGCACGGCTTGGAAAAGTCTGCAGTGGCACCTGTGGGCCTGAGCACCATGCCAACTGTGCCACTTGTCCCTTCGTTCACTCACTCACCCAACAAACACAAGCCTTGTGCAAGGCCCAGGGACACAGGAGACTCGGTCCCACCCCCTGGCAGCCTGTGGGTGGGGTCAGACAAATAACAATCATGAGCCCTGCTGTGAGCCAGCACAGGGGCAGGAGGTGCTCTGGGAGTAGTGACCCGCGGACCACCTAACGCCTCTCCACCCTCCCCTGTCTCCCTCGTCAGGTACTGGAAGACACTGGGATGCCCATGGACGATGATCAGTATGCCCTGCTGACCACTAAAATAGGCTTCGAGAAGGAAGGGATGAGCTATCTTGATTTTGCAGCAGGATTTGAAGGTAGCTAATGGCCAAGTCCACACCCTGTGGGATGCGTCCTGGGTGACACTGCATGTCTTTGCTAGCAGTGCCACCAGGCCACTCGGGTTGAAGTAGCACAAGCTGAGATGTTGAAACGAGGTGTCTTCTGGGGCTGCAAACAACCATTTTTATTTCATTTTATCTGACCATATTCAGAACTGTGAGTGCAGAACTTTGCCTGAAAGAGTCTTCTACAAACTCAGAACACAAATGGTTTAGAAAGTTTGTGCCCCAAAGCCTGTTTCTTCAATCACACCTCACGGCCTTTAAGATTTTCCCCTAAGGTAGTTGCTGGTTATCTGTAGTTAACAATACCACACACAGGCAACACGAATATTATTCCTCCCTGTGGACAGAGAAGGTTGCAGAGATTATAAAAGGCCACCCAGCCCCACCCCCAGGCCCGCCCCCCACCGGATGTTAGGAAACCCATCTTTGTGCAGTGTCCTGGGGCCGCCTCTCCACTCAGTGATGCTGCTTTCTCACACACCAAAGACATTTTGGTGGACAAACAAGCCCTCTAGAGAAGCTGCAGAAATCACACAGATATCTCAATGGAATACTCTTCTCTTTTGCTGCACATACCCTGCAGGCTGGCAGGGTGGAATGCAGGAGCCCTGTGCATTTTTCATTTTCCCAGCCTTGGGTCTGGAGATGACCGTGTGAGGTGGTGAGTTTCCCAGAGACTCAGGCTGGATCCTTGCCAAGGTCCCCCTAGCCTTGTCAGACTGTCATTTGCCACCCCTTAGAGAGGTCCCACACTCCTGAAAAATGGCATCATGAGAAGCCAGAGCGTTTTAGAATTTCAGCACCGTCCCTGGGTAGATGTTTTGATATTTTTTAAGGAAAATAAGAAGGAGAAGGAACTCACCTGCATTTTAGTGAGTGTGTCCCACCTGCCAGGTGTATTCATTTTTCAGGTAAGGAAATTGGGGCCCAGGGTGCATAGGTCACTTGCCCCACGTCCCAGTGCTGGCGAGGCCGTCACAGCTGGAACTGGACTCCGTCTCTGTCACCTGCTCCCGGCTTCCTGGCTGCCTGTGTTCTCCTCCCCTCACTTCCTGCTTCTCCTCTCCCTGCCCGTCTCCTCCTTGCCCCTCTAAGCTGCATTCTCACACATGAAGATTCTAGCAAGGTGGAGAGTGAGGCCCTGTGTGGCCCCTGCTAGGGGTCAGGGGGATGTGGCAGAGGGGTCAGGCGGTGGGGTGGGGGTGTTTATCTGCCAGGCAGTAAGGAACCAGAGGGAGGCCACTTGCAGCCTCTGCAGTGAGGCAGGTGAGGCAGAAGCCAGGCTCAAGAGGGGCAGAGGATGCCCACGAGCTTGGGGCGCCCTGTCCCCCATCCATCTGCCCACCACACCGTGGGGAGGGCGCAGGAGCAACAGGTGCAGAGAACCACGTCTGGAACCAAGTCCCTGGTGTGTAGCCTGGCTTTGACACAAGGTCACACTCAGATGACCCCAGCCTAATGGAAACGGGGTAGACCTGGAAGTTTTTTGTTTGTTTGTTTGTTTTTGTTCCTGTTTTTGATTTTTGAGATGGAGTCTCACTCTGTCACCAGGCTGAAGTGCAGTGGCATGATCTCAGCTCACTGCAACCTCAGCCTCCTGGGTTCAAGTGATTCTCCTGCCTCAGCCTCCCAAGTAGCTGGGGCTACAGGCGTGCACCACCACACCCAGCTAATTTTTGTATTTTTAGTAGAGATGGGGTTTCACCATGTTGGCCAGGATGGTCTCGATCTCTTGACCTTGTGATCCGCCCACCTTGGCCTCCCAAAGTGCTGGGATTACAGGCGTGAGCCAACGTGCCTGGCCGACATGGAGTTTTTAAGGAGAGGTTACACTTCCTTCCTTAATTTTAGGGGAGCGAGAGGGCATAGGCAGTAGGGAACCAACGGGTCTTAGTATCAGACAGCCTGGATTCAGCTGTGCTGTCCATGAGCTCCACCTCCCAGGCGAGCCGGGGACCCCTGAGCCTCACCACCCCCTAGGTAAAGTGCATGGGATGATAGGTTTTCTTGTGTGTAAACAAACACGAGGACCTTCTCCTGAGCGTTGCTGGAAGGACCAAAAAATAGATGAAGCCCTCAGCATCTTACTTAACAGATACACAGTCAGGAAATAGCCACTGAACTAATGGATGTTGAATGAATTCTATATTCTTGTCTTTAGGACATGATTCCAGGAAACAAAAAAGAGGCAGGAATTCTCATTCTCCTCCTCTGGGAATTGGGAGATGAACAAGAGACACAGGACAAGTAAACAGGGTGCCAAGTGCGGTCTGTGAGGGTGAAAGGAGGCCCCACAGTCTGCAGCATGGTTCCTCCTGGAAGAGGAGGAAAGTGTCTGAGAAACTGAAGGAAAAGAAACTAGATAGTAAGAAAATCAATGCTGTGTTCAACTCACAGGAGGGTACTGTATGGGATTTTAACAGGATTCGGGACAGGCAGAGATAAAGTGTTGATGTAGAAATGAAGCCAGTGGGCCGGGTGTGGTGGCTCACGCCTATAATCCCAGCACTTTGGGAGGCTGAGGCGGGCGGATCACCTGAGATCAGGAGTTTGAGACCAGCCTGGCCAACATGATGAAACCCTGTCTGTACCAAAAGTACAAAAATTAGCCAGGCGTGATGGCAGACACCTATAATCCCAGCTACTCAGGAGGCTGAGGCAGGAGACTCGCTTGAACCCAGGAGGTGGAGGTTGCAGTGAGCTGAGATTGCACCACTGCGCTCCAGCCTGGGCAACAAGAGCGAGACTCCGTCTCAAAAAAAAAAAAAAAAAAAAAAGAAGGAATGAAGCTGATGGGCACTAATGGAAACCCCGATCTTTGTAATTGTTCCAGATCCTCCAATGAGAGGGCCGGAAACCACTCCGCCGCAGCCTCCAACTCCTTCAAAAAGTTACGTGAACAGCCACTTTATCACCGCAGAAGAATGCCTGAAGCTTTTCCCTAGGAGGCTGAAGGAGTCATTCCGGGTAAACCGTGACTGTCTGGCGCTGGGCTTCTCTAGGCCTCCCCTGCTCCCAACCACGCAGCCCAAGTGGGTGTGAGTCCTGGTGTAGGTCATGTCCCAGTCAGCCCAAGGGACACAGAGCATTTCCCTCTGCAGACCCAGCATTGGTCAGGGAGAGGCATGTGGGGAGGATGGGGCTTCCTCCCTCCCTGAGGGACCCCCGTGGACACTTTGCTGGCAGAAGGCTAAGGAGACCCTTTTGACAAGAGGTGGATGTTGGTGGAGAAGAAGCATGACAACCCATGGTACAGTGACTTTGAAACGCGTTCATCCATTCCCTCATTGATTCCCTCATCCATTCACCCACCAAACAAGTGTTATACACTTACTATGTGCTAGAATCTGTGCTAAATGCTGGGGATGAAAGCTACCAGCCCCACCCCAGGGAGCTCGGTCTAATCCCAGACACAGATGGTAAACAGACAAGTCATATTCATAGTAATTGGCTGTTGTCGAAGGAACTGGAGCATCCTCTGGAGGCACAAGGAAAAGATCCCTTTAAGGAGGACTCCCTGGAGGAGGTGGCCCCCACACTGAATCGTAAGGCCTAAGCCTGGGCTGGCCAGGAAAGGAGGGAGCCATAGATGAGGCAGCCTGAGCCAGGCCGGGACAGATGAGGCATGGGCTCTGGGGAAAAGCATGTGGCTTGTCGTGGTGGAGGTGTGCGTGGCGCGTGCAAGTTGTAACAGACAAAACAGAAGTAGACAGCAGCCATTCAAACATAGAGGCCAGTACAAGATGATCTGAGCTCTTTTTGTGATGAGAAGTAAAAGAGGGTGAATAAAGTTAGGGCGATCAAGTCAATAAGGCGAACCCCGAGACAGGGCCGAGGGTATCAGGGAGTTAGACTGCATCCTCACCCCGTGGGTGGAGGGAACACATCCAGAGGCAGAATGGAGATGGGTGAAGTCCAGAAGGGAAGGGACGGGCGAGAGACTGGGTATCAGAGCAGCCTGGGGGGCTGTGGGGAGGGCAACACCCCATTTCCTGTGCTCTGAGGCACCTCCCCAGACTGATCACCCCTGGAGATTCATTTTGGTTACCAGGCTCCCGTTTCCACATGCCCGTGTATTTATGACATCAGTCCAGCTTAGACTTTCTAGCAGGGCTCAGATTTTGAACATTCTGTCCAGTTTTCAGAATGTGCATCCTAATTTTTGGTTTGAAAAAATATGATCGCCATATGCATACATGGAGACGGATTGGTCCTAATGATCTCATCCAGGCTAAGTGGCCAGCCAAGAGGAGCACTCTGGGAACCACTGGCCTGTGGGCTCCAGCGTGGAGGAGGCAGGGGTCATTTAAGTGGGGAGTGCCTGGTCCTCCAAAGGAGAGCCGAGCTGGGTGGGAGGCAGCGGCCGCTGCAGGGAGAGAGAGCAGAACGGAGGCAAAGGCTCCAGGAGCAGACTCCCTTCTGTGCTGGTCGGCAGGGCCTCCACGGGCACCCTAACTGTAGAGGCCTGGCAGCTGCCTCACTGCACCTTGCCCATTGCAATGCAGGCCCCTCCCTGTTCCCTCTCTCAGACTCTCTCCTCTCTTCCTCACACACTCCTCGCGTCTCCCAGTGGAGGCCGTGGGAAGCCCAGCTCCACGCTACATCGTTGCTTTCCTATCTTTACGATCAGTGAAGCTTGGCTACAGCCAACGTATATCCTGTGTTTTCCAAAGAGATCTCTATTTTAAATAATGAATTCATTCAACAGACCATCACCGACACCCACTCTATCCCGCCAGAGAATTTATCAACTAGTGGGTGAAACAGAGGAGTGAACCCCTAATTGCCAGTTTTTATGTGAGACAGACTGGATGCGGGTTATGTCCGGGGCTCGTGAGGACTTGGCTTGTGTCCTTGCAGGTATACGCAAAGTGGACAAAGCACGGGTCTCAATTTTTTAATGGGATGGTACAGTCACTTTTTTTGAATTTTTTTGGTAGAGACGAAGTCTTGCTACGTTGCCCAGGCTGGTCTCAGACTCCTGGGCTCAAGCGATCCTCCGACCTCAGCCTCCCAAAGTGCTGGGATTACAGGCATGAGCCACTGTCCCTGGCCTCATATATCTTTTAGAAACAAATAGGATTAACCTGTCAACCCACAAATAGGGTCACAGTACACTCAGTTCTCTGCAACTTCACTTTGCACTTCACAATTCGTCTTGGACTCCTGGCCCTCGCAGGATTGTCTCATCCATGTGCATCTCTGACCGGAGTGCCCACTGTGCTCTCAGGATACATCCTGCTCCCGCCTGGCCGGCCCACAAGACCCCTCACCCCCTCACCCTTTCCTGCCTCTAAGCGTTTGCACATTCTGTTCCTTTGCTTGGATGGCGCCTCCCCTTTGACCAGTGGACTCCTCCCCAAGCTTCTGTCCTTCTCAAGCCCTTCACATCAGCTGAGAGGTTGCCACTGCACATTCCCCTCTCTCCTCACGTCCCTCATAGCACACAGCCCGCAGGGTGCTGCAGTTAGATTCAACAGTGAGCCCCGAGCCATTTCTACATCATTCACCACAGTAACCCAAGGGGCTGCCACAGTGCCTGCCACAATGCACATGACCGATTTGTATTTGCTGATTGAACACACCACACCTGATGCTGGGCAGCGAACTGGAGGGCCACACACAGGGCCTTGTGTGTTCTGACACCCGCAACCACCCTGTCAAGTAGGTTTAATGTTCCCGTGTTATGCTGGATACCCTGAGGGTCAGAGACGGGGAAAAAGTGACACAAAGCCACACCTCTAGTACATGGCACCGTCAGGAACTGAAATAACACCGGCTCGATTCCAAAGCCTCTGTACTACGCACTAACATTGGGGAAGCTGAAGACTGAGATTTGAGGAATGATTAGTTTATAAACTTGTGAAGATTAGCCATGTATGATCTCATAGCATCTAGCTTGTCCCTGGAGTCCAGAATCCAGGCTGGCCCCACCTGGCCCTCACACCTCTGTCCCTGCAGTAATCACGCTGGATTGCCATGATTTGCTTCCTGTCTTGCTTCCCTAGTAGATAGACAGTGAGGACCTGGGTGTCAGGGCCCACGTTGCAGTTATGGTGTCTGTGTACCCAGCAGAGTGCTTTGTGCCTAGGAAATGCTGCTCCTTCATGTCCAGCAGCCCCATCTCACAGACGTTATGGTGAGCATGGCTCGGAGAGCTGGAGCTGCAACAGGGAACAGATCAGAGCCCAGACTCATGCTTATGTTCTAGGGGGAAGTGCAGTGGACACAGAAACCTCTACTAGATCAGGTGGTGACATGTGCCAAAGAGAAAAGTAGAGGATCGTGGGAGGCCAGTCAGGGCTGGTGCCATTGTACAGAGGAGTCAGGAAGTGCCTCTCTGGAGAGGGGACACTCAGACACAGTCATGAAGGAGCCAGAGTGAGCCCTGCGGACACTGGAGAGGGCTCCCTGCGATACCCTGAAGCAGGCTCGGCCTGTTCAGAGAACAGTGAGGGGACGGGTGGGATGGGGGTGTAGACAGGCTTGTGGGCCACGGCCAGGCCTTGGCCTTGGACTCTGAGTGAGAAGGAGAGTCAAGGGGGTTGAGCAGAGGCGCCTCATGCATGACGTCAGCTGTAAGGGATCGCTCGGGAGCGATTGCACAGAGCAGAGGCCACGGAGCCGACGATGGCAGCTGGGAGCCATCACGAGGTTCCTGCAGGACTCCAGCGACCTTGGGTGGGGGCCGAGGTGGTGTGCCTGGGAGAGGGGGTCCAGTGCTAATGCACTCTGAAGGGAGAGCCAGCGGGATGTGTGGGCAGACTGGATGTGGGTGTGAGAGGAAGCGAGGGCTCAGAAGGGCTCCCAGGTTTGTGTCTGAGCAACCAGGAGGAAAGAGCTCCACTTACTGAGATGGGAAGACTTAGGAGGAGTAGGGTGGGGACAGGGGGTGGAGGTCAGGAGTTTGATTTGGGCCATGTTCAGTTTGACATCCCAGAGAAAATGCCCCCAGACCACTGGAGATGTGAGGCTGTGGGTCAGGGGGGTGGCGGCTTGGGGCTGAGAGTATAGAGGGAATCATCAAGAAACAGATGGGCCTGCACCCCAGGAGGCCCCCTCGGGCAGAGTTAGACATCAGCCTCCCTGCCACACTGTATTGTCTTCCGGAGGCAGGGGCGGCATCTTTTAAATTCATTTCCACAGTATTTAGCATGGCGATTGCACATATTAGGTACTGAATAATTTTTGGTGAATGAATACATGAGTGAATACAGAGAGAGCTTTCCACAAAATCCCCACACACTTGCATGAGGAACTTGAGTCACAGCAGGTCTTGCTTGATATCCTAAGTAACCTCTGTGGGAGGAGCCTGTAACAAGAGGGGACAAGCGCAATGCCGCCAGAGCAGCCAGGTAACTCCTAGGTGAGGGGCTGCATCAGGTGCCGATGGAACGAGGCGGGTTGGGGCCACATCAACTTTTCAGGCCTGAGACCCGGGAAGCAGGTGCATGTGGGAAACAGGCATTGGCCCCGGGCAGAGCCTTGCACTTGCTGTATGATCCTAGGCAAATGGCAAGTGCAACAAACAGCATTTTAGAATGCCAGGAAAGCCAGGCTCGTTCTAAGCACTTTGCATCATTAGCAAATTCACTCCTCACAAACAACCCAAGGACGCAGGGACTGTCATAGTCCCCATTTTACAGATGAGAAAACAGAAGCATCACAAGGTTATCTCACCCATGGTCACGTTGCTAGTAAGTGGCAGAGCTGGGGTTTGCCACTGAGCCACCTGCCTGCAGAGTGCACGCTCCATCACACATCAGGGTCTCTAGTCACGGATTCCCTGGGAACCCTGAGCCTCTGTTTCCTCATCTGCAAAATAGGAATCCCTGTGCCCTCCAACCAGCACGATGGGCTGAGTGGAAGTCCTTCAGTTGTGGCAGGCTTGTGGATCCCAGACACGGCTGATCTCTATCACGGTCATCGAAACAGAGGCCTGGCCTTCAGGTGGCTCCTTGGTGTGAGATTCAGTGCAGTATTTGTTTGGCTGTAGACAGAAGCAGCCAGACATTATGAAAGTGATATAAAAAATTGCGAGCAGAAACCTCCAGTACTTTCTCCTTCCCTTCCTTCCTGGACTAGAAGTACAAGCTCCACAAACCGAGAGTGTGGAAGGAAAAGAAAAGTGGCCTGTTCCTTTCCCTGAACTCTTTGCATTCAAAGAGGATCATTTATATCCCCTGGGTAGCTGGAGAGCTTTATAATTTCTTGGGAAAAGCAAAGCATGGCAAGGATATTCCTGGAACAGCCAAGTCTCTAAAAGCAATAGTTGGGGCCCAGCCAAGCTGCCCCTCCTCGCGTGGAGATGAGGCTCTACACGTGGGGGTGTGCATGTGTGGCCGTCCGGGGCTCTTGGGGAAGGGCTTTGACGTGTGTGTTTTGTTTTTAGGACCCCTACTCTGCCTTCTTTAAAACAGATGCTGACAGGGATGGCATAATCAACATGCATGACCTTCACAGACTGCTCCTGCATCTACTGCTTAATCTCAAAGACGACGAGTTTGAGCGCTTCCTTGGCCTTCTTGGCTTGAGACTTAGTGTCACTTTAAATTTTCGGGAATTTCAAAATTTGTGTGAGAAGAGACCATGGAGAACAGATGAAGCGCCTCAAAGACTCATTAGGTAAGAAGGCAGCACGGGTCTGTGTCTTTAATATATGCCGGCCCGTGCCACTGTGACGTCCAGCATTTCCATGGCGTCCGCAAAGGGATACAAAGAATGGAGTGATTATTTTTTTCTTTTTCTTGGTTCAGAAAAAGTCATACAAGAAATATGCACTCAGTGTAGAACAACCAGAAAATACAGCCCTGGTCTTACCACCTGTGAGCATCATTTTTATATTTTGCTGGGTATCATTTCAGTCTTTTTTCATATGCATATACTTACATACGTGTGTGTGACACACATATATAAATATATACATATATACGTGTGTGTCTTTTTCATATACATATACTTACATATATATTCATGTGTGTATGAAAATATATATATACACACATACATATATATACACACATACATACATATACTTATTTTTCTATGTATTAATCTGGGTTCAAAAATATATGCTTTTTGCTCAGTCTTTTAAAATTGAAGCTTGGGAGACCTGTGAGCACAGCCTGTCCTCTGTCCAAGGCTGGGCCCGTCCTCTGCAGGGGCAGGCGGAGGGCCGTGCACCAACTCTGTGCAGATAAATCTTTGTCAAGTGAACACAGTAACCTTCTTCTTCGGGAACTGATGCCTCCTACCTCCTCTTCACCTCCAAATGTTAAGCTAGGTGATGGCTGTGAATTTGGGGAATGCAGACCGTCTTGTAGTAATTGATGGGCACTGAGAAGCTATCTGTGCCAACTGCCTTAGGAGATGCAAGAACCTCCTCCAGCCCCTCCCCGGGCAGTGCTGCCCCCTAGGCCCCTGCCCAGCCCATATGGCGTCACTCTTAGCCAGGAGAATCTCAGTGTCCAGCTGAGCTCCGGCTCAGTGCTGTTTCCTTGGCCTTCTCCCAGGGAGCACGTACACTCCTTGAAGGCACAATGGGGCTACCATCCAACCCCATCCAACAGTGGCAGCAGGGGATCACCCGTCCCCATCGGCTCCCTGCTGAGATCTGCCGAGAGCCGACATGAATGAAGTAGCAAGTCATCTCCTCCTTGACCAATTATTATTACATGAGTAATTCTGAAATGCTGTGCGCTATGCTAGTACTGAGGTGTGTCTTCCCATGTGATGATACAGCATCATAGTGACACTCACTATGCTGTTTTGTCCTTGAGGCACTCACGGTCCCCAGGGGTTCTAGACAGGTATCGCATCTACCTAGGCAAGGGCAGCTCCCTGAGAGTGGAGCCCCTGGAAGCCACAGCCACTGTGCCAGACTGTTGTGACACTTGGCTAGGCTGCAGAAGGCCCTCTGATCTTACACGCTGATTTTTCTCCCTGAATTCATAGGTTTTATTTTGTCTATATTAAAAAAATAAAAAAGCAAGCAAGAAAGAAAATGATGATAGCAAAATGATCATCTAACATGTAAGTTGGACACCTGCTTCCAACGGCTCAGGTTCTCAGGAGCTTTAATATGAGACTTGATTGCCTAACATTAAAACAAACAAACAAAATTCTTCCCAAAAAATTCTCTGGAGAAAGTTCATTTTCCATTCTCTGCCGAACGAACATGGAAAATTTCAACCGCAAAGTGCAGTTTTCCCATTCAGATGACTCAACCTTATTATTGTATGTATACACTCATTCATCAAATATTTACTAAGGGCCTACTATATGCTAGACATTGTCCCAGGACTAGACGGTACAACAGTGAATAAGACCCAGATGCTCCTTTTGAGGGGCTCAGGGTCGAGTATGAGACAGGTATGAAATAGATGACCCAAGTGCCACAGGAACAGAGGGAGGCGCCCGTGAGTTGCTCAGGAAAAGGAGGGACGTTTGAGCTGGACCTTGAAGTTTGAGTAAGAGTTTGCCAGGTGCAGGCTAGAGGAAAGGTCATTCCAGGCCAGGGAAGAGCATTTGCGAGATCACAGAGGCAGGCGGGAGTGTTAAGCACGTTTGGGAAATGGGGAGAGGATGCATGTGTGGGATCCACCTGCATGGTGGGCCTGGTTGGGGAGGAGGCCAGGAGGGCAGGAGGGCGGGCTGTGAAGGACGTCACCTTCTATCAGTAGGCAGGGGAGGCCGTATGCTATGGAGTGAGGGAGTTACACTGTGCTTTAGAAAGATCCTTCTGTACCCTGGAGTGGAGGATGGACACAAAGGAGGAGAGGCTGCAGCCCAGTGAGAACTGACTTGGTCCCCGGGGTCTGGTGGACCCAAACCAAAGCACTGCTTCAGAAAGCTAAGCCCACCCTGGCCATGCCCTGTGTTGTGTTTCCTGAAGACATGTCCTTTAATACCCCAGCAGCCTTGAAAGGAGGCATTCCCAGCTGGTTTCACAGATGAAGGAGTGCGGGCTCAGAGAACAGTTAGTGACATGTCCATAAGGACACAGATAATGAGCAGTGGGGCAGGGATTTGAGCTCAGGAGTCTGTTGGGAGGGGCCACCTCCTCTGCCTGGACAGCCTGCCCTGTTCCACCTCCACCACCAAGCAGACCTGGATACCACCCCTTTCTTTTTCTTTTTTCTTTTTTTTCTTTTTTTTTTTTTTGAGAAGGAGTCTCGCTCTGTCACCCAGACTGGAGTACAGTGGCGGAATCTCGGCTCACTGCAAGCTCCATCTCCCAGGTTCACGCCATTCTCCTGCCTCAGCCTCCCAAGTAGCTGGGACTACAGGCGCCCACCACAATGCCCGGCTAATTTTTTTTTTTTTTTTTTTTGTATTTTTAGTAGAGACGGGGTTTCACTATGTTAGCCAGGATGGTCTCGATCTCCTGACCTCGTGATACGCCCACCTTGGCCTCCCAAAGTGCTGGGATTACAGGCGTGAGCCACCGCGCCTGGCCGGATACCACCCCTTTCTAAAAGTCTTCCTGCCCTCTTGGTTGGGCCCCTCTGCTCTCTGGGTCTTCACTTTCCACCTGTATCATAAAAACACAATACTTTGGAAAATGTTGAGAGTTCATAACTTTGCTGAAAAGAGGACACTCTCTTGTTTGCTTCATAACTGCCAAACATTTTCATTTTAAGGTATATAAATACCAAGTAGAATGACTGATCCAATGACTTATTCCTTTTTTTTCTACTTCTTCGATTCCCTTCCAGTCCTTGTTTAAAACACACTTGCCTTGACCATTTATCCACTTACAGCCTGCATGGAGTACATTTTAATGCACAAACATCTTAAAAGATGAAAGAATATTCTCATGTGTCCTTTTAGCAAAATTAGATAGTCCATCACCAAATACTGCATGATCAGATCCTTCCTGTTGGATGACTAACTGAATGAAAATACCAAATTTCCTTTTTTATCCTTAGAAATATATCATTCAGTCATCAAGCGCTTCAGCTGATACGATCAGTGTCACCATCATCTTTGGAATCTAGAGTGCTGTTCTGTCTCTATGCCTTCCTCTTCTGAATCATCTCATCATTGTGAAATCTCTTCCTTTCTCAAATTTTCTTGCCTTAGCCATTTGGGCATAAAGAAGGAATTCTGAATTTCCAGCTGCATTCAGTGAAATCTAACACAACACCCCGAGCATGGTGTCGTTGTCTTCTTTTATACATTCTTGAGAAATACTGTAGAACTTTGGGCACTGCCGCAAGAAAACTGAAGGGTGATGTCCTAGTGGTGTTTCATTTCAACATTATCTCATCCTGCCAGGTGATTCTATCATTTTGGTCTTGTTGTTATCTCTCTCTCTCTCTCTTTTTTAGCACAGTTAGGAAGAGTTGAAGAGTAATAATGAAATATTGTTTAGGATAATATATTATTTAGGTTAGATATAGTAAGATTAAAATCAACATCGCTAAGACCACATAACAAATGGATCCAGATAATAATTGCAAAATAGAATGAGTTTGTTTGTTTTTGTTTGCTTGTTTGTTTTGAGATGGAGTTTCGCTCTTGTCACCCGGGCTGGAGTGCAATGGTGCCATCTCAGCTCACTGCAACCTCCGCCTCCCAGGTTCAAGCGATTCTCCTGCCTCAGACTCCCAAGTAACTGGAACTACAGGTGCACACCACCATGCCCAGCTAATTTTTTGTATTTTTAGTAGAGACAAGGTTTCACCATGTTGGCCAGGCTGGTATCGAACTCCTGACCTCAAGTGGTCCACCCACCTTGGCCTCCTGAAGTGCTGGGATTACAGACGTGAGCCACTGCATGCCAGAATGAGCTTTATTTTATAAAGAAAATAAGTGATTTATTTTGTAAGACATCTAAGAATAATAAAAGTCATGAATACCAGCCCTGATTTTGGTATCATGGCACTGCTAGCTTCATAAAATGAACTGGGAGTATTCCTTTCTATTCTATTTTCTGGATTGTATGGAATGGTTATTCTTCCTTAGATATTTCATTAAATTAACCAGTGAAATCATCAAGTCCTGGAATGTCCTTTGTTGGAAGGCTTGTACCTATAAATCCAGTTAATTTAATAGTTATTGGATTATTCAGAGTTTCTATTTCATCTCAAGTGAGTTTTGCTAATTTGCATCTTTCAAAATATTGGTCATCAAGGTTGTCAAATTCATGGAATTAATATGGTTCATGGTGTTCTTTTAATTTTTTTAAAGTATCTGTGAAGTATTTAGTGAGATTCCTTATTTCATTTATCACTTTCATAGTTGATCTCTTTTCTCCTTTCTTCTTCATCAATTCAGCTAAGGCTTCCCACTTTCACAGATCTTTTAAAAGAACTAGCTTTTGTTTTTATTGATTTTTCTCTATTTTTCTGATTTCAATTTTATTGATTTTTGGTCTTTATTATTTCCTTCTTTCTGCTTGTTTTGGATTCAGTTTATCTTTTATATTTCTTAAATTGGAAACTCATAGTTTTTATTTGAGTCATTTTTTCTCTCATATAAGCCGTTAATGTAATGTATTTCCCCGTAGGCACTGATTTAGCTGCATTTCACAAATTTGGATATGTTGTAGTTTTAATTTTTATTCATTTTCAAATTATTTTCTAATTTCCCTTAAGACTTCCTCTTGGATCCATGGATTATTTAGAAGTGTGTTGTTTAATTTCAAAATATTTGCATCATGTTCAGGCCAGGTACAGTGGCTCATGCCTGTAATCCCAGCACTTTGGGAGGCTGAGGTGGGCGGATCACTTGAGATCAGGAGTTCAAGACCAGCCTAGTCAGCATGGCAAAACCCCGTCTCTACTAAAGATACAATAAATAAATAAATAAATCAGCCAGGTGTGGTGGTGGGTGCCTGTAATTTCAGCTACTCAGGAGGCTGAGACAGGAGAATTGCTTGAACCTGGGAGGTGGATGTTGCAGTGAGCCGAGATCGCACCACTGCACTCCAGCCTGGGTGACAGAGTGAGACTCTGTCTCAAAAAAAAAAAAAAAAATTGCATAGTGTTTAAATATTGTTCTTTTATTGATTCTAGTTTAATTCTGTTGTGGTCAGAGAACATATCTTGTGTGATATTAATTCTTTTCAATTAGTTAAGGTTTGTTTTATGACCCTGGATATGGTCTGTCTTGGTAAATATTCTGTGTATACTTGAAAAGAATGTGTATTCTGGTGCTGTTGGGTGGAGTGTTCTGTAAATGTCAGATCAAGTTGGTTATTAGTGTTGTTCAGGCCTTCTATATTCTTCATTATTTTCTATCTCCTTATTCTATCAGTTACTAAGAGAGGAGTGTTAAAGTCTCCAGCAATAGTTTTGAATTTGTCTATTTCTTTTTCTAATACTATTAATTTATGCTTCATGTATTTGAAACTCTGAGAAAAAAAATTGTGTATTATAATTTCCTAGGTATTTACCATTTCTGTTGCTATTCCTCTCTTTCTGAAGTTCTAAGTTTCTCTCAGCTATCATTCTTCTTCCCCTGAAGAACTTCCTATAGGACATCTTTTAGAGCAGGTCTGTTGGAGACAAATTGTCTTAGTTTTCTTCAATTTATAATATCTTTATTCTTTATTCTTGAAAGATATTTTTGCTGGATATAGAGTTTGGGGTTGACATTCCTTTTGTTTCAGCACTTTAAAAATGTTGTTCCATGGTCTTCTGGCCTCCATAATCTGTGGCAAGAAGTATGCAAGTATTCCGTTTTCTCATATTTAATATGCCTTTTTTCCCAGGCTTCTTTTCTTTTCTTTTCTTTTTTCTTTTCTTTTCTTTTTTTAACTAGCTCTCTCACTCTGTCACCCAGACTGGAGCGTGGTGGTGCGATCACAGCTCACTGCAGCCTTGACCTCCCAGGTCCAAGTGATCCACCTCAGCCTCCCAAGTAGCTGCAATCACAGGTGAGCACCATCATGCCTAAATTTTTATTTTTTCTAGAGACAGGGTCTTGCCATGTTGCCCATGCTGGTCTCGAACTCCTGAGTTCAAGCAATCCTCCCATCTCAGCCTCCCAAAGGGCTTGGATCACAGGCATGAGCCATTGCGCCAGACCATTCAGGCTACTTTAGAGATGATTTTTTTGATCTTTAGTTTTTCAGACAATTGATTATAATTTATGATTTGATTTGTTTGACCATGGGTTTTTTGGTGGTTTTTGTTTGTTTTGTCTTTGTTTATCTATTTTTGGATTTACTGAGCTTCTTAAATGTGTAAATTTATGTTTTATGCCAAATTTATGGCATTTTCAGCTATTATTTTTAAAAATGCTTTTTCTGTACCCATCTTTTTCTTCTCCTTTTGGTACCTCAATGACATGAAGCTTAGACCTTTTGGTTTTGTATCACAGGTTTTGTATCTCTGAGACTATGTTATTTTTATTTTCTCTTTTGTTCAGTTTGAGAGATTTCTGTTCGTGAGTTTTCAACTTTGCTGACTCCTCTGTCATTCCATTTTGCCATTGACCCAATCCAGTAAACGTCATTTCAGTTACTGTATTTTGGTTATTTCCTTTTTCCTTCTTCTTTCTTTCAAGTATGTTTGCTCTTCATGAATATAATAGCTGCTTTACAATCTGATAATTTCAACATCTAGTTAATCTTGGGGTTGGTGTCTGTTGTCTTTTACATTGAGCATTATGGAGATTTTTCTGGTATTTTATATCACTTTGGACTGTATCTTAGATATTTTAAGTGTTTTATTATGACACTCTGATTTTGTTAAAATCCTCTGTAGTGTGTTGATTGTTTTTGGTCATTATTTTAGCAGGCAATCAGCCTAGTTAGTTTTAGACTGCAAGTCCTAACGTGCCTTCTGTGGTTTTAATGTCAATTTTGTTTTCAAAGTCATTGCAGCGCTCTTCAGGGAAACCCACGTGTGCACCACCTAGAAGTCAGTCTTAACTACACAGTAATCATGTTCTCAAAGCTGGTTGCTATGCTGCTTGGGGTCAGTTCCACACCTTTACACATCAGAGATGAACCTGGAACTTCCTGCACAGATGTCCTTTCTTCTAGCTCTCTCTTCTCTATGATCTCCCCCACACTCTGTAGCCCCCAAGGGCTACTTTTCTGGGTCTTCTGGCTAGAAAATCTTAGGTTTTAGCCTATCTGTGCTGCTCCGCATGTCTCATGGTGAGGGCCACCTTCAGGGCCCTAGTGAGAGAAGAAAAAAAAAAAAAGAGAGAGAGAAAATTAACATGGATTTCCCAATATTCCTTGAATCACAGGGCCCCTTTTCCCATTTTTTCTGGTTAGAGAAAATTTTAACGTTTTGGCCACTGCTATCGTTGGCACCATTACAAAAGTGCAGTCTCAGAATTGGGCTGGGAGAGTAAACAGAGACAAAAACAGGAATTCCTGCCACTCTGTCCCGAAGAGGCCCTCCATCCTATCCTAGCTCTTTGGTCAGAAAGTCAGCCTTTCTTTTGGACCTTTTTCTGTTCACATCTGCTGCACAGTTCCAGAATTAGGACTGCTCTTGACTCTTAAGCTGGGAACATGGGAGGAAAGCCCCATGAAACTCATAACTTTGTCATTCTTCGAATTTTGATTTCTCCCTCCATCAGCCTTCTATTATTTACCTCAGATAGTTGTGTTTTGTATTCTGTGTAGGATTTTGGGTTGTCATAAGAAGGAGAGAAAGGGTGAAGTGTGCCTACTCCATCTTAACTGGGACCGGAAGCACCTCTCAAGACCCTCATACTGCCTGGAGTGTGTTCCCTGAGGTCTTCATGCGGCTGTCAAAGAGCCACTCCCTGGTCTTCCTGACGAAGTCTCCCCTGCCCCATCATTCTTGGTCCCATGCAGTATCTGAAGTTATCCGAGTCACTTTTCTTTCTTTCTCTTTCTCTCTCTTTCTTTCTTTCTCTTTCTTTCTTTCTTTCTTTCTTTCTTTCTTTCTTTCTTTCTTTCTTTCTTTCTTTCCTTCCTTCCTTCCTTCCTTCCTCCTCTCTGTCTCTTTCTTTTTTTTTTTTGAGATTTTTTTTTTGAGATGGAGTCTCACTCTGTCACCCAGGCTGGAGTACAGTGGCACAATCTCAGCTCACTGCAACCTCCGCCTCCCAGATTCCAGTGATTCTCCTGTCTCAGTCTCCCAAGTAGCTGGGATTATAGGCGTGCACCACCACACCCAGTTGATTTTTGTATTTTTAGTAGAGACGGGGTTTCACCATGTTGGCCAGGCTGGTCTCAAACTCCTGACCTCGTGATCTGCCCACCTCGGCCTCACAAAGTGCTGGGATTACAGGCGTGAGCCACTGCACCCAGCCGAGTCACTTGTTTTTCTTGTGTGTTTGTTCTAAGTTTCTCCATCACAGTGTAAGCTCCTTGGGAATGTGGACTCTGTCCACATTGCTAGTCATTGTGTCTGCAGGTTCTAGAGCAGCACATAGTGACTATTCCTATGTATCTGTGACTAACGAGCTGACTGATAGGAAGGAAGGCTGGATCTGACTGATTGTCAAGATTTAACAAGCTGGGCAATAGGAGAGGAATTAAGTAACCACCAGAAAACCTCCTGATCTCTCAAGAGGGCCAAGTATGTAAAATGAGGAAGGGGAAAATGGATGGAAAATCAGTAGGATTCATTGGTTTGCTCATGGATAACTAAGGAAATAATCAAGCCTTATATTCTAGAAAAGAAATCAGGGTGTGAAAAGTAGGGGGCATAGGGCTGTTTGGATATGTGTTTAGACCATGAGATCAACTGGGATCTACTGACTTTGCTGAGATAGCACATGCCCCTCAGGGGCTCTCTGACAGCACTTTGGGGAGGTTCAGGTGAGTCCTCTGGTGCAGGTGGAATTTAGGAGGAGTCTAAAAGTGAAGGCAGGGAAATAGACATCATTAGGACTTACAGTCCTTTTAAGCAAAAATTGTAAAAATGCAACGTAATTCCATCAATTTTCCAAAGCTTGCATGGTCAAGTAGTCATAGGGGATTGGCTGGTTGAACTTTGGATCCCTTTCCACCCTCGAAATTCCATGATTCTGCAGAGTCCGGTAGGCAGTTGGAGAAAGATGGCACAGAAAAGCAGGTGAGGTTGTAGTACCAGTGGTGCAGACTTATGGGCAAGCAGCATCAAGGCTGTAGTTGGGGACATCAGAAGAGATGACCTCTCAGAAGAGAGTGGAGAGAGACAGCACAGTCAAGGGCAGCGGGAGTCAGGTGAAGAAGGAAAATCACAGTGACTGCAGTTTACACTGGCCAGGTGCCAATGTGGGTGTGCACATGGACTTTACACATTTTCCTCCATTCCTAATTTGTTCTAGTGCGTGGAAAGATCTAGGGCATCCCAGCCCCTCCAGCCTCAGCCTTTACTGTGCTTTACTGTGGCCTAGCAGGGACCTGTGAGCAAAGGGTCTTTTTTTAAGTGTCCATCCTGTGAGTAAATATGATAGAATTTTGATCATTTTTATTTATTTTTGAGATGGAGTCTCGTGCTCTCCCCCAGGCTGGAGTGCAATGGCACGAATCTCAGCTCACTGCAACCTCCGCCTCCCAGGTTCAAGCAATGCTCCTGCCTCAGCCTCTTGAGTAGCTGGGATTACAGGCACGTTTCTACCATGTCCAGCTAATTTTTGTATTTTTAGTAGAGACGGGGTTTCACCATGGTGGCCAGCCTGATCTCGAAGTCCTGACCTCAAGTCATCCACCCGCCTTGGCCTCCCAAAGTGCTGGGATTACAGGCGTGAGCCACTGCACCCGGCCCTATCTTTAAATCCTACAAGCCTCACCTTGGAAAATGAGCTGAGACTGAGAAGTTCCCCCAATGTTTCTCAACCATTTCCTGTAGTCTCCATTATCTCTCCAACTTGCAAATTCAGAAATAAAAGTTTTTAGCTGTTTTCCTCCCAAGACACTTAATGTTATATTGTGTTTTCCCCCTTCTGAGAATAAATGAGCCCTGTTTGTTTTGTGTGCTGAAAAGAAAAAAGTTGAATAGCATTTATCTGAAAATAAACAAGGACTTACAAAATTTAAGAAGACTTCCCTGACATGCAGCTGGAGAAATAAGACTGTATTTTAAGAATTAAGTTAAACCAGAAGTGAAATAACAGACTTTAATGGTATCCTTGAAACAAACAGGGGGGATAGGGAAACCCCTTGGGAGATTAATGAGCCCATTAAATTTAAACACAGTTATTTATTATTTTTTTTCTTTTAAGACCAAAACAGAAGGTTGCGGATTCAGAACTAGCTTGTGAGCAGGCTCATCAGTATCTTGTTACCAAAGCAAAAAACAGATGGTCAGACTTGTCTAAGGTAAGAAAATGATTATTTCCTTAAAAGGAAAGAAAATCTATTTCAATGTTTCAAGATCACTGGGATGATGAAGCTGTTCAGATCCAGACGCTAAGATGGGAAAACAACTCTGTGTACCCAGTGTGAGGACTCCTGCTATTCTTAAAAGACTTTTTCAAACTAAATTCTCACATTCAAGGTCAAGTGAGGTTTAGAAAGATAAGGAATTGTTGGAGTTACATGGACCAAAATTCCTGGCATTACTTCAGGCTGGATATGAATTAAAAATTTATTTGGTTGGTGCAAAAGTCATCGCAGTTTTAGCCATTACTTTAACGGAAAAACTGCAATACTTTTGCACCAACCTAATACATGAAAAATATAAGATGCTGTTGTACTTAATTTTATACAATATAAACATACATTTTAAAGAGCTGTTTCTTCCTGTCTTGCCAAAATTATAGAAGCACATTTACAGGGTGGATACCCTCCACGTGCAATCCTGTGAACTGTGATTATGGTATTGAGATGGGGCTGTCTAATCCAGCAGGGCCAATGACAGCCAGACCTACAAGATAATAGAACTGCATGTGCAAAACCGAGTTTGTCCTGAAATCTAGGCTGGAGATCACCACTTTATAATGCAACAAGAATGCAATAGCTTCCCTCTAATAAGTATTTTTTAAACTGCATTATGGAAATATTTTCACATTATTTTGAAAAATACCTCCACTTTGTTTCACTTGGTCATTTTCTTTCTGTGTGTGCTCTTTCTTGGCCTGTGCCCAGTGTGAAAAGAATTTTGTCTTTGAAGTCCTGCTAACCTCCAGGGACTGTCTCTACCCAACCTCCTGTCCTGCACAGAGTGGACTGTCTGTGCTGTGGACTCCATAGAGTGGACTGTCTGTGCTGTGGACTCCATAGAGTGGACTGTCTGTGCTGTGGACTCCATAGAGTGGACTGTCTGTGCTGTGGACTCCATAAAGCAGACTGTCTGTGCTGTGGACTCCACAGACAGGACTTGCTGCACTGTGGACTCTATAGAGTGGACTGTCTGTGCTGTGGGCTGCATAAAGTGGACTGTCTGTGCTGTGAACTCCATAGAGTCAACTGTCTGTATTGTGTACTCTATGGAGTGGACTGTCTGCGCTGGCCCACACCAACCAATCCCACAGACTGGAGCTCTGTGTGGCCCACTTTCAGAGCAGCCCTCTAGGTTCAGGGTAAGGAAAGGGTCGGGACTAGAACCTTTCATGGATTGTATCTAACAAGTCACTGCCAAACTCAAGGTCATCTAAATTTTCTCTTATGCCGTCTTACGAGAGTTTCATAGTTTTGTATTTTATAATTAGGTTTGTGATCCATTTGAGTTAATTTTTGTGGAGGGTATAAGGTCTGTGTGTCTAGATTCATTTATTTAAAGGTGGATGTCCAGTTGTTCCAGCACCATTTATTGAAAAGACTGTCTTTGCTTTGTTGAGTTGCCTTTGCCCCTTTGTCAAGGGTATGTTGATTATGTGGGTCTGTTTCTGGACTCTCTATTGTGTTCCATTGGTCTACTTGTCTTTTCTTTAACCAGTACTACTGTCATGATTACTGTAGCCTTATAGTAAATCTTGGCCATCAGGTAGTGTCAGTTCTCCAAGTTTGTTCTTTTTTTTTTTTTTTTGCAGTATTGTGTTGGCTATTCTGAGTCTTTGCATCTAGAATAAGTTTATGGATCTCTACCAAACAATTTGCTGGGATTGTGATTTGGATTGAATTGAACCTATATTTGATGCTATTGAGCCTTCCTATCCATAAACATGGAATGTCTCTATTTAGGTTTTGCAAACATTAAACATTTCTCGTCAGAGTTTTGTAGTTTTCATTATATAGCTCTTGCATATAAGAGCTCTTGCAAATAAGACCAGGCTGGTTTGGAATTCCTGGCTTCAAGTGGTCCTCCTACCTCAGCCTCCCAAGTAGCTGGGATAACAGGTGCATACCACCATTCCTGGCTAATATTTTATTAGATTTATACCTAAATATTTCATTTTGGGGGGTGCTAATGTAAATGGTATTGTAGTTTTCTTTAACTTTTATTTTAGGTTCAGGGATATGTGTGCAGGTTTATTATATAAGTAAATTCATGCCGTGGCGGTTTGTTATACAGATTATTTCGTCACCCAGGTACTAAGCTTAATACCCAATAGTTATCTTTCCAAATCCTCCCCCTCCTTTCCCCCTCCACCCTCAAGTAGGTCTCAGTGCCTGTTGTTCCCTTCTTTGTGTCCATGTGTTCTCATCATTTAGCTCCCACTTGTAAGTGAGAACATGCAGAATTTGGTTTTCTGTTCCTGCATTAATTTTCAAAGGATGTTAGCCTCCAGCTCCATTCATGTTCCTGCAAAGGACATGATCTTATTCTTTTGTATGACTTTGTAGTATTCTATGATGTATATATTCCACAGTTTCTTTATCCAGTCTACCGTTCATGGGCATTTAGGTTGATTCCATGTCTTCACTATCATGAATAGTGCTGCAGTGAACATACCCGTGCATGTATCTTTATATTTGTGTTATATAAATATATGATATGAATATATTTGCTGTATAAATATATGATATGAATATATTTATGTAACAAATATATTTCTATAACAAATATATTAATATATATGTTATATAAATAAATTATATAAAATATTTATATATGATATTTATATATTTATGTTATATAAATATATTTATATTTATATATTTAGAATGATTTATATTTCTTTGGGCATATACCCAGTAATGGGATTGCTGGGTCGAATGGTAGTTCTGTTTTTAGCTCTTTGAGGAATTGCCACACTGCTTTCCACAATGGTTGGACTAATTTACACTCCCACCAACAGTATATAAGCGTTCCCTTTTCTCTGCAACTTTACAGCATCTGTTTTTTTTTACTTTTTTTTTTTTTTTAATTGAGATGGAGTCTCACTCTGTCTGCCAGGCTGGAGTGCAGTGGCATGATCTAGGCTCACTGCAACCTCCGCCGCCCAGGTTAAAGTGATCCTCATGCCTCAGCCTCCTGAGTAGCTCGGACTACAGGTGCATGCCACCATGCCTGGCTAATTTTTTTGTATTTTTAGTAGAGACAGGGTTTCATCATGTTGGCCAGGCTGGTCTCGAACTCCTGACCTCAGGGGATCCACCCGCCTTGGCCTCCCAAAGTGCTGGAATTACAGGTGTGAGCCACCACACCTGGCCGACTTTTTAGTGATAGCCATTCTGACTGGTGTGAGATGGTATCTCATTGTGGTTTTGATTTGCATTTCTCTAGTGATCACTGATGAGCTTTTTTTCATATGATTGTTGGCCACATGTATTTCTTCTTTTGAAAAGTATCTGTTCATGTCCTTTGCCCACTTTTCAATGGGGTTGTTTAAGTTCCGTATAGATGCTGGATGTTAGACCTTTGTTAGATGCATAGTTTGCAAATTTTCCTCACATTCTGTAGGTTGTCTCTTTATTGATAGTTTTGCTGTGCAGAAGCTGTCAAATCTAATTAGATCCCATTTGTCAATTTTTTCTTTCGTCATGAAATATTTCTCAGTTCCTATGTCCAGAATGGTATTGCTTAGGTTGTCTTCCAGGGTTTTTATAGTTTTTAGTTTGACGTTTAAGTCTTTTATTCATCTTGAGTTTATTTTCTGTTATAAGGAAGGGGTATTTGTTATAAGGAAGGGGCCCAGTTTCAATCTTCTGCATATGGTTAGCCAGTTATCCCAGCACCATTTATTGAATAGGGGAATCCTTTCTCCATTGCTGGGTTTTGTCAGCTTTGTTGAAGATCAGATGGTTGTAGGTGTGCAGTCTTATTTCTGGGCTCTCTATTCTATTCCACTGGTCTATGTGTCTGTTTTTGTACCAGTACCATACTGTTTGGTTACTGTAGTCCTGTAGTATACTTTAATTGGGTAACTTGATGCCTCTAGCTTTATTCATTTTGCTTAGGATTGCCTTGGCTATTTAGACTCTTTTTGGTTCCATATGAATTTTATTTTATTTTATTTTATTTTGAGACAGGGTCTCACTCTGTCACCCAGGCTGGAGTGCAGTGGTGTGATCTTGGCTCACTGTAACCTCAGCCTACCAGGCTCAAGCCATTCTCCCACCTCAGCCTCCCAAATAGCTGGGACCACAGACATGTGCCACCACACTCAGCTAATTTTTGGTATTTTTTGTGGAGATAGGGTTTCGCCATGTTTCCCAGACTTGTCTTGAACTCCTGGGCTCAAGCGATCTGCCTACCTCAGCCTCCCAAGGTTCTGGGATTATAGGTGTGAGCCACCACGCCTAGTCCCATATGAATTTAAAAACAGCTTTTTCTAGCTCTACGAAGAATGCCATTGGTAGTTCAACAGGAATAGCATTGAATCTCTAAATTGCTTTGGACAGTATGGTCATTTTAATGATATTGATTATCCCAATCCATGAGCATGGAATGTTTTTCCATTTGTTTGTGTCATCACTGATATCTTTGAGCAGTGTTTTGTAATTCTTATTGTAGAAAACTTTCACTTCCATGATTAGCTATATTCCAAGGTATTTTGTTCTTTTTGTGGCAATTGTGAATGGGATTACATTCCTAATTTTGCTGTCAGTTTGAGACCATGCTGTCCAAAGCAATTTACAGGTTCAATGCTATGACTGGTGAACTATCAATGACATTATCTCTCATGAGAGATGATGGTGTGTAGTTTTCTTTACTTGTAATATCTTTGTCTGGTTTTGGTATTAGGGCAATACTGGTCTCATAGAATAAGTTAGGAATTATTCCCTCCACTTCTATCTTTCTGACATAAGTTCCTGTAAAGTTTTCTGCTTATGGGTGTCTGTCCCAGTAAATTGTGATTCTCTGTATTCACCTGTCTGTCTCTCCAGTTTTGGGGACAGTGATTTGGCCTGTAACTTCACTTGTCTTATGATTTAAAAAGAGTTGTTGATTTTCCAATTTGTTCAGATTTTTACTTGTTGTTGGGACAGTGGTAACTTCCAAGTTTCTTACATGCCAGACCTGCTACGTGTTTTTAAAGGGACTCTGAAATCCTACAGACTCAATTTTTTTTAAAGCATAATTTTTTTTTAAGTTATGACTCTACAATGAAGTATATAAAATACATATGTATAGTTTAAATAAGTTTAAAGTAGTCAGCATGTAACCACCATTCAGGTGAAGGAAAAGAATATTGCCAATATCTTAGACCAGGAGCCAGCACACTTTTTCTGTAAAGGCCCAGATAGTAAATATTTTTGATTTTCTGTCAAAACTGCTCAACCCTGTAGCACTTGGTACCATCAGACTTCCTAGTTTTTTCCACTCTAGTGGATATGTAATAGTATCTCATTGCAGATTTGATTGGCATTTTGTTTGTTATTAGTGAGATTGAGTATATTCACTTGGTCATTTATTGGTCAGGTTTCCTTGATTGTGAAGTGCTTGCTCGAGACTTTAAGTCTTCCTACTGGTTTGTCTTTTTCTCATTGGTCAACAGAAACTGTGACGATGGTCATAGTATACACTGCTCTGTGGATCCTGCTGTTTTGTAAGTGACGTGTGGTGCAACTATCATCTCTCAGTGTGTATTATGTGTTCTTACCTTTTTTATATGATGTCTTTTGATAAATATAAGTTCTTTTTAATGTAGTCAAATTTACTAACATCTCTCTGTAGATCTTGTTTAAGAATTCTACTCTGGAGTCATGAAGATGTTCTCTCACACTCTCTTACAGGAGCTTGACAGTTTCAACTTTCACATTCAGGTCTTGAAATCTGGACTAGATGTTTCCCAAGTGTGGTGAGGCAGGGACCCAGTCTCATTTCCTCCATATGGAAGTCCAGCTGTCCCAGCACTGGTCATTGTGAAGTCCCCCTTCCCCTGGCCGATCTGAGCATCACCACTGCCTACATCACAGCCCGTGGGTATTACTGACCTCCTCATTCTGTTCCCCTGATCAGCTTGCCTGTGCTGGCACCTACATCACATCTTTGTTGTCGTGATAACTTAGTGATACATCTTAATTAATTGGTAGGCAACTCCCTCTACCTTGTTCTTCAAGAGTTTTGAATCGCTTTGTCGAGTTCCACAAAGAAAATGACACCTTTACTATTATATTTGAGTTTTCTAATTCATGAACACAGTGTCTCTCCATTTATTTTGATCTTCTTCAATATCTTTCAGTAAAGTTTTATACTTTTCTGTATAAAGGATGTCTCAGATATCACAGATTTATTCCTAGGCCTTTCTATTTTTGATTCCTTTTGTAAATGTTATCTTTTAAAATTTCACTTTCTGTGTCTGATATGTAAAAACTGTGATTGATTTTGCCTGTTGACATAGAATCCAGACTGCTTGCTAAATTCACCTCTTATAATAATTTATTTGTGGATTCTTTGTATTCCTGTGTATACAGTCATGTCAGTGAATAATAATAATTGTATTTCTTCCTGTCCTATCGTTACACCTTTTATCCTTTTTCTTGCCTGATTAAACGGGCTGAGACCCCGCAGTACAATGTAGAATAGCGGGTGATGAAGATATTCTCACTTTGTTCCTGATCTTAGGGGGAATGTTTTGTTCTTTCACTATTAAGTATCATACTTGCAGAGAACTCTGTAGATGTACCCGTTATATCCACCTCATCATGTTGTTATGAAGAAGATTAAATGAGCTATTACTTGGAAACAACTAAAGACATTGCTGAGAACCACACGTGTTAGCTTATTCAAGTCTGTGGTCCTCTTATATGCCTGACAATACCTTCTGTACCCATCAGGGCCATAAAAATGGTACCATATAATCTTGTCATAATAGCTGGAGTCTAATGTCCCTCATTTCCCCTCTTACAGCCAGAGGGCTAAAACCAAACCATCATTGAGATGAGGATCCTCCATCTCATTTCCTGGGCTCTGGTTGGCCCTTATTTCTAATCATTTTTGAACCCAAGTTGTTGATCAGGAGAAGAATCCAGGTCAAACCCCTGAGGCAACTCAGAAACCACCCCCTTCCGACCCCTAATTCTCATTTCCGTTTTGCTCTATCACTTTCTTTCCAGGAATGATGAGGATACCTGGAACGTAGATTAAAAGGTGATTAAGGAGGTGGATGGGGATACAGATGCCTTAGAGTTTCCCACATATTGACTAATTGAACATCTTTTCTGCTGTCATACGCACATTTCACATGTTCCTAAATACCGTATTCTGATGTTGTAGAATTTTCTAGAAACCGATAATGAGGGCAATGGCATTCTTCGACGCCGGGACATAAAGAACGCACTGTACGGTTTTGATATTCCCCTCACACCAAGAGAGTTTGAAAAGCTTTGGGCAAGGTAAGTGGCACGTGAGACTGGTTGGTTTCCATTCTTATGGACTAGGGGTGCTTGCTGTGGCAAATTCAGCCTAATCTTTCCTACATCAGGGTAACTGGGGGCTGGGAGTATTTTCTCTTGGTTGCATCTGTCTCATCTCCTGTGTCTTTCCTTGTTCCTTGCTGCTTGGTGCTCATAGCAAGCAGCCTTGGTGGATGGGTTGGTCTTCAGTAACACGGAGAACCAGGGTAAATGCTCATCCATACCAGACTTGAGAGGTTTCTATTTCCAAGGACCTGGGAGCTCAAGCCCAGACCTTTACTGTTTTAACAAAACAAGTCACTCTCCAAGGACTTAACTCTAATATAACTCACTCAGCAGATATGCAATGGGTAAAGGGAAAAGGAGTTTCTCCCCATTACCTATAGATGGAAATTAATGCTGCACAACTGTTTTATAGGTAAGTAATTTGTGGGAAGAAAAACCAAACTTTTAGCAACTTGGAGTAGCTTCCCGAGGGTCTCTTAAACCGAAAATTTTATCCGATGTTGGTTCCATTTGTCAAATGTATTTTCGATTTAGCTGTTTTGGAATTGGGCCCCCAGTTATGGTCTTCCCTGGATAGATGTCTAAGTTTCACATTCCACTAACAATGTGGTCTATTTCCAAGTTCCAGACCCAACTTCAAATTACCTCCTTCTTCATTATATGTCCGTAGTCACCTGTATTCCCCCAGGATGGTATACCAACATCGTACGTCCACTCAGGAGGCAAACTTATGAAACCATGAGTTCATACCATTTCCCAGATTTTCATCTGTTCAAAGTGGAAGGCTGAAATGTTGGCCAAGTTTAGAATTAGGTGGGTTGTTTTGTGTCTAATTTAGAAAAGCAACTGGAAGTTCTTACAAAATGCTTACTTTTTAAAGATCAGTTCCAACACAGGGTCCAGTTAGACTCCCTGCCCATTTCTGTTTGAGTAGCTTACACTAGTAGTTCCAGCTGGGTATAGGCAGATCTTTGTGGAGTAGGCAAATGCATAGCCCTGCCTCTCAGTTGACTTTAGGATAATCCAAAGATGACAACATGGTCCCTGTCTTTGGGGAGCTGTCAGGGCACAGAATGCATTCACACAGGTAGCTATGGTACAGCAACAACTGTGCAAAACCCCTGAGCAGAGAGCAAGTCAAGTGGCATGGGCAGTGAGGCAGGAGCATGGGGCTAGCGGGGGCTGGAAGCTGTCATGGGTCCAGATGGAGAAGGAGACATTCTTGTTCAGCAGGCCACCTGTCTGCAGGGAGGCAGGTGTTCTATCAGAAGTGGCATGGGGCTCCCAGGGTCAGAAAGGAAGGGTAGGGCTGCTCCCTTACCAGGTCCTAGCTTTCTGGTGTTATTGACCAGGCAGTCGGGAACAATGGAATTTGAGTGTGGTTGTGGGGTGAACAGAGCTGCGGTTTAGGAAGGTGAGTCAGTTCAGGGGACAGGATGGCTGGGGGTGCTGGCCCTGGGAGACCACCACCATCACCGGGGGGAGAGGACGAACCCCTGAGTGGGGGCTGGCCATGGGAATGAGAGGTATTGGAGTCATGTCCCCCACAAGGGTTGCCATGTGGGAAATGAGAGTGGACGGAGCCTGTTTCTGAGGGTGGGACAGAACTTGTTTCCATTTCAATTGGAGGTGGACACTCACTGTTGGCTTGTGGCTAAAGTTTCTTTACATGTTTATGAACATAATTATGAAATGTGCAGATTTTCACCCTGTGTTGACAACTGCTTGCAGTCAGAGTTTTGTCCACTATTGTTTAGTTGACCTCATGCCACACATGGTGAGTGGTTAAGAGCAACAGCTCTGCAGCCAGATGCGTGGGCATGACTCCTGCCTGCTTCCTGCTGTGTGGCCTCCATCAAGTTACTTAGCTTCTCTGTGCCATATACTCCTCATCATCTGCAAAGCAGTAGATGATGTTCCCTGTCACCCAGGGCCACTTGAGTCCTGGGTAAGGAGTCATATTAAGTGCTAGCCCAGGGCGTGGCATGCAGTAACCACTCAGTACATTTAACACACCCTTTCTTCATTTGTTCACCCAGCAAATGCTTCTTAAACACTGGGTCTGCGCCTTTGCAGAGGTTTGCAGGGCTGAGGATGACCAAGATAAACGAGTAATCCAGAGCTCATCGCCAAAGACACTCAAATGCTCTTAAGGAGAGAAAGTCTTGGTAATTAAGTGCTGTATCCCTGTCAGGACCTCTGAAGGCTCAGAAATCAAGCGCTAATAAACTGGGCTTTTAAGCTGAGTTATTTCACATACAAGATTAATTTATGAGGAAGTGGAAGAGTGATGGTGAATCTGGTTTGCTAGAGAGAGAATACATTTGGAGGCCATAGAAAAGTCCAGTTCTTGGGCTGGTAATTCCTCTACTTCCTCCCTTCAGTGAATCCCTTTTTCCCTCTGGAATTGCCTTTGGGTTGGCACACACATTCACCTGGTGACCCCTCCCGTGTCCGTGTTTTTCATTTTCCCTTAGGTCAATCGTGCAGTTCCTAGGACACTTTGCAAATTATAGCACCTATCATTTTTATTTCACTTCATTAGATGAGCTACTTCCTGGAAAGTATTGCATGCAATATCTACATTTTCAAAATCAAATCAAGTTTTTATTGATTCAAGATTTTCTTCACTGCTATTGTTTTTGTTCTCCACTTTTTTACTGTGTCAAAATATACATAACGCAGTTTACCATCTTCACCAATTTTAAGCACACAGCTCGGTGGTATTCAATACGTTCATCATGCAGTGCAGCTGTCACCACCGTCCAGCTCCAGAACTCTTTCCATCTTGTGAAACTGAGATTTTTTTTTTTTGACAGAGTCTCACTCTGTCACTGGGCTGGAGTGCAGTGGCACGATTCTCAGCTCACTGCAACCTCCGCCTCCCAGGTTCAAGCGATTCTCCTGTCTCAGCCTCCCAAGTAGCTGGGATTACAGGCACGCACCACCACGCTCAGCTAATTTTTGTATTTTTAGTAGAAATGGGGTTTCACCATGTTGGCCAGGATGGTCTTGATCTCTTGACCTCGTGATCTGCCTGCCTCGGCCTCCCAAAGTGCTGGGATTACAGGCATGAGCCACCAGGCCTGGCCCCTTGTGGAGTTTTACAAAGGTGGTTTCAGTCCCTGAGCAAGGAAGGGGTCAGTTTTGCAAAAGGATCGTTATCATCTTTGCTTTAAAGTTAAATTATGAATTAAATTCTTCCCATAGTTAGCTTGGCCTACACCCAGGAATGAGCAAGGGCAGTTTGTGTGGTTAGAAGCAGGATAGAGTCAGCGACATCCGATTTCTCTCAGTGTCATACTTTCTGCAAAGGTGGTTTCAGTTGGAAGGCCAGGCACAGGGTGTCGCTCAGTGTTGACCCTGGACATGGGAGGCACCTCCTTGGGGAGGGCTTGGCATTCCGAGCACCTGCTGTAGCCTCATTTAACCAGGTAGAATTCAACTCTTTGAATCTAAAACAAACTTTGCTAGAAAACTCTGAAGAGGGAGAGGGTGTGCTCTGAAAACTCACCAAAGGGCCGACCCGAGTAGGAAAAGCAGCAGGCTCGGAAATATCCGTGGAGATCCTTGCGTGTGTGAAACTAGCCAGCCAAGCAGACCTGCCAGAAAGTTTGCAAGATAATTAATGCCCAATTTATGCACATTTCTTGATATGGCAGGTGAGTTATATATCAGTATTCAAATATAAACAGAAGAGACTGTGAAAAAGCAGCTGTGCCATGTACAGCATCTCGTGTGGACAAAAAAAAAACCCATGGTTTTCAGTTCACAAGAAGTGAGGCCATTTCTATTAGCTCAACCAAAGCAGTGCCCAGAGAGAACCTACTCGGTGCCTGGCTGGTGGAACCTCTGGACAGGGAGCCTCAAGATGGGAAAGGGTTTTAAAAGGTTGAGTGAACAAGATCATTAGCTTAGAAATGGGAAGATTCAGTGGGATGCGATGTCAGAGGGTGACTTTTAGAAGCACTGAATACAAAGAAGTTGGACTTGGAGATGTGCTAGCCAGGTAGACTCTAAGCTCAACATGAAGGAAGTGTGGTTCTCATGTCTGGCATGGCTTTACCTAAGGCTAGCCCCCTTTTTACTGGGGAGAGTAATGGGTGGAATTTGGCTCTTGATGGGTACTGGAGCAGATGGTGTCTGATCTTCTGTGATTTCATCAGAACATACTGAATATGCCCTTTGAGCATGTTCAGCTCCAGCAATTGGACACTATATTAGTCTATTCTCGTGCTGCTATAAAGAAATACCTGAGACTGGGTAACGTATAAAGAAAAGAGGTTTAATTGGCTCACGGTTCCACAGGCTGTACAGGAAGTGTGATGCTGGCATCTGCTCAGCTTCTGGGAAGGCCTCAGGAAACTTACAATCATGGTGGAAGGAAAAAAAAAGGGAGCCAGCGCTTCTTGTGGCCAGAGCAGGATGAAGGTGGTGGGGGGTGCCACACACTTTCAAACCTTCAGATCTCATGAGAACTCAATATCACGAGAACAGCACAATGAGGATCATGCTAAACCACTCATGAAGGATCCAGTCACCTCCCACTAGGCCCCATCTCCAACACTGGGGATTACAATTTGACATGAGATTTGGGTGGGGACACAAATCCAAACCATATCAGACACTTTCATTTCTAAAGAGCAGCTATTTGAGTCATTAGACCTCCCTCCAAGATGGTACCTGAGAGAATTCCTTGTGTCCCCAGCTGCATGAGGTGCTGTGTCTGCCTCTGCTGCCTGGCCTAGGCCATCAGCAGGGCTTATACCACACCTCCTCATTCTGCCCTGTAACTCTAGGGACAGTGGCATTTGAAGATACTTCTGAAATGTATGTGGGAATTAAGTGCCTAAACTGAGCGGAAAGGACTAAGACATTCTTAGCAAAGCAAACCAATCAATGTGAACATACTCAAATTATGTGTATAGCTGAATTGCTGTGTGCACAATAAATGGGTAGAGTAATCTGATTGTGTCATAAATTAGTGGCCGTCACCATCCACGAATGTGAGTTTTTACGGGTCCTCTGTTTCTGTGCACACTTTTTCCTGGCACATCTATTGCTGAACCATTTGAAAATTCAACCTTTATAGGCAAGTTGGTGTTTTAAAATGTTACACAAAGGGTTATACAATGAAGGGTGAGGTTATGTAAGCTGAATTAGCTCTCTTATTAATCACATTCACAACAATATTTTAGTTGCAGTTGTGCAATCTAGTCTTCTGTTCCTTTGGATGAGAATAGAATGTTTACGATCTTCATTAATGAAGCAATTAAGAATGCCTTTTCATTCAGTTCAAGTGTCATGATGGAAAGTTTGTTGTTAGTGAGCCCTTGAGCACAGCACACCAGGAGGGCAGTCCTTCCTTAGAAATGCACTCCCTTCACTTTTCTTAGCCCAACAGCCATGAATGGATAACGTAGCTCATGCAAAGTGTGTTGCTGAATGCTGTGAATTTGTAAAAATGATTAAACCATAGTTTCTCCTCAAGAAACCTGCCATCTAGTAGGCAGATAAGACATGGACCTAGGAACTGGATGGAGGCAGCATGTGGGAAAAACTTTGGGTGGCATAGAGCAGTAGCAAATGCCAACATGCACTCCTCATGTATCCGCAAATGCACTAACCCGTCGGGTCCTCACCGCGCCTTGAGGAGCTCAAAGGAAGGCACGGTTGTGGTTCTTTTGACTTAGGAGGAGAGAGAGGTTTCCAAAAGAGGTGCACTGCTCCCTGGGGGCTGCTTGTCAGGTGGGTGGGTGGGCTGTGGACCATTCTGTTAGGAACCCTCCTGTCAGAATGAGGAACCCCTGGGAGCTTTATTCAGAGGGCGTCTTGACCAGAGTTGCATTATTACATTGTCCTGGTGCCACAAGGCTAGTTAGAGTCCTGATGTAGTTCAAGGAGAGAGGCATGGCCCTGGGATCACCCTAGAAGCTCAAGAAATGTCAGCCCTTCCGCCTCCTAGGTATGTCCATGTGAAATTCAACTTCCTCCCTGCAGCCATCTTAGCATTACCAGCAACAGGGAAGCCCTTGCTGGAGGCGCTTGCCCCTGATGGTGCTGCTGAGACCACAGCTCTTCAACAGCCAAAGAGAAGCCTCGGGAACTGCAGAGCCCACAGGCCTCTTTCTGAGGCTGTGTTGTCTTGTTGGGTTTTAAGAACAAAATTCACTGAATAAAGGTGGAAGTGTACTTTTCTGGGTTGCAAAATTAAGGCCATCCTCATAATAGACACCTGAAAAGGTCTGCAGGGGATAAGGAGCTGATGGTCTCAGCAGGAGCTGGGCGGGGCACTGTCCTGAGACCTCATGTCTAGGACTGCCCGGGACGGCTCCCAGCTGAGGGACTGATCCGTGGAGCAGGAAAGGGCCTTGCCAGGTGAAGAGCCGGCAAACTGGTATTTACCTAGAGCCCTCTATCTGCACCCTGCCTGCAAAGTAGCGGAGGACGTCGTCCAAGGGGACTTTTCTTACCTTGTCAGGTGGAGTCCATGTGGAGAATGGGGCGAATGCTGTGTTGAGGCAGCAGGTGGGTGGCAGACACATGGCAGAGGAGTGGGGACCTGCAGGGCACAGAAGGCAAGGGAGCATGGAGAGAGCCCTCAGGGGCACCTGTGGGGACAGGCCCACATGGCCTTTGGGAAGGGTGGTGGTCCTCCAACTCCTGAGAGCCTCTGCAAGTTTTAGCACAAGTGCGTGAAGCAACATTTACCCAAACGTCTATCTGCTTTCTCTCCTACCTGCCACCCCTTCCCCTTGAGGACAAGAACGTGGTCAATAAGAACATTTTCTTTATTGTTCACCCAGCTCAAACAGTCGTACAGGGCTTAGTGTGTCACAGGCAACTGTGGGTTCCGTAGATCCTCCAGGATCTCATCAGTTAACGAGCAGAGCAAAAGGGAGCTGTACCTCTCAAAGGAAAACTGATTGTACTTCTACTCCATCAGACAAATGCCCAAGCAACATCCTGATGGGAGAATTATGCTGGCAACATTGTTTAAATATAGTCTCATTCCTTGTAACTCTGAGTTCATCTGGGGAAAATCACATCTGCGAATGCCATTTTTATCGATTAGATGAGGACCAAGATCTTTCTGTAAAAATAAATGCTTTCTTTCTTTAAAGAAAATTGGCAATTTGCCTTAAAATTTTTATTGAAGTAATTCTATTCTATTTGAATAACGTTGGGAGATAAAAACCCTCCATTATGCCTTTTTTAATGAGTTCTAATTCAGAAAAATCTCAATAATAGAAAATGACATAAAAGGTACATAGCATAATTCTTATCTTGTTTTCCTCACTGGCCTCTCTCATTGGCTGTATGTAATTGGCATCTCTTCAAAGAGGAAATGGGAAATTTTACCATCTTTGAATCAAGTGACATTCACTCATTCGAGTTTTAAGATTGAATATGCTTTTTGAAGAATTTTTTTCTAAACCTTAGCATAATTCCTTTCACAGGTAAGTATTCAATTTTAAAAAACTGCCGAACGGGCGAGGTGTGGCAGCTCACGCCTGTAATCCCAGTACTTTGGGAGGCCGAAGCCGGCGGATCACCTGAGGTCAGGAGTTTGAGACCAGCTTGGCCAACATGTTGAAACCCCGTCTCTACTAAAAATAGAAACATTAGCCGGGCATGGTGGCCGGCGCTGTAATCCCAGCTACTCGGGAGGCTGAGGCAGGAGAATCACTTGAGCCTTGGAGACAGAGGTTGTAGTGAGCCCAGCTCGCACCACTGTACTCCAGCCTGGGCCACAGAGTGAGACTCTGCCTCAAAAACAAAACAAAACAAAAAACAAAAAAAAAACCCTGCTAAACGTATGGAGGGGTTGACTTTAATTTTCTGTAGTCACAACTGTGTTTCTAATAGAATGACAGGTGAGTGGCTTGGGTTGCTCTCTCTCCTGGCAGGCCATGTGTGGCGTGACCATCCTGAATGCTGATGTGCCTGTGAGTCACCTGGGGTCCTTGTTAACATGAGGATGCGGATCGGATCAGGAGTGAGGCCTGAACTCACGCATTTCCAGCTCTGCCAGGCGGGGCTGATTCCGCTGGCCCACAGGGCATGCTCCGAGTGGTGAGGGATGGAAGACGAGCTCCTCATGGATGGTGCAGGCATTTTCCAAACCCTGAGCATCAGCACACCTTACTGGCTACTGAGAAGTGCTTTCTGTTTTTGTTTTTGTTTTAAGATACGACACCGAGGGAAAAGGGCACATTACTTACCAGGAATTTTTACAGAAATTGGGTATTAACTATTCGCCTGCTGTCCATCGGCCCTGTGCAGAGGATTATTTCAACTTCATGGGTCATTTTACAAAGCCACAGCAGCTACAGGAAGAGATGAAGGAGCTGCAGCAGAGCACAGAGAAGGCTGTGGCAGCCAGGTGAGTGAGGAAGGATCACGGGGCCATCATCTAGAAGTCCCCTTTTACATCTGGCCTCACAGCACAAGTTATTTTAAAATGGTACCTTCCCATGCTGGCAAAGTTACAGGGAAATGATCGTGCTTGTTCACAGTTGTCGATTCTAGAAATTGGTGCGAAGTCAAAGAGTAATTGAAAAGCTATAGCCCATTCCATCTTACCCAGTCACAATCTTATATCATTCATCATATTTTATGGGTCACCCTTGAAAATGATCCTTTAAATTTAGTTGTGGATGGCATACCGCCTGGCCACGCCCTTGGCCCAAATAGAATGCAGGCTCAATAGGGATGTCTGTCACTTTACCTGGTGTCTAGCACCGAACAGACACCCACACCCAGTAATATCTGTTGAATGAATAAAGGAAAGAACCAGACATATCCTTTAACTCACACTTCTACTTTCAGGACTTGATCCCGAAGAAATAATTCAGAATAAGCCAACAGCTGAGCAACGGGAAGGTGTGACCTGCAGTGTGTCTTTTTTTTTTTTTTTTTTTTTTTTTTTTTTTTTTTTTTTTGAGATGGAATCTCACTCTGTCTCCCAGGCTGGAGTGCAATGGCGCTGTCTGAGCTCACTGCAACCTCCACCTCCCGGGTTCAAGCGATTCTCCTGATTCAGGCTCCTGAGTAGCTGGGATTACAGGCACACGCCACCACGACCAGCTAATTTTTGTATTTTTAGTAGAGGTGAGGTTTCACCATGTTGGCCAGGCTGGTCTTGAACTCCTGACCTCAAGCGATCCACCTGCCTCAGCCTCCCAAAGTGCAGTGTGTCTATAACAGCACAACGACAACAAAGGGAATACCCTCCAGTCCCAAATTAGTGCACTGGCTTAGCAAAGAGTAGCCTGAAAGAGCATGAAATTGCCCATGCCTGCTGCGGCCACTGTGGAAGGACACGGAAATGTTTGTGTAAAGGGCTAACAGGCCATTACGTTTTGGGCAGTATGTGTACCATGAGTGGAACAATATCAAATGTAGGAGCAGGTGCCTGGGACCAGAAGATGCTGTGCAGAAGGTACCCCACTGGATTTGGATGGTGGGAGCGTACATGATTCCTTTCCATTTTTAAAACTGATATTTAATAGTTGTACATATTTGGAGGGTATGTATGATATTTTGATACTTGTATACAATGTGTAATGATCAAATCAGGGTAATCGGTATATCCATCATCTCAAACATTTATCTTTCTACAAATTCTACAAATCTTCTCTTCTAGCTATATTTTTTAAAAAATGTGTGGGTACATAGTAGGAGCATATATTTATGGTTACATGAGATATTTTGATACAGGCATGCAATGTGTAATAATCACTTCAGGGTAAATGGGAAATCCATCACCTCAAGCATTTATCCTTTGTGCTACAAACAATCCAATTATACTCTTTTAGATATTTTTAAATATACAATTAAATCTAGCTACTTTGAAATATACAATAAAATTATTGTGTACTTCAATATAACATTTTATTGTTATAAAATTGTATGTAACAATAAAATTGTTAAGTATAATTTCCCTACTGTACTATCAAATACTAAAATTTATTCCTTCTATTAAATTGCATTTTTGTACCCCTTATCCAACTTCTCTTATCTTCCCCCTCCCGACCCTTCCCTTCCCAGCCTCTGATAACCTCTGGTAAATTAGCCTCTGGTAATTTACTCTTTATCTGTCTGAGATCAACCTTTTTTTTTTTTTTTTTTTTTTTTTTTCCCGGAGACAGTGTCTCACTTTCATCACCCAGGCTGGAGTGCAGTGGCTCCATCACGGCTCACTGCAGCCTCAACTTTCCAGGCTCAGGTGATCCTCCCACCTCAGCCTCCTGAGTAGCTGGGACTACCGGTACACACCACCACACCTAGCTAATTTTTGTATTTTTAGTAGAGATGGGGCTTCACCATGTTGCCCAGGCTGGTCTCAAACTCCTGAGCTCACCCACCTGCCTCAGCCTCCTAAAGGGCTGGTCTTACAGGCGTGAGCCACTGCGCCCAGCTGAGATCAACTTTTTAAACTCCCACATATGAATGAGAACGTGTGATATTTGTCTTTCTGTGCCTGGCTTATTTCTCTTCATATAATGATGTCTAGTTCTGTCCATCTTGCTGTGAATGACGATTTTCTTCTTTTTTATGGCTAAATAATGTTCCATTGTGTATGTGTGCCACATTTTCTTTATTAATCTGTTGATGGACACTTGGGTTGATTTCATATCTTGGCTATTGTGAGCAGTGCTGCAATAAACATGGAAATGCAGATATACTGATTTCCTTTCTTTTGAATATATACCCAGCAGTATCATAGAATTTCTGGATCATACGGTGGTTGTGTGTTTAGTTTTCTGGGAAATTGCCGTACTGTGTTTCACAGTACTGTACATTACCACCAACAGTGGATGAGTGTTCCACCTTCTCTGCACCTTCACCAGCATTTATATTTTGTCTTTTTGATGATGGCTATTCTAACTGGGATGAGATGATATCTCATTGTGGTTTTAACTTGCGTTTCCCTGATGATCAGTGACCTTGAGCATTTTTCACATACCTCTTGGCCACTTTATATGTCCTCTTTTGAGAAATGTCTATTCAGGTCTTTTGGCCATTTTTGAATCAGGTTATTTCTTTTCATGCTGTTGGGTTGTTAGAGTTCCTCATATATTCTGGTTATTAATCCCTTGTCAGATGGGGAGTTTGTAAATATCTTCTCCCACTCAGTAGGCTGTCTCTTCACTTTGTTCCCTTCATGGTGCAGTAGCTTTTCAGCTTGATGTAATCCCATTTGTTTGTTTTTCCTTTTGTTGCCTGTGCTTTTGAGGTCTTATCCAAAAAATATTTGCCCTGACCAATGTCCTGTAGCATTTCCCCAATGTTTTATTCTAGTAGTTTCATAGTTTATGGTCTTACATTTAAGTTTTTAATCCATTTTGAGTTGATTTTTGTCTGTATTGAAAGATGGGGATCTAGTTTAGTTCCTCTGCAGGTGGCTATTCATTTTTCCCAGCACCATTTATTAAAGAGACTTTTCTTTCCCCAGTGTGTGTTCTCAGTGCCTTTGACAAAAATGAATTTGCTGTAAGTGCATGGATTTACTTCTGGGTTCTCTACTCTGTTCCATTGGTCTTTGTGTCTGCTTTTATGCCAGTACAATGCTATTTTAGTAAATATAACTTTGTAGTGTAATTTGAAATCAGGTAGCGTGATGCCTCTAGCTTTGTTCTTTTTGCTTAGGATTGCTTTAGCTATTTGGGGTCTTTTGTGGTTCCATATGAGTTTTAGGATTGTTTTTTCTATTTCTGTGAAGAATGTCATTTGGTATTTTTGTAGGGATTGCTTGAATTAGTAGATCACTTTGGATAGTATAGACATTTTAACAATATTAATTCTTTCAATCCATGAGCAAGGGATATCATTTCATTTTTGTTTGTGTCCTTTTCAATTTCTTTCATCAGCGTTTCATAGTTTTCTTTGTATAGCTCTTTCATTTCTTTGGTTCAGCTGATTTTTAGGTATTTTATATTCTTTGTAGATATTGTAAATGAGATTGCTTTATTTATTTCTTTTTTGGATTGATCACTGTTAACATATAGAAATGCTACTGATTTTTGTGTATTGATTTCGTATCCTAAAACTTTACTGAATTTGTTTATCAGTGCTAGGAATTTTTTTGGTGGAGTCTTTAGGTTTTTTTTAAATATAAAATCATGTCATCTGCAAACATGGCTCATTTGACTTCTTCCTTTCCAATTTGGATGCGCTTTATTTCTTTCTCTTGCTTAATTGCTCAGGTTATGACTTCCAGTACTGTGTTGAATAGAAGTGGTAAAAGTGGGCATCCTGTCTTATTCCAGATCTTAGTGTAAAGACTTTCAACTTTTCCCTGGTTAGTATCATATTAGCTATGGGTTTGTCATATATGGCCTATATTGTGTTGAGGTATTTTGCTTCTATATTCATTGTGAGGAGAGTTTTTATCAAGAAAGGACGTTGAATTTTATAAAATGCTTTTTCAGCATCTGTTGAAATTATCATGTAATTTTGTCCTTTATTCTGTTGATGTGATGTATCACATTTATTAATTTGTGTATGTTGAACCATCCTTGCATCCCTGGGATGAATTCCACTTGATCATGGTGAATGGTCCTTTTAATGTGTTGTTGAATTTGGTTTGCTAGTATTTTGTTGAGGATTTCTACATGTATGTTCATCAGGAATTTTGGCCTGTAGTTTTCTTTTTGGTAGTGTTCTTGTCTGGTTTGGGTATCAGGATATTACTGGCCTTATAGAATAAGTTTGCAAGTATTCCCTACTCTTCAATTTTTTTGAAAAAGTTTGGGTAGAGTTGGTATTAGTTCTTCTCTAAATGTTTGGTAGATTTTAGCAGTGAAGCCATCAGGTCCTAGGCTTTTCTTTGATGGGAAACTTTTTATTACTGCTTTGATGTTGTTACTCATTGTTGGTGTGTTCAGATTTTCTACTTTTTCATGGTTCAATCTTGGTAGGAATTTACCCACTTCTAGGTTTTCCCATTTGTCAGCATATAGTTTTTCATAGCAGTCTCTAATGATATTTTCTATTTCTGTCATCTCCAAAGTTGTAATACTTCCTTTTTTATCTCTGATTTAATTCATTTGGACTTTCTTTTTTTCATAGTCTAGCTAAAAGTTTGTCAATTTTGTTTATCTTTTCAAAAACCAACTTTTAATTTTGTTGATCTTTTGTATTGTTTTAGTCTCAATTTTATTTATTTATGCTCTGATTTTATTTCTTCCTTTCTACTAATTTAGGTTTGGATTTTTCTTGCTCTTCTAGTTTCTTGAGGTGCATTGTTAGATTGTTTATGCAAAGTCATTCTTTTTTTTTTAATGTAGGCATTTATTGCTATACATGTCCCTCTTAGCACTGCTTTTGCTGCATCCCATAGATTTTTGGTATGTTGTATTTCCATTTTCATCTGCTTCAATACATTTTTAATCTTCTTCTTAATTTCTTCATTGATGAGTGGTCATTCAGGAGCATGTTGTTTAATTTCTACGTATTTGTACAGTTTCCAAAGTTCCTCTTTTTATTGATTTCTAGTTTTATTCCATTTTAGAAAAGATACTTGATATGATGTTGACTTTTTCAAATTGGCTGAGATATGTTTTGTGGCCACATATGATGTATCCTGGAGAATGATCCATGTGCTGATGAAAAGAATCTGTATTCTGCAGCAATTGGATGACAGGTCCTGTAAATGTCTGTTAGGTCCATTAGACCTAGACCATAGTTTAACTTGATGTTTCTTTGTTGATTTCCTGTCTGGATGATCTGCCCATTGCTGAAAGTGGAGTGTTGTCTGCTACTATTACTGTATTGCAATCTAGCTCTCCTTTTAGATATATTAACATTTGCTTTACATATTTGGGTGCTCTGGTGTTAGGTGAACATATGTTTACTATTGTTATATCCTGTTGCTGAGTTGATTCTTTTATATTAATAATGACCTTCAGGTCTTTTTAGTTTTTGACTTAAAGTCTATTTTATCTGATATAAGCATAGCTACTCCTGCTCTTCATTGGTTTCCATTTGCATTGAATATCTTTTTCAATTTCTTTACTTTCAATCTATATGTGTCTTTATAGGTGAAGTGAGTTTCTTATAGGCAGCATATAGTTGGGTCTTGTTTTTTAATCCATCTAGCAACTTTTTGTCTACCTTCAAATTTTAAAACTAGTTACTCATGTCTTTTCTTTTTTTTTTTTTTTTTTTTTTTGAAACAGAGTTTCACTCTTGTTGCCCAGGCTGGAGTGCAATGGTGCAATCTCAGCTCTCTGCAACCTCTGCCTCCCAGGTTCAAGCGATTCTCCTGCCTCAGCCTCCTGAGTAGCTGGGATTACAGGCATGCGCCACCACACCTGGCTAATTTTGTATTTTTAGCAGAGACGGGGTTTCTCCCTTTTGGTCAGGCTGGTCTCAAACTCCCGACCTCAGGTGATCCGCCCACCTCGGCCTCCCAAAGTGCTGAGATTACAGGTGTGAGGCACTGCACCTGGCCACTCATGTCATATTTTTAACATTTATAACAGAGAAAAAAATTGGGCTGCATATGATGTGACTACAGCAATGAGACAGATTTTCTTGGCACGATCTCAATCCTTCGTCTCCCATCCACACTCCTTATACGTGTGGCTCTTACCTACTGCTCTATAGCTCTGTCTTAGCTCCATCTTGCTCTTACCTGTTTGTGAGTCTGTCTCCTGTCTGTCATTTCAAAAGGCAAGATTCACTCTCTGTCCCACCACCTCCTATAGCACCTGAATGAATGAGTGAATCTCCAAAGGAACTGAGAATGCCAAGGACACAGGGATGAAGTGTAATAGCTCAACAGGGTTTCAGAGAAGAGCAGTTCGAACACACCCCTGAATTACGTCTAAGTTACTGAGTTATGAAGCCTGAAAGCAGAGAATTGAGTTTGTGAAATTCGAAGTAAAATATGTGCAAGATTGGTATAAATCAAATATGCCATAAAGCTAATGAAAAAGTGGAATTTATCTTTACTAGACAGGGTTGGCCTCATTACCCACTCGTGTCTTCTCTTCTCGTCTTTCCTGCCACTTGTGAGTAATGAGGCTCTAGGAGAGAAACCGTGCATCCTGGGAACTCCCAGTACACTCTTTCTCTGCCTGTGCCTCTGTTCCACACGGAGCATGGGCATGCAGCTAAAAGAACTGCGAGCTGCAAGACACAATGCATTTCAGATCATCAAGCTCAGTTAACTAGTTCACTCTCACCCACTCCCCCTTGCCACACCCATGCTCTCTTAGTAAAGAAGACAAATGCATGACCAATTTCTGTTTCCTCAAAAATATCGGCTTGTAAAAATTCCCAAACAACCTTGTCCTTCAGGATGGCCTGTTTTTAAATTTTGCTGTCAGTGGGTCTTTCCAATGAAGATTCAATGTTTTCAGGATTTTTTTTTTTTACCTCCTCCTCTATACTGACACTCTGATCAGATTGACAGATTTGAGTCATGTTCCATTAAAGTGACCACAATTTTGTATCTGCCTCTTAAATCTAGGGGAATTCATTTTGTTTGGAATGCCCTAAATACATTTTAAAGATTAAGAAAAATCTTTTTTTCTTCTTGCATTTATTTTCCATGCCTTGCTCTTTTTGCTTGAGTCTGAGTTGAAGATTCAGAATCTCAGAATCAGAATAGCAACAGTAAATGAGCCACATAACACGGGCTCGTTCGAAAACGCAAATTGAGAGGTGTGCAGTTTTTCAGCAGCACCAGAGTGGGGAGGCCGTGTGTGTGAGGGGCTCTGTGGCCGTCCATTGGCCATAACAGTGCCCCCTTCTGGCCTCTGTCTTGTTGCCCAGACCAGGAACTGGACATAGACCCAGCGCAGCTTTGTCACGGAGTGTCGGCTGACACCGTTTCTGTTTGGCACTCTGCTGTGATCTGTGCTCTAAACCCTCATTTACTCTGTGCACATATTTACTCTGCAAGGGAAATAATTACTGCCTAGAAACCAGTCCAAGAAACGCTGAATGCTTCAATTTTCTAAAAATATGTATCTCAAAAAAATGTTTGGATTTTTTTCTACCTTCATTTGCTTTCATTTTGAAGGATTAAGTGGAATATAATAGTTGTGATGACGAGTAATCATTCTGCAACATGGGACTGAATTCAATGTACACCTGTAGGGGAATCCAAAATGCTGCTGTTGGGATACATGCACAGAGCGGTTCCTGCAGCTCATTTGTATTAAGTACTCAAATGTCATGGGAGCCAATTCCAAACTGGAGGCCAGCAAGGCAAAGGAGTTGATCACCTTGGTGGCTTCAAAGTTAATACCGCTCTCCTTCACCACCCTGAATATTCCCACTGAATCTCACCTCTCCCAGAGTCCTGACGTTTCTTTTCCTATGGATTATTTTTTCTAGGCATCCTCTCCCACAAATACGTACCTCAAGTGGTAGACAATTACCACCAAAGATTTCATTTCTAGGATTTATAGCACATTATTTCCCCTGAGGAATAACCCCAAAGCCAAGATCAAGTCTGAGCCCATCAGACAGGCATATTACTCAGTTTGTAAGGAAGACATTTTCAGGGACCTGGGTAAGTTGAAATTATTGAATTTACAGCCAGTCCACCATAGATCAAGTGCAAGATTGTTTCTTCTTAAAGATTTCTACACTTTTTGAGTTCCTTAACCGTAATTTTTTTCGAGTTAGGAGACAAAATTTCCCAGACTGAAAATTCAGTGTCTCTGAATCACAGAGACTTGAGATCACACATCTCTGCAAGAAAATCATCCCTGAAGCTGGGAGCGACAGAAAGATGCTGTCTCTGTCTCCCTCACTGTGAGTGTAAGGTCCAGTCTTGTCCTGATTCTGCCCTGGGCTTGCATGCTGTCCTGTTCCTGTTATAGAAAGTAGGGCTGATGACACCGCCTTGCAGGGCTGAGAGGTCACATGTGAGTGTGTGTACTTGAGATGGCAGCACGGCCCTTGATTTTTCCATTGATTCAACACCACGTGGTGGCTGTTTCTTTTTTCTTTTCTTTTTTTTTTTTTTTTTATAAGACAGAGTCTTGCTCTGTTGCTCAGGCTGGAGTACAGTGGCATGATCTCCGCTCATTGCAACCTCTGCCTCCCGGGTTGAAGCGATTCTCCTGCCTCAGCCTCTCGAGTAGCTGGGATTACAGGTGCCCACCGCCATGCCTGGCTAATTTTTGTGTTTTTTAGGAGAGACGGGGTTTCACCATGTTGGCCAGGCTGGTCTCGAACTCCTGACCTCGTGATCTACCCACCGCAGCCTCCCGAAGTGTTGGGATTGTGGGCGTGAGCCACCCCACCCAGTCAGTGGCTGTTTCTTAACAATAAAAAGCCTGGTAAAAAAAACAAAAAAAAAACAAAAAAAAAAAACAAAAAACAAAAAACAACAACAACAACAAACCCAGGGGGTCTTTGGCACTTCATGGCCCTTGATTTGTCCACTGATGCACACCACATGATGGCTGTTTCTTAAAAATAAAAGTGCCTGGTTAAAAAAAAACAAACAAAACAAAATGGGGTCTCTGGCACTCCCTTGCCCCAGCACCGACAAGGCCCTGTCCCTCTCCACACTCTTCGCTCACTGCCCTTCTTCTCCTCCTTAGGGCCTTGGCACTGGCTGTTCTCCAGTCCCCAGCTGACTCTTTTGCATCCATCTTTGCTCAAGAAAAAGAGCCTATAGCCAAAGTGCATGTAAACCTACAAACCTACAAACCTACTGTCTTTTTTTTTTTTTTTTTTGGCCTTCAAACCTACTGTCCCACCGTGCTGTACCTCTGTCTTCTGTTTATTGTCTGTCTCCCCACTACTGGAATGGAAATCCTTCTAGGGATGCCTCTTTGATTCACCAGACATGTCCCAACACCTACAGGAGCATCTGGCATGTCATAGGTACTCAACTAGTGTTTATTGAGAATGAGTGTGTATTTCACATGTCTATATGTAAAACCACTGGCTTTTTCAATTCTTGGTTCCGTTTTTAAAGTACCGATTCTAGTACAAAGACAAAGTTGTAATTTCTCTAATGTTGTAATTTTGCTAATGATGGTAATAAGAAAATGATAATGATACAGACATAATATTTCTGGGATATCTTTTAATGTCAGTATTACACTGAGGCTGTAAAACATCTTCAAAATTAGTTCTTAGATGAGCCATCAGCTCATTGCATTAGAATAATCATGCAGTGTTTGCTTTAAAGGAGTTATTTGTTTTCCTGATTTTAGGGTATGTCTGCAATGTACTCTCTTTCAGGGATAAGCTTATGGACCGCCATCAAGATATCAGCAAAGCATTCACCAAAACTGATCAATCCAAAACCAACTACATATCCATATGCAAGATGCAGGAAGTGCTGGAAGAATGTGGATGTTCTCTTACCGAAGGGGAGCTGACCCATCTGCTAAACAGGTCTTTTTGGACTCAGTTAAATATGTTTCTCATGGCCCTGAAAAACATACTGGAGAATTGCCTTTGTTTCTTCTGTATGTCCGCCCAAACAGCCTTCTGAGATGAAAATACCCTCCATGTCTTCCTGTTTGCTGGGTTACATTAGAATGGGTTTGAGTCTACCCAAAGCAATAAAAGAAAGCCCCCTGACAAATGCATAACTTTTCCTGATGTGTCTTAGCAGCAGTGCCACCATTTCTTAACATCAGTGGGGTTTTTTTTGTTTACTTGGTTGTTTTGTTTTTTTGAGATGGAGTCTCGCTCTATCACCCAGGCTGGAGTGCAGTGGTGCGATCTCAGCTCACTGCAACCTCTGCCTCCTGGGTTCAAGTGATTCTCGTGCCTCAGGCTCCCAAGTAGCTGGGATTACAGGTGTACACCACCACGCCTGGCCAATTTTTGTATTTTTAGTAGAGACGGGGTTTCACCACGTTGGCCAGGCTGGTCTCAAACTCCTGACCTCAGGTGATCCGCCCACCTCAGTCTCCCAAAGTGCTGGGATTATAGGCGTGAGCCACTGCGCCCAGCCAACATTAATTTTTATTTTATCCAAGTTATTCCAGCACTTTGGCAGGAATCACGTAGTTCTACGAGGCTGGTTACTAAAACCAGCAGTCCTTTTGCCCTGCTGCAGCCCTTATTTCACTACCCAAAGTCAACAACTTCCAATCCTGTTGACTGATGTTTTTTGATAGTGAATGTACCTGTACTTCTTTTTTTTTTTTTTTTTTTTTTTTTTTTTTTTTTTTTTTTTGACATGAAGTCTCCCTCTGTTACCCAGATGGTAACACGGGGTTACACCGTGTCAGCCAGGATGGTCTCGATCTCCTGACCTTGTGATCTGCCCACCTCGGCCTCCCAAAGTACTGGGATTACAGGCATGAGCCACCACACCCGGCCAATGTCCCTACTTCTAAGTGACAGGCATATATTGCTACTTCTTGATTTTTCACTTTTAGGCAGTTTCTATTGACTTACTACCAAGAAAATGTGGGTTTAACTCTTTTCACCCATCCCATGCCACCAACCATCTCAGCCCCCTCAGCCTCCGTTACCTCATGGAAACACAAGAAAACTTACCTCCGCATGCCACATGCCTATCGTATTGCTGCGTCAGTTTTGGTTTGCTCCACATTCTAGATCTACATTTGCTGTGACTAGCTCATCACTTTTCTTTTCTACATAGCACTTTTTCCCTGAAGTCAAATTATCCTATTTCTTCTGTTCATTTAGTTTCCTATGTACTTATTCTCCTACTAATTAAATCCCCAATTTAATCTCTTTCCAATCCATCGAGACACGTCAGCTAATCTGTCAGCTTCATCTTCTTGAAGATTGCCCTTTTCATGTTCTAAATTCTTAGAAAGTTTCTTGACTTATTTTATTAATGAATTCCTCCCCTGTTCTATTTTTTCTGAAACTCCTGTTGTTATTGAATATTGAACTGCCTGGACTGTTCTCTCACATATTTTAAATCTTTTTTTCTTCTTTCTCTTTTTCTACCTTCTGGGAGATTTCCTCAGTTTTAGCTCCCAGTCCTTCTTTGAGATTTTTGTTTCTGCTACCATACTTATATTTCTAATTACTAGAGCTCATTTTAGTTCTCTGTGTGTTCCTTTTTTATAACATCCTACTCTTGTTTCATGGATGCGCTATCTCATTTCTCTGAAGGTATTAACAATAGGCTTTTAAAAAAAGTTTTCTTTACCAGATAAGTCTCTCCTCAGTGTTGCTTTTTAAAACTATTACTCATGTTGGATATTTTCTTCAAAAATATGTCCATACTAAGAGTGGAGGACGGGGCACTGAGGTGCAGATTAGAAGTTCTACACAGATAGGTGGAGCTTGTTGACTTTGGATTGAAATGTATGGTACTCTGGCTTGAAGTTTTCTTGGGGGCCCCCAATGTCAGTATCTTTAAAACTTTTTGTTTGGCCTTTTCAGATTTACCAGAGAATAGACTTGCCAAACAAAATACAAGATTCTCAGTTAAATTAGGACTTAAGATAGACAATAATTTTTAAATATGTCTCATGTAATATTTGAGTTATACTAAAAATTTTGTTGTTTATCTGAAATTCTAATTCAACTATGTATCCCTGTAGATTTGGTATGTTGATTTGTTTATTTGTTTGCTAATTGGGCAACCCAACGAGAGAAGACTCTTTGGTCTCCTGTTGTCAACACTCTAGGAACTGACTGGTCACAGAAGGCTGAATATTTCACCAGTCACTGTGGTAAGCTGAATCATCCCTCCCAAAGATATACAGTTCCTGATTCCTGGAATCTGTGGACATTACCTTATTTGGAAAAAGGATCTTTATAGATACACACAACTAAGCTAAGGACCTGGAGAAGGGAAGATGAGCCTGGATTATCTGGATGGGCCTTCAATGCCATCACAGGTGTCCTTATAAGAGGGAGGCAGAGGGAGATTTGACACAGACAAAGAGAAGGCCATGTGACCAGGGAGGCAAAGAGTAGAGTGATGTGGCCACAAGCCAGGGACTGCCAACTGCTCCCAGAAGCTGAAAGAGGCAAATAACAGATTATCTTCTAGAATCTCCAGGGAAAGTACAGTCCTGCCAACAACAGGGAACTCATTTTAGATTCCGGTGTCCAGAACTGTAAGAGAATCAATGTGTGTTGCTTTAAGCCACCAGGTATGTACTATTTTGGTACAAAGCCATAGGAAACTAACAAGTCAGTGTATACACTTTTTATTAATCCTCCCCTTTTCATTAAGAACCCTCCCTACCTTGGACTAGGACAGATGCCCTCCTGCTCAGAAACAACATCTCCGGAGAATATACCTCCAGGTCTTCCATTAGGGTTGGGAGGGACAGGCACCCAGACACGTGAAGTCTGGCAAGAGGTCTGGGGTCTGCTTGCTTCCCAGTCTTTTAATCAACCCTATTTTAACTCCTCCTTTAGCTCCACTTCTAGATATACCTGATATCATCAGTTCCAGAGCCTCTGAGGGTATTTGCAGGACATATCAGATTTTCTCTCTTCCACATTCCCTCTGTTTTAGGAAGTGATTTCTTGGATTCTGATACATCTATTCCCATTATCCATAGATGCTCCAGCAGCTGTTCTCTTCTTCCACATACTCCTAGTCCTTCGGAGTTTATGCCAGCGGTCCCCAAACTCCAAGCATCAGAACCATTGCAAGGGCTCATTAAAACTCAAGATTGTTGGGTCCCTCCCCCAAAGTTTCTGATTCAGTGGGCTCGGGAGTGTGCATTCATAACGAGGGCTCAGGTGATGCTGACGCTGCTGGACTTTTGCACCCCACCTTGAGAACCACTGTTTTAAACCTTTTTAAAACTCCCTTTTCTGTCATTTTAGAAGAGTTTTGAGTGGTAACAGAACTAGATATGTGTGTTCAAGCCACTTTATTTAACTGGAAGTCTTATTCTCATACACTTTTACCCTGAAACAACTTGAGCTAATTGCCTTCTCTGACTCCTATTTCTGTCTGTATAATTGAGCCATGCTGACAGAATGCATGACTCTTACGTCCCTCACTTTGTAAGGGGAGAATATTAGCACCCCTTTCCTCTTTAAAACATTGTTTATCCCTTGAGCCCAGGAATTCAAGGCTGCAATGAGCTATGATTGCACCACTGTACTCCAGCCTCACAAAAAAAGCGAGACCACGTCACAAAAAAAAAAAAAAAAAAAAAAAAAATCAGTTGTTGCTCAAGAGTTTACAGTATACATTTAGAGCTAGCCTAAGCCCACCTTTAAGTAACATAATACAACTTAATGGGAAGTACAGGAAACTTATAAAAGGGTATTTCCAATTTCTCCCTTCTGTACCTGATGACATGGCTGTCATTCATTTACCCGTGTGCTTTTAATCACCCAACACATGGTTGTTATTATTACTCCATTGATCAACTAAGAGTGAGAAAAAAAAGATGTTATTTTACCGTTATTTATTCCTTCTCCGACACCCTTCTTTTCTTGATGTAGATCTGTATGATTTTCCTTCTCTCTAAAGAATGTCTTTTTACATTTCTTGAAGGGTAGGGCTGCTGGTAATAAAGTCTCTCAGTTTTATTTGTCTGAGAAAGTCTTTATTTCTCCCTTATTTCTGACAGAGAATACTGGATTTAGCATTCTAGGTTTAAACTGTTGAAATATTTCAACACTGCAAATATTTCAGTCCACTCTCCTCTTGGTTGCATGATTTCTGGCAAGAAGCCTGATGTTTATAATTCATTATCTTTGTTCCTCTATAGATAAGGGTGTTTTCCTAAGATTTTCTGGCTTATTTCAAGATTTTCTCTTTGTCTTTAGTTTTCTCCAGTTTGAATATAGTATGTTTAGGTATAGATTTGGGGGGATTTATCCTGCTTGGTGTTCTCTGAACTTCCTGGATGTGTAATTTGCTGTCTGTCATTAATTTTGGGAATGTTTCTACCATTATTAATTAAAATGGGTTTTTGTTTTTGTTTGTTCTCTTGTTTTGTTTCTTTGTTTGTTTGCTTATTTCTCTTTCTCTTTCTGGTATTCCAATGATGCAGGTGTTACACATTTTGAAATTTTCCCAGTCTTTGGATATCTTGTCCTATCCACCCTCTCCCCGTTCTTTTTTTCTTTGCATTTCAGTTTCAGAGGTTTCTACTGATATACTTCAAGCTCACTAATTCTCTCCTCAACCATGTCCGGTCTGCTGATGAGCGCATCAAAGTCATTCTTCATTTCTGTTGCAGTGGCTTTTTTTTTTAATTTCTGGCATTTTCTTTTAATTCTTTCTTAGAGTTTCCATCTCTGATTACATTGCCCACTTGTTCTTGCATGTTGTCTACTTTTTCCATAAGAACACTTTACATATTAACCATAGTTATTTTAAATTCCCTATCTGATAATTTCAAAATATGTGTCATATATGAGTCTGCTTCTGCAGCTTGCTTGGTTTCTTCATACTGTGTCTTTTCTTGACTGTTTATATGCATTGTACTTTTTGTTGTTGTCAAAAGCCAGACAGGAACTGAGGTATATAAGCCTTTAGAGATTTTATGTTCATTTGGCTAGGAGTTAGGATATGTTTAATGTTTGCTGTAGCTATTGGTGCAAAGGCTCCAATTTACTCCAGTGTCCTTGTTTTTTCCTCTCCTGTTTTCTGGGTTTCCCTAGGAGCTCCTTCTTAAATAGAGTATGTGTTTTGCAGTTCTTTCAGTTGTAATCCATTATTATTTCACTACAGCTGGGTTGATGTGGTGGTAAAATATTGGGGAGGGGAAACATTCTATAGTTTTATGATTACATTTCTGTCTTTTAGTGGGCTGAGTCCATGGGCTACAACATTTAGAAATGTTTATTGGGTTTTTTTTCCACTTAGGTAAAACAGGAATGCTAGATGGGGCTGGAGTTGGCTGATTGCCCTTCCCCTAAAGCTAAGATAAGGCTCTCAGAAAGTCTTTTCCCTTGGAAAGTTGTTATAGAGAAGGCTGGGGACATATTGCACCAGGATTGCTCTTCCCCTTCCCCTGCCAGAACCCTGAGGGGATCTTTCTCAGATCTTCACTGTGAGAAGCTAGTGAGACTCCTGAAGTTAAAGCCCATGAAAGTGGTGGTGGGGGTGGGGAGGTACGTAAGACTGGGCCCCCAGAATTTCTTACTCTTACACTAGTCCACACTCAGCCTCTACGAATTTGCCAAGATTACCATGTGAGTATTCCTGCCAGCCTGTGCCTCCAAAGGCTTTTGCTCCAGGAAAGCAGGCCCCAGCTGTGATTCTCTGCATGTGCCTGTCTCTCCAGGTTTCAGGTTGACATTTTGCCCTGTGACCTCACTTCTTCTCCTCCTCCCTCTGCCACTTTCCCCACTCCTTCCATGTCCAGCTTTTGGCAGCTACACTTTGATTTTTCCTTTGGATAGGTAGTTAAATTTAACCTTCTGTCCTGCAGCCACAACCAGTTCCTTCCTGCTTGGTTCATAGGTTGATTCTAAAACTTGAAAACTATTAAATACCATTTTATTATTATAACTATGTAAATATTGTTCAGTATCCAGGTAATGAAGGAAAACTAGCTTGTTTTCCAGTGGTACTATCCCTGAGCCTCTAGCCTTAGTGTCAAATAGATTCTCTTGTAGATTACACCAATTGCTGAAAATCATTTCACATATGTCTCAGTCCCTTTGGGCTGCCATAAAAAAATGTAAACTGTGTGGCTTATAAACAACAGAAATTCATTTCTCACAGTTCTGGAGGCTAGGAAGTTCAGAATTGAGGTACCAGCAGATTTAATATCTGCTGAAAATGTCCTGGATCATAGATGTCTGTCTTTTCACTGTAACCTCATGTGGCAGAAGGGACAAAGGTCTCTCTGGGGCCTCCTTTATGAAGGCACTAATCTCATTCATGAGGGCTCGGTTTTCATGACCTAATCACCTCCCAAAGGCCTCGCTGCTAAAAGGTCATTACCTTGGGAGTTAACATTTTAACATATGAATTTTGAGGGGACACAAATAGGCCATAGCAATGTTTTAAATTTGTTTCATATCTATGATTTTATTGGATAGGTTGTTTCCTGGAGTTTAATTTATTCTTTATTTTCTTTATGATATCTGCCTTTGTTTTACCTTGTCAAATAAAGACAAATCCATACTTAAGTAAAAGAGACTTTATCTGAAACGACTATTGCAACAGGGAGAGGAAGATTATTACAATGGAGAGAATGCCCCAACCATGAAATCTGTAAGCATCTCAAAGAGCAAGCAGAAGAGGGCTTTTCTTTAATGGGGAAGAGTAAACAAGGATACAAAGAACCAAGCATGGGGAGTAAGATGAATAGATGGTATGACCAGACAGCTGGGCAAGAAACATCTTTCCTGTGGTCAGAGTCCCTGAGGAGCAATTAGGGAGGGGCTATTCCACATTCTGATGCTGGCTTTGGCTGAGGTGGGTCCAAGTTCAAGGTTCTGGAGAAAAGAGAGTAGCTTAACTAAACTGTGGTCAGTTAGTAGGTATTTTGTCCAGATTAGTCAGTGGGAACAAACAGTTCAGCTAATAATTTATGAGACAGAGACTGGGAATTTGGAGGGTCTATGTCCTTGCTATCAGAGGTAAACCTTGGGGCATCTATGAATCTTTTCTAAGTCATATGGGGAAAAGGTAGTTGTTTGCAGTAGCCTTATCCAGGGACATTAAGGTTGGGGTGATTTCTTTAACCATCACTTTTTTCTAGAACAGGGCTCAGATAACGTTCAATATTTTTGACCTTCAGGTTTCCCCAGCATTCTATTCCACTTTCTCCTCTCTTGAGTTTTTTTCCCCTGGCATCTGTATCTGATAACCTGGTGCCCTCCCACCCCCTGCCACATTTTCCTGCTCTAGGTCTGCGATCTACCATCCTGTGCTGCCTCCACTATTATCTAGGTTGGATCCCCTGTCTCCTATATCCCACATCTCTTTGTTTCTTGATTTACATTCTTCTTTTGCTGGAGTACTTCCTGAAGTAATCTCATAAGAATGGGTGGACAGGAAGTAAATTTTCTGAGTTCTTATTGAACTGAAACTTTTTAAATTCTTCTTCACACACATTGATGGCTTGTCTGAGCATAGACTCTTAGGAAGAAAATAATTCCCTTAAAAGTTTGAAGACATTGATCCATTGTGTTTGAGCTATGAGAAGTCCAACGCCTGTGTGTATGTGTGTGTGTGTGTGTGTGTGTGTGTATGTGTATAGAAAGGAAGGACCATTTCATCCTCAAATGCCTATATGTTTTTTTCTTCCTTAAACAGGATCTCTTTTCACTGAATCTATTTCCAGCTGAACAAGAATTCATATGCATTCAATGAATAAATCATGGAAAAATAGCAGATAAATTAACTAAATGATTATAAGAGATTCTTGTTAAAACATAGTTAGGCTTGATACTTTTATAAACAACAACAAAAGGACTGGGATTTCTGAAGCCCACCTTTCAATGCGGGTGATCAACTTTTTTATGTATTGAAACCTTAATAAGGATCCATTGCACAGTTGCTTGTTTCTTCTCAAAGACCTCTTGATGATAAACATCTCTGTTACTTGTAATTATATGTAGATTATTCTTTTCTAGATCCAAAATAGACTTTTCTAAATACTACTGAGATTAGCATATGCATATGATTTTATTACTACATTTTAATACCACGTTGGCAATTTATCCCGCTGATGAAATAGTGTTGATTGTCCTTTTCCTTGGTGTCTCCATCATGCAAGCCGACCCGACGCAGAGCCTGTGCAAGGCGGCTCTGCAGCTGTGGGTTGGAAAAGCTCAGCTCTTGGCTCATCTTCTTTAGAAGCAGATATCTGAGTCACTGGAAACTTCTGTCTCCACCTTACCGGCATTCCAAGCTCTTCTACGTTGACACTTGAGCCCAATGCTGCTGAGAGAAAGTTTAGGTGTTTAAGTGCCAGCAATTCCCCAGGAATTTAAGTTGTAGAAATGTGAACTTTGAATGCAATTAAACTTTATTTTAATTATTTTGCATCTTTAATAGATATGCTATATGTTCCGTGAGACTTTTGGATTTTACCTCACAATTTAGTCTTCCAGAACTTAGGTAATTTCTTCTGTGTCAGAGTCAAGGAGATGAATGAGCCTCTGCTTCCATAGGGATGTCCTTGCTGAGCCATCGATGCAGGTGGATTTTTATTTGAGAAAATCCTCAGCTAGATAGGTTTTGTAAAATATCTTTTGAGTGCTTTCAGCTTGACAACTTCATTTCAACCACTCCTGAAAGAGAATTTAATGTATTTCTTACTCAGTTCCTCTTCTTCTTTTCACTGTCTTTGACATGTTTCCTCTCTTTTAAATCCCACTGCAATTTCTAAGTCCAGGCCCTTCTTGGTTAAGGCCTCCATGACCCCAGGAGCCCCCCATCCAGACTGCTGCTCTCCCACCACTGCCACCACCCCACAGTCTCACTTCCACACTGTCTTTGAGCCGCTGTCAGATTTATCTTCCCATGATGCTGCTATGCAAATGTCACATCCCTGCCAACATACTTTCACGTGCCCCCGTCATAGGGCCAGATTCTCAGCAGACACCTCCCTTACCATCTTCTGCAAAGCCACGAACCCTGATATCCAGCCTTCAAGCCTCAGGTCTTCAGGTCGGGCAGCTGTGGCCCTCCGGCCGTCAGTGAACTGCACTCTCACCTCTCATCACCCTGTGTCCTCTTATTGCAGGATGTGTGTGTCTACCTGAGAGCAGAGCTAACTGCCATGTCTGCACGTACAGCGAAGGGAATGGTGTCTTAAAATTATTCATTTTCCCCACATTGCCCAATGTGCTCAGCAACTGTTGAATGAATAAGCAGTAGGGTGGCTTTTTAAAATGAATATGTTCTTTTCTTCCTTTTGGGACAAGTTGGGGAGTCAGCCGGCATGATAATGCTATCAATTACCTCGACTTCCTGAGAGCAGTGGAGAACAGCAAGTCAACAGGAGCTCAGCCCAAGGAAAAAGAAGAGAGCATGCCAATCAATTTTGCAACGCTGAATCCACAGGAGGCTGTGAGGAAGATCCAGGAAGTAGTTGAGTCCTCCCAGCTGGCTTTGTCCACGGTATGACAGGCTGAAAGTGCTTTACTGTGAAAACTCATCTTGATTCATGAAAACACCTCTCAGCCCCACCCTGAAACCCCTCCCACCTCTGTTCATTCTCCTTGGGGTGTCTAGTTAACCATGAGCAGAGTTTTTATGTGGGTAGTTGTGTATCCACTCTTCCACCCCAGCATGTGCTCTCTGAGGTGGGAGTGCTCAGCATTTAGAAATGCTGAGTCTGGGGTGAGGACATGGGGCTCTGGGCAAAAAAGGCAGAAAACAGAGGCCCTTGGGCAAGAGTGGGCTCAGCGCATCCTGGGAGCTCTCAACGCAGCCAGGCACTGGGTCCACAGAGATGAAGGACTCAAGGTGGCCTTGAAGAGGTTGAACTGAGCCAGGTTGTGGCACAGAGACTTCATTGTGAAGTCCTCCAGGAGCAAGGGGAGTCACCTGAGTAGGTTGACATTCTACAGCTTCCATCTGCGTGGTGCTTTAGACGGTGTACGGAATGATGCCTATGTGTATGGAATGATGCTTGCATGTAGGCAATGATGCCTGCGTGTAGGGAATGATGCCTGCGTGTACGGAATGATGCCTGCATGTAGGGAATGATGCCTGAGTGTAGGGAATAATGCCTGCATATAGAGAATGATGCCTGCGTGTAGGGAATGATGCCTGCGTGTGTGGAATGATGCTTGCCTGTAGGGAATGATGCCTGCGTGTACGGAATGATGCCTGTGTGTAGGGAATGATGCCTGCATGTATGGAATGATGCCTATGTGTATGGAATGATGCTTGTATGTAAGCAATGATGCCTACGTGTACGGAATGATGCCTATATGTATGGAATGATGCTTGCATGTAGGGAATGATGCCTGCATGCAGGGAATGATGCCTGCGTGTAGGGAATGATGCCTGCGTGTAGGGAATGATGCCTGCGTGTACGGAATGATGCCTATGTGTATGGAATGATGCTTGCAGGTAAGCAATGATGCCTACATGTACAGAATGATGCCTATATGTATGGAATGATGCTTGCATGTAGGGAATGATGCCTGCATGTACAGAATGATGCCTGCATGCAGGGAATGATGCCTGCGTGTAGGGAATGATGCCTATGTGTAGGGAATGATACCTGCGTGTAGGGAATGATACCTGCGTGTAGAGAATGATGCCTATCTGTAGGAAATAATGCCTGCGTATAGGGAATAATGCCTGCATGTAGGGAATGATGCCTGCATGTAGGGTATGATGCCTGCATGTAGGGAATGATGCCTGCATGTACGGAATGATGCCTATGTGTATGGAATGATGCTTGCATGTAAGCAATGATGCCTACGTGTACAGAATGATGCCTATACTTATGGAATGATGCTTGCATGTAGACAATGATGCCTGCGTGTAGGGAATGAGGCCTGCATGTACGGAATGATGCCTGCGTGTAGGGAATGATGCCTGCATGTAGGGTATGATGCCTGCGTGTACGGAATGATGCCTGCGTGTACGGAATGATGCCTATGTGTATGGAATGATGCTTGCATGTAAGCAATGATGCCTACGTGTACGGAATGATGCCTATACGTATGGAATGATGCTTGCATGTAGACAATGATGCCTGCGTGTAGGGAATGATGCCTGCATGTACGGAATGATGCCTGCGTGTAGGGAATGATGCCTGCATGTAGGGAATGATGCCTGCGTGTAGGGTATGATGCCTGCTTGTAGGGAATAATGCCTGTGTGTAGGGAATGATGCCTGTGTGTATGGAATGATGCCTGCATGTACAGAATAATGCCTGCACGTAGGGAATGATGACCGCGTGTAGGGTATGATGCCTACATGTATGGAATGATGCTTGTGTGTGTGGAGTACTGATGCTGTGGACTGTGCTGGTGTCCTTGGATATTGTGCTTGGAACCAGCCTCCTGGTGAGGTGGTGCTCCCAGGTGAGCTTCTGTGTGTCAGCGTCAAGAAGGGAAGATGCTTTCTGCAGAGGGCAGGCATCGAAGAGAACAAGGCAGCGTCGGAATCATCCTGTGGGAAGCCGGCACCCAGAGCCCAAACAGCCACAGCAACCCAGACTGAAAGATCCACTCAACACCTCTCAATCCCCACAGTGAACATCCCTTCTAACGTCACAGAGTCCTGGCTCCACACACTCTAGAGGGCTTCCCAGGGTGCTGGGGGGCCACAAGCCCTAATGAGAGTTCATGAGTCTTTTTCTCTTTGATCATAACCTTGCAAGGTGGGGCTCCTGATTCCACTCTACAGGAGGGGAAACTGAGGCTCAGCGTGAATAAACCTGCCCAGGGTCACACAGGGACTATGGAGCAGAGCCCAGAACCTGAGGAGGAAGGGGAAATGGACTTGTCGCAGCCCTTCTTTTCCAAATCCAGGTGGTTTGAAGAATTGAAGTCCTGAAGATCTTTACTAGAGATGTGATGTCTACTGCCCATGACTTCTTCTGAGGATCGACCTTAGTTAGTGTCATGACTTTTGAAGAAATCAAGGCTAGTGACCCTTTTAGGGTATCAGACTCTTGGAGGTGGGAATCACTCACTCTCCACTCCTGAGATCTATTTTAAACTTTTTTTTTTTTTTTTGTAAATCACATCCCAATTTCCTTGGTGTAGGGAAGCAAGGTGGGCTCCGGAGTCCCGGTGCGGTGTGAGGGATTAAATGTGGGGAGGGAAGGAGTGAGGAGGGGCAGCCCAGCCAGCTGAGCTTTGCAGGAGGCTCCTCTTCACACCTGAGCCTGCCGCTGCCATTGCCCCTGCGGCACAGTTGTCTGTGTTCATTCTTATGATCGTTCTCCTTAACATTTGAGATCCCCACGGGCCAGGTACCTGGATGGGGGCATTTTCCAGCAAACTTAGGAAAACTTACACCTGCCCTCTGAGTTAAGTCCATCTTTACAGTAAAGAAGCTAAAGTTTAGAGAGGTTCAGGACTTATGGTGGGCAGCAGAGCCCAGGTTCCCAGAACAACTCCTGGCTAGGGGATTTCCCACTGTACACAGCTACCTCATGTTACCATGAACTACATGAAAATGTGAAGCTATCTGATGTTTTAAGGTTAATTTGATTACACATATGCCATCACCCTGTTGGGCCAATGGGGCGTGCCTAATTAGCCCCGAATGAGAATTAACTACAAGGGTGTGGGGTTTGCAGGCATGCTAAATTCTTCCTTTAAAAAAGATCTTAATCTACCCCTGGATGCAGATTTCCTGGTGTAATAAAAATGAATGATTTTATTTCGACAGATGGAAAAAAATGTGCTTTCTTTTTATAGCACATTTTTGCACTTTTTCAGTTTAACTACTCTACTGTAGGATTCACAACGTGTGCCCCCGCTGCTCCAGTGCAGACCCAGGGCAGCTTCTCATGATGCAAGGCCACTCGGGCTCTGGCCGAGACTCAGGAAAGGACAGCAACCTCAGCACACAAGCCTGGTTGTGAAGGACAGGGGTGGGGTCAGGGTGGTCCCCTGATCCCTCCTCCCAGCTGCTCCCAAAGTCAGACTCCTGTCTTGAGACACCAGCCCTGATGTGATGCGGTGGGGTCTCTCCTGAGCCTCCTGTTACAACTAATTAATACTTAAAGGAAGTAGAATGTAAGGGTCAAGAGAGCTTGAGCAAGTTACTCTCTGCTCTGCTCTGTAAAACAGGGATCCTGGGAGCAGGGGCGAGGCTTCCATCAGGAAGGTTACGGGTGCTTGGGGCCAGGATTCCTCTTTATTCTCCTTCCTCCTCACATCCAAATAGGAGCAAGTAAGGCAAATTTCCTCTAGAACTCATAAGCTCCCATACTGCGTTCATATCATACTTGTCTCAGTCCTTCAATAATGGTGCATTTATTTAGTAATTTAGAATTTACAAGGTACTTTTATACACTAGGCTTCATTTGCATTCAGCAGAAACAGTACTTAAGGAAAGTGTTTTAGAAGTATTCATTTGACAGGATTTGCCATCTTTTTTTCTTTTCTTTCTTTTTAGGCATTTTCTGCATTGGATAAAGAGGATACAGGATTTGTAAAGGCTACAGAATTCGGACAAGTTCTTAAGGATTTCTGTTACAAACTAACGGACAATCAGTATCATTATTTTTTGAGGAAACTAAGAATTCATCTAACCCCCTATATAAATTGGAAATATTTTCTCCAGAACTTTAGCTGTTTCCTTGAGGAGGTAAGAATGTCTGCAGCACATAAGCATCTCTTTGAAAATGAGCTAAAATTAGTTTTTACAAAATGGATAATTGATTAGAACCATATCAGATAAATTGGCAATCACCTCATGTAATTAGCTCATTCTAAATGAAAAACTGGTATAAATTATATACAGAGTATTAGAAGGTGAATATGCATCCTTTACTTTGTTGGAAATTTTTATTTTATTTTATTTTAATTTTCAAAGAGGTTTGGGAGCTTGTTTTCTCTGGTTGATTTAGCATTCTAAGGAGTCTTAGATCCCAGAAGATGATCTGGGAAATGAGATTACTAAAGCAAACAGCATGAACATTTTTAAGGTTTCAGGTTAATAATAACAGCAGCAAACACTATAGCATGTCTTCTATGTACCTGCCACTATTTCTAGTCCTTTGTATATATATTAACATGTGTAATCATGTTGAGGTCACTATGAGATACAAGCTGTTACTATCCCCAGTTGAGAGATGAGGCCTTGGCACAGAGACATTAAGTATTATCCACAGTCACCCAGCTAGTGAGTAATGGGGCTGGTTTGTAAGCCTGACTCCAGGTTCCTAAACACTGTGGTTTTTGTGATTTTTTTTTTCATCTTTGCCATTTAGATGGATGTTTCTAAACAAAATACACTATTGTGTTGCATGCCTTTAAGCTTTATGTAAGTGATATTATATTGAATGTTGTATCTGCACTTATTTTTTCTTATAGTAATGCATTTTAGATTTATCCATGTTAATATGTTGGCTTTAGTTGATGCACTTAAGCTGCTATAAAAAGTCGGTGGTTCATGCCTGTAATCCCAGCACTTTGGGAGGCCGAGGTGGGCAGATCACCTGAGGTCAGGAGTTTGAAACCAGCCTGGCCCACATGATGAAACCCCATCTCCACTGAAAATACAAAAAAAAAAAAAAAAAAAAACATAGCCGGATGTGGTGGCTGGTGCCTGTAATCCCAGCTACTCAGGAGGCTGAGGCTGGAGAATCACCTGAACCCAGGAGGCGGAGGTTGCAGTGAGCCGAGATTGCACCACTACACTCCAGCCTGGGTGACAGAGCAAGACTCTGTCTCAAAACAAACAAACAAACAACAACAACAACAACAAAAACAGTCTATTAACTGAATATATGATTGTGAATAACATGCTGCCATTCGGTCGTCACCCTCCTGTTAATGAACATGCAGGTTGTTCTCAGTTTCCTTCATTACAAGCAAAGCACCAGTCACCCTTCTGTGCTTGTCTCCTTGTGTGCACACACTGGAGCTACTCTGCATGGAATTGCTGATGGGAGGGCGGGTCCATGTTCAGCTTCCCAGAAACGGCCAGCATTCTCCTAAGTGGTTGTACAATGTACAGCCCCACCAGTGGTACAGGAGAGTTCCTGACACTCCACATCCCTGCTGTCCCTTGGTATTGTTAAACATTTTAACTTCTACCATGTGATCCTTAGTAAGGTCAGACACTTTCATGGGTTGTCAACTATTCAGGTCTCGTTGTCTACAAATGACCTGAAAGGCTTTAAGCCCTTGGTTGTCATGTGCGTCGCAAATACCTTCTGCTGGTCCATGGCTTGTCTTTGCTCTTGTTTTATAGTGACCCTTGCTATTTTTATGATTATGGTTTTTTTTTTTTTGTCATTTTAAAAGGAATACATATTCATGGGAGACATTGGGGACAATGCAAAAAATATACGTAAAAAAGGATAGCAGTAATCTAGACCCCACGATGATGGGGATGATGACAAGAACAACCTTGGCCACCATTTGGTGAGCACCTACTAAGCTCTGGGCCCTTCACCTGCGATTTCTCATCTCACTGTCATGCCTGTTGGGGAAGGCGGAGTAGACAGGCTCCCAGAAGTCATGTAGCCACCTGAGCTCAGCAAGGAGTGGCAAGCCGGAGGGTTCGGCTTCAGAGCTGGTGTTCTTTCTATGCACTACCCTGCCTTAAAGAAGTTTTTTTTTTTCTAACGCATTTTTTTACATGGTGGAGATGACAGTGTGTATATATTCATGTATCTTGCTTTTTTTCACTTAACGTTAAATTGTACCCTGTCACTTAAAGATTTCCCAAACATCAGCCAAAAGGTCTATATAACATTGCACCCACTCCCTTATTTTTAAGCATTTAGGATTTTTTTTTTCCAGCTTTTGCCTCTGTAATTTACAGTGAGCACTTTGCATGTAAATCTCTATCTACATTTTGGGTTCATTTCTTAGGAAAGATCCAAGAAATAAAATAACTGGAGTCAAGGGATAGGAATCGTTTTATTGATCTTAAAAGCAGCCCCTTATATATATTTTAAATAATTCTGTCCTATTGGGTTGGACTGTATGAAATTACCATTTTTAAAGACATAAATGATTGAATATTGACAATTTCATATGATTTAAGCTGACATTCGTAGAAGTTGTTTATGTCCATTATATACTGTTTGGAATATGCTGATACATTTGAAGAAAATAATTACAATCACCCCTTGGGACAACTAGTATTAATACTTTGGCATGTTTGTGCCCAGTCCTTTTTTTTTTTTTTTTTTTTTTGTTGAGACAGACTCACTCTTGTTGCCCAGGCTGGAGTGCAATGGCACAATCTTGGCTTACCACAACCTCCACCTCCTGGGTTCAAGCGATTCTCCTGCCTCAGCCGCCCGAGTAGCTGGGATTACAGGTGTGCACCACCATGCCGGGCTAATTTTTGTATATTTAGTAGAGATGGGGTTTCTCCATGTTGGTCGGGCTAGTCTCAAACTCCTACCTCAGGTGATCCACCAGCCTCGGCCTCCCAAAGTGCTGGGATTACAGCATAAGCCACCGTGCCCAGCCCCTTTTTATTATATGAATGTCCTCTAGGAGTGGGGCTGAGGACAGACCATGTATACTGCTGAGTTTGGGGGTTGTGTTCTGAACTCTTGCAAGTCTTTTTTTTTAACAAACATTTTTCATTTGTATCAAAGTGTAACATATGCCCATATAGAAATGAAATTGAATTGTTGCAAAAGATTTAAAAACAGAGATCACTTGACTCACCCATTTAACCTCCAGTCCTGCTCCCCAAGAACAATCACTTTTATTTTGTTTTTTTGCTGTTTCTTCAGCTGCATATATTCCTGTCTCTCAATAATATTCTTACCCTGCCATTTCCTAAATGATCAGTCTTAGGCGTTATTCCCCGATGTGCTGATTTGATAGATGAGGGATCCCACTCTCCTCTTCCAGCTCCGCTGGCCTCACCTCCGGGGTCCCCTGGCCTGTTCTCTCCTGCCTTTTCGCCTCCTGTGGTAGCACTGGCATTCTCTGGGGTCTTCATTTTCCTCTAAAGCATGGATTCCATCTAGCATGTGCCATTCCATCGTGTGGGTTCATTCACTCTCTCATGACACGTGTTTCCTATGGCCCATGTGTACCAGGCGCTGAGCTGGGTGCCAGGTTTAGCAGCAAAGTAAACAAATGCAGTCCCTGCCTCCAGAAGCCCCCATTCTAGCGAGGGGGACAGAGCAGGAGTGAGTGACTCCGTCACATGTCAGGTTCCAGCAGCAGCTGGGAGAAAAATGGAGCAGAGCAGAAGGGAGGGCCTGTCGAGGGGTGACATCCGAGCGACGAGGAGGGGAGGGAGTGAGCAGTGACATCGGGCAAGGGACTGGCCGGCACTGCTAGTGCGATGGCATCCACAGGAAGGGGCCAACTGGTTTGGGGGCAGATGAAGGAGAGGTCTAAGGAGATGGGGCCAGGGAGCGAAGGAGCCAGGCGGCCGTAGGCTTGGGGTCCTTGTAAAGACTTTGGCTTTGACTCTGAGTGACATGGGGACTGTCTTAGGCTGCTCAGGAGCTATAGCAAGATACCCCTAAAGGACCTGCAAGTGGAGAAGACCGGGCTTGAAGCTCCATGTCTGCTGTCCCCCCTCAGCGAGGCCTGAGTGTCCTCATGCACGAGTCACAAGGAGCCTCTGCTGATCCTGGAATTGCTGGACCAAGGAGAGAACATTCCTAAAGCTTTATGTGCTGTCAGCTTGCCTCCCGCAACATTGGTTAGTTCTGCCCAGTTCGCATCACAAAGAGTTGCCTTCACCTCCAGAAGCACCTGCTCAACATCCTCATGAGAAAATTGCAGCAAGAGTGAAGAGGAGAAATGTGCTTGAGACAGGGACTAACCACGGTGGACTAGGAACCGTGGATGCAGAGGTGGCACTGTCCCTGCAGCACGCATCCCTGCACCGGCCACCTCCTGCCCTGTCCCATCAGTGTGCGATCTGTTTTCTGGGAATTCAATGGGATCAACCCCCTAAATTGGCCTAGGAGGATGCACCTGGCCGAGAAGCTAACACCTGAGCTCAGACAAATCGGAAAAGCATGCATTTACCAGGAGGACGAGTAAATCCTTGAGCAAATGATTTCTGGGCTGGAAGGGCAGCATGAAACTGCAAGGAACATGACATGGCAGGAGGAGGGGGGTGACCGTGGAGCAAGGGGTGACCGCAAGCAGTTCTGGTCGTAGTAAATGACAGAGTAGGTGAGAGTTTCCTTTTGTCCTGTTTATTTGCCATCGGGAGCAGGAGGTGGTGGCAGAGACAGACCACTTGGGTCCTGCAACATTGGCTGCAGAGTTTAGGTCCCTTTGTCTGAATAAAGAAGAATCGCTGAGGACTCCTGAGCGAGCGAGCCAGCCAGCCTCCTCCAGGGCGGCTGCAGGGGAAGGCAGCCGGGGAAGAACCCCAGACTGCATTCATCATTAACTTCTCCAGTTTAACCCCAAGTTGTTGTGTTTTTCTAATAGAAGAGAAAAGAAGTAATGAATAATAGGAATAGTTAATGCATCATCCTTAAGCTCATTAAATATGATACCACCCATCCTTTCCCTCTGGGGGATGCACAGGAGGTAAGTAATTAAAAGGAGATTACCAAAATGTAATTAAGACAGTCGGCAACTCTCCCCGCAAAGCAAGTTCACCGTGAGTAATCCCCAGCCAAAGCAATCCATTCTCAGAGAGAGAAAAACTGGAATTGTAGTTAAGACATTGCCTAAGACCTTGAGTAAACTGAAAGCACACAGAGAGTAAAGATGACAATTTTACACCTACTCATAATCCATTTCTTATATTGGGTATGCCATCAAATCTGTCTTCCAAAACTCCTATTATTCTTAAGCCTCCTCTGCCTGTCACAGCAGCACGTGAAAATGATCTGAGCTCTTCTCACAGCAAGGGCCGCGGGCTTCCTGCCCCTGCTGTGTGGCTTGACCATGAGTCCTCCCCTGTCATTGCTCCTTCCTCATACTGCTTTGTTAAGCACCACTCAAATCAGACAGCGCTTCTTAAAGTGCAGGTCCCAGGCCGCTGCTCTGCAGACCAGCCCGCCCCAGGGCTCCATGGTGGGGGAGTCCAGGGGTCTTGCTGTGCAGAAGGCCTGGGGCTCATCCTCTTGGCACTGTCCTGGGCTTGAGAACCAGCCCAGGAGGCACAGAGGCCTGCGAGCTTCCGGGAAGGGAAGGCGACGTGTGTCTTTTCAGACCGGAGCAAGGAGTTGGTCCCATGTGCCTGGAAGCCATCACATCCCCTTTCAAGATGAGAAGCACTGGCCTAGAAGGCATAAAAGAGGAACAAGGCATCGAAGCAAAAATGCTACCCAGTGGCTTGGTGAAGAAGCCGAACAGGAAAAAAAAAAAAAAGAGAACACCTAAACGGCAGCACACACACCTTCTCATGAGATTCCCACAAACTGGGAAAACATCATCTGGATTTCTCTCCCCAGCAAATACCCGTTCTTCACTTCTAGAAAAACATTTTACATTCAAAGTGCCATGTGCAAAGTGTAGAGTATCACCTTGTTTTTAGAAAATCGTTCCTGTTTAACATTTCCCTTAAATCTTAAAGTGCAATTTCAGTTTCTTCAGTGAGTATAAAAATAACACTCAGTGCAGAAATAGAATTTTTAAAAGACATAGTAGAAACCCATATAAAATCTTTCTACTTTATTACCATGGAAATAATGGAATTTTTTAACAAAACACATCCTTATTCAATACAGAGTAATTATTTTGTCACATTCTAGCAAGCAGAGAGCCAATGAGATCTTTCCTCACTTTGCGTGGAAATATACAATCTCTAAAGTCATTCAGTTATATGTTAAATAACTTGAAGATGTTTTTTGTTCCAAGAGAGAAGTGAAGAATGTAGTTTTCAACCAAAGGGATGGTAAAGTACATCAAAATGTTTGTAATCTTTTATGAACATCATATTTATATTCGCTGCCAACAGTGTTACTTCAATTTATCTTTCTTTTTATTGTAAATATAATGGTGTCTACGTATTTTCAATGAATATGGTAAAGAATGGGGAAGTTTCCTTTTCAGGAAAGGGCTCTAAGATAATTGTAAATAAATTAAGTAAATTATTAAGATATTAGCATTACTGTTATTTACCCTTGCTCTTGATGGCAAGAAAAGCTAAGTCTTCTTGATGTAATTTCAGCGATTTTAACTATTTCCCTTGAATTTCACTCACTCTCTACTTGCCAATGCAAAATTCACTACCTGCCATCCTGTAGGTGGGTGGCACTGTGGCAAGTCTTGAGGGGTAACTCAGGCTGACTTGGACTCTCAGGGGGGCCTTGGAGACAGGCCAGGGTGCAGGGGCTGCTAGGCCCCCTGTGCCACGCTAAGGCAGAAGGAGTATTATCGCAGGCCACCCAGCAGGGCCTACAGGCATCATCACGTGGTGGTTCAGTGGGAACCAGGCAGACTCCATGCATCCACTTCTCCTCCTCAGGCTTTGAGCTTGGTAAGCTTGCTGCCCTCCTGGGGGAAGCCCAGGCACCTTGGCATGGGTGGTGTCTGCTTCCTGTAGAGCATCTGTGACTACACGGGTCCTAGCACTGCCCCAGTATCTGCACTAATATGGATCACCTCCTTAAAGCCAGCTGTAGTGATAAAAGCAACAGAATGAAAGTCACATCATCATGGAAAGTTGGCAAGGAGGTTGCACAGGCTGCTGAGATTCACTCTCACTTAGCGTGCTACAGAGTTATTCTTTTGTTGTTCAAACTTTCTCCCAAGTCCCGATTGGCTGTGGCGACACTGCAGCTCCTTCCATGCATGTGTCCTGGGTCCGGCCTGGCTCTGAAGCCTCCCTTTAGAAAGGAGTATGAGTCCCCCTCCAACCCCGGTTCCCAGTAGCATGGACAGGGTAGGCACTCGGCATGTGCCAGGCAAGCTCTGCCGGAAGTAGCACAGGGCCGGCCGCCAAAGGGAGGGAGGCACAGTTTCTGATGCCTCTTGCAGGAATGTGAGGGGGCCACACCAGGCTTTCCCCACCTGGGCCCTGTGAAGGGTGGTCACATGGGCCCCCTTCCCCACTGGAGAAGCCCCCTTTCAAACACAGCTGTGTCAGGCAGAAGACAAGGCTATCATGAACCTGTTGGTGAAGTTGGAAGAAGCACATCAGACAGAATTTCTCGTAATCGTTTTAATTTGTGTGGTTGAATTTTCTCAAACCTGGGAGTCCCATGTCCCCAAGGGCAGGGATGAGGTCTCATTCTCCCTTGTGCCCCAGCCCTATGCAGCACACCCCATGGCAGGACCTCAGCCAGGCCCCATGGAAATGCATGGTGCGGGGGACACTGCTCACCTCCTCCAGCACCTGCCTTGTGTTAATCACCACTCCGGCATCCTCAGAGCACTCCCGCCTCATTCCCCTGAACCCGGATCAGGATTCTTCTTGATTCCTAGCCTCCACGGGAAGCCCTCTATATATTCAAACTAAATGGACAACGGTGCAACCAGCCCAGGCAGGCTCCCCATTCATTTGGTCCCTCCAGAGCCACGACAACCATTTGTGGATCAATTAAGCATCAGAGTTGAGTCGCACCAGTGATTCTATGAGGTCATGATCCTATCAAGAAGCCAGGTACCAATCCAAGAACGTATTGTCCCAAATAAGTCTTGCAGAGAAAATCCAAAATACAGATGTTACCAGCATCTTAACTGTCATCACACACCCAGGAAGGTAACTTATAGTGTGGCTGCTTATGTTCTGGCTCAGGATGCTGCACTGGACTGGACGAATCTCAACACTCAACACTCAGCAAGTGAGAATGAGAATGTGTGCCTGGCTCTGGGCCAGGCCCTGGGGTTCAGGCTTGTGGTGGGGACAATGAGCCTCATTTGCAGAGGAGGAAACTGGGTGGGCGTCTCAAAACATGAGCTTCTTCAGGAGTGGGGGTTTTGGCTCACTGCTCTGTTGCTCCTGCCTGTGAGTGTGCCTGGCACATCATGGGCCCTGGTCAGTGTTGCTGAGTTGGGATTTTCAGGAGGCTTCTGTGTTCTTGCACATGTGGTAGGTGGTTGGACTTCGGTGAAATCGGAGGAGCATGGCTTCGGAGTCAAACAGTCTCCATTTCCAGCACCGGCTGGCAGGAGCTTGGAACTGAGCCCTACTTACTTTGTCTGTACAGCAGGGAGAGCTGTGGCTGCCTCGCATGGTGATGTGAGGACCAGAGAAGATTCCCTGTTGCCCAGCTCAGTGCCTGGGTAAAGGAGACGCAGGAAGGAAGGCCACTGGTACTCTGGGGTACCAGAGGGGGAAACAGAGAGGTAGAAACATTCTTTCCCAGTCACACCATTAGAAATGCTAGTGCTAGGATTCGAATGCCAGCCAGTTCCAAGGTCCATGCTCCCCGCTCCCTTCCTGAGCAATGAGAACTGTTTGGTGTGTGCCTCCTAGGCTCATTGTTCGGATTAAGCAAGTGAATGTAGAAAGAGCTTTGCCTGGTACCTGACACAGCAAACACCAAACATTTGCATTCCTTATTATTTTTGTATTCTATCCTATTTCGGTGAGTGCATGTTTAATGTTCAGTAATGATGTGATTAAGTGGCATAGAATTTATTTGGGTGGAAGAATTTATTTTAATAGTTTTTATAAATGACTTCACCCATGAATTTATTGAATCATTAAAGGGTGGAAGGGTGGCATAAATGTTTCCCTTTTATTTCTTTGCATTGTATGGCAATTCCATGCTACTGGAGGATTTGTGAATCGGTGTTTGCAAAGGTCTCAGCATAGATCCTTTGTGAACGTCAAGCTGTATGGCTGAGGAGGGCATAGAGAGCTGGGAGGAGGAGGGGGAGGACGAGGAGGATGATGAGGAGGACGAGGAGGATGATGAGGAGGAGGATGACCTAACTCTGAGTGGGGGAAGGATGGGCAGAAATGGCTTTCTGATGAGCTTGCACTGAGTCTGGAAGCTTGAGTTGAGGAGCCAGCCCAGGTGGATACCAGGAGACGGGGCTTCCTGGGAGGAGAGTTAGTGCTTCCAGAGCCCAGGGGTTGGGAGGGCACCACACTTTGGGCATGGCCAGGGCAGGGCAGTGGGGGAGGCCCATGGCAAAGGGTTCTGTCTGGAGAGCCGAGGGGCCGAGCTAGTAAGGTGGTCCACTCCACCCTTGCTTGCCTCCCTGGGTGGGCGTCTCAAAACATGAGCTTTTCCAGGGGTAGGGGTTTTGGCTCACTGCTCTGTCACTCCTGCATGGGAGTGTGCCTGGCACATCATGAGCCCTGGTCAGTGTTGCTGAGTTGGGATTTTCAGGAGGCTTCTGTGTTCTTGCACATGTGGTAGGTGGTTGGACTTGGGTGAAATCGGAGGAGCATGGCTTTGGAGTCAGACAATCTCCATCTCCAGCACCTGCTGGCAGGAGCTTGGAACTGAGCCCCACTTACTTTGTCTATACAGCAGGGAGAGCCACGGCTGCCTCTCAGGGTGATGTGAGGACCAGAGAAGATTCCCTGTTCCCCAGCTCAGTGCCTGGGTAAAGGAGACGCAGGAAGGAAGGCCACTGGTACTCTGGGGTCAGTTTTCAGTAAGCACTGGTTGAATTCACTTGAAGCTTGACTTGACTGATGGCCTTTGCAAAGGAAGTTCTGGAATCTTCGGATTAGCTGTTGTTCATTGCCCAGAAGGAATCCTTGTGTGGTAAGAGATCCCACGCCTGGGCAGCAGTTATGCCACCAGAAAGCCTGGAACTGCGCCTGGAAATCTGGTGAAACTGCCTCACTTGTGCAAACAGCGTGCTGGAGTATCTACTCCCATCAGGCAATAACCTGGGCCTGACCTCCTGATGCACCAGAGGCTCCCCTCAGGCATGTGCTGAGCCCTTCGGAGGCCAGCGTCCGTTTCTTGATCCGGCAGCGAGGTCTGTAGCAGGCAGCTTCCTCAGAGCTTCCACTTTATTTTCATCTGGATTTTTTAATGTTTTATCTTTTTTTTTTTTTTGACAGGCAGTTTTCCTGCTGTTGTTATTTTTAGCATTCATTTATTCACTGTAAATACAAATGAAGATACAGTACAATTAATTTCTTTGCTAATCAAAATATTTGATAAAATGAAGTAATTTTTCAATTCTTAGAAGTAATTACACCATTCTTTAAAAGGAAGTGAGGAATTCTTTACTCAGTGTTTCTAATTAGGAGTTTTTGCTACCTGCTGAGTTCTTATTCTGTGTGAAGTTTCAGGACTTTTTTTTTTTCTCCTGTAAGGAATCATAGAAAAAAACCATATAATTGTCTCTGTAAGTATTCAGAACAAAACTTAGTATATGAATCATACAGTCAGATGAGCTAATTATAAACTTCATAATTACATTAATATGCAGATATATTTCTAGTCTAGCAGCTAGATGGACCTTGCTAACCACTTTGTCACAACCTGTTGTTCTAGGGTGGGTGACCGCCATCTTGGATACTCACCAAGGGCCACAAAGCCCCTTTGCAATATGTCCATTTCGTGGAACACTGATGCCTAAAAAGCCATCTGTGCTCAACAGCTTACTTGTCCTGTCTGTATTCTAAGCTCATCCCTTTTTACTTCTTACTCAATAGAAACCCAGAACTGTAGCAGTCAGCTATCACTATGTAACAAGCAACCATAAACCCTCAGGGCCACGAAACAATAACATCCATTCATTCAGTTTTCACAGCTGTGGGGGCTGATCTAGGCTGGGCTAAGCTCTGCCATCTTCGCTAGGATGACTCTGCTCTTCATCTCTGTCATTCTCCTCCTTGGTCCTGTGTGATGGCCAGAGCCTGTCTTCTAAGGCAATGGTGTAGGTGCAAGAGGGCTTGCCCAATTACGCAAATGCTCCTTCATCCTTCCATCACATTGTAATTACCCACATTCCACTGGCCAAAGCATGACATATGGCGGAATCCAAAGCCAAGGGGCGGGGAAATACTCTCAGCTTCTGTAGTGGGAGCTGCCACAAAGCCCCCCCTGGCAAAGGGCATGCACACAGACAGGGTGAACAGAAGCAGGGGGGCCATAGAGGTGACAGACCCCAAGAAAGCAAACGCACGTGCACTGCTGCCTCTCCAGCTCTGCGGCTTTAGTTGACAAGTCTACCACCCCCTTCTATGAAGTTCTGTCTTCCCGATCATCCATAGAAGTCGTTCAGGATACAATTTGGTGGAAAACTGATTTTAAAGCCAGCCAAGAACAAGGCTGGACATACTGACAGGATATTAGAGGGCTCTTTACTGGGGCCACCTCATAGAGCTGCTGAAACAGGAGGACAATAAAACCGAACGTGAACTAACAACAATTTCAGGTTCTCTTGACCCTTAGGGAGCCTGCCCTCCCCTCTCTAGCCAGTTCTTGCACTGGGCTTAACTCTCACCTCAGGGCTTGCTCCCGCCCCTGGCTTGGGTTGAGTAAGGCAGCTTCTCCCTTAGAGCTTTCCCCGCCACACAGGTGAGTTCCTTGCAGGACAAAAGTTAATTTGCCTTTATCTCAGACGCCAGGGAGGACAGCACCTTCTTTTTTTTTTTTTCTTTTTTTTTCTGAGACATAGTTTTGCTCTGTCACCCAGGCTGGAGTGCAGTGGCACAGTCTTGGCTCACTGCAACCTCCACCTCCCAGGTTGAAGCGATTCTCATGTCTCAGCTTGCCAAGTAGCTGAGATTACAGGTGTGGGCCAGCACACCCTGCTGATTTTTGTATTTTTTGTAGAGATGGGGTTTCGCCATGTTGGCCAGGCTGGTCTCGAACTCCTGACCTCAAGTGATCCACCCGTCTTAGCCTCCCAAAGTGCTGGGATTACAGGTGTGAGCTACCGTGCCTGGCCAACAGCTCCTTCCTAAAGTGCATGGGGGATGTCCTGGAAGATGCCTGTCTTTTCCCGGAATGACTCTGGCAGGGTAGTTCTAACTGGTGTGGTTATCCCCATTTCTCAGATGGAGGACGGAAGCCCAGAGAGGTGAAGTGATTGCCTTAGTGATTTGCAGCTAGAGGATGGTGGCATTGGGCCCTCACCTCAATTGGAGCCTGTGATTGGACCCCCACAGCCCTGCTGCCCAGAGCTCACCGCAGCCGGTCAAGAGACGCAGTTCTGTGGCATGGCCACTGTGTGCCTGGGCTCCTATGACCAAGTCTCAGACCTGGCTTCTGCCTTAGAAGTGCCTCCAGCTCCTTGGCTGGGTGGTTTGAGCTGCAGGCAGTAATGGGCACCAGGATGCACCATCCTCGGATCATTCATGATAGCCTGGTGTTAGCCAGGAACTCAACCCACGTCTGTCTGAGTTCCCAACTCCTGCAGAAATATCTGTAATCACCAGCAGCAGCAGCAGCGCGGCAGGCTCTGGGCCACATGCCTTGAGGGTTGTGTTGGTGAAATCCCAGGCCTGCCGTTGAGGTGGCTGGTTTGTTTTTGGTTTTGTTTTTGTTTTGAGACAGGGTCTTGCTCTGTCGTCAAGGCTGGAGTGCAGTGGCAAGATCAGGCCTCGCCATGGCATCAGCCTCCCAAGCTCAAGTGATCCTCCCACCTCAGCCTCCCAAGTAGCTAAGACCACAGGTGCATGCCTTGCCCAGCTAATTTTTGTATTTTTTGTAGAGATGGGGTTTTGTCATGTTGCCCAGGCTGGTCTCAAGCTCCTGAGCTCAAGCAGTCCTCCCCTCTTGAACTTTCCAAAGAGGTGGCTGTTTTTATTTTCACTTTACCCCAGTGAGGACAGGGAGGCCAATTTAGGGGTGCATCTTACCCAAGGTAACAAGATAGGGGCAGCCTGAGCCCTGGGTTTATGATGGGCTGTCCCCACTCTTCAGGCCCAAGCCCGCCTCTTCCAGCCTAGGCTGGCCCTGGCCGCGTTCCTTCTGCCCTGGCAGGCGGCGCTTGGTTACTGGTGCTGCCTGCTGCTCAGGAGCGCACCCTGTGAGGCGCTGAACAAGGGCAGGTCTGGCCCTGGTGCCGCAGGCCAGGACCTGGGCTGGGAATCCCAGCACTGTGCCTCCCTGAAGGGCTCGTCCCAGATAGCAGCAGGCGGCCGTGCTGTGCCTACCCGGAGAGACCCTGAGCAGAGCCAAGGACAATAATAGAGACAGCAGGCCATGCCCCACTGGGCTACTGCCCTCCCACCTGTGACCTGGGCTGCCTCCCTCCCATCCCCCACCGGGCTGCCTCCCTCCCATCCCCCACCGGGCTGCCTCCCTCCCACCCCGCACCAGGCTGCCTCCCTCCCACCCCTGACCTGGGCTGCCTCCCTCCAACCCCCCACCGGGCTGCCTCCCTCCCACCCCGCACCAGGCTGCCTCCCTCCCACCCCTGACCTGGGCTGCCTCCCTCCCATCCCCCACCGGGCTGCCTCCCTCCCACCCCGCACCAGGCTGCCTCCCTCCCACCCCTGACCTGGGCTGCCTCCCTCCAACCCCCCACCGGGCTGCCTCCCTCCCACCTCTGACTGGGCTGCCTCCCTCCCACCCCTGACCGGGCTGCCTCCCTCCCACCCCCAACCCAGAACTTGTGGCGTTGGGGCAGCCTGTTGGGTGATTCCTATGTCATGGCAGGATTTTAGAACCAGGGGTTTAGATTCTGAAGCTGTGACTTGCTTTTTACTAGCAAGATACATGGATACATTTGAAGCTGAGAAGCACCCCATCAAAGTGGGGTGTGAGTAGCCTCTTTGATGACTGTATACTTCATGTATTGGGACATTATTTCTTTCATGTATTTTGCCAATATTACGGTGTAGTCACAAAGGGGCCAAGAATTTTCCTTCTGGTAGTGGTGGGCTGTCTTTGCCACATCTAGAAGGGCAATTGTTTGCTCAAACAAGGTCCCATGAATATCTTTGAATACTTGAAATAAAACCCCTTGAAAACACGTAAATGGTTCTCTGTTGAGGTCAGACCTAGAGTGCATATGACTGCACTCCATTTTGTTTGTTTGTTTGCTTGTTGAACTTTAAAAGTCACCAGAAGCAGCCAGGAGCTTATCTTTGCCAGATAAGCTGGGGAGTGTGAGGTGTTCGGGCCCAGCACGGACCGGGCCCAGCCGAGCCCCCGCCTTTCCTGCAGCCCTGCTCTTCCTGTTGCAGCTGTGATTTCTGTCCTGAGGGGGCCTTTGATGTAAAGCGCAGTTAATATTGGAACGTGTCATTTGCATCTGAAGATAGTGGTGTCTTTTTTGATTAGGAGAAACATTTCTTCTAGTTATAGAAAAAGCATTATTTTTTCCCCCATTCAGATATAATGATCACGTGAGAAGTGCCAGGGACACAGAAGCGCCAGACCAAGAGCCATCTGTTCCTCTCTGGCGTCTCCAGTCACTCGAGCGAGGCTGGCGGCGGCTGAGCAGCTTTGCTAAAAAGTGAAATGGGAACCAGAATACGGTGCCTAACAGATTCTCAGCCAAAATGCCCTTGATGGAAAACCCAGGCGCTCTCCCACCAGCAACTGGGTGTGTGGGGGCGGGGCGGTGTGGTTCTCTGGGCGGCAGCATCCATGGGGCCTGGGGACCCCAGGTCGGTGGTTCCTCCCTTCTGCTCTGAGGCAATGACAGTGGTGGCTGAGGGGGGCGGGGTTTTCAGTGATCATTTTTCCTTTGTGCCTTTTTGTAGTTTCTAAGTTTTCTTTCTTTCTTTCTTTCTTTTTTTTTTTTTGAGACAGAGTCTCGCTCTGTTGCCCAGGCTGGAGTGCAGTAGCACGATCTCGGCTCACTGCAACCTCTGCCTCCTGGGTTCAAGCAATTCTTCTGCCTCAGCCCCCTGAGTAGCTGGGACTACAGGCTCCCGCCACCACGCCTGGCTAATTTTTGTATTTTTGGTAAAGACGAACTTTCGCTGTATTGGCCAGGCTGGTCTCGAACTCCTGACCTTGTGATCCACCCACCTTGGCCTCCCAAAGTGCTGAGATTACAGGTGTGAGCCACTGCACCCAGCCTGTAGTTTCTAAGTTTTCTATAGTGAACACGCAATACTTCCTTTTGCAAGCAGGAAAAGAGTATTTGCACGGGCGGCCAGCCACCTCCATGCAATGGAGGCTGATAGGTGCCCAGCACCTTCCCCACGCCGCCACGCAGTTGGGCTGCTTCTGCTTCTCCGTGGCAACACCTGTGTCCGTCCCCTGCCTCCCCAAGTGAGGGCGGGGACCTATCACCATGACCTGGACCGTGGCTGCAGCTCTCTGCACGTCTAGGAAAGCATGTGTTTGCAGGCCAGGAGCCTGGGTAGAATCCGGGCGCCACTCTGTTGGTTCTGTGACTTCAGGCATTTCTCGGCCTCCCGGACCTTCACGTCCATGCTTGTTGAGGAGGATAATGTTACCTCCCACGCTGGGTTTTTAATCTCTTTCCACCTGCACTTCCCGTGGCACCCACCTCAGCCATTTCCTCCTCAAGGAGGCCTGCAGTGGCCACCCCAACCAGGGCCATGTCCCAGCCAGTTGCATCTGTGGCATGGTGTTCCCTCCTGAGAGCATGGCTGCCCCTACCCAAGGTTACCTTTACGTTGACCACACTGTTCTCTAACACTTTTATAATGCTATAACAAACAGGTCTTATGATGTAAGGGCTCAGCACAGTAGAGACTTAGTTCCCACTCACTGCCAGAGTAGTTGTACATTGATATATTTGTGTATTTCTGAACCTAGCTATATTACTCTGATTATATCAAATTCATGGCAACTTTAATATCTGGTGAGTCAAAAACTTCATTCCTATCCTTTTCCAAAAATTTCATGGTAATTCTCACATGTTATTTTTTAATATCAATGTTGATATCAATATGTCTAATGATTCTCCCAAATATCCATTGAGATTTTTATTAGAATTTTATTAAGCTTATTTATAACTTGAGAAAGGATTTCTCTTTTGAAAGTGAGTCTTTATATCCAGGAACATAATATGTCTATTTATTCCAGTCTTGCTTCAGTAACTGTAATATAATATGTATATTATTTATACACATTGTTTATACAGGCATTTTTTAAATTTTACTTTCAGTTCTGGGATACATGTACAGAACATGCAGGTTTGTTACATAGGTATACATGTGCCATGGTGGTTTCCTACACTTATCAACCTGCCATCTAGGTTTTAAGCCCCACATGCATTAGGTATTTGTCCTAATGCTTTCCCTCCCCTTGCCCCCCACCCAACAATAGGCCCCAGTGTGTGATGTTCCCCTCCCTGTGTTCATGTGTCCTCATTGTTCAACTCCCACTTATGAGTGAGAACATGTGGTGTCTCCTTTTCTGTTCCTATGTTAGTCTGCTGAGAATTATAGCTTCCAGCTTTATCCATATCCCTGCAAAGGACATGAACTCATTATTTTTTATGGCTGCATAGTATTCCGTGGTGTGTATGTGCCACATTTTCTTTATCCAGTCTATCATTGATGGGCATTTGGGTTGGTTCCAAGTCTTTGCTATTGTAAATAGTGCCACAATAAACATACATGTGTATGTGTCTTTATAGTAGAATCATTTATAATCCTTTGGGTATATACCCAGTAATGGGATTGCTGGGTCAAATGATATTTCTGGTTCTAGATCTTTGAGGAATCACCACACTGTCTTCCACAGTGGTTGAACTAATTTATACTCCCACCATCAGTGTAAAAGCATTCCTATTTCTCCACAGCCTCACCAGCATCTGTTGTTTCCTGACTTCTTAATAATCACCATTCTAACTGGCGTAAGAGGGTATCTTATTGTGGTTTTGGTTTGCATTTCTCTAATGACCAGTGATGATGAGCTTTTTTTCATATGTTTATTGGCCACATAAATGTCTTCTTTTGAGAAGTGTCTGTTCATATCCTTTGCCCACTTTTTGATGGGGTTGTTTTTTTCTTGTAAATTTATTTAAGTTCCTTGTAGATTCTGGATATTAGGCCTTTGTCCGATGGGTAGATTGCAAAAATTTTCTTCCATTCTGTAGGTTGCCTGTTCACTCTGATGATAGTTTATTTTGCTATGCAGAAGCTCTTTACTTTGATTAGATCCCATTCATCAATTTTGGCTTTTGTTGCAATTGCTTTTGGTGTTTTAGTCATGGAGTCTTTGCCCATGTATGTGGCATTTCTTCATACAGGCATGTCTCAGAGACTTTGCAGGTTTGGTTCCAGACCGTAGCAAAGCAAATATCGCAATAAAATGAGTCAATGAATTTTTTGATTTACTGATGCATATAAAAGTTATGTTTACACTATACTGTAGTCTATTAAGTGTGCGATAGCATTATGTCTAAAAAAATTACATAGCTTAATAAAAATACTTTATTACTAAAATATGGTGGTGATCTTCTGAGCCTTCAGCAAGTAATCTTCTTGTAATCTTTTTGCTAGTAGAGGGTCCCACCTCAATGTCGATGGTTGCTGAAGGCTGGGGTGGCACTGCCAATTCCTTAAAATAAGACATTGAAGTTTGCCACATCAATTGACTGTCTCTTTCATGAACGATTTCTCTGTGACATGGAGACATGATATGAGCACATACTTTGGAAAAATGGTGCTGATAGACTTGCTTGACACAGGGTTGCCACAATCCTTCAGTTTATAAAAAACACAATATCTGCAAAGCACAATAAAGCAAAGCGCAAAAAAAAAAATGAGGTATGCCTGTGTCATATGTACCTTTCATATGGCATTTATCCAGAGGTATTCAATTGCTTTGTCATTAATGCGACTGTGAATTTTTGTCACATCTCAATCCTGAACTACTTACAGTGACCATAAAAGAATGGCATTGCTTTTTTGTACTTTTAGCTTGAATCCAGCCACTTTCCTAAATGCCATTGAGATTTTCTACCTATACAGTCATATCCACAAATAATGATACCAGTTTTCAACATTTACATGTTGATTTTATTTTCTTGTCTTATTTCAAAAGCTGGAACTTCTAAAAATGTGAATAGAAGAAGTGAAATCATGCTTATTTTGTTCCTGATTTTAATGCTTTAGTAGTTCATCCATTTAATATAATCTTTACAGATAATTTTTGATTAATACTCATGTTTACAATGTTTTATTTATATATAGTTCATCCATCCCATTCTATTTCTATTTTATACCATTTTATCAGGAATAGCTGCTGAATTTTGTCAAATGCCTCTGCTATCTGTTGACATGTGGCCTTCACTAAAGTAAGGAATTGAAAGATTTGCCAATTCTTGCATTCTTATCCATGAAATAAACCGTAGTTGATCTTGGTGTGTTATTTTTAAATATGGTGCTAAATATTTCTAATATTTTATTTTAGAATTTTTGCACTAATGGCCATAACTAGACTGACTTTTATTTTTTCTTTTGACATGTTTTCTTTATCATATTTTGGTATTTGTGTAATATACAATAATTGGAATATGACTCTTTCTGTGTTCTGGAATATTTTGACTAATGTAAAAATTATCTATCCCTTAAGGGTTCCATACAGCTTGCCTTTAAAATCATCTGGGCTTAACACCTTTTTAATGATAGATGGTAGATCTTTTAACAGCCTTTTTCATTTCTTTTGTGGTTACCTGTCTATTCAGGCCTTTCTAATACTTTAAATACTTTCTTTTCTAATTCAATTTAAATTGAATCTTTATTTGCTAATTCAATTAAATTGAATTTTGCTAGAAAACTGTTCAATTTCGTCTGAAGTTTAGAGCATATTAACCTAAGGTTGCACATAATACTTTGTTAGAATTCTTCCATATCTGTTGTTAGACTCATAGTATTTCCAGTTAGTTTCATGCTTTAATACTTTCAGAGAACATTCATATACATCATCTCAGGGGAGCCCTTATTCCTCCTGGGTAGATGAGGAAACCAAGGCAAAAAGTGGGTAAGCAACTTACTGGAGGGGCACACAGCCGGGTAGGGGCAGAGTCTAGACTCAGACCCAGGACTCCCATCTTCCCATGCTGGGCTCCATCCACCTGTGTTCTTTCCAGTAATGTTTACGTGAGGCCCTGTCCTCCTCAGGCCCTGAAGTTCTGAAACCGTAAGGATGGACTGAGAGGTATGGCTCTATGTCCAGGAGAGGCTCCTCTACTCTGTTGATGCCAACATCCCTTAGGGACATGCTCGTGTATTTGGGTCTGAGAAGTGCATTTGCAACTGTTTGAATCCTAAAGATATTCAAAATGCATCAGCAATATCACTTTTATTTTCTAAAATAAAAAAGACATTCATTTACTTCACAAATGGCTCCAAATGAAGATGTATAGAAGCTCCGTTAGCCTTTGCATGGTGGAGGATGTGGTGGGCTTTGGCTTTAGTGTATGTGTGTAGCTTTAGATTTCTGAGGACATTCCCAGCAGCATCCTGTATTTGGCACAGTTTCAGAAAGTAAGAAAGACTTTATACATTATGTAGACTTCTCTGTCATAAAACACAGTAACATCTAATATATACATTGCTGTCGAGCTGCTTAAAATAAAACATGACCAAGTTTTAATAGGAGTTGAGGGGTTAGAAGTGATACTCCGGTGAAACCCTTTGCATGGCACTGAGGGGCATGGTAGGAGCTGGTATCAAAGCTCACAGCCATGGTGGGCTTTGATGTGGGGAAACCCAGTATATCTCAGAATATACCCACGTACAGGAACAGCTTTCTTGTGTGGTCACCTTGGGAATCTCACTTGTTCCCGACTCCCACGCGTGTCTTCTAGCCCCACCCCTTCCAGGTCAGCATACTCCACGGGCTGCCCTGTTGATGCAGCAGCCACAGGCCTGGCTTTGGGAGCCTTCCTCTGATTTCAGCAAGTAGATGCATGTCAGAGCTGCTTCCCAGGCCCTGCCCATTTCCCCCCACCCCTGACCCCTGCCTCTTTGCAGGAGGCTCAAGACTCTGCTGCCCCATTCGCTTCATCCCCTGGGCCCCAGTTTCCCAAGCCTGACTTCAACGTGGAGCCCAGTCTCCCCAGTGCCTCCTCCTGACAGGCCCCAGGATAAGGCCCCTTGCAATTGTCATCATCTGCTGCTGCTCACTGAGTAACTTCCCTTGCTGGCTCTTCCCTCTGTCATATGTGTCTGCCACAGTGAGCATCCGCAGATGCTGAAGGTGGGATGCCGCCCTCTGCGGGCCCCTCCTAGCTCACCTGGCCACAAGCCCTCTTGCCAGCACATCAGTAAAAGAATCCTTCTGCTGTCTCTCTTTCTCCACAGCCAATTCCTCCTCCTCCCAGGAAATCTCTGAGCCCTGGCTAGGTGCACATCCCTCCTCCAGAGTCCTTAGCACCAAGGACAGTGTCATGAGGACCTGAACCACACTCCAACCCCCTGACTTCCAGTGCCCAAGGAGTGGGGCAGAGCACTAACCCAGGCCTGGGACCCGTGCCCACTGTGGGGAGGTCACCCTTAGCAGATGCCACTGCACTTAATTCCCCAGAGTTAAGTCCCTGTGGGTCTCACAAAGTTTCAGGCTTCAAGGAACATTTAGCTGTAGTCTAATGGCACAGCAGTCATCAAAACCCCCCTTTCAAATGTTGACCACTGTGAGTAATCAACTAAACTGGCATCCTGAAATGAAAGCATGTGGGTGCCAATCCCTGTTCATTCCCTGGCCTCTCAGGGAAGGCTCGCACTGTGTTTGTTAATCGATCCCAAAGACAGCCTGAAGGCATGAATAGATGAGAGTAAACGGTGTGCCCTCCCCAGGGCTGGGCTCTGTGCTGGCCGCCCAGCCTTCCAGGGCCACTGCTCTGCCCCATGGGGAACTCGCTGGATCCTTCATGGCAGGAAACCCAGGCTTCTGCTCAGCAGGGCCTGACCTGGGGCTGGAGGCTGCCTGAACCCACCTCCAGGCTGTAGCTGTCTTCTGGCCTCTCCTCCCCACCACGCTGGGTCTCCCTGCAACTTGCCCTGGGTGAGGAGCCCAGAGCAAGAGGTGGTCGATTATTTCTCACATGGATCAATTTCCATTCTATTTTGTCCAGACAGCTGATGAGTGGGCTGAGAAAATGCCCAAAGGCCCGCCGCCTACCTCTCCCAAGGCCACAGCCGACAGAGACATCCTGGCTCGCCTCCACAAAGCAGTGACTTCCCATTACCATGCCATCACCCAGGAGTTTGAGAATTTTGACACCATGAAAACGAACACCATCTCCAGAGAGGAGTTTAGGGCCATTTGTAATCGCCGCGTCCAAATCCTGACGGACGAACAGGTAAGAAACGCCAGTCAGTCCTCACCCTGCACACCGTTGGCTGAGCGTCAGCCTGGTCCCTGGCCAGAATGTACAGAGTTTAAGACTGTTCTCTATTTTTAAAATGCTTGCAGTTTTGTTATTTTGTTTTTCAATCTTCCTGAAGATTCACAGGAATCTTCTGTTTATGTAACAACTATAAATTACACCATTTTCATCAGGGTACAAATACTGTCACTGTTGCCTTTAAAATCAAATTCAACTCCGCTTCGGCTCCCACACTCCTTCTCCCTTCCCTGGAGCATCCCGGAGGTAATGTGGTCTGGGTCTGTCATGGGCAGCAACTATCTGGGGCCAGTGTTGCGCAGGCAGTAAAAAGAATGTACCAAGACAGTTGTAGGTAAAAAAGGCAGATGTATTAGAAAAAGTATGAAAATATGTTGCAAGAGTGCAAGGGGCAAGTCAGCAAGAGAAAAGCTGACTGCAAAGAGACAAAGGTTTGCTGGAGATTTTATAGGATGGTGCTTGTGCTGGGTGCTGAAGAAGGCTTTGTGCAGTACTGGAAACACCAAGGTTGCAGTGAGCTACCTTGCATTTTTCTATGAGCCGGGGGTCTGGTGATAGCTGGGCGCAGGAAGGTTGTTATTTGTGCAGGAGGACTACGTGTTCTGGACCATGAACAAAGGCAGACTTAGCGGCTTACCTGCTTTTTCATTTTGCTTTCCTCTGTTCCCACCAGCCTGATTCCTTTCCCCTAATTAGGACTCCACATGGTCCAAAGAAGGTGGGCAGTCGGTCCCCACGCCTGGAGGGTCACAGACCCTGGCAGGAGGCTGGCGCTCCTCCCGCCACCCCAACCTGCCTTCTCCTTGCTACTACCTGGTGCTGCTGCTGGCAGTGTGGGATGCTCCGGGCTGCTGCTCTAAGCATGCTGGGTACATGCCACCCCTGGTGGGCCTCTCCACTGTGCACAGGCTGGACACAGGCCCTGCCTCTCTAAGATCCTCCTCCCTATCACAGAATCCCCAGAAGGAGGTTCTTCCCAGCCTCCTCCCCTAAGGACTGGACTGAGCTCTTCTGTGGCTCAAAGGCTCCGACAACCTGCTCCCCTGGGCCGCTATGGCCCTTCATGGCCTTCCAAGGCCAAGAGCACCTCCCAGTGGGGTGGCGTCCTCAGAGTCTGCCTTGCCATGGCAGCTGTGGGAGGGAAGAGAGCACCTGCCCAGCCTGCCTCCCATCCATAGTCACACTGAACACCAGCACCAGGGGAGCAGTGCCCCAGGTTGCTTTGTTCCTCGCTGTGCCCTAAATGCCAAAGCAGTGCAGGGCGCTGAGTGGGTGCTCAGTACATGCTGCTGAATGGACAGCGTCCATACTCCCCAGCCCTTCACCGTCCTCGGCAGCCCCGTGGCTGATCAGCCAAGTAACACAGAGCACCACTGATCCAGTTACAGAAGTAGATTTCCCTTCACTCAGAAAATGCACAGCTACAAGCCCTCTCTAGTTCTCAAATGCATCAATGTCCCATTCCCAGAGAATAATTCAGACTAAAACATAAAATCCCCAAATACTTAACAAAGCAACTCTGCCTCCCTCCTTCCTCCTGGTTCTGCTCAGTCTCAGCCCAGGGAGTTCCCTGCAGACACTGCGTGGAAATGTCACTCTTTCGCCTCCAAAACTGGGCCATTACAACCTCTTGTCTCATTTTGTCAGAGTTGCAGGGTAAGGCCTTGGAAGTATTCATAGGGAAGCGTGATCATCGCAGTCACCCCTGGCTCTACTCACAGCTCTGAACTCACTGCCCCAAGAATGCATGCCGTAAAGACATTAAGAATGTGACTATCAGGTTTAACATTCCTAAAATATCACCTTTCTCAAGCATTTTGGTGTGATCATTTTTGCTAAGCAAAATTAAATGCTGTTTCCAAATGATCCTGCCCCATTGCACGTCAAAGCCGAGCAAACTCTGTATTTGCAAATACTCCTCTTAGCATAAATGAAAATAAGCCTTTGAAATTAATACAGTTGCATTTATTATTCTATGGGGCCAAGTAATCAAGGTTTTACTAATAAAGATTTTTTTAATTTCACCTAAATGAGTAAAATTTTACTCTAATTATAGATAGAAATTAATGACATGCTGACATATCTGGCATTCATCACAGAGAATTCAATTTTAATTGTCCACTAAGAAAACTTCACCATCCTCAGCACATCAAGCCCCTTCCCCAACCAAATTAAACACTTATTTTTAAACGCGGCTTTCTAAAAATAAGCTGACGTGTCTCTTACATGCAGCCAACAAACATATGAAAAAAAGCTCAACATCACTGAGCATTAGAGAAATGCAAATTAAAACCACAGTGAGATACCATCTCACGCCAGTCAGAATGGCTACTATTTAAAAGTCAAAAAACAACAGATGCTGGTGAGGTTACAGAGAAAAAGGAATGCTTCTACACTGTTGGTAGAAGTTGGGAGTGTCAGTTAGTTTAGCCATTGTGGATGACACTGTGGTGATTTCTCAAAGACCTAGAGGCAGTAATACCATATGACCAAGCCATCCCATTACTGGGTATATGCCCCAAGGAATATAAATCATTCTATTATAAAGATACACACACGTATGTACATTGCAGCGCTTTTCACAATAGCAAAGACAAGGAAAAAAACTAAATGCCCATCAGTGATAGGCTGGTTAAAGAAAATGTGGTACATCTACACCGTGGAATACTATGCAGCCATAAAAAGGAATGAGAGGCCAGGCACAGCGGTTCACGCCTGTAATCCCAGCATTTTGGGAGGCTGAGGTGGGTAGATCACGAGGTCAGGGTTTCAAGACCAGCCTGGCCAATATGGTGAAACCCCGTCTCTACTACTAAAAATGCAAAAAAATTAGCTGGGCACGGTGGCACGCATCTGTAGTCCCAGCTGCTCAGGAGGCTGAAGCAGGAGAATCACGTAAACCCAGGAGGCAGAGGTTGCAGTGAGCCGAGATCACACCACTGCATTCCAGCCTGGGCAAAAGAGCAAGACTCTGTCTCAAAAAAAAAAAAAAAAAGGAACAAGGGACATGGATGGAGTTAGAAGCCATTATCCTCAGCAAACTAACATAGGAACAGAAAACCAAACACTGCATGTTCTCACTTGTAAGTGGGAGCTGAATGATGAGAACACATGAACACATGGGGGAACAACACACACTGGGGCCTGTTGAGGTCGGGGAGGAGGGAGACCATCAGGAAGAATAGCTAATGGATGCTGGGCTTCATACCTAAGTGATGGGATGATCTGTGCAGCAAACACCATGCCACACATTTACCTATGGAACAAACCTGCACATGTACCCTTGAAACTAAAATAAAAGTTGTTGAAGGAAAAAAATTTAAAAAACAAAAATAAGCTGACCTGTCTCCAATACAGTCCTCATCAAGAACCTCAAACTCTGGCACGAATATTAGGTTCGTGCTAAAGTAATTGCGGTCTTTGCCATTGAAAGTAAAGACCGTAATTACTTTTGCACCAGTGTAATACATTGGGGGATGATTAGCAGAGATTGTGCTATACTTGGGGCAAATGCCCCTGGATGGGCTGATCAACAGCAAAAGCCCAGAGCTCCATGCATTTCCTCCTTGCATGAGTTACTTTGCTGGGGACCTTCTTGGTCGAAGGCGAGTTTCCTGGCAAAGTGTGACGTGGGGGTCATTTGTACTCCTAACATGTCTAGACCCTCATGCCATTTTTTGAAAGAGCTCGCAGAAGACGCCAGGACAGTTCAACCATATTAAATTACACTTAACTCCATATTTCATGACTTGGTTTATCTACATTATAAAAACTTATCTCCTACTTTAAAAAATCCAACAGTCACGAACGTGAGGGGCCAGCTTTCTTGACTTATCGAGCTCTGTAAGTGAGGGAAGTGACACATCTTTTGAAACCCTTTGGTGCAATTAACCTTTCGGGAAAGGAGAGCAACTTGCAGAGTGCATGAGTTGGAAATGGATGGGTCTTTGTGGCTCTGCAGAAAGCGTGTGATAAAAGGCAGTCGGAACTGGGTCTGCTTGGGTATTGCTTAAGACAATAGACCCACAGCAAGGGCCTCTTTTTGCAAAGCATTTAGATCAGCCCACAGTGATTGCTTGATGACTTTTAATATGCAGATGTATTAGGGAAAGGAACTGCTAAATGTTTCTGAACTTTTTTTTTTTTTTTTTTGAGACAGAGTCTCACTGTGTCATGCAGGTCGGAGTGCAGTGGTGCAAACTCGACTCACTGCAACCTCTGCCTATCGGGTTCAAGCAGTTCTCCTGTCTCAGCCTCTCGAGTAACTGGGACTACAGGTGCCCGCTACCACGCCCAACTAATGTTTGTATTTTTAGTAGAGACAGGGTTTCACCATATTGGTTAGGCTGGTCTTGAACTCCTGATCTCAGGTGATCCACCCGCCTCGGCCTCCCAAAGTGTTGGGATGACAGGCATGAGCCACCGCGCCCGGCCTTCTGAACATTTTAGACATGATATTTCTAAAACAGACACCCCTAGGAAGTGAGAATGATGCTCACAGGAAACAAAACCCTTCAGGCAGGTGGACTTAGGTTTCAGTCGTGCTTCTGCTCTCATCCAGCTGTGTGACCCTGGAGGAGGTGCCCAGCCTCTCTGAGCTTGTGTCTCCCTCGGTGAAGTGGGGATGCACAGTACCCCCCAGGCTCCTCCAGGTGCCCTACGCTCCACCCAGGCTGAACTTCAGCCTTCCCCACCTCAGCTTGCTGCTGCTTCTGCCGGCCCCTGCCCGTGTCTTTCAATGCCTACTCCTCCTTCCTGACTCCATGCAGAGCAAAGCATTTCCTGACCACAATAGATATTCTTTATCTAGCATAAAAGTTCCCTTTTATTCCTATTTGGCTAAGAGCTGTTTACCATGAATAGATGTTGAATTTTATCCAATGCTTTTCCTGTATCTATTGAGATACACAAGTAGTTTTTTGGGTTCAATTTCTCAATATAGCGGATTACATTAACGGACTTTCTGATGTTAAACTAAACTTGAATTCCTGGTATATGCCAAACTTGCTCATGAGGTATTAAAAGTGATTTTGCAGTACAGGATTCAGTTAGCAAGTTTTTATTGTATAATTTGCATTCATGAATTTTCTTTTCTCATCCTGTCTTGTCTGGCTTTGGTATCAATATTACACTAGCTTTGGAGATGGCATTTTTAGTTAATCCCCTTTTTCTGTTTTTCCAGAATAATTTGGGTAAGATTGGAGCTGTCCATTTATTGAACATTGAGTAGAAATGCTTGTAAAGCCACCAAGGCCCAGCATTTGCTTTATAGGAAGATTTTTTTTAACTGCTAATTTTCTTTCAGGATTATAAAGCCATTCAGGCTATCTTCATTTTGTCAGTTTGGGTGACTTATCTTTTCTACAGGAATCTGTCCATTTTTCTCCAAGTTTTCAAATTTATTAGCGTAAAATTATTAATAGTGTACTGTTATCTTTTTAATCTCTGCTGAATCTATACTTATACCTTATTTTTTCTTTCTAATATTATTTTTCTCCTGGCTTAATCTTGCCAGAATTTGCCTATTTTGTTAGTCTCTTCAAATTATCAACTTTTCGTTTAGTTGATATTAATTTTCTATTAATTTCTGCTCTTATCTTTATTATTCCTTCCGCTTTAGTTTAAGTTAGACAAAGCTTTCTGATTTCAGCTGTTCTTCTTTTCTTAATGAGCATTTAAAAGTATATATTTCCTTCTAATTACCACTTTAGCTGCATCCAAGTTTTGATATGTAGTTTTAAAATTATAATTCAGTTCTCCATAGTTTTTATTTCCATTTTGATTCCTTCTGTGATCCATAAAACATTTAAAAGTGCTCTCTTTTGTTTCCAAATACATGGATGTTTAAAGTTATTAATTTACCAATTAACTCCATTTTAATCAGAAAATATAATCTGAATGACATCAGTTCTTAGAAATACTTTGAGTTCTGATGTGTGGTCTTTTTTTAATAAATGTTCCATTTGTGGATGGATAGTATGCATAGCCTCCAGTGGCTGAGCGAAGGGTTCCACATATGCTGAGTAAAAGCTTGTTATTTATGCCCTTCAAAAACTCGTTGTCCTTTTTGTCTCTTTGGCCCATCCATCACTAAGAGGTATGTTGAAATCACTCACTGTAATAGTAGATGTATCCATTTCTTATTATTCTGTCCATTTTTATTATAATATATGTATGTGCGTTCAAGGTTGGTTCTTTTTTAAATTAAACGTATGCATATTCAGAGCTCTTATAGCCTCCTACTGAGTTGACCTTTTTTTTTTTTTTTTTTTTTTTTTTTTTTTGAGATGGATTCTCGCTCTGTCACCCAGACCGGGGTGCAGTGGCTTGATCTCGGCTCACTGCAACCTCTACCTCCTGGGTTCAAGCAATTCTCCTGCCTCAGCCTCCCAAGTAGCTGGGATTACAGGCACATGCCACCACGCCCAGCTAATTTTTGTATTTTAGTAGAGGCAGGGTTTCACCATGTTGGCCAGGCTGGTCTTGAACTTCTGACCTCAAGTGATCCACCTGCTTTGGCCTAATCCCAAAGGGCTGGGATTATAGACATGAGCCACCTTGCCCAGCTGGATTTTTTTAAAAATACAGTCTAATAATCTCATTTATTTATATGGATGTTTGACCCATTTACATACATTACTGATATGTATGAATTTATTTCTGTCATCAAAAGTGCTTTCATTTAATGCTCATCTCTTTTATATCGTTTTATTTATTTATTTATTTTTGAGACGGAGTCTCACTTTATCACCCAGGGTGGAGTGCAGTGGCGCCCTCTTGGCTCACTGAAAGTTCCGCCTCCTGGGTTCACGCCATTCTCCTGCCTCAGCCTCCCAAGTAGCTGGGACTATAGGCGCCCGCCACCACATCCAGCTAATTTTGTTTTTTGTATTTTTACTAGAGACGGGGTTTCACCATGTTAGCCAGGATGGTCTCAGTCTCCTGACCTCGTGATCTACCCGCCTCGGCCTCCCAAAGTGCTGGGATTACAGGCGTGAGCCACCACGCCCAGCCTTTTATATTGTTTTTTAAACTCTTATTATCTTATTTTGGATTATGTTTTTTTTTTTTTCTTTTTTTCCCCAGGCTTGAGTGCAGTGGCATGATCACGGCTCACTACAACCTCAACTTCTCTGGCTCAAACTATCCTCCCACCTCAGCTTCCCAAGTAGCTGGGACTACAGATGCATGCTACCACCCTCAGCTTATTTTTATGGTTTGTTGGTTGGTTGATTGGTTGGTTTTTTGTAGAGACTGAGTTTTGCCATGTTGCCCAGGCTGGTCTCAAACTCTTGAGCTCAAGTGATTCACCTGCCTCGGACTCCCAAAGTGCTGGGATTACAGGCGTGAGCCACTGCACCTGGCCAGATTGAGATTTTTTAAATTCCTTTTTTCCCCACTATTGGTTTGGAAATTATATATCTATTTCTGTTATTTTAACCAATAGGTGATAATTGCCCTTGAAATTTTATCGTATGTAACAAAACAAAGTCAAAAGTTCATCAGTCTTTTCATTGTTCTCTTTTGCCAATTGGCTTTTAAGGTTTTGTTCACCTGCCTGTAGGGTTAGCAGCTTTCCCGGCCCTACTGATTTCCCTTACTTCCTCATGAGCGCTACAGGGCACATGACATTGAGTTGCCCTAACTCCGATTTTCCCTAGATTTCATTTCATTATTATTTGTTGTTTTAGATCTATCTTGTTTTTTCTCCACAAATTAATCATTAGACTGTTTTATACAGTGGTCATTTATTTGGTGTCCCCTTCTTTACTCTTCACACCTTAGACCTTTCTTCTGAGATCATTTTCTTTCTCCGTGAAGTATTTCCTTTAGTTATGATCTTAAGTTCGCCCAGTTTTTATCTGAAAATATCTTTTTTTGACCATATTTTTGAAAGGTAACTTTTCTGAGTAGAGACTTTTATTTTATTTATTATCCTTTTTTTTTTTTTGAGACAGAGTCTCACTCTGTCACCCAGGCTGGAGTTCAATGGCATGATCTCGTCTCACCACAACCTCCGCCTCCTGGGTTCAAGTGATTCTCTTGCCTCAGCCTCCCGAATAGCTGGGATTACAGGTGCGCACCACCACACCTGGCTAATTTTTTGTATTTTTAGTAGAGACGGGTGTTTCACCATGTTGGCCAAGCTGGTCTCGAACTCCTGACCTCAGGTGATCTGCCCATCTTGGCCTCCCAAAGTGCTGGGATTACAGGCGTGAGCCACCACGCCCGGCCTGAAAATCTCTTTATTTGACCATATTTTCACAAGGTAACTTTTCTGGGTAGAGAATTTTAAATTGACAGTGATTTCCTCTCAATTTTTTAAAAATATCATTCCACCATCTTCTGGCTCCCACTGATACTGCTTTTAAGGCCGCGCCTTTATGTTCTGCCAGACGTGTCTACTGCATCTGAAACTGTGTGTGTAGGACCCACGAAACCACATGTTAGCAAGCACTCCAGGCGGCTCTGATGTGCTTAGGTTTGACAAGGACTGTTGTACTCTATCTTCAGGTTCATTATCTCTCTCCTCAACTGTGTCTCATCTGTTGCTTAATCTATACATTGTATGTTTTAAAATTTATCAATGATTATATTTTTAATTTCAAGGAAGTGTATGTGTTTGTTTAAATGAAAAAAAAGTCTGACTTGTCAGTTCTGGTATTATCTTGCTCCTTGCTGATTTTTAATACCAGTGTTTACTCCTTTAGCTATTTTATACATTGCCTTTCATTCATTTTAATACACATGTCTACTTTAACTATTTCACATATAATCTTGTTATATTCTCTAGCTAATATCAAATATCTGAAGTCTAAATCTGTCTTAGCTTGTTTTTGCCAACTCATGTTTATGGTGACTTGCCTCTTCATGTGTTTAGTGATTTTTATTTCATGAAAGAGCTTATATTTGGCTGAATTTAATCTGGGGGAAATCCTGAGGGGCCTGGACTGAGTATGATTGTCTACGAAGATGATTAGGGTTTGCTTCTTCCAAGTGCCAAAGATGCTGCCAGCCCGACGCTGCTTCGGTTCCTCCACCTTGGGGTCCCATGATGGAGAAACCAAAATGGTTTCACAGACTCCAGGCCATGAGCTCCAGGTCTGTGCCCAGCCCGGAGCTCAGAGCCATGCAGGTTTTCCTCACCCAGCCTTGCACTGAAGATACAGCCCATCAGGTAACCTGGCTCATTATGCCAGGATCTCCAGGCCTGTGCCTCAGTCTCCCAACCCCTGAGCACCATCAATCCGCAAAACTTTGGCCTCCCAGGATTAGCTTTTGCAAGCTGGCTTTCAGGTTTTTGTTCACCCGTCTTTGGGGTTAGCAGCTTTCCTTGGCCCTTAATGATTCGCTGTACTTCCTTGTGAACTTTGCAATGAATTTAAATATATGTTTTTAAAAATATGTATCCATCAACTGGGTGTTTTGTGAACGGAGGCTTATTAGAATGTCTAGGCTGCCATAATGCCTAGGATCTCTTTAAACTGTAAACTATTTAGAAGTGATAGTTTCATTTTCCAGACATAGGATCTTTTATGATCAGGTTCTATTTGTATTGTATTGTGGCCAGAAAGCATGAAACCTGGCCACTGAAAAAGACACCATTGAAAAAGACATAATCATGTCTGTTTTCATGTCTGAATTCAGACATGATCTGAATAGCTTTTTTTTCTTTTGAGATGGAGTCTCACTCTGTTGCCCAAGCTAGAGCACAGTGGTGCGATCTCGGCTCACTGCAAGCTCCACCTCCTGGGTTCACGCCATTCTCCTGCCTCAGCCTCCTGAGTATCTGGGACTACAGGCGCCCGCCACCACGCCCGGCTAATTTTTTTTTTCTTTTTTATTTTATTTTTTCTGTATTTTTAGTAGAGACGGGGTTTCACCATGTTGACCAGGATGGTCTCGATCTCCTGACCTCGTGATCTGCCTGCCTCGGCCTCCCAAAGTGCTGGGATTACAGGTGTGACCCACTGCACCCAGCACTGAATATCTTTTTTATCTGATTTATCTGGAGACTATTTTGTTGCTTTGAGTATTGTTCAGGGTTCTTAGTTGCAGATTGCAGGATCCACACAGGCAAGTTTTAGCAGAAAGAGGTTTTTTTTTTGAAGGGTATTAGGATCTTACAGAAGCTCTGGAAGGGCTGGAGAACCAGAAAGGATGTCCCCACGTCCAAGAACGTGGCAGCCAAGAGAAACCCAACCCCACCAGGAGGCTTTTCCAGAAGAAACCCACTGCCACTGCCTCCCAGCAGAGCTCAGCACTGTGGTGCTAAGGGGATGGGACCAAACCCCTCTGCCACCAAACAGACCAGAAGAGCTGATCACCACCTGGGCTAATTCCTTCCTTCCACCTTGCAGGCAGTTGTGTCTGTTGTGTCTGCTACAGAGAAAAATGGGCACAGTACCTTCTAGCTGCCCAGCCTCTGTAGTTCAAGAAGGCAGACCACATCCAGAGACACGAGGAGGGGTGGCCTGGATAGGAGCCGAGACTTCCTCCTGTAGCTGTGGGGTGGGAGCATAGGTGCAGTCAATTTGATATAATGTATATTTTCTCTATGAAGTATGGGGTAAGATTATCAGCTGAGAGTGAGGGGACCATAGTGGATATTTAAGAAGAGGAAATGGTGCAGAGGGGTTGCCACAGAGAGCAGCAAGGGACATTTACTGGGGAAGAGTTGTGGGCGTGTCTGGCAGTTACAGCAGGAGCTTCCCCAGTAAGCTCAGGGGGAGGCTGGGGAGGGAGGAGTGGAGTGAAGAAGTAGTTGTGTGGGTTCCAAGCTTTGTTCAGGAGGGAGGTGAGGGCTGGGCAGGATGAAGGATAGGGTAAAACAGAGTGGTGGGTGGACGTAGAGCTGGTCTCAAGGAGGAGGGGTGAAGACACAGAGGTGAAGGTTGGAGAGAGAAATGTCTAGAACTAGGAGAGGCCAGAAGAGAGGCCTGTGGACTTGGTGCGGGACTGGGGCTGCCGGAGGGTCTTCTCAGCATTCCTGCGCCACCCTCGGCTCACATCAGTGCCTGAGAGGGGTCCCTTTCCCTCTCTTGCTGCCTTTGCTGGTGCTGGGCTCCTGACGGGGTGGAGGCATCCTGGGCCTCGGGTGAAGCTTTCTCACTGCTCCGGCCCCATCCAGCCCCTCCAGGGCAGCCCTCTCTGCCTCCTGTCTCTGGCGGCTATTGGGCTCATCCCCTCAGACCTCTGCTTTGTAGAGGAGCAGACCTTGGGCCCAAGGGGTCGCTGCCCATTCTGCAAGGATGTCGATCCTTCCCCTCCCCCAGAGCCTGGGTGAGGTTCCCAGTGGAGGAAGGAGGGGTTCTTACCCCTGTCCTAGAGGCAGAGAGTTGAGTGGGTTTCCCCAGCAGCTTAAGGCTTCTGCATCCTATCGGGGGGTCTGGAGAAGTGGCCCCGTGCACACACTCTCTCACCTCGGGCTTGCAGGTGGATCTAGAGCACCAGCAGAGGTGCGAGGAGAAGGGCTGGGGGCAGGTGGGAGCCGCCCTGGTGGCTGGGTCCCCCAGCTGTCCTAGACTGACATGGCAGCCTGCACGTGGCCTTCAGAATTTGTTCAAAGATGAACTGACTTCTTCCTCCCCTCCTCGGTGACTGCCACCACTTCCTCCCACACTTTGCCAGGGGTGAGAGCTGGTGGCAAGTCCGGCTCTCCTTGGAGCCTGGGGCTGTGTAATTCCGTCCCTCCCCTTGGCTCCCTGTGACCCCGCGCTCATGGGCTCAGGGGAAGAACTGTGGCTGCAGGTTGCCTGGCTTGTCCCTGTTGATGGCAAGTAGCCCTCTGTTGCCACTTTTCTACATCGTAAGCAGAGTGGGAACCCATGGTGGTGTCTTTCTCAGGGTTCAGCTGGTGGCTCAAGGAGACGGGATGATTGAGCGTGCGCAGACCTCACCACGCTGATGTGGAAACTCACTTGCTTTTGACGCTTTCACAGTCCAGCAGCGTCTTGCCCACGTTTCATGTCAAGCTCACTGGCTGGCAGTTTTTCAGAATCCAGTCTCCCTAGTGTCTGTCCAGCCTCGTTGTGCCCTTCAGCCCCCATCCTGGTGCCGTTAGGCCCATTGGTGTTCTAGGTGCCTCCATGGAGACTGGAGGCCACATGCGGGCTGGGGGCTATTTCCTCCGGTGCTGCCTCCTCCACCCTCCCATTCTGAGGCTCTTCAGTTAAAATAGGATGAAAATAGGAATCCTGTGGTCCCTCATGGCCTCCTCCGCACCACAGAATTTTTTGTTTTTGAGATGGAGTCTTGCTCTTTTGCCCAGGCTGAAGTGCAGTGGTGCGACATTGGCTCACTGCAGCATCCACCTCCCAGGTTCAAGCGATTCTCTCGTCTCAGCCTCCTGAGTAGCTGGACTTACAGGCTCCTGCCACCACGCCCAGCTAATTTTTGTATTTTCAGTAGAGATGGGGTTTCACCATGTTGGCCAGGCTGGTCTCAAACGCCTGACCTCAGGTGATCCTCCTGTCTCGGCCTCCCAAAGTGGCAGGATTACAGGCGTGAGCCACTGCACCCAGCCTGCACCACAGAATTTAATTAGGGAGTTGGCCAGCCCCAGCCACCCTGTTAGAAGAGGAGATCCTTAGGTGGGAGCCCTGGGATTGTCTCCTGCCAAGCTTCATTTTCACGGCATCTGTCAGCATGCACACCGACCTCCCTCAGTGTTTATCCTTCACGGCATGATCTTCTGCCTCCTCAGCTCCGAGTCCAGCTCAAACAGGAGGGTGCAAGCCTACCGGGTCCTCCCCTACGGGGCTCGTCCTCTCCTGCTCCATGAGAGGGCCTCAGGAGGAGGGGTCAGAACAGCGTTCTGCACCTTCCATTGCCCTCACCTTGAAGCATCCTTCCCCTGGGTCTGACCAGTCTGACCATGTGAGTCTCTTAGGAACTTCAGCCAATGAGCAAACATGTATTGAGCACCTGCTGTGTGCCTTCCCCTTTGCCAGATGTTTGACACTTAAAGTTGATTCTCAGAGGACCCTGCAGGGAGCTTCCAGGCCAGGGGAGGGAGGGGGAGAGATTAGCTGCAGAGGTGGTTTTGGCACCACATGGGAAGGTGTCAGGGGGGCCATCTGCCCAGTGGTTTTGGCCAGTGGTCCTGGAGGACACAGAGGTGGGGGAGCTGATTCCTGTCTGACAGGTTACTGTACTTGGTGCCGGTGAGGTCTGAGACACCGCAGTCACATCCTCAAGGTCCCCTCACTTCTCCACAAAATAGTTTTTCCTCGTTGGTCAGAATGCAATCAACACGAATCTACACGTGTAGTAAAATGACATCAGACCGCACCCGCACTGTGCCCATGCCCACCTCCTGGTTTTGGTGTTTTCACTTAAGACAGAGCCTGGGGAGAAACTGCAGGAAGGGTGCAGGGACCTCACTGTACTGTCCTTGTCACCTCCTGCAAGTCTATAGTTATTTCTAAATAAAAAGTAAAAAGATAAATTGAGAACCTTGTCCCAAACTAAACCTTTTTGCCTTTGCACCCCCCAACCCCGACTTCCGTACCTCTCCCTGCTTCTTCTGAGGATTCAAATCAAGCCCAAGACAGTCACTCTAATTTGCTTTGGAAAACCCCAGTGGAGACCCAGAAGCAACTCGGTTTCTGGCAGAGCCCAGGCTTCCAGGGGAAAGCGCAGGATGGGAAGGAAGGAACCAGGGTTTGAGCCTCCCCTCGCCTCTCTGGAGGCTGCCTCTCCATCAGCTGTGTTGGAGGCTGGGGCTCCGTCTGGTTTTTGGGGCTGTGCAAAAATCAAATTGGAAGGAGTTGCCCTTCTTCACTCCCTGAAAGCCCTCCAGTTACCAAAAGTGGCTCATTTAGGATGCATTGAGTCATTCATTTTTTTTTCTATCTTCATGGTGTGTGGTTTTGATACAGTCTGTGGCATCAGACAGCAAAAATACAAAGCCATAAACCGCTCCCTGGTTTTCCAAATGCCTCCCTTTTCATCTTGTGAGAAGACATTTTTTGCCCTTAGGGTGAAATAAATCGTGGATGCAAGTGCAGGGGCTGAGGGCTGCGTCACCTGGTGAGCTGTTTGCAGAACTCAGGTGTACCTGGAAGGGTGAGAAATGAGTCTGACTGGGCTTCCCTGGGATGAAGGTGGGTGGGGGCTCTGATTTGCATTTTCTCCCAAATGTTCGAATACACTGCAGCTCAGGCACTGTGACTAATCACAAGATTTAATGGCCTTAAAGTGCTCACTGAGGGCCCAATTCAATTAAAAAATGTCCTGCAGAAGCCATGAATAATCCTCTTGTCTTTGCTTTTCCAGAGTCTTCCTGAGGCCTCCGCCGAGCGAAGGCCAAATGGGCGTTTTATTTTTTTAATTTTCTTCTTCACCAGTCACGTGAGTGCTCACCTCCTGCGAGGCCGGCCTGTCCCACTTCTCGCTGGCACAGGTGCGACGCTGCCTGTGTTTGCACTGACACCTGGGAAATGACTTCTGCTCCTTCTCCAGTTTGACAGACTCTGGAACGAGATGCCAGTCAATGCCAAGGGGAGGCTGAAATACCCGGACTTCCTGAGCAGGTTCAGTTCCGAGACAGCAGCCACACCAATGGCCACTGGTGACTCGGCCGTGGCCCAGAGAGGGAGCAGTGTCCCTGACGTCTCGGAAGGCACCAGATCTGCCCTCTCATTGCCCACTCAGGAGCTGAGACCAGGGTCAAAGTCGCAGAGCCACCCCTGTGTGAGTTCTCCATCCTGCCAGGTGTCCCAGGCCTCCTCATGCCACATCCACAAATCCCACTGGGGGGACTTTGGGGGCCCTACTATGGCCCAGGGTTGAGTGGCTGAGAAGACGGGTGAGTCTGGGGTGGGGGCACATGCAAGGATCCCACTGGCAGGTCCTTAGCATCCATTCCCTGGGAGGGGGGCAGACGTGGGGATAGGAACGGTGGAGGAGTGGGATGGAAAGGAGGCAAGAGCGGGTGCAAGGTGGGAAAGGGAGCGAGAGGCAGGGCGGGAGGCACCTGTCCGCAGTGCAGTGGTGCTGCCGGCAACTCTGTGCAGAAGGCAAAGCCCTGTGGTCAACTGCGGGCCACCGTCCCTTGAAGCAAGTTATACCCATTTTCCAGTTGAACACAGTGAGGCTCTAAGAGGCATTCTCATGTGATCTTGGTCCCTCAGACGTGGAGCGACCTGATTTTAAGCCCAGGCCTGTCAAATTGCACAGCCTGGAGCCCTGGCTGAGCCACCCCAGGCCTGGGACGGAGGAAGGTGCCCAGGCTTGCCAAGCCTCTTTTTTTGTCTGCAGAAAGGGATGGCAATGTCATCAGGACAGGGTGGTTGAGAGAATGCCACACCATGCACATGAAGCCACCATCACTATGCGTGACCTTGACCTTGGCTAGTCCATTCTCATTAACTCCATGCAAGTTTATTGCACACCTACTGTGTGCTGGGTATTTTCTATAGCTGAGAATGAACTAAGGTTCCTGCTCTTGTGGAGTTTGTGTTCTTTTAGGGGTAATAGGCAAGAAAAGCAGTATGCATAAGTGTTTATTACATTAAAAGGCGGTAAGTAGAGCAGAGGGAAGAGGGGTCAGGAGCACCCCAAAGATGCCTGTGTCCTAATCCTTGGAAGCTGTGACTATGTTGTCTTACATGGCCAGGGAAGTTAAGGTTGCAAACAGAACTGAAGTTGCTAATCAGCTGGCTTTGGGGAGAGTATCCTGGAGTAAGCAGGTGGGCTCAGGGTAATCACATGGGTCTTTAACTGGGAATCCAGAGGCAGAAGGCTCAGGGCTAGAGAGATGCAATCTGAGAAAGATTCCACCTAACACTGCTGGCTTTGGAGAGAGAGGAGGGGGCCACAAACCAAGGATTGTGAGAAGCCTCTGGAAATTGAAAAGGCAAGAAAATGGATTCTCCCCTTGAGCCACTGGGCACCTTGATTTTAGCTCAATGAGACCCAGTTCAGACTTTGGACCTCCAGAACTGTAAGATAATAAGTTGGTGTTGTTTTAAGCCACTAAATTCACGGAAATCTGTTACAGCAGCAGTAGGAGGCTGGAGGCCTGGAGGCCATGATGAGGACTTTGGCATTCACTCAAGGGGTATGGAGCCTTTGCTTATTTTTAAGCAGCAAAGTGACATAATCTGAGGGACTCTTTAAAGACCACTCTGGAGCCGGGTGCAGTGGCTCACACCTGTACTCCCAGCACTTTGGGAAGCCGAGGCAGGTGGATCATGAGGTCAAGAGATCGATACCATCCTGGCCAACATGGGGAAACCCCATCTCTACTGAAAATACAAAAATTAGCCAGGCATGGTGGTGGGCGCCTGTAGTCCCAGCTACTTGGGAGGCTGAGGCAGGAGAATGGCGTGAACCTGGGAAGCGGAGGTTGCAGTGAGCCGAGATTGCACCACTGCACTCCAGCCTGGCGACAGAGCAAGACTCCATTTCAAAACAAAAAAAAAAACAAAAAAACAAAAAACACTCTGGATGCTGGGGGTGTGGGTCGGTGAGGAGGTCTAGCAGAGGCGATGGTGGCTTGGGATGGGGTGCTGGTGAGACTCTGGATGTATCATCAAGGTAGAGCCAACAGGATTTCCTGAGGGATCAGATGTGGGATGGAGAGGGTGAGGGAGAGTCAAGGAAGACTTCTAAGGGTTCAGGCTGAGCAACTGGAAGAAGGACCTAATTATCAACTGAGATGCAGGAGGCTCTGAGGTTTGAGAGAAAAACCAGGAATCCAATGGAATTGCATAAGTTACTAATTTAGATAACCACTTGTCAACGGGGACTTCAGGAAAAAAAACCTGGGCTAGATTAGAGCCACTCCCTTGTTTTTAAATAGGAAATACAATAAAGCAAAGAACAGCCTCGTACTTGATCCACATAATGTCTAAATAACAGATATTCTGTGAATGTTTACGGATTGGATGTCTTGTGCCCAGGACAAGTAAATCCCTTTCTTGGATAAGACTCTTCCGCTAGTGAAAAAATTTGTCGTTGTCACTTCTCACACACACACACACACAGCAGAAATATGTTTACATCTCATCTGTGTAGATTTGAACCTTGGCTACATGGCTATTTCCAAAATTATTTTGGTTATTATGGCTTGGCATAAGTACATATAGCCCACCAATGGAAATAAAAGCTACATTGTAAAATCACCATCTATGTTTTATTCTTCATTTTATTTCTGGGCTAATTCTGCCTCTAAAATTGTGAACCTCAAAACTGGAGGTATTGAGGTATTTTTGATGACTTCCGTTTTAAATCTTAAGTGAAAAGAGCCTTTTCTTTTCTTCCCTGCTAGACTCCAGCGAGCACCACCGTGATCCCGGGCACTCCACCCTTGCAGAACTGTGATCCCATAGAGAGCAGGCTCCGGAAGAGAATCCAGGGCTGCTGGCGCCAGCTCCTGAAAGAATGCAAGGAGAAGGACGTGGCCAGACAGGGGGACATCAACGCCTCCGATTTCCTGGGTTCGTTCAGATTCTATCTGCTTGGTAATATGTGGTCAGCCCCTGTGGCAAGAGGCTGTTCCCACTGGGTACAAAGCCACACCCCGGGTGGAGGCCAGGGAGCAGCAGAACAGGAAACTGGTGGGAACTTCTGGGTGGGCTGTGCAGCTTACTATACAAAGGTCCCCATGGAGGAGGATTCCGACTACCCGGCCCTCCCAGCAGGGGGCCCATCTGCATGGTAAAGTCAGCGCTGCACTAACTCTGAGCTTTAGAAATCACAGTGGTTGCCACCCTGGGCAGAGTGTGAATGTTCACAGACTCTGACTGCAGAAGGAAATGGAAAAGGTGGAGGAGGGCGGGATGAAGGGGACACTCCTGGGGCTCCATTCCCATCAACATTCACTCTTTGATGTTGTTTCGTTTTTCAGCATGTATCACTTTGGTAAACTTTTAAAATTAAACCAGTGGGATTTATACTTCCAGTAAATATTGCATCTTGGTTTTTTTGTTTTTTGTTGTTTTGTTGTTTTTTGGTTTTTTGTTTGTTTGTTTGTTTTTGAAACAGGGTCTTACTGTCACACAGGCTGGAGTACAGTGGTATGATCTCAGCTCACTGCAGCCTCCGTCTTCCAGGTTCAAGTGATTCTCCCACTTCAGCCTCCCAAGTAGCTGGGATTACAGGCATGCATCACCATGCCTGAATGTTTTTGTATTTTTTGGTACAGACGGGTTTCACCATGTTGGCCAGGCTGGTCTCAAACTCCTGATCTCAAGAGATCTGCCCACCTCAGCCTCCCAGAGTGCTAGGATCAGGTGTGACCCAACACACCCGGCCCAGTTACATCTTGTTTATTCAACATTTTACATTACAGGAAAATACATCTGACCATGTCACTCCTTGGCTTTTTAGCTCCCCCAACACATGACTAATATACAGACTCCTTTTAAAGGAAAATGTTTTCTTTGAGAGCCTCCAATATTAATATAAATTACTTTTATCATAATCATGACCTTAAAATGCACAAATGAAACCAGGTGTAAACTCTTTAAGTTAGAGCCTATTAAAAAACACTTGTAAATTAAGTATAAAAAATCTGAAATCAGTAATATTCAAATGTTGTTCATTGATTTAATGTAACGTTTTGCTGAAGCCAAAACACGCATGTTGGTTGTCACACATATTGGCGTTCCCTTTTTTTTTTAGTTAATTCTTTGATTTTGAGAGTGATAAACCTTCACTGTGTTACTGTCCTTATTGCTACTGCTGGCTTTTTCTTTTCAACCATGAACTCATTTAAGTCCCCACTCAGTTATTATGATAGGCTTGTCAGATGTTAGTCATGCATCCAAAATTCAATACTGTAAAAAAAAGCCGATTGCTTTCCAAAAGTCATTCTGTATTTTCTCCTCACTGCTGATGGCCTTCTGTGAGTCAGAGCATCAGAGGCATGTATGGGCCAGTTCCTTGGGGTTCCATGGGCCCCCGCTATGTCCTGACAGGCACCGTGACCTGCTGCTGCTTCCCTGTGTGCAAGGGCAAAGAAATCTCTGCTTCTAGAACGTGCAACAGCCTCTCTTGGCCTGGCTTGGCATGCAGGTGTCGTTTGCCTGCAGTCTGCTTCCACTGGCCTTCCTCATTTGCCTCAACAACTCACACAGCATTCCACTCCCTGACATTCTGTTCTTTCAGGATGTCAAAACAAAGTCTAGTCTATGAAACTTCAACTCAAATCTTATCTTACATAAGCCTCCTTCAATTATGAGTTGTCACTCCCAGAGAAGTGTTGTCTTTACAACTGGCAGGAGAATGCGGCATGAGGATGAGTGCCAAGCGTGGGGCGAGCCTTGCTCTTCAGAGGTTCCGGTGGGCCAGCCTCTCGGCCACCAGCAACACTCCCCGTGGAGCATCCACATGAGCCTGATCAGAAAGCTGGACTCAGCCCCTGAGGCTGCACAGCTGTTATCTCCTAAAGGTGGTCCCTGTATCCAGAATAAGTTGTATATATTTTTAGATCATCAATGGAATGGAAACTTAAAGCGAGAATTTGCCTTGCATAACAGACACTAGAGAACCTGTCTCTGGTGCCGTTAGGAAATACTTGGTCATAGGGCTGAGTCTGAATTCCATCCCCACAGTCCAGCCCCAGCCAGGCTCACTATGAGCTCAGGGAACCTTCCCCTGCTCCTCACACACCTGACTCTGCCCTGACACGGCGGGGAACACCCCCTTACCTCCCTCTCTGTGTTTTGGTCATAGCTCCCATAGTCTCTGTCCATAAGCTGTGACCATGCAAACCCAGGACAGTGTGGGCCAGCGGGACTCAGGGTCCCCCTCCCTGCGGCACTTAGTTTGTCACATGTCTGTCTCCACATATGTCCAGCCACCAACCGTGAGTTCTTTGATGTGAGGACCAAGCCAGGGCCTGAAGCAGAGAAGGTGTCTCAGCAAGTGTTGAATGAATGAGTGAAGAATGAATGAATGAATGAATCGCCACCAATTGAACTGCCATTTTTTTCTGTAGCTCTTGTGGAGAAATTCAACCTGGACATAAGCAAAGAGGAGTGTCAGCAGCTCATTATAAAATACGACTTAAAGAGCAACGGGAAATTTGCATACTGTGACTTCATTCAGAGCTGTGTCCTCCTGCTAAAAGCAAAGGAAAGCTCACTGATGCACAGGATGAAGATCCAGAATGCACACAAGATGGTATGTTGCCCACCTGCAGGAAATGTGGGGCCAGGTGGAAAGGGGCGCTTTCATTTTTATTTTTTTCAAGACAGGGTCTTACTCTATTGCCCAGACTGGAGAACAGTGGTTCACGGTTCACTGCAGCCTCAAACTCCCAGCTTAGGTGGTCCTCCTGCTTCAGCATCCCAACTAACTAGGACCACAGGCACAAGCTGCCATATCCAGCTAATTTTTGTATTTTTGTGGAGATGGGATGTATTAGTCCATTTTCACACTGCTATAAAGATACTACCTGAGACTGGGTAATTTATAAAAGAAAGAGGTTCAATTGACTCACAGTTCCACATGGCTGGGGAGGCCTCAGGAAACTTACAATCATGGCAGAAGGTGAAGGGGGAGGCAAGCACGTCTTACATGGTGCCAGGTGAGAGAGAGAGTGAAGTGGGAACTGCCAAATACTTTTAAAATCATCAGCTCTCATGAGAACTCACTCACTCTCACAAGAACAGCAAGGGGGAACCTCCCCCATGATCCAATCACCTCCCACCAGGTCCCTCCCTTGACAACTGGTGATTACAATTTGAGAAGAGATTTGGGTGGAGACACAGAGTCAAACCATAGCACAGAGTTTTGCCATGTTGCCCAGGCTGGTCTTGAACTCCTGGGCTCAAGCAATCCACCCACCTCAGCTTCCCAAAGTTCTGTGATTACAGGCATGAGCCACCGCACCCAGCCTTGTTTTTGTTAATTTGTCGCACTTGCGGATCACCTAGCTTCACAGAAAAGGTGGACTCAGAGGCTCCAGGAGGCCAGAGCCCAGCCCAGCCCAGTCCTGCTTCCAGCCAGGACTCATCTGTGAAATGTCCCCGGCCTTGCTGCCACCTGCCCCATAGACCCTACTCAGATGATCTCTATACGCATGTGATAACGTGAGCAATACTTAGCCACCCCATTTGCTCCGTTACTTCAAGAGGGCCAGGCAGTTGTCAGGTCAGCATGAGACGCCAGGGTCTGTCGAAGGGGGCAAAAAGCCCACAGCCTGTGTGCTGGGGGCTCGCACCTGGGAGGCAAGGGCTGCGGTAAAGACAAGGCCTCTACTAGGCTTTGGGGATATTGAAAACAGCTCAGAAATGTATTTTCTTGAAAGTAATTTAAGATTTTCTTCCTCTCCTTTTAGAACCCTATAAGGGTCTGGAGACCCCAGAATGGGAACCAGTAGCCTTGATCCCAGGTTTTCCAACTGTTCAGGTGGCAGACACCTGGTTATGGTGGCTCTTCCCAGGCGTCTGTGTGACCAAGGTGTCATACAGTGCCCTGGAGGCAGTGCCTGCTCAGGTGACCCAAAAGGCAAAGTGAGGGGTGGGGTGGGTCACAGCACTGGTCAACATTGGAACTAAAAGGGTCTTCATCCACCAGCCATTTGAGATGGGGCCAGGCCCTTTCCTCTGAGTGTGTGTGGTGGATGGAGTCTCTCGTCATCATTTTTGGCGGAAACTACACCCACCATGCATTGTCTACAGTTTTCTCTGTTTCTTTGAAGAGGAATGAAAACCTAAAGCCACTTAAAGGGCAGCTGGAGGGTACACAGTTCTTCCAGATTTTTACCTTTGGTTCTCAGCCACTTACAGTTCCACAATTGAAACCCACACCCAGTGCCATCATGGCGTCAGCTCCAGCCCTTCCAAAACATGAAGCCAAAAAATGTTTTTAGTACTGAATTAACGTTGAATTGAGTTACGCTGAATTAAATAACAAGTACAAGTACATCTGGTGCTGTCGATTTGGGGAACAAACACAGCTGATTCCGACCACCTTATGACTCAGATGGAGGGACCAGAAGTGTCGGGCTGAAAGCCCTGGCCCTGGCCCCACCCCCCACCTGGCCCCGCTCCCACTCACCCCACCCAAGGGCCACACCTGCCTGGGCCACAGTGGTGAGACTCTAGGGAATGGAGAGTGGGTTAAGCCAGCCACAGTTAAGTAGATGCCATGCAGAAAGTTTCTTCACAGCTAGTTTTGCAATTTTGTGCAAAATCAGGTTCCATCTTAGCCTAGCTTCTAGTTTAGACAAACAGGAGCTAGTATCAAAAGCTTAGACCAAGTTTACAATAAAAAAAAAAAAAAAGACTTTAGACAGTTCTGCCAGCTCAGTTCTTCTGTGCACAGAGAAAAGACTGTCCCCATTCCATCTTCACGGGAGCCACGAACGTGGAGAACATGGAGACACGTGGCAGCAAGGCCGCCATCAATTCCATCCTTCCTCCGCCTCCCTGGGCCTCAGTTTCTCCTTCTGGAGATCTGTGGAGGCTCTAAGACCTTGCTAGGACGTGCACGGGCTTCTGCGGAAGAGCACACCAGTGCCGCCTTCTGAGCCCTCCCCAGTGAAAGGGGCCACCCCAGTTCCCAGCTTCCAGCTGCACTGTCCGTCCTCAGCAACCCCGCAAAGCTGGGGTCAGAGTGGGGTCATGCTAGGTGCTGCGGGTCAGCCCACAGAGACTGTGGCACTCTCCCCCCGCCCCTCCCAAGGCACCACTCTGTGGTTCCGAAGAGTTCTCCCGCCCCCACTCCTCAAATCCCTGCACCAGACCGGAGTGGATTGAGATTGAAGGCTTTTCAGGAGAGAGTAGGCTCCTGACATGGTCCTGGTCACAGCCCTTGTCCCATCTGGCAGCTGCCAAGGCCACCACCATGTAAGTGTGGAGGTCAGGTCAAATGTCTCCCTGCAGAGGAGCTAAAAAGGGGACTTCATTTTCTGGTGATTTGGGAGCTTTCTCCACCCCATTAGGCAGCAGAAAGATGTCCTCGGGGGAAGGCAGCTTGGGTGCCGCCCCTCCCTGCAAGGTGGGTCAGAGGTGGGGGCTCTGGCCGGGCTGGTGGTCCTGCCCTGTGATGTGTGGTGTGGGAGGTCATGTGAGCCCCACACCCTCTCTTCCCCACCTGTGGATCAGCTGATTGGGCAAATTGGCAGCTCATGAAGTCTTGGGTACCTGGGGAGCACACATCATACGTGCCAAATGATGTAAAAAAAAAATGAAAGCAGCTTAACCCTGTGCTCATCTGTCTTACATAGTGTTATGTTAAAATTCAACTTTCCCAAGATGTGTTACGCATTGTTGCCTACCGTTCACCTTTGTGATATTCAAACACATTGGGGCTAAATCATGTTCAAATGTCTTGTTTTCAATCTAATAGCACCTAAATGAAGTAATCACAGTGTAGTGTTCTAATTACTAGATATAATTACAACCTTGTGAATTTTTTTTAACACTGTTCATTATAATAACTTACTAGAAAACACAGACTGAAATCTCTTTTTTTCCTCAAACTATTTTCAAATTGGCCCATATCTGCCCGGCCATCTCGTTGCATTCCCTGGGAGGTGGTGTGGCCTGAAGTGTGTTGGGGTCAAAGCCCAAGTCACTTTACCTCCCCGAGTCTCCACTTCCTAATCTGTGAAGTGGGGATAGAGACCTGCCTTCTTTCCGGGTTGCCAGTGGGGAGGTGTAAATGAGATGGCTGATGTAATACACGTTTTTAAACAGCCCACACAATGGTCAGGGGGCGGGTGCGCATCTTTGTGACGAGTTCTGGCAGGCTCCCTCCTCGATTCAGAGCCAGCGGAGCAGGTTGGGAGGTGAAGCCGGAGCAGGGCTGGGCGAGGCGGGGGCGAGGCGAGGAGGAGCCCACCCCAACCCTCGTGTTCAAAAGCTCCCTCCTCACCCCTTCTTGTCTTGTGTCTAGAAAGAAGCCGGCGCGGAGACGCCATCTTTTTACTCTGCTCTGCTGCGTATTCAGCCCAAAATTGTGCACTGCTGGAGGCCAATGCGGCGCACGTTCAAAAGCTATGATGAGGCTGGAACAGGGCTGCTAAGCGTCGCAGATTTCAGGACGGTGAGCACAGCTCTGCGCCCAGTGCCTCTGCAGGGAGCAGCTGCCAAATGCCAGCGGCCAGAAACTTCCCACGGGGAGCCCTCTACCTGCTGCCGAAGGCCCGGTGTGACCTGGCTGCTTCAGATCTCACTTCCCTGGGACCCCCAAGTTATCCAGTCCTGGGTCCACTCGCCTCACCTTCAGACCCCGGGTTCTCCTTCCCAAAGGTTGCTGGAGCCCTGCGTGGATGCCCCATACCTGCATCGCCAGCTCCTCAGGGTCAGTGCCTGAGCCCAGGTTCCTTAAGGCACTGCCATCACTGCTGCTGCTGCTCCGAGCCCTCTCCCCACACCTGGGCTCTCCTGCAGGCTCTGAAGAGCATCTCTGACCTATGTTGGACCTTCCAAGGGGCCTGCAAAGTGAGCCCTGCCCCTGCAGTACACAGCGGGGCTCCACCATTGGGCATCTGCCCTGATGTCCCTGGGTGCCCTCCATGTCCCACCCCCAGAGCCTAACAAACACCCCGCAGTGGTTTTCCAATCCACATTCACGTTCCTCTTTCCTTCGGGGTTAAGTATAAATCTCAGTCAGGGATTCTCCCTATCCCTCATGCAAAGAAAGGAAGGAAGTAGGGCAGGTTCTGTTATTCCCTTCCGGCAACTTCCCAGGAATTCGGGCGTGGTGCTGGGAAGGTGGCAAAAGAAACCTTGCCCTCCACAGAGTCACAGATCAGATGGCGTAATTGAGGGGCCGTCTCAGACACCAGGCTCAGCTTCCTTTTCTGCCTTCATCCCATGGGGCCCAATGGCCAGGCCTGCTGACCTCAGCCCCATAGGACCTCTGGGCCATCTAGCCCTGCTTTCCAGTCTCCTCCTAGAAACAAGTTATAACGCAAATGTGGATAGGAAATGTATGGCCTCATCTTTATATACTATGAGGGTCTGTCAGGATTTGTTTCAGCTTCACATAATGGGGCGGGGAAAATAGCAGCTTAAGGTGAAAGTTTATTTCACTCCCACATAAAAGAAGTCCAGAGGTAGGAAGGTCAGAGCTGGTGTGGTGGCTGGACAATCATCAGGGACCACATTTTTGCTCTGCTGTTCTCAACTCCTGGCTTCCTTCCTCTAGGCCACCTCATGATCCAAGGTGGCTGCTGGAGCCCCAGCATCACAGCCATATTCCAGGCAGCAGGTGGAAAAACAGGAGAGAAAAGGGCATGCCCCTCTCCTTTAAAGGAGGCTTCCTGGATGTTCTACATAACATTCTTACTTAGCTTCTCAGGCCAGAACATACCTAGCTGCAAGAGAGGCTGAGACATGTTCCCGGTTAGCTGGATACAGAGGAGCTGGGAGAGAGTCAGGTTCTATAACTGAAGAGGAAGGGGCAGTCAGTATTGGGTTTACCACCAGCAGGCTCTGCTCCAGGCTCTGTTACGGTCTTATCACAGCAACTCTCTGCACTCAGCACCCACTGGCCCTGCCCTCCCCTGCCTGGGCGCACCCTGAGGCTCTGCCCCAAGTTAGGGCTGCATGGCCAGGTCTCCCCTTGAGCCCCCACCTCTCTGATCATCAGCCTTGTCTGAATACGTTGACCAGCCTTCAGCCCCTCAGGGAGGCAAAGGTGATCAACCTCCTGTCTGCTCCAGTTTCACACCCAGATGCACACAGGGCTGCCCTTGGAGGCTGCTTCCTGTTTGGGCAGAGGTTGAGAGGGCATAGAGAGAGCGCACAGATGGGAGGCTGACATCGGAAGTGGGGTTGGGGATCAGGTGGATGTGTCCCCCAGCCCCTTCCTGGCAGCCTGCCTCCTTAACCTAGGGCACCAAACAAGCCTCAGAGGCCCCTTTTCTCTGTCTTCCAGGTCCTGAGACAGTACAGCATCAACCTCTCTGAGGAAGAGTTCTTCCATATTCTGGAGTATTACGATAAGACGCTGTCTTCAAAAATCTCCTACAACGACTTCCTCCGGGCATTCCTCCAGTAGACACCCCTGCTGTGTGCCCAGCGGGACGACAGCCACAGGGCCTGTTTCAAGGCTAATAAAATCCTATAATTTGGGGGTTTCATGAATTTTCAAAAAAAACAAAACTCAAGCCCAAGCCCAGCCCGCCTGTCTCTGGGTCGGGGGTAGGCACAGCTGCCCTGGGTTCTGGCATAGGATGCTTGCTCTCCAGGTGCCAGGTGCTACCACTATGTCTTGGGCACCCTCACTTGTTAGTCTGAACAAATAATCTTTGCAAGAATGATTCTTGACACTATAAAATAATTACTAATGCTAACTTTTTTTTTTACACGGAGTTTGGCTCTTTTGCCCAGGCTGGAGTGAAGTGGCGCTATCGGCTCACTGCAACCTCCGCCCCCTGGGTTCAAGCAATTCTCCTGCCTCAGCCTCCCGAGTAGCCGGGATTACAGGCACCCACCACACCCGGCTAATTTTTGTATTTTTAATAGAGACAGGGTTTCGCCATGTTGGCCAGGCTGGTCTCGAACTCCTGACCTCAGGTGACCCACCCACCTCAGCCTTCCAAAGTGCTGGGATTGCAGGCATGAGCCTCTGCGCTAACATTCTTAAAAGCTTGGACTTTCCGGAGGTTTTGTTCATGGCCCCTGCCAGGTGTCTCCTCCAGTCCAGAGCAGTTGGGGCCCTGCACCCCATTACCCAAGGACTGCTGCCTCCTTTGACCCCCCAGCTTCCTGGGTCCTGGATCAGAGGACATCTGAGCCCCCTGCTGCAGTCAGGGTGGCCATGTCTCTGCTCCTAGAGGCACAGGCACTGACCGCCCCATCGCTGTCTTGCTCAGGGATGCCAGCCAGCCTGACTCCATGAAGAGCAACTCACGCCTGAGTGAGACCCCCTGGAGCTTTGGGCCTCCCTCCGCCTTCCTGAGCCCAAGCCTAGTGGCCACTGGCCGTAACCCCCACCAGGGACAGTTCTGAGAGGGCCCTTCCTTGGAACTGACAGGTTTGACAAGAGAAGTTTGAAAATCGTCACTCCGCTTTCATGGACTGTGACTCAGCTGAGAGACTCAGGCAGCGTTTGCCACCTTCTGGAAGGTTCTCCAAGGAACTGGGGAGCAGCAGGCAGGATATGGGGTGTGGGGGGAGCACCTCCCCTCCACCTGGGCCCCAGGCCTTGCCCACCAAAACGCCCTTCCCTGCCCCTGCACAGGGTCCAAATGAGGCCACACCCTGAGGTGAGCAGATCTCTCCCTGAGTGGCAGAGCCGCGCATTGGATGGGTGTGATTGGGAGGACAGGCTCCCGCCCAGCCCGCGCAGGCCTTCTATTTCCTGGAAAATGTTTCCTGGGGTCACCTTTGTTTCCATCTGTCCTTAGTTTCCTCCTCATTTCAGGCTGGACCGCTGCAGGGGGAACGGGGTGCTCAGGCAGCCCCAAGTTCAGGGAAGGGGAAGGGGACCCTGAGTAGGCACATCAACAGGGCCATGCAGTGATTACGGGACAGAGACGCCCTGGACCCCAGCTGCTCCTCCATGTGACTTTGTACCAGGTCCCATCCCTTCAGCGTCCTCATCTGTAGAAATGGTGGGACCACACTTGTGTCACCTTTGTTGTGGGACCTGGGCCTGTGGGCAGCAGATGTTCCCATGAGAGAGGCTTCAGCCCAGAATAAGGAAGGCCTGTGAGGGCCAGGGGCACCAGCCTGAGACTCCGGCCAGAGGCAGGGCAGTGTCAGCTCCCAGTGAACACAGGCATGCCAGACTCAGGCTGAGGACAGGCCAGTGCCAGCAGTCAGTGAGCACAGGTGTGCGGGACTCAGGCCGGGACAGGGCAGTATCAGCAGCCAGTGAGCACAGGTGTGCGGGACTCAGGCTGGGACAGGGCAGTATCAGCACCCAGTGAGCACAGGTGTGCAGGACTCAGGATGGTACAGGACAGTATCAGCGCCCAGTGAGCACAGGTGTGTGGGGCTCAGGCTGGGACAGGGCAGTATCAGCGCCCAGTGAGCACAGGTGTGCGGGGCTCAGGCTGGGACAGGGCAGTGCCAGCACCCAGTAAGCACAGGTGTGTGGGACTCAAACCCAGCGCTTCACACACATCATCATTTAGACTCCTGTGAGCATCCCCATTTGACAGATGAGGAAACTGAGGTACCGGAAGTTTTCCAGAGTCTCACAGCTTGCAGGATTTGGCCCAGACAGTGAGTAACAGCCCAAGCCAGTGTCAGAGGCCCTGAAGGTGGGCGGGCAGGCTCCCCTGCAGGCAGCACCAGGACTCACTCAGCCCTGTGCCCACATCCCTGCCTCCAAGCCCTGGCTCCTGCTGGCTCCTCCTTCTGGGACTACTTCTGTTCTCATCTGCACAGCCCGCGTACTCTTCCTCTGAGGCCCAGCTCCAATCCTCCTGTAACCCCTGGGCAGAGGCTGAGCTCCCCGTTCGATGCTGTCACCGCTTGGCAGAGAGAGTCACTCCCTTCTGCACCCACTGCTGGGCCCAGACTCCACCCATAGGGTGAGAACACTGACCTGCGCCCCCAGCCTGGCACACAGCAGGTGCTTTAATGCTGGCAGGGCACAGCCTCTGGGTCCCTTTCCCAGAAGGAAAGCTGACCAGGTTCTGCAGGGAGTGCTGGCAAGTTGGGGAGCAACTCTGGTGTTGGGGGCTTCTCTGTGGATGGAGTCTGTGAGTGCTGGACTCCCCATAGCACTAGGAGGTGGCTGTGGGGTCAGACCCACATTCTCTTGGCCACATCTCCCAGCTTCTGGCAAAACAAGTTCTGGATCTTCCCATGCATGTCCCACCAGCACTGCTGGCACCACACTCTGACATAACAGTTTTAAAATGCAGTCTCCCCTGTAAAAACAAATCAGGTGACACTGAGCTTTCAATGAGCTCTGGAAAGAAGGCTTGGCATCTGCCGGCTGTTATTCCAACCCCAGAAATTGAAAGTGTGTCCCCAAATTTGCAAAGTAACCTATTAAAATCCCCACCATGATGGAGGGTTGCATGCTTAGTGGTGAGGGGCAGATGGATGCCCTGCCCATGTGCCCTGCCTCAGCATTGGAGGCCCGACCTGGGTGCCCAGATCCCATCCTGTGTGCTGGACTTCAGCTTCCCCATGCTTGTTCTTACATATCTTTGCACTTGGCACCAGCAGTTTCTTCCACCTACTCCTCAGGAAATGCCGGGTATTCCTTCGAAACTCTCAAAGCCACCTCTTCCACGAAGCTTTCCTGACTTCCTGAGGCTGAGTCAGTACAATTAGTCTGAACCTGTTCAGCAGCCTTGAGGGTCCATCATTTTTAAGGGTTGAAGAAGGAGGAGGAGAAAGAGGAAGGAAGAAAAGAACAAGAAATGCAACCGACTGCATGTATGTGGACCTCAAAGCCTAAAATATTTACTATCTGATCCTCCACAGAGCAAGTTTGCTGGGCCCTGCTATACAAATGTCTGGCTTTCAACAAAAAATTTTGAGGTATACCAAGGGCAATTATAAAAACAGTTTGAGAAGACAAAGCAATCACAAGAATCAGACTCAGACATGACAGATTTTGGAACCATTAGAAAAATGTTTAAATAACTGGTTTATGTGTTAGAGCGCTAATGGAAAAGAAAGACAACACACGACCAGCCAATTTCAGCAGAGAGATGAAAACTGCAAGAATCAGAAAGGCTAGAAATAAAAAAAACACAGTAATAAAGATGAAGATTGCCTTTGACAGGCTCGCTCATCAGTAGATTCTACATAACCAAGGAAAGAATGAGTGAGCTTGAAGATAGGTCAATAGCATGTATCTAAACCTAAATGCAGAGAGAAAAAGAGTGGGGAAAAATCGCAGAATATATAAGAGCTGTGGGACAGTATAAGATGGTCTAATATGGGGCCGGGCACAGTGGCTCATGCCTGTAATCCCAGCACTTTGGGAGGCCGAGGTGGGCAGATCATGAGGTCAGGAGTTCAAGACCAACATGGTGAAACCTCGTCTCTACTAAAAATACAAAAATCAGTGGGGTATGGTGGTGTGTGCCTGTAATCCCAGCTACTCAGGTGACTGAGGCAGGAGAATTGCTTGAACCCGGGAGGCAGAGGTTACAGTGAGCCGAGATCGCACCACTGCACTCCAGCCTGGGTGACAGAGCGGTGAGACTCTGTGTCAAAAAAAAAAAAAAAAAAAGTCTAACATGCACATAATTCAGGAGGAAAAGAAAGAGAACATGGTGCAGAAGAAATATTTGAATAAATAATGGCTGAGGATTTTCCAAAATTAGTTACAAACACTAAACAACAGAGAACAGAAGCATATAGAACCTGGCAGGATACACACACACACACACACACACACACACACACACACACACACACACACACGCACCTCTAGGAATATCATATTCGAATTGCTGCAAAAAAAAAGAAGGCAGCTAGAGAAAAAAGATGTACATGACCTACAGAGGAACAAGGATAAGAATTATAGCATACTTCTCAGAAACCATGCTAACCAGCAGACAATGGCATAACATTTTCAGAGTGCTGAAAGAAAATCATCAAGCTCAAATTTTGTAACCAGCAAAATACCTTTCAAAAATAAAGAGATACATTGGATTTTCTAGGCACACAAAAACTGAAGGAACTCACTGATGGCATACTTACCATAAAATAAATTTTAGGCTGGGTGCGGTGGCTCACACCTGTAATCCCAGCACTTTGGGAGGCCAAGGCGGGTGGATCACTTGAGGTCAGGAGTTTGAGATGAGCCTGGCCAACATGGTGAAATCCCGTCCCTACTAAAAATACAAAAATTAGCCAGGCATGATGGTGGGCACCTGTACTCCCAGCTACTTGGGAGACTGAGGCAGGAGAATTGCTTGAACCCAGGAGGTGGAGGTTGCAGTGAACCGAGATCACACCACTGCACTCCAGTCTGGGTGACAGAGCATGACTCTGTCTCAAAAAATAAATAAATAAATAAATAAATAAATAAAGGAAGTTCTACAGGCAGAAGGAATATGATTGAGTCAGAAATTTGGATCTATCAAAGAAATGAAGAGTATCAGAAGTGATATAATCAAAGGTAAAATAAAATATGTTTATACCTGAAATTATTTTAAAAGTTAGCCATCTAAAGCAAAATCTGTCACAGTGTATTATGTGTTTACACCACATTTAAAAGTACAACAACAAGCACGAGGGATGGGCAGAAGGAATTCAGAGTGTACTGTTAAAAGTTTCTTATACTGCATGTGAAGCAATATGATATAATTGAAGACAGATTGTTTTATAATGTATTTATAAACCATAGAGCAATCACTAAAAATATACTTTTAAAAATAGACTTGCAAAAGGTAAAATTAACAAGTGAACAGAGGAGATAAAAGGGAATCATGAAGGGTTACATCAGCAGAAATGGCAGAGGAAGGCCCTCCAAAAGACCTTTCCTCCAAAACAGCAGCAAGAAAACTGGCAACAATGGTCAGGATCAACTTTTTTGAGAACTCTAGAAATTATCCAAAGGCTTGCAGGAACCGAAGGGGCACTTATTCAAGAAAAGTAGCTGAGCGTTGGCAAGACTTGTGGCTTTTTTTTTTTTTTTTTTTTCTGAGACGGAGTCTTGCCCTGTCACCCAGGCTGGAGTGCAGTGGTGCCATCTCAGCTCACTGCAACCTCCACCTCCCGGGTCCAAGTGATTCTCCTGCCTCAGCCTCCCAAGTAGCTGGGACTATGGCATGCGCCATCGTGCCCGGCTAGTTTTTGTATTTTTAGTAGAGATGGGGTTTCACCACGTTGGCCAGGCTGGTCTCGAACCCCTGACATAATCCACCTGCCTCAGCCTCCCAAAGTGCTGGGATTACAGGTGTGAGCCACTGCACCCAGCCGACTTGTGGCATTTTAACTGCCCTAGTCCAACCAGCCACTCTCCAGGTCCCCAACAGCCTTAGAAAATAACAGCCTGCATTCCCAGTTCAGTGTGATAGTCACCACACAGAGCAGAACAGAGCTGGAGCAACTTCAAAGCCTATTTCACCAAAATATGGTCGCTATTTGGCCTGCATGGTGGATCCCTGAAAGATGCCCTTTGCAAGGCTGGCTGTTTTGGGCCTAACTCGGAGCTTGCCCAGGTGTAAAAAACCTTTCTCCCAGAGTTAAGGAGGGAGTATTTGTAAAAAAAAAAAAAAAAAAACAAAACAAAAAACAAAAACAAGAAAGTGTTTTAACTTGGTGGCCGCCTAAGGCAATGGATAACAGCTGGGGTAATCAAAAGGCTACTCAGAAAGCTTAAAAGGAAAAGCTGGGAAATAAAATGTCACGTGGAGGCCTTAAAAAACACCAACATATTTCTTGAGAATCTAGAAAGCTACAAATGTAGACAGTGCTGTGTGTATGCCCGGGGTTGTGAGCATGCTCAGAAAAGACATTAAAAAGGCCCTACACTCTCACCTCTGGCTGACTTGCTGCACCAGCAGAAAGTGAAGGCTGATGCAGAGTGGCCAGCCACCTGGCTGAATGTTGAAGGTGCGTCCTGACAGGCACTCAGAGCATTTCAGCAGAGACTGGGAAATTTTTTATTTTTATTTTATTTATTTATTTATTTATGTGAGACGGAGTCTCACTCTGTCACCAGGCTGGAGTGCAGTGACGTGATGTCGGCTCACTGCAACCTCCCCGGGTTCAAGCGATTCTCCTGCCTCAGCCTCCCGAGTAGCTGGGATTACAGGCGTGTGCCACCACGGCCGGCTAATTTTGGTATTTTTAGTGGAGACGGGGTTTCACCATGTTGGCCAGGATGGTCTACAGGATGGTGATCCGCCCACCTCAGCCTCTCAAAGTGCTGGGATTACAGGTGTGAGCGGGACTGAAAAATTTATTGGTTCCAAGTGTTTAAGGAAACCTCTGTCTCATCATCAGCTGACCACTAAGCTAATAACTGAAAGGAAATTTCCGTGGCCACACATGACAGAGAATGCAGACCTTAAAGAATTCACATGGAAGAGTCACTAAACAAACAAAGCCAACTACAACAAGCAGCAGCAACAAATCCTTCAGGGCATTGAAGGGGGAGGGGACAGGGGAGGGGACGGGATCTTACTTCCAAAGTTGCCAAACTACATTATTTAAAATATTCAGTTTTAGGCCGGGTGCGGTGGCTCACACCTGTAATCCCAGCACTTTGGGATGCCGAGGCAGGCGGATCACCTGAGGTCAGGAGTTCGAGACCAGCCTGGCCAACATGACAAAACCCCACCTCCATTAAAAATACAAAAATTACAGCCTGACCAATATGGTGAAACCCCATCTCTACTAAAAATACAAAATTAGCTGGACATAGTGGTGCACACCTGTAGTCCCAGCTACTTGGGAGGCTGAGGCAGAAGAATCACTTAAAACTGGGAGGCGGAGGTTGCAGTGAGCTGAGATCATGCCACTGCACTCCAGCCTGTGACAGAGCAAGACTCCAAAAAAAAAAAAAAAAAAAGAAAGAAAGAAAAAAGGCATTGTAGACCTAAATGTAAAACACAAAACTAAAAAAAAACTCCTAAAAGAAAGCATGAGAGAAAATCTACATGACCTTGGGTTTGGAGATGGGAAATGGATTTTTAGATATGACACCAAAAGCACGAGCTATAAAAGAAGAAATGGATAAATTGAACTATATCAGAATTTTTAAATTTTGCTCTAAGAAAGACACTGTTAAAAGAGTAAAAAGAGAACCCACAGACTGGAAGAAAAAAAAAAAAAAAACTTGTATCCAGAATATAAAGAACTCTTAAAACTCAACAGCAAGAAAACAAACAACCTGATTTTTTTAAAAAGAGATGAAAGATCTAAACAGACTCCCACAAATGAATAGATGAGAATGATAAGCACAAGAAGGATGTGCTTATCATTAGTCATTAGGAAAATAGAAATTAAAACCATGGTGAAACACCCACATGCACACTCAAATGGCTACAATTTTTAAAAATAAGATCAATTCTGGTGATGATATGAATCAGCAGGAATACACATTCATGGCTGGTAGGACTGCAAGCTCATACAGCCATTTTGGAAACAGTTTGACTACACAGGGACTGAAAAAGGGGATTTTTAGGGTGATGGAACAACTGTCCTCCATGATCATATGATAATAGATACTGGGTTCTATGCATTTGTCAAAACCCACAGGACGGTACATGATGGAGAGTGAACGTCACTTTATGCAAATAAGTAATCAGCCAGGAGGTCAGGGGATCCTAGGATGGAAAGCAGACCAGGGACAAAATAATCCAACTGTATTGCAAACGGATGACATTAGCCACACTGAAAGGCGATGGGGGAGGAACTGACCACTGTAACTTCATAAAGCTGCAAATGAAAAGCCTGCACGTGGACACGCACTCTGGCTGGAAACTGTGCTTCTCACAAGGGTAAGATGAGCAATAAGCCGTAGGTATGTTAGGGGTGGACAAATCCATAAGTAAATTGTAATTGTGGGAGCCAGCCTTCTCACCATCCACTGTCAAAGAAAAAAGTTACAAATGAGCAGCAGGGCACAGTGGCTCACGCCTGTAATCCCAGCACTTTAGGAGGCCGAGGAAGATGGATCTCTTGAGCCAGGAGTTTGAGACCAGCCTGGGCAACATGGCAGAACCCCATCTCTACAAAAAATACAAAAATTAGCCAGGCGTGGTGGCATGCACCTGTAGTCCCAGCTACTTGGGAGGCTGGGGCAGGAGGATTGCTTGAGCCCAGGAGGTGGTGGTTGTGGTGAGCTGAGATCACACCACTGCACTCCAGTCTGGGTGACAGAGTGAGAACCTGTCTCAAATAATAATAACAGGTTATAAATGAACAAGGTAGAAAAGCAAGAATCAGCTGCATTGCTGAGATTGCATTGTTGGGTCAGGACGGGAGGTGGGGCTATCAGTATGAATTAATGTTTATTGATAGAGACAGGGATGGAGAGATGGGGTAGATGATTGATAGATGATAGGTAGTAGGTTGATAGATGGGTGGATGGTTGGATACAGGTAGAGATAGATAAATATGTGTGCATAAATGGGTTAGTACACTAAATATATTTCCTAGCTCTGTGTCTAAGAAGGCCTAGAAGCAGTGATGCCACAAGTTGCAACCAGCACACCTACCACCCAGATCTTTTTTCTTTTTTTTTTTTTGAGATGGAGTCTCACTCTGTCACCCAGGCTGGAGTGCAGTGGCACAATCTTGGCTCACTGCAACTTCTGCCTCCCAGGTTCAAGTGATTCTCTCCTGCCTCAGCCTCTTGAGTAGCTGGGATTACGGGTGTGTGCCACCACACCTGGCTAATTTTTGTATTTTTAGTAGAGACGGGGTTTCGACATGTTGGCCAGGCTGGTCTCGAACTCCTGACCTCAAGTGATCTGCCCACGTTGGCCTCCCAAAGCGCTGGGATTACAGGCGTGAGCTACCGCACCTGGCCCTAGATCTCAGTTTCTAAGTAAAAGGAGCTAGGGCTCTCTGGACAAATGACTGATTCTAAGGCCAGGGCAAGGTAAATATGAGAGGAGCCTAGAACATCTTCTGGTGCCTGAAAGTAAGGAACTGAAATTAATAAACAAAAGGAATCAGGAGCTGATTTACCAGAGCTTCCAGCGGACAAACCTGCAACCACTGAAGCAACGAAACAGATAATGATAGAATCAGTTTCTAACCTAAAGAATGAAATAATGAGTTCAGACTGAGATTAGTGCATAAACAGCAGAGAGGGGGCAAATCTTCCTTACAGAAGAATTCCAAAGGATGAATGCAGAAGGAATGAGGAAATGGAAGGTCACCATGTGAGCACCACAGTGGCAATTGCTGAAGCCGAGATCGACTGGCGGCTGCTAAAATGAGTGGGCAAAACTTGAAGGAGAAATGGGATATTGGCGTGGCCTCACAATATCTCCCCCAAATATTGATTAATTACCGTGCTGGTTCTAACAGATGCCCACAAATCCTTTGATGTTCCTCCCTCCAGGGGGAGAGGCTTAACTCCTCTCTCCTTGAGTGGAGCTGGACCTAGTGGCTCGCTTCTAACAAATTGAATGTGGATAAAGAAGAACAGTATCTTTACAGTGGAGAAACCCGCAGACGTCACTTTAACCAAGGGATCAAGATGCACATCGCCAGGAATGCATCCTGCTCCTCTCGCATTACCCTAGATGGATGACTTGAGATGGCACCTTCCCCTCTGTGGGATTTTTCTAAAAAATACATAACCCCGGACTAATCATGAGAAAACAGCAGACAAACACAAACTGAAGGACAGTCCGCAAAATACTCACCCAGCACGCCTCAAAACTTCCAAGGCCAGAGGAAGCAAGGAAATACGGAGAAACCATCTTAGACTGGAAGACAGTTGGGAGCCATGATGACTAAAGGCAGCTTGGGATCATGGATTGGATTCTGGAACAGAAAAAGGACACTAGTCAAAAACTGTTGACATCCAAATAAAGACTATATTTAACAGTGTTGTACTGGTGTTGATTTCTTAGTTTGGATAAATGTATCATGAATATACAGGGGAAACTGGCTGAAGGGTATGGAGGAACTCCCTGTATTAGCCTTACAACTCTTCCTCAAAAGGAAAAGTATTTCAAAATAAAAAACGGTTTTTTTTGTTTGTTTGTTTGTTTGAGACAGGGTCTCCCTCTGTTACCCAGGCTGGAGTGAACTGGCATGATCCCAGCTCACTGCAGCCTCAACCTTCCAGGCTCAAGCAATACTCCCACCTCAGCCTCTCAAGTTCCTAGGGCTACAGGCACATGACACCATGGCCAGCTAATTTTGTTTATTTTTTTGTAGAGGCAGCATTTCGCTCTGTTGCCCAGGCTGGTATCAAACCCCTGAGCTCAAGAGACCCTCCTGACTCAGCCTCCCAAAGTGTTGGGATTACGGGCATGACTCACCATGCCAGGCAAAATACAAAGATTGTTTTTAAAGAAAAAAAAAAAGGGCGCGGTGGTTCACGCCTGTAATCCCAGCACTTTGGGAGGCCACGGTGGGTGGATCACTTGAGGTCAGGAGTTCCAGACCAGCCTGGCCAACATGGCAAAACCCTGTCTCTACTAAAAATACAAAAATTAGCTGGGCATTGTGGTGCTTGCCTGTAATAGTAGCTACTCGGGAGGCTGAGGCAAGAGAATCGCTTGACCCCAGGGGGCGGGGGTTGCAGTGAGCCAAGATCTCACCACCGCACTCCAGCTTGAGAGATAAGTGAGACTCTGTCTCAAAAAAACAAAACAAACAAACAAACAAAAACCAAAAAAAACAAGTGCCTGACTCGACTTACCGTTGGGTTTGCCCCTTTGTCATTCATGAAAGCACACCCAGGCAGGTCCGCGAAGGGCGAGAGAGAAGTGGGACATAGTCCAGTCACCCAGTCACCCTGACTGATTCATCCTGTGTCAGGCAACAGCCAGCCAGGCTCAGCAGAGCACCTCACTGACCCCGCGGACCCCAGATGTGGGAGCCCTAAACACATTGTGTGCCACGGAGACGGGGCTGTCACACAGTTACTGTGGCACTGGATAACAGGCCTCCCTTAAGGGCAGGGAACTTGGGCCATTTGCCTGTCTGTCCCCAGGACCCAGCCTAGGGAGCATCCCTGCCCCTGTGGACCTCACTCACCCTCCCTCACTCTGTCTGACTCTACCATGCTGGGCTCTGTTATATTCCTTGGAGAGGCTCAGCCTGCTCCTGCCCCAGGGCCTTGGCACCTGCCAGCCCCTCTGCCTGGCACGTTCTCTCTATCCTCAGCTCTGAACATGGCTGGCGCCCTCTTATCATCTTGGAGTCCTCCTCGGGAAGCCTGATGTGACCTGGTCCCCTTCCGTGGTCACCCCATACCCTGTGACTGTTTTGTTGGCCTCGGAACCCTCACTTGGCAGCTCTGAGATGGCTTGGCCCTGGCTTTATTGTCTTTCTCCCCAGGAAGTATAAACTCCAGCAGTAGCCCCCTGCCTGGAATAGAGCCTGAAAGCAGGGCACACCATCCATGTGGAGTGATTGTCAAATGACGAAAGCTTGGGCTCCAACTCAGGATTAACCATCCACCTTTGTGACCTTGGCAAAGCCACTGATCCACACTGTCCACCCCCGCAGAGTGGAGTGGTGATTGCCTCTTTCCAGAGGCTGCATGGAGGACCATATGTCCAGGCCATATGTGAAGAGGGGGTTCTCAACGGAGGCACGATAACCACGAACCCCCACCGTGGCTGGAAGCAGCCTGGCCACAGTGAGTGGGCAGGTCCCACCAGCTTCTCTCACCTTCCAGGAGGAGCCGCAGGGCCAGGAAGGAAGGTCCCTGTCCTTGCTTGCAGGCCTCTCCCAGGAGGCCAGAAGCACCCCCTGACACCCCGCTCCCTGAGGGTCCCATCCCCATCTGAACCGTTTCTGACCAGGCAGGAGAAGGGCAGAAGCTGACGGCAAGCACGAATGAAGGGCGTTTGAAAGGCTGGGAAATACGTCTTATCTCCGCCCACCCCGCTTTTCAAATATGCTTACCTTTCCAAGTGACTGTGTGCATAGCGAAAGCTGTCATGGTGCACCCAGACTGTTATTGCGATCGGGGGCACCCCAAGAAGACGTTTCCACGGCGGCTTTTCTATTATAGCTGGTACTTCAGATATGCAAATATATCTTCCCAAAGCAAGACTCTGGGCAGGTGTTCTCGGCTCAGACGGTGAAGACATCTCCGTGGAGGTGTGAAGGACGAGCCCAGGTGTCTATCCCAGCTCCTTCCCAGGCTGGCCGGCACCCCCCGCCCATGCCTCAGGAGGGCGCTGTGGCTGCAACAGGGGCTGAAGGCCTTGCCCAACATCAGACTTGCAGACAGGGCCAGCTTCTCAGGCGTGCAACCAGGGCAGCTGCCAGGGGCCGAGCGCACAGAAGGAGCCTGCACTTGGGGTTAAGGCTTTGCTGTGGTCTCCTTATTCTTAATTATATCTTCAACAGATGTTTTGTAAGTGAAGTCTGATGAAACAATGGAGCATGGCACCTTGACTCCTGAGCTGTCCCACCCTCCACTGCACTCCTGCCCCTTCCTGCCTTCCTGGGTCAGGTTCTTTGCCATGCACTTCCTGCCACTGGTGCCCCAGTGCCACCGGGCTCCCCTCCCCACCTTTGTCCCATGACCCCTGGTGCATGTCACCCAGGCTGGGGACGAACCACATCAGCGGGGGAGGCCTGCCTTCCACTGTTGCTTTCTGCCCCTCAGGAGCCAGAGCCGGGGCCTGCACCAGGAGGACTGGGGTTAGGTATGTGCCCAGGAGTGTCCGGGAGGTAATGAGGAAGGCAGCAGCCATCCCTGCCTGACTGGCAGTGCCAGGCTGTGCTCAGCAGGTGGCTGAGTGGGGGCCTCTTGCCCACTCCCAATTCTAAGGTTGAGTGTGACGCCTCGGGGCCACCTGTGGGTTGGGGTGGCCGGCCCATGGGAAGGGAGATTCACCTCCCCACCCCTAGCTGGGGTCTGCAATTTCAGTTTTGCACCTGGCCCCACATATGACATAGCTGGTCCCATTTGAAGGGGTCTGGGAGGCACCACCCCCACGCAGCCCCTGCCTGAGCCTCATTGCCCCTCAGCTTCCCCACTCCAACTTCCCAGACCACAAATCAGAGCCTGCTTCCCTGCTTAGACCTCCCCCTTGTCCTCCACCCAGTGCCCACAGGGTCAGTGGGAGCCCCTCACTGAGACCTTCCAGAGTGGCCCCATCTACTCCCCTCTGCACACTCCAGCCTCGGCTCTGTGTGCCAGGCACAGACTGCAGTAGGAACTGGGAGGCCAGGCCCTGCCCTCACGGAGTAGCCCCAATGGGGAGTAACAATCCCCTCCCCAGTTTCCCCACTTGAATCCAGCTCTCAGACCCGGACCCATCACCGGGGGAAGAAGCAGAGCCTGCGTGAACACCGATCCTGCAATGCCCTGGTCAGCATGTGAGAAGGGCGCCCCGGGCCTCCCCGCAGGGATCTCTGTCATTCGCTTCGGTAACACATGCTGGGGAAAGGAGGTGGAATCCAGGGCTGGAGTTGATGCCGACACCCTGGAAACTGAAACACCGTCGTGCCCACTGGGAGAAAATGGGCGTAAGGTCAGGGAATCGGGGGGCCAGGGGAATGCAGCCTTCCAGGCCTGCCTTGCCGCGTGTTCACTGAGGCATGGAGTCAGGGAATCGGGGGGCGGGTCCCTTCCAGGCCCGCCCCTTGCCATGTGTTCGCTGGGTCCGCAAACCCCGGCAACGGTCACTTCTTGCTTCGCAAATACTTCGCAAATACTGGAAACTTTGTGCTGTGGGAGCTGGCCACGCTGGTTCCTGCGCCCGCAGGGTAAGAACCATTCCAGCAGGAAAGGCCGAGTGAAAGCCTGAACCAGGTGTCTCTTCCTCTTCTTTTATTTATTTATTTGTTTGTTTGTTTTGGGACAGAGCCTCACTCTGTTGCCCAGGCTGGAGTGCAATGGCACCATCTTGGCTCACCGCAACTTCCGCCTCCCAGGTTCAAGCGATTCTCCTGCCTCAGCCTCCCAAGTAGCTGGGATTACAGGCACGCGCCAACAAGCCCAGCTGATTTCTTTTGTATTTTTAGTAGAGATGGGGTTTCTCCATGTTGGCCAGGCTGGTCTCAAACTCCTGATCTCAGGTGATCCGCCCACCTCGGCCTCCCAAAGTACTGGGATTACAGATGTGAGCCACTGCGCCCAGCCTATTTTTTTTCTTTTTAGAGACAGGGTCTCACTCTATTGTCAAGGCTGGAGTGCAGTGGTGTTCTCGGTTCACTGCAGCCTTGAATCCCTGGGCTCAAACAATCCTCCCACCTCAGCCTCCTGAGTAGCTGGGCCTATAGGTGTGTGCTACCATGCCCAGCTTATTTTTTGAATTTTTGTAGAGACAAGGTCTCATTATATTTCCCAGGCTGGTCTTGAACTCCTGGCTTCAAGGGATCCTCCCACCTTGGCCTCCCAAAGTTCTTCATCTTCTTTTTTCTTTCTTTTTTTTTTTTTTTTTTTGACTCTGTCGCCCAGGCTGGAGTGCGGTGGCGTGATCTCGGCTCACTGCAACCTCCGCCTCCCAGGTTCAAGCCATTCTTCTGCCTCAGCCTCCCGAGTAGCTGGAATTACAGGCATGTGCCACCACGCCTAATTTTTGTATTTTTAGTAGAGATAGGGTTTCACCATATTGGCCAGGCTGGTCTCGAACTCCTGACCTCATGATTCACCTGCCTCAGCCTCCCAAAGAGCTGGGATTAGGGGGTAAGCCACCACACCCAGCCAGTTCGTCATCTTCTTAAAGGAACACCAGTACTATTAAGGTATAGGGTCCCACCTTATGATCTCATTTAACCTTAATTACTTCCTCGAAGGCCCTTTCTCCAAATACACACCCAGTAGGGATTAGATCTTCAACATATGGATCTGGGGATGCACAATTCAGGTCATAACACCCCATGCCTCCAGACCCCTAAAATTTGAACCAATGTGGCCAACTCCTGCATCTTTGTGGATATCTCCTACTCTCTAGGGTGCATGAGTTTTACCCAGGTATCTGGAGAGCATCCCAACCATGTCTTACTGCTCACGTCGGATTAACGTGACGCCGTCAAACCTGTGGGCCAGTGTCAGGACGGCCAGAATACCCGCCTCTTTGGACCACATTGTGACAGAGAGTGAAACACTTCGCATAGTTTCATGCCAAGGCCACACATGTCTATCACTGGTCATCCAGTGGGATGCAAACCCATTTTGTTCCTCCTTCCTGATGGGCTTTGAAAAGAACACATTCATCAGATCAGCAGCCGCACAGCCCCGTATTTAAAACTGTTCATCTGCTGAGTACACACACCATATTTGGCACAGCAGCTACAACTGGACTATTTCTTGGCTAAATTTTTGGTGGTGCACTGTCACCTGCTGTGACCATCATTTTCAGGGGGGCCAGGTGGACAGAGGAATTGGAGATGTGTTGGAGGCCAACCTTGAGAGTGGTCCTGACCTCCGCACGCCCCTTGGGAAGCTGTGCTGACTTTGGTTGACTATCTTTTGGGCAGGGACGGGTGCTCCGCCACGGTGGCCCCTGTGGAAATGGGCACTCTGCCTTATGATGCAGCATATACCTTTAGCAGTGGCCTTACCTGCTGCTGGGTCTGTGAAAGATGGAATTAGGAACGAAGGGCTGGGGGGAGGTGGCCCAGGCCACCATCACACCCTGTGACCAACGTGGGGAATTTATGCCTCTAGTCCCTTGCAGCACAGGCTCTGTAAGTCTATAGGCCCCGGATTCCAGAGGTTCATGCTTCCATCAAGGCTATCTCAACTGAAAGCTCTGGTGTCAGCTGGCCCACCTGGGCTTCCTGAGCCAGGAGACAGGCAGCGAAGAACAAAGCCCCCCCACTGGCAGGGGGATGGCCTTGACCATCACCGGGAAAGAGGACTACTGCCACATGAGGGACAGGGAGATGTGTGCCTGGCACTCGGGGGCCTGCTGGGGCATCTCCTGGTGCTCCCACAGCCAGTTCCAGCGGTAAGTGGGCAGGTGCACACACCACAGCCTATCAGGGGACAGTAACCAGGGCTTTCGGCCCCTAGGGATACGGGAGGGTCACCCTACCAGTTAAGCCCCTGGGCCAGCATGAGTGCTAGGTCAGAGGGAGGGAATCCAGACCAGGTAGAGGGGAAGGTAGGGAGTGTTGGTTACGGACTCAGGACCCATGGCAGCAGCACAGCGTCCACCCAGGTTTTCCCAGGAATTCTGACCAACCAGGGAACTGGAGAAGCCTGGATGCAGTAAGTGTGAGAAGCACACGGATCTGGGGCTGCAGGAGGTGGACAGTGGTGGATGCTCTGGTCTGCCCAGACCCCAGCTGCTAGGAGGCCTCTCCTCTGCCTCCTTCTAGAGAAAGTTGCCCTTGACTGAGCAGAAGCTGCCTTGCCTGGGATGTAAGACACCCCCCATCTCTGCTCAGGGACGGCCTACAGCCAATCCCTGACTTCCTTAGGGATATAAAAGGCTGGGGTGTGGGTAGGAAGCAGTGTGGACCAACTCTGTGGGGCAATTCACATCCTATGACCCCGGAGGATCAGGTTGAAGCATGAATTCCAAACGAATTCCAACCTCACTCTTTCCCTGTCCTCGCCTGCTCCCCATGTCCCTCCCTCTGGAGCACTTGCCCTTAATGAATCACAAACACGCAGCCCTGTGTTGGGACATGCTTCTGGAGGAACTAACCTCATATCCCCACCACCCACCTTCAGAACAGCCCCTCCCTTCCTCTCCACGAATGTGAAAATGAGTCCTGGGTCTTGGCAGTGGACAGGCTGCAGGCCGCAGCCACATATTCCACTGGTAGCTCGGATACTCACTGAGCCGTGGGCGAGCCGCGGCCCCTCCGAGCCTCAGCTCCCTCTTCTGTGAAGGTAGGTTGGCCCTGCAGGTTGCTGTGGATCTTAAACGACACAGATGCGTTGAGTGCCCGGCACACAGAGGTGGGCATCCCAACCCCTTCATGACTTCCTGCTGTTCAGGGCCCAGCCACACTTCTTCCGCCAGGAAGCTTCCTCCAGTATGCTGAGTTTGGTCTTCACCAGGGCCCCCAAGACTGACCCATCTGCCACTTACTGGGCCCCAATATATAAGACCTGAGGGGTTCAGCTTTTCTTCTGGGGTCAGATGAACCTTCCACAGTGCACCGAGAATTTCCAGATGCCAGGCCTAATCCCCACATCGTGGAGACCTTTTCAGTCGTGCCTTCGATGGGAAGTGGGGCAGAGCCTCTCAGGTCTGTGTGACAAGGCCCCCAGCTGGCCAGGCAGGTTTAGGCCCAGGTGGGAGTTGTGGGTGGCATCCGGGGAGAGTTGGGTGGAGCCCCTGTCCACAGGGCTTGTCACCTCCGCCAGTTCATTCAGGAATCTGGGAAGTGAGTCTCCTAGAAGAAAAAGTCCTACGAATTTGGTCCTCATGGAGGTTCAAGGATCAACTCCATGGAAGCAAATTGCAAGACGGAGCTGCTGGGGCTGGGGCTGGGGCTCTGGGAGTGGGTGCACCATCAGAGAGGAGGCAGGGAGGGGAAGCAGCCTGCTGCATTTGCCACTGGACTCCCACTGGCAATGGAGAGCGGTCTCAGGCCCCATGCTGCTCTGTCTCCTGTGCCTCGGGGCTGCCTGGGGAATGATGGCTGCAAGCCTGGGTGAGCCCAGAGTGCTGCACCCCCAAGAGCTGAGGCTCCAACACCAGGCACCTCTGCTGCAGGATGCCCTCACTGTTGGTGCAGTACCCTGGACAAATTCAGAGCTGTCTACACATCCTGCATAAGCATGCAGCTCAGCTGCTGCTGCATCTCAGCTGGGCCAACAGGACCCTGATGCATTCAGGCGGCACCTACCACGTGACAGCACCACTAGTGGCAGCAGCCAGAGTCGCTTCCCTGCCCCTGCTCAGGAGCCCTGCTGGGGTGCATGCTGGCCAAGAGCAGCAGCTGGGGTCCTTAAACTGATTAGTTCCTTGTGGCCTCTGGATGGGAAGCCAGGGCCTGGGATGGCTGTTGTACACCCCTGTGAGACCCTGGTGGAGGGGACTCTTGGAGGGGCAGGTGACAGGTGGGGCCAGTCTGAGAACAGGAGAGGGCAATGAAGAGGTGGCACATTGTGATCTGCCCCAGGCTGCCCCCTGCCCTGCACACCTCCCTAGGAGGTCTCCCCTGCCCCACATCTTTGCTTATGACCCACATCTGGCTCCAGAGACACTGTTTCTCCTGCAGGCCTGTTTATCCTCTGAACACCTCCCCTGTGTAGCCCAAAGTCTCCCCCAGCTCATGAGTCCCAAACAGCACTCCACGTCCCTCCTCAGCCCTGTTCTTCCTGCTCCTGTGCCCCTTCTCCGTGACAGCACCCAACTTCCACTGCCGTCCTTGGCTGTCCCTCCCCCATGCCCCACATCCATTCCTCACTGCCATCCTACCTCCTAAATCTATTGCCGCCGCCACCACTTCCCTAGCCCAAGCAAGACCCATGGGAGGTACTCAGTGGTGTTTGTAGATTGGATGGATGGATGGGAGGGAGGGAAGGATGAAGGATGGATGGATGGATGGAAAGAGGGAGGGAAGGAGGAGGAAGGGATGGATGGTGGATGAATGGAGGGATGGAGGGATGGATGGATGAGGGAATGGGTGGATGGATGGGGCAAATGGAGGGATGGAGGGATGAAGGGGGGGATGGATGGATGGATGATAGATGGGGGATAGATGGATGGATAGATGGGGGATGGATAGATGAATGGGGGGTGAATAGAGGGATGATGGATGGGGGGATGAACGAAAGGATGGAGAGATGGATGAGAGATGGATGGATAGATGGGGGTGAATGGATGGATGGAAGGATGAATGAAGGATGGATAAATGTCTGGATGGGGGATGGATGGATAGCTGGGGTATGGATGGACGGAGGGAGGGATGGATGGATGGAGGGATGGATAGATGGATGGGGGATGGATGGGTAGATGGGGGATGGATGGATAGATGGGTGGATGGGGGGATGGACAGATGGAGGGATGGATGGATGGACAGTTGGGGGATGGATGGATGATAGATGGGGAATGGATGGACGGATAGATGGAGGATGGATGGATGGGGGATGGATAGATGGAGGGATGGATGGATGGATGGGGGATGGATGGGTGGATGGGGGATGGATGGATGGAGGGAGAGATGGATGGATGGATGATGGACGGAGGGAGGGAGGGATGGACGGATGGCGGATGGATGGTTAGATGGATAGATGGAGGACGAATGGATGGAGGGAGGGATGGGTGGAGGGAGGGATGGATAGATGGATGGGGGATGGATGGATAGGTGGGGGACGGATGGATGGATGGAGGATGGATGGATGGATGGATGGATGGGGGATGGATGGATAGATGGATGGATGGGGGATGGATAGATGGAGGGATGGATAGATGGGGATGGAGGGATGGGGGATGGATGGATGATAGATGGGGGATGGATGATGGATGGATGGATAGATGGGGGATGGATGGATGAGGGGATGGATGGATAGATGGGGGATGGATGGATGGAGGGATGGGGGATGGATGGATGATAGATGGGGAATGGATGGAGGGATAGATGGGGATGGATGGATGGGGGATCAATAGATGGAGGGATGGATGGATAGAGAGAGGGAGGGAGGGAAGGATGGAAGGATGGGGGATGGATGGATGAATGCATGGATGATGGATAGATGGAGGGAGGGATGGATGGATGATGGATGGAGGGAGGGATGGATGGATGGGGGATGGATGGATAGATGGGGGATGGATGGGTGGAGGGAGGGATGGATGGATGGGAGATGGATGGATGGATGGATGGGAGATGGATGGATAGATGGATGGGGGATGGATAGATGGAAGGATGGATGGATGGACAGATGGGGGATGGATGGATGACAGAGGGGGGATGGATGAATGGATAGATGGGGCATGGATGGATGGGGGATGGATGGATGGATGGATGGATGGATAGATGGGGATGGATAGATGGAGGGATGGGGGATGGATAGATGGAAGGATGGGGGATGGATGGATGGATGGATGTTGGAAGGAGGGGTGGATGGTATATAGAGGGATGGACGGACAGATGGATAAAAATGACAGAACTTTTGCAGCTTGGGGGCTTTCAGACTAGGGTCGTTGTACCTGCCAGTGTTTCTCCTGGGCAATGTCTGGACCCTGTGTTTCACAGGGGCTGGGCTGAACATGCCATTTCCAGGAAGAGTCCAGCGCTAAGGCCTCTGGAGGTGTTCTGTTTTGGGAGACCAGGCAGCCAAGTATTTGTACAAAAGAGGACCCAGAACTGCCCACACCACCACCTCTGGGATCCCCCCACCCCAGGGGAGGTTAAAGCAAGCAGAGGGACACCGACTGCTGCCACACAGGAGGTCTTTGGCATCCAAGCTCTGTCCAGGCCTCAGCATTCTGCAAGAGGACACCACGCTGCCACCATGTGTCCCAGACAACAGCCAGAGATGTGGAAGGAAGAGGTGCCGCGTGGACTTCTCTTTTTACAAAGACTTTATTGTCTGACATGCTTGACAAAAAAAAAAAAAAAAATTACAGCCACAATCAAGTTATGCCAAAATGATTGAGAAGCACGCCGTCATCTTCATACCTCGAGGACTTTTAATGAATTTTCTCTTAAAGTAACAGCTGCCTTCATAACTTTTCTTTTCCACATAAAAATACACCATATTCTGAAGATACCTTAGGAAAAAAATTTTTTTAAGTTTATCGTTCTTGGTCCACATAGAAATTGAGTGGAGCTGGCACTGAAAGGGCCTGCTTTTCTCCACCCGCACACATGTCCTGCGCCTGGGGCATCAGAGAGACCTCATAAACATCCCTGGCTACAGGAACCCCTTCAGCCAAACGGGATTCCTGGAGCCCTGCACCCCACGGCGCTCAGCTTCAGCCAACCCGATACAGTGCTGCTGCCAGGCTTCCAGGGACAGCAGCCCCACCCCTCGAGGAGCCCAGCTCAGTGTGGGCAGAAAAGGACTCCCAGGATGCTAGGATGCTGCACCCAGGGTTCAGGACTCCTCAGAGCTCACACCAGTTTTGAACAGGACCCTTAAAAATAAAAATACAATAAAAAGAGCCTTGGACCATGCATTGCTTTGTAGGGACATAACTTCGGGTCATGGCAAAGTGAGGGCAGTGAGGCCAGAGAACAAGGGTCAGATCCTGCCTCGGCTCCTTTTGTGCTGTGAGCCCCCAGGCAAGTTACCACACCCCTCTGGCCTCAATCGTCTCATCTCTAAAATGGGACTAAAGTACCTACCTTGAAGGACCATCTGAGGATGAAATGAGTCTATATCTGCAAAAGGGCTCACGGTAGGCTGGTTCCCAGGGCTGGGACCTGGGTGAGGGAGTGACACCCTTCTCTCAGATGTACAACGGAAAGGGGTGCAAAAAAAGTCACCAATCAGGACAAATAATACTACTTTAATGCAACGTTAAAAATCAAAATAAATGCAGAAAAAGTCCATGATGAACAAAATATTAAATAACGACAGAATCTGACCCTGAACTTGCCCATTTCTGCCTGACTGCCTGCCCCTCATCTAGGCCCTACCGGTTCCCACCACCGCCCTGGCCCCACCCCCTCCAGTCCTAATTCAAAGAAGAAAAAGAAGCTGTCCAAGGTGGGGCTGCTGGAGCCTGGGGCCCGCTCGGTCCCTGTGCCACCCTCCAATTCACAGGGCCGGCTGGTCCTGGGCTTCCTCGGCTGCAGGCATGCCAGACAGAATCCTAACGGTGCAAGGGAAGCCGCACCAAGGAACAGAACCTCACTACGGGGCAGAAAAGAGAAACACAGGACCCACTTGGTTCAATTAAGAGGGGTGCGTGCGTGCATGTGTGTCGGTGCGTGCCTGGACATGGGTTCACACCCATGGCAGGCCTGCTGCAGCCTAAGCCTGCAGACCCTCCATCCAGGCTACCGCATTCTACAGAGCAGTGTGTTCCCCGTGGGACCAAGGGTCATCCCCCCATGACTGGGAACGCTCTCACTGGTCCTGGGCACGAATGCCAGTGGCTCATTCTGTAGAACCAGCCCCCATCATCCAGGCTCCGAGTGAATGCCTAGGACACTCAGGTCATTGTTCAAGTAAACAAAAATGCCTATGGGAAGAAAAAGGGGGGAACAATGCCAGGCAAACAGCTGTGGGCCTGGCCAGGTGCGGTCTGAATTCCTGAGATGTCCCTAAATGCTCCCTCGGAGGGCCTCCGCCTTGGGCCTGTCTCCTCCCTCACTTGGGAGGAGAGAAAGGGACTGTCTGTGTGCAGCTCACGAATCCTCCCACCCACCCCAACCCAGGGGCATGCCGCCACACAGACCCGTGGTTAGAGGGAGATTTTGTGTAACTTCCAAAACCCATTCAAGAGCAGCAGCTTCCCAAACCAGGAGGGCGTCCAAGGGAGAAGAATGAAGATTTAGTCATTTCCCAAACATGACAGGGCCATGAGCTTAGTAGGTCCTTTAACGAGGTACACGCAGGATGTACACGCAGAAAAAGTAAATGAGCACAGAACCCCTGATGGGGATGCGCAGGGTCCCAACTCCAGGTGACAGAAGGCTAAAGAGTCGTTCCAAGGCCCTGACCTGCCTGCTAGGCCAGTCCCCGCAGCCAGATGGGTCGTCCAGGCAACTCAGCATGGAAGGAACAGTGGCCGGGCCAGGCCTGTGGAGCTGACACGGGCGGGCAGGGCAGGGGCAGTGGGGAGCAGTCAGGAGTTCCGGGGTGTGGGGAGGTCGATGACTATGGGCGGGTTCACGGGCTGGTAGTTCACAGTGCATACGGACGCATTCACATAGGTGGTCGTCCCATCTGCCATGACACCATACCCTGGAAAGTAAGCACATGCCCATCAGGCCAGCAGCCAGAGTAGTGAGGGTGGCCAGGGGGGTGTGGCAGTCATAGGGCACTCAGCCCCTGTGGGCTGAATGTGTTTGGGGCAAGCTGGTAAACTCTCGAGGTCAGTCCCTTCATCTGTAAAATGGAGATGATAATGATACATGCCACTTCCAAGCCTGCTGTGAGGATTATATGAGATAATTATCTATGTACTGTGCTCGGCCCAGTGCCTGGCACATAAGAAGCACGCAGTGAGTCATCATCATCGACATCATCTTCACCACCATCCTCGTCACCATCACCACCACCACTGTACCACCATCATCACTATCAACATCATCATCACCACCACCCTTATCGTGATCATCACTATTTTTCACCACTACTACCACCATAATCATCACTAATGTCATCATCATCACTATCATGATCAACATCATCACCAACACCCTTATCATCATCTTCACTGTTACCTCCACCACCATTACCATCACCGTCATCATCATCACTACCTTTATCATCACCACCACCATCGCCATCACCAACATCATCAAAAATGCCATCATCATCACTATCACCATGAACAACATCACCGCCCTTATCATCACCACCACCACCACCATCATCATCATCTTCACTAATGCTATCTATCATCACTACAATCATCACCACCATCATCCCCATCACCACCATCAACATCATCATAACCAATGCCATCATCATCACTACCACAATCAACATCATCACCACTGCTCCTATTATCATCATCATTATCACCACCACCATCACCATCATTATCACCAATGCTATCATCATCACTGCCTTTATCATTGTCATCGCCATTCTCACCACCACCATCACTAGTGCCATCAACGTCACCAACATACCGCCACCATCACCATCAACATCATCATCACCAATGCCATCATCTTTGCTATCACCACCAACATCATCATTGCCACCCTTATAATTACCATTCATCACCACCACCACCATCATTCATCACCACCACCACCATCATCAAGAATGGTGTCATCACCAATGTCACCATGATCGTCATCACTACCCTTATCATTATCATCGCCACTGTTATCACCAGCATACCACCATCATCACTATCATCATCATCATTGTCATCATTGATGATGCCATCACTGATGTCATCATGATCATCACCACCAACACCACTGTCATTATTATCACCCTCATTATTATTGTATCAGCACTATCATCATCACCACAATCACCATCATCATCACCATTATCATCATCACCACCATTGCGTTTATCATTATCACCATTGTCACCACTACCATCATCATCAGTATCATCATCATCATCATTGACATTATTACTATCACCATCATCACTACCCACACCACTGTGAACATGGCCATCATCATCATTACTACTATCACTACCATCCTCTCACCATCATCACTATCATTATCATCATTGTCATGTACTTTCTCTGCCTCCCTCATACCCTCTTCTCACCACCTCTATTTGGTAGAATCCCCCTCATCCTTCAGCTCAGGTCATCTCCAAGATAGAAGGAACATTTCCCCTTCCCTGCGTGGTGCTGGGGGAGGAAGGGAGTGGTTAGTGGGTGGGTGAGGACCTATTCTTTGGAGTCCAATTGTGCCTGTCCAATTGTGTGGGGGTGTGGTTTGGGTCAAAGGCAACTTTGGATCTGATGGAGCTACATGCCCATAGTAGGGCCACAGAAAATGACAGCTATTATTATTATCCCACAGCACGTGAGCTGCCCATCTCTCCCAGGACCTCTCACATCCTGCTTTGATGACTCCTCTGTGCCTAGGGCTCCTCCAGGAGCTACTCCAGGGCCAGGTGAGGTCTGATCACTCCTTCCCCTTGACAATGAGCTGCAGAGGCCCTCAGGGAATGAATGGTTTGAGGCTTGCTTGCTTTTGAGCTGGAAAACGATCTAATATGGACCAGGCAATGTGGAGGCCTGGGGTCCCTGGTCCAACCAGACACAGGTTCCGGAGGCCAGGAGATGTCTCTGGGGGAAACCACGTCAGTCCAGACATCCCACAGCAGCCAATATGCTTCCTGGCAGGGATGTGACAGAGAGGCCTTGGGCAGGTGGGATAAATATCCAAAAGGGGCAAAAAAAGAGGCATCTGTGCCAAACTGGTGAAATGAGGCTCAGGTGAGGATGGCTGAGGTCTACTAGGGAACGCCTGCACGCAGCAACAGGCCAGGGCGTGGCCATGTGGATGATAGAACCGGAGCTGACATCACCCTCACCATCACAGGTAGTCCCTCCACACTTATTAAGCACCTATTGTATGCCAGGCCCTGGGGACAGAAGCAACAAGACAGGGCCACCAGTTTTAAGGGATTCATGGTGTGCCCACCAAATATAATGCATCCTCCATGTCACGGCTCAAATGCCCCTTCCTCTGAAAACCCCCTGCCCACCTCCCGACGGCTTCCCAGGCTGGAGGCACAGCAGAGTTGCAGGGCTCCCCGGAAGCAAAATTTACCCCCTAAGTCATGCAGGATGTTGTGATCATCTTCCTATTATTAAACATTTAGCAATAGCTCATTGACAGCCAGGGTGTGTATGGCAGTTAGCAGTTACAAAGCGAACAGTAGGAATGGGCTATTTATTTCCCTTCTGGCTGAACGAAGGGGAGGTCCTGCTGGAGGGTCCATTAGGAGCCCCTAGCCCGTGAGGTGCCTGTCTCCGCTACGTACTGACCTTCGTGGATGTGGCCAAAGACATGTAACCGCGGCTGGACGCGCCTCTGCACCGTGTTGAGCAGCTCCACACAGCCCACCCGCTGCATCTTCTTGGGGACCCAGTCCAGGAAGCCTGGTATGGGGGAGACAACAGGAGGCCATGACGCGGTCTGTCCCAGCCCCTCACTGCCCCACGCCTAGCAGCAGCTTCTGCAGCCTGGAGAAGGCATGGGGCTTCCGGACTCCGGCTTTGCACCACTCTCCCCTAGCAAGCTCTCCGGAACCCTGCCCTGCCTCAGGCTTCAGGGACTGAAACCATTCAGGACCTTGCAGCCTCACCCTCCTCCTCCATAGGGCTGCACTGAGGGCCTCCTTGAAAGAGCTCAGCATGGGCCAGGCACTTGGGGTGGGGTGCTCAGTAACTGCTGGCGCCCCCCAGACCATCTGTGCTCGAGTGGCCTCAAGGGTGGCATCCGCCCACCGCAGAGATCAGCAAACGGAGGCCAGAGAGGGACGGGTGAGTCCCAAGGGCAGGCACCCTGGTGGTTAGTTGCAGAGCAGGGCGTCCTGATACACAGCCCAGGAGTGAGATTTCCATGTCAGAAACTTCCTAAACAGCACAGACTCATGAGCAGAAACTTCCTCCGTGGGTGCAGCATCGCTCACGTGGCTGCGCCTGCGCCTGCCCCCGCTGCCAGCCTCCTGGAGCCGCCCAGATGGTGGCTGCTTATTATCCTCACATGGCTACACAAACGGAGAATAATTGATTACTCCAAGCAAACAATTAGGGTTCATGGCGGCCCCTCTCTGTTTGGGTGAGCAGAACAGGTTTCTGCAACTGCCAAGAAGGGGACAGGGGAAGCTTCCACTCAAAGGCCCAAGCAAGCAGCAACAGGCATAAAGAGAAGACACAGACAGAGATAGAGACAAAGATGAGGGAGGAGGAGGAGGGGGAGAAGGAGGGGAAAGCAGAGAAAAGAGACCAGGAATGGGTTGGGCACAGGCTGGGGGCAGACACTGGGTTGAAGTCCCAGGCTCTGCTGCCTACTGGCTGTGTGACCTTGGACAAGCCACTTAACCTCTCTGTGCCTCCGTTTCATCCAATAGAGTGCTGGGCTGGGCACTGGGATCCCACCATGCATGAGGCCGGATCCTTCTTCACTTCTGGAGTGTGTGTTGTGGGGAGGGTCTCCAGCACCTCGGCACCCTGGCGCACACAGTCCGGAGATGATGCAAGGGCAGCACCAGCTGGAGTGCCTGGCACATGGGCAGCCCCGAGACAGGAGCCGGGCGGTGTGTGAAGGGGCCCGGGCGGGGCGTCTGGAGAGCAGGAAGCCAAACGACACCATGTTTGGAGAGATGGATGGATGGAAAGGAGAGAGGGAGAGAAAGAAGGAAGAGGGAGGAGGGGAGGAAAGATAGAAGAGGGGAGAAGGAAAAAGGAGGAAAAAAGGAGATATGGAAAGGAGGGAATGAAAAGAGAAGGAAGAGAACAAGATGCCTTTGCTGCTGAGCCTCACTGTCAGTGACCAATGACACCGAATGTTGACGGGAACCGTCCCAGGACTCAGGCGGCTTCAGGTGGGGGTGAAACAAACCCGGCTACAACCTCTCTGTGCTGCTTAAATCACACCAGGGCCCAGGCCTCCGCTTCCACCTGTGAGGGTGAGGCTGACAAAATCTTCCTTTCCTGGACTTTGTGAGGAGGCAGAGGGGCCGTGGCGCACTGGCTGGGTAGGGGCACAAAGTGGTATCAGGATTTTCTTCCTGAACTGGTGTGTGAGCCAGTGACACTCAAGCTGTCCTGCGCCTCACCCCACACCCTCCCCCATGGCCTCTGCCTGGGACACCCTTCCCCTCCCCTTGTCTACCTCACCCTCCTCCTCCAATTCTGGGATCACAGCTTGTGCAAGTCCCCCATGCAGCCTAACAGCAGTCATCTCTCCTGACTCCTCAAGCTTCCCTCACCCCCGAATGTGTCCCACGGGGCTTGGCTGTTCCTGAACCCTCTACCCTGCAGCCTGGGGGCCCTCCAACCCAGGCACACACTGCAGGAGTTATCCTGGACCAGTGTCACCCAGCACAGGGGCTGGTCCCAAGCACTGAGGGAGTGATGGTGGGTTTCTGGAGGTGGCGGTGGGAGCAAGACACTGATATGGGCCGAACTGCTGGGAGACTGAACTTCATTCAGAGGACTGAGGGAACCACAGAGGGTCACAGAGGGGTGGCATGGCACACATAAGGATACAGAAAACTCCCTCCTGCTGATGTAAAGCGAGTGGACTGGAAGGGGCAAGACCTTCGCCTCCACCACCTCCACCACCTCCGTCACCACCTCCACCACCACCTCCATTACCACCTCCATCACCACCACTACCACCTCCATCACCATCACCACCACCACCCCCATCACCACCTCCATCACCATCACCACCACCACCTCCACCACCACCATCACCACCTCCATCACCATCACCACCACCACCCCCATCACCACCGCCACCTCCATCACCATCACCACCATCATCACTGCCACCTCCATCACCACCTCCACCATCACCCCCACCACCTCCATTACCACCTCCATCACCATCACCACCACCTCCATCACCATCACCACCACCACCCCCACCACCTCCATTACCACCTCCATCACCACCTTCATCACCCCCACTACCACCTCCATCGCCATCACCACCACCTCCATCACCATCACCACCACCACCCCCATCACCACCTCCCTCACCACCACCACCACCTCCACCATCACCACCGCCACCTCCATCACCATCACCACCACCACCCCCATCACCACCTCCATCACCACCACCACCACCACCTCCACCATCACCACCACCACCTCCATCACCATCACCACCACCACCCCCATCACCACCTCCATCACCACCACCACCACCTCCACCATCACCACCACCACCTCCATCACCATCACCACCACCACCCCCATCACCACCTCCATCACCACCACCACCACCTCCACCATCACCACCGCCACCTCCATCACCATCACCACCACCACCCCCATCACCACCTCCATCACCACCACCATCATCACCTCCACCACCACCATCACCACCATCACCCCCATCACCGCCACCCCCATCACCACCACCACCACCTCCACCATCATCACCACCACCATCACCACCACCACCACCTCCACTACCACCACCACCTCCACTACCACCACCACCACCTCCACCACCACCCACCATCACCACCACCTCCATCACCACCACCATCACCTCCATTACCACCATCACCACCCCCATAACCACCACCACCACCTCCATCACCATCACTACCTCCCACCACCACCACCTCCCACATCACCACCACTTCTATCACCACCACCATCACATCCATCACCACCCCCATCACCATCACCACCACCTCCATCACCATCACTACCTCCCACCACCACCACCTCCCACGTCACCACTTCTATCACCACCACCATCACATCCATCACCACCCCCATCACCATCACCACCACCTCCATCACCACCACCACCCCATCCCCACTGCCACTACCTCTATGACTATCACCACCTCCCACCACCACCACCACCATCTCCACCTCCCACCATCACCTCCGTCACCACCATCACCTTCATCACCACCACCTTCATCACCTCCACCACCATCACCACCTCCACCACCACCACCTCCACCATCACCACCTCCATCACCACTACCTCCATCACCACCACCTCCACCATGACCATGGGAGAGAGAGAGAAGACATTGTCCTGGACTGAGGCAGGGTCAGCAGCTTGAAGAGAAGGGGGAGTGGGAGGCAGTTTGGAGGTGGAATGGGAGGGATGTGGTGATGGCCAGGCTGTGGGAATGAGGAAAGGAAGGGAACTGAGAGAGCCCCCAGATGGGACAGTAGGGGTGGAGGAGGCAGTATGCAGATGAGGGGATGACCTCAGTGTGGATTGGGTGGTGGGGTGGGGGCAGAGAGGAGAGATGGGAGGTGGTCTACAGGCCCTGGGGATGTTGGGCTGGGTGGGGGTGAGGAAGTGGGGACCCCAGGTTTCTGAGGGAGTTAGGGCTGCCCGGAGGAAGCCCTGTGCAGGGCTCTGGTGATTTTCAGCACCCGGGACTGGGGTCTGCAGAGGCATAAGCCGAAGCTCCAGGGTCCCACCTGTCAAATGGGCAGGTGATTCTGGCCTCCTGTGCTGTTGTGAGGAGCCCACAAGATAACAAGTCAAGCCCCCTGCTCTCAGTGGGCACTCAGGAAATAAGAGGGACCATGGGGCGACGTGTCCTCAGTGCCCCAGCAAGTGGGACTCAGAACCCCTCCAGGGCTCCCCTATACAGGCCCAGCCAGCCCCCCATCCCAGAGCCCACCCACCAGCCCAGATGGGCGAGCTGGAGGGCCAGGCCAGCAGAGCCTTACCCAGTGGTGGTCCATGGGTTATCAGGATGTCTACGCCTTCGGGAATGAGGTTCCATTTCTCCAGCAGGGCTTGGCCTCGCGGGAGGTTGAAGCCCCAGCCGTAGAACCAGGGCTGCCTGTAGAAGAAGTGCAGGTGTTTGAGGGAGGGCGGGTGAAAGTACAGGGTGGTCAGAGGGAATGCGGAGCTCCCCACGGGCCAGGGGGCCCTCAGGACCAGCTCGCTACCTGGAGACCCAGGGAAGGTCTCCACCTAGGGAAGGCAGGGACTCACCAGGACTTTGACCCACTGGCGGTCTGTGGGTCCCCAGGCAATTCTCTTTCCTCTCTCCTTCTGCTTACCTGCAGTTTCTGTTTTTCTGTAAGTATTATTTACATAACCAAAAAAAAAAGAAAGCTAAATACATATATATATATACATATACATATATATATCAGCTTCTTCCTAAGACCTTTCCTGCTCCAAGCCTTTCTAAGAAAATCCACAGGGAACATTATACATTCTCCAATACTCCCACCCCCACCCCCAGGAAGATGCCCCTCCATCCTCCCTCCCCCAGGTGGGGTGTGTGGACCCCCAGTCAAAAGAGAGCAGATTCCAGGTGCGGGCTGCTCATTCTTGCTTATACTGGAAGCTCTGGCCAGGGAGTCCAGGTAGAGTTGAGCCCATCCCCAGCTGGGAGGGTGGGGCCAGGTGGACCTAGACCATTATACGCAATCCCAGCCTGGTAGCCTGCTCCCCAGCCAAGACCTGGACCCATCAATGCCAGATATTCCCCCTAGTCAGTTCAGTGGTGAACACATCACCTAGATCCTTCCAATTGCAGGCAGTCTCTTTTCAAGAAGAAAAGTGGATACTATCATCCCTGTGTATAAACAGTGAGCTTCTAGCCTTGGGAGCTGTGGGCAGCTGTCGGCAGCTGTTAAGTTACCCAAGAAACAGCTGGATCAAACTGGACCAGACACCCACCCTACCTCAGCACTTCCCAATTATACGGGCCAACACAAAGCCATTTGAACTGGGTTTTCAGTCATTTGCAACAAAAGCATCAGAATCATCCCGTAGGTTTCACCCATACATGATTCCACAAGAATGGGCCCTTTATGTCAATAAAGTAACCAGCATCACCACCTCCAACACCGCCACCTCCACCATCACTAGCACTTCTACCATCAACAGCACTTCCACCACCACCTCCATTACTAGTACCTCCTCCACCACCACCACGTCCATCACCACCTCCATCACCACCATCTCCGCCACCACTACCTCCACCACCACCTCCACCACCACCATCTCCACCACCACTACCTCCACCACCACCACTTCCACCACCACTACCTCCACCACCACCACCTCCACCACCACTACCTCCACCACCACTACCTCCACCACCACCACCTCCACCACCACTACCTCCACCACCACCACCTCCACCACCACCACCTCCACCACCACCACCTCCACCACCACCATCTCCACCACCACTACCTCCACCACCACTACCACCACCACCACCTCCACCACCACCACCTCCACCACCACCACCTCCGCCACCACCACCTCCACCACCACCTCCACCACCACCATCACCACCACCACTACCTCCACCACCACCACTTCCACCACCACTACCACCACCACCACCACCACCACCACCACCACCACCACCATCTCCACCACCACTACCTCCACCACCACCACCTCCACCACCACCATCTCCACCACCATCTCCACCACCACTACCTCCACCACCACCATCTCCACCACCACCACCACCATCTCCACCACCACTATCTCCACCACCACCATCTCCACCACCACCATCTCCACCACCATCTCCACCACCACTACCTCCACCACCACCATCTCCACCACCACCACCACCATCTCCACCACCACTACCTCCACCACCACCACCTCCACCACCACCACCTCCATCACCACCTCCACCACCACCATCTCCACCACCACTACCTCCACCACCACCACCTCCACCACCACCACCTCCATCACCACCTCCATCACCACCATCTCCGCCACCACTACCTCCACCACCACCTCCACCACCACCATCTCCACCACCACTACCTCCACCACCACCTCCACCACCACCTCCACCACCACCATCTCCACCACCACTACCTCCACCACCACTACCTCCACCACCACCTCCACCATCACCACCTCCACCACCACCACCTCCACCATCACCACCTCCACCACCACCACCTCCACCACCACCATCTCCACCACCACTACCTCCACCACCACTACCTCCACCACCACCTCCACCATCACCACCTCCACCACCACCACCTCCACCATCACCACCTCCACCACCACCATCTCCACCACCACCACCATCTCCACCACCACCATCTCCACCACCACCACCTCCACCACCACTACCTCCACCATCACCTCCACCACCACTACCTCCACCACCACCATCTCCACCACCACTACCTCCACCACCACCATCTCCACCACCACCACCACCATCTCCACCACCACTACCTCCACCACCACCACCTCCACCACCACCACCTCCATCACCACCTCCACCACCACCATCTCCACCACCACCACCACCATCTCCACCACCACTACCTCCACCACCACCACCTCCACCACCACCACCTCCATCACCACCTCCACCACCACCATCTCCACCACCACCACCTCCACCACCACTACCTCCACCATCACCTCCACCACCACCATCTCCACCACTACTACCTCCACCATCACCACCTCCACCACCACCACCTCCACCATCACCTCCACCACCACCATCTCCACCACCACCATCTCCACCACCACCACCTCCACCACCACCACCACCTCCACCACCACTACCTCCACCACCACCTCCACCATCACCAGCACTTCCACCACCACCTCCATTACTAGTACCTCCTCCTCCACCACCACCACCTCCATCACCACCTCCATCACTACCACCACCATCACCACTACCATCACCACCATCACCTCCATCAACACCTCCATCACTACCACCACCATCACCACCACCATCACCACCATCACCTCCATCACCACCTCCATCACCACCACCACCACCTCCATCACCACCTCCATCACCACCACCACCTCCACCACCACCACCACCTCCACTTCCATCACCACTTCCATCATCACCACCTCCATCACACCTCTGTCATCACTACCAGCACCTCCATCACCACCACCACCACCTCCTACCACCTCCATCACCACCACTACCTCAATCATTGCTATGATCTAAATGTTTGCATCCCCCCAAAATTAATATTTTGAAATCTAATCCCCAAGGTGCTAGTACTAGGAGGTGGGGTCTCTGGGAGGTGATGAGGTCATGAGGGTGGAGCCCTCTCAAATAGGATCAGTGCCCTTATAAGGAGAGGCATGAGAGATCCCTTGCTCCTTCCACTATGTAAGGAAACAGCAAGGAGGTGCCATCTATGAACCAGGAAGTGGGTCCTCACCAGACATGGAATCTGCCAGCACCTTGATCTTGGAATTCTAGATTCCAGACTGTGAGAAACACACTTCTGTTGTTTAGAATCCACCCAGTCTATGGCATTTTCTTGTAGCAGCCCGAATGGTCTAAGACAGCCACCATCACCACCACCACCACCACCACCACCACCACTGTGAATCAAATTGTGTCCCCCAAAAAGACATGTTGCCAACCCCCAGGACCTGTGAATATGACCTTATTTATAAAGAGGTTCTTTGTAGATGAAATCAAGCTAAGATGGGGTCATACTGGATTCGTGTAGGTCTTACCTCCAATGACTGGTGTCCTTAAAAGAGGGCCATGTGATAACATAGAGAAACTGGCAGAGGGAAGGACACCAGGTGACAATGGAGGTAGAAACTGAAGTGACACTTCCACAAGCTAAAGAACAACCAGGATCACCAGCAACCATCAGAAACCACAACAGTGTGGCCAAGGATCACCAGCAACTAGCATCACCAGCAACCATCAGAAGCCACAAGAGTGTGGCCAAGCATGGTGGCTCATGCCTGTAATCCCAGTGCTTTGGGAGGCTGAGACAGGAGGATTGTTTGAGCCCTCGAATGCAAGACCAGCCTGGGCAACACAGTAAGACACTGTCTCTACAAAAATATTTTTAAAAAATTAGTCGGGCATGATGGCGCGCACCTGTAGTCCCAGCTACTCAAGAGGATGGGGTGGGAGAGGATTGCTTGAGCCCAGGAGGTCAAGGCTGCAGTGAACTGAGATTGTGCCACTGCACTCCAGCCTGGGCAACAGAGCAAGACCCTGTCTCAAAATAAAGCAGCAGCTAGAAGAGTGGCCCGGAAGAGTTTTCCCTCAGAGCCCCCCAAAAGGAACCAATCTTGCAGAGGCCTCTCTAGGCTTCTAGCCTCCAGAACCGTGAGAGAGTGAATTTCCGTTGTTTTCGCCACTGGATTTGATCCTCAGTTACACAGCCCTACATAGTAATGCAATTGCCATCCCCACATCACCTCCCCGCCTGCTGCCCTGGGACGACCTTCACCCCTGCAGCACTGTTGGTCAGACAGGTCTCCTTCTACATGGTTTGTAGATGAGAAAATTGAGGACCAGGGGTGGGAAAATAAAAATAGTCACCAGCATTTCCTGTGCACCTACTGTTCTGCCAGGCCCCAAGTATGTACATTACTGGGATGGGCTCAGCTGTTACAAGAACCCCGTGAAAGAGGGACTAGCATTATTCCCCTTTTACAGATGAGGACACTGAGGCTCCCAGCAGTGAGATGGCACAGGACTTGGGTCCTGGCGTGCCGGCCCCCAACAGGGTGCCTCACTACCACTCTCCCGCCACCACATGCTGTGAGAGTTGGTGGAGGCTGGGGGAGGGGTGGGCTTTGCCATTGCCAGTGCCTCTATCACCACCTCCATCACCAGCACCAGTGCTCAAGGCTGCCACTTAAATCCCTCCCTGGGCCATGCACTGTTCCGTGGGGTGACTGACACCCCTGGCTGTTAACCCAACATACTACCCTGTTGGCAGGTGCCCAATGCACCTCCTTGGAACCCCATTTGAAAACCCCAACTTAGTCCTATGCTGGCAGGTCCTGGACTAGAAGATGGAGGTTTGGCGAGGGAATGGAAAGTGCCCAGGTTCACACAGTGGGTCAGTGGAGAAGTCATTCTCAAACCCAGATCTGATGTTCTCTCCCCACTGCCCCACCCTGCCTTCAAGCCTACAGAGCCATCTCCTGGGACACAGGGCTTGTGACAGAGGAGGATGGGTGGCCACACTGGTTATTTGGGGTCAAAGGCCTTTTCATTGTTTCAGACACCAGCCCAGGAGACACGCAAATCTATGTTTAACGAATGATGGTGGGTGAGAGGGGACTGAATTAATGAATAAATTGTTAACAGGATGTTGAGCAGGACTTTACCTGTTCTTGGGATTGCAGCCAAAATGCCAAAGCTGAAACCGATCCCCCTCATTTGAAAGAAAAGCCCCAGAACCCCCAGGGGAACGTACTAAAAGCAGGCAGAACACACCAGACCACCACCTCCCCAGTCCCCTACCAGCCAAGCTCTGGGCCTTGAGGAAGAGGGCTGTCGCTCCTGCCCGGTTCTTGGGGGAGAAGAAGAAAGCAAGTCCCCTACACCCAGCCATGAGCAGGCTCCAGGAGAGCCCCTTGCACAGGTGGGGGCCTGGGGAATGAGACTGGCTGTGCTTTCTGGGTTGTGCCTGGGGATCTGCCCCCAGGCCTGTGAGAGGAAAAATTAAGTGTGAGGGGCAGGGCACAGAAGAGCTGCCTGCACCCCCAGTATGGGCTCTCTCAGGGACCCCCACCCACAGGCAGTGCCCACCAATTGAGGAAACCAGGCAGCTGTGGCTAAGGAATGGCCTCTGGGTGGGCAGCATCAAGGACAGTGGCTAATCCCATTAGTGGGCACCGTCTCCCTCAGACACATCCACACAGGCCTGCAGGAAGCCAAGATTCTCTCTGCAGAAATACGTATCACCCCTGACATGCACACACATGATTTTACACCCAACTGTGAGCTCATCTTGCAGTTAGACCTAGGTTACAATGGTCCACTCCTTACCACCTGTGTGATCTTGAACAAAGAACTTAACTTCTATGCCCCAATTTCCCATTTGTGAAGTGGGGATAATACTCAATACGGCTGTTGAAATGACTAAATCAGTTAATCCATGTAAAGTACTTAAAACGGGCCTGGTACACAGTAAGTATTCAACACATTGCAAGTTCATCATCCCCATCACCTCAATTATCCCTATAATCACCCCCAGCACCACCTCCATCACCACCACCTCCACCACCTCCATCATCACCAACATCATCACCACCACCACCTCCATCACCAGCACCTCAATCATTACCACCACCTCCATCACCACCGCCTCCATCATGACCACCACCACCAGCACCTCCATTACCACCACCTCCAACACCACCACCTCCATCATCATCACCATCACCATCACCACCACCTCCATCACCAGCACCTCAATCATTACCACCACCTCCATCATCACCACCATCACCACCACCTCAATCATTACCACCACCTCCATTACCACCTCCATCACCACTACCTCCATCACCATCACCACCACCAGCATCATCTTTATCACCACCACCTCCATCACCACCACCACCTCCATAACCACCACCTCCATCACCATCACCACCACCTCCATAACCACCACCTCCATCACCATCACCACCACCTCCATCACCAACACCACCATCACCACCACCATCATCTTCATCACCACCTCCATCACTACCACCGCCACCACCTCCATCACTACCATCACTACCACCACCTCCATAACCACCACCTCCATCATTACAACCTCCATCACCACCACCACCACCTCCATCACCACCACCGCCTCCTCTATCACTATCACCACCATCATCTCCATCACCTCCACCATCATCACCACCACCTCCACCATCATCACCACTACCATTATCAACATCAACATCATCACTCTCATCACCACCATCACCATTACCATCATCATCACCATCATACACCACCATTATCAATATCACCACCATCACCATCACCTCCTATATCACCACTACCATCATTATTGCTATCATCATAATTATCATGGAGCCCTCCTGAGACTCACCCACGGAGCCTGAATGAAAAACCTTTGGCCTACAGCAGGGTCTTTCAAATTGCATTTTGATGAATGGCAACAGCATTTTTTTAAAAAAAGAATAGAAAACATCAGCTCCCCAAGATTTGAGAGTCCATTGAGCCAGGAAAGGGATACTTCAGTTAAATATATTTCTATTTAATTAGCCACCCACATCCACATGGACTGAGTCACAGAGTAAAATGCTTTCCTTCCGCGGTTCCTAGTGGAGAAGAGCCGACAGCGTCTCACTGGCAGCTCCCAAGGCTGCCCCAGTTCTAACCTGCTGAGTTCACAGCTGGAATTTTCTGATGCCGCGGTCCCAGACACATTCAGAGCCCCACTGGCTGAACCAGGCAGGTAGGGGGAATGGGTAAGGTGCTTCTGGGAAGGACTCAGTGGCTTAGAAGCCACTTAGGGTCCTCCCTGGAGCCCCAGCCCCATCAGCCAACAGAAAAACAAGCAACACATTTCTGGTGGTGCCTTCCAAACACAGCTTCCATTTTTCAAAAATCTGATCAAATATTTACAAGACAGGAGGAAGCCTCATCAGTATGGAGAGAACACGTCTGTTGGTTCCCGAGAGCCACGGCAGGGGGCAGTTATTTGAAGGAAACACTCGGAAACATATCAGAGACCCTGTGGACCCCCAGGAGCTGGCCCCTGGTAGAGCCGCTGCCTGTCCCACCTTCCCCTCACCCAACACCAAGGAGCCTTCCTCTAGGGGTGACAGTTTCCCGCCAGCTTCTTGGAAACACATGACCTCAAATCTTGGGGAGCCGGAATCTGCCCTGTTCCCCCACCCCAATGCCCAGAGAGGTTGTTCCACTTCCCAGGGTCACACAGGGAGGCCCAGGCAGAGCTGGGTGAAGAACCAGATCTCAACAGGGCAGCGGGTCTGGAATTTGTTCCTTTTTCCCTCCCCATCACACCCTTGCCCATTTGGGGAGCCATGAGAACATCTCCAAATGCATAGAAGGACCAGACTTGCCTGCAGGATCTGGGGACATGGGGGCAGCTGACACCACAACATTGGGTCCGGGGGCCCAGAGCCTGCCTTGTTTTCCTCTACTGGGTAGAAAGGGCACTGAAGTGGGCATCGGACACCCCAGTTCTGCCCCTGGCTGCTCACTGCACCTCTTCCAGCCTCGGTTTCCTCCTGTGTAAAGATGGGGTTAATGATGCCTCTGTCCCCAGTCCTCTTGCTCTCCTCTGTGTCCCACTGCCTGACGCAGGGGAGGAAAGGAGGGAGGAGGAGAGCAGTTAGGAGGATTAGACGGCACCACCACTGTGAAAATGCCTTCTAAATACCCGGGAGCTCCATCAATGGGAAGAGGTGATGTTCCAGCTTTTATTAGAATGTTGGTGGACAGGGGCCGGGTGCAGCGGCTCACGCCTATAATCTCAGCACTTTGGAAGGCCGAGGTGGGTGGATCACCTCAGGTCAGGAGTTCGACACCAGCCTGGCCAGTGTGGTGAAAACCCGTCTCTACTAAAAATACAAAAATTAGCTGGGCATAGTGGCACATGCTTGTAATCCCAGCTACTCAGGAGGCTGAGGCAGGAAAATCACTTGAACCCAGGAGGCAGAGGTTGCAGTGAGCTGAGATCATGCCACTGCACTCCAGCCTGGGCGACAGAGCGAGACTCCATCTCAAAAAAAAAAAAATGTCAGGGGACAGGAGGAGTCAAGTCATGCACAAGACATCCAGAAGAGACACTTCCCAGGACAGACTGCTCGCTGGGGAGCACCATCCCCAGGCTGGGAAAGGGGGACTTCTTAAAGGCAGGCAGGAGCAGGTGGGTGGGCACGACTGAGTAGACCCCTTGGGGTGATCTCACTCCTAGAGGCCTCTGAGCCACACATGAGGCCTGGACAGCCCCCGGCCTCCTGTACAACATTCATGGAAACCACCATCAGGCTCTGCCCTGGGCAGAGGAGACAAAAGAAGCAGCCCCTCCTGGAGGCGAAGTGCGAAGAGGTCCTCCCCACATGCTGTGTGTGGGGATGAAATGACCCTCTCCATGTCCAGTGAGACCTGGCAGACCTGGCAGGTGGGATCAACCACCGTGACCGGCAGGCCCGAAGTCCACGTGGCCCCTGGTGTTTCAGAGGTTAGGGCAGACAAGGGCTCCAGGGGCCCAGTCAGCCCTGATCAAGCCCACCCCTCACTGCCCACACTGCCAACATGGTCTGAGACTCACGAATGCCTGAGATACGACGCTGAGGTGCCCCAAGAGCCACTGTACTTGTTGCCAACACAACCCAGTGCCTGGACCCAACCTCACCACCCTGAGGGTCCAGGATCCCCAGTGCCAGCCCCACTGTGCGGGGCACACCACAGCGCCTGAGGAGGGCGGACGGATGCGAATTCCCGCTAAGCCATGGAAGGCGGCTTTATGTCCTGAATTTCTGTCTTTCTGTTCTAAAGTAACCATTGGAATAATTTTCTTACAGAATGATAGTTGCCATGACAACCAGAGCAAATTTTCCTTTTCTGAAACAGATGTCTCATTTAGTTGAAAATTAGAATGTGAACAAACCCATGGGAAAAATTAATTCAAACTTTAACAGAGCGCTGAATACAATGTAATCTCTCAGAGGTTAACCCCTTAACAGCTTTTTTGTGCTCTTATGGTAACCTTCGAGTCCCGTCTAATTAAGCCTGCTTAGCCAATATAAATGACCTCCTCGTGGCCAATCGTTAAACAGTCTCCTGCTGAAGCGTGAATTCCAGGTTCCTCAGCCGCAAACAGGGAAGCGGGGAGACACTCGTCTATAGGAAATGGCAGAAGCCGAGCCTACCCTGCTCGGGTTCTCTGCCTCCCCAGGTAGGGTACACAGCTGCTGGGTAGGTCGTGTCCCCAGGAGTCACTGTAGCACCCTGGAGTACAGCCATCCCTGGCTGCGCCCCATTTCCTGGAGTGCTGGGGCCTTGGGGGGCCCTGGGAAGTGCTGAGCACACAGGCACACCCGGGCCGGGGCATGAGGCTGAGGGCGGCGTAGGGGCCGCCCTCAATGGGACACAGAGCAGACACCCACACAGATGCAGTGCCCACGGCCTCTCCAGGAACAGCCAGACTCAATCCTCACACCCCCCCAAGAGAGGCAGCTGCCACCATGGCCTCCACTCTACAGATGCAGAAACTGAGATGGAGAGAGGTACCCACGTGACACAGCCAGGGCTCAAACCCGGAATGCAAGTTCCAGGGCCTATACTCTATGTGTCCATCCCAGAGTGATGAAAATGTGACCAGGAATCAGCCTCGCGCCACCCGCCCCACCGCCCTGCCCACAGCAAATCCCCTTAAGCAGTCGCTGTCACGTCTAGTAGCTCAGTTCATCCTCAGGGCAAAACAGTTGGGAGGCCCGCCCGTTTCAGAGACAAGGAAACGGAAGCACAGAGAAGTCAAGCAGTGTGTCCGAGGGCATGGGCCAGGGCTCAGAGCTCCTGCGTCCTGTGCCCAAGCTGGCAGCTGACACACAGACAATTCCTGGGGTGCCAGGCCACAGGCTCTCCCTCTCCCAAGATGACTTCCTGCCTGCTCCTCTGAGCTCCCTGACCCTTGCCAGTTCCCCTCTTAACCCCGACTGGACAGAGGGGAAGAGGCCTGCACCCCTGGCTCCTAGGACCCCACCCACACATTTACTGCATGTCATTCCTCCACTCCAGCGCCTCCCATGGCTCCCTGCTGCTTCCAGGACAAGCCCAGCCCTCGGCGTGGCACACGGGGCTTTAGGATCTGCCCTGCCCACCTTCCAGGTCATTCTGTTCAGGATCCCCACGGAGCTCACCACCCATGTCAACCTTAACCATCCACTTCCAGCTTCCTAAACACAGTCTGGCCTTTCTGTACCTCCAGGTTTTGCTTGTGCTAGTTCAGAAATCTGAAATGCCCTTCGTAGCCTCTCCCATCATCCACGACCCGTATTTTATTAAGGACCGGCTCAAAGGCCACCTCTTCCAGCAGTTTCTCTTGATCACCTGCCTCCCCCAGCACAGGTGTCCCCTCTCCACCCTGACTGAGGTCCATCCCTGAACCCCTCCTGCCCAGGCCGGCTTCAGGGAGGGGTTGCTCAAGACGGCCATGAATGAATGAACGAAGAATGAAATGAACAAGCAGGTGCTCTACCCGACAGGAAGGTGGGAGGAACTACACACTAGCCCTCTTCACTCTGCACCATCCTGCCAGGAGCCTCACCTCAGAGTCCCTGACAGTCAGGAAGCCCCAAGACCCATATCAGCGATGAAAACAGTCACGAGAACTCTCTGAGACCTCTGCCATCTGCTGAGTGTCCCATTCTCTCTCCCTCTCCCATGAACCTGCACCGGAGACTTACGTGTCCATTTTACAGATGAAGCCTCAGAGGTAAACCCAGATCCAGGATGCTCACACCCCTCTGCTGCATCTGGACCCCCAGGAAGGCTCACCTCCCCTGGGGGCCCCTCCCAGCCTCCCCAGGGCCCCCATTTCCCGGGGTGCAGGCTGAGTGCTGGCAACTCTGCTGCCTGCTGGGGTGGCCACCACCATGAAGGTCCTGTGGAGGAAGAAGGGCCTTTTACAGGACCTGCCAGCAGCCAGGTATTCCTATACTTCCTCCTCTTGACAATCCTCTGAGGATAGCTTTGCTGTCTCTACTCTACAGGAGCTGCAGCTCCAAGCAGGGGTGTGACATTTTCCAGCCATGTGGCTGCTGCAGTGGCCCCTGAGCTTTCAGAGGAGCCTGTCCAGGTCCAGGTCCAATCTCCTTCCCCCAAGGCCAAGCACTCTCTGTCCTGATCCCCACCCGTTTGTTCTTCCCACCCCAATACCTCCCCTCCCCAAAGAGGCCGGGCTTTCCAGGGAGCCAGCCATGGCCACAGCCAATATTAAGAGTGTCTCTGGTGAAGATGACATCTGTCATTGGCCCCGAGTCCTTCCCCAGACACTGCCAGCACCCCAGTGAGGCTGTATTCCCATTCTGCAACAGGGGAAACTGAGGCTCAGAGATGTCAGAGACGTGCCTGGTTCCCAAGTGAGGGCATGCCTGCATGGAGACCAGACCGGTGTGTTGACTCTTCACACCACAGCTGGTGTCTGTCTCCTGGGGATGTCCCACTGTCCGAACTTCCTCTGTCCTCTGCCCAGTCCTGGTGAGAGGGGTTTGCCCTGACCCCTCCCTCTGCATCTCCTAGCCCGGTGGGCCCAGGCAAAGGCTGGGGGAGATGGACAGCAGGGGTCCAGCTCCACTGCCCTTGGGGCCCGATGGCTGCCCGAGAGGGGACAGGGCAGTGCGGAGCTGGCAACGCGTCCCCAAAGCCCGTCAATCACACACCTGGCCGGGGCACACAACTGCGTACGGCAAGTCAGCAGCAAGATAAGTGGAACCGAAGAACAGGGTCCTTTGTCATTCCTAATTAATTTTCCCACCCTTCCCATGCACAGAATCATCCATCTTTTGTTTCGCTGGGACTTTGCGGCAGGAAGGAGGCAGATGATTCATTTCAAACATTAATCTCATGTGGAGTAGTGTGCACACGTGTGTTGAGGGGCCTTCTAGAAAGGAAAACAGCCACGTGAAATCAATTTTATCTGGACAGGTGAACGGAAGATGAAGATAGGAAGGGGGCAGAAGAGAAATCGTGGCGGTGTCTGTGTGTGACTCTGTGTGTGAGTGTGAATGTGTGTGTGTGAATGTGTATGACGTGTGCATCCATGTGTATGTGTGTGACTGTGTGAGTGTGTATGTGTGTACTTGTGACTGTGTATTAGTGTGTGTGAATGTGTGTATGAATATGTGTGAATGTACATATGTGAATATACATGTATGGGTGAATTCATATGTGTATGAATGTGTGTGTGTGAATGTGTGTGTTCATGTGTATGTGTCTATGAATATGTGTGTGGTTGTGGATGTGTGAATGCATGTGTTTGAGCGTGTGGATGTGTGTGTGAATGCATGTGTGTATGAGTGTGTGGAAGTGTATATGAGTATGAATGTGTGTGTAGGTGTATAGGTATGTGTGCGTGTGAATTATGTGTGTATATGTGAATGTCATATGTGAATGTTTCTGTGTGTACATGATATTGTGTGTACATGTGTGAACGTGCATGTGAGTGTGTATGGTATGGGAATGTCTGTGCATGTACATGAATGTGTGTGTATGTGAATATGTGTGTGTGTGAGTGTGTGTCTGTGCGTTTGTAGAAGCAGCACAGCAAGCTACCAGAGACTGAAGAATTTCTTTGCCTCCATCAGAATGTAACTGATGCTGCACGTTGGGCTCAGAATTCTAAGAAGCCAGTACGGGAAGGAGACGGAGGTGGGTGGCTGTGGGATCACTCTGGGTGGACACTGCTGGCTGCCTTGGGCCCCCTCATCCATGGCACGTACCAGCTGGCTCCCAAGCCCCTCAAGCAGCCGTTTCCCTGAGAGGCTCAGGCGGGGCTCACACCTGCCCTAGATGACAGGCTCTACAGCCACCCCTAAGCAGGTGGGGCAATTCCTGACTTGATCTGGGCTCAAGGCAGGGGATGAAAGGGAAACACCATGCAGGTCTCCACAATACCCCAGCCGCATGGCTTTGCGTGTCTCACCCTGTTTCACCATCCAGGGCCCTGTGAGGGGAGAGGGAGAATCCTCTCTACAGATGCAGGACCCAGTGCTCAGGACGAATCCGTCACAGAAGGGGACAGGGATCCAGAAGCCCAAAGCTCAGCAGGGACTGCCAGAGGCTGGGCCCAGGGGAAGCCAGGCAACAGCTGCCAGAACAAGCTGCCCACTGGACGGCCAAGGCCAGGAGCTGCCCAAGTCTACACGCCTGAGCCAGACCCGGGGCTGCCTCTTCCTAGGGCTGAGATCTTGAGCCAGATGCTAGACCTACTCAAGCCTTACCTGACCCATCTGTAAGATGGGAATGGAGATCATCCTGCCTTGCCTGTTGCTAGGCAGACTACATGGGACAATACACGGGGCAGTCGGCCGAATGCGGGTCTCGAGTATGAAGCAGCGGGGAAAGTCTTTGCCTCACCTGCCCAAACAAACTGGGAAAGGCCAGCCTTGTGCTGGAATCATCCAGAAATACAAGGCAACATGCAAGCAGCACTGCACCAGGTGAACGGGGACTGCTGGCCCCTGCAACCAGGCGACATAGTCCTAATGGCCGTGAGGCCGCAAGAAGGGAGGCCTCGGCCACTTAAGAGGGGAGTTGGACTCGCCCTCCATCCTTGGTACACTGGGCCCCAGAGGGCTTCAGGAAAACAGCAGAACAGAAAAGGCCCCCACTGGCCACGGGCAGCAGGAGCTGGATCCCCAGGGCTGTTCTCAGGCCAGCAGACCTGTGTGGTCCAGGATGCCCCAAGCCAAGAAACTCACGTAAAGTGGCCCCTGCTGGGTGTGCCCACAGACTGAGGCAGACACAATGCCTCCCAGGGAGCACCCTCAAACTGGGCTACACCCCCTAAGCCAGCCACACCCCAATCCAGCCTGCCCAGGACTCCCCCAGATTGTACCTTGCTGGCCAAGAGCCTGCCATCTAAAATGACAACACCCCTAACACCTCAGAGGGAATTATTGGAGACTAAAACATAAATGTTTTATAAAAGATTTAAAAGGGTTCTTAAGAGAAAGGGCAAAGGACTCCAGGTCAGAAACTTGGCACTGAGTGCCGGGCCCGCCTGTGTCTCACGCAGAGACAGGAGGAGGCACCGAGGGCGTGGCATGCTGCAGAGAAGCTGGCAGTCCAAACCGACACCTGGGGGGCTTCCTGGGAAGGGTGGCATCACCGGCCGCCTTGAATCCTGGGTGGAGCACGCCATGGGGCAGGGTGGAGACGGGAGAACCAGCCTCATCACTGTCACCCATCTGCAGTGACAGCTGGGGGAGTGGGGGCTGCCTCGGGGCCGGCCAGGCATCCCGCCACCCTGCCCTCCACTCCCAGGACTCGGCCCCGTTCTGGTGGGAGGCAAGGTGGAAGCTATGGGGCCAGGAGATTAACCTGTCTCGTTTTTTCTCTAAAATATATATTTATCAAGTTAGAAAGAAGCATTCTGGCAGCTCACTGTGCACACCAGGTGGGGCCTCCATCCTCCCTGCCATGCAGGCCCAGCTTGTTCAGTTCCCACAGGACCTCACACAAGACACTTCCCTGCTGGGGTCTCAGACCTCTCAGCCATAAAATGTGGACAAGAGTCTAGGCCTCCCTGACTGTTTCAGAGGACAGGGCCTCTGGGCCAGCATAAGACAGGGACTGTCACTGCAATCACATCAACCCCTGGCCCTGAGCTCTTTCAGGGTACAGATTTCAAGTTCCAGGCTGCTCCGTTCTGGCCCCATCCAACTGGCAGGCCTGCTAAGCGCAAAAAGGGAAGGGAAGGAACGGACGTCAAAGGCCAGTGCCACGACCCACCCCAGCCTCATCCCAGAGCCACCTGGCTGCAGCTCTGTCCCATGGCTGTGGGCGGTAGAGAAACCACCCATATTGCTTCCGTGCCCTAGCCTGGGCGGTCATAAACGTCGAGCAGCAGGTGTATGAATGCCCACCATGTGCCAAGCAGTGTGCACACAGGACCTCCTTCAATCCCAAGGGCAGTTCTGCAAGGGGACTATCCCTCTTGGCATTTCACAGAAAGCCAAGATTCTGACCCAAGGTTAAACAGCTGGGAGCCACGTACCAGGATGTGTATTCCAGAATGGTCTGGAGCAGCCCTGGCTGTTTGAAGAGGGCTGACCCCTGAGGCCACTGGCTCCCACAGAGAGGTGAAGGGCATCCTGGCACCACTGCCTGGCCTTGAGGTCCAGCCCTGCCGGGAGACAGTGAAACCCCTGAGCCGAGAATCAGGATCCGAGCGCAGACGCCCAGCAACGGGCCCGGCAGCCACTTCTCAAAGTTTAATGTCTCAGCAGGTTTGGATCCCTTCTTTCAAAATACCAGAAGTAATTAGACCAGATGGACTCGCTGCGTGCCAATTTCACTCTCTCCCTCACTCTTTTTTTTAAATCAAGGCCGTTTTCAGTTAAATGAGAACAAAAAATGCATCCAAAACCCATAAATGAATACGGTATGTATACGGGATTTTTTTTAACACTTGGGATTTTGTACCAGCTGAGTTCTTCCTCTTCTCCTGCAGTTGGTTCCCGCCCCCTTCCGCTAAGCTGCTCTCAGCGAAGGCCCAACACCGGCTGCACCTGAGGGTCCACAAACGGCCTCCCTGAGCCCTGGAACGTCACGGCGCCCTGGGAGGGGGCAGCACAAACACGCCACCCTAATGAGACTTTCATCCCTTCTTGCCTGAACAGACTGAAAGGCTTGGTAAGTGCAGGGCACAGCGGTGGTTATGGCCCTGCCCCCATTAGTGATGATGCTGTGATGGAACCCTTGCTGGGGAGGGCAGGGCCCAAGATCCAGGGGACACAGGAGGGGGCATCTGGCCTTCAGCTTGAGGGTGAAGGGGATGGTATCAAGGGGGCGACATGGCAAGCCAGCAGGGGGCACAGTTAGGCCTTGCTTTAGAGAGAGCAGCACGGAAGAGGAAGAAGGAAACAGAGGGGAGGGAGCTGGTGACAGGCCTGGGAGGAACCCCAGAAAGGTTCAATCGCAGGAGAATAAACCTGGCCTGGATTTTAACTGAGTCCCCACAGCTTGCCATCCATCCATTTGGTCACTCATCCACTCATTCATTCATCCAACAAATACTTATTATGAGGAACCAGACTCTGTACTGGGCACTGGAGTTAGGTCTATGAGAAAGAGAGATCTGGGTCCCTGCCCCTATGAAGCCTCAGACGCCCTAGTAGGATAAAGAGAAGATAAATCAACTGCCGGAGTAATAAAGACAGGGCGGTCCTACACTGAATGGCCCAATGGAGGAGAGAGAAGCCAGACACAGACCCCACGTGTCAGATAAGGGTGGTAGGAGTAAAGAGGATAGGCTTTCTACACATGGTGCTAGGCCAGGAGGGTGTCCATGTGGAAAAACCCTGAACAAGATCCCTATCTCACACCATCAACACAATCATTTCCAGTGGATCCAACACCTGAACATAAGAGGCAAAACAGCAAAAGTTCTGGAAGACAATATAGAAACAGGGCCAGGCAAGGTGGCTCATGCCTATAATCCCAGCACTCTGGGAGGCCGAGGCAGGTGGATCACTTGAGGTCAGGAGTTTAAGATCAGCCTGGCCAACATGGTGAAACCCTGTCTCTACAAAAATACAAAAATTAGCTGGGCATGATGGCAGCTACCTGTAATCCAAGCTACTCAGGAGGCTGAGGCAGGAGAATCACTTAAACCCAGGAGGCAGAGGTTGCAGTGAGCCGAGATCATGCCATTGCACTCTAACCTAGGCGACAGAGTGAGACTCCATCTCAAAAAAAAAAAAAAAGAAAAGAAAAGAAAAAGAAATAAGTCTTCATTATTTCAGAGAACAGAAGATCTCTGCAATAAGGTACCAAAAGCATTTATCACAAAGAAAAACACGAAGATATTTGACTACACCAAAATTTAAAACTTCCGTTCACCCAAAGGCTCTGCTAAGACAGGGGAAAGAGAGGTCACAGAGGGGGAAAAGCTATTAGTAACATCACAACTGGGAAAAGGCTCATACTCATAATCAGAATACATGAAGAATCTCCATGAACCAGTAAGAAAAAGACAAACAATCCAATTATTGTTTTTAATGGACAAAAGACTTGAGCACTTCCCAAAAGAGGAAATCTAAGTGGCCAATCAACATGGGAAGAGATTCTCGGCCTCACTGGTCATTAGGGGAATGCAAATGAAAACCACCCAGAGACACTGCACCAGCACACACCCGTGAGAATCAACCCACTGCAAGGACTGAATGAGAACATGCGAGCAAGCACTGAGCAGGGGGTCTGGCTTGTGCAAAGGCTGGGTAAGCAGAGGATGCCAACAGTCACAGGCCCCTGCCCCCAGTAGTTATAGGCCCTTGTCAAACCTGAGCTCCTGGGAGGCAGGCTTGATCCATTTCAGGGTCTCCCGAGCCCTGCACAGAGCCAGGCACGTGACAAACCACAGCGGGCCTCAGAGTGTGTGGCTCAACAAACAAGGAAGTCAAAACCATTACGATCTAACCCACTGAGGACTGCTTGAGCCCAGGAGTTTGAAATCAGTCTGGGCAACAACATGAGACCCCATCTCTACAAATAATTTTAAAAATCAGCCGGGCGTGGTGGTACATACCTGTGGTCCCAGATACTTGGGAGGCTGAGGTGGGGGGATCACTTGAGCCCAGGCAGTCGAGGCCGCAGTGAGCTGTGACTGTACCACTGTACTCCAGCTAGGGTGACAGAGCAAGACCCCATCTCCAGGGAAAAAGAAAATCTGACCTACCATTCTCCCAAGCAGAGTATCTCTTAGTGGTAACAGAAGAAAAGCCAGTTGCTATAACCATATGTTTGCTTTTTGCTTCCCCTTTCTAGCTTGCTATGTAAAGCCCTCAATATCAAGGCTAGCCTCCAAGTCTAGCAGAGAGAGGACCTCCTGGGAATGGGTCCATGCATCCCTCTGCTTAAGGGGGAATTTCCAGCCACAGGCAGAGGAACTGTGGCCCTGTAAAGGGGAAGGGGCTGGAAGGGCACTAGGCCCACCCACAGCAGACCCCCTGCTTGCATGCCCCTCGTGATGGGCAGCTCACTGCTTGGTAAGGCCACATCACCTCTCCCCTGGGCGCCTGCCTATGGGGGAGTCTTCCCTCACTGGTGAGACTGCCTCCTGTCACTTCCCTCTGTCCTCTGCTCTGCCGTCTACCTCCTAAGGCCACATGGTGAACACGTCTGCCCCTCAGCCTGGTCGGCCCTGCCCACATGTCCAGCTGCAGCAGCTATTAGGTCACTCATTGCTAGTGTTTGTTTCATCCCTGCTCCCTGCCTGCTGGTCTAACTGTGCTTCTAAAGCTGGAGGGAATGCCTCCTGCAGTCCACGTGGTAGCCAATATGTTGAGGGCAGAGGGGAAGAAAAGGAAAATCTGGAACATCTGAACTTCACAATGATCACAAGCAGCTCCATCACCTGCACCCCCCGAATGAGCTGCCATATGCCCGGGTGGCCGGCGCCAGGGGAGTGGAGGGCCCCAGCCAGAACCTCAACAGACAGCTGGGGAGGGGGTGCACAACCCCCCCACACCCCACTCGACACCAGGCAGGATCAGCAGCCAGGCCGGCGGGTTCTTCAGCCGTGAATACAGTTTTAGGGGCTGGTTAATGCCACTTCCAATTGTGGAGCTTCTAGCATCACCTGGGGATACCGGCAGCTGAGGGTCCCTCTCTACCAAGAGACTCTCGTAGGGTAGTGTCGCACGCTCCCTAGATCACGTCATGTCACCTTCCCACTTACTGGGAAGCCCAGGGCTCAGACAGGCTACCTGACACCCTCAAGGGAGAAGGCCGCCCCGCAAAGTCCTGGCTACCAGCAGCACGGTGGGTGGACGGGGGTATGGCCGGGGACCCAGGGACCTGGGTTCTGGCGGCACCAAACACAATCTGGCTGCCCAGTCTCTGCTCTCTTGCTGTCATCCACCCAGGCCCCCGGAAGCCACACTCAGCTCTGTGGTCCCCAAAATGCCCCAGGCCCTCTCAAGTCTCCTGGCCTTTGCCCAGGCTGTTCCCTCTGCCTGCCACACCCTTTCAGCTGCACTTAGCTGCCTGTATCTCTTCAACCTCTGGCTTTCCCCATGGGAAGCCTCCCCTGACCCCAGCACCCAAGGCCCCTCCTTCATGGCTCTTATTGATGATGGAATTGGTTGTTGACTGTCTCCCACGAGAACGTAAACCCCATGAAGGCAGCAGCAGTGTCTGTCTGTCCACACCATGTCCCCAGGGTCTCCCTGGCACTCTGTACATCCTTGATGAATGAATTAACAAGTTTATTCCTGAGGGCATGAGGATATCAGCTCAATCCCCAGGCCTCAATCTCCTCAGGGGGCCAAAAAGGCCCATATGCACCCAAAGGCTGTTCTGAGAACGGAGGCCTGCCACACGGGATACGTTCAAAAAGGCCACTGAATGGCCTCCGCCCTGGAGCAGGAAGAGCTAGGACTGGCAGCCTGAAGGGCCACCCCGCGGGTGCCCTGGACAAGCCACATCCCTGCCTGAACCTCTACCTGCCCTTCTGTAAAATGGGGTAATTGCAGGCCTAGCCCTGCCTTGGGGTTTGTGGAATAAAACTAAATAGTTATCCTCTTCCTCGCTCCCCAAGGAGCACCCCAGTAATAATAAATGACCACAGCCACTCTCCAGGGCCTTCCTTTGAGCCAGGCCTTCACCTGGATGGGCCCAAGCAGACCTCACAACCCCCCAACAAGGCAGGCGGTGTCGTTTCCCCACTACACAGAAAGACCAGAGAGGCTGAGCCACCTGCCCAAAGTCACACAGCTGAAAAGTGGTGGTATCCCAATTTGAACAGCCTCCAGTACCCAAAGGCCCTTGTCTGGGACCTCACTGGCTGCAGGGAGGGTTCACCAAGACCCTGTACATCGTGAAGTCCAGGGAGATGACAGCAGGCACCTGCCGAGGCCAGGGAAGATGAGACAGCCCTGCACCTCCCCATCTTCCCCTCTGCTCCATGAGGAGGCCGTGGCAAGATGAGACCAGGTCCTAAATCTGCCCACAGCCTCCAGCCGCCAGGTGGCCACCATGTGGCACCAACCAGGGCAGCCCAGGGGTTTCCCAGACACTCTCTGCTGGGGCATGGTGGCAGGGACCCAGCCTCCCAGGGGAGGGTAGCGGCCAGAGTGGCTTGGCATCCATTCCGTGGCACCACAGCAGCAGACGCAGGCAATCTGCTCACCCCGGTTGGAAACTGAGTGAAACTTGCCCAACAAATGAGCCCAGGTCTCACCTCCACCACCTGCTCCCAGCCCCAGACAGGGCCTGAGAGGAACAGGAGGAGCACCAGCTCACAGCCTCCCTTGCGGGATGGAGAGAGGGGGCGTTCAGCCCTTGTGTTAAGGGCTGTCAAGTGACAGGCCCAAGAAGAGCCTGGCACAGGGCCTGACACATAACAGAGGTTCAGACATGTGGTCTCCCTCTGCCTCCTCTGCCTGTGGAAATCTCATGCCTCTTTTGGCCCCAGTTCAAATGCCCCCTCCAACAGGGAGCCCTCCTGGATCTCACCAAACCCCTTCTGGAGCAGGGTAGCAGGGCCCCTGAACCCACCTCCTGGGCTCGAGTTCCCTTCTCTGTCCTTCGGCTTCTCCCACTCCCTGGCATGGCACAGGCTGTGTGTGTGCACCTGGCTGGTAGGGGGGTCAAGGGGAAAGCTTGCTGGGTCCTCCTTCTAGACGGCCCTCCTGGTTTTTGGCCTATCAGACTTCTCCAGATCTGAGCTCTAGTGGCCGGTGAGGCAGACTCAGCCACCTCCCCTCCTCTCCTTGTCCTTGGTACTGACCTCATCACATCCTCAAGTGCCCAGAGGTCCTTGTCTGGGACCTCACTGGCTGCAGGGAGGGTTCACCAAGACCCTGTACATCGTGAAGTCCAGGGAGATGACAGCAGGCACCTGCCGAGGCCAGGGAAGATGAGACAGCCCTGCACCTCCCCACCTTCCCCTCTGCTCCATGAGGAGGCTATGGCAAGATGAAACCAGGTCCTAAATCTGCCTGCCGCCTCCAGCCACTAGGTGGTCACCATGAGGCACCAACCAGGGCCACAGGGGTTTCCCAGATGCTCTGTGCTGGCAGTAGCTCTCTCTGAAGTCCTTCCACCCAGGCAAGCCCTTTGTGCCTCTAAAGGGCTCCTTAGCCTCGCTGACTGTGCTGCTTCCTGATAGTGCAGCCTCAGGCCACGTTACTCCTCCCTGCCTGTGAATACCCTTCTCTTCCCTCAAGGCTCAGGTTACCCCACCTCCTCCAGGGAGCCTTCCAGGATCAAGCCACACTTTTAAGCATATGTGATCTTGCCCTTCCATGTATGAAGCCCACCTCACCCTGCCAGCACTGGGCACCCTGTGGCCGCTCATTCTGTCCACCTATAGAATAGGGATAATAAATCAGTCCTCACAGGGCTGAGTAAGGATTAGAGATAAGGTTTATAGAGCCTTTAGCCTAGGGCCCAGATTACTGTAATTGCTCAGAAATTATTTCCTGCCATCACCATCATCATCATCACCACCACCCCCACCATGATCATCACCATCATTATCACCATCACTACCCTCACCATTATGATCACACCACCACCACCACCATCATCATCACCACCATCACTACCACCACCACCGTAATCATCCTCATTACCATCATCACATCATCACCATACCACCATCACCATCTTCACCATCATCACCATCAGCATAACCACCATCATCACCATCATCAGCAGCATCGCCATCATCATCACCATCATTATCACCATCACTACCCTCAATATCATCATCACACCACCACCATCACCATACTATCATCACCCTCACCCTCACCCTCATCATCATCATCACCACCACCACCACCACCACAACCATCATCATCACCATCACCACCATCATCACCACCACCATCATCACCATCACCACATCACCATCACCACATCACCACCACAACCATCATCATGACGATCATCACCACCATCATCACCATCACCACCATCATCACCACCATCACCACCACCACCACCACCACAACCATCATCATCACCACCATCACCATCACATCACCACCACCACCACCACCACAACCATCATCATGATGATCATCACCACCATCATCACCATCACCATCATCACCAATATCATCATTATTACGATCATCATCTCCCCCAGCCCCTGACATATGCATCTTTTTTTGTATGGAGCAGGAAGACAGCATTAGAGAAAGATTCCTAGCATTATAGAATATTCATTAAAGGCAGGGGTTCTGGAACCAAATTGCTTGGGTTTAATCCCAGCTCTGCCCCTTCCTAGCTGTGTGACCTTTGGCAAGGTCCTCACCCACTGTGGGCCTCAGTTTCCTCACCTGTAAAATGGAGATAATAGTACCTGCCTGTAAGTGAGCTAGTACAGCATAGCATAACACAGGTTACAGCTGATAATACTATTTTCAGTGAGATGTGGGAAAACAGGCCCAGAGAGCAGCGGTGACCTGCCTAGGTCACACAGAGGGTAAGGGGTCAAGATTCAGTCCTGAGCCTCGCATCCGGAGCTCCCTGCTGCTACTCCCATCCCCTACACCCCCTGCGCTCAGCCTCAGCTCTGGTCTCACCAGCAGGCAGGACCAGCACCCAGGCCCACTCACCATGGGGAGCCATAGATCCGGAAGCCCCGCACGGTGACCTCCGAGTCCTGAAGGTAGATGCAGTTGGTCAGCAGCGACTGCACATTCTCATAGTTCTCCGGCTTCAGCTTCGACACAGATGGGAAGTAGTAAAAGTCCTGCTTGATGAGGTCGGCCATGAACTCCTGGTCAAAGGTCAGCTCGTGGTTGCCTGCGATCACGATCTTGTACTCGTAGGGCAGGCTGCCTGCAGGGGTGGACACAGACAGACACACAGCACACAGCCGTCAGCTTGTCCAGAAGCCACAGCACGGCTGAGAGAGGGGCGGGCAGGAGGAAGCTGCATGAACTCCTGGTCAAAGGTCAGCTCGTGGTTGCCCGCGATCACGATCTTGTACTCATAGGGCAGGCTGCCTGCAGGGGTGGACACAGACAGACACACAGCACACAGCTGTCAGCTTGTCCAGAAGCCACAGCATGGCTGAGAGAGGGGCGGGCAGGAGGAAGCTGCTGGAATCGCTGACAGGGGTACCTGCTGCCAGGCCCCCAACAGGTGTCTTCATCAGATCAAAGGAGGCAGCAGCCTGATCACTGTCCCCACAGTCCTGCCTGTCCAGGCCTCCACTGGCCATCGGCCCCCTGAGATCATCGGGAAGAGGCTGGACAGGTTCCTCCCAGGCTGCTGAGCTGCAGAGTGCCTGGCCTCATCCTGGGACTTCTCTGCCTCAGTTTCTTCTGTCTGGACTAGTTTTCTACTGGAAGAAGACCCCCACGCTGCATCCCCAGCCCTAGCTGTCACTGGCCTCACGGTCCCAGGCCCCCACCCCCTGGGTATCTTGGACTCTTTATCCTCCACTTTCCAAAAGGAATTGCAAGGTCTTTGCAGAGCCCAGTTCAAATGTTTGGAGACCCCACACTCAGGAAACATTATAGTACCCACCCCTACTGCCATGGAAATTCAAAGCCAAAACAAAATCTAGATGGAATCAAAACAAAAATGTCTATGTATACAGCCACTGAATTACAATAGTGTCATTCCAGCTTTGCTGTGTGCGAACTTTTGGGTAGTTCTTCCAAGGTACACATCTTTCTCTCTCTGGGGTCCAGTTTTCTGGATGCCCTAGGCAGGAGTGTGCACTGTCACCCAAGAGAGACTGGCTGGGGGCTGGTTTCTCGGCAGCTGCCCGGCAGGCCTCACCCACCAGGCTGGCTCTATGCAGGCGCAAGACCACCACAGCTGTTCGGTCTCAGTAAACGCCACTCGCCCCTGCCCCCTACTCCATCTGAGAGCCAGCCTGACCCCAGGCTTGGGCCCCTGACTCCCCACTCCCCACCAGCCTCAGCTGCTGGGCACTCATGGGCCTGGAGAGTCAAGATGGTACCTGTAAGCCCTGATTTGGATAAAAAATGAAATGTTGAAAGTGCACTTGGAGACCCAAGCCTTTCTCCTGGCCCCTCCTGGGCCGAGAGTGACCTGGAGGGTCAGGCAAGTAGCAAAGACGCCAGCACAGCACAGGGGCCTCGGGGTGGATGGGGACCCAGACAGGAAAATGGTGACATTCCATAACCAGTTCACAAAGCAGTAACTGTGGCTAACAAAGACCGACACCTCGCGAGGCATCCCCTCTATCCCTGGAAGACCATGACCTTCATCTGCTAAAGCACACACAGGGCAAGGTGCCAGAACACTTGTCTGGCCATCAGGCTCCAATGAGCCCCTGACACCCCCTTCACTCCTCACCCTCCCGGGGCAATGCCCAGCAGCACGGGCACCGTGGTCTGTCCCCTGGGACAACACAGCAGCCCAGGAACAGCAGAGCCTTTTCCACCATGACCAAAAACTCTACCTCTTCCGCTGTGTGAGCATTCCATGGGGAACCAAATTCCAGAAATGCCTCTGCTCCAAATACTAAGGATTGTTTTTCTTATTGGAAACGGATGCTTGCAATATGGGCTGAGACTCGGAAGATGTGCCATCACACTCAGCTCTCAGGAAGCACTCTAGGAAGAGCTCGCCTCCCCAGCCCTTACGTGAGCTCCAGGGAAGGGTAGAGTGAGGTTTACAGCAGTACATGTCCTATAACTACAGCCATTATTATATCCTAATAGCAAGGAAATAGAAGGGTCCAGTGCCCCGTTATAAGCTTCTTCTCTACCCCCAGCTAGATGAGACCTGTGCCGTCTGTCTAACCACGTGCCCTATGGCCACGGCAAATGGCCAGGTCCCAGCCTGGCCAGGGAGGGTGGGCCAGGGCGGTAAGAAAGGGAACCCCAAGGCGAGACAGAAGTTTTCTTCAGAACAGGCAGAAAATCCCAATCTACTCATAGCTGACTCACCAACCACCTCAGACTGCTTCACAGGTTTGAGAAAGAAAGCACTGCTCTTTCTTCTTCGGGATTTATCAACTCTGGGGCGGGGGACCACTGGTACATGGGGGCCACTGGTACTTAGCAGGCCACAGAATCTCAGCTCCAGCAGCCTGGATCCCAGACCCACTCTGCCACCAACCCGCTGTACGACTTAGCTTCCCTGTGCCTCAGTTTCCTTACCTGTAAAATGAGAAAAGTAACAGCGACCTTGCAGGACTGTTCTGATATTATAGAAGATAATCAATGGAAATGTACAAAATTTTGATGTTCAAAAAAACCAAAGAGCTTCCCTGGGCCAGAGTTTGCAAACTAGAAGCAGGCAGGCCAGACCCATCCACAGACATATTTTGTTTGGCACAACTTTTTTTTAAAACTTGAATTTGTTGCCAACATCAAAAATTTGAGAGATTCCTAATAACATTTCATTACTTCTGTTTTCTAAAAATAAAGAAATAAATACAATTTAACTGGTCCAGTCAGGAAGTGCTGAGTGTCTGTGTCCCCTTGGACAGGATGAATGCGTCCAGCTGGCCCCAATCCCCACCTGTCCCTACCGTCTCACACCCAGTCCACTTCATTCATTTGAAGGTACCGCCCACTCTTAACAGGCATTTGGGTTTCTGTCCCTGGGGACATGAAGGGAACAGCCTGGCCCTGGCCCGAGGTTCTTCCAGTCAGGCTGCTGGGATGAGATTCTACAAGCCCCTTCCACCTCCCTGACCCTCCTCTTGTACATCAGAGCCCACCCTGATGGACGCTGGGAACTCTGCTTGCTGTGCTCATGGGAGAGCTCCAAGAACATGGATGCAGGCGTGTTTGCTTCCCCCAGCTCTGTCCCTAGCAGGCCCCAGCAGGAGTCTGGCGAATGAAGCCTCCCACAGCCCCACAGTGCGACCAGGCATGGTACAGAGAAGCCCTCTCCAGTGAGGCTCAGGCTGCGGAGAGGAGGGAAGAGGGCTGCGTGGGCCTGAGCAGCTGGTAGTGGGTCCGGGAGGACACAGCAGGAAAGATGGCCACTTCTGGACCGCTGGTGGAGAGCTGAGATCTCATTTCCCTAGAGCACCCCCAAGGTACTTGGTTTTATTATCTCCTCTTTGCAGCTGAGCAGAATGAGGCTCAAAGGCTGGGAAACCCACCCAGGCCCCACGGCTGTGGAGGGGGACGCTGGTCCAGCTGACCCCACCCCTCTAGACGGGCACCTCAGACTCCTCCAAGGCCAGCAGACCCCTCATCGAGCCCCTCCCCAAACACACTGCAGCAGGGAGGCAGCCAGAGCCCCCAGCTCGGGTTGGGGGTGGCCACCATCGCTGCCTTCGGGCTCTGATTCACCACATTTCCACTTCACATCACCCATCCATCCTGCAGCCCAAGCTGGGGGTGCAGAGCCAGTGCTCATGTATTTATGTCATGTCTTTGACTGGGGGTGTTACTGAAGCAAATTAGCAAATTACTCCAACTGTACAGTTTCATTTATTTCTGCAGCTCCCGACTACTGGGGATTGGGCGGAGCGCAGAAGCTGTCAGCTCTCCCCTCTTCTTCTCACCTCAGCAGCTGATGACTGAGGCTTTTTCCCTCCCAGAAAAGGGTGGATGGGGCACAAGGCCCAGCTCCCATACATAATGCAAGGGAGCAGGGCAGGAGCCACCACCTGCTGGGGTGACACCCTCAAACACTGTCTGCTCCATGGCTTGGAGGCAAAGGGACATCCACTTATGAACACAGAAACTGTCCAGCACCACATCCCTCTGAGTCCAAAGTCACAAGAATGCCTGTGGGTGTCCACCTGGACTTGGCAATTCACCAGCTGTGCATAACCTTCACAGACACTTAAGTGTTACTATCCCCAGGTAAACCTGGCGAAACTGAGGCCCAGAGAGAGCTTGCCTAAGATGAGACAAATCAATAGCAAAATGACTGACAATTACAGAGGACAATGGACATTTGGTAGACCCTATGGCGGTATCCTGAGGTGTACTCTGCACCATCATGCTACCCCGCCTCTCAGTGGATGGATGGATGCATGGATGGATAAATCGTTTATAGATGGATGGATATATGGATGCACACATGGATAGATGGATGCATGCATGGATGAATGAATGGTTGGTTTACAGATGGATGGATATGTAGATGCACACATGGATGGATGGGTACATGGATGGATGGTTTATAGATGGACGGATGGATGAATGGATGGCTTACAGATAGACAGATGGATGAGTGGATGAATGGGTGCTTTGTAGATGGATAGATATATAGATGCATACATGGATGGATGAATGGATAGATGGCTGGTTTATGGATGAATGGATGGATGAATGGATGGTTTATAGATAGATGAATAGATGGATGAATGGATGCTTTGTAGACGGATGGATATATAGATGCATACATGGATGGATGAATGGATAGATGGATGGTTTATGGATGGATGCTTTATATATGTATGGATATATAGATGTATATATAGATGGATGAATGGATGGATGGATGGATGGATGGATGATTTATGGATGGATGGATGGATGGGTGGCTGGATGGATGATTTATATATGTATGGATATATAGATGCATATATAGATGGATTAATGGATGGATGGATGGTTTATAGATGGGTTGGTGGGTGGGTAGATGGATGGATGGGTGGATGAATGAATGGATGCTTTATATATGTATGAATATATAGATGCATATATAGATGGATGGACGGATAGATGGTTTATAGACAGACGGATACATAGATGCATACATGGGTGGGTGGATAGGTGAACTGACAGATGGGTGGATGGATGCATTTATCAATCAATCCATCCTTAGCTAGGTCTGACTGTCTCCTTTACACCAACTGACCTCTGTGTCGCCCCTTCTCCTCAAATGTTTCCTCCAACTGTCCCTGGCAGGGCATTTTTTTGACTCACCCTCCTTACCCACAATCTTGATTGTCCATCTCTGAATCTTCTCCAATTAAACATGCTCTCTTGCAGGTGGGTATGGAGGACACAGAACGGAAGTCCCAGCATGGCCTGACCATCACGGAGTGGGCAGGAGGAGTCTCCTCCTCTGTTCTAGGGCTGCCACCTCTGTTGTTAGAGCCTAAGGCTGCATTAGTTTTCCAGTGTTCCCATCGCCCTGCAGTTCTTACCAACCCGAACATAGATACGATTCCCAGTGACCAATCATTAGAGGCTCGCTTGCTTAATTTCATCACAACCCTCCATCTAAACAGTGAATGAGGGGAGTGTTTTGGGGACTTCAACCAACTAATTGATTTTCAGGGGCTTTATGGGGGAAAAATTAAATGAATACAAACTCTTCTGCCTAATGCCTGCACTGAACACAGAGGAAATGGATGTTGTTCTCTTTGCCCTTTCCTGCTGCTATTCCTCCCTGCAGCAGGTAAGACGGCTGACACACAGCGGAGCTTCCCCATTGCCCTGATGGGAGCTGCCTGAGAAGCCACAGGAAGTACCTGAACCCCGGGAAAGTAGCTGTTCTCCAAGCAGGTGTGGAAAGAGATTAGGCAGCACCAACCTTGGAGACCAGAACATAACGTGACCCCCTGGACCAAAGATGGGCACAACATGGGGAAGCTAAAGAAAAAGCCTCTCTACAGAGCACCCCCGGGCTGGGCACGGTGGACAGCAGTGCAGGTGCTGGGGGCTGTGCTTGCCTTGGTAAGTCTCAGCAAGGGCACAAATGGGTCCAAATGCCTTTTCTCATCCACCTCCCCTCATCAACCCAACGGAAGCTAAGCATCCACTGAGCCTATCCTGAATGCCCCTTAGGCTGAATGCCCACCTTCTTCCCTGAAGCTGGACCCACTACAAAGCCCCCTGCCCTGGTCAGCTCTCCATGAGCCCTGATTAAACATGAGCCCCCAGTGTTCCCGTGTTCCAGACCCTGGCGAGGCTCCGCTGGGGACACAGTCATGAATCAGACACCACCAAGAGGCCTGTAGCTCTCCTAATCCATGCTGCTGATTGGACAGGAGAAAACTGGAGCTCAGAAAGGGGAAGAGACTTGTCCAAGGTTACATAGCGAGACAGTGGAGAGAGCTAGGACTTGAACCCTGGCCTCCTGCCTCAGAGATGTCTGAACAATGACCAGCCTCTGGTAGGACATGCCTGATGAGTAGACAGTTTAGGGGACTGGAAGGATATGAGGACATCTGGGAAGAGTGGAGCAGGGACTTGTGGCACCGGTCAAACCCTGAAACTGGAGACAGGCCAGTTGGACTCTGCTAGGTGGGCGAGAACGCTGATCTCCCAGCCTCTGCCACAAGCCCTAGGTCCTTGATGCCAAAACTAGTGCTTTTCAGAGCTGGGGAGCAATGCTACACATTTGTATTCTCCATGAAAACATTCAGACCATCTTCCCCAAATGCCTCCTTTTTTCCCAGCCAGATCATTCAACATCCTGGCATTTGCTAGCCGTGGATTTCTTGTTGCAAAGACATTTAAGTATTAACCAGAAGAGCACTAGAGGATGGCCCTGTTGTTTTCACTTTCCATTTGCCACATACGTGTATTCAAATAGCTGTGTATCCGCACACAGATTCCACATTGCAACAAGTGCAGCTGCCGCACGGGGCAGAGGGGGATGTGCATGGAAGTCTCTGCTTTTTGTGCTTCCGAGATTAATCTCCCTCCAAAAGGTACAATTCTTTATCGCTAACACTTACCCATCCCATTTAACAGAAAGTGCTGCCTCCAAACTGCATAATCTGTTAAATTCAACAAGATATGTGCAAGCTTCTCCACCATCGATGCCATTCCCGGAGCAAAGTATTGAGCCCGGTGGAGTTTTAGCGTTCTCTAAATGCAGTGACAATCAGGAAAATGCCCACTTATGGCTTCTTCCGCCCATTCCCATCTCGCAGAACACAGCAGAGGGGGATGGAATAAAGAGACGGCATAACGATCTCTGATTGCATTTTTAGTACATCTTTGACAGTTCTGTGTTTAAACACTTGCCGATGTCTAGGAGATTCACATTAGCAGACTTCTCGGTATGGCGCATGGTCTAGAAACACACCAGGATGGAGCAAGCTGCGAGAGTCAGCTGTGAGCCACCGTGGGGTCTTGGTGCAACTCGGTGCATGAACGCCAGGAATGGCTTCACACGGCCAAGCACACACAGAAGACTGTGGCTGACCATGCAGAGAAAGGGAATTCTGTGTGTAACCTGAACAGGCGGGAGAGTTCTGGAGTCAGATGTCTGGGCCAACAGCCAAGGCTGAGTTCAGGGGAACACAGTGCAGGGCTGCGCCTGCAGAAGCTGAATTCTGCTACCCTGTACTGAGCGCCCTGTCCAGGCACTGCGACCAGCATCATGCATTCAATGCTTCCAGACACCCTTAGCAGGCACGGGCCATTCTCCCCATGACAGAGATGAAAGGCAGTGCAGCAAGGGGTGCAGGGGGCGTAGCCTGACTTCCATCTCTACCTCCCACTGGCTCTCTGGCCAGAATGAGAACCCTCACTTCCCTGAGCTTTAGTGTCCCCATTTATAAAACACGCATGCTTCCCCACAGAGTTCTTGCAATGATCAAGCTGATGAAGACACGTGAGCCCCACGCTGTACCTATACTTCTGCACGGATTTGTTTTTAAGCAAGTTTGATAAGACACATGGACACAGAAATGGCTGTCACAAAGGAGGCTTACACTCACAGTTCTCTAAAAACGCAAGCCACGCTCCACCATGCCTGGCCAGACAGGGAAGCACCAGGGACAATCAGGAGGTGGAGGGTGAGGGGGAAACATGGGCAGGAGCCTGTTTCATGGTTTCCAAAGGAAGGGTTGGGCAAGGCAAGGGAAAGAGACTTAGGACTGTCTAGTTCGAATAATTCTGGCAGGTTCTAGGACATGAGGGCTGTCCCTAACTGTCTGGCACTGCCCCTGGGGTGATCAGGGCAGGTGGATAGTGGCCCTGTCCACTCTACTGTGGGCTGTGGAGTGGTTGGCTTGTGTAGTTATTTGCTGTATCTAGGAACTGGTTAACCCAGGGAGAGACAATCCCCCTGGCTCAGCAAGGCCCTCAGATGTCAAAGCATCAGAATACAGAAAATAAAAGGCAAGGTTAATACAACCTGGATGTTAGCCATTTTCATTGCATTTCGGGGCTATTCAGGAAGATTAACGCTGCAATGTATAGCACAGCCCAGAAATGTGAGCTGCGAAGCTGGAGATGAGAACTGAGGCTCTACAAGTTCAGGTCACCTACCTGGGCACACAGCAGCTCACTGGGACCCAGGTCTGGCTTCCCAGAGCTCGGTGCCACAACACCCCAGATAGAACAGACATCCTAGGATGGCAGACCCCCCAATGAGCTGCAGACCCCCTGGCCTCATCCAGCCTCCACGGGTCCTCATGGGAGGCTGCTGGATTCAAAACTCAGCTCTGGTGCCTGGATTTAAAAGGCAAATGTGATTTTTCTTCTGTTCCATCCTAATAGCCAAAATGTTTAACTTTCAAACATTTGTTTTTCCTGGGAAATGTTTTAAAAACAGGAACATTCAGTCCTAATCATCTTCAACTGCTTGTTTCCACTGCTACTGCAGAGCACATATGACTTCAGGCCGAAAGTTTTCTGTGTTTTCCCCCAAAAATCAAGGCTGCCTGTAGCTAGCAGGACTTTGTGGGAACCTCCTCAGAAGTCGCAGTCCGGAAGGACACACGTGCCCAGAGATGTGCACAAAAGGGCCCTGGTGGCCCCCGGCTTCCCCAGGGGCTACTGCACTCCCTGCAGTGCTCTGATCTCAGCCCTCCTCGTCCAACCTTGCACCCCTGTGGGTGCTTACGGTCTCCTGGCATCCGCATCTGCTGTTCCACACACCAGGATCCTCTTCCCGCCCTTCCTTCTGAGTCAACTCCAATTCAACTCGCACTTTATCAGCCAACCCCAGGGCCACTTCCTCCAAGACACCTTCCAAGAGCCGCTCTCTTCACTCAACCCTAGCAGGATGATGGGTGCCCCCCAACAAGCACCCAGGGACGTGCTTCTCACAGCCCTGACAACCAAACCAACCGCGGGTTGATTTGTCTGCTTCCCCAGCACCCTGGGAGCCCCTTCGAGGCCCCTGCCTTGTTCAGCGCTCTACCGCCAGCACGGGGCTCGGTGATAAGTACACACTCAACACACAGCCACTGAATCCATGAGGTTCCGTCGTCCCTTACAACCCATGGCAAGGGCCGGGGAGGTCACATGATTCAACCAAGGTCTCCTAAGTGATCGGCTACAGGATGTCCCCAGAGGCCAAATAGCTGGCCCACGGATGGTAACCAACACTGTTAGGATGAGATGAGCCCATCAGGTGGCAGCCTCCCAACTGTCATGGTCTCCGTTCACTCGGCAGACATCAAGAGTCCATGACTTCAAGGCCCATGCCACGGAGCTGCCCCACGAGGCTGTGGGAGAGCCCTGGCCTGAGAGTCGGCTCAGCTCTCTACTATCTCACCATGCGACCTGGGATAGTGAGGCCTTTCCCCTCCTCGTGCCTCAGTTTCCCCATCTGTTCCATGAAGACGTGACATAAAGGTCCTGACCTCTGAGAGCTCTTTCAATTCTCTGAGACCCTCCAGGCAGGTGTGTATGTGGTACCGGGGTGGGGTGCCCACGGAGGGTGTTAACAGGGTCAGATGGTGGGAACCAAGGGGCCCTTGTATAGGACGGGATTCTGAAGGCCCATGTTTGTCCCCAGTTGTGGCTGACATCCCATGAAATCAGCAATAAAGGAAGGAAAAGGCATGGCCTGCCAAGGACAGAGGTTTGGAAGCTGGAAAGAGATGGATGGGTAGACTGGCTTAGCTGAGCAAAGAAAACTAAAACCAAAGTCCTGGGAGTGGGTAAGAGAAATGTGGAGCTACAAGAAGCAAGGTGAGCTGTGGCCAGAGTCCCAGGGGGTCTCAAGGACTAGAAGCCCAAGAGCTGCAGTCTGACTTAGAACCTGTATGAGAAGCAGGTGGGACCCGGGCCCCTCCCACCTTGCACCCATCCAGCAGCCATGCCCTTTGCCTCTCATCCCCACAAAAGTGGGGAGCACTACCAGGGTCACACAAAAACTCCAGAGAGCCCCATTTAGGGAACATCGAGGCAAGGGGATGAACCCTGGGGTCCCAGCCTCCAGACCCACTTAGCTATCAAATCTGGAAGCCAGACTTGGAAAGCAAAAACTGGGGAGAAAAACAGGTGCAGGAGGAAAAACCCATAGGTATCAATATAGGGCTTGCCCAAAGACATGGCCAGGGCCCCATGATCACATCCCCCTATGCCCACCACACACACACACACACACACACACACACACACACACACACACAGAGCTGACCAACAGCTTTCAGATGTTCAATTCATATACACAAATGCAGTGTCATCAAGCCTCTGAGAAAAACCCCACAGTGAAGGCCAGGTGCGGTGGCTCACACCTGTAATCCCAGCACTTTGGGAGGCTGAGGCAGGCTGATCACCTGAGGTCAGGAGTTCAAGACCAGCCTGGTCAACATGGTGAAACCCTGTCTCTACTAAAAATACAAAAATTAGCTGGGAGTGGTGGCGGGCGCCTATAAACCCAGCTACTCAGGAGACTGAGGCAGGAGAATCACTTGAACCTGGGAGGCGGAGGTTGCAGTCAGTCGAGATCACGTCACTACACCCCAGCCTGGGCAACAGAGCAAGACTCTGTCTCAAAGAAAAGAAGAAAGAAAAGAAAAGAAAGAAAGACAGACAGACAGAAAGAGAAAGAAAGAAAGAAAGAAAGAAAGAAAGAAAGAAAGAAAGAAAGAAAGAAAGAAAGAAAGAAAGAAAAGAAAAAATGAAAAATCAACCACAGTGAAAAAAGAGTCAGAGGCCAAATCAAACAAGGAAAAGAAATTAGAGGAAAGAAGGCTGAGGCAGGAAAATGCTTTTTTAAACTATATCATTGACATCCTTGGTGAGATAATAAAATATTGCACCCATGAAATTTTAGCAGGGTGCTTTTACAAAAGAAATAAAAACATAGCAGGATATTTTTTAATTTGACCAAAAGAGGGAAGACGAAGTCAAGGAAATCTCCCAGACACTAAAATAAAAAAGACAATGAAGTAAATAACAGGTGAGAAAAGATTTAAAAATCAGGCTGGCCACAGTGGCTCCCATCTGTAATCCCACCACTTTGGGAGGCTGAGGTGGGAGGACAGCTTAAGCCCAGGAATTCAAAGATGTGGTGAGCTGTGACTGCACCACTGCACTCTGGCCTGGGTGACAGAGCAAGATCCTGTCTCAAAAAAAAAAAAAAAAAAGAAAAAATCATAAGCCCAACATCTGAGTACTACAAGTTGCAGGAAGAGAAATCAGAAAAAGAGATGGAAGAAAAAACTGGAGATGAGAAAAGTTCCTGAATTAAAGGACAAAATTTTTCCATTAACAGAGTGCTTGGAAAAAATAAATGAAGTAAAGACCCACATTAAGCACATTCTCCAGAAACCCAACAGGTTATATATAAAGGATGAGAAATCCCAACAGCAGTGGAATTTTCAACAGTGACACTGAAAAAAAAAGGAAAAATGCCTTCCAAACTCTAGGGGAAAATGATCTGCAACTCAGAATTCTATACCTAGATAAACTATTAGTTAAGACAGGACAGAATAAAGATCTTTTCTAACATGCAAGTCTGCCAGATATTTCTCTTGTGCACTTTCTCAGAAAGCTACTGGAGGGTGTGCTCCACCAAAATGAGGGAGTAAACCAAGAAAAAGGAAACCATTGGATCCCAGAACCAGGGGTTACAAGACAGAAGAAAGGTGAAAGGAGATGATGGCCATCTGAAGATGGTGACTGTGAGCAGGACTGGAAATCAATCAGTCCCAATGGGAGCAGGCCTTGGAGGCTCCAGGAGGTAAGCCTCCAAGAAAAACTAGAAGACAGATGACCTAGCACATCTCACCACACTACAGAGGGGTGTTTAAAGCTCTGCAGAAGACTTGAGGATGAACTATGATGGACACATGAAAATATAAGCAAACAAACAAAATAATTAACTACTTTTAAAAAATAATGTCACATAATGAATATTCAACCAAAAATTGGGATAGAAATACTAACAGGTGAAAAGATGCATATGTGAGTGGGGAAGCTAAATCTCTAAATCTTCATTTCCCATTATAAGAAATCTAAAAGTAATGTCTAAATTGAAAAATCAAAACATAGCAATCCCAGGTTGTTCCTTCGAGAAACAAGAGAAGCAGCACTAGAGCTGCACTGGGAGTGGGAACCAGGCCTCGGGAGGAGGCTGCTATCTTGAGCATAAGCCCTGTAGCACTCTGTGACTTACAGTGCACATTCATTGCCTGAATGCAAATAAAATGTTGATTAAATAAAAAGAAGCATCTTCAAAGTCAAGTGCTTCTCTTCCACTTCCCAACTCTGTCCAGGGCCACCCTGACCTTTCACTTGTTCTGCCTGTTGCTCAAAACCTACAACAAAAGCAAACTGGGCCACAATTAAGGTTGATGGAAAGACAGAGCAGGTAGAAAATCAAAGCTGGCTGATTCCTCCGAGATTCTGAGGGTCCGAGTGCTGGGATGACTCTGGCACCAGGTTCAAAGGCAGGTGATCCAGCTGAGCAGCTCCTCACCTGGGCAGATCAGGCAGCTACTAATGACATCACTGTTGCCACCTGATGGGAACTTCAGCCACCTCCCCGGTGCCCTATTTCTCATCCTCACAATAGTCCCACAAAACAGGCAATATTATTAATATTTGGCAGATGAAGAAATCGAGGCTAATAAAGTTAATGAACTCCACAACTGATCAGCGAAGAAGCGGGAATTTGAACCTGGGTGCATCTGAAGCTGAAACCCATGATTTTCCCCTCAGTCACAACCACTTAGACATATATTCTCAGGTTTTTTCATTAAATATTTCTCAAAAAAAAGTAAAAAGAGTGCTGTCATACATTTGAGTCTTTACAATATCTCTCTTGCTATGAGCAGCTCTCAATGACTTTATTTTAAGCAACATAACACTCTGGGCAAGACTTTGTGGCTGCTATAAACAAAGAAACAATACAGAGAAGCACTTTGAGGATGAGGATTAAGGATCTTTGAGCACACGGTCCTCCACAAAGTCAACAACAACACTGGCAAAAGTTGTCAAAATCTACCTTTTTAAAATTCTGGAAATCAACCAACAATCCGAGGAGCATAGATGCAAGAAAAATAGCTGAGTTGTGCAGCATTCTAACTTGCCCTCTTCTCAGCCTCCTCTTTGCAAGCCTGTAGTAGCCTGAAAATCAGCAGTCTCAGAACTATTGCAGCTGTGAAAACTACCAGCCTAGCAGTCACAGGAGGGGGAAAAACAGCTTTGAGACTCCCAAGAAAGCCCCTTTCACTATTTGGCATATAAAGCCTCATTTGTAGAACTTGTCTTTTTTTAGAGATGAGGTTTCGCTATATTGCCCAGGCTGGTCTCAAACTCCTGGCCTCAAGTGATCCTCCCATCTCAGCCTCCCAAAGTGCTAGGATTATAGGTGTGTGCCACTGCACCCAGCCAGGACTTGTCTTTGTTTGACCTGACTCAGAGCTTGCTCAATGAGGAAAGCCCTAGCCCCAAAGTATTTGTTAAAAACAATCAGCAGCAGTTGTCTAACATCACAGCTTCCCAAGGAGGCCATACCAGTTAGGGCAAACAAGAGGCCAACCAAGAAACTTAAAATGAAAATCTGGAGAATGAGGCATCCACAGGACATCTAGAGGATCATGCTTATGTGCAGGGCTGTGCGTGTGCCTAGGAAAGGGGCCCTCATCACTCACCTCAGAATGACCTTGAAGCACATGCAAGAAGTGAAGGCTTTTGTAAAGTGCTAGGGTGTTGAGGATGTGCCTCAACACAATGGTAGGGAGCCCCTCAGCAAATGATGGGAGACTTATCAGTTCAAGGCATGTAAGGAAATCTCTGACCAGTCATCAGCTCACAACTAAGCTAACCAAGCAGAGACTTTAGTAGCCACACATGACAGAGAATACAAACACCACAGAGTTTCCAGGACATTCACTAAATAAACAACAACAAACCTTGGTGCAGGGGGTGGGATCTGATTCCCATAATCAGCAAATTATGTTATTTAAAACATCCACAGCCTAAGTGTGTTGGTGCTCGCCTGTGGTCTTAGCTACTCAGGAGGCCGAGGCAGGAGAATCACTTGAACCCAGGAGACGGATATTGCAGTGAGCCACGATTGTGCCACTGCACTCCAACCTGGAAGCAGTGAGACAGAGTGAGACCCTGTCTCAAAAAACAACAACAAACAAACAAATAAACAAAATCCAGTTTTTTTTGTTTTGTTTTGCTTTGGGTTTGGGGGGGGGGGTTTGGGTTTGTTTTTGTTTTTGTTTTTGTTTTTGTTTTTGTTTTTGTTTTTGTTTTTTGAGATGGAGTCTCACTCTGTCGCCAGGCTGGAGTGCAATGGCGCAATCTTGGCTCACTGCAACCTCCGCCTCCCAGGTTCAAGCAAATCTTCTGCCTCAGCCTCCTGAGTAGCTGGGACTACAGGCACATGCCACCACACCCGGCTAATTTTTGTATTTTTAGTAGAGACGGGGTTTCACCATGTTGGCCAGGATGGTCTCGATCTCTTGACCTCGTGATCCACTCGCCTTGGCCTCCCAAAGTGCTGGGATTACAGGCGTAAGCCACCACGCCTGGCCACAAAAACATCTAGTATTTTTTTAAATGAAACACACAAAGAAACAGGAATGTATGCTCCTTAGACAAGGGAAAGAGCAGTCAATAGAAATCGTCCTTGCGGAAACCCAGATGGTGGATATAACTAAATAATGCCTTTAAATCAGCTATTAGAAATATGTTCAAAGAACTAGAGAACTGTCTAAAGAATTCAAGAACATTATGAGAATGATGTGTTCACAAATAAAGCACATCAATAAGGAGATATAACTATAAAAAAGAATCCAATTCTGGAGTTGAAAAGTAAAATACCTAAAACAACATTTTCATTAGAGGGTCTCAACAGTAGTTTCAAGCTGGCAGAAGAAAGAATGAGCAAACCTGAAGACAGATCTGTTGAAATCATCCAGTTTGAGGAACAGAAAGGAAAAAGAATGAAGAAAAATGAACAGAGCCTCAGAGACCTGTGGGACACCATTGGGTGCACTCATGTGTGCGTAAGAGGAGCCATAAAGGAAAAGTGAGAGGGGACAGAAAGAGTAGTTAAAGAAACAATAGCTGTATTCTCAAACAATAGCTCACGCCTGTAATCCCAGCATTTTGGGAGGCTGAGGTGAGTGGATTACTTGAAGCCAGGAGTTCAAGACCAGCCTGGCAATACCCCATCATGGCAAAACCCCGTCTCTACTGAAAATACAAAAATTAGCTGGCATCGTGGTGTGCACGGTGCACCTATAGTCCCAGCTACTTGGGAGGCTGAGACACAAGAATTGCTTTAACCTGGGAGGCAGAGGTTGCAATAAGCCAAGACTGAGCCACTGCAATCCAGCCTGGGTGACAGAGTGAGACTCTATCAAAAAAACAAAATAAAAAAAGAAAAAAGAAAAGGAAACAATAGCAAAACCTCCCCAAATTTGATGAAAAACATTAATCTACACATCCAAGAACTTCAAGTAACTCCAAACATGATAAACTCAAAGAGGTCCACACCTAAACACATCATAATCAAACTGTCAGAAAGCAGACAATCACTCATCACACACAAATAATCCTCAGTAGCAGCTGGCTTCTCATCAGGAACCACAATAACCAGAAGGCAGTGGGATATACAAACGCTAGGAAGAAGGACTGTCGACCAGCAATTCTACATCCCGCAAAACTATCCTTTAAAAATAGAGAAATTAAGTCATTCCCAGATAAACAGAAACAAACTGAATCTGTCACTAGCAGACACTCTCTACAAAAAATACTGAATAGACTTTTTCAGACTGAAATGAAAGGGCACCAGACAGCAACTGAAATCCATATGAAGAAATAGAGAGCACTGGTAAAGGTAGCTACACAGGTAAATATAAAAGACAGTACAGGCCAGGCGCGGTGGTTCATGCCTGTAATCCCAGCACTTTGGGAGTCTGAGGCGGGCGGATCACGAGGTCAGGAGATAGAGACCAGACTGGCCAACATGGTGAAACCCCGTCTCTACTAAAAATATAAAAATTAGCCGGGTGTGGTGGCACGTGCCTGTAATCCCAGCTACTTGGGAGGCTGAGGCAGGAGAATCACTTGAACCAGGGGGTCAGAGGTTGCAGTGAGCCGAGATCACAACACTGCACTCCAGCCTGGTGACAGAGTGAGACTCTGTCTCAAAAAAAAAAAAAAGACAGTACAATTGTATTTCTGTTTGTAACTCCTTTGTTCTCCTATCCAGTTTAAAAGACAACTACACTAAGGAATACAGTCATGGACTGTTAATGACAGAGATGCATTCCGAGAAATGCACCATTAGGTGATTTTGATATTGTACAAACAGCAGAGTGTACTTACGCAAACCTAGATCATACAGCCTACTACATACCAAAGCTATACAGTACAGCCTATCACTACAGGCTACAAACCTGTACAGCATGTTATCGTACTGAATACTCCAGGCAATCGTAACACAATGGTAAGTATTTGTATATCTAAACATAGAAAAGTAAGTAAAATTACAGTGTTATAATCTTATGGGACCACTGTAGTATATGCAGTCTGTCATTGACAGAAACATCATTACACAGCACATGACTGTAGTTATAAAACTGTGTTAATGAGCTTATAATGCACAAAAATGTAATTTGTATGACAATAATAGCATAAAGGAGGGGGAGGGCATAGAACTCTACATTAGAGCACAGTTTTTGTATATTTATGAAATTAGGTTGCTATTAATCAAAACTAGATTGTTATAAGGTAAAAAAAATTTAATTATAATGCCCAGGGCAACAACTAATACAATTTTTCAATATAGTAAAAGAAATGAAATTAAAATAGTGAACTAGAAAATATCTATTTAACACAAAAGAAGGCAGTAATAGAAGAAAAGATGGACAAAAAATATATAAGATATATAGAGAACAAAAAGCAAAATGGCAGATATAAATCCTACTTTGTCAGTAGTTATATTAAACATAACATGCTTAAACAGTACAGTCAAAAGAAGGCAGAGATTAAAATTTTTAATTTTTTAAAAATCCAATTATATGCTGTTTATAAAAGACACACTTTAGATCCAAAGAAACAAGTGGGTTGAAAGTAAAAGAATGAAAAAGATATACAAACAGTATCCAGACGCCAAAAGAGAGCTGTAGTCGCTATACCAGCATCAGAAAAAAATAGATTTGAAGACAAAAATTGTTACTAGAGAAAAGGAAGAATATTTTATAATGATAAAAAGCCCAGCAACAGATGGCTTCACTGGCGATTTGTATCAAACATTTCAAGAATTAACACCAGTCCTTGACAAACTCTTCCAAAAAGCAAAAGAGGAGAAAACACTTTCCAGCTCAGTCTAGGAGGCTTTGATACCAAAACCAGACAAAGCTATCACAAGAAAAGAAAACCACAGACCAATATTCCTTCTGAATATAGGCTCAAAATCCTCAAAAAAATACTAGCAAGTCAAATCAAGCAACAAAGGATTAGACACCATATAAAAAGGTATTATACACCATCACCAAATGGGATTGAACTCAGGAATGTAAGGTTGGTTCAACATACAATTAATGTAATATACCGTAATAATAAGGGGGAAACCATATGATCATCTCAACAGGCACAGAAAAGCATTTGACAAAATAAAACACCCTTTCATGATTTAAAAACACATACACACACACACCGGGTGCGGTGGCTCACGCCTGTAATCCCAGCACTTTGGGAGGCTGAGGTGGATGGATCATTTGAGGCCAGGAGTTCAAGACCAGTCTGGCCAACATGGCGAAAACTCTGTCTCTACTAAAAAAACAAAAATCAGCCAGGCATGGTGCTGCACATCTGTAATCTCAGCTACTTGGGAGGCTGAGTCACAGGAATCGCTTGAACCTGGGAGGCAGAGGTTGCAGTTAGCCAAAATTGCACCACTGCACCCCAGTCTGGGTGACAGAGCAAGACACTGTCTCTAAACAAAACAAAAAACACGTAACAAACTGGGAATAGAAGAGATCTTCTGAACCTGACAAAGAGCATCTCTAAAGGTCCCTCAGCGAGCTGGGCATGGTGGTGCACACCTGCAGTCCCAGCTATTTGGGAGGCTGAGGCAGGAGAATCACCTAAGCCCAGGCACTCAAGTCCAGCCTAGGCAATATAATGAGACCCTGTCTCTAAATAAACAAATAAATACATACATATTACAAATCCCACAGCTAACATCATACTTAATAGTGAAGGACTAAAAGTCTTCCTCCTAAGATTGGTCACAAAACAAGGACATTCACTCTTGCCATTTCTATTCAACATTATGCTTGAGGTTCTAGCTGGGGCAATGAAGCATGAAAAAGAAATAAAAGCATCCAGAACGGAAGGGAAGAAATAAAACTGTCTCTATTCACAGAGAAACATGATCTTGTGGCCACAAATCAAGGAAGCCAAAGGTTGCCAACAGCCACCACAAGCTACAAGAGGCAAGGAAGGATTCCCTGTTTCCTCTCCCTCACCAGAGCCTCCAGAAGGAACACAGCCCTGCCGACACCTGAATGTCAGATTTCTGACCCCCAGAGCAGTGAAAGGATACATTTCTGTTATCTTAAACCAAGAAGCTTGTGATAACTTGTTACTGCAGCCTCAGGAAATTAACACAATAATCAAAGTGCTTGAAACCAAAGACAAGAAACTTTCAAGCAATTGGGGTGGAGGAAAGGGCACATTATCTTCAAAGAATCAACAGTAATGCTGATAGCTGATCATTCAACATGGAGAAATTACACTGAGTAGTTATGTTGCTGAGATTATGAATGGGTTTCCATAGCTTCCTGCAACAGATTCAAAAATGCTCTGAAAAGTATGTCGGAAACAGAAAATAGCTCTAGTGATGGCAGTTTCACCTGTTATAGGCTAAAAATTGTCTCCCCCTCCACAAAAGGAACATGTTGAAGTCTTAATCCCTAGTACCTCAGAATGGGATGGCATTTAGAGACAGGACCCTTAGTGAGGTAATTCAGGTAAAATTAGGTCATATGAGAGGGCTCTAATCCAATGACTGGTGTCCCTGTAACAAGATGACATTGACCTGGCGCAGTGGCTCACGCCTGTAATCCCAGCACTTTGGGAGGCCGAGATGGATGGATCACCTGAGGTCAGGAGTTTGAGACCAGCCTGGCCAACATGGTGAAACCCCATCTCTACTAAAAATACAAATATTAGCTGGGCACGGTAGTGGGCACCTGTAATCCCAGCTACTCTGGAGGCTGAGGAGGAAGAATCGCTTGAATCCCAGGGACAGAGGTTGCTGTGGGCCGAGATCACGCCACTGCACTCCAGTCTGGGTGACAGAGTAAGACTTCGTCTCAAAAAAAAAAAAGGACATGAAGGCAGAGAGGCAGAGAAGCTCATATGAGGACACAGTGAGAAGACAGCCATCTGCAAGCCAAGGAGAGAGGCCTCAAAAGAAACCAATCTGCTAATATCTCAACCTCAGATTCTGGCCTCCAGAACTGGGAGACAATAGGCTTCTGCTGTTTGAGCCTCCCAGTCTCTGGTACATGGTCAGGGAAGCCCTATCAAACCAACACAGTATCAATGCAGAAGATGCACTTGAAGAATCTGAATACAAATGTTTCATAAGATGTGAGAGAACAGAAATATATGTCTCAATCCCAGCACTCTGGGAGGCTGAAGCAAGCATATCACCTGAGGTCATGAGTTCGAGACCAGCCTGAGCAACGTGTCAAAACCCCATCTCTACTAAAAATACAAAAATTAGCTAGGTGTGGTGGTGTGCACCAGTAGTCCCAGCTATTCAGGAGGCTGAGGTGGGAGGATCACCTGAGCCTGGAAAGTTAAGGCTGCAGTGAACCATGATAGAGCCCTATAACTTAATAGTACCGGTGTTCCTTTAAGATGAAGAATTTTGGGAGGCCAAAGCAGGAGGATCCCTTGAAGCCAGGAGTTCAAGACCAGCCTGGGAAACATAGTGAGACCTTGTCTCTACAAAAATTCAAAAAATAAGCTGGGCATGGTGGCACATGCCTATAGTCCCAGCTACTCAGGAGGCTGAGGTGGGAGGATTGCTTGAGCTCAGGAGATCAAGGCTGCAGTGAACCAAGAACACCACTGCACTCCAGCCTTGGCAACAGAGTGAGATCCTGTCTCTAAAAAGAAGAAAATAGGCTGGGTACAGTGGCTCATACCTGTAATCCCAGTACTTTGGGAGGCCAAGGAGGGCGGATCACCTGAGGTCAGGAGTTCGAGACCAGCCTGGCCAACGCAGTGAAACCCCCTCTCTACTAAAAATACAAAAATTAGCCAGGCGTGGTGGTGGGTGCCGGTAATCCCAGCTACTTGGGAGGCTGAGGCAGGAGAATCGCTTGAACCAGGGAGGCAGAGGCTGCAGTGAGCCTAGATCGCACCACTGCACTCCAGCCTGGGCGACAGAGCGAAACTCTGTCTCAATAAAGAAATAAATAAATAAATATTTAAATTTTAAAAAAGAAAGTAGAATGGTGGATGCCAGGGGCTGGGGAGAGGAGGGAGGAAGAAGTTGTTTAATGGATCATTTCCATTTGGGAAGACAAAAAAGTTCCAGAGAGGAAAGGCAGTGATGTTTGTACAACAATGTGAATGGTCTTAATGCCACTGAACTATACACTTTTAAAAGACTAAAATGATCAATGTCATGTATATTTCACCACAATTTAAATAAATAATCTGGGGAGCCTGGATCTTAGACAACTAGAAGTGTGAGCAGGCAGAATTGTAGGCTCTTGGAGCTCTGAGAGTTCTAGCAATGCAGTTTTTAAAATCTTAGAATCCTGGAAGCCAATCATTCTCATCTTGGAAATAAACAATTCTAGAACTGTAGAAGTCAACGGGGTTTCGGGATGAAAGAAGAGTAAATGGTCATCTAGAGTCCTGGCCCACCTCATCCCCCACACCCCCATCATCATCAGAAAATCCCACAACGAAGCCGCAGGACTGGAAGGCTATACCTGGTTCCAACTCACCAGGAAATTCCCAGCAAGGATTGTGCTGGGTTTGGCCAAAGACCCTGGATTTTAAAGGCATGGCTTCAGGGCCAGATATCTGGCCCTTGTGTCACTGAGTAAAAGGTGTCTTCTGGCTACAGAAAACCCATTTAAAGGGGCAGGGGGGGTGGTGCGGGGAAACGGCCCATAGCGATGTTCTTTGCAGTAGTAACTGAAATAAGTATTTAAAAATGAGTAAGACTGGCCGGGCACAGTGGCTGATGCCTGTAATCCCAGCACTTTGGGAGGCCGAAGTGGGCAGATCACAAGGTCAGGAGATCGAGACCATCCTGGCTAACACCGTGAAACCCCGTCTCTATTAAAAAATACAACAAATTAGCCGGGCGTGGTAGCGGGTGCCTGTAGTCCCAGCTACTCGGGAGGCTGAGGCAGGAGAATCACTTGAACCCAGGAGGCGGAGCTTGCAGTGAGCCGAGATTGAGCCACTGCACTCCAGCCTAGGTGACAGAGCGAGAATCAAAAAAAAAAAAAGTAAGACTAAAAGTTCCTGTTTTTAAAATATTTCTGGCTAGGTGTGGTAGCTCACACCCTTAATCTTGGCACTTGGGGAGGTCAAAGGAGGACTGCTTGAGCCCAGGAGTTTCAGACCAGCCTGGGAAACATAGGGAAACCTCGTCTCTACAAAAAATAAAAAAAGTAGCCAGGCGTGGTGGCATGTGCCTGTGGTCCCAGCTACTTGGGAAGCTGACGTGGGAAGATTGCTGAAGCCCGGGAAGTCGAGGCTCAGTGAGCCGTGATCATGCCACTGCACTCCAGCCTGGGTGACAAAACAAGACTCTGTCTCAAAAAAGAATAAAATATTTATTCCTAAAGCCAAGGGTTTTAAGGCTAAATAAACATTTTGAATGTTAGGATACACTAAAATGAAATCATCTTCCCCCCTCTGTTTATTCATTTCCCCATTCCCCAGTTCTCTTTCTTGGCCCTAGTAAGTTCTGACTGGCCCCCTACAGTCCCTTCCTCTGTGGCCTAGGGTTGTGGAGGGAGACACACACAGGCAGCTGAGGAGCAGCAGTGGGGAGAGTATTGAGTTTTACAGAACCACAGGCAGCAGTGCTGTTTCCTTTCCCTGGCCAGGAGTATGAGAGGTTCCACAAGATTGATAAAAGGGGGTGATCAGCTGGGCGCATTGGCTCACACCTGTAATCCCAGCACTTTGGGAGGCTGAGGCAGGCAGATCACCTAAAGGAGTTTGAGACCAGCCTGGCCAATATGGTGAAACCCCATCTCTACTAAAAATACAAAAATTAGCCAAGCATGATGGCTCACGCCTGTAATCCCAGCTACCAGGGAGGCTGAGGCAGGAGAATCGCTTGAACCTGGGAGGCAGAGGTTGCAGTGAGCCGAGATCATGCCACTGCACTCCAGCCTGGGCAACAGAGCAAGACTCCATTTCAAAAAAAAAAAAAGAAAGAAAAAAAGAAAAATATAGGGAGGTGATCACAGAAACTACAGAAACAGGTATCCATAGTGGACAGCAGCTCCCTAGGCAGTCAGGATTGGCACTCCGGCAGGAGCAGCCCACACAAGAAAGGCATGGAGGCGGGAAAACCTCCAACAATGTGACAACTGCCCCGAAGCCTCGGACAGACAAAGGGGAGGGGTGGAGCCAGGCCTAGTAGGGACCATGGGGTCCCCGCCAGAGGCCTTGACCACAGGAGCAGTGCCTGGACTCACCCGGGACACAGGAGGGAAACCTCTGCAGAGTTTTAAGGGGGTGCGGCGCATGGTTGGATCAATGAGCAAAAAACTTCTTTCAAACACCAACATGACAAATGTTAGTTTGGAAAGTGACTATTTTGAGAGGTTGGGATGTTACCAAAGAAAGCCTCGCTTTGTCAGCTCGATGCTTCCCCTTCAGTGTCGTGGCTGTCAAACCAGCCCAGAATTAGCTCCAAACGGCCTTCCGCGAGCTCTCGGATCTTCATTTGCATCGTGCACACTCCGAAAGGTGTGAAATCCTTCTTCTTAAGAGAGATCAAAGAAACAAACCTATACACTTTTTAAAATCCGCTTTTCTTTTAAAAACAAATTTCAAAGAACTAAATTCTAACTTTTAAATGCACGATTTTAAAAAGCGGAAGTCCTCTTTGGATGATATTAATAGTAGTAATTAAAGCTACCACCAGCTGGGCGCAGCGGCTCACACCGGTAATTGCAGCATTTTGAGAGGCCGAGGCGGGTGGATCACGAGGTCAAGAGATTGAGACCATCCTGGCCAACATCGTGAAACCCAGTCTCTATTAAAAATACAAAAATTAACTGGGTGTGGTGGCGCACGCCTGTAGTCCCAGCTACTCAGGAGGCTGACGCAGGAGGATCGCTTGAACCTGGGAGGCTGAGGTTGCAGCGAACCGAGATGGCCCCACTGTACTCCAGCAAGACTCCATCAAAAAAAAAAAAAAAAGCCAGATGCAGTGGCTCACACCTGTAATCCCAGCACTTTGGTAGGCCAAGGTGGGCAGATCACCTGAGGTTGGGAGTTCGAGACCAGCCTGACCAACATGGAGAAACCCCATCTCTACTAAAATTATAAAATTAGCTAGGCGTGGTGGCACATGCTTGTAATCCCAGCTACTCGGGAGGCTGAGGCAGGAGAATCGTCTGAACCCGGGAGGCAGAGGTTGTGGTGAGCCAAGATGGCACCATTGCACTCCAGCCTAGGCAGCAAGAACGAAACTCTGACTCAAAAAAGAAAGAAAAAAAAAGTCTACCATCAACTGAGCCATCTACTCTATGCCAGGCATTTTAGATTTAGATGTGTTCACAAAACCACCACCAGAGCAATGGCTGCCTGTGTTATGCATTTACCCCATGCCAGGCCCTATGATGAGCCCAGATCACCCGCTGCCTCACTGAACTCTCCCAATATCAGCTCCCTTTGATAGATGAGAAAACTGAGGCTCAGAGAGCAGACAGAACATGCCCAAGGCCATATGGCTGGGAAGAGCAGAGCCAGGATCCAAACTCGAGAGGTCTCTCAGGACCCACGAGGCTAAGCAGAATCCCAGCTGCAATGCCTTATTCAATCCTCACAACAGCCCTCCAAAGCAAGTGTGTCGCCCCATTTTTTAGGTGAAGACACTGAGGCACAGGGGAGTGATGACCTTCTCAGGGCTGCCCAGCAGGCATGTGGCCAGGCAGGACCGGGAGGGGGCCTGCCCATTCCTTTCCCCTGGCCCCTGTCTCATTCAGGAATTAAACTAGCCCAGGTCCACGGACATGACCACATCATGGCTCCCTCTGAAACCCAGATAAGCCCTGCAATGGGGAAGGCTCCAGAAGCCACAGAGAACACTGAGTGGGAGGGAGGTCACTGACACGTGAGAAGAATGGGGCTGGTCCCACCGAGGACAAGGGTTGGGGCGCTACGCCCTGCATGCATGCCTCCTCCCCATGGTACCTGCTGGTGTCCCTGGCTCTACAAACCACCGCCACCCGGCTGGGCCCGCCCATTCTGCAGCCCCATCTCTCCAGCTGCCTCCACTGCCTTTCTGCTTCTAGAATCCACCTCGCTCAGGAGGGATGGAAATAATGAAGAGTTTATGCTGCATCGCCTGGAACTTGCACTTCACCTGCATTATCTTGTTCGGGTCTCACCAAGGCCCTGTGAGAAACATCCCGTTACTTCCCCATTTTCCAAATGATAAAACTGAGGTCCAGGGAGGCTAAGTCACCTGCCCAAGGTCACACATCGAGGAGGCAAGGTGGCCCAGCTCTGGTTTCAGTTCAGAGTCTGAGCTCTCAACCATGTCCCCCTGATGCATGTGTGTGGCCCTCGGCACCCAACTCCCTCCCTCGCTGGGTGGCAGGTGGAAGAGTTCCAGGGTGCGGGGATGGGGCCGAGCAGGGGATCGAGGCAGGCGGAGGTCTAGCATATCCACAGTCTGCCAGGGCACACACAGGGCCCACATCTGGAACTCAGGGCCATAGGATAAGGGGATGAGTGCATTCCTTGACTTAGCCAATAACAACACTGAGAGCCTACTTGGAGGGGGGGCGGGGGGGGTTGGCACTGTCCGTGGTGCTGAAGATATGGCGGTGTACCTGACGATCCAGATCCCTGCCCTGGAGACCTGCGTGACCTCCAGAAACCACCTCTCCGCACTGGGCCTCAGTCTCCTCATCTGTCAAGTGGGGACAATATACTCAGGGCCCAGGATATCTGTTGCAAGGGATCGTGAGAAAACAACGTGAAAGTGCCTGTAAACTGTAAACTTCTGTCCAGAAGTCATTATTGCTGTTAAGCCCCCGTGTGACTTGGATACGAGGCTTTGCAGCAAAACGTGTATTTCGAATATGAAACGTAGGATGTAAAAATCCCTGTATCCCATCAGCAGCTGACACAGGACTTTTTTTTAGTTAGTCCTAAGCCTATAAAGCTTTACTGCTGACCATAAATATCAAAACCGTCTTGGAAACGAAGAATTTGCCTAAAAAAAAAGAGTCAGGGGCTGGCAGGGGATTTTCCAGATACACAAGAGTAGTTCCCATATACAAAAGGTCTCCTTAGCTATTAAAAACAAATAAAAAATGTAGGGCTGGTGGCTCACGCCTGTAATCCCAGCACTTCGGGAGCCCAAGGTGGATCACTTGAGGTCAGGAGTTCGAGACCAGCTTGGCCAACATGGTGAAACCCCGTCCCTACTAAAAATACAAAAATTAGCTGAGCATGGTGGCAGGTGCCTGTAATCCCAGCTACTCAAGAGGCTGAGGCAGGAGAATCACTTGAACCCTGGAGGCAGAGGTTGCAGTGAGCTAAGATCATGCCACTGCACTCCAGCCTGGGTGACAGAGCGAGACTCTGTCTCAATAAATAAATAAATAAATAAATAAATAAATAAATAAATAAAAAGATTTTAAAAGAGCCTAGACCTTGGGTTGGAATCCTGACTCCACTTTTCTTTGCCGTATGACCTTAGACAAGATTTCTCCCCGCTGAGCTCAGCTTTTGCACCTGCAAAGCAGAGACAGCAACAGCAGACACCTCCAGGGATGTCTAGATGTGTGGTCCAATGCAGCAGCCATGAACTCCCTGTGGACATTTAATTTCAAATCAGCTACAATGAAATAAAAATACAAAAGTCAGTTTCTCAGTCACACTAACTGAATTTTGAGTGCTCCATACCCACATGGGGGCTCGTGGTTACCACACTGGACAGCACAGATATACAGCTTCTCCACTCTCTCAGGAAGTTGCACAATGCTGGTGTCAGGCCCTGTTACTCAAAGTGTGATTCCCAGGATGGGCGCAGTGGCTTACGCCTGTAATCCCAGCACTTTGGGAGGCCAAGGCAGGTGGATCACTTGAGGTCAAGAGTTCAAGACCAGCCTCACCAACATGGTGAAACCCTGCCTCTAAATACAAAAATTAAAAATACAAAAATTAGCCAGGCGTGGTGGTGGGTGCCTGTAATCCCAGCTACTTGGGAGGCTGAGGCAGGAGAATTGCTTGAACCCGGGAGGCAGAGGTTGTAGTGAGCCGAGATCGCACCACTGCACTCCAGCCTGGGCAACAGGGCGAGACTTTGTCTAAAAAAAAAAAAAATATATATATATATATATATATATAATATTTACATATATAAAATATTTTTATATTTATATAAAAATATAAATATATATATATATAAGTGTGCTCCCCAAGAGTCCTCGGGAGAACAGAGAAGGGGCATACCCTGGGAGCTCATTAGAAATGCAGAATGTCATGCCCTCCCGAGACCTATGTAATCTGCACTTGAGCACTGAAGTGTGAGATAGGCCAGTCGTGAGGATAAAGGAGAGACCAGGAGGGGAGACGCCCCTCTACATGAACAATAACAGCACCTGCTGGTTTCCACTCTCTCTAAGTGGCGATCGTATTCTCCAAATGGAACTAGTCCCCGGGCTTCTGACAACGTTTATGCTGAGTGCAGGTGCAGGAGGCAGGCAGGCAGGGGCAGGTTGCATAGACAGGGAGATGGTGGAAACTTCCAGACATTTCAGAAGTTTATGTGCACGCGGGGACACAGTATTTTAATTCTGTGCTGGCCAGGATTTTCTGGCTTGTTCATTATTCCTGTTCTGGAATAAAATCCTGTATGAAAATGACATTTTAAAAAATCTACAGGCTTGTTTCATATCCAAACACCTCTCTCCATGTTTGTGAAAAGAGAGAAAAAGCATGTCAGTAAGAAAATCTTGCTTCCACCAACTTCTGAACAACCAACCAGCAATTTCTCCCCAAAGGGTCCACAGCCTTGAATGAGCTGGAGAGAAGCGGCACAGGAAGAGGAAGACTCACACGAGGGAACCTGGCACAGCCCCAGACTGCACGCTTGGCATACATCCTCTCTCATCCGCAGAACCACCAGCAGGGGGGAGGAAGGCACCGCCACCCTCCATTACACAGGAAAGTCACCTGCCCTCCGTCTCACAACTGGGAGGCAGGTGAGCTGCAAGTTAAGCCTACATGGTCCAACTTGGTCCCCGGCTACCACTTCCCCCTGTCCTGTCTCCATCGTTCATGGTGTTTTCTTGTTTGTGTGGCTCTCAAGTGGAAGTCTTGCTTGATTTGCTGCCCACGGTATCTCTGGTGTCTGGCACAGGGTGTAGAACAACACAGAGGTGCCACAAATGTTTGTTGAGTGAATGAATGATTGCAAACCAAAGGCAAGTAGCAGCTTCAGCCTTGCGCCCTAGGTTAGCCTCAACCCTTGAGCTGGAAGGCCTGTGCTCATACTTCATGTGTCCAAGCACTGCCCAAATGCCCAGGCCGCCTCACTTGCCACCTCCTGCATGAAGCCCCCCAAGCTTCCCTACTGGGTCCCATCCCCCATCTGGACTCAGTTTCTTCCACTCACTTGCTCAGACTCTCCGTGGGGTTCCAGCCACATCTTCCCATGTGCCGTCAACACCCCCAACTCAGAGTTGCTGCCTCTGCCCAGACATGGGCACGGCTGGCTGCCTCCATTCAGATCTTCATGCAAACATCCCCTCAGCAGAGGGTCCGGCCCTTCCCCATCCCTTCATGTCCCCTCAGCCTGAACACCCCCATCATATGACAGCTGTTTATCCACAGCCTGTCTTCTCCCCTGACTCACAAAGGCAGGAACTAGTTTTGTTCACTGCTGCATCCCCAGTGCCTAGAATCACGCCCAGTGCAGAAAATGTGCTCAGGAAACATCTGTTGAGTAAATAATCAAGTGCAACCTGGAAAACAAATACTAATAACTATGACTAGTTTGAGGCAGAGTTAAAAATGCATTAAAAGTAAACACCAGGCTGGGTGCAGTGACTCATGCCTGTAATCCCAGCACTTTGGGAGGCCAAGGCAGGCAGATCGCTTGAGCCCAGGAGTTCGAGACCAGCCTGGGCAACATGGTGAAACCCCGTCTCTACAAAAAATAGAAAAATCAGCCGGGTGTCGTGGTGCATGCCTGTAGTCCCAGCTACTAGGGGGGCTAAGGCGGGAGAATCACCTGATCCCAGGAGGTTGAGGCTGCAGTGCGCCATGATCACACCACTGCACTCCAGCCTAGGACCCTGTCTCAAAAAAAAAAAAAAAGAAAATGTAAACACCAGGCTAGGCACAGTGGCTCATGCCTGTAATCCCAGCACTTTGGGAGGCCGAGGTAGGCAGATTGCCTGAGCCCAGGAGTTCGAGACCAGCCTGGGCAAAATGGTAAAACCCCATCTCTAAAAAAATACAAAAATTAGCCAGGCATGGTGGTGCATGCCTGTAGTCCCAGCTACTCGGGGTGAGGTGGGGGACTAAGACGGGAGGGTTGCTTAAGCCCAGGAGGTCAAGGCTGCAGTAAGCAATGATTGTGCCACCGCACTCCAGACTGGGCAACAGAGTGAGATCCTGTCTGCAAAAAAAAAAAAAAAAAAAGGAAACATCAGACAGCAAAGATATAGATAAGATGGCAGCAAGAGGGGGCAGGGTACGTGTGTCCTCAGGTTCTTCAGGGAGGAATGGAGATGTTGATTAATTTTAGGCTGTGTTAAGTCTGATACACACGTTAAAAATTTATGAGTAACTACTAAACAAATCAAAAAAGAATACAAAATTTCCAAACCAGTAGAGGCGAAAAAAAGAAACTTCAATCAATCAATCCAAAAGAAGGCGGAGGTGGGGGGGATAGAAAGCACAAAATGAATGACAGAAATGGGCATGTTTTATACACCAGGTAACTAAATAAATATTTGTTGTTATTATCCAAATACAAAAGCCTTTACCAAGGTCCTTCCACACAGAAATAAGGAGGGCACAGGAATAGGCCTTCAAGTTACTCCCAGTGGAATGAGATGGATGTCAAACATGCTACAGAGGACCCATCAGAGGAGCTGGCACATCTCCCAATAATCAGGGCCATTAATCAAATTACCTTCTTCACTTTGGCCCCCAGGAAGCTCAGACCCTAGTTAACCACTTACAGCCCACATAGCACTGGGTACTGGAATTCTAGGCCCTCCGTCTGAGCTACTCTAACTTTTTTTTCAACCCTGGCTTTTAATTTATCATCAATATTCTACCCATTTTACTATTTTTGTCATTTTTATAAACTATCTCCAACTCTTTGACACAAAATGAGATATAAACAAGCAAACAAAAAATCCAAATGAATAACAAACTACACAAAATTAAGCCACACAAGAACTTTCAGACAGTCCAGGACTTTCAGAGAAATGAATCTCTCTACCCTGCTTAGATTTTTTTTTTAAGTTTTTAATTTTAAGGCAGAGATACTTAGGATAATGGTCTTCAAAAAAAATAAAGAAATAAAGGGCCAGGCATGGTGGCCTATGCCTATAATCCCAACACTTTGGTAGGCCAAGGCAGGTGGGCCACCTGAGTTCAGGAGTTCAAGACCAGCATGGCCAACATGGTGAAACCCCGTTTCCACAAAAAATACAAAAATTAGGCATGGTGGCTGGCTCCTGTAATCCCAGCTACTCGGGAGGCTGAGGCAGGAGAATCATTTGAACCCGGGAGGGGGAGGTTGCAGTGAGCTGAGATCGCGCCGTTGCACTCTAGCCTGGGTGACAGGGCAAGACTCCATCTCAAAAAAAAAAAAAAAAAAAAGATAGATAGAAAGAAAAAAACACCACTGCATAACATGTTTGATACACACACACACACACACACACACACACACACACACACACACCCCAGTGGGTCTCATTTCATTTCCAAAGCCATTTTGTTGTAAATAGATAATTATCACTTAAGCATACCTTTCAAGGGGTTTATACATTAACATGAAAATACTGTAATTATGGCTGGCCAAAATCACTTGACTACAACTTAGAATTCTAGATTTTTCATCTTTCTTAGAAGTTAATTTTCTTCCTTTTAGCCCCTACAACACAGCATGGCTTGTGAGGAATTTTTTTGATGAAGAATATAGAAAATTAATTTTTTAAATGAAGATCAAACCTCTGCTGCACAAGCCATCCATTTTTCTTCTGAGCCTTGATCTCACTCTCCAGGTGGTCACTCAGTTTATCAATCACACTGGCCATGTGCGTACGCAACCAAAATCCCTGGACACCAACAGCGCCCCATCAGAGAGTGCCGGAGGTGACAAGAGGCTCCAGAGTTTAAAAGTAAAATTATTTTTAAAATATTCAATCTCAAGTCTTTGCAAGAATAACAATGTGTGTCTGGAAATGTCTGAATCAGGCCGTAGCAACAGAATCCATTTTAAGTCTGCTGTACACTTTCAGAGAGAATTCTTGTTAGCTCTTTAAAAAAAAAAAGTTGGTTGGACTTTTTTTTTATCAAAGTGATCACATCATAAAATTTGTCTTCTCTTTCCTCATTCCTTTAACAAATATTTGTCAAATGCCCACCTCATGCCAGGCTGCCAGGCCCTAAGTATACCAGGTCAGCCATCTCCCTCGCCCCTAACTTCATACCCCACCAGCAAATTCTGTTGATTCCACTTCCAAACCAGAGCCAAGCCTCTACTGCACTCTCCCTGGGCCACCTCCAGGTCCAGCCTGAGCTACCCTGGCCTCTCGCAGACACCTGCACCAGCCTCTCCTGGTACCCTGGCGTCCTCTCCTGCCTGCTACAGTCAGGCTCCACCCAGAAGGGTCCTTCAGAAACCCGAATCAGACCTTGTCCTCCCTGCCTAAGCCCCCCAGTGGCCTCTAGAATAAAATCCATGCCCTCGTCCCAGCTGGTCAGCGGCCCAGGATCACCAGGATCAGGCCCACAGGCCTCCACTGTGCAGCAGGAATTCAGAGCTGGGTCCTTCTCCGTGCATGACCCTCCCAGGGGGGCCTTCCCCAGCCATCTTATGTCAAGGAGCTTTCCACTCCAGTCACCACCAGCCTACCCTGTGCATTGATCAATTCTCTTCACTCTGCTTGCTATTTACCACCTATGACTGCATTCAACCTCAGGCCACCCAGGCAGGGACAATCCTGTGCCATCCATCACTGAATCTCCAGCACCAAAGCAGTGAACACAGTAGCCCCTCACGCTGTGTTGACTGAGATGCACGTAGACCCCTGCCCTGGTCCCCAGCAGTCACAGCCCCGCGGGAGAGGCGAGAGATCTACTAACCCATGCTGGGGGCTCTGACACTGGGAGGTACGTGAACCGGCAGGGCCCTAAGTGCCAGGAGGGGCTGAGTTCACACAGGGTGCACACACGGTCTCATCTGATTGAGGTGGACGCTCCATGAGGGAGAAGGGAGGCCAGCTGGCTGATGAGGGCAGAATCAGAAGTGGCCCCACATCCCTGACCTCCAGTGCTTGGTGCCCTGCACTGGGGAGAGGCTGCCAGTCCTGACAGAGCCAGCATGAGGCCTGATGGACTGCCCCTGCAGAGCTTGGCACCCCATTCCCAGGAAGACTCCAGTCCCACCCGACCGCACCCTCCATGCATAGAGAACAGCTCCACCTCCCGGAGGCAGGAGCAGCCCCGCACAGGGGCGGGTGCCCAGGTACTAGCTTTAGGTCCTGATCTATTACGGGGGATGCCCACCCAGCACACTCTGCAGCAGTCAGAAGGGGCAGCCACGGGGCAGGATCTTGCAGTGCTCAAGTCAGGAAAGGGAGGAAGAGCGAGGTGCACCCAGGCAGGAAGGAGCATGGGAGAGAAGGAGGGAGCTTGTGCATGCTGTTCATTGGGTGGGGAGGTGGGAAGAAGGGAGGGGAAAAATAAAGAAACAAAAGCAGGGACTTGCACAAGCTGCAGGGGACAGACAGCCATGAACTCTGGGATGGGGACCTTCCCATCCGCATCCAAGGTTGGTTTCCGCACCCCCAAGTAGAAGAGAGGAGGCCAGAGAGTAGACTGGAAAGGACAGACAAATTATGAGAGGGGCGTGGAGGGGGGTCAACCACCAGCTTGCACCAGAAAGTACTTGTTTCCCACACATGATCCTAATTACCATGCCTGTGAGCTGCCTCCTGCTCCTGCAAGGGGAGGGCGAGGCCCCACCTGCTCCTTTCTGAAGCCCCCGACCTCCACTTGGAACCTTGAACAGAGAAGGTGCCCATTCCGCCGGCAGGCGCCCTGGGATTAAATCACAAAGAGGCAAAACGATTGTGTGTGGCCCATTTCCAGGCAAACCCCCTGCAGCCTCAGACCTTCCATGCAGTGGCAAATGAGGCAAGAACCAAAGAAACTGCCTTGACGTAAATTCTCCATTTCCCTTTCTCCCCCTTCCTCCCTCATGGATTTTAATTAAGGGTTTACTTGCAAAAGACCTAGTTCTATTTCACTAAATCCTTGGACCCCTTTTATATTGTCTCATATATCGTGTTATGCTCAGGCGCCAGTGCAAACTTAATTATAACTTCTAAATACTCCATTACCAGGCCCTCATCTTCCTCCCCTGCCTGAGTCTGCTAAGGGTAGTGCCACTTAATTAATGGGCCCATCATGTGCTTTACAGACCACGCTTTTACAACAAACACCCCTGGGCACCTCGGCACCAGGCTGGGCTGGGCTCTGAGGACCCGTGCTGACCAGGGTATGGTCTCCGCCCTGGAGTGGCTCACAGAAGCTGCAGGAGGAAGGGAGGCCAGTAGGCTGGCACACAGAGCACCCACAGCAGCTCAGCAGGTGACACAGTGGGCAGAGGGGACAGTGGGCAGGACAGACGATAGCAGTGTCACAATCACAATAGATGATTGCAGACGTCAGCCTCAAAGGGAAAGGAGAGGGGACATAGGAGCCCTGACTGAGAGGGTCCCAAATGCCATAGTGAAGTGCTTCATCTTACTACATAGCCTAAGGGGATGGGTCAGAGGTTTGGGAGTTCAGTTTGGGACAGAACTAGTCTAAAACCCTGGCAGACACCCAGGAGGAGGTGTTTTGTAAGAAGACTAGACAATGCAGTGGCTGGATGAGAGAGATGGAGGCATTCTGCAGGTCTGGGTGGAGCTAGAGCTGGGGGGTCTGAGTGGTTAGTTGTCATTTGGAAAGAAGGTGGGTGAGAGGCCTAAGGATGGACCCTAGGAGAAGCCCCCTTCAGTGGGCAGGAGGGGAATGAGGAACAAAAGGAGGAGATGGAAAAGGGCCCTGGAGAGGGAGGCCACATGGAGCCTGTGGCAGAACCCACACTAGAGGAACCTGCATCCAGCATCAGGCGCCGCAGAGCTGAGGGGAGGAGAGGCCAGCCAGTACAAAGCCACCTGTGGCCTCTGGCAGTCACTCCCAAGGGTGGCGCAGGGTCCTCAGGCTGTGGGGGCTAGGGGTGAAGTGAGGGCTGTGGAGGGTGCAGTGAGGGCTGCGGAGGCTGCAGGCTTCCTGTGGCTGGGGGTGGGGAGGCCAGCCTGGCACCTGCCAGTCACAGAGAGGGAACTTTCTGGCATCTTGCAAATCCCAGCTCAGGAACTGACAGTTCTTGCAGGCATGGCTGTCACTCAGAGATGGCAGCAGAATTTGGACCTGGCATTCTTGCCTTGGGAAAGATGTGGGCAGTGCCAGGGCCTTGGGGTCAGTGGCTGCCTCTGTAGGGCATCCTGGGAGGAGGGTGCTTCTGGGTGTTCAGCCTCCCCTCCTGCCCTCAGCACCCTGGCCTCCAGGGGGGCCTGCATGCTAGCACATTTCATCAGGTCCAGAGCACCTGTGGCCCCAGCTTCTAGCCTCGTCCTTGAGACCCCAACTCAACTTACGCTCCCTGAGTCTTCTCAGATCACTTCCCAAGTCGTGTGTGGCAACAGCGATGGCTCACACTGGTCTGTGTCACAGCGCTGCCCTCCTTGAAGCTCCCATTTACTGGTGGCCTACCCAGTGGCATTCAGGCATGCCCTGCCCTGCTGGGGTCACCATGGCCAGCTGACAGACAGGGCTGCGTCAGCGGGGTCAGCATGCCACTCACGGCTGCACATTCCTCTCTGTCCAGGGCTCCGCTGGCTGGCGCTGGACATGAAGCCTTGACCCTCCCCTTCAGGGGCTGACAGTGGAGGTAGGAGACACGCCCCCGCCGCAAGGCGAGAGCCACCAGCAGAGCCTAGACCAGGAGCTCTGGGCGTACAGAGGAGCAGGGAACAGCTCTGCCCAGCGGGGTTGGGGGAGGCTTCACAAGGGGCAGCTCTGGAGGGGTGAGTGGAGCGTGGGCCCCGGACCAGGGAGGGGAGCTTATTCTACGAGTGAGGAGTCCAGCTGGACGGTGTGGCTGGAGGGAAATGGTGCTGCTGGTGTTGAAGTTGAGGAGTCTGTTTTGTGTGGGGCAAGGATCTGGGAGTGGCAAGTTGTTCACCGTGACAGATGTTTCACAATGACAGGGATCCTGTGGTGCCCGGACTGTGCAAAGCACTGCGTGGGAATACTATTCATCAACCCTTCCCCACAGCCCTGGGGCAAGAAAATAATTCTCCCCGTTCTACAAGTGAGGCACAGAGAGGTTGAGAGACTGGACTGAGGTAACACAGCAAAGAGGAGGAAACAGGGGTGAAGACAGCTGCCTGGCCTCCAGCCGCCCCACCTCCCTGCACTGGCACTGCTGACTGATCCATCCAGGCTGTGAGCTCCCTGTGGCTGGTGAGGAGCAAGGAACCACCTGCACATTCTTTGCCATTTTCAGCAAGTTTTGCTTTTGCGTTCACTCTTTATAGCTGGAGAACTTGTCCTTATCCATCTTTTAGCTGCTTACTCGACATTTACAAATCAAGCTGCCACTTCTATTTCATGAATACATTTGGGATATTAATGGCCAAGGGGGAAAAGGGGCTGCTCAGAGGGACTCTTTCATCCCAACCCGTCCCCCTCCCATGAACGCAGACCCAGCTAGAAGCCGGCAAACGGGCAATGCATAGACACCAGTCACAGCCGAGCTGACAGCAACGCACCTCACAGCAAGTTAGAGTCCGCAGGAATTTAACCACGCAGAGCCCCGTTAGATGTCTTGTCTTGTCTTATACGGTAGGTCTTTATTAATTTTTTAAATCTCTTCCTGTCTGTCTGGAGGTGGCTCCCAGAATATGATTTCAAATGCTTTCCATGAGATCAATGAACAGGGAAGGAGCAAGTTGTGAATTTCAAATCTATAACTTTCTCATCCAGGAGAAGGGGCTGAGCCAGTGGGTGGGCGAGGTGGGCAAGGTGATGAGGTGGGTGTGCAAAGGTCTCCCGCCCTGTCGGCTGGGGAAGGGGCTCATGGAGGCCCTTGAGCGGCCAGGATTGACCCAAGGCCCAGCGCTGTCCCATCCCTTCTGTGACACACTTGGCACCAGACACCCAGGAGCGTTGCCTTTGTTTGAAATTACCAGAAAAACACACCCCTCCCCTATAGAAAATCAGACACAGAGAGAGAGAGAGACAATCCTAAAGAAGAAGGTAAAACCCCATGAGCCCACCACCCAGACATCGACTCTGGAACATTCTGGAGCTTTAGCCCTCACCAGGTACACTCTGGTTCTACAATCCATCATGGCCTTTGAAAAGCTTTCTAAAGGTCATCCCCATACAAAAACCTTCCCAAAGCTCCCCCTGCCCTTAGGATCAGCCCCACACTCTTGTCCGAGGCCCAGGAGGCCTGTGTGGACCAGTGCCTGCCCCACTGCCCTGCTTCTCCCACTTCCCAACACTCCTAGTGCTCTCTGCTCCCACCCCAGGGCCCCTGCAGCCTCCGCGTCCTCTGCCTGGAACGGGTCCTGCCCAGAGCTGCACAAGGCTGCCTCATTCTCACCCTCAGGCCTGGCCCAACATCCCCTCCTCAGGGAGGCCTTCCGTGCCCACCCAGCTGAATGGCCATCACCACACGTCCCCAGGTGGGTCCCAGACAGACCCCATAGCTCTCTCTAATGAATGGCTCCCGTGCCGCCCTCATGGCTATGAAGCCACCGTCCCCTCGCATCAGGCTGAGTGGGGCCCTGTGTGCTCAGGGCCTACTGTTACCCCAGGGCTTGCGACACACCTGGCACCTCGTGGGCTCTCAGTGAGGCTCAGCAATAGGATGACGGAATGTTTCTTTCCAGTCTCTTTTTCTCTGTGTCTGCTGTTGGGAGGGCGGTTGCTAGCTGAGACTACACGTCCACATCTCTCAGGAACTCCACATGCTGTAACACATGTGTTGTTCCACTGCCTTCCCTGCCAACTCAACCTCAAGGTTCAGGTCCAATGTCTTCCTCCCAACACCCCACCCCTACCCAGGGGAGCCCAGATCTGGTAGACGCCAGTTCATGGGGGCAATCATAACAGGTATACAGCACTTTACATTTTGCAAGGTGATTCTTTCCTCCATTCCAACAGAGCCTCAAAACAACATTTGGAGGGATGCGAGGCAGGGGAGCCTAACCGCCCCCTTTTAAAATGAGGCCCAGAGGGGCCACGTGGCTGCTGTGGTCACCCAGGCAGGAAGCAGATCCAGACTCCAAATGCATCGCCTACACCCTTACTTCCAATCAGCATCGTCCACACCCTTACTTCCAATTAGGGAGGCTTCACCTCAAGAAGGAGAGGCAACACAGAGCTATACCAAGAGTTCAGCACTGGGGTCCCACTGCCCAGTTCTGCCATTTACAAGCTGTGTGACTTTGGGTAAGTGGCTTCACTTCTCTGGGACTTGGTTTTCTCCTCTGTAAAATGGGAATGATAATAGTTCCTGCCTCATTGTCAGGAGGATTAAATGAGTTACTAATACATGCGAAGGGTATAGAACAGCACCCAGCACATACTAAATGCTCAGTAAACCTGAGCTTCATAGAAAAAACGACCCTGTCCAAACGCACCAAATAGGTGCACAGTCCATCTCTCAGCCATGATCACCAAACTCTGGGGACCTGGCCCACCGGCCAACCAAGGTGTCTCGCTTTGTGCAGTGGGTGAGTTCCCAAAATACCAGCAGCAAATGGGCTTCGATTCATGCTCTCACCCCCATGCAAATGCTCCTCCTCCCTCAGTCTGAAGCCCATTCCTCCTTGAGTGAGGGTCCTGACATCTGCAAACACTTCCAGGCAGCAAAGGGGCGAGGCCTGAGGGAAAGAACCTTTTGTAAAAGGAAGACCCCTTTACAAGTTGTAAGTTCACACTTTCCACCCATCATGGGCACCTGGAAAGCCAGGCTGTGTGTGAGAGACAGTCCCCACCCTTCAGAACCTCCATTCTCCTCTGTCAAATAGGGACGCAAATGGTAGCCACCTCAAGTAGCTGTTCCCAAATTCAACAAGGCAGAGGTGGTAAGAGCCTGCCACCCCGTGCCTGGCACACAGCGGGGGCTTGGCCCACAGCGACTCCAGCCTCTCTGCCCTGGAAACGGCCTCTTGACTCCACCAAGTGGAACCTCCTGTCTTTTGAAACCCACAGCAGACGGGACAAGCAGCCTCCCTCGGGGAAGGGGCCCCTCCTGGGAGGCAGCCCAGAACTGGAGCCAGTGTGGGCAAGGGGAGAATCCCAGAGAAGGACTTCAGGAGCCCTGTCCCCCGGCCTGCACTTCCTGCAGCCCAAACAGGGCCTTTGATTAGAATTTCCCGTTTGAAAAATCAATATTTAAAGCCCTCTGCCTGCCAAACAGAAGGGAAGGCCTTGCTTGTAAATATTTGTCTCGCCTGGCAGAGTCGGGCCCCTGGCTCACCGCGGCTGCCCTGCCTCACTCCTGGCCCTCTGCTTGTGCAGTCCCAGCCAACTGCACAGCGGGACGCCCCTGGGGAGGCGGAAGGGACCGTCTGGCAGCCACGTGGGGCTGCGCAGGAAGGTGAGCGGCCCCGCACCCACGCCTCCACGGCAGCAGGCCTGGGTGCTGGGCTGCACAGGGGCCATCCATCTGTCTTCCCCGGGTGGGGACAGAGATGCCTCACTGTGAGATTTCTCTGGATTCCAAGGCAAGCGAGTTTTCCCAGGGGGTCCCCTAGGTTTATTTCTTATTTTTGAAAAAAAGCACAAAGACAAAACCCAGAGGATGTGCTTATAAGTCATCACCCACCATGGCGCAGTGCATGGGAAAGGGCTCTGCTGCCGAGACCAGCAGCTGCTCACATCTGGCCCCTGGAGAAACCATCTCCATGGCAGTGGGTGACTGAGCTAGGATGAACCAGCTGAGCACCTACCCTGGCACCACCATTCTGTGTGTCACTCATGCATTCACCCACTCAGCCATTCATTCATTCATTCATCAATTTCTTTTCTTTTGAGACAGAGTCTCACTCTGTTGCCCAGGCTGGAGTGCAGTGGAGTGATCTGGGCTCACTGCAACCTCCACCACCCAGGTTCAAGCAATTCTCCTGCCTCAGCCTCCGATGTAGCTGGGATTACAGGTGCCCGCCACCACACCCAGCTAATTTTTGTATTTTTAGTAGAGACAAGGTTTCACCATGTTGGCCAGGCTGGTCTCAAACTCCTGACCTCAGGTGATCCACCAGCCTCAGCCCCACAAAGTGCTAGGATTACAGGCATGAGCTGCTGCACCCGGCCTCATTCATCAATTATTTATTGAGGCCCTACCTTTGCCAGGCACTGGGGCCTGGACACATAAATGGACAAAGACATGAGCAAAGTCCCTTTTGGAGGGGGTCTTCCAGGCCAAAAAAAAAAATCCCACAAACAAATGGAAAGTCACAACCAAGACAGATGCTGGAGGAGGAGAGGTCCAAGGTGGATGGGAGAGAAAGGGGCACCTGCTCTGAGAGGTCAGGGAGGGTGACCAGGCAGGCACAGGCCAAGGAGGGGGCCCGGGCAGCGCAGGAGGGAAAGGCAGGCAGGCAGCCTCGGGAGCTGGCGGGAGCCCCCTTCCTGCTCAGCACAGCCGCCCGCCCGGGGCAGGAGGGACCTACCCAGCCACTCGTTGAACTTCTTCACCTCGCTCGGGAGCCCCAGCTCAGTGAAGTCCCCAGCGTGGATCAGCACGTCGCCGTACGGCATCTGGATGGGGTCCGTCCTCGAGTGGGTATCAGAGACGCAGACGAAGCGGGTGTAGCCTGGAGGTTTGGGGGCATCGTGAGGCACCGGGTCCACCCTGCAGGGAGAGATGACACTGCGGATCAGGAGGCCATGGAGCCGCGAGCCTGCGGGTGGTGTGTCTGCAGCCCCATCCACCACAGCTCACAGCCCCATCAATCCCGCTCAGATCCACCAGACCAGGGACTGGACGCCCAGCCTTCCCAGGGGTCCACCCCGGCCCGAATCCTGACTTCTCTCATCTTTAGCCAGGCAAAGCATGTTTGGCCCCCAAGCCTCAGTTTCCCTGTCTGTAACATGGAAACGTCGGGTTGGGGGGCTGTTGGGAAGGTTAAAGGGAGTGAGAAGTGGGTGCAGTGAGCATCTGCCCTCCGAGCTGAGGTGCTGCACAGCTTCCAGCCTTTTGTTCGTTATCACCGCCAGAGTGGCCTCTTCAAGATGTCTTTTATTTTCCCCTACTCACTTCCCTCCCATGAAGCTTTAGTACGGCATCACAGCGGTGCCGTACGTGTGTTTAGGTACCTCACATCCACCTCTGCTTTAGACAGAAGAGCAAGACGTTTTCTTCACTCCCCAAGCACCAGATTTTACCCTTTAGGGGCGCTATGGCCCCCACTGAGACCGCATGGAGTAAAGCCTGTGGTCGGGCGATGAGGACAACTGCCCGGGCTGTGCAGCGCACGTCCGCCGTCGCAGGACAGCAGCACGGGAGGGGGAGTTTCAGGAGAATGTGTGAAATAAAGACCCTAAAGGAAAGGAGTCCATTTCTCAAAACCGTAAGACAGTGTGATCATTTCTAGACCAAGGGCCTTCCAGGGCTGTGTCAGAAAACACTCCTGGAGTCAGAAGACCAGGCTTTCCACAGCCTGGGTCTGCACATCTGTAAAACGAAGCTACTTCACTGAGCAAAAATAACATTTTAAAAAGCGGCACAAATGTAGGTTCTTGTGCCTCAGGAGCCTATCGTGGCCCTCCCGTTTGACAGACGAGGATGCCAAGATCCAGCCGGGCTGAGCAAGCTGCCCTGGGCACCCCAGTGCAGAAATGTGGACGTGGGCTAAGACCCTGGCTCCCGGCACCCCGTGGGCTAAGACCCCAGCTCTCCATCCAGTGCGGTCTCCACTACACGTTGCCTCCCCAGGTGAATGGTTTTACCAGGCTCAAAACTCTTAAAAACAACGCAATGACATTTCAACAGCAGCTCTCTCCAAATGAGTATGCTGCTCGAGGAGTTGTGTTTAAATCTAATTATGCGGCAAACCAAAAGCGGTGCCATATCAGTTACATAAATACTTTTAAAGACATCTTTCTAATTATCCTTTTTTTTTTTTCAGACAATATACTTCGAAGAAATTTAATTAACACCTTACGAGAGACGTGGGTTCAGCATGCTAATGTGCAGGGCGCACTAGCGCGCTCCATCCGCCGCAGCCGGAGGCGCCGAGCCAGCCTCTCCCCACCACGATGCCGCGGCGGGAGCGCGCACCCGGGGCCCCTTCCTGGGGGTTGCTAGGCCTAGGGAGAATCCCAGCAAGTCAGAGCTGGTCTACGCTGGGAGGAAAATGAATATGAATCCGATGATGACCAACCAGGGAGGTGCTAGGAGCTTTTCCTCTTCTCCTCCATTCACTCATTCACTCACTCATTCACTCATTCACTGAATACAATACATCCTGAATGACTACCGTGTGCCAGCCCTGAGCTCAGCGCAGGGCCACAGGGATGAACCAGGCTGACCCCTGCTCACAACAAGCCCAGGGACTGATGGTGGCAGCAGATTTGGCCAGACGATGACAATACAGCCAGCACCTTTGACAGGGCAGCAGAGGGGACAGGGCGCAGAGAAGGCCCTAACCTGGCCTGGGGTCTTCTGGAAGCTTCCATCAGGGGTAGTGTCTGAGCTGGTCTGGAAGCTGAAATCTCCTTCCCAGAAATTCCCACCACTCTTCTGTCCTCTGGGGCCCCCAGTGACCCCCACTCCCCATGACAGACAGCTGGTGTGACCTACATACCCTGCCGCCCCCCCACACACAGCTGATCAGACCAAGGGCAGCCAATTGCTACTGGGCTACTGGCCTGGCACAGGAATTCAAGTGAGCCAATCAAATTCATTCATTCATATTCTCTCCCTCTCTCTCTCCTCCCTTTCTCTCTCTTTCCCTCTCTCTCTCCTCCCTTTCTCTTTCCCTCTCTCTCTCCTCCCTTTCTCTTTCCCTCTCTCTCTCCTCCCTTTCTCTCTCTCCTCCCTTTCTCTCTCTCTCCTCCCTTTCTCTCTCTCTCCTCCCTTTCTCTCTCTCTCCTCCCTTTCTCTCTCTCTCCTCCCTTTCTCTTTCCCTCTCCTCCCTTTCTCTCTCTCCTCCCTTTCTCTCTCTCTCCTCCCCTTCTCTCTCTCTCCTCCCTTTCTCTCTCTCTCCTCCCTTTCTCTCTCTCTCCTCCCTTTCTCTTTCCCTCTCTCTCTCTCTCCTCCCCTTCTCTCTCTCTTTCCCTCTCTCTCTCCTCCCTCTTTCCCTCTCTCTCCTCCCTTTCTCTCTCTCTCCTCCCTTTCTTTCTCTCCTCCCTTTATCTCTCTCCTCCCTTTCTCTTTCCCTCTCTCTCCTCCCTTTCTCTCCTCCCTTTCTCTCTCTCTCCTCTCTTTATCTCTCTCCTCCCTTTCTCTCCTCCCTTTCTCTCTCCTCCCTTTATCTCTCTCTCCTCCGTTTCTCTCTCTCTCCTCCCTTTCTCTCTCCCTTTCTCTCTCTCCTCCCCTTCTCTCTTTCCCTCTTTCTCTCCTCCCTTTCTCTCTCTCTCTTTCCCTCTCTCTCCTCCCTTTCTCTCTCTCTCCTCCCTTTCTCTCTCTTTCCCTCCCTCTCTTCCCTTTCTTTCTCTCTGTGTCTCTCTCTCTCTCTCTGTGTGCCTCTGAGGTTTTGAAGATGTCATAAGGTGACAAAGACTAAGTCAAAGAGACAAAGAGAGATGAAGATGGGAGAGACAGGGAGCACAATGCCACCCCCGAGCTGCTAGGGACCCGACAGTCTACCCTCTGGGAGCCCCGCCTAGCAGAGGAGCCCTAAGAGGGCCTCAGCTCCCACCCACCACCAGCCAGCCAAGAGCAGTGCGGTTCTGAGGGCTCTGGTTGGGCTGGGCCTGCTGCTGGAGCCAGAGATCTTTAATTAACTCCACTCATATTTCCCTGCACCCCGAGGCTTCTGGAGCACAGCGAAGAGGCAGACCTAGTCATCCCCAGAGAAAGAAATAGACTCTCATTTCCCGACACAGTCCCCCAGCTATTTGGATTGCAACAAATGCTCAACTTTGAAATAATAACAACAGTAATGATTTCAATGATCCCCACGCATCAAGAGCTCATTATGTGCTGGGCACGTTACAGGCAGTGGCTCTCTTCACCCTCATAATGACCATCTAAGCAGGGTACTATGGGTAGCCCCATTTTACAGGTGAGCAAACCAAGGCTCAGAAAAGGCTGACTTGTCCATGATCTTAGCTACAGGAGTTGGTGCAGCTGAAATTTGAAGCTGGTTTTTGGGTCCAGAACTCACACCAGGCTGGACTGTTACCAGGCTGGACTTCATTTCATTCAATCAACCTATGGACAAATCTTACTGAATGCCTCTAAATGCCAGGGACCTGCTTGGTATAAGGATACATCTGTGGGTGGGACACCCACAGAGGCCACCGGTGTGAAGATCCAGAAACCTGACTATGTTTGCAAGTGAAGGAAAGAGCAAAAAGAGTCAAAATATGGAGAAAGAGGCCAGGCACAATGCCTCACACCTGTATTCCCAGCACTTTGGGAGGCCAAGGTGGGTGGATCACTTGAGGTCAGGAGTTCAAGACCAGCCTGGCCAACATGGTGAAACGTCGTCTCTACTAAAAATATAAAAAATTAGCTTGGTGTGGTGGCAGGCGCCTGTAGTGTCAGCTACTATGGAGGCTGAGACAGGAGAATCGCTTGAACCCGGGAGGCGGAAGTTACAGTGAGCTGAGATCGCACCACTGCACTCCAGCCTGGGCGACAGAGTGAGACTCTGTCTAAAAAAAAAAAAAAAAAAAAAAAAAAAAAAAAAAAAAAATTAACAACAACAGTAGAAAGAGACAGTGAACAAGAGGGCATAATTTGAAGATCCAGCTATACCTGAAGCTAGACCCAAGCTTGAAATTCTTAATATGGGCCAGTAGACTCCTTTTCATCCTTAAGGCAACTTAAGTTGTGTTTCTGATACTTGCAATGACAATGAAAAGTTAGTCCATGCCCAAGCTCCCAGCTACTAAGTTAAAGAGTGGAATTTAAACCCAGGACTTCACAACAGGAATCTGGGCGTCTAATCTCAACACTTTGTGACTCCCCCCCAAAAAAAAAGTGCAAAATGGTTCTTTCTCAGTGACATTCTGCAGGGACCAGAGATAAGACGTGGAAGCAAAGGCTTCTTATTTCTTGGAGCCAAACTCAACTTCCCCAAAGCTTCTGCCTACTGGGGTGGTTCTGAGACCTGACACCCATCTCAAGCTCTCCCCAGCCTACACCGATCTTCTTCCCATGGGATTCCTGGCAGCAGGAACAGCACAGAGGAGAGAACACGGCCTCCGACGCCAGACCCCAGGCTGGCACCCCAGCTCAGTGACCTCCTCCTTGCTGTGCCCCTGGACCCCACCAGGCTCCAGCCCTGCTCTGTAGGGTGGGGACAAGCCACTCCCTCTTTGTCATGTTGTGAGAACTTCACCAACCTTCACAGCTGGAGCCCTGATGCCAACACCCCTGCAGTGCACTCTGGATCCTGCTCTTGGTTCTTTCTCTCCCATAAGCCACTGGTTCTGTGCAAGTGCAGTTCCTGGCGCCAAAAGCCCAGAGAGGCATCAGAAGCAGAGGCTGTTACCCCTCGTAACCCTATTCCTGCAGACATGGGGTGCTCTGAAGGTCCAGGCAGGGACAGCTTCTAACAACTCATCCAGCCGTGTGACTGGGCATCAGCCTTTCCTTTAGTAGGAAAGGACCTCTAGTCCCTTCCTCTCATTTTACAAATGGGGAAACTGAGGCCTGGGGAGGCACAATGACTGGCTGGATCAGCATCACACAACAACTGCCCCAACCGCTTGCCCAGTACTCTTCCCACAAAGCACTGCGTCCAAGGGGACCCTGGCCACAGTACCCTCCTGCATCCCCACACCTGTCCTTCCTTCCCACATCCTGGCCTCTGCTCTTGCTGGTCCCTCTTCCTAAAGTGGCCCACTCCACGGAGGCCACAGTGCAGCTGGTCCTCCACACCCAGGGATTATGCCACCCCCACCCCCACAGAAAGTCCTCCGTGATCCCTGACACTCCTTCTGAGTCTTGCCGCCTGTCCCGTTCTCACTCTCTTCTCTTTCCTGCTTCCTATTCCCTGTGCTAGGCACCAGGCATGCAGCCCCATGCTTGTGGAGGGGAGAGATGCTTGGGAAATCCTCCTACAAATGAATGTGTCAGCACAGAATGAATCAGGTGCCACAAAGCGTGGGCCACAAGGCCCAGTGCTGAGCACCTAGAGCTGGAGCGGGAAAGACTTCCCTGAGGTGGTGACACCTGGGTGAGATCTGAAGGAGGAGTCAGTGCTCACAGGGCAAAAAGCTGGGATCAGAGGGAACAGCATGGGCAAAGACCTGAGGCAGGAGGAAGACTGGAATGTTTGAGAAACTGGAAGCAGCCACCGCATCTGTTGCCCAGCAGGACAGGATGAGAGCCAGGCAGTGCCGGGGTGTGAGTCCTCCCCACCTGCTTTGCTCCTTGTCCCCCTCCCTGCACTCCAGGCTGAGCTCCATGTCTCCAGGAGCCTCTCAGTGTGTGGAAAGGCCAAGGAGCCACACAGCACTGGGTGGGAATCCCAGCTCCCCACACTCACCTTCCAAAACCTTAGCATCCTCATCTGTAGAGAGGGTGTCCACATTGACCTGAGACAGCAGGAAAGGCCAGGAACAAGGCACAAAGGGACTACTCTAGGCCTGGCACGCAGCTGTGGCCTTCCATCCCACTCTGCTGTAGCTTCAAGGACCCGGTGCAGCCTGAGGGGCTCGAAGGGCCTTTAAGCGATGACTCAAGTCTCTGCCATAACGACTTTTAAAGGTCAGAGAGGAGTTGCTGTGCCTGGTGCCATGGCCCTGGGGACTTCAGTGAGAGCTCCAGGATAACCCTGTCCCCCAACACTCACTCTTGCCTTCTTACTGACCACCAGGCCAGTGGTCCGCCTACCCACCCAGAGCAGAAGGGCTGGGCCTGGAAGAGCCTCCTGAGACCCCCATAGGGTTTCTCAGTCACCGGGGCAAGGAGTCTTCAGCCTTGCTCACAACCTAGAGGCCCAGCTCCGGAGATTCATTACCCAAGCAAAGGCGGCCTCGTCACCAGCAGAGTCTCTGGGGGCAACTGCATAAATCACAGGACTCAACCAGAGGCCATGTTTGGACTGTCACTGTTGTTATTAAATATAAATTGTGGATTTATTAAATAAGGCTCCATCGCTCCCTCACCCCGGAGACAAAGCCCAGGGTGGCAACAAATCACATGTCGGGAAGTGGCAGCCATCCCCCCACCGCTCCTGGGAGGGAGCAGCCGACTCGCCATGGAAATCCATTCAGCCACCACCAGCAGCCTCCATGCTTCCGAGCTCGGGGTGTGGAGTCTGAATGAAGGGGCAGTGGGAGGCAGCAGCCCCCTCATCCCTGTGCCCACCCTGGCTTTACCCAGCTGTGTGCAAAGTTGTGTTTCAAAGCTGGAGCTCGGAGCATGCTCCCTCCAGGGTCCCACCCAAACCCCAGCTGCCTCGGAGTCAGCAGAAGCCGGGAACTCTCCCCTCTGCCGGAGGTGGTGGTGCAGAGCAGTCCAGGATGGGGTGGGGCAGGCCAGGTGTGAATCCTTGCGGGGCCTGCTCCAGCTCCCCAGCTAAGCTCCTTCTCCATAGCACTTACCATCACCAGCATCACACGCTTTCATGACCATCTGCTAACTGCCTGCCATCCACTGGATGTAAGCTCAGCACAGGCAGGGGTGCCTTCGATCACTGCTGGGTCCCAAGCACCTCACCAGGCCTGGCATGTGCTACCAATGCTGAACGCTTGCTGCCCACCGCGCCTTCTCTACGAGGATTTAACTATTTCATCCCCAGCATTACTGTGCGCAGCGTTTTTTTCACCCCCGAAGAACCAGTTTTCACCCCTTGGAGGTGCTGTTTCCTCCACTGAGAATGCATGGACTAGTGTCACGGGGGGTGAGGACCAGCTTTCCGAGCTATGCAGAGCGCATGCGCCATCCAAGGAGGGCGGCACGGCAAGGGGAATTTCAGGGGAACATGTGGTCCCTCGACCTGGAGTAGCCAGCTCCAGGTTGGCGAAACTGAGGCACCAAGCAGCATGAACCCCATCCAAGCAGGCAAGCTCAGCGCCCAAGGTCCTAAACAGTGAGAAACTCAGCAGCTCACAGACATCCCAAATGCGTGAATGAATGACTCAACAAATGAATGAATGGCCCTGGGTTGCTCGGTTAAATGGGGTAGATCACCCCCTCTCATTCAGTCATTCACCACCCTCCCTCAGGACGCAGCCCGGCCTGCAGGGGCCTGTGGTGTCTCCTGCACGCCCCCAACCCCTGCTGCCTGCCCAGCTGGGCCTCCATACAGTTCTCAGAGACCCCTGTCTTCTAGCCACCTGCAGGCTCCGACCTGCCGCCCCTTCTGCTGGCCCACTTCCTCCTCACACCCTCTCCCAACTTGCTACGCCTATTCCTCCTGCTCTGGCCTTCACCTAGAAATTACCCAGTTCTCCAGGGGGTCTTTCCTGGATCCCTTGAAACTGGGAAGCACCTCCTCAGCCCCCACTCTCTGTCTTCCTCTTTCCCTGGCTCAGTTCTCTGACTAGGAGCTCCCTAAGTGTGTGCCTGGCCCAGGCAGGGGCACCGTGATTGACAGCTGTCCATGGTCCCACTGTATGTGGTGCTGGGACCCTCACAAACCCCACCTGCCCTGGGAGGCCTTGCTGCTCTCTCCTTGCCCACTGGGCAGGAGTTCAGCCTGGCCTCCGGGGACCTCAGGCTCAGTCACCTCTGACCCACCCAGTTGGAGGATGAACCTCACCAGCAAAAGACAAAACCCAGCCCAGGGAAGGCCCCCATCCCTGCAGCCCCTCCCAGGCCTCAAGTCTCACAGACCGAGGAGCGGCAAGCCTGAGGCCCGGGGCCTTCCTTCCTGCCCAAACCCGCCAATCGGGCTCCAAAAACAGAAAACCAGAGGCAGCAGCCCAGATAGAAATCTACCAAAAAATAAAGTAGGCAGCCACAGGCAACACTAGCCCTGTGGCCCCACACGGAGACAAGCATTTTCCTGGGCAAGTGCCACTGGAAGAGGGCGATCCCCGCCTGGAGCCTGCTGCCCTGCAGAGCCCTTCCCTGCAGCTCCCTCTCCCCACAACAGAGGCCAGGCCTGAGGGAGGCCACACAGGGACGGGAGGTCGCGCCCTCACACACACCCCACCAGGCCAGGGTTTCGAAACCCCGTCAACTCCTTCTCCGAGTGGTCCGAGGGACAGCGGCTGGGATGCCACAAGCACCGCTGCCCTAAGATGGAGATCACAGCCCCAGAGGCGGCCCAGGGCCTGGACCCTTTTTGGGGCACCAGACTCACGGGCAGTCTGGAGGGCTTCCCGTAGGCCCTACAGCACTGGATCAGCCCCTGTCATAGCTCCCCCCTCCCTGTGCTGTCACCTCCCTGCTCTGCAGGGGTCATCCCTCATCCAGACCCAGCTTGGGGGTGGGCACCCAGAGTGGCCGGGTGAAGGTACAACAGCCAAGGGGACAATGGCCTCCGCTCTCAAGCAGAAGCATGAACATCCACACACATCACAGCCTGAGGATGCGGGAGGCCCAGCAAGGAGAGCCCCGGGCTGGACTCAGGAAGCCTGGGTTCAACTCCAGCTCTGGCATCTGCCAGCAGGGTGGGGCACCTCACGGGCCTGGGCCCCTGGTTCCTCACCAGGTAAGCTCTGTCGTGCAGGGCTCATGGGAGAAGCAATGGGGATAAAGGAGGAGGGGGGCTCCAGGAACTCAGGGAACCACCCAGAGCAGGGCCAGGAGCTCGACCACCTCTGGAGCCACCCCAAGCTACCCACAGCTTTCCAGGTCCTCGGGAAATCCAGAGAGGGAAAGGCTGGCCCCGCACACAGGCATCAGGACAAGTCCTCCTGCTGCTCACGGGGGCCTTGAGTCTGTGTGCTCCCCAGGGCCTCACTGCTTGAGCACCCCCAATGCCCCGAGGGGCAGACAACAGAATCCCCCAGTCCTTTTGGAAAAGCATCTCTGCTTTCACAAGAGAAGCACAGGGTCTGGACAAAAGGAAGGGCAGGGAGGGGAAACAAAGAGCCCAAGACTGGTGTCCTAACCTGCCATGGGGCTTGTGGCGAGCCCCTTCCCCTCTCTGGGGCTCGGTCTCCCCATGTGTACAATGAGGAGCGTAAATCAGACCAGGGGTCGCCACCCAAATGCCAAGAAAGGGATCGGGAATGTGGCCCCCGCCAGACGCTGCCAGGAGGACATGTGGGCCTGGGGTTTCCAGGCCTTTGGGTTTTATAAAGTGAAGCCAGAAGTCTGGAGTTTTCTGTGCATCCACCTCATCTTTAAATATTTGTAAAACATGCTCCTGGCCAAGTGAAACAGGACTGCGGCCAGAATCGGCCCACAGGCCATCCATCTGCAACTTCTTGCCGGTCCCTCCCAACTCAGAGCCCCGATGATCCTAGAATTCCAGAATTGTTGCAGTCAACAAACATTCAATGCTTGTTACAGTGCCCCCAGAACCAGGAGGCACCCGAGACCATGCACCCACCCCAGGGGGCCGTCACCGCCCCCACCCCCACCCCACCGGTCCCACTTACATCTGCACATGCGGTGGCTGGAAGCGGCCCTGGTTGATGTTGTAGAAGGTGAAGGCCTGGGTGGGGTTGGAGCTGTACTCGTCCACCTCGATGATGAGCCGGCTGTGCTGGTGCCGCCGAGCGGCCATCACGTGGGACTGGGAGAATGCCATGCCCAGGCCGCAGGGGAGGAGGGCCAGGGCCTCCGCCTTCAGGACGCTGGCATCCCACCTAGAGCGCCACATGGACCTCCGCCGGCCGCCCCGGCATCTCCCACCGCTGCCGCCACCGCAGCCCGGCCCCCCGCCAGACCTGGAAACAGACTGAGGAGACGGAGCAGAACCGTGCGACAGTTAATCTGTTTGGGATTTGCTTTATTTAATGTCAGATGAAGATTTAGAAAGAGGGAGAGGGCGGGGGGAGAGGAAAAAAAAACACAGTCGTACAGCTCAAAAACTCATTACAAATCTTTCCAACTCAGCAGTTTGATGAATATACTTTGGTAAAAAGAAAAGGGAAGGGAGGGAGGGGACAAGAAAAAAAAGAAAAAAAAACAACCCACAGCACTGTGGACGGATGCATGCATGGCTCAACGTGTTTAAATACTTAAGACATTTTTTTTTTCCTTCAACAAAATCCTCCCGAGCCTACAGGGTGACAGTGAGCTGGGGTAAGACAATGGCTGGTATTTTGTAAACAGGTGAGTTAAGTTTTACTTTTCAGAATTGGGGAACAGGAAGGATTCTCCTACAACCCTCCCCCATCCTCCACAGACCCCCAAACACACCCACATGGCCCCACGCCCACACCCCTGCAAGCCTGAGCAGGTGGAGACAGCACGGGCGAAAATTCCTCCCTCGACATCGATTTCATCTAAAGATATCTTTTAGTGGTGCCCTGAGAAGGGATTTTCCCAGACATAGATGGTCACATACCCACTGGCTCAGGGATGGTAGTGCAGGTAGGGGCAGAGATGGTGAGGGAGGAGGAACCTTTTGCAAAAACCTCCTCCGATGCCTCACTACCATCTCTCTCGTAAGGATCTCGGGAACCCTAATGTGCCCCGTCAATCTTTGAATTGCAGCTTGAGAATGCTGCAATATTTTTCAAATCTTTTTCACGGGGAAGTGCAGTTTGCATTTATATTTACTGGACTTAAATATCCCTCCAACCGACCCCACCTTGGGGTCAGTGTAGAACTCTGTAGAAACTTGGAAATGCAGGCCCCAGGTGAGGCCCCATCCTACCCCAACACACAGCACAATGGCCGACGCCTCGTTAGTCAGACCATTGAGTTGTCTTGTTCCTTTTCATAATTATTTTTTAAACTGTGTAAATGGGAAATGCCTTGAAGACTTTTTGTCGTTGTTTTCAGTTTGGGTCATTAAGACCCTCCAACGATTCCTTTTGCGCTGTATTTAACCAAGGAGAAAATAACATCATTTAAACTATTCCTGGACACTCATATCGCAATCACATTAAATGAAGAAAAATCCCCTTTGCTTTGCGCTTGGAAGAAGAATCGACACAGTCAGAAAACAAATTAGATTAGGAAAAAGACAAAAATTAGAGACTGGAGAACATTTTAATTATGTGCAAAGGAGAAATGGGTTATTAATTTTTTTAAATCTTGATCATCTCCCTAGAAGGTGAAATAAATAGCAATATCCTCCTTCTCCCACAGACCTCTAAAGACACTTCCTGATTCCCAAAACATATCCCTCTTCTCCACCTGCAGAGACAAGGGGGAAAAAAATCTCCCTTTTCCTGGGGACACACTTGCGCCATTGTTTTGTCCTGTGGGTTGTTTCAAAGTGAATTGGCTCTCCCTGCAGGTGCTACGCAACAGAACTGTAGGTGGGGGAGCAGGGGCCTGCACCCCTCTTGTCTGTAACTGCTGCCCGGCACCCAGAAGGCCTGGGAAAGGGCTCAGGGCACCAGATGCCAAGTTTCAGGACGCCGCATACTCTGAGCCAGGCCCGCCCAGATCTGGACGGGGGTCAAGCCCCAGCATGGCTGACTTGCTGTGTGACCTTAAGCCAACTTCCTAACTTCCCTGAGCCTCCAGCTTCCTCTTCTAGAAGATGGATTTGAGGCCCGGTGCAGTGGCTCACACCCGTAATCCCAGCACTTCGGGAGGCTGAGACGGGCGGATCACCTGAGGTCAAGAGTTTGAGACCAGCCTGGCCAACATAGTGAAACCCCCTCTCCACTAAAAACACAAAAATTAGCCGGGCACTGTGGTGCACACCTGTAATCCCAGCTACTTGAGAGGGTGAGGCAGGAGAATTGCTTGAACCCAGAAGGCAGAGGTTGCAGTGAGCCGAGACAGCGCCACTGCACTCCAGCCTTGAGACTCTATCTCAAAAAAAAGAAAGAAAAGATTTGATAGTAGCAATGCCACCTCCTGGGGGTTGTGCAGGTTAAATGAAGAAGTAAGCAGGAATCCTGAGTACAATGCCTGGTGGGTCCCAGGCGCCGGCTCACCTCAGCTGTGATGGTCACAGTCACTATTCTGCTCAATTTGATCCTTGCATATTGAGGAGCTGCTGTCAGCAGGTGCTGCCTGAGTACTGGACACCCTTGGTACGAGGGTGTCAAGTGCGAACCAAGGGGCCAGTTCCAGGAGCAAGGGGTGCCAGACAGGCCCTGGAGAACTCAAATATTTCTCAAATGCAAGCTGACCACATCACATCTCTACTTGAAATCCTTGCGGTGGCTTCTCTGATAAAATCCCTTGACCATAAGACCCTGCATGGTCTGGCCCTACGACTGGTCTGGCCTCTACTTGAGCCACACAGGCCGGCCCCCGGTGGCCTCTTGCACCTGGAGGCCTACAGCTCACAGGGGCCATGCTCTTGTTCAGAGCCACACAAGTCCAACACTTTTTGAGAGTCTTCCTCTGTAATGCTCACCACTAAGAGACAGATATTGATGCCCATGTCTCATGTTTGACAAATGATCAAGGGTACATCCCACAGAAGTGACGTCTCATTGCACAGAGAGTAGGTGGCAGGGCTGGGCCCCCAGACCTAGCTGCCTGGCTTCCGCCTCTGCCCTCCTCTCCCGCTGGCTGAAGCTGACACCCTTCCTCTCAGCAATGCCGGGGTCTCCTCGGAGAGGCCTGGATCTGGGGCCTTCATTTCAGGGTCCCAGGAAGAGCCCGGATGTCCCCTGAGGGCAGGGTCGGGCTCCCCCCTTGTGCACCCCATGTGTCAGCTCCGGCCCCCAGCAGCTCTGTGACCCTGAGCAAGCGGCTGAACCTCCAGAAGCTCTGTTTCCTCTTCTACAAAATGGAAAGAAAAACAGTCCCTACCTTGTAGAGTCATGAATATTCAATGAGATGACACATGTAAGCTGCTGATCACAGAGCCTAGCAGACAGTAAGTGGTCAATAAATGTTAGCTAATATTATTGTTATAACATGATCACCCCACGGCCTATCACAAATACTTCATCAGTAGTATTAGTGGATGGATGGAGGCAGGGAGGGAGAAACGGATGGATGGAGGCATGGATGCAGAGACGATGAGGGGACAGAAGGACATACAGAATGTCTGGAGACTTTGCCTGGTGCCCAGCAGAGGCTTGGCAGAGGGTGGGTGTCAGGAGAGCTTAGCTGAAGACCGAAGAGTCACTGCCCCCTCTCCATCTTACCCACCTTGCATATCCAGCAAGGAGGCTGCCAGGCTGGCACAGCCCTTGTGAAAAGGGGTTCCAGGGGCCCCCACCCGTCTTTGCCCCAGAGGAGCAGGCGCTAGCATGCAGACAGCCTGCAGTCGAGGGAGAACCGCTCTGCACCAAAGGGACTCAGCCGGGAAAGGCAGGCGGCAAGGCTCCCGGAGGCGCTCCGCGCTGAAATGCTGCATTTCACATAAAGGGGGTTCGCAACGGGCCCTGCTCAGAGAAATCCGGGAAACTGGAAACGCAACGGCTTCTTTTAATGCCCATTTAATATTTATGGAGCCGCAGCAGCACGTTAGCCACCGTGCGAGGAGGCGAGCATTCTCCGCCGTGCAGCCGATCCACGGAGGAGGCGCAGCATCTCCCAAACAAACAGCTTTGAGCTAGGAAGCGTTTACACCCGGTCCTCAAAACAGCACAGCACGCGAGCGATGCAGTGGTGCCCCGGGACCCGCCGCAGGGAGACCGCCTGGGCTCCCAGCCTGGCTCTCAGTCCAGCGGAGTGACCTTAAGCAAGTCATGCATCCTGATGGGGCTGCAGATGCCTCCCCAAAATGGAACTACGGGGGAGGATGGATGGATGGAATGAATGAATGAACGCATGACTTATTCAACAACCATTAGCCAAGGCCCTACATGCTCTCCCTGTTCCAGGTGCCAGAAAGGGCAATGGAAAAACAAAGAGGCTCCTGCCCTTGAGGAACATGGGACGGGGTGGAGGGGGGACAATAAAGTAAACAAAGAATTAAACAGAAAAGACACTTTCAGCTAATAATCAGTACCTGGAAAAAGACAGAACAGGGTGATGGTTTGACTAAATTGGGTGATCAAGAAAGGTCTATCTGGGCTGGGCATGGTGGCTCACACCTGCAATCCCAGCACTTTGGGACGCCGAGGCGGGAGGATCACCTGAGGTCGGGAGTTCGAGACCAGCCTGACCAACATGGAGAAACCCTGTCTCTACTAAAAATACAAACAGCCAGGCGTGGTGGTGGGCGCCTGTAATCCCAGCTACTCGGGAGGGTGAGGTAGAAGAATCACATGAACCGGGGAGGTGGAGGTTGCATTCAGCCGAGATCGTGCCACTGCACTCCAGCCTGGGTAACAGAGTGAGACTCCATCTCAAAAAAAAAAAAAATGTCTATCTGAAGCGGCATCACCTCACACACCAATGACACCCCGACCTGGGGAATGAGAACCTGGGCAGAGGGAGGGGAAGTGCTAAGTCCCTGAGGCCTGGGCGGCCTGGATAAGTGGCCTCACTCTTTCGTTGTCATGGGTCACTGGCATGCTTCTGCCATGGAGGACAGCCTGGACTCTGAAGTCAGAGAAAGAAGGGTTCCCATTAAATTCCATCTCAGGCTGCTGAGCGGTAGGACACTGGGAAAGTCACTCAACCTCTCTGTTTCCACTTCTTCAGTGGTCCCCTTGAGGGGTTACAGAGGGGCTGGAACAAACCTTGTACCTGCCCATAAAGGCCCAGTGAACCCAGAGTGGGAGACTCCAGGTCCCCGCAGCCCAGCACTCCTTGAAAAATTCCCTCTGGTTCTAAGGGCTTGCTTTTCCAAAGTCTGATTCTCTTATCAGATGGTTTCTCTTTCCGTTTTCCTCTCAGAGACATTTATTTGTTGTTCCTTGGGTACTGTGAGTCCAGTGAGGCCAGGGTGCTCCAAGGAGAACCTGGGTGTCAGCCAAGACACCAAGGAGCAGGTCCCATTTGACGCCAACTGTATGGAAAGCTGGTGTCTAGGAAAGAGGTCCGACTCCAGGACCCACCTCTCTGTGCCTCTCTCTGACCACCCCCCACCCCCAAACTTGTCTGGTCTCCTGGCGGTCTTGACCCCCCATCACCATGGTCACACCACACCGGCCTCCCGAAGGAATGTCCTAGAACTCACCTCTGCCCGTGCCATTCCCTCTGGCACACCCAGCACCCTCTAGAGCAGCTGCCGCCCTCAGGTGAACTCAGCACCTCAGGTCAGCTCAGGAGGCTGCACCTGGCCCCAGCCCCACTCCCACTTCTCAGGCCCGGCTCAGTCATGCAGGCTTTCCCTGGCACAGAGGGGGTCCTGCCTTGAAGCCTCCACGAATGCTATTCCCTCTGTCCAGAAGGCCCTGCACCCAACCCCACCCCTGCGTTCACCCTCGTTTCCTGACACAAGCCCACTCAGTCTCAGAAAGCTCAGAGCCTCAGAAACACCTTCCCTGACCTCCCCTGGCTGGGTCAGGAGCCTCCACCCACAGCCCCCAAGGCTTCCTGTAACAAAACTCCCAACACACAGTCGGCTTTTTATCTGAACTGAATGAAACGCCAAAGAATAAAATGATATGTGAATGAATGAATGAGAGAAACTACACAGGCCTTTGAGTCTGACAGCAGGACTCAAAAGCAGCTTTGCCCCCCTTAATCTTAGTTTTTCACCTACAAACATGTGGATTCTCAATCCTTCCTTCCTGGGCTGCTGGAGCACTGAAGGACACAGGAGATTCAAAAGCCCCTGCCAGGGCCTAGCACACAGGAGGTGCTCACTCCATGTCTCTTCCCCTCTAGTTAGAAAGTTCTGATGAACTCAGAAGCTCCCCAGGGAAATTTCAAGAATGCAGAAGGGATTTTCAAGCAACCCCTCCTCTCCTGCCTGAAAGCCCATGGTGCCTGGCCCCTTCCTTCTCGCCCCACCGAGTAAGACTCTGAGGCTTTGACTTCCCAGGGAGTTGTGGCTGGACACGTCCACTACAACCCACCCTTGACACGTTTTTCTAGGCAAATTCTTCACCACCACCCCCATCTGGACACTGCAGGGCACTGGTCAGCCCCAACGCACCCACTGCTGCTCCTGCTCTGGGCCAGATCCTGTTCTGGGAGCCACAGGACCCAGACACGAAACTAGCCCTCCAAGGGCTCAGACCCGGCGAACCAGCCAGGCAGAAAACAGACCTCCTCAGAACTCTATTTTGAGGAGTTGCAGTGGAGGGGGTCTGTGGGCCCCTAAGAAGGCCCCCACCAAACAGCGAGGCCAGCCAGTGTGTGCTGAAGGCCCAGGAAGGAGAGAGAGAGAGGCCTTGGCTCACACAGAGCATCTCAGCAGCAGATGAATGTTTGCAAAAGAGATGCTTGGATCATTCTGGTGGCCCCTCTCTGTCCGAAGATGTGTGAGGAAGATCTTGGAGGATTGCACTACCAGAGGAGCTGCTGCCCTGCAGACCAAAGATAGATTTTGCTTCACCGTGTGACTTGAAGCATCACTTCCAGCCAACACAGGCCTCTCAAACTCAGCGCAGGCCCAGGACAGCCCCAGTTCACATCTGCTGTCCCTGTGCCACTATTACCAGCATCCTCTCCGGCTCTCGAAAGTGCTCTCGTTTGGAAGGAAAAGGTCACTCTGATCAAAGCCAGTGCCAGGCCGGTAAGGCAGCCATCCCCAGAACACACCTGTGTTTCTCTTCCATTCATCGGCAGCTCTTTAACAATCACTGGGGGGCTAGCATAATATGGTGCTGTCCTGGGTCCAAAACTCGGATGACAGTCAATGAGCACACAGAAACGACTGTCTTATTAAGCATGAGAAGCTTCCAGAGAAACATCTCCCCCAACAGCCATCCCCGCTGCGGCGTTCTGAGGAACCCCACCTTGGAAAGCTTTCACCAGGATCCTAGACGCACCTTGGCTCCGTCTCCTCTTGGGGCCTTTAACTGAGAGTAGGAGCGACTGAATAGCCCCAGCCTCTCTGATGGGACAGCCAAAAGTGCAGCTGCCTGTCTTCAGGCCGGTGGCTCAGGGCGATGCAGAGAAAAAGCCGGCTTGGCTCAGCAAAGGCAGTGCTTACTAGGGCTTTTGTTGCAATGTGGCGAAATGTCACAGAGAAACCACACTAACCCTTCCTAAGTGGTCCCTGCAAGCAAAATGCAGGAGATAATATTTAACAGAAAAGTACCAAGGTGTGGGGGTCTGGGGAGAATTGTTTTACAAGCGACAATTCCCACACAAGCTCAAAAATCACTTTTAAATCATATTTTCTTTCCTTGTTTTGCCTCTGCTTGAAAATATGCAATTGATGAGCCCATAGTAGAAAATGCCATAAAAGGAAAAAAAAAAAAAAAAGCAGAGGGACTCAAAGGAAAAGAAGCAAATACCCCAATGGGAGAAAAAAAATCAGACCTCGTCCCACCATGTCCTAAAATGACAGACCTTTGTGTTTGATCTCCTTCCCAATCAAGTGTGGGATCCCAAGGAAAAGAAACACTGGCCAGCAGCTGGTATTATCAGCTAAGCTGAATAAGCTGATGAGTTCAGTAGATGAAGGAATCCACAAATAAAGTGAAAATTAGCCCCTATTCCTTGCAAAAGGATCAACCACAGTGACTTTAAAGCATTTACCACTTAAAAACCTTTTAGCTGGGCCCATTTTGAATTATGACTACATGATTTTAAATTACACTTTCTAATTCCTCACCACCGCCACCCCCCAGCAGTCTCTGCCGCTTCATTTTCCAATTATGTACTTTTATTTCGGAATATGAAGAGTGCTACTTACTGGATCATGTCCTGTCTGCCACAAATAGCTGCTCACTTATTCCTTTAATTTTAGCTATGAATGCAGTCGGCTCGCCGGGCTTGTCTTCAAATTCTGAATATTCTCCATTCCCATTGCACAGAACGAGCCCCGAGACGCAAAGAAACACACAAAGCTCGGGCAGAGAAATATGTTTGTAAACCAGTGCTCTACTCCATAAATTATTATAATTCTTGGTGCTTTCTATATCCATCTAGCAGATCAGCGATCACATAAATAATAGCAAGTGGACTGATTTTTCTTCTGCAAAGTGCTACGTCCTAGTTTTCAAAATAAAGCACTTGGAGAGTCACGTATCTATGGAGTTGAAATGGGAAGCTGTTCAGATCTGTTTCAAACATGCACACAGACATATCCACACACAAAAGGAAATAGGAGGTAAATGTGTAAAACTCAGCATCGTGTCCCCTTCCCGCTTATATATCAAGTCACACTCAACAGGAATGGGGGTTTAGCACATACATGGCTAGGGAGGGGAAGAGGCTAGAGGGCTGTGGTTGCTCAGGATTCAAATACAATTTGCAAAGAAAGTAAATGTGGATTTACAGTTCTTGTGGAAATCTATTAAACAGATGTCACTGAAGCATAATCAAATCAGCACTATGGCAATTCTACACTTAAGTCTGATATTGGGGTTTTGCCATTTTTATGATCAGTTCAAGTGTATGTTTTGTGATGGTGCAGGAATTTGCAATTAAGGATGAAACCTCCCAAGTATGATCAATTAACTAACGTGCCTGAATGACAAACTTACAAATGCAAAACTCCATTCTCACCAGCCCCCAACCACTGCATTGTGCAGGGAACCCAGGGCAGAAAAAGGGTTAGGGGAGAGAACCTTTGCCTCTTCTGTGAACACTGAAACACTAAAAAGCGCTTTGTCAGGAAGAAGGGAAAGGCAGGTTGCAGGAAGGGATTACATTTCTCAGGTAGCCAGTGCAATATATTTTGCAGGCTTGCAGACTGCAGCACTGTCCGGAAAATGCAAAAGAATGAAATGAAGGGGAAACGATGAGAGTGTTAGAAATTGGAAGCAGGCATCATTTTCTCCTTGAAGTGATGAAATTAGCCTGGGCGATGCCAAAAGTCTCTTCGTGTGCATCAACGCTGAGCCTCACATCCTTCTTGGAAGGAGGAGACGGGAATGCGAAAGTGGGCAACAGACAAGTCACATTTTATAGAAACAAACTTTCAGGTGTAGATTGGGGTGGTGGAAAGAGGAGCCTACTCATCCCTGGCTTTGAACTGGATGCAGAGCAGAGTCAACCAGAAGGGAGAATTTTATTTATTTATTTTTTCCCGCAGCTGCTTCTATTTATGATGATGACCTGGTTCTGACATTAAGCTGGCCAAGTTCAGGTCCAAGAAAATCCCCCACAGAGTAATTCATGAAAAGGCCTGAAAAGGCCACGGAACACCTCAAATCACAATTTGATTTCAAAATTAATACCTATAATCTCAATTTGTTATGATTTTTTTATGAAATTGGGCTGCCCTCATTGGTCACAGATATTTTAAGTGGAAATAAAGTATAACTAAGTCTTGTCTCATTAGGGGGAAAAAAGTCAAAATAAAGTAAAACATTTGTGTTGGCAGCAGACCTGTCAGGTCACCAGGGAGAACCATGGTGAATCAAATTAACTGAGAAGCAATTTATACCTTTCCTCCAATACCACCCCCAAAAAGGGGTCTCTTATTTTTTTCCTGTTGGGTTTTTTGTTTCTTTCCTTTTTTTTTTTTTTTTTTTTTTGCTTTTGACATTTTAGTCACCTCTTCAAACTCAAGTCAGACAACTTCAGTGGCAGTCTGGAAGGGATGCTCACTGATGGTCTCATTACATGGGGACATCCACACAGCAAGAACGAGGGCTGCAGGGAATGGCTTTCGGAGTGCCCCAGGCTACATTAAACGGTTCTTGCTGTGGGAAACAGTGCCTTCATCCCCTCTTCTCCCTGCCACCCCCAAGTGTTGGACACTTCTGGTCCTAGAGGGTGAGGCGCCCAGGCCAGAAGGAAGGCCCCTACCTCTTATCGGAGGTGCCATCGACTTTGATCTGTGGGTACGGAGGGAGCCTGAGAAGCTATTCCCAGGCCTCTGCACCTGGGGAGCCCTTTGCCCCAGGACCCTTGCTCCAGAAGGGCAGGCAGACAAAGGTACTTATTGCTGAACGGAAAGATCTCAGGGAGAAGAAGAATGGAAAGGGGGAATTCGTGAAAAGACCCTTTTTTGTTCCCGGTGAGGGAGGGGCGATGGGAGAGACATGTCACATTGTCACATTAAAGACTTTGACAGACAATCCAGGGATAACGCAGAAATTCCACCCTTAACTGCAGCCTGATGCAACTTGAAAGGCATTAACTAACCTCCACTAATTGCATGTTTTTCTGTGCATAATATTTACTTGTTAAAAGTCTTTGCCTGGCTGATTAATTTCCTCTGCCCCCGGTATTCATGATCAGTTCACAGGCCTGAAATTGGGAAAATGAAGTCATTTTGATAGACTAAAAGATGATTGCACTTTGGGGAGGGTTTTCTTTTTTTCCAGAAGTCCAGACCCGCACCCAGAATGCTGATTTTTCTCCTTAATGCTGCCCTTCACGGAATCCCAGCGACCACCGTCATTCCTCAAACAAGCAGAGAGAGATGTGTCCTGTATAAAGTGAGCATACCAAGGCCCGTACTGCCTAGTTGGGAAGGTAGCAAAGTTCAAAGAAGAACAAATGAACTTAAGCCACATTCATTGGATGAAGATTTAAGAGTCTCATGGGTGAGCTGGGAATTTATTAAAAGCAGGCTTTTCAAGAACGATGATTCCCTACATCAGTCTGTGTATTCCTGACAGTTGGGGCTCAAGTAAAACACCCTAAAATTCTTATTGTTCGCCTAGATCTAAACCTGTCCTATCTGTCTACAGGCATAGCCCACGGGGCATCAGCCAGGGTGGATGTGAGTGATTCTAAGCGTACCACGGGGTGGTTACATCAGAGGTACCTCCTCGGCCATGTAGGTGACTCTCTGAACCCATCCACATCACCAGTACAGGGACCTCATTCAATCCAGGTCTTCCGAAATTCCTGGGGCCGAGAAATAAATAGGAAGGCAGTCCCACACTGAAACACTTCCGAACACACGATTAAGCCTCCGTGACTGGATTATCGCCTTTTGACTAGCCATCGCCCAATTAATGTACCTCCAGTGAGCAAGCACTAGAATCGATGGAACCATTCCACCGAAATCCATCTCCAGAAAAAGATTTTACAAGTGTTGTGGGGCTGCCACTCAGAAAGCCAATTTGCAAGGAGCCCAGCACGGTGAAGCGCAGTTTATCATGCGTGGTTCCCACACAGAGGGCCCCTGCAGACTGCGCCTGGCTCCAGAATGCCTCCCTAGCACCACAAGCTCAAACGCATTGAGGTTCTCCCCTGCCTCAGCCCGGCCGAATCCATCAGCACCCTCCCCAAATAGTCTCTTAGAGCCCTGGCTCCTGTACACCAAGATCTGGCTTCCGACTGGACGTGGCAGTCAGCTGGTGGCCTCTCCAACATCGCCCTGTGCCAGGTTTCTCACCAAGTTGGTTTAATTTTTTTTTTTTTTTTGCAAAGTCCAGTCAGATTATTGACAGTGCCTGTCTGCCTGACCCGCCCCCGCCCCCCGGCGCCGCAGATCCCTGCTAACAAGTCTCCCAGTGCCATTCAACTCCCGTGAGCCAGCTCCGCCATTCAACAGCCAGCCCACTTTTGTTCCCCCAGTTTAATTTCATAATTGTTTGCCACTTAACAAGCTCTCCTCTGGGCCATTCAATAGAGCAGGGGAAATGGGGAGGGGGAAGGCAAAGAAACTCTGGGAGGGGAGCTGGGAGCCAGGCCAGCCCAGCACTGGGGAAGAGACATCCCAGAGAGGTCAGCTGGACAGGGGTGGGGGCCAGTTCCGGAGTGGAGCCTCCTGACACCAACTGGGCCACCCAGCTTGAGCCCGGAGAGGTGGGAGGGAAAGGAGCAGGGTGAGTTCCGAAGGCCAGGCCGGGGCCTGCCAGACTCCTGGGCACATCAGTGCTCTGAATGACACGCCTCTGGCCCTGCCAGGGTGAAGGGAGACAGCATGAATTCACGCTCCCGTAACATGTCCCAGAACAAACACACAGGAGACAGAACTGCTCCTTAGTTTGGGCATTCCATGATCAACATTCCCTTTGAGGGCTGGGACCTGTCTAGGTAGCCACTGAATCCCCTGGCCGAGCACATAGCAGACAGGAATAAATATGTGTTGAGTGAGTGGATGGATGGATGGATGGATGGATGGATGGATGGGAGGGAGGGATGAATGGATGGAAGGAAATGGATGAAGTTTCCAGCAATACCTAGCAAAAGTGGCCACTCGGCCAGCGTTCGTTCCCTATCTCTTCCCCCCCAAGTGCCAGCAGGGGCTTGGCAGCGCACACAGTAGGCTCTCTACAAGCGGGGGCTGCTATTGTTACCACTATCATCATCACTGGCACTCCACCAGCCCGCTGCTTCCACCAGCTACTCCGCCAGCAGCAGCAGCGACTGGCGAGCAAGGGAAAAGTTTCGCTGACCCCGCGGCCCCAGCCGGAGTCCCGCGCCCTGGCGGAGCCCCCTCCCGCCGCCGCCCGCTAGGCAGGCGGGGCAGCTGGGGTGCCCAGCCCGCTTCCCGCACCCGGCAAAGGCGGCCAAAGTAACTTTGCGGGCGCCCCTGCGCAGCGCCGCGGGCGTCGCCCAGCGCCTGGAGAGGGTCCCGGCCGCGCCCCGCGCCCGGCCTCCCGCCCGCGCCCGCCGCGCCCCGCCCGCCTCCGGTCCTACCTGGCCCCGGGCTCCTCTTCGGCGGCCGCGGCGGCTGCGAGCAGCAGCGCGCACCGAGGGAGGCAGGGGCTCCCGGGAGGGAGGCGCGCAGGGGCGGGGGCTCCTCCGGCGGCGGCCGCCTCGCCGCGCGTCCGAGGCTGCAAGTGGGAGCCAGACTCCTCCTTCGTGGGGCGGGGGGCTCCCCGCGCCCCCTCCGCCGCCCGCCCGCGCGCCGCGAGGCTCCGAGCCTCCTTGGCTCCCCCCGCCCGCCGCCGCCCGCCTCCCCACGCCCGCCCTCCCCGCCTCTCCGCGCCCGGCCGCCGGGAGGGGCGCGCTCGCGGCCTCGGTCCCGGCCCTTGCGCCGCCACCCGCCGGGGCCCCCGCCAGGCCCGCCAGGCCTCGGCCCTCGGCCCCCGCCCGGGCTCGGAGTCCGCATCCCGCTGCGGAGGGACAGGGAGCGCGGCCGCGGGCCTGGACGCGGGAGGAGGAGCGGGGCCCGCGCTGCGGAAAAGGGAGGGGGCCGCCCCACTGCGCCCGGCGCCCCTCTTGGCGCCCGCCCCCAGCCCCGGACCGGGCCGCGCGCGGGCTGGGCAGGGAGCGGGGCGGGGGCGCTCTCACCTCCGGATCCGTGGCCTCCGCAGCGGGCACCGCGTGCAGGGGCGTGCGCGGCTCCTTCCGGGGCGCCGCAGCCTTCGCCCGAGGCCCGGACCCCCTCCTGGGGCCGCCGGGGCACCCTGCTGTGGGCCCCTCCCGCCCGGGGTCTGGAAGGTCCCCCTCCGGAGACGGAGACACTCTGACCCCAGCTCCCAGTCTGAATAGGTCGGGGTCCTCCTCCTGGGCCACCATCTCTTCCACTCGGGAGTCACAGGTCCCCAATCCCGGGCACAGCAGGTAGCCTGCAGCGGCCGGAGCCCCAACGGGATGGGTAAACAAGTCAGGAACTCAGACGGCGCGACACCCAGTGTAAAGAGGCCCTGCCTTGCTGGGAAGAGCAGAGACCATCGCCTTCAGTGTCGGGGGTCACCCTGGGGAGTTTAAGGCCCTGTGGCTTCCAGCCCCTTGCCGCGGGTGGGACGGGGATTCCAGGGCCTTGTATAGTTAGGGTGCAGATCACTCTGGCCTGGGCCTCCCAGACTGAGAGGAAGATGAAAAGGGGCTGTGGCTCCTCAGAGGCCCAAAGCCCCTCAACAAATGCTTGTAGGGTCTCCCTTCACCAACACACACATCACACAATCCCCAAGGACACCCTCTGCGGGCCCCTCAGGCCTATTCTGCCCCTGAGGACTGCTATCTGGTGTGGCTTCCTGGAGGTGGGGACAGCCCAGTTGAATGAGTGTATGCCAGGAGAGAAGGCCTGGAAAAGACATCCAGGCCGAGGGAATGCGGCATGCAAAGGCCTTGGCATGTGAGTTCATTGGGGCTAGAGACAAAGGAAAAGCAAGGGAGGGAAGATGAGGTGGCAAGGCTGGGAGTGAGGGAACAGAAGCCAGATCGGGAAGAGCCTTGGATAGACTTTATCAGGGGCAGTGGGAGCCATAGAGGGTTTTTAAGCAGGGCTGTGACTTGGTCACGTTTATCTTTTTACAGCTTGTTCTGGCACCTCTAAAGACAGAGGTAGAGGGGGAGAGGCTGGGCTATGGAGGGAGAGGATGGAGGCCTGGGGCCCTCAGGCCAGAGATGGGGGGCAAGGGCTGGCCGAGGAGTCCTGAGGCAGTCACCCCCTCCTGCTTCCTTGTCTTTAGACCCCAATTCTCTCTCAGGGAATCCCAAACTCAACCCGGGAGCCTCTTTCTCCTCCTAGGCTACAGGCTTCCTGAGCACCGTGACTTCGAGGGAGGTGAAGGAGAAAACTGTCATGCCTGCCTGGGAAGGCGGCTTGGACTCAGTGTCTCAGCAGACCCCACCTGCCGCCTGCCTGGGACAAAGCCACAGCTTGGCTGTGGCCTCTGGAGATCACAAAGGACAGTGACAAATGTGCCTTCCTGGTCCCTGGGTCGAGAGCAGAGGTTCCTGTGACACTTGTCCTCCAAGGCCAGCTTCCCCACCACCTCCAGTCCTACCAGAACTACCCTCAAGTCCCAGAGCATCATCTCTTACCTTCCCAGGGTACACATTTATTGAGCATCTACCATATTCCTGGCACTCGGCACTTGCTTTGAAGCCAAGCATGAGCTCTCCACCAGAGGGACCTGGTGCTACCTGCACCACCCAGTCCCAGGCGCAGAGCTCTCAGCTTGACCCACACTGTCTTATGTAGCCCTCATGCCTCCCCTGGGCCAGGCTGCATCCCAGAGGTCAGCCTCCCCAGCGCCTAGTGCTGCATCCCACAGGGCCTGGCACTCTGTAGGTGCCCAGGGAATGGTCCCTAAAAGATGAGGGAATGAGGAGTGTGGGATGGGCAGGATAGACCCACTCCTAAAAGAGCAACCATTCTGGCAAACACAGCACACATTCTGCTTTTGGAAAAATTTAATAACACAGTGGCACTTGTTCATGGAGACTAATAGAAACACCACACAATCCCACACTGCTAAACCAGCCAGGAGATGGCTCGTTCTGCTGGAAAACATTTCCTAGGCGCCTACTACGTGCTGGAGGCCAAGGCAGAGAAGGAAGAGAAGGAAGGCACTCTGTCATGGGAGAAGCAGAAGGTCAGCAGATACTCATGACACCAGGGAGAAGAGGGCAGCCCAGGGCAAGGAGAGCAGCACATGCAGCCAGGACACTTCAGAGGAGGCAGTGTGTGTGCTGCAGAAGAATCTAGGGATAAATGGGAGAGGGGCAGCCAGGCAAAGGGACCAGCCTGTGCAAAGGCTCAGAGGCTCCAAAGTGCATGTGCGATATCCCCTGGCCAAGAAACTCACCTTCCAGAAAGGCGTCCTGAGGCAGTAACTGCAGGCTGTTTATAGCAGCCCAGAAGTGAAAGCAACCTAAATGCCCAGCCAGAGGGGATCCGTTTTTTAAATCCTGCTATGTCTGGGGAGTTTCAAATAGCCAAGTCCTGTTGCTGAAATGCCACATGGGAAAATGGGCTCCATGCTCACCACCCATCCCGCGAACGAGCGAAGCAGGTTACACCAGAGTGTGCCCGAATCTGTGTTTTGAAAAATGAAAAAATAGAGGGAAAGAGGAGAAAGAAGTCAGGAAGTAAATACAGCAAAATTTCAACCCTGATGATAAGATTTTGGGTGGGGGTTGGGGGAGTCTACTTTATTTATGGGAATTTTTTGTCTCCTACTTTCCCGCGATCATCAGGATGTCACGAAGGATGGTGAGTGTGGGGCATTCAAGGAGGGGTGTGGGGTGTGTGGGGTCCCTGCAGGGCAAGGGCTGGGATGAGCTGGAGGCCTGGGTGGCTTCGCTGACAGAGTGACCTAAGCTTTCATGCCTTCCTCGGGTCCTTCATGGTGACTGGCTCACAGCCAGCATGCCAGAAATGTTATTAATCAGCAAATATCCACATGCACTGTTTTAGGCCCCAGGAATCACTCTGGCAGAGAAGGGCAGAGGAGTTCAGAGGACATGAAAGTCATCATGGGCTGGGGCTTGGGAGAGGCTCCCAAGAGGAGGTGACGCAAGCTGGGTCTTGAAGGATGGAGCCCTAGTTTCATATCCCCACCTCGGCCCTATTAGACCCCAACAAGGTCTCTACCTGCCAGCCAGGTCTGTGTGGATCCTGACACAGCCCAGGGCAGGGTCAATTTTAGTCCAGCTATCTGGCATGGTCCTCATCCTGGGCCTTCCTCTAGGCCTAGAGCCCAAGGTGGAAAAGCCACACCTTATCAGGGACCCTGGGCCCTGCTCACCTCCAGCAGGCTCAGGTACAGCCTGCAATGACTATACCTACTCTTAAACCATGCCCTAACCAAATTCTGCTTTTGCCATTTAACAGCTCATGAGTCTGAACCTCAGTCTCTTCTGTAAAGCTGATGCAATAATCCCTACCTCAAGGGCCGTGCACATGCAGAGTGCAAGGTGCACAGTAAACATTCAGCAAGCAGTGGCAGCTCACACTGTCACAGTTCTAGATACCAGGTCTGGGGATCTGGATTCTAAAACCCAGTTCTGTTACTAACTTGCTTGGGACCTTGGGACATTCTCATGTTTCTCTGAGCCTCAGTTTCCTCAGCTCGAGGAGAAAGGGGATGGGAAGGCTCACTCCTGAGCTTGCTCATAGATGAAATGACAAGCTATGGAAAGACCCCAGGAGCTCCCTCCTCCTGCCCCCAGCTAGAGTTCCAATTGGACCACTGGCCACATGAGACGCCCACCCCACTCTGCAGCATTCCCTGCCATGTAACTCCAGGCCATCACCCAGAAAGCCAGGCAGGAGCTGGATGGAGGCCAAGCCCAGGCAGGGCCGGGCTCCTGTGCAGTCTGCAGGAGCCAGGAGGATATGCTCCCGAGGTGGGGGCTGCTCCTGGTGCCACTCCTGGTCCTCCAGTCACCACTTCCAAGCCTCCCCTGTGGGTGGCCTGAGCTCACGGTACCTATGGCTCTTGGCCCCTCACATGCTGCCTCTGAGCCCTTTGCTGTTTGAGAGAACTTCTCCAGATGGCTTCTAGCTGGTTTATTTCTCACAACAGCCTGGTTGGGACCTCAGTGAGGGGCAGCCCTCCCTGTGAAGGGAGACTAGAAATCCCATTTTATAGATGAAAAAACCGAGGCTCCAAGAGGTTTCGAGACCTGCCCAGCTGGTATAAAGTTGAGATAACAAGGCCCATCTTCAGACTCTAAGACACCCGCTCTTCCCTCCACCCAGCTCCCCTGCCCCCCACCTGGTGCCAGACCAACTCCTTCAAACCCTGCTGAGGCCCCCAGCACATCTCAGCTACCATCCCAGCACTGCTACGGGCAGATGGGCTCTTCTGAGCTGTCCAGGGTCCTGGCCATGCCCAGCCCTGCCTCAAGGCCTTCTCTGATCCTTCCCTGGCTGCCACCTCTCTGACTTCCTGGGTAGCAACAAAAAGTGGGAACATGTGGCTGGGCTTGGTGGCTCATGCCTGTAATCCCAGCACTTTGGGAGGCCGAGATGGGTGGATCGTCTGAGATCAGGAGTTTGAGACCAGCCCGACCAACATGGTGAAACCCCGTATCTACTAAAAATACAAAAATTAGCTGGGCATGGTTGTGCATGCCTGTAGTCCCAGCTACTCAGGAGGCTGAGAGAGGAGAATCGCTTGAACCCGGGAGGCAGAGGTTGAAGTGAGCCGAGATCGTGCCATCGCACTCCAGCCCAGGTGACAAGAACAAGACTCCATCTAAAAAAAAAGAAAAAAGAAAAGTGGGACTATGTGATGCCGGGCCTGGCCCAGGTCTTCCGGTCCTATGCTGCCTGTGTACCCTTGGACACCACACTTCAACACTCAGGGCCTCAGTTTCCTTTTCTGAAAAATGGGCACAGCATGGGGCAAGCCAGGAGGTGGTTCAGACTCAGCCCACCTCTGCAGTTGTCTCTGCCTCCTCCTCTGGGCCAAGCAAAGCCAGAGACTCAGAGGCATTTGGGCCCAGCCCTGCCCTTGAGCAAGAGGTCCAGAGGCTGTGAGGCTTGAGAACACAATGACCATGCCCTGCCAGGCCGAGGGGCACACGGGCTGAGGAGCACAGTGGGGCCTCCCGTCCCTCCTGGAAAGCAGAGAGGAGAGGAGCTTGGAGAGTGCCCTTGACAAGGGCAGAGAGGGCATAACGGGCAGAGGGAGCAGAAGCAAAGGCCTAGAGGCAGGAACCAAAGGGGAGGCTTGCTCAGAGAGTGCCTGGGAGGCAGAGGCGGCCCCTCTTCGCTGCACTGTCAGTGGCCACAGAGAAGAACACCAGGGAAAGTGGTCGGGGCCAGGACCCGCCCTGGGGAGATCCCTCAGGCAGTGGGCAGAGGCGGAAGACTGAAAGCCAAGTGCAAAGCAGAGGCAGCAATCCAAGGGACAGAGTGTGGGGCGGGGACAGAGGGATAGCGAGGAGGGGTCCCCCCGAGGCAGAAAGGCCAGAGCTACATGGCTTGTGGCATCGCAGTCTCCACAACACCAGCTGACCCTTGCTAAGCATTTGCTCAGCCTAGGGGCTGTGCTGGGCTCCTCATTCAATCCTCATGACCACCCAACCTGTTCACTGTGGAGTGGTGGCAACGGTGGCATGAACTGGGACACTATGAGGTCCACAGGCTTCCAGTCACCCCCTCCAGCTGAGCTTCTGATTTGTCTAACATCCCCGAGCTCAGTATCCCCACCCAGAGAGTAAGTTGCAGAGCCTGGGGCATCAGGCTCTGAAAACCAGGCCCTTATCACTGGGGACATTTTTCCCTACCGTGGGAGTTTGGGTGAGCTCACCAGCTCATGGCAGGTCCCCTGTGTCCTCTTCTCTCTGGGATTGACATCTCCAGAGCTGCCCCTACCGCAGGCTCATTTGCCCATGCCACCCACAGAAGGCCCAGGTGTGGGGGCCAGCAGCAGGAACCCTGGGTTCAAGTCCAGTAGTCTGACCCCAGAGCCAGGTCAACAGTGGTGCCAGAGTCAAATGTGGGGAAAGAAGGAGCCAAACAGGGTTTGCTCCTGGGACCCAGGAAAGGGATGAGTGAGGGAGGTCCTGGCTCCAGCCATGAAAGCCCAGACCCAGATCTCTGCCCACCCCCAGCCCCAAACACCACCCTCACCCACACCAGACAGGTCCATGGGTGGCTCGGATAAGAAAGGGCTCGGGACATGGGCCTGAGTCTTGGCACGAGTGTCCTGGCCAGGACCAAGCAGACCCTGCAGCGAATGTTCGGGGGTGCAGAGGGCTGGAAGATGAAGGCAGGAGGCAGCAGCTCAGAGCGGGCAGCTTCTTCCAGGGCAGTGAGAACCAAAATCTGTGCATCCCCATGCCCTGTCCCCTGTCCCTTACTCCTGCATCGGGCAGTACCCAGGTCCTGTCCACCTGCTCCCGAATCCGCCTGCAGTCCCTCCGGCCCTCCCCACCCTCAGGCCTCACTGAGCTCCCGGCTCACCCTGCCCAGCATCCTGTTTGGGGAGGGGGTCCTGCCTGTCCTGCCAAAGATATGCTCACCCAGGCAACCTCCCCCTCCTGGCCCACCATAGGCTGTGGCTGCTCTGTCCTCGACCTTGGCCCACGGCCAGTGGTAGGGTCTGGGCCTGTGAACCTTGGGTGGAATCAAGAGCGAAGGAGGCAGCTGGATGGGCCTGAGGTCCAGCAGCACACAGCTGAGGCTTCCCGCCATGCAGGCGCCTTCTGAGAGCCCAAACCAGCACCACCCAGAGCCCCACCCCATTCCTCTCCTGCCAGAAGTCCCACTCCCAGTATCCCTCACCTGGGAGAGGCACCGCAGTGAGCTGGAGAGAGCACAGCCTGAGGCGTCAGACAAGCCTGGGCCCTCTATGTGGTTGTGGGCAGGGTGCCGGCCTGCTGCCTCACCTGTAACATGAAGGAAAAGACACTGCCCTGCAAGGTTGTGCCAATGGCATGGAATCAGGACCGTGAACTGCCTAGTGCCAGCTCTGATTCCAGCAAGTACCAATCAGCGGTGGTCCCCAGGACAGCCAGCAGGTGCCTGCCCCAGCCTCCCCAACCACAACAGGTCCCATGCTATGCACTATGGGACCTGCATCTCCATTCCTACTACCCAGAAGACACTCAGTCAACACAGCATGCACCAGGATGCATCAGACAGAGGATCCTGGGAAAGCACCCTAAAACGGAAGCCATTATCCAATGGTGAGAGGCACTTTCCCAAGGAGACAATGCAGGAGAACTTGGGAGAGATCACAGAGCTGGGGGAGGCACAGAGGAGCTGGGGAAGAACAGGAGAGCTAGGGAAGGGATAATTGAGGTGGGGAGGGTCAGGAGAGCTGGGGAGGTACAGTGGAGCCGGGGGGAGGGTCAGGAGAGCTGGGGAAGGACAGTAGAGGTAGGGGAGGGACAGAGAAGCTGGGGAGGGACAGGAGAGCTGGGGGAGGGACAGTAGAGGTGGGGGAGGGACAGAAGCTGGGGAGGGACAGGAGAGCTGGGGGAGGGACAGAAGAGGTGGAGGAGGGACAGTAGAGCTGGGGGAGGGACAGTAGGACTGGAGGAGGGACAGGAGAGCTGGGGAGGGACAGTAGAGGTGGGGGAGGGACAGAAGAGGTGGGGAAGGGACAGTAGAGCTGGGGAGAAGGAGCAGTGCTGGGGAAATAGCACCAGACAAACTTTGCAGCTGCCCCCTGCTGCCCTCCTCAGAAAATAGGCCTCTCCCCTGCATTCCTGCAAGGTCCACCTGCTCCCTTTGCCCACTGCTTTTCCCCTGCCTGGGACCTGTTCTACCTTTGGGAACATCTACCTGTGAGAAGTTTTTTCTTCTGTTGAGCTTGGAACTTCTCCCTTTGCTTCTCACTCCACCTCCAGGACTGCACAGCACCCTCAGCTCCCTCCTGGGTTCCCCAGGGAGCCTTGGGGCCATCAGTGGAACTCCCTGAGCCTCTTCCTCCCCAGGCTCCACAGCCTGCCCTGCAGCTGTCTTGGCTAACCTGGCTGCACACCCCTGCCCTTCTCTGGATGAGCCCCAGTCTCTCTTTCCCCTCAAGGTGAGGAAGCCAGACCAGCTCAGGCCAAATGCAGCTCTTAGCAGGGTGTGGATGACACAGAACCCAGCTAGGCAGTGTCATGTGTCTGCCATGGCAGTCATTCACACCCTACTCCAAATGTTTCCAGCTATTTTCTAACAGCGTAGTTGAATTAAGGTCCAGTGGCCCAAGCCTGTGATCTCAGCACTTTGGAAGACTGAGGCGGGTGGATCACCTGAGGTCAAGAGTTCAAGACCAGCCTGGCCAACATGGTGAAACCCTGTCTCTACTAAAAATACAAAAATTAGCCACGTGTGGTGGCGGGCACTTGTAATCCCAGCTACTCAGGAGGCTGAGGCACGAGAATCACTTGAACCCAGGAGGCAGAGGTTACAGTGAGCTGAGATCATACCACTGCACTCCAGCCTGGGCAACAGAGTGAGACTCTGTCTCAAAAAAAAAAAAAAAAGAATAAAGTTAGACCTGGTGGGGACCTCAGTGCCCTTCTCCAACCCCACTCTATTCCTCCACTGTACAAATAGGAAAACTGAGACCCATGCTGAAGAAGAAGGAAGTGTAGGAGAGGAAATATTCTCTCCTCAGATTCCAGGAAAGGATAAATGGCTCCTGAAGAGGAGGTCAAGGTGTGAGGGCAAGACTAAAAAGAAACTTTTATGTTTTCTGTCCAGGATTGTTAATGCCTATTACCTGAGGCTGCAGAGGCTGCTGATAAACTTTACTATCTAATTCATCAGGAAAGAATCTATTTTGCCAATGAGTCAAGTGAGGTCAGAGGCACTGAATGACTTGGCCAAGGGTGCATTGCAACCCTGCCCAGATCTGCATGACCCCAACCTCCACATACTTCCACTCCCTGACACCACTCTGCAGGCAGCAGAGGGGAGGAGAAAGGTATGTGTGCATGTGCAGTCCCCAGGCCATCACCCAAGGGGACAGCGCTCAGCCTCCCTCCTGACTCCCATCCCTATACTCCCCTGACCACCCTGACCCTGCAAACCACTCACAGAGATCAAAGCTGCTATGTTTGAGCATCCCCCTTGAGCTGGTCACTCTGCACAAATTATGCATTTAATCCTCATAACCACCAGGAAAGATGGCAGTATTATCTCCAGTTTACAGATGACAAAATTGGGCTGGAAGAATGGACTTACCCAAGGTCACACCTTGAGTCTCTGGTAGGGCTGGAGTGGCACCCAGTTCTAGTGCCACTAGCAAAAGAAAAAGCCCAGGCAGGGGCAGTGCAGAAACTACTCAAACTCTATACCTCCCACTGTGTGTCCACAGCAGACATCACTAATCAATCACAGAACTCTTTCCTATTAAACTAGAATCCTTGCACAGGGCTCCAGGCAGCCATTCTGAGGGCTTGGCCCTAGAAACAATATCCACTCGCCACTCCTACCTGGGCCAAGGTCCTCTTGGAGCAGTCTGAACATTCCACTCCTGCCCTTGCACTCTTATTCAGCTGTGACAGACCAGAAACTGGCCCAGAATCCCAGAGTATTAGACTGGAAGGAACTTTAGGCAATCTGTGGGCATATAAGTGAACAAAGAGGTGAACTGACCCATGCATACAGCAAACTGGTAAAGCAGCCTCCGCACCAGGCCAGGCCTGGAGTTCCTGCTCCCTGTCCCCACCCCAGTGTCCACCACTCAGTTTCCCCAAAATGCAATGGAGCCCTGGGGACTGCCAGCCTTGCAGGGTGCCCCCAGAACCTGTGCCCCACAGGCAAAATGGCAGCTGGAAGTTTGGATGGTTATCTCAAAGCTTGCCACAGAAGCTGGTATCTCCCTGTGAAAGACCCACTGGGCTCCCAGAGGCAATTACGTCCCTGTAGGGCTGGGTCTGGAGCTGACCAGGGCCACACTGTGGTCCAGCAGGGCTCTGCCACCTCCACACTGCCATCTCTCCCCAGACCTTCCTCTCCTCACAGCTCGTGGGGTCTCCAGTTCTCTGCCTTGAAGACAAGCATACTTTGTATCTCACTGAACCAAGGAAACCCTCACCAGCCTAAACCCTAAGCTGCAGCCCTTCCTGAAACTCCTCTCTCCCCTCCAGTGTCTGCCTCCCTCAAGAGCCCTCTACTTGGTACCCCACTTCTCCACACCTTCAGGTACGCCCGGTGCACCCACCCCTCTCCATCTGCATTCATACTTGCTCGCATCAACTGACCTAAGAAACAGGCCTCTGTCCCTCCCACCTCACCCTCCTACTCCTGCCCCATCTCATCCACCTCCTCAACTGAGTTTCCTTAAACAGCCATCGCAGGTGCCCTCTCTGCTTCCCTGCCTCCTCAGGCCAGGCCAGGGCCACCAACGTTCTCCCTGGTGTCTAGTGTGGTCTTGCTCAGACCTCATCCTGCTCACTCCTGGCATATGGGCCCCTCCCCCACTCTCAGCCGCCCGGCTGTGGCCCTCAAGTCTCCATGGTCTGGTCCCAGAGTCCAGCCTCATCCAGATGCACTGACCAACTTTCTTCTCCTGCCCTGGGACTCCATGCTGGCTCAGTCCTCTGCACCCTTGATAAACAATCACAGCAGCAATAACAAAGATACTGCTTCTCTAGAACGAACATGGGCCCATCACTGAGCTGAGCATGAATTAGCCAGTTCCGTCTTCCATCAAACCTATTGATTTGTTGACTCCAGAAAAATTCAGTGAATGCCTACTCTGTGCCACTCACTACTCTCAGCACTGGGGATACAATAATGTAATGATGGTATTGTTCCAATTGCACAACTGTGGAAACTGAGGCCCAGAGAGGCTAAGTGACCTGCCTGGGCTCACACAACCACGAGGTGGGTTCCAAATCCTACACCCGCACACACACCCGTGCCATGGCCTCCCTGTGGGCCACACACTCCAGAACCCTGCCCCCATCCCCCACTCCTCTGTCGCCCCTGGAGCCCAGCATCCTCAGTGCTTTGTTCTCTCCAGAAGCCCCCTCCCACCACCGCCACCACCCGCCGCCAGCCCGGCTGCTGCCTCCCTGGGAGCTGCTGCCAAGCCGTCAGCTCCTGTCATCACCCCAAGGCAGCCAGAGGGAGCACCAGCAGCAGCTTTGGCACACGCCACCTCCGGCCGCTCCACAGCCACCAGGCCAGCAGGATGGGCGCCCCTCCCGCAGCCATGCCATGGGAGTATCAGTGCAGGGGGATCCAGCCCTCCCCATTACAAACCAAGAAACCGACGCTGGAGAAGAAACTCTGAAGTTCAGCCAGGCCTCCGGTGACAGTGGCTAAATTTGTAAAATCAACCCATCGTGGTGATGATCCAAAGTCTCTGGAAGGCAGTCCCTCTGCTGGCATAGTCCCCTGTTCAACCTGCCACCAGCCTCTGGGAGCTCAGTGGGGTGGGGCACTTCCTCAGAGGAGGGTTCTGACCTCCGCTCAGGTCAAAGTTCCCTCTCAGGTGCCCATGGCACCCACCCCAGGTGCTCCGCCAATAGTCAGCCCTGGGGTCACCCAGCCCTGAGGTCATCCAGCCCTGAGGTCACCCAGCCTTGAAGTCACCCAGCCCTGAGATCACCCAGCCCTGAGGTCACCCAGCCCTGAGGTCATCCAGCCCTGGGGTCGCCCAGCCCCAGCTCCCAGGTGACCTCCGTGGAATCACTCCTGTCCCCTCCCCTTCCTCCTGGTCAGGCAGGTGACCGCGGACGAGGTGTGGACTCAGGTCCTGTCCTTGCCTGCCTTCCTGCTATCCCTCCTGGGGGAGGAAGCCCTGGGAGGGAGGCGGGCGCCCTGCTGGGGCCACATGGGGACCGAGGAGCACACGTGGCCAGGCCCGACCACCACGAGACTGTGCGGGCCGCCTGGGGCTCCCCCACAGGCGGGGAAGGCACCCCCGCTGCGTGACTCTCTCGGCTGCCACAGGAACCTCGTCCGAGGAGTTTAAGGAAAAAGGTTGTCCTCTGAGGGGGCCATAGGTTGAAGGAAGGGGCAAGAAGGCAGTGTGTGGAACAGACAGGCCCACGCGGCTCCCAAGTCGCTGCCACCTCCAGGCTCCAGGTCTCCTCCCCGGGTTCAGAATCACAGGAGAGAATCCCATTGGGTTTCACTTGGGTCACGTGTCCAGCCTGGACCAATCAGCCATGGCAGGGGTGGGGCCATCTGGAGGGAGTCTGGCCAGTCCCAGAGAAGAAAGAGCCTGTGGGCGAGGCAGTCACCGACACGCAGCTTCCCATTTTACAGGAGGGAGGTGGACAGGCCCCCAAGGAAAGATCCCTGGGCACTGTGTCCTTGCGTCTCTGGATCAACCCAGACAAAGGCCCTGCAGTGGGAGGGAGCCACGTGTGCCCTGGTGAAGAGGAGGAAGAAGAGGTGTGGTAGGTCCCCAGTGGAGGTGTGTACCAGGTGTGCCCTGGTGGAGAGGAAGTAGGGTAATGTCCCAATGGAGAGGACCCCCGAGGCGGCCGACGGACTTCGGTCCATGCAGCAAGACAGACATGAGAGACCCCTGTTTCCAACAATGACACTGGTAATAGGAGCCCAGGAGATGACTGGGAGGAGGGAGGGAGTGGACAGGGAGAGATAGAGGGTGAGCAGCTGAACCCAGGCCACTGAGGACAGGTAGAGGGAGAGGAGCCACCGGCCTGGGCTCCTCCAGGACACCCAGTGGGGCTCGCTGGGTGACATGGGGGGATCGAGGGCAGGAAGCCAGCTAGGGGGAGGATGAAGAGTTCAGTTGGAAACACTTGAGCATGAGGTTCTGTGGGGTACACAAGAGAGCTGGCTAGAGGGCAGGGGCCACAAGGAGAGAGGCCTGAGCTTTGATCGGGGACTTAGGGGTGACTGGCAGTGACACAGGTGGCCCAGGAGGCCACGGGAGTAGTCAGGATCTTATAGGAAATGGCCAGAAGAGAGGGGGCCAGGACTGGGTCCTGAGGAACCCAAAATCCAGGAGAAGGGTGCAGAGGAAGGAGTGCGGGGAGAGCAGGGAGGGGTGAGACCAGATCCTGTAGGAGAACTTGGACTTAGCAATGGGATGCCATAGGGGACCTTGAGGAGAGGGTCCCCATGGGGGCTAGGATGATGGTGATAAGAAGGGGAGACATCCCCCGAAAAACGAGGCATCTCCCTATGCCTCTGAGTCTCCAGCACTCGGGAGCGATCCTCCATTATGTTGAGAATAATGACTCCAGTGTCCATCGGGGGCAGAGGTTTCCTTGGCTAGAAGAGACCACTGTCTGAAATGTGTTGGGAAATGGCTGTGCTGTGTTCCCAGGGCCACCTAGCAAAGCCAAGGTCATCCACATTTGACAGATGGAAAATGAGGGGAAGCAGCTCATCCAAGGGGCACATCCATGGCAGAGCTGGGACCAGGATCAGGACCTTGGTGTCCAGCCTCTCTTCCTGGCCCTGACCACATCCCAACTGCTACTTCCAGTGAATGTCATGGCCATAGTGGGGGAGACTGGTTAGACTTCCTCTCCTCAGGCCTTGGCCCTCCTTCCAGGGGCCTGAGCCAGACCTCTGCTTGACCATGATGCCCTCTTTAGCCCGGCCTGGGGAGGCCAGGAAGAGCCCAGCCTGCAGGTGCCCCAGCTCTCACATGGAGGCCTCAGGTGGGGTCAGCTCCTGCCAAGCCCCGGATGTCCTGGGCAGATGCCCACTCTGGTCACCACCAGCAAATGAACTCCAGAGAACAGCAACCACACTCACTAGCAAGCCAACACCAGCAACCCCACATACCAGCAACCCCGCACACCAGCAGCCCCGCACACCGGCAGCCCTGCACACCAACAACCTCAGGAAGGAGGCAGTGGGCATTTGAGTTCTCAACGAGGGCAATTCCAGGACTATTGTGGGAGCTTTGGCACTTGTTGGACCAAGATTCCCGTTCTGACTCTGCCACCTGCCACCTGCCCCCTGCACAACCTTGGGCAAGTCCGGACACCATGTCAAAACCTCAGTTTCCTCATCTGCAAAATGGGCTTTCTATGCCCATCTGCCAGGAAGATGAGGATTAAGGGGCCCCCCTTTGGATAGTTGCCTGGAGAGCGAGGGCCCCTGTTTATGTCAGGTATTGAGCTCAGCACCAGCAAAAGAGGCACAGGTGATCCAGTGCAGAGCCCAGCCTCACATCGCTCACTCCAGGGTCCTGATATTTCCTATAAATGTGATCCAGGATTGAGTTCCTGGTTCCCTGCCTTCGTCTGCACCATGCCCTCTGCTTACTGTGCCCACACCATGCCAGTTTTCCAGGCTGTCGCTAGCCCTTGGCCTGTGTCTGCACCCTCCAGGCTGACCAGTGCCAACGTGGTCCCAGCCTTCTCCCTCTCTTTGGCGGCAGTCATTGGTGCCACACAAACAGCCCATCTGAAGCTCACGTTCAAACACAGCCACCCACGGGCCCAGGACACTGCAGGAGCCAAGTGGACGCCCCTCCCCTTGCACCCCTCGCAGTGAGGGAGGGCGGGCAGGACCAGGCGGCCCGCACAGGAAAGCGGGTGTTTACACTGCAAACAGAGGCTGAGCAGAGATTGTGCCGTGGATTCAGCTTCAGGGAGGTGCAGACGCCCAGGTGCCAGGCCTGGTGTTTGCCCCCAGCCCCAGGGGTTCTTGCTGCCACCCGCAGCGCGGAGCATTGCTGAGCTGTATTTGCCCCCAGCGCTCAGCCTGTGCCGTGTGCGGTGGCGGCGGAGTGCCCTGGCTACAGGGCAGCCGCTGGTGCCTGCTCACCCTCCGCAGGCTGCTTCCTTCTGCCTGGGATTCGGCTGCCATGGCGCCTGCTGCTGAGCAGCCCGGCTCTTAACAGAGATGCAGGACCGATCCTGCTTCCTGCCCCAGGCCCTGCCCCAGCCAAGGGCCCACCACCCCCAGCCTCATCAGCTCCCCACTCTCTCTGTCCTCACCTCCCTGCCTGCCACATCACCCCAGACTCTAATCACTGTGAGCGCCGCCCCAGCAAAGGCCATTCCAGCCCTCCCTCATCCCTTTGACAAGCAGCCCTGGTTTGGGCCTCTCTGCTCCTGCCAGTGGTGGAGGTGAAGGAGCAGCTTCTACCCAGGGGGCGAAACAGAAGCCTGGAAGAGAGGCCAGGACCTCAGGCTCTGAGCCAGGCGCCCAGCCCCACCACTCAGGGGCCGGGTGGTGACCTCGGGCAATCACTGTGCGGCTCCGGGCCCCTTTCTCCTTCATCTGTAAAATGGGAAGATGCCAATCTTAGTCTCCACCTCGCAGGGCCAGCATGAGGATTAAATAAGTCAGGGCAGTAGAGCATTTAGAAAAGTATCCAGCTGGGCGCCGTGGCTCACGTCTGTAATCCCAGCACTTTGGGAGGCCGAGGCAGGCAGATCATGAGGTCAGGAGATCGAGACCATCCTGGCTAACATGGTGAAACCCCGTCTCTACTAAAAATACAAAGAAAAATTAGATGGGCGTGGTGGGGGACGCCTGTAGTCCCAACTATTCGGTAGGCTGAGGCAGGAGAATGGCATGAACCCAGGAGGCGCAGCTTGCAGTGAACCGAGATCGTGCCACTGCACTCCAGCCTGGGCGACAGAGCAAGACTCTGTCTCAAAAAAAAAAAAAAAAAATAAGAAGAAGAAGAACTAAAGAAAAGCGCCCAGCACAGCCTGTGAACTCCGCAGGTGACAGATGGTGGTACCTCACTGTCATCACTGTGCTGGGACCAAGGGAGGTGCCAGGAACTGTGGGCCCAGAGGAGGGTGAGGGTGCCTTACACACCTGCCTTCATCCTCACAACCCCTGAGAGATGACTGTTGCCAGACCCCTGGAATACAAGAGGAAATCGCGCCTGAGCCACCAGGCCGGGTAGAGCCTGGATTTGACCCACCAAGCCCGGGTGAAAGGAGGAGGGCACAGTGCTTTACTGTGGTAGGGAGGTGGCTTCCCGAGGACCTACCCAGGGCTCACCAGGGCCGATCCCAATGTCTCTGTCCCTTAGGAGGCTGGCAGCCCTGGGGTCCCATCTCAGGCAGAGCCAGGACAGCTATCCCTCCCACTGGTCCACATGTCTGGCCCAGCTGTCCCCTCCACTGAGAGGCCTTCGAGTTTCCCAAGGCTTCAGCCCCATCGGACCCCCCCACACTGGGCTGGAGCCGTGCTGGGCAGAGCTGGAAACAGGGACAACATCACCAGCCCCTGGCATCCAGGCCCTCCCTTCCAGGCTGGTGAAACTCCATGTCTGTACCAAGGTCACCTCTACTATCCACGCTGAGCGGCTGGGGTGGGAGGGAGCCACAAGGAGCCCCCTCTGCTCTCAGAGCCCCCCCCACCAGCATTCTCCTGCCCAGAATTTCCCCAAGACCCAACTCTCGTCTCGACTGCCTTAAGCCCCAGCGCTTGGCAGGATGACATATCTTGGAACAAGCAGGAAGAAGAAGGGAGGCAGAGAAAGCCCAGCAGCCTGCTGGCCAAGGCTGCCTGCGATTCAGGAGGAGCTGGGATCCAGCCTCATTCCCTCATCTGTGTGGTGAGAACCATGGCACCTAGGGGAGGCCTGGCATCCTCTCTGAGCCTCAGTTTCTTCATCTGTAAAATGAGGCTGATAACATCAGGCCCTGTGCCACAGGACTGTGGAAAAAAGTACCCAAGATGGAGTTCCAGGCAGCAGCAAGCAGGTGGTAAGCACTCAATGGAAATTAGCTGTGCCTGTTATCATTGCCCCATCCAGGTCCCCCACACCAGCTCTTACATGAGAAAGGCTTTGATGAGTGCTATAGCATGCAGCTGGCTTATGAAGAAGGGTGGATGTGGGAGCAAAAAGGCCTGGCAAAGTGGGAAGAGCCTGGTGAGGGGGTCAGGCACACATAAGCTCAAGAGCTGACTCCCTGATGTAAGAGCTGGGCCACCTTGGTCATGCTGTTTAACCTCTCTGGACCTCTTTGCAAGAATTAAATGGGAAAAGGTGCATGAAGGGGTCTAGGAGGTGTCAGCACACAGTAGAAGCTTCATTAATGTCAGTCTCATTAGCCCTTCACTCCTTGGATTTGTGAATAGTAGAGAAAAAATGCTCTTACACACCTATGCATTCTCCGTCTCCCGCCATCTCGCTCGAAACCCTGATTTGGCCAGGCCCGGTGGCTCACGCCTGTAATCCCAGCACTTTGGGAGGCCAAGGTGGGTGCATCACCTGAGGTCAGGAGTTCGAGACCAGCCTGGCCAACATGGTGAAACCCTGTCTCTACTAAAAATACAAATATTAGCCAGGTGTGGTGGTGCATGCCTGTAATCCCAGCTACTGAAGAGGCTGAGGCAGGAGAATCGCTTGAACCCAGGAGGCGGAGGTTGCAGTGAGCTGAGATTGTGCCACTGCACTCCAGCCTGGGTGACAGAGCAAGACTCTGTCTCAAAAATAAAAAAATAAAGAAACCCTGATTTGTATCATCTGCCAATTTCCATGGTGTAAATACTCCCACTATGATCGATTTCAAGCTACCACAAGCTACCAACCTAAGCAGTGTCGGGAATAGCTATGCACAGATGACTGTCATGCATGATGAGAGCCAGCTCCATGACACCACAGCTGTTCACAGCTCCCCTTCTCCACCATCCACCCCTCTTCCCAACCCACTGCTCTCCTGCCACACCCACCATGTTTCTGGTCTCACACATGCCAGGGGTGTTCCTGCCTCAGGGCCTTTGCACTGAACTGCTATGTCCTCTGCCCAGAACATTTCTCCCCTGGTTGTGACATGGCTGCCATGTCTTGCTTTCCAGATCTCACCTCAGATATCACCTCCTCCAAGAAGCCCACCCTGATCACCTTGCTAATATTGCTTCCCCACCCCACACACACCCCTACTGCTCTGAGATTTCATGATATTTTATTTCCTTCATGGCACTCGACTCGTCTTGAAAGTCTGGCACACATTTATCTGTTGTGTGTGTTTATCTGTTTACTTTCTGTCTTACCCTCTACGGGGTTGGCTCCATCAGGGTAGGGCCCCATCCCTGAGGTCCCTGCTGTGTCCTTGGTGTTTCACACAGTGCCTGACACATAGTAGGTGCTCAGGCAATATTTACGGCACAGATGAACGAACGAACAATTGAACTAGGAACGTCAGGACCCACCTGGGCTGATCTTCCCAGGCCCTGCCTGGCCCACAGCCCCTCCCCCACCACAGAGTCCCCATGCAGCGGCTCTAATTAGCAGAGGTCCCCCCCCCGCCACCCAGTCCAGCCCCCTCGACTACGGCCCCATTGTGGACCCTGTAATTGCAGAGTCTCCTGCCTTTTTCTCCCCCACCCCAATTCTCCCTCTTCAGCAGAAAGAGGCCGGCCCCATTGTGCAGCTCCTGTTGACACAGGGATGACCTCACCGGGGGCCTCCTGAGAGGGGCCCAGCAGGGGAAAGGGGAGTGGGGAATAGAGGGGTGGCAGTGGCCCGGCCCAGGCTGGGAAAGGGCTGGAGGCTGAGGCCTGGGACAAAGGGCCACAGGAGGGTGAAGCCAAGGGTTGGGGGTGGAGGAAGAAATAGAGAAAGAGAGTTTCCAGGGGTAAGACAAGGGTGCTTTTCATTAGAGGGATACTTGAGGGAGGGAAGATTTCATCCCAAGAAAGGATCCCACAGGAAGACTGGGCCTGACGGCCATGTTCTTGAGGGAGTTTTGGAGACACAGAAAGACAGACAGACCTAGGCTTAGGACCTGCCTGTCGTGAAGGCTTGGAGCAGAGACTCCCCGAGCCTGGATCTTCATCTGTAAAATGGCAAATAATAATACCTTCCACCTGGGACTGTCTTGGGGTCTCTAGTAGATCACAGAGGCCAGGTAAGGACATGGTAAAGGCTTGATGGTCATTCCTCCCCACCCACTACTGACTCCGGCACACACATACGTGTGCTGTTGTTCTCTCTCTCTCTCGTTCTCTCTCTCTCTCTCTCTCTCTCCTTTTACAGACTTTACTCATTCCTTGCTGCTTCAAGCTGCCCACCATCTGGCAAGGTCCCTACCACAGTGACCCCCGGCTGAGCCTGGGCACCTGCTGTCTCCTGCTCTGGGCTTTTGCACTTGCATGTTCATACGTGAGCCCCCAGCAGGGCCACCTGGTGTCTGTGCCTGGATCTCCGCCCCAGGACCCTGGTTATTGCTCCAGCCCTGAGCACCCCACTCCCAATCCCCCTACCTGAGGGGCCCTGGGAAGGGAGCATCTGCCCCATGACACCTGGGGAGCCCTGGGTTTGCCATCAAGTCCCTCTCCCTGGGAATGGGACAATCCCTGGGTCAGGACAGCTGCCAGATCCCAGGGAGCCCCATGCACTGGAGGGAACGGAGCGGGGCTTGGTGGGGCAGCACGTGGGCTCGAGGAAGAATGGGGTTCCTGGCCAGGCCTTCCTCCTTGTCTATGAATCACATTTAATTTTTTTTTTTTTTTTTGAGACGGAGTCTTCCTCTGTTGCCCAGGCTGGAGTGCAGTGGCACAATCTCAGCTCACTGCAACCTCCGCCTCCCGGGTCCAGGCAATTCTCCTGCCTCAGCCTCCTGAGTAGCTGGGATTACAGGCACCCACCACCACGCCTGGCTAATTTTTGTATTTTTAGTGGAGACGGGGTTTCACCATCTTGGCCAGGCCTGGTCTTGAACTCCTGACTTCAGGTGATCCACCTGCCTCGGCCTCCCAAAGTGCTGGGATTATAGGCGTGAGCCACCATGCCTGGCCACATTTAATTTTAATCAGAATTTTGTCAGCATTGTATCTTTTTCATGAGCAAGTATTTTGCAGATGGAAGCTCCTTACGTGAATTTAGTTCCTTGGCTGGTCTTCTATCGAGTGTGTTTCAAACAGTTTCTAACTTATTATTTGTATGTTCATTTCCATTTCACTGAACTTATTTTCACTGGCATCCATATTTCCCCCTGTGACGTTTCCACTGAAGACTTCATCCTCCGAACAGTTTCCAGCCACATCCCAAGTTAGCTTCTGCCACCATGGGTTTCCTTTGCTAGCCATGGCTTTCTCCCAAGGTCAATGTTTCCGAGACAGATGTCATAAGTGCTAAATTTGGTTAGGAAGGTTTGATTCTAATCAAAATCAAGAGGTTTTCCTGGGTGCAGGTTTGGTTTGAGGTGGATGATTCTCCCAGTGAGATTTCTCCTGCCCTAAAGGACTAGGAGTCCTGCTGAGTCACCACAGCAAAGAGCATCACAGGTATAGAGCAACCTATCAGGGCTTGGGTCAAAGTGACATCCCCAGGGTCAAAGTGCCCTGAGTCTGGAGAGGGCCCAGGTCCTTGACAGCAGAATCAGGACTGGAAAAAAGTCAACAGAAACCACAACAACCCTGTTAAGGCAGGACTGAGAGCCCAGACTCGTTAGGAATGAAGGTTTGGGTCACCCCACCTGGCAAGGAACCATGACCGGCTCAGGTACCACCTTTTCTTCTGACGAAACTTCTGCCTTGGGCCCCTGGTGATTACTGTGTTGGGCCGAGTCTAAGAGGCCCTCGGCAATGTCTGCCTCCCAGTAGTCACACACTTCCTCTGGAGTGTGGACACTCGGTTCTAGCCAATGGGGTACACCAAAGGTGATGGGACAATGTCATTTCTGCAATGAGGTGATGTAAGTGTATGGCCTCCATCTTGCCAGCAGTGATGAAGCAACTGCCATTGTGGAGAGGCCCATGGGGCCAGGAGCTGAGGAGCTGAGGTCCTCCAGTCCAACAGTCTGCAGGGAGCTGAATTCTGCCAGAACCATGTGAGTTAGGAAGCAGATCCTTCCCCGGTGGTGCTTTCAGGTGAGATTGCAGACCCTGTTCTCCCACCCTGATTGTAGCCTTGTCAAAGACCCTAGAGCTTGGCCGGGTGCAGTGGTTCACACCTGTAATTCCAGCACTTTGGGAGGCTGGGGTGGGCAGATCACATGAGGTCAGGAGTTCAAGACCAGCCTGGCCAACATGGTGAAACCCTGTCTCTATTAAAAATACAAAAATTAGCCAGGCATGGTGGCATGTACCTGTAATCCCAGCTACTCAGGAAGATGAGACAGGAGAATCGCTTGAACCCAGGAGGCAGAAGTTGCAGTAAGCCAAGATCACACCACTGCACTCCAGCCTGGGTGACAGAGCAAGACTCTGTCTCAAAAAAAAAAAAAAAAAAAAAAAGACCCTAGAGCAAAGGACCTGAAGACACGGTGCAGCCTCCTGCCCCACAGAGACCAGGAGATCATAAATGTGTTTTGCTGTAAGCCTCCAAGTATTGTGCTAATTTATTTTGCACCAATGGACAATGAATCCACCAGGCAAACAAATAGCAATGACAGGAAGAAGAATTAGTAGTGGTAGTATAGAGATATGTTTGTGTATTGAACACCTACTATGTGCCGGGCACTGTGTTAAGTACTGCACAGGCTTTGTCTTGTTCCTTCCTCACATGAACCATATCCATGCTATGGTCACCTTTTACAGAGGAAGAAACTGAGGCTCAGAAAGGTCAAAATGACTGAGAGGCTCCAGAGCAAGGCCCAGAGCCTGGCTCTGAGCTAAGAGCTGGTGGGAGAGGCGGGAGGTGGCCCAGGAGCACCCACCCCAGTTTCTGTTTTCCAGATCCACTTTCCTCCATATCATTCTCCTCTTTGGGTGCAGACACCCTTCATCTTGTCACACAGTGATCACATGGACACAAATGCACCTGCAATATCTTTAGGCAGACAAACTTCCCAGAAAATAACAACAATTTTACCTGCACTTTTAAGAAGCATTTAATTCCTTCAATTGTCTGGTGGTCCATTTGCAGGGGAAACTGAACTACCTGATCATTTCTCACTTCACCTGCCATACGGGAAAGAGATTCAATTAGAAAAATCTATTGCTAATTTGAAAGCTCTGATTCTATAATTTCCTACAGGGAAGACATGTAAATTGCGTGTTATTTAACACCCTTTCATGGCAGGTGAGTTCCGCGGGGGGCCATTATAATCCACTCTCCCCTCTTCTTACAGATTCCTGACAAGGGGGAAGAGGGAGGAGGGAGAAGGAGGAGGAGGGAGAACAGGAGAGCATTTTGAAGGCTGACTCCAAGTGGCTTTAGGAACCCATAAGTTTGAAGGGCTTAAATTAAGCAGGGTCAGCTGATTGGTGCCTGCCGGCTCCCTGGGAACACAGGCCAGATTCCCTCCTCCAACCCTACAACTCCTCCTGCCTTCCCCTAACCATCTGGAAAATCACCATGGCAGGCGGAGGGGTCAGGATGCCCTGATCCACACTCTAGCCTCTGTCACCAGCTGTGTGGCACGTAGCTGTCCCTTAATCTCTCTGGCCCTGGTCTCCATCTGTGCAATGGGGAAAACTAACACCCCCAGCCTGAGCTGCTGGGAGGACCAAAGTCCATTTCAAGTGTAAAACACAAAAGGGGACTTTGCAAACTACAAAGCACTGTCCCCTGGTGAAGGGCGCTAGCACTGGGACCCGGACCCTAAAGAACCCACTCAGTGTCTCCCACCCTAAAAACTCCCTAGAAGGTTTTTCTCTAGAAGGACCCGAATCTTTCTGGCTAAGGGGTTTTCAAGATGAAACTATTTCTTCCCACACAATTATAGCAAACAGGCTCTTTGCAGCACCCCTACACACACACAGACACACACACACACCCCTGGGTAGATTCTCTGGAAGAATGTTTCAGAAGCCAAGGGGCCTCTGGGGGCCTCTGGGGTGGGGAGGTGGGGAGGGAGGGAGCAAAGAGACCTAGTTTTTACCGAATGCTTTTTGTACGGCTTAGATTTCTTTCCACCTTCCTTCCTATCAGGTGCACCCAATTACCCCTCAAAAGCATTCTTTTATACTTTTATACATTTATTCAGTTTTAACAAATGAAACATGTGACCCATGGCTCCTCCCTCCTTCCCCCACCCTGGATCCCTGGCTTCCTGGCCTCCCCTGCCTCATGCCAACATTCTGGCTCCCACGTTCCAGCACCTGCCCCAGCCAGACCCGGGGCCGGGCTCCAACCAGGGGCTGTCACTTCCACCTGGGCCCCCCTTGAAGCTGTCGACCTGGAGCTGGCTCTAGAGGGAAGAACAAAAGTGCGCTGCTCCTTTCAGGGAGCTGTGAGCAGACACACCCCCAAACACGAATGCACTGGGATGGGGCGACCTTGACAACACCCAGAGCCCTCCCGCCTAGCCGCCCTCCTTGCAGGCCCCACTGGCCGGCGGGCGCCACCTGCTGGACGCAAGCGAGAAGTGCACGCTGGTGCCCACTCATCTCCTTGGTCCTTCCAGACTGAGACGGGCACAGCGGTCTGCAGCCCTGGGCAATGTGTCCCGGGCTCCCGCCGGGGGCGCGACATCCTCCTCCCCACAAGTTTCTCCCAACAGCTGTTTCAGGTGTTTTTCCCAGACATGACGTTTTTACATGTTGGAGGTGTGTCAGACTAAAAATCTCCATTCACTCCCCAAATGTGCAGCGGGGCAGCCCAGTGACATGGTGACCAACAAGATGTTCATGGTCCCTGCAGGCTCTGAGGACCGGCGGCTGAGATTAAACAACTTATTACACAAAGAACCATTTAATTGCAAGCACAATCACGCTTAGTGGAGAAGGAGAGAACGGAGCACGGTTTAAGATGATCTCCTCACCAGTTCTGCAAGGTAGGATTCATTGCTATATTACAGAGGAGGCTCAGAGAGGTGCAGTGACTCCCCTAATATCACACAGCAAGAGAAGGTGGGGCTCAGATAGGGACCCGGGTCGTCCAGGCCCCAGGAGGCTGGGAAGGTGCAGGGTCCCCAATAGACCCACTGCCAGTTTGCAGAAATAGCCTCCAACCCCCTCCCTCACAAGGGTCCAGGGAGCAGCTCTTTCCCCAAAGGCTGGTTTCAGCAGGTTGCAACCACTGCTAGGGGTTATAGGGGTTACACCAGGCCCCCTGCAAGAGCTGCAGACTCTCTTGTCTAAAACGACAAGCAGACAGAACGGAGTCCTCAGACACTGTCCCCGAGAGACCACCTTCCTCTGCCTCTGCTCACCTCCCTTTTCAGCAAACTAGCCCACCATCCTTCATAACAGAAGAGGGGCCTGCAGTAAAACATAGCATGCCTGGGCCCCCTACAAATTGCCATCTCCTCCCTGGCCTCAGTTTCCCTGCCTGTCTATATAATGAGAGGTCAGACCGGCTGGTCTAAAGGTCAAGGTTGATCGAAGCACTCTAACTCTCCCCACCCACCTCCCTTCATCAGCCAGTGCAGAGACACACACGCCCCTCCATGGTGCTGGATGTCCTCAGTTTTCCCAAAATGACCTGGCTTTGAAAGACCAAGGCCAAAATGGTTTGGCGGTGACTGTGGAGGCCAGCAGGACTCCCTGGCCACACGGTGACTCAAAGAGGCAGCCGGCAGGACAGCCCTGTCTCCCCTTGGGACAGTGATGCAATCCATGGGCAGCTGGGAGGGCTCCGCGGGCCAGACTGCTGGGCAGGCCCCCTCGCTTTCTGAGTTTCGGGCCCTCACTGTAACCTGCAGACCCTCCTTGAGCTGGAATCCAAAGCCCTCCTATGTGTGAGTCCTGCACTTCTCTAAAAGTGGTGGAAAAGACAGGCCAGGTTCGAGTCCAGCTCCCAACCCACCACTGCTGTTTTCAAAGCCTTGTGCCCTTGGGCAGGTCACCTCACTCACCCACTGCTGTCCTGTCTCATTCCCATGTGGATGTCGGTGACACCTGCCTCCCAGGTGGTGGCAGGTAAGACGAGATGATCCCGTCAGCAGAGGGCAGAGTGCCTCGGGGGAATTGGTGCTCACAGAGTTAGCCCTGATGGAGATGGCTGCCCAGGCTGGACCTTGTCAGCCTCCCCAGATGATGGATGAATAATGGATGGGCAGGCCGGGCGCAGTGGCTCACTCCTGTAATCCCAGCACTTTGGGAGGCTGAGGCGGGTGGATCACCTGAGGTCAGGAGTTCGAGACCAGCCTGACCAACATGCTGAAACCCTGTATCTACTAAATACAAAAAATTAGCTGGGTGTGGTGGTGTGTGACTGTAATCCCAGCTACTTGGGAGGCTGAGGCAGGAGAATCGCTTGAACCTGGGAGGCGGAGGTTACAGTGAGCTGAGATAGCACCATTGAACTCCAGCCTGGGCAACAAAAGCGAAACTCTGAAAAGAAAGAAAGAAGGAAAGAAAGAAAGAGAGAGAGAGGAAAGAAAGAAAGAGAGAGAGAGGAAAGAAAGAAAGAGAGAGAAAAGAAAGGAAGAAAGAAAGAAAGAAGAAAGAAAGAGGGAGGGAGGGAGGAAGGAAGGAAAAGGAAGAAAGAAGAAAGAAAGAAAACAAAGAAAGAAAGGAAAGAGAGAGAGAAAAGAAAGAGAAAGAAAGAAAGAAAGAAAAGAAGAAGAAAGAAAGAGGGAGGGAGGGAGGGAGGGAGGGAGGAAGGAAGGAAGGAAGGAAAAGAAAGAAGAAAGAAAAGGAAGGAAAAGAAAGAAAGAAGAAAGAAAGAAAAGAAAGAAAGAGAGAGAAAGAAAGAAAGAGTAAGAAAGAGAAAGAAAGACTGGATGGGCAAATTTGGACCGTGCACACACCAACCACCTTGCACAATGCTTGGTACTCTCACATCCGTGACTTCACTTAGCCCCCATAAAACCCCTGCTTCCATCATTTTCCAGCTGGGGAAACTGAGGCCCAGAAAAGAGACATTCCCAGTGTCACGCAGTGCTGGGTTCCAGCTGGGCAGTGCTGGAATCAAACCCCGGTCAACAGGGAGAGTCAGCTGCAGTTTGTCAGTGGAACAGCCTGAGCCGTGCGGCCGCGTTTCGCCAGAAAATCACTCCCTGCTCATCATAACCGGCACCTCTCCATGTCGGCCACACGAGGGCAGCAGCGCCCCGGCCATCGCCGGGCTTCGCACTGAGGCTTCTTCCATCCCTGCTGAGAACGACTGGGCGGTTGCAGCCAGCAAGGCTCAGAGGAGGAAGGGGCCACGTCGGGGACCTCTAGGGTCTGCGAGGGGCCCAGGCTGTGTCCTGCCCCCTCCGCTGCCTTGGTGCATGAAAGACTCCACTTCTTCTGTGAAATGGAGGCTTGTGTCCCCACCCAGGCAGCCCAGGCTCCGGATAACATCAAGTGCCTCTGCCAGGCTGGGGTGCGGCGAATAATCAAAAGAAGCACGGAACCACTGACCAGGTCCAAGTCTCCATTTCACAGAAGTGGAGGCTTCATGGTATCACTGCCTCCGTGCAGAAGAAAAGGAGACTCCAGAGGCTGACGCAATTTGCCTGAGGTAGACGCAGAGTCAGACTCAGAGGCCGTATTGGTTCGTCCCACCGTCTTCCAGAGAGAATGGGCTGCCTCCTGGAGCCCTGACCCACCCACGACAGCCCCCAGGATGTCCTACAGCCAGTTGCAAACTCAGTTTGTCCAAAGCCATTGCCCTTCCCTCTCTGTCTTCTGTCAGTGGGAGGCACCACTGCACAGAGACCCCCAGCCTGAAACCTGGCATCTCCCAAAACTTCTCTGAGCTCCTTAACCCCACATCTCCCATCCAACTCATCACCAAACTCTGTGGATTCTCCCCAGGCCCGTTTTTTAAGATGACAAAAATTGCCTTGAACTACATCTGGGCTGTGATTTCGGATTGGGACACACACTCTTCAGTTTGCTACAGGCTTCACCGCTCCCTGCTGCATCCCCAGCTCTGGGGGCCCAGGTCAGCTGCTGTCGAGCACTGGGCTTCACTGATGTGCTTTTTACAGCGAGGGAGTATTTCCTTGCCCCATCAAGTGTGCAGGAAAGAAAGCTGGGCAGAGAAGTCTGCCTATTTGAAGAAAAAAAATCAGAAACAATTTTCTTCAGGTGACAGAAGGCAATTTTTAAGAAGCATGCAACCAAAATGCATTATATGTAAACTGTGTAATATCTAATATTTTTTACGCTCAGCCCACGTTATACATTTTTGCCACCTGTCTGGCCACTGTAGGCTTTGGAGGTTGCAACCCCCAGGTGATAATAATCACAGAAGAGACTTACAGTGAGATAGCGAGATGGGGGTGGGTGTGGGCAGAGGGAGAGGAAGAGTCAAGCCATTTAGATAACTTGGGTTTCCTCTCCAGGCCCCAAAAAGCAGGAAGGGGGCGCGTAGAGTACTACCTCCTATCCTATTTTGTCCAAAGCCAGATTCATAATCATTGCCACTTCCATGCACACCCTTCTCAGTTTCCCACCCGATTCCCATAGACGGGGCCCCTCCACTATCTCCTGCCCACAGTATAAGTCGTAAAGTCTCCCAAACCTCAACCAGGTGAACAATAGTGCCTGATGTCACCCAGGTCCTATTGCAATGATTATGTGTTTTTTCTTTAAGCTGTTAATGGAATGAATTATATTAATTAATTTCCTAATAATAGGAATTGCATTCATAAGATAAACATAACTTCATCATAATATGCTGGGGTTTTTTGTTTTTGTTTTTTTTTTCTTTGAGATGGAGTCTCACTCTGTAGCCCAGGCTGGAGTGCAGTGGCACGATCTCGGCTCACTGCAACCTCTGCCTCCAGGGTCCAAGAGATTCTCCTGCCTCAGTCTCCCAAGTAGCTGGGACTACAGGCGCCTGCCACCACACCTGGCTAATTTTTTGTATTTTTAGTAGAGACGGGTTTTACCATGTTGCCCAGGTGGTCTCAATCTCCTGAGCTCGGGCAATTCACCTGCCTCGGCCTCCCAAAGTGCTGGGATTATAGGCGTGAGCCACTGCACCCGGCCTGTACTGTATTTTTTATTATTATTGCTGAATTCACTGTGCTAATAATTTTCAAGAATTCTTGGAATCTATGCTCATGGGTAAAATTGACTTGAAAGTTTTCTTTATTGTACTGTCATCATCTGATTAGCCAGCTTATGCTAACCGAATAAGGTAAACTGGTAAGTGTTGACTGTGTTTCTCCACTGTGGAGTAGAAATTTGGGTAAGCTTGAACTGATTTGTTCTTTGACTGTTTAGCCAAATTAGGATTTGGTTCATCCCACCATCTTCCAGAGAGAGCTGGGCTATTAATTTGGTGAATTCCAAATTCACATATCTGGAATTGTCATCTGGGACAGACGTTTTCTTTATAGGAAGATTTTAAACTACTAAATTAATGTATTAAGTGATTATAGGACCTTTCAGGTTTTCTGTTTTTTCTTGAGTCAACTTCAGTAAATTGTATTTTTCTAGGAATTTGGCAATTTTGTTTAAGACTTCTTATGTATTGGCATACAGTCACTTATAACAGTCTTGTGATATTTAATATTATTCATTTACTCTATGAAAAATCTAGAATTATGTCCCTTCTTTCATCCCTAGTATTGTTTATCTGTGCTCTCTCTTATGTCTTAAACTTGTAAGAGATTTTTATAATTTTTTAGTCCTTTCAAAAAATAATATTTTGTCTTTGATTCTCTTCCCTACTTAGGTTTGTTTTCCGGTTTTTTTGTTTGTTTGTTTGTTTTTTGTTTTTTTGTGTGATGGCATCTCACTCTGTTGCCCAAGCTGGAGTACAGTGGTGTGATCTCAGCTCACTGCAGCCTCCCAACTCCTGGGTTCAAGTGATTCTCCTGCCTCAGCCTCCCGAGTAGCTGGGACTACAGGTGCCCACCACCACGCCTGGCTTATTTTTGTATTTTTTAGCAGAGACAGGGTTTTGCCATGTTGGCCAAGCTGGTCTTGAACTCCTGGTCTCAAGTGATCCACCTGCCTCGGCCTCTCAAAGTGCGGGATTACAGGTGTAAGCCACCATTCCCAACCATTTAGGTTTGTTTTCTACGTCATTAATTTCTGTGCTTTTTTTTTAGATGGAGTCTCGCTCTGTCACCCAGGCTGGAGTGCAGTGGCATGATCTCGGCTCACTGCAAGCTCCACCTCCCAGGTTTATGCCATTCTCCCGCCTCAGCCTCCTGAGTAGCTGGGACTACAGGTGCACACCACCATGCCTGGCTAATTTTTTTGTATTTTTAGTAGAGACGGGGTTTCACCTGTGTTAACCAGGATGGTCTCAATCTCCTGACCTCATGATCTGCCCACCTTGGCCTCCCAAACTGCTGGGATTATAGACATGAGCCACCACGCCTGGCCCTAATTTCTGTTCTTAACATTTGATTCCTTTTAATATCTTGGGGTTTATTCTGCTGTTCTTATTTTAACTTTTAAGTCAGATGCTTAGTTCGTTCATTTGAAGCATTTCTTTTTTCTTCTTCTTTTGTTTTATTTTTGAGACAGAGTCTTTCTCTTTTGCCCATGCTGGAGTGCAGTGGCACCATCTCAGCTCACTGTAACTTTCACCTCCTGGGCTCAAGCAATCCTCCTGCCTCAGCCTCCAAAGTAACTGGGACTACAGGTGTGCACCACCATGCCCAGCTAATTCTTGTATTTTTTGTAGAGACATGGTTTTGCCAGGTTGCCCAGGCTGGTCTCGAACTCCTGGGCTCAAGCAATCCACCCACCTCGGCCTCTCAAAGTTCTGAGATTACAGACGTGAGCCACCACACCTGGGCCATGAAGCATTTCTTATTTGCCAATACAAGCATTTAAGATTATAAACACTCCTCTAAATACTGCTTTGGTTGGATCTCACAAGTCGTGATGCAAAACATTTTTGTGAATGCTCAATTCTAAGTATTTTCTAATTTTAGTTGTGATTTCGTTTTTGGACCGCGAGTTGTTTGGATGTACTGTTTTTCCTAAAGTACAGGCATTTGCTTGTTGTCTTTTTGGTTATTAACATCTAACTTGTTTAGATTGTGATCAGAGAATATAGTCTGTGTACACATTGTGGTGGAAGCTATGACTACAGCACAGCTTCCTCTTCCGGAACGAAGGACTTAGTCCCCCAGCTGCTGCGAGAGCTGCTGGAGGATGGCCCCCAGCTGTCTGCTCTCTTAGGAAGTTATGTGGGCTGAGGAAATTGACTTGCCCAGTCAAGACCATGCCTCCTTCAATGAGCAGCCTGCATGCAATGGCTGCTCAGGGTGAGAATGTAAAGGCCTGGTTCCTTACCAACTCACACCCTTCTGAAGGACTACCCAGCTCCAGCACTCTCTGCGGAGCTGGCAGAGGCTTCCGTGGGTATTGCATTGCTGCTCCACCTCTCCATCTGTGCAGACCTGTCTCATCCCATGCATTCCACAAGTGCTGATCCAAGGAATGTTCCCAAATAAAATTCCTGCACCCCAATCCCCATCTCAGAGCCTGACTCCCAGGAGATCCGACCTACCAGCCTGATCTTGGACGTGCATTGAGGTTAGCTTTATAGTCTATGATACTTTCCAAATGTCCCATGCATGCTTGAAAAGAATGTGTTCTCCCCCATTTCGGGGTTTCATATGCTACATGTTGATTATATGAAACTTGTCATTGTGTTCCTCAAATCTTTGATTTCTTCACCAAAATGGCCTAAAAATATCCCATCCTAAAGGTGGAGATATCTATTCTTGTCCCTTCCATTTTTGCTTTATATTTTTTGCAGCTATGATGATATTATATATAAATTGAGAACTGGTACAGCTTCCTGGTGAATTGAGCCTTCCACCATTATCTAGTGACTCTGGATCACTAGATAATGGAGTGCAATGGCACGATCTCAGCTCACTGCAACCTCCACCCCCTGGGTTCAAGCGATTCTCTTGCCTAAGCCTCCCGAGTAGCTGGGATTACAGGTGTGCACCACCACACCTGGCTAATTTTTTGTCTCTTTAGTAAAGACGGGGTTTCTCCATGTTTTTTAGGCTGGTCTCGAACTCCCAACCTCAGGTGATCCACCTGCCTCAATCTCCCAAAGTGCTGGGATTACAGACGTGAGCCACTGTGCCCGGCCACATATTTTTTCTATACTTGGACTTTCAACAGTTCTTGGTTCCTATGTTTGAGGTATGGGATTATGCTCTCTTGTAAACAGAACATAATCTCTGTTTTTAAAATTCATTCAGACAGTCATCTTTCAACTAAAGTGTTTAGTCCTTTAATATGAATTACTGACAACATAAATGTAGATTAATTTCCATGGTCTCATAATGTATTTTCTATTCATTCTATATTTCCTACCCTCAGCCCCCTTTCTAATCTTCCTTTGTATCATTTGAGATTTTTATCTTCTTTTTCTTATCCTATTTTTTCTTTCTAATTATTTAGAAGTTATCAGCTCTATGACTAGTTTTTAGTGCTTACTCTAGCTATCTTAACACTGAGCACTTAACAAAGTCTAAACTTAATATATTTGCCTTCTCCCCAAATAATGGAAAGACATTCACAACTTGAATTTTGAGCATCCGTCCCATATTATATGGTATTGTCCAGTATTTTAATACTAGCCCATTTTTCCTACCATAAGTTAGGCATTATTATCGTGGAGTCCTATACTCCGTTGTTGTTTAGTTTTCCATCAAATGTTTCCAACATATGTGCCCATTGTTCCTTCTTGTATGCCTTGCCTTTTCTCTGGAATAATTTTGATTCTGTCTGAACTACATTACATTTAAATGTGTCCTTAGTGAAGATCTTTTGGAGGTAAAATCTCACCATTTCTTTTTGTCTGAATATGTCTTCATTTCACCCTCAGTTCAGTAGGATAGTAAAGAGTTCTAAGTTGACCGTTGTTTTTTTTCCAGCACATGAAAGATATAATTCCACTGTCTCCTGGTTTCCATTGAGGATAGTGATACATCAGCTGTAAATGATCCTTTAGAGTTTTTTTGTTTGTTTGCTTGTCTTGTTTTGTTTTGGGGGGCTTTTGTTTGTTTGTTTGTTTTTGAGGCGTAGTTTCACTCTTGTTGCCCAGGCTGGAGTGCAATGGGGTGATCTCGGCTCACTGCAACCTCCGCCACATGAGTTCAAGTGATTCTCCTGCCTCAGTCTTCCCAGTAGCTGGGATTATAAGTGCCCACCGCCATGCCAGGCTAATTTTTGTATTTTTAGTAGAGACAGTGTTTCACCATGTTGGCCAGGATGGCCTTGGACTCCTGACCTCAGGTGATCTGCCCACCTCGGCCTCCCAAAGTGCTGGGATTACAGGTGTGAGCCACGGCGCCTAGCCAGATGCTTTCAACATCTCTTTTTCTCTGATGTTCCATAGTTTTCTTGGGATGTATGTAAATGTGAATTTCTTTTTATTTATCTTGCTTGGGATTCACTGGGCTTCCTGGATCTGAGATTTGTTATGTATAATTTCACAAAAGTATCAGCCATTACCTCTTCGTGTATTGCCCGTTCTCCTATTCTGTTAGCTCCTTCTAGAACTCTAAATACACGTACATTAGGCCCTGCCACTTAATTTTTCTGGATAATTCCTTTGGTTCTACTAGCTTATTAAACCTCTCTTTGGCTGTGTGTAATCTGCTGCTCGCTCTGCTCATTTCAAATTTCAAATGCTACATTTTTCACTTCTGTACATTTTATTTGATTCTTTTTCAAATCTGGTTGTTCCTTTTTTTTTTTTTTTTTTTTTTTTTTTTTTAGATGGAGTCTTCCTCTGTCTCCCAGGCTGGAGTGCAAATGGCACGATCTCGGCTCACTGCAACCTCTGCCTCCCGGGTTCAAGCCATTCTCCTGCCTCAGCCTCCCAAGTAGCTGGGATTACAGGCACATGCCTTCACACCCAGCTAATTTTTGTATTTTTAGTAGAGACAGAGTTTTACCATGTTGACCAGGCTGGTCTCAAACTCCTGACCTCAAGTGATCCACCCACCTCAGCCTCCCAAAGTGTTGGGGTTACGGGCGTGAGCCACCGCGCTCAGCCCTGGTTGTTCCTTATGCTCTCTTATTCCCTGAACTTCAATTTTAATTGTTTGAAAACATAAAACTAGTTATTTTAAGTGTATATTCTGCCTGTGATCATTTCAAATCTGAAAGCTCTAAGGTTCCACTTGTACTGTCTCTTGTTTCTGCTGGTTCTCTTATCTTCCTTGTGAAGTTTATTAATTTTCACTGGGAGCTGCTCATTTTCTTGGGGACTTTGTGGACATTTCTATAAGGCTGAGATTGTAGCTGAATTCCTCGAGGAAGGTTTAAGGTTTGCTTCTGCAAGCTGACTGCGGGTACTATCAAGCAGGGGCCAGTTTCAATTTTCAACTTGAGTTTTTTTAAACCACACAAGTAGCAGGAATTCAAACTGAAAATCACGTGAGGGCCAGCTTGTGGTTACAGATTCTCAGTGGAGATATGTTTCTCTCAACCCAATGTCAAGGTCAGGGCAGGCAGGCTTCCTTTCTGTTCTCCTCTGCGGGGTGAGATTTGCTTTTCATTCTTTCTGACACTCTAGACATAGACCTTTTGGACTCAGGCTTTGAAGAGGTCTCCTATTACAGCCCCCCTTGGGGGAAGCCCAGACTTTATCTCCTGTCCCTTGCACCTCACACAGCTATGGAAACACAGGCTCCAAGTCTCCAAGGCGTCTACCTTTGCTTCATGTTGGAGATCCGTAACTTTCTTGCTTTCATGCTAACTCAGCAATGTGTAAAAAAAAAAACAAAGATTAAAACAATATTTTATCCAGCATTTTGGTTATAATCAGGGGAGTGATTAAAGGTATCGAATCTGGCAGAGTGCCAGAAACAGAAGCTCTCTCTCTCTCTCTCTGAGAACTTTCCAGAGTGTGCCTTGGCCGTGAGCCCATGCTTTTCTTTTAACACACACAAGAGCATATTCACAGATGTATCTGTGGGTTGCTGTTGCTGTTGTTGCAGTGTGTCCTCTTACATGGGCTTTTCAAGGGCCAGGAGGAAGGGAAAGTTAGGGGCTCTCAACCTTGATGTGGACATGAAACAATGAAGACTCTGGAGAAATGTATGGAGAAAGTTGAATAATGGAGTGATGGCTGTTATATGCGTGCAGCATATTTGCACGTCACCCGTTGTTAATCACAGCTTCCCCTCTGTACCGGGGAATGCATTTCAACCAGGATATGGTCACAGAAAGCTTCAAAACTGACCTGCAAAAAAAAAGTTTTCGTGCCACAAAATGAAAATGCTTCTTGCCAGTTGGAATCACACCAACCAAAGCTGGGCCTGTGGATCTTAGCAGCCCTAACCAGAAGGCCCAACCGACGGGCGTCAAGAGCCTGGCAGGGAAAGCGCTGGACTGTCTGATGGAGCGTGCATGCTTCAACCCTCATCTTTCTTAAAATGGAAGCAATCCCGGTCCCTAAATATACATGGGTCTTTCAAAACCTTGCTCCTTCTCCCACCTACCTTCACACTTCTGACTCAAGGGGGAAAAATAGCCCTCCAGCAATTCATCTCCTTCACGGGCTGCCGGCAAGCTTATAATTTTTTTTCACAGCTGAGTTATTTCTGATCTATGTCCTGGCAAAAAGAAATATAGAGCAACAGTGGCTGGGAGACGTTTGGAAGCTGTGCCAAGCCAAACAGTGTCTAAAAGTCTACATTTGAGCCGCCAACCTTGGGAAAGTGTGTTTTAACTCTACAAAAAAAAAAAAAAAAAAAAAAAAAAAAAACACACACCAAAAACCTTAAAACACTCGTGATGTAAAACGAACTTAAAATGAGGGTCAGAAAGGAACTCTCATGAGTTATAACGGGAGGCAGCCCCCCAGCCCCTGAACGTGTGGTCTCACATACCCCTTCTGAAGGCATCAGAAGAACCACAAAGCATTGCAGCTCAGCAGGTCCCAGAGGCCCCTGGGGACAGCGAAGCTTGGAGGTGACAGACAAGCTTGTGAACCTCACCACACTGCGGTTGACGCCTTCTTCACCTCTTAGCCGGGTGCTCCTGGGCAATGCATTTGACCTGAGCCTTCAGTTGCTGAACTGTAAAACTGATGCTAGAAAACCCACCTTGTGAGGTCAACACAGCAATCAGATAAAATTATATAGGCAATCACACATAATCACAGTGCTTAGAGAGTGCTAGTGCTTACTAAGTGCTCACGATGACAAATGCCGCGTTTGTATTGTTGTACTGATGCTTAGTAGATGATAATGATAATGATGAGGTTGATGATGATAAAGGAGGAGGAGTAGAAGAAATTGAATCTGAGAGAGAGAGAGAGAGACATGATTAAAGTAATTTTAGGCCAGGAGCACTGGCTCATGCCTGTAATCCCAGAAATTTGGGAGGCTGAGGTGTGAGGATCGCTGGAGCCCAGGGGTTCAAGACCACCCTGGGTAACATGGCAAAACCCCGTCTCTACAAAAAATACAAAAATTATCAGGGCCTGATGGTGTGCACCTGTAGTCCCAGCTACTCCGGAGGCTGAGGTAGGAGGATTGCTTGAGCCCAGGAGGTCAAGATTGCAGTGAGCTGCGATTGTGCCATTGCACTCCAGCCTGGACAACAGAGTGAGATCCTGTCTCAAAAAAATAAAAAATAACATGATTTTTAAAAAACAGTCAGTGGCAGACACAGGATTATAGCCTTGCTCTCCTGACCTCCAGTCCTGTATTCTTTCTACCGTTACTAACATTGCAGTCATTCTTTTAGTATTACTATTAACCACCAACAGTTCTAAACGGGTCTAATGCTCATTCAGTGCTCCCACGCACATCTTCTTAGCACTGTTTCATGTCAACTTTGTGAGGAAATCTGGAGACACCCATTTTGCAGATGAAGAAATTGAGGCAGAGAAATAAAATGATTTGTCCAATTCCAGTAAGCCAATAGCAGAACTGGGGTCTGAACTTGGATCTCTTGGGGGAAGGTCAACCCTGGTTTTGTCTTCTAAAACATCAAACTAGGATTGATTGAGGCTGGGTCCTCTGCTGACTCAGGGGACTTGGACAGGATTTGGAACCGTTCCTTGTCCTGAGGACACTCACTGACTAATGGGCCAGACAGACATTAAAAGTTAAAATACATAAGGGCTTCCAGGCCCAGCACGGTGGCTCATACCTGTAATCGCAGCAATTTGGGAGGCTGAGGAATATGGATCACCTGAGGTCAGGAGTTCGAGACCAGCCTGGCCAACATGGTGAAACCCCATCTCTACTAAAAATACAAAAATTAGCTGGGCGTGGTGGCGCGTGCCTGTAATCCCAGCTACTTGGGAGGCTGAGGCAGGAGAATCACTTGAACCTGGGAGGTGGAGGTTGCAGTGAGCCGAGATCGTGCCATTTGCACTCCAGCCTGGGTGACAGAGTAAGACTCTGTCTCAAAGAAAATAATTAAATAACAAAAAATAAAATAAAATAAAATGAGAGTAGAACTAATTGAACATCTCTTCGAGGATGTTAAAGCCCCAGAGTCTTCTCCCCAGCTCCAGGAAGCCATGCAACACACCTCTCAACCACTCCCTGGCAGGGACCTAGAGGTTTATACTCTGGAAAGAGTGAGAGAGATCCTCTGGACAGGTGCATATGGAATGCTGAGAATCCTACAACTTTCCTCCCACCCTTGTCCTAGAACACTAGCAGCCGGTCCTTCACTGTCAGGCAAGAGACTGGAAGAGGTTTCTTCAGGGAATCTTACCAGCCCAGGGAAAATGTCTTTATACAGAGACATTTCCCAAACCAATCCTCCCAGTCAAATGACCTTCAGGAAAGCTCTTATCACCAAGCGCCACTCACACACTCAGAAGGACCAATCCCATGAACAGGCAACCAAGGATTGTTAGACTTGGGAGGAAAGCAGCAAAGCTGAAACAAATGACTCAGGTAAAAGTAACTTGGAAGAAATAGAAACTATTTTAGGGGAGGAAAACTTTCTTTTTTTCAGAGATGGGGTCTCACTCTGTTGCCCAGGCTGGAGTACAGTGGCATGTTCATAGCTCATTGTAACCTTGAACTCCTGGGCTCAAGCAATCCTCTCGTCTCAGCCTTCCTAGAATCTAGCACTACAGGCATGCACCACCATGCCCAGCTAATTTTAAAAACAATTTTTTTGTACAGATGGAGTCTCTCCATGTTGCCCAGGCTGGTCTCGAACTCCTGGCCTCAAGCAATCTTCCTGCTTTGGTCGCCCAAAGCACTGGGGTTATAGGCATGAGCCACCACATACGCCCTAGGAAAAAATTTTAAAAGCTGCCATTGACATTCTTAGAGAAAGAAAAGAAGAAGATATTATACTCATGAAACAAGAACAGGACACTGCAAAAAATGAATATTCTGAGAATCTAAAAAGAGCTCTTGGAAACTAAAAACAGCAGAGATTTTAAACAATTAGTAGAAGAGCTGGAATATAAATTTGAGGAAATATACCAAAAGGACAGAGATGCAAAACAGAAGGTATGATGATTAATTTTATGCATCAATTTGGCTGGATCGTGGGGTGCCCACATATTTTGCTAAACATTATTCTAGAATGTGTCTGTTGAGGGTCCTCCCTGAGGAGATCAACATTTGACTCAGTAGCCTGAGTAAAGCAGATGGCCCTCCCCAATGTGGGCAGGCACCATCCAAATCTTGAGGCCCTGAATAGAACAGAAAGGTGGAGGAAGGGCAAATTTGCTGTGTGCCTGACTGCTTGAGCTGGACGTGGGTCTTTTTCTGCCCTCAGACTAGGACTGACAGGAACCCCATTAGCCCTTGGGTTCTCAGAGCTATACCACCAGCTTTCCTGAGTCTCCAGCTTTCAGACAGCAGATTGCGGGACTTCTCTCATGAGACACACACACACACACACACACACAGTTGGTTCTGTTTCTCTGGAGAGACTTCATACAGAAGTGGGGAAAAAAACAATGGAGCAGTTCAAGACATCCATTTATTTATTTATATATTTTATTTTATTTTTGTAGAGACGGGGTTTCACCGTGTTGCCCAGGCTGGTCTCAAACTCCTGGACTCAAGCAATCTGCCCACCTCAGCCTCCCAAAGTGCTAGGATTACAGGCGTGAGCCACTGCACCCAGCCTACATCCAGTTAACAGAAGGTCCAGAAAGACCAGAGAAAGTGGGGGAAGAGATTAATAAATAATTTGGGGAGTTTTTCAAAATTAAAGGACCTAAATTTTAAAAAGTACAAGGATCCACCAAGTACTTCTTCAGGCAAGCCATAAAAAGAGAGCCCTAATATGACACATCATCATGAAAAATGAGCCTCCAGGATGAAGAGAAGCTTCCAGGAAGAAGAAATGGCAGGAATAGCTCTGGACTTCTTGACAGCAACATTGACAGCCAGCAGGTGCAGGAGCAATGCTATGAAATGCTGAAGGAGAAGTGTTTCCAACCTAGGTTTCTTTGGGTGGTGTTGTTGTTGTTGTTATTATTGTTGTTTTGAGACAGAGTCTCGCTCTTGTCTCCCAGGCTGGAGTGCAGTGGCACAATCTCAGCCCACTGCAACCTCCGCTTCCTGGGTTCAAGCTATTCTCCCACCTCAGCCTCCCGAGTAGCTGGGACTACAGGCACGTGCCACCATCCCTGGCTAATTTTTTAATTTTTTGTATTTTTAGTAGAGACAGGGTTTTACCACGTTGCCCAGGCTCGTCTCGAACCGCTGACCTCAGGCAATCTGCCCTCCCAAAGTGCTAGGGCTACAGGTGTGAGCCACCACGCCTAGCCCCAACCTATATTTCTTTACCCAGCCAAGCTATCAGTCAAATGAGAGGATAGAATGAAGAGATTTTTAGACATGCAAGGTCTTGAAACACATATAGTCAGTCCTCATTATTCTTGGATTCCATATTTTTGAATTCATTTAATCAATAAAATATATTTGTAACCACCAAACTAGTATCCACACAGCTTTTGCAGTCATCTGCAGACATGCGTACAGCAGCAAAAATTTGAGTCACTTGATGTGCATGTTTCCAGCTAAGGTTGAAAAAGGTGACCCTCTGCCTTCTTGTTTTGACTCTGATGATGTAAACAAGTGTCCTTTTTGCAGTCTAGTTAGTGTCATGTTTTTCATATTTTTTGTGCTTTTTGTTGATATTTCACTGGATTGTTTTTTGTTTTGGTTTGGTTTTGCTTTTGGCTTTTTTTTTTTTTTTTTTGAAATGGAGTCTCGCTTTATCACCCGGGCTCGAGTGCAATGGCGCGATCTCAGCTCGCTGCAACTTCTGCCTCCCAGGTTCAAGCAATTCTCATGCCTCAGCCTCCCGAGTAGCTGGGATTACAGACATATGTCACTACACTTGACTAATTTTTATATTTTTAGTAGAGACGGGGTTTCACCATGTTGGCCAGGCTGGTCTTGAACTCCTGACCTCATGTGATCCACCCACCTCAGCCTCCCAAAGTGCTGGGATTACAGGCATGAGCTACTGTGCCTGGCCTGGATTTTTTGGTTGTTGTTGTTTTGTTTTGTTTTGTTTGAGACAGCGTCTCACTCTGTCACCCAGGCTGGAATGCAGCGGCGTGATCTCCACTCACTGTAACCTCCGCCTCCCAGGTTCAAGCAATTCTCTTGCCTCAGCCTCCCTAGTAGCTGGAGTTGCAGGCAAGCGCCACCACACCTGGCTAGTTTTTGTATTTTTAGTAGAGATGAGGGTTTCACCATATTGGCCAGGCTGGTCTTGAGCCACCGTGCCCAGCTGATTTCACTGTTTTAAATGACCCCCACCCCCAAGCGCAGTGCTGAAGGGCTGTTGATATGGTTTGGCTGTGTCCCCACCGAAATCTCATCTTGAATTCCCACGTGTTGTGGGAGGGGCCCAGTAGGAGGTAATTGAATCATGGGGGTAGGTCTTTCCCGTGCTGTTCTGGTGATAGTGAGTCTCACGAGATCTTATGGTTATTATAAGCGGAATTTTCCTTTCCTCTTTGTCTGCGACCATCCACGTGAGATGGGACTTGCTCCTCCATGCCTTCTACCATGATTATGAGGCCTCCCCAGCCACATGGAACTGTAAATCCAGTTAAACCTCTTTCTGTTGTAAATTGCCCAGTCTCAGGTAAGTCTTTATCAGCAGCATGAAAATGGACTAATACAGCTGTCTAGTGTTCCTAAGTGCAGGAAGTCTGGGGTATGCCTTACAGGGAAAGCCCACGTTAGAGAAGCTTCGTTCAGGCAGGAGTTAGAGTGCTGTTGGCCATGAGCTCAGTGTTAATGAGTCAACAATATATATTAAATAGGGTATCTTTAAACAGAAATATATATAAAACAAAGTTATGTGTTGATCAGTTGGTGACAACACTGTGACCCCAGACTCATAGGAATGGAACCCTGTATTTCCCTCTTGGAGCATTGGCTTAGTGTTGGGTAATTCAGCATTTTTGGTGACTTTATAGACCGTAACTGGTGTGAATAATGAGAATAGACTGCTTTCCTTACATGCTTTCTCTGAAGATTACTAGAGAAGATACTTCACTAGAATAAGGGCTAAATCAAGAAAGAGGAAAATATGGGATATGGGAAAAAGAGAAAGGCAAGGGGGATCCCAGGTTGCTGGAGGCGGGATGCCCTATAGGCATGGGGCACCAGGCTCCAGCTTCCCTGGGCAGATGGGCGTGAAGACCCCAGTGCATCTCGAAGCCCTGCGAGGAAAGGGCAGGACTGAACTAGCAACAATTGTCTAGAGAACGATGCAAAGGAGAAACCACGAAAATGATTTGCTGGGGTCGGGGTAGGGAGTGCGACTGTGCGGAAAAGGTTGACAAAGAGGACAGTCATTTATTTGCTGCTGGAAGCCATTTACATGAATTGACTCATTGAAAGCAAGGCCAGGTAGAAGGCAATCAACCAAGAGGCTGAAGAATTTGTCCAGGATCACACAGCTAAGTGGCAGAAGGAGGACTAGAACCCGGAAAAGTGGCTTAGAACTCCATGCCCTTCACCACTGACAATGCTGGTGTCCTAAAAACAGGTCTGAGGGTGGGGGGCAGGTGCGCACAGTGAGTAGGGGTCAGGAGGCAGCGATATCCTCACCTTCCAGAAACAGAGGTCAACCAATGAGGCTGACAACTAAAAAAAAAAAAAATCAAGATGGAGTCTCAGAGGCCAGGCAGAGTGGCTCATGCCTGTAATCCCAGCACTTTGGGAGGCTGAGGCAGGCAGATCACCTGAGGTCAGGAGTTCAAGACCAGCCTGAGCAACATGGCAAAACCCCACCTGTACTAAAAATACAAAAATCAGCCAGGTGTGGTGGCGGGCGCCTGTAATCCCAGCTACTCAAGAGGCTGAGGCAGGAAAATCACTTGAACCCAGGAGGAAGAGATTACAATAAGCCGAGATCATGCCACTGCACTCCAGTCTGGGCGACAGAGCAAAGACTCCGTCACAAAAAAAAAAAAAAAAAGATGCAGTCTCAGAGGCAAATGACACAGGGTAAAAACAAAATAATTGGTTAAAGGAGGTGAAATAGTTGCCTCTGGGGAGGGGACAGGAGGGGGTGAAGGACAGGAACAGGGAACTGCTGTTCCTCTTAACAAACCTTGTAGAGCTATTTGCCTGTATAAGTTTCATGAAAATAAAAGCTAAAAATAAAGAGAAGAAATAAACACTGTTCCCGGATCCTAGACAGAGCCTGCAAGCCAGGGCTGCCAGGTGAGGCCCCGGGGACGGGGTAGCCATGGCTTTTCCTGTTTGCCCTGGAGACTTTGTCTTTGACTTGGGAGACACCCTCTGGCCCTCCAACACCAAGCACGGTGGTTGGGGGTTGGGGGTGGTTCCCCGTGTGAGTTACGGCCCCAGATTGGTTGACGATCCCAGCAGGGAGGGAATCGCCTGCCTGTGGAAGACCCCAGCTGCACCAATCTTCCTGCTCATTCAGGGGCTGCTGGGCTTGACCTATCGATGTCAGTTGCAAATGAGGGGTCCTCCCACAGCTGCTCAGCCAGCCCCTCATCTGAGACCCGTGCTCCAAAAAAGAAGCTGGGGCGGCAGAGGGCTGTCACCTCACACGCTAATGACATGGGCACGGACATAAGAGGCCCCCAAGAGACACACCAAGCACCTGAGGTCACAGAGACAAAGTAGAATCCACAGAGCAGTGGTGCCCCAGGGAGGCAGGAGACCCTCATCCCATCTCCAATCCCACCCTGGTCCCCACTCCCCAGTCCAGATGGGACTCCCTGCCTCTTTCCCAGATGTCCCCCACACTGACTCACTGTGGGCGGCAGCTTTTACGTAAGAGGGCCAAGTGATGGCCCCCACAACAGATCATCTGAGGCTGAGTATTAGACACCACTGCATATCCACCACGCCCCTCTTTTTCTCTTCCTGTCAAACTCAGTAATGGAGACAACCTCCTTCCTCTGGGAGTTTCAGATGCAGAGGCAAACTTTTCCCTCTCACAGCTATGATAACGGTGTCGTCTCATCTGGCCCTTAGCAATTTTTGAACCCCAGCACATCCAGCTAGTGGAATTAATACTTCTCAGGGTTCCTTCGAGGGCCAAATGAATCATGCAGGCTGGGGTATTTTGGGAAATAAAAGGGTGAGAAATCCAAAGAATATTTTGAGAAATGTGCGCAATCAGCCCTCTCAGATGTTCAAATAGATGATTAAGTCTCTGATTAAACAGCAGAGCTGGCATGAATGGAACTGACCAGAGAGCAGAGAAATGTTCTCATGTACATGAATTTAATACATGACCAAGCTGTCTTCAGTGGGCAAAGAACAATGGAAGGAGTAGCCAATATAAAAGCAGCTTGGGGGTCGGGCGCAGTGGCTCACACCTGTAATCCCACCACTTTGGGAGGCCGAGGCAGGTGGATCACCTGAGGTCAGGTGTTCAAGACCAGCCTGACCAACATGCAGAAACCCCGTCTCTACTAAAAATACAAAATTAGCCAGGCGTGGTGGTGCATGCCTGCAATTCCAGCTACTTGGGAGGCTGAGGCAGGAGAATCGCTTGAACCGGGGAGGCGGAGGTTGCAGTGAGCCAAGATCACACCATTGCACTCAGCCTAGGCAAAAAGAACAGAACTCCATCTCAAAAAAAAAAAAAAATCAGCTTGGATGCCTTCTTCATATCTTTCACAGATGCTGAAAAAAATAAATTATTTATCAAGCAAAGCAAACCCTAGGAGGGCTGGTCAAAAATATAAGTGAATATTAACCAGATCTCAGGAGGAATGGGAAGTCTTCGAGCTTTAAAATCATTAAGGAGATTTTTTTTTTGAGGAGAAGCAAAAGTGATTGACGACTATATAAAAACAAAAAACAAATCTCCCATACCACAGAATAAAAAACTAATGGGGGTAGAGGGGAACTAAATTGACAACCAAATGAATGGCAAAGGGTTAATATCAATAATCTGTGAAAACACTACACTGGCTGGTAAGAAAAGCCTTAAACCAACAGGGTTTTTATTTTCTTTTATTTTTTGGAACTTGACGAAATGATACCAAATTTCATCTGGAAAAATAAACGTGCGAGACCAGCCAGGGAAATTCTGAGGAAAAACAAAAGTAGTGGAGGAGGGCTGGCTTTACCAGATGTTAAAACATCTTAGGAAAGTACAATAACTTTTAAAGTTTAGCCCTGGAAAAGAAGTAGACAGTTCCATCCAGACGCGAGTGCAGAAATGGATGGAAATATGTAGGATTTCAGCACGTGAATGAGAGAAGGAATTTCACATCGGAGGGGAAAGGTGCATTGTTCAAAGTAAGGCATAGAGATAAGTGGGTAGCGGCCATCTGGAAAAAATAAAACAGAATCCCTACCTCACCCCCTACACCCAGATCAGTTCCACATGGGTCCAAAATTTAAACCAAAAAATTGAACCTTAAAAATTCTAAAAGAAACATAGGTGAACTTACAATCTTTGGAAAGGAAAGATCTTTATAGGCAGGATACAGAACACAGAAGCCACAATAAAATTCATTTGGGGAAATCAATGGGTGAGAAGTCCCAAGAATATTTTGAAAAAGATGGGGAATAAGCCCTCTCTGATATTAAAATACATGATTAATGGGGAGATGAGAAACAGGCTTTCCTCCATAAAACAGTTCAATACGTGATAATGGTGTCTTCTCTGGACAATGAACAATGGGAAGAACATTCAGACTGTGAAGTTGGGACATCATGAAAAGAAACATAAGTTTAAGTCCATTTTCCACATATACTAAAGAATAAATTATTTATAAAGCAAATCAAATCTTAGGCTGGCCAAAACAATAAAGGAATATTGAACCGGACTCTAAAGGAATGAGAACCTTGCAAGCTTTAAATGATTGAGGAAATCATGAAGGAAAAGGAGAACTGATTCAACTATTTAGAAAAGACCTTCTATATCAAAAAATCAAAGTGCAACAATTTTGACTACGTAACATTTTTTCATTTCTAGGTGAATAAAAAAGGTATATACCAAGTCAAGACAGAGCTGAACAGGGACTGACATTCACAGAATTAATTGCTTTAATTTAGAACATGTTTATACAAGTAAATGAAAGAAAGACTTAAAACCTAACAGATAATTGACAAAATCTGAATATGAAAAAGCAACTCCCAGAAAAACAAATTCAAGTAAATGGTAGCCATATGAAAAATGTTCAAGCTCACTCATCATCAAGAAACAATACAATGCCCTTTGGGGATAGGTTAAAAACCTATCCAATTGGCCAAGATTTGTAAGTTTGAAAATACCCCAAATATATGGAAAAATAGCCATTCTCAAACACTGTAGTGGGAGTATGAATTGGTCTATTCCACTCCTTTTAATGGCTGTATAATACTTCATGTGTGGATGTAGCAACATTTATTCAACCAGTCCCTGTTTATGGACATTTAGGGTTTTTTTCCTCCCAGTTTAGAATGAAAAGTGGTACCATGATGAACATCCTTGTACACACATCTTTGCATCCATGTGTAAACACATTTGTAGTAGAAATTCTTGGCAATGGAACTTCGCAGTAAATGCTGGTTTGCTATGAAAATTTTGAAAGATGTTTCCAAACTGCCTCCCGTAGGGTTACAGTCGTTTATACTCTGACCAATTGTATGTGAGCTGTGTTCCTATACCTTCTCCAGCAGCAAAAATTATAGCATTAATATTGTTTTGTTTTCATTGTTAAGTATATTTTTTAAAAGGGCAGTGGGGGCCAGGTGCGGTGGCTCACGCCTGTAATCCCAGCACTTTGGGAGGCCAAGGCGGGCGGATCACGAGGTCAGGAGATCGAGACCATCCTGGCTAACACTGTGAAACCCCATCTCTACTAAAAATACAAAAAATTAGCCAGGCGTGGTGGCAGGCGCCTGTAGTCCCAGCTACCGGGAGGCTGAGGCAGGAGAATGGCATGAACCCAGGAGGCGGAGCTTGCAGTGAGCCACGATCACACCACTGCACTCCAGCCTGGGGGACACAGTGAGACTCCGTCTCAGAAAAAAAAAAAAAGGGGGCAGTGGGGTGGAGTGGGGTGGGGTGAGTAGGGGGATTGTCAGGAAATTGCAAGTTGTGGTACAAATGTAAGACATTTTGATTTCTTCACCTTTGCCACTTACCTACCACAAGCTCCTCAGCTCATCCCCTTCCCTCCCTGGGCCTCAGTTTTCCCATCTGTGAAACAGGAGAATGAAATAAATTGATATTTTTCAAACTTACTCACCAAATGACAAAGCTGAGTGAGGTGATCTTACCTCTGTGTGTCTGGGGTGGGTGGGCGGTCACCCCTGCCCACTCTTCCCTCCTACACACCAGAGAAGCAAACACACATCGGGAGCTCCAGCCTGGCCCAGCCCACGAATTCAGGACTCTGGTCTCATTCCCAAGCTGCAGCTGAGGAAGGTTAGGAAGCCAATTCTGTTGCAAAGGTGGTCGCTTTCCTGCCATAAGTGATGTTGGACCCCAGGGCTGCCTTTCCTGGTGTCTTAAATGTGAGCCATTCAAACACCAATCTTGACCTGAACCATCTGTGGCTCCCCATCGCCTAGGGAATTAAGGCTGACTCCCTTCACTGATTCTGACCTTGAGCCTCCAGATTCTGGCTCCAGCCTCTCTCTCCATGGTCTGGCCAGACACCCAGTTTCTATCTCCTGCAAACCAAGCCTTGACCACATACCTTATCCAGGGGCTCCCCCTCCTGCTGGCCTTTGTTCACCCACAAGGTCTCCCACCCATCTCTAATGACTTCCTTTACCACCAATTGTGTGTGCCCTTCCGCATAATCTATAGTGTGCAATGAGGTGCAGGAATCAGAGGCCATAGGGTTATAACAGGGAAATCTATAAGCCTTCATCAAAGCATTCCAGCTTGGTGATTCTTAGAGAATCTAAGACAAAGCAAGCATATTCAAAATAGAGCAAGTATAATTACAATTAAGGTTGGGTAGGTATGCACGGATGAAGAAAAAGACTGGAAGGAAATATAATACACCAAAATGCCCCAGGTTTTGAGTATCTTCAAGATAATAACATTGATAGGCTGGGCACTGTGCTTCACGCCTATAATCCCAAGACTTTGGGAGGCCGAGGCGGGTGGATCACCTGAGGTCAGGAGTTCAAGACCAGCCTGACCAACATGGGGAAACCCCATCTCTACTAAAAATACAAAATTAGCCAGGCATGGTGATGCATGCCTGTAATCCCAGCTCCTCAGGAGGCTGAGGCAGGAGGATCGCTTGAACCCAGGAGGCGGAGGTTACAGTGAGCCGAGATTGTGCCACTGCCCTCCAACCTGGGCAATAAGAGAGAAACTCCGACTCAAAAAAACATTGATAATGCTGATGATGATAGCTTACTCATGTTAAACACGCCATGCCAAGGACAACGCCAAACATTTTATATGCTCTCTTTACCTAATTTTATATATTTCAAGCTCTCTGTAATTTACGTGTTTAACTTTTGTCATAAGAAAAATGTGTTGCTTTTTAGCATATTAGGGTTAAATCATGATGGATGGAGAATTATTTTCGTGCAATGAAAGGTGGGTTCTGGATAGAGATGGCTAAGGTCAGACTCCTCCCACCTTCCAGATGAGGTTCCTAAGTTTCTTGACCCCCTTTCTCTGCTGCCCCCTCCCTACACCCCTGCAGTTTTTCCTGAAAACTGGGCCCAACAGCTGGCTCTCATACACGTTGTCAGAAGAATGAAGCTAGAACCCCAGATCCCTGGAGTCTCCTCCCCTGGCCTGTTTTAGGTGGCCCAAGCTCCCACAGCCATCCGGCAGCAGGGTAGTGGTCAAGAGCCCAGACTCTGGAATTCAGACCATCCCTGACCCTGCTGTATGCCCCTATGTGAACTTGGCCAAGTGGCCCCTTCTTCTGTGCCTCAGTTTCCCCATCTGTAAAATGGCCATCATGGCAGAAGCCACCTCCTTTGTAGACCTGGGTGAGAAGGAAACAGTATGAGTTAAGAAAAGTGCTGTATCCAAGGCCTGGCACATAGTAGGCTCTCAGTACCCAGGTCCTACCATTATCATCATCATTTGTTGTTAATGTGTTGGAGGAATGCTCAGAGGCAGCAGGCAGACATTCCCCCCAAAATAAGCTCTTAGGAAGAAGCCCCCTGGACGCAGGCTCGGAAAACCAGAATGTTAAAAAGATAAATAAAGCCTCTCTGTAGCTGGACAAAGTCTGGGCGGACCAGAGGGGGCAAGGGAATTCGGCTGCGGAGAAGGATTTAAGCCCTGGACAATGGGCGCCGTCTGAACTAACCGGAGCTGCTTCTTTGAGTCGTGAGTAGAGCTATTTTCTTGTTTAAAGCCTTAAACAGCTATTAAGTTGGGCAAATCACTGGTAAAACAGCTGGAAACCTAAGTAGCAATTTAAACAGCCCATTGCCCTTCCATCCCGACATAGAATGCCGGCCGCTCGGACAGACCATCTCCAGGTCCGACTTTGTCAGGCCTAAGAGGATTGAGTGGGGGACCCTTCCCCAAGCTCTGAATGCAGCCAGGAGCTTTATTTAGCAAATCCACAATTTCCACCCCACCCCCTCCCCCTTTTTTTTTTAAGTGAGCAGACTGAACTCTAATTTTCCCTCTTTTCTCTCCCCGGTCTCCTTGAATCGGCCCATTCTTTCATTATGTGGAACTAATGAAGGCCTCGCAGAGTCCCTGCTCAGGAATAGGGCCCTTTAATAAAACATGTTTCATTGATCAACTTCAAAAAGTCTTTTAGTGGGGTTGGAGGTGGGAGAGGGAGGAGGTAGTTGGGATGGAGTGGAGCGGGGGAGGGTCTCCCAGGGCACCACTGGGGGAAGCTGAGCCTGGCGAGTGACAGCCTGGGAGCTCGGGCAGGCGTGCATAATGTCTGTTTCTTTCCTCACGATCCAAAATCCAAATCCACAATCCATTCGTTTGTTTTGTGGGCCGGTGATTCTGCAGGCGCCGGGACAGGCCTGCCTGAAGCCTCCCCATTCACCCACATGGGACGGGAAGGAGGGCTGGATTGCTTTACATTTTTTATTTTATTTTTTCTTAATCTACTCACAAATAAAACTTTTGGCCAGCTAAACAGAGCTCTGGACTTACAGCAGTCCCCCAGAGAAATATGGCCGCCAGCTTTGGGCTTCTCTAACATCCGTCCCAGCAACATCCCTCAGGCACAGTGTGACAGGGGAGGCGCCGCGGCACACAGACCGTCGGACCCCCGCCTGCCATGAATATTAAGTGAGAACCTACTATGTGCGCAGGAAGCTCTACGGATTAATTTTACTTTTATGGTTTTTTAAAAAATTGTTTGAATTGCAAAAGCAGTGAATGCCAATTACAAAGCCATTCCATGACACTGTGGGGTACACAGTAAAGCAAAAGTCCCTATTAAGGATTTTTTTTTTTTTTTTTTTTTGAGACAGTCTTGCTCTGTCGCCCAGGCTGGAGTGTAGTGACACCATTTTGGCTCACTGCAACCTCCACCTCCTGGGTTCAAGACATTCTCCTACCTCAGCCTCCCGAGTAGGTGGGATTACAGGTGCCTGCCACTGCACCCAGCTAATTTTTTTTGTATTTTTAGTAGAGACGAGGTTTCACCATGTTGGCCATGGTTGGCCAGGCTGGTCTCGAACTCCTGATAGATGATCCGCCCACCTTGGCCTCCCAAAATGCTGGGATGACAGGCATGAGCCACTGTTCCCAGCCCCTATTAGGGATCTTAATCTCACTCCCAGGAGAAAACCACTATTCACATTCAGATGTGTCGCTTTTTGAGACTTTCTTTATAAAAATACACACATACACTCACATCATACAAACAGGGTTTTTTAGTTTGTTGTGTTTTTGCAAACACAGGATCACAGGCAAATCCTGTTTCAAAACTTGCTTTTGTCACAATGTAGCAGGACCATTTTTTCAAGACACTCTTTAAATGTTGCATATTAATATTCTATAGTGGCCAGGCGCGATGGCTCACACCTGTAATCCCAGCACTTTGGGAGGCCGAGGCCGGTGGATCACCTGAGGTGAGGAGTTCGAGACCAGCCTGGCCAACATGGTGAAACCCTGTCTCTACTAAAACTACAAAAATTAGTTTGGCGTGGTGGTGAGTGCCTGTAATCCCAGCTACTGGGGAGGCTGAGGCAGGAGAATTGCTTGAACCTGGGAGGCAGAGGTTGCAGTGAGCTGAGTTCATGCACTTGCACTCCAGCCTGGGTGACAGAGCATGACTCCGTCTAAAAAAAAAAAAAAATCTATTGTGTTTGTGCCATAATTTACTCAGCCTTTCCCCTACTGGAATATATTTATGTTGTTTTCAAGTTTTCCTTGTTATCAGTGATGGTGTCCTGAACACCCTTGAACAGATATCTCTGTCCATGGGTAAGTATTTCTGTAGATTCCTGAATGGACAATTGTTGACTCAAAGGCAGCTGCATTTTGTTTTACTTTTATTTTTATATAATACATAGAGTATGGTGCATTAGGCACTCATCTTAAGTATTTAGCTGAATGCATTTTGCACGTGGATATATCTGGGTAATCCCACCCAGGCTGAGACACAGAACACTTTTCTCACCCCCAGAAAGCTCCCTTGGGTGTCTTCCCTGACAGTTCCCCTCCCTGGAGGAAAGGAAAAATAATTTTCCATTTTGATAGATAAGCCCTCCATAAAGGCTGCTCCATCTTACATGCTGCCCACCGTGTCCAAGAATGTCCATCTCCCAACAGCCTCTCCAGCACTGGCTGTTACTGATCTTTATCTTTTTTGCCAGTTCCACAGGGAAATGTGTGTCTCATGTTGACCTAGTTGACCACTTGAATGACAGTGAAGCTAAACTTTTGTTTCTAGCAATACTTCACCTTTTATTAATTCCTCCTCTGCAAATTGCTGGTTCACATCCTTTGTCCATTTACTTTAGTCCCCTAAAAATTAATTATGTTGGGCTGGGCACAGTGGCTCATACCTGTTATCCCAGCACTTTGGGAGGCCGAGGTGGGTGGATCACTTGAGGTCAGGAGTTCGAGACCAGCCTGGCCAACATGGAGAAATCCCATCTCTACTAAAAATACAAAAAATAGCCGGGCGTGGTGGCGCACGCTTGTAATCCCAGCTACTCAGGAAGCTGAGGCAGGAGAATCACTTGAACCCAGGAGGCGGAGGTTGCAGTGAGCCAAGATTCCACCACTGCACTCCAGCCTGGGCAACAGAGTAAGACTCCATAAAAAAAAAAAAGAAAAAAGAAAAAGAATTATCTTGGATTAATTATCTTCTTCCCTCATACTTCCAAACTCCTCACCTTGTTAGTTAATGAATAATTTAAAGATTCACCTTTATTGGCTTCTGGGCACCCATCTTTCTGGCCATTTTTACCCTGGAACACTTGGGACAAGTCGCTGAACCTCTCTAAGCCTCAGTTTCTGCATCTATAAAGTTGGGGGGACTCACACCTTCATGGCAAGAGTGTTTTGCAAACAAAGTGAGATTGTGAACAGCTGGCTTGTATTAAGAACTTACTTTCCCAGTCTTTTCTTGGGTTCCAAAATGAGGAGCCCCTGGAATTGGATTCCTGTTGCCAAAAGGCAAGGAAAGATGAGGAGTTTAGAGGCTCCGGGTCCACCGTGGTGAGGGTCCTAAGGCTTACTTCAAAGCGATTCTTCTCAAACCCTGGCATCTTCTCAACCTTAGATCAGCAGGGTCTAGACTGCCCCTCAAAGAGTGTTCCAAATAAGCTAAACAGCAGCTGCATGATTGAAAGAAACGGGGCAGGGGTGGTCAAACCAACGCAGGGCACACCGGGCCAAGCAGACACAGGATATCTCTGCTGCAGGATCGCCCAGAGCCCTTAGTAAGCCAACAGCCAGGGCGGCTCTCCAAGAGGGCGAGGTGTGTGTGGGGTAGTTCCCAAGTGGATATGACCCTGGATTCCCAGAGCAGTGGAAGAAATAGCTTGGATGTCTGCTCTCAGAAAGCTACCTTCAGAGAAGACTTAGGTGGAGCTAAACAAACACCTTAACCCTATTTGCAGGATCCCCACGCAGGCCAGAGGGATTTTTTTTTTTTTTTTTGAGACGGAGTCTCACTCTGTTGGCGATGCTGGTCTCGAACTCCTGACCTCACGTGATCCACCCACTTCGGCCTCCCAAAGTGCTGGGATCACAGGCGTGAGCCTAGAACACAAATCTGCTATGTCATGCCCTTGCCCCGAGCCCTCATGTGGCTCCTCAAAACTGTCAGGATAGAGTGGGAACCCCCCCGCTTCACTCCCCACCCACAGCGTTGCCTCCAGGCCCAACACACTATTTGCCATTTGCTCTGCTTCCCAGGATGTTTCATGTCTATTCCTCTCCTTGGAATGTTCTTAGTCTGCGAGGCACCTGTCGAACTCCTGCTCATCCCACAAAATCCCACTTAACCCTCTGGCGAAATTTTATCTTCTAACATGTGCTCCTCCCCACCATGCCTGTCCTGCTGAGTGGATGCTTCCCTCCTTTATCACAAAACTGCACATGGTATGGACCTCAAATCCAGCCCCTATGTCTCCAAGAGGTGACTATCTACTCATTTCTATCCCCTAGTAGACTCTGAGCTCCTGGAGAGCAGAAGCTGTGCCCAGAACAGTGCTTGGCATATAGTGGGTGCTTGGTTAAATGTTTGTTGAATGACAAAATGACTATTTCTCTAAAAGAATGTTACCCAAAGAAAAGCACAGAGGTTTGATGATCGTTACTTTCTTTGCACTGAGTGCTGTGGAATTGATTATCCAGGACCAGAAACCCAAAGAGAAAGTTAAAACTTGGTCACTGGTTTGTCAAAGAAGGCATTGCCAAAAATGCCATGTCCGTTAGATGCTGGTTGGGTGGCATCCTTCGGCAAGGCCTTCCGGGGTAGGTCATGAAGACAGAGGACAGCATCCCTTCCCCCGTTCCCCATACCCTTGGGGGTGTGACGTTCTCCCTGCAAGGCCCAGAGCCAATGCCACCTTCTCCAGGAAACCCTCTTGGAGGCACACAGCAAGTTCTCAACAGGTTTCCTTTTTCTTTTCTTTTTTTTTTTTTGAGATGGAGTCTCACTCTGTCACCCAGGCTGGAGTGCAGTGGAGTGATCTCAGCTCACTGCAACCTCCACCTCCCAGATTCAAGGGATTCTCCTCCCGCAGCCTCCCAAGTAGCTGGGATTACAGTCTCCCACCACCATGCCCAGCTAATTTTTGTATTTTTAGTAGAGACAGGGTTTCACCATGTTGGCCAGGCTGGTCTTGAAATCCCGACATCAGGTAATCTGCCTGCCTTGGCCTCCCAAAGTGTTGAGATTACAGGTGTGAGCCACCGTGCTGGGCCCCTTTCTTCTTTCTTTTTTCCTAGAGTGGGTCCCAGCTGCACCTGCAGCCTGGCCTGCGATGCCCCTTCTGGCCATGGCACCTCCACAACCTGCAGTCCAGTGGGCTCATCAGGCAAGGCACCCAAACCGCCCTGGCCAAGTTGGGCCCACAACTGTAGCTCTACCCACTAGACTCCTTCCTAAGAGCCCTAATCTTGACCCAGAGACTCACTCGAGCTGATGTACCGTGGCCCTGGAGAGCAGGGCCCCTGGTTCCTGCTGCCTGAATCCCTGAGCTGCCTTGAGTCTGTCCCTTCTGAGGCCCAAGCTTCAGGCTGTGCTTTTTTTTTTTTTTTTTTTTAATTCTGAGATGGAGTCTTGCTCTGTCACCCAGGCTGGAGTGCAGTGGCACGATCTCAGCTCACTGCAACCTCTGCCTCCCAGTTCTCCTGCCTTAGCCTCTGGAGTAGCTGGGATTACAGGCACCCGCCACCACACTTGGCTAATTTTTGTATTTTTAGTAGAGACGGGGTTTCTCCAAGTTGGCCAGGCTGGTCTTGAACTCCTGACCTCAAGTGATATGCCTGCCTCGGTCTCTCAAACAAGCTGTCCTTTAATCACTGAGGTGTGTACCGCCTTCCAGCAGATTCTGTGTTGCTTCAGTTATCCAGAGTCACAACCAATGACCTCTGACCCACTGGCTCATTTCACCCAGGCTGGCACTCCCTGCACGCTTCCTCACATGTATGTCTCTGGACTTACTCTATACTGTCTATAAAGTTTATATCAGTATTTGTTGAGTGCCAGCTGTATGCTAACCACCATGCCAGGAACTTTACATGTGTTATCTCATCTCTCCTTCATGAGCCCCAGTGATGGGAGTTTTTTATTATCATTTTATATATAAGGAAGCCCAAGCTCAGAGAGGCTAAGTAACTTTCCTGAGGACACACAGCTGGTTAAGTTGTTGTGTCCATTCAGGTCCAAAACTAGTGCATGTGGTCAGCTATGGGAGATTTGCAGTCTAGAAAAGATGAACCAGGCCAGGTGCAGTGGCTCATGCCTGTCATCCCAGCATTTTGGGAGGCCGAGGCGGGCGGATCACGAGGTCAGGAAATCGAGACCATCACTGTGTTAACAGTGAAACCCTGTGTCTACTAAAAATACAAAAAATTAGCCTGGTATGGTGGCACGCGCCTGTAGTCCCAGCTACTCGGGAGGCTGAGGCAGGGGAATCACTTGAACCCGGGAGGCGGAGGTTGCAGTGAGCTGAGATCACTCCATTGCACTCCAGCCTGGGCAACAGAATGAGACTCCATCTCCAAAAAAAAAAAAAAAAATGCTGGACGTGGTGGCTCATACCTGTAATCCCAGCACTTTGGGAGGCCGAGGTGGGTGGATCACCTGAGGCCAGGAGTTCAAGATCAGCCTGACCAATATGGAGAAATCCTGTCTGTAGCCAGGCGTGGTGGCGCATACCCATAATCACAGCTACTCGGGAGGCTAAGGCAGGAGAATCGCTTGAACCTGGGAGACGGAGGTTGCAGTGAGCCAAGATCACACCATTGCACTCCAGCCTGGGCAACAAGAGTGAAACTCCGTCTCAAAAAAAAAAAAAAAAAATACGAACCAGGCCCTGCTGCAGAACTCATTGCTGGAGCCTCCTTCTCCAGCCTCAAGCTGATCATGGGCAGGGGCCAGGCACTCTTCCCGTGCCTCCAGTGCCTGCCCCAGGGCCTGGAGTTTCTGCTTAGTCAATTTCTTTCTAAATGAAATGAATTTTTTTCCATTTCTGCTGGGTACTATCCAACAACTGAATAGCTCTTTTTCTTTCTCTAATGACTTAGGTGGAACAGCACAGCCTTGGGTGAGGGGGACTTAACTTTTCTTGGCCTCAATTTCTCCGTCTGCAAAACAAAGGATATGAGATCCCCAACCTCAGCCTTTGACTGTGAGGATCAAACAAGCTGATGGGTGTGACTGAGTCTGGCAAACTGTGAAGTCCTGCACAAAGCCCATTGTCACTGTCGCCATGACCTGCCCCAGCTACATCACAAGCACCAAGCTAGTTATCAAAGAGCATAGCTGGCCTTGGGGGCAGAAGAGCTCAAGCCCCTTGGTCAAGCTCTCCCTGGCTGGCCCTGACTCCCCCGGCATTCCTCGGAGATAAGGCTGTCAGGCAAGAGGCCATAACGGCTCATTGTGCATGGGGTGCTACGTCTGCCTGCAGCCCGGCATGCGCAGCTGTGGGGAGACTTTTATCATGGTGGTATTTGCACCCTCTTCCCCTTGTGCTGGGCAGACTTAGAATTGAACTAGGCCTGGCCGTGCGCAGTGGCTCACGCCTATCATCCCAGCACTTTGGGAGGCTGAGGCGGGTGGGTCACGAGGTCAAGAGTTTGAGACCAGCCTGGCCTACATGGTGAAACCCCGTCTCTACTAAAAATACAAAAATTAGCCAGGCCTGGTGGCGCATGCTTGTAATCCCAGCTACTCGGAAGGCTGAGGCAGGAGGATCACTTGAACCTGGGAGGTGGAGGTTGCAGTGAGCCAAGATCACGCCACTGCACTCCAGCCTGGGTGACAGAGTGAGACTCTGTCAAAAAAAAAAAAAAAAAAAAGAAGGAAAGAATTGAACTAGACCCGACCTGGGACCAGAGAAGGGTTAGCATCTTCCATTCAAAACAGCAAACTGGGGCAAGGCCCCAGAGGATGGCAAAGCTGCAGATCGCTGGGCTGAGAGCCCTTAACTTCTTCCTGGATCCTGGGAGACCCACCCTGGGATGTCACTGAGCAGCAGCATCGCTTCCTATTTCTATATTGTCACTTCCACTAATTAACCTTAGGAAAACATGTTTAAGGGGAATCCAGGCAAATGTCTCCTCTGCTATGCCTGTTTTCAGTACTTTCTCTGTTGGACCACTTGCTGGGTACTAGAGGAAGAAAAGAAGGAAGGGGACCAGTGACCCCCTAATTTATTGATGCCCCCAAATTCATGAGGTCCCCTCTTTGTGCCTAATATCAAGGCTCCTGCCCCCATCTGCAGCCTTGAAGCCCCTACCTGGCTTCCCAGTGGTGTCACCTCCTTGGAGGACTGTGTTGGTCTTGGGTTTAGAGAGCTGCTTGCAGCCCAGGTGGGTAGCATCCTTGGGCAGAAGCCCCAGGAAGAGTGCTGGATAATGACTCCAAAGGGTAGAGGAAACTGAGGAGGTGGAGAGGATTCCATGGATTTGAGAGTCGCTTTAGAGGTAAAATTGACAGGACTTGATAACGTCTTTTTTTTTTTTTTTTTTTTTGAGATAGAGTTTTGCTCTTGTGGTCCAGGCTGGAGTGCGGTGGTACGATCTCGGCTCACGGCAGCCTCCACCTCCCGGGTTCCAGCTATTCTTGTGCCTCAGCCTTCCAGGTAGTTGGGATTACAGGTGCCTGCCACTTCAACCAGCTAATTTTTGTATTTTTAGTAGATACGGGGTTTCGCCATGTTGACCAGGTTGGTCTCGAACTCCTGACCTCAGGTGACCCACCTGCCTCAGCCTCCCAAAGTGCTGGGATTACAGGACTGTGCCACCATGCCCAGTTGGTAACATCTTTCTGAGAAGCAAGTTGACAATAGGTCCAAGGAGACAAACACCTGATCCGCTTCCACCCAGTTGTTCTACCTCCACAGATTCATTTTAAAGACATGAGAGAGGTGGGCAAAGATTCAGGTACAAGCATGTTCCACTCAGTGCTGCTTATAACAGCAAAAAGTTGGAATCAAACTAGACTGGTTAAGTAAATTATGGTGTAGTATCCCTGCAATGGAATACTACTGTACATAGCCTGTTTTAAATTTTTATTTTATTTTATTTTGAGACAGAGTGTCGCTCTGTTGCCCAGGCGGGAGTGTAGTGGCGTGATCACAGCTCTCTGCAGCCTCGACCTCCTGGGTTCATGGGATCCTCCCACCTCAGTCTCCCAAGAAGCTGGGTCTACAGGCACATGCCACCAAGCTGATATATATATATATATATATATATATATATATATATATATTTTTTTTTTTTTTTTTTTTTTTTTTTGTAGAGACAGGGTCTCACCATGTTGCCCCACCTGGTCTTGAACTCCTGGGCTCAAGCAGTCTTCCTGCCTCAGCCTGCTAAAGTGCTAGGATTACAGGCGTGAGCCACCATGTCCGGCCAAAAACCACATTTTAAAAGATTTTGTGCTTACAATTCTGAATGAAATGAGAGAAAACAGGTTGCAAAAATGCATCTGTTGAATGAAACTCGAAAAGCATGCTGAACAAAAGCAGCCAGGAAGAAAAGGGTGAATCATTATGTATGATTCCATTCATGCATACAGTTCTAGAACAGGCAAAATCCATCCACACTCAAAGACATCAGATCACTGGTTGCCTGGGTTGGAGGGATTGCGGCAATTGACTGGGAAGGGCAGGTGGAAGTTTTGGGAGCGCTGAAAATGTTTTCTATCTTGGCTGTGGTGGACATTATACAGGAGTATATGCATTTGTCAAAAGCCACTGAGTGGGGCTGCCAGCGTGGAAGACACAGCACAGCCACTTCTCCGAAACTTAAACCTGGAATTACTACATGGCCCAGCAATTCCACTTCTAGATATACCCAAAAGAGTTGGCAGCAGGGATTCAAACCAATATTTGTACAGCAACGTTCATAGCAGCATTATTTGCAATAGTCAACAGGTGGAAACACCCAAATGTCCATCTGCAGATAAATGGATAAACAAAATGTGGCATAGACATACAATGGAATATGACTCAGCCTTAAAAAGAGGTAAAATCCTCCAGGCGGGGTGGCTCACGCCTGTAATCCCAGCACTTTGGGAGGCCAAGGCAGGTGGATCACGAGGTCAGGAGATCAAGACCATCCCGGCTAACACAGTGAAACCCCAACTTTACTAAAAATACAACAACAAAAAATTAGCCAGGCGTGGTGGTGGGTGCTTGTAGTCCTAGCTACTCGGGAGGCTGAGGCAGGAGAATGGTGTGAACCCGGGAGGCAGAGCTTGCAGTGAGTCGAGATTGCGCCACTGCACTCAAGCCTGGGCAACAGAGCGAGACTCTGTCTCAAAAAAAAAAAAAAGAGGTAATATCAGCCAGGTGGGGTGGCTCACACCTGTAATCCCAGCCCTTTGGACTTTGGGAGGCCAAGACGGGTGGATCACCTGAGGTCAGGAGTTTGAGACCAGCCTGGCCTACATGGTGAAACCCCGTCTCTACTAAAAATATAAAAATTAGCCGGGCATGGTGGGGTGCGCCTGTAGTCCCAGCTACTAGGGAGGCTGAGGCAGGGGAATCACTTGAACCTGGGAGGTGGAGGTTGCAGTGAGCAGAGATCATGACACTGCACTCCAGCCTGGACAACAGAACGAGATTCCATCTCAAAAAAAAAAAAAAAAGAGATAAAATCCTGATACATGCTACATCATGGATGGGCCTTCAAATCATTATGCTATGTGAAATAAGCCAGATATGAAAAGACCAATATCACATGATTCCACTTATATGAGTTTCCAAATTCATAGAGCCAAAAGACAGAATAGTGATTTACCAGGGGCAGAGGGAGGGGGAACGGGAAGTTACTGTTTAATGGGTACAGAGTTTCAGTTTGGGAAGATTAAAATTCTGAAGATGGATGGTAGTGATAGTTGCACAACGTGAATGTACTTAATACCACTGAACTGTACACTTAAAATGGTTAAAATGGTAAATTGTATGTTATATATATTTTACCATGATAATTTTTTTTTCAGAAACAGGGTCTCTGTCACCCAGGCTGGAATGCAATGGTGCTGTCATAGCTCATTGCAGCCTCGAACTCCTAGGCTCTAGAGATCCTCCCACTTCAGCCTCCTGTGAGACTACAGGCACACGCCACCAGGCTCAGCTAATTTTAAATTTTTTTGTAGAGATGAGAGTCTTGTTATGTTGCCCTGACTGGTCTAGAACTCCTGGCCTCAAGCAATTTATCCACCTCACCCTCTCAAAGCACTGGCGTTATAGGCATGAGCCACCATGCCTGGCAAAAAAAAACAAACAAAGAAACAAAAAATTGTTTTAAATTCATCAAACTATGCACTTTTTTTTTTTTTTCGAGACAGTGTCTTGCTCTGTCACCCAGGCTGGAGTGCAATGGCGCGATCTTGGCTCACTGCAACCTCCGCCTCTCTGGTTCAAGCGATTCTCCTGCCTCAGCCTCCCGAGTAGCTGGGATTACGGGCATGCACCACCACACCTGGCTAATTTTTGTATTTTTAGTAGAGACAGGGTTTCACCATATTAGTCAGGCTGGTCACAAACTCCTGACCTCAAGTAACCTGCCCGCCTCAGCCTCCCAAAGTACTAGGATTAGAGGCGTGAGCCACCATACCCAGCCTAAACTATGAACTTACATGGTACATTTTACTCTCTGTAAAGTATGCCTCAATAAATATAATTTAAATAAAATAAATAAACATAGAGGCCAGAAAAATATGCTGTATATGCAATATGGTCTTAGTTTTATTTTTTAAAATGTATATGCTCATGGCAAAAAGACTGGGAGGAAATATAGGAGAATATGAGTTAACAACATCCTTTCTGCGTCATTTCTTTTTATTTTTTTTGAGACAGAATCTTACTTTGTCGCCCAGGCTGGAGTGCAGTGGCACGATTTCAGCTCACTGCAACCTCCGCCTCCTGGGTTCAAGAGATTCTCATGCCTCAGCCTCCCGAGGAGCTGGGACTACTGGCGCCCTCCAGTCATTTCTATATTGAAAAGATATGGATTTTTTTTAATTGGAAAGATGTTCCTTTTTGCGTAAAAGGTGTCGTTGCACAAATCAGCATTTGCAGGGGAAACTGGGTGAGAGCACCTTGGGCCTGCTTCAAAACACACTATACTCACTCACCCACACCCCCTGCTCTGCTCCCCTCCATGCTGTTTAAATAATGTTGGCAGCACCGTCTTCCTGGTAGAGGGGGTTTGTTGTAAGCTCCACTGTACCATTTTTTTTTTTTTTAGAAAAAGGAAAGATGCTAAGATAATTTTGAAGATCAAGTCTGTAACTCCTCGAGGCAGCCTTCCAGCCACTCTCGGCATGCGGGCTCTGTTTGATTTTCAGGTCTGGTACAAGTGTCAGCTCCTGGGAGTGACCTTGGATGATGGCCCCTGTCCCACCACACCTCTGTGCTGGATCGCACCAGCCTACTTCAGTTCTCTGCAAAGCCCTGATCACTGACTTAGGCTTGTCTTGTTTCTGGTTTGTTTCTTGCTGGCTTGTTTGTCTGTCTGCTGTGCCCAGCTGGACTGTAAGCCCCATGAATGCAGGAATCCTGTTTGGCCCCCTCACTGCTGTATCCCCAACCCAGAAGAGTGTCTGCACAGAGCATCTTTTGAATGAATGGCTGCTTCATGTTCAATGCCTAGGCTGTTTTGCAAAAGTGATCTTATGAGAGTTTCATGCCCACACTGCAAGGTTAGCATTCTTAGCTCAGTTTTTGTTTTGTTTTGGTTTTGGTTTTTGAGATGGAGTCTTGCTTTGTTGCCCAGGCTGGAGTTGAGTGGCGTGATCTCAGCTCACTGCAACCCCCACCTCCCAGGTTCAAGTGATTCTCCTGCCTCAGCCTCCTGAGTAGCTGGGACTACGGGTGCATGCCACCATGCCCAGCTAATTTTTGTATTTTTAGTAGAGACGGGGTTTCACCATATTGGTCAGGCTGGTGTCTAACTCCTGACCTTAGGTGATCCGCCCGCCTAAAGTGCTGGGACTACACCCGTGAGCCACTGCACCCTGCTGCTTAGCTCAGTTTTACAGATGAGTATACAGAGAGGCACGGTGGTTTGCCCAAGGCCACACAGTAAGCGGCAAAGCTTGCATCTGTGTTCTGATCTGCCAGGTTCCTGCCCTTCCTCTTCACCTCTTCATCTAAGTCTTAGATGGTTAGATGGAGCATCTGAGACTGCAGGACAGAAGGAGGATGGAAGAGCCCTGGACAAGGAATTGGGAGCCCACAGCTCCTTCTAATCCCAGTGGTGACTGGCTGGGTGACCCAGGGCAACACTTCCCATTCATTCATTCAACCATTCATTTCATAAGTAGTCAAGGAACTCCACTTCTTACTCTTGTTGGAATAGTCATGGAATTGTCACAGCTGGATAAATAAAATATGAACAAGAAATCATGGGGTTTTTGTTAGGAAGGAAAGAGTAGGATCTTTTCTTTTTTTTTTTTTTTTTTTTTTTGAGATGGAGTCTCATTCTTATTGCCCAGGCTGGAGTGCAACGGCGCGATCTTGGCTCACCACAGCCTCTGCCTCCCAGGTTCAAATGATTCTCCTGCCTCAGCCTCCTGAGTAGCTGGGATTACAGGCATGCGCCACCACGCCTGGCTAATTTTGTATTTTTAGTGGAGATGAGGTTTCTCCATGTTGGTCAGGCTGGTGTCGAACTCCCGACCTCGACCACCCGCCTCGACCTCTCAAAGTGCTGGGATTACAGGCATGAGCCACCATGCCTGGCCAATAGGAGCATTTTTATTGACTATCATGGTTATACCTGTTTGAGTGGCAAAGAGTATGTACTCTGGAGCCGTAGTACCTAAGTTTGACTCCTGGTTCTGCTGTGTGACCTCTCTGTGCCACATTTCCACACCTGTAAATGGGGATAATAGCACCTACCTCAACTAGTGCCAGTAGGGTTGTAATATATGTGAAGTGTTTAGGACAAGGGCTGGCATGTCTGTTATTTGTCAATGGCGTTATTTCACAGAAGCACCCCCCACCCCCCCACCCCTCCGTGCAATGATTGAGCAGGACTTTTTTGGCTGCAAGTGGCAGAAACCAACATAACTGTCTTAAGAGCAGAAGAGATGACTCAACTAGGGCCTCAAACAGTGTCGCATTCCTCCTTTCCCCTCCTTCTCTACTTTCTCTCTCTCTCCTCTTTCCCTCTCCAACTCTCCTCTCTGCCTCTCTCTGACTGGCGGATCCATTCCTCCAGGCAAGCCGTCCACACAATGGTAGGACCACAGTGACAGGCAGCTCTGGCCACCAGTCCCTTACTGCTTCATACCCACACAGGAATGAAGACACCCCACACACACATCCAGCTCCACCTAGAGAATCCCAAGGAAGGCATCTCACTGGTGTGGCGCCATTGTGTGTCCCTGTCTACATGGCTAGGAGGTAGATTACAATGAATGGCTCAGCCAGTCACCTGTTCACTTCTGAGGGCTTGGGTTGACACGTGGAAGGGATACTAGGTGCCCAGGATGTCTAACTAAGCTGTACACTGGGTATACCACAACATTTTGATCTAAGCGGGAAGACGTCGACAGGCCGACAGGTTCCAGGTTTCAACACTCTCCCGGTGCTCATGGTGGAGGGGCACGCCGGGCACAAATGGGGCTCAGCACAGAGGCTGGTGCCCGAAAACAGGGCCCCTGAGCTGAGCCTGAGTCTGTCTTCCAGAGGCAGCGGATGGGGAAGGGCATCACAACAAGAGGGAATGGAGTGAGCTGTGGCTCAGAGGCGTGGGGTAGAGATGAAGCGTGGGAGTTTACCAGACAGCAGGTGAGGATGGAGAGGCCCACAGAGCACCATGTCCAAGGGTCTTGAGTGGATTTTGTCCTACTGGCGGCAGGGACTGGCGAGGTCAGGCAAGCCCTTTGAGAGCTGCCTCTAGCTACTCTGGTGTTATGAGTTTGAGTCTCAGTGGGTGAGAGCTGGTGCCAGTGGGCGAGGGGATAGAGAGGAGAGGTTACGAACACAGTGCTGACAAGGGGTGGGGAGTGGAGAGAGGAGATGAGAGGCATCCTCCAACCCCAGCTGGGAGTCCTGAGAGAAGCAGGCTTGGGCAGGAGGAGCTGAGGGCCCACTTGGTGGACTTTAGGTGCCTGAGGGGGCTCCAAATGGATGTGTCCAAGGGACAGCAGATCTATGAGGCTGGGCCTCAGTTTCCCCAGCTGTCAAATGAAGAGCATAGGCTGGGCTATCTCTAGGATTGATCTGCAGCTTTTCCTGTAAATGTGTCCATGAACTTGCAGCCATGAGGCAATGGGTGGAGGTGTGCCTGGTACACTGCAAGGCTCCACGTGGTGTGGCTACAAGGGAAAAGCAGCTAATCCTCCAGCTCCCGCTGGAAGACTCCGGGAAGTCCTTCTTGGTGTTGTCTCGTCTTTTGTGTCTCCTTGGCATGTGGAAGGGCGGTTCCAACAGATTTGGGGACTGTTAGAAAGATGAGAAAACATAAAACTGAGTCATCCCTAAAACCAACCCTGTGAGTTATGAACTGTTACAATTTGACCACTGTATTAGTCTGTTCTTGCATTGCTAGAAAGAACTACCTGAGACTGGGTAATTTATAAAGAAAAGAGGTTTAATTGGCTCACAATTCTGCAGGCTGTACAGGAAGCATGGCTGGGAAGGCCTCAGGAAACTTACAATCATGGCGGAAGGCGAAGGGGAAGCAGGCTCGTCTCACATTGTAGGAGCAGGAGGAAGAGTGCAAGGGGGAAGGTGCTACACACTTTTAAACAAGGAGATCTCGTGGTAACTCACTCACTATCATGAGAACAGCCAGGGGGAAATCCGCCCCCATGATCCAATCACCTCCCGTCAGGCCTTTCCTCTTCCCACATTGGGGATTACAATTGGACATGAGATTTGGGTGGTGATCTGGTTTGGCTGTGTCCCCACCCAAATCTCATCTTGAAACGTACTCCCATAATTCCCACGTGTTGCAGGAGGGACCCAGTGGGAGATAATTGAATCATGGGGGTAGTTCCCCCATGTTGTTCTCATGGTAGTGAATAAGTCTCATGAGATCTGATGGTTTTATCAGGGGTTTCCGCTTTTGCATCTTCCTCATTCTCTTTTTGCCTGCTGCCATCCATGTAAGATGGGACTTGCTCCTCTTTGCCTTACACCATGATTGTGAGGCTTCCCCAGCCACATGGAATTGTAAGTCCAATTAAACCTCTTTCTTTTGTAAATTGCCCAGTCTCAGGTATGCCTTTATCAGCAGGATGAAAACAGACTAGCAGAGGTGGGAACACAAATTCAAACACTGTCAGCCACTATGTGAAAACCACTTTTCTCAATATCTAAACTAAAAAAGTAAAACTTGAAGCATTACAGCCAGGAGTGCCCTACCACCCCCACGCCCCTCAGCCCTTTGAGTCTCTGAGTGTGTTTCATTAAAGAAGAATGGTTAAGAGTGTGCCATGGGGGGTCACACAGACCTGGGTTCAAATCCCACCTCTGCCACTTACTAGCTCTGGGATCCTGGGCAGGCAGCCTGAGTCCCCATCTCTGCAGGTGTGAAGCAGAGATGGCTCACAAGCTTAGAAGATATAACGCCCGGGACATCTCAGCAGAGTGTCTGGTATATATAATGCTCAACACACGTCAACTATTGTTACCCCCCCGGAAGGAGACAGCAGCAACAGGTCAGAATATGCTGGGTGACACAACTCAGGTGGGACGTCTCAGAATCTGGAACGTGGGTTCCTGGGAACTAAGACCCTCACTTGACAGGTCAGGCCAAGAAATGGGCCTGTGTGGCCGAAGGTCATTTAGGGATTGCAAAAGTCTACCCTCAAAGGTCTAAAAACATGTGCAACCAGAGGAGGCTATTATGCAATTTCACTTTTAATTAAAAAAAAAAAAAAGGATGGCTGGGTGCAGTGGCTCACGCCTGTAATCCCAGCACTTTGGGAGACGGAAGTGGGTGTATTGCCTGAGCTCAGGAGTTGGAGACCAGCCTGGCAAAGTGGTGAAACCCCGTCTCTACTAAAAACACACACACACACACAAAAAATAGCTGGGCGTGGTGGTGTGTGCCTGTAATCTCAGCTACTCGGGAGGCTGAGGCACAAAAATTACTTGAACGTGGGAGGCGGAGGTCGCAGTGAGCCAAGATTGCGCCATTGCACTCCAGCCTGGGCGACAGAGCGAGACTGGGTCTCAAAAAAAAAAAAAAAAAGAGAGACAGAGAGACAGAAAGGATGACAAAAGCATTTAAAGGAATCAATATGGAAGCTTGACATCTATGTAATGACATTTTATGCTGGCAAAGAAATTTATTTTCTGAAAGAACTTCCACAACTATTATTAAGCAAGAGAATTCTTCATGAGGAAGTTTTTAAATTGTGAAGTGTTCTTAACTGGTTGTATATTACTACCATCTGCTACTATTAGTAACAGTACCAGTACTAGCAGTAGTGATAGTAGTAGTAAGAATAATCATCGCATGTCCTAAGGGCTTTATGTACAAGATCTCACTGAATCCTCCCCACGGGTGAGTGAAAAACACTAGCTAGCATCACTCTCATTTTACTGATGAGAAAACTGAGGTTTGGAGAGCTTCCACACCATTTCTGCTGTGTTGAATCTTCCCGACAACTCTAAGAGGTAGGTCACCTATACAGAGGAGGAACCTGAACCCACAGAGATGTCAGTAGATTTAGCTAAGGTTACAGGGTGTGGTCTGAGAGCAGACCTGCCGGGTCCAGGGCCTCTGGCTTTCCCAGTGCTGAGGACTGGGGTCGGCCGCTGGGGTTGGGTCCGAGAGGGTGTACCTGGAAGGAAGCAAGAGGGGAGCTTCCTTCCCTCCTCTTCCACTGAGACCTGTGTGAGGCGTCACCAGGGGGAGCCAAAGGGCCCCAGGTCAGCCACTCTGGGCCCCTGACGACTGCCATCCTACTGGTTGGACCAGCTTCCCCACCGAGGCACAGACGTGGAGGTGGGCAGGACGGAGTAGGCAGTTGGATTCACTCTCAAGACCCTGTCAAATAGCCAAAGATTTGGCTTAAATCCTCCTTTGGCTTATTGTTCCTTTTTCCTGGAGCAATAAGAATGATCAGTTAAATGATGTCTGCCTTGTCTCTTTGTTCGTTCATTCACTAATTTAGCAATAATTTCTTAGGCCCCAACTAGGAGCTGTGGCCTCAGATATAGATCAGCTGCAAGCCCTGCCCTCGAGAACCCCCAGTCTAGGAGAAGACAGAGGTAAAACCCAGAGCGAGCCAAGCTCTGATGAGGTAACTCCAGGGGACTGCGGAAGCCCAGAGGAAGCCTCACACCCAGCTGGAGGCAGGGGTCAGGGTATGGGCAGAAGAGGAGGGGTGGGCCCTGTGAAGAAGGGAAACCAAGGGTGCTCCTGGCAGGGGAAAGGGTGCAGGCTCTGGGGTGTGAAAAATAGGACAGCTGTGGGGTTCCCTTTGCAGCAGTTTGGTGAGGCTAGGGACCGTTAGAAAGATGACAGAACATAAAGCTGAGTCATCCCTTACATCCCAAAGGGGTAAGAGATGACTTGTTTGCAACACAGAGAGCTCATAGGTCATTTGGAGGTGACAGGAGCCATAGTGTGCTCCCTGCCAAAGTCACTGTGCAATTCAGCAGCCTTCGGCCTCCACTATCCCAGCTTGGCATCCAGAGGTTCCAAGCCATCCCGTGCTGGAGGCCTGGCTATGGGTTCCCACCTGCCAGCCCACCGCAGTGCAAAACAGACTCATCCGTTTCTGCACGCAGCCCTCCAGCACATCACTGTCATGTGCATACAGTGCTCTGCAGTTTTCAAGATGCTTCCAGAACATTCTCTGGCTCACTTATTCAGTCCTCGCCTTCACTCATGGACCTTGGCAGATTCTCTATTTGTTCTTCTCATCCATTAGGCAAATATCCTCTTTATGTTCTGTGTCTAGCCCAGGTCACCTGTCCTAAGAGGCCTCCCTGACGGCGCCCTGGGGCAGAAGTGACCTCCTCTTTCTCTGCTCCACAGGCCGCCTCCTTTCCTTCACCTGTGAGGGGCTTACAGGTGTGTCTTCTCTCCATTTCCCTCCTCCTCTGCTCGCTGAGTCCTCCACATAGACAACAGCTGCCTAGAAGGAACCACTTTCTCTCTGCCTGCACACCTTAGAGGGTGATAATTCACCAGCAAACTTGACCTGAGCAATCGCTTGGGGGCAGGCTGGGGACTACAACTTGGTACAAGGGACAGCTACCTCTGGGCTGAGGGGTCACAGAGTAACCTGCCTCCATTCCTGCCTTGATTTGTGGGGATGGAGCCTGGAAGAAGCTTCTCTTGCTGCCATCAAGCTTGAGGGGCACCTGGCTAGGGCTGGGCGGGGGGGTGCCTAATGACCAGGCACATTAGAGGGCATTGTTTCAAGTAGGTCAGAGCCCCCTGGAAGAACCTCCCCCACCACCTCACACTGCTTGCCCTGTTGCCCAATGCACAAGATAATATGTGGTTCTGAGGGAACTCCCCACCCCCTGCAGAAACTCAAAGCTACACAATTGACGGGGACAAAATAAAGCCTGTCAACAGCATCTCCCAAATTAAACCAGCAGCCAGGAGCAGCCGTGCAGACCGAAATGTCTGGAGCAATGGGGTGGGGGCTCAGTGGAGACAACAGGCAGCGCTTCCTTCTTCTTTGGGCATCTCTGGACCCCCCACACCCCCGATCCCCATGTAGGGGACCCCTTGCCTCAGCCACCAGGCCCGTGCCACAAGCTGATGTGAAGTCAGATGGGGTGTGAGAGCTGGCTGGACACAGATTTAACCTTCCAGGGCTGAGGAGCTCGTCTACGGTAGGTTGGATGAGGGCGTGAAGAAGCATGTGTGAGCGTGTGTGTGCTGGAGGGTGTGAGGGTGTGAGGCTGTGTCTGAGTGATTGCACGTGAGAGCATGTGTCTGCATGTGTGACTGTGTGTGTGTGTGTGTGTGTGTGTGTGTGTGTGTGTGTGCGTGTGTGTGTTGGGGGCAGGAAAGGGAGCTGGTGTGGAGGGGCTCAAACTGGTGCAGGCAGAGTGGACAAAAAGAGAAAAGAGTTGTCTTTGAGTTGGGCCTGGAGAGCAGGAGAAGAAAAAAGGAGCTCTTATTGGTGGTTGTCAAGGAGATGGGCCTTGGGGTTTGCTGAACTTTCGTCCCTTAAAGCGTCCTGCCTGGAACTGAGAGGGGCCATTTATTTCCAGCCGCCCGTCCCTCCCAGGCCCGGTGGGACCAGACCCGAAGCCAACCCTCGCCAGGCGTCAGGTGTAGACCCCAGGCCAGGCCAGAGCAGTTCCTGGGTCTTCGGACCGGGATGCCCGCCCTGCCCCTCCTCCTGGCCCCGCCCGGTCTGTCACAGGGGGAGGCCTCGGCCTCGCATTCCGGGCAGCGAACTTCGCCGGCCGAGGTTAGCCCCGTGCGGGGGCCTCCCGCGGGACCGACCGCCAAGCGGCATTGTCCGTCCCGGGCGCCCGCCCGGTTCCAGACGCAGGTCCTGCGGCCGCCCCGTGACAAGCACACTGACGGGCCACTGTCCTTTGACGAGTGCTAAAAAGTTCGTTTGTTTTGAACGTCAATTTTCAAGTGATCTTCACGAGGTTTCCCCTCCCGGTTCCTTCGCTGCTGCCTCGCCCGCACTCGGTCCCCAGTAGGTGCTCAAGAAACGTCCAGCAAACGGCAGCGCAGGCGAGTCTGCTCTGCGCGCTGGCGCGTTTCACTGCCCACGGATGGCGGGCGACCTCACGGGATCCCCGGTTCGCAGGATCCCCGCCCCCGAGGCTGCCTCTGGGCCGGGAGGGGTTACCCCAGAGGGGCGTCCACTCTCGACGGCGGGGGCCGGGGCGCCGCGGGCAGGGGAGGGCGCAGCCTCCAAGCAGCCCCAGCCTGGCCTAGACCCCGCGCCTAGCGAGCCGGCCGGCCAGGCCCACACCCCCCACCTGCCGCCCGCCCCAGGGGAAGGGTCCCCCCGACGACGCCCGAGCCCCCCTCTTCCTCGGAGGGCCGGAGGCCGGCGCCCATTGGCCGGCCCTGGGCGACGCCCCGCCCCTCCGACGCCACGGGCCAATGAGCGCGCGCTGTCAGCTCATCAGCCGGGCTGGCTGGGCGGCTCGGGAGCCCGAGCGGTGGCGGAGCGGCGAGCAGCGAGCAGCGCCTGCGGGAGCGGCCGGTCGGTCGGGTCCCCGCGCCCCGCACGCCCGCACGCCCAGCGGGGCCCGCATTGAGCATGGGCGCGGCGGCCGTGCGCTGGCACTTGTGCGTGCTGCTGGCCCTGGGCACACGCGGGCGGCTGGCCGGGGGCAGCGGGCTCCCAGGTAAGCCCCCGACCGAGGTGGGGGGCGGCGGGCGCGGGGGGCTCGGGCGGCCGAGGCGCGGTCCCGGAGGGCTTCTTCCCCGCGGATCCCGAGCTCGCCCCGCGCGGCCCCGCGCCCCCTGCCTCTTTGCAAAGTAACTTCTAGGGCCGGCCCGGGGCGCCCCCTCCCCGCAGCCCGGGCGGCCGGGGCTCCTGAGTCCGGCGGGGCCGCACCAGGGGTGGGTGGGCCGGGGCCCCGGGAGGGGAAGCGCGAGCGCGGGAGCGAGGAAGAAAGGCGGCGGTTCCCGGGGACCCCGCGTGCGGACCTGGGCGGGGCGGGACCCCGAGCGCAGAGGGGCGCTCCTCCTGGGAGAGGGGGCGCGGGGCGGGGCGGGCGGAGGGGGACACGCCAGGAGGTGGACGGGGAAAGGGACGGACCGAGAGACCGGGACGGGGCGGGAGGTGCGGGACAGACGGACAGAAGAGCCGGCGCCGAGGGAGCAGACAAAAGGAAGCCCGGAGAAAAGACAGATGCGGAAGGGTAGAGAGGAGGCCCGCACCGCCCGGGGAAGGAGGAGGAGGCCGGTGGATCAGGGGGAATCAAGAGGGATGGTCCCACCGATGATAAGGGAGAGAGAGAGGAGGAGACGGGGGACAGATGGACGCCGCAGAAAAACGGGGTTGGGGGGGGCGGTGAGAGGGAGACCGGGAAAGAGAGAGGGACAGAGATACCTGGAAAGCCGCAGACGAGGGACCGGGACCGTCTGACAGGACGGGGAGGAAAGACAGAGGGAAGGAAGGCAGAGGATCCGGAGGACAGACACAGGGAGGAGAGTCCGGACGCGGGACGTCGGTGGAGCAGACCCAGGAAGGGGAGGGGGAGACCCGGAGGCCACAGGCCCAGGCCCGTGGGTTTCACGGGGACCCCCCCACCCTCCCACCCGGTCCCCTCCTGCTCTCTGTCTTCAGGGGCTTCCCGAAAAGCTGGAGTCACATTCTCCCCTCCTCGTCATCAGAGGCGCTTCCTCCGGTGCTCTGCTTGGAGGGGGAGGCAGGGGGAGGGTCCTGCACGTCCTTCCCGGCTTCCTGAGGTCTGGTATGGGTGGCGTAGGGTCTATTCCTGGTGGTCCCGCGTGCCCCGAGTGAGGATGCTGGGCCTGTGAGACTCTTCCACAGCAACACCCCTCCTGGAAGCCCAGCCCTGCTGCCCCATCATCCCCCTTGTGTCTGTGGGTGTCTCTCCCAAGCTTTGGGGTCCCTCACCTCTGAGTGACTGTTCCTGGGCGTGCCTATCCCCACCTGTGTCCCTCCTCGTGTCTCTCTGTATCTGACTCTGTCTCCTCCACGACCCTCTCCGTGGAAGCCCTGTGACTGTGAAACCCCAGCAGCATGTCCCCAGCATAAGCAAACCAGAGTCAAAGGGAGCAGCCTGTGCTAGGAGGGCTGGGTCGCCCTGCAGGGGAGTCTCCAGCCCAGACAGGAGCGGGAGCATGGCAGAGAACCGATGGGGACAAGTGGCTTCTCCCTCTCTCTCCTCAAACTCCCATGTCCTCTCCCCACACTCCACACCAAGGACACCCAAGTGTTTAAAGGTGTGTTGGGAGATAGCTCCACCCACCCCTCATCAACATCCATCCATTTCCATTCCAGTGAAGACACCTGCCTAGGTGGGAGATTAGGGGTGAGGGCACAAGGGGCTCCCACCCCTCATTCCTACATACTGGCCCCTGGGAAGTGGGAAGAGCCATATCTGTGGCCCACTGCCCCTGCTGGTCCTGTCTCATAAGTGACCCCAGTCCTCCCAAACAGAAGCCTGGAGATGGGCCCTCTCTGGCCTCTGGGTCCCTGCCTTAGAGGCAGTGCCAGTCCTGCACAGTGTCCCTCTGTTGCCACTTCCCCAGAAGGCCCTCATGGATGTTCCTGCTGGCCCAGCCATCCAGTTGCCGGCTGGGCCCCCTCCAGTTCCTGCCTCCTTGTCCCCTTTCCACTCTTCCCCTGGGCAGCTGTCTAGGACAGGCCGCCCACCTGAGCAGATGGGTAGCCCCCCCCGGAAAGCAATGCCACCTGCCGTGTGTGTGCGCACACGTGCATGCATGTGTGTGTGTGTGTGTGTGCAGGGGGGTCATGCTGTTGTGTTTCTTGTTGATGCCTCTCTTCCTTCAGGGGTGGGCAGGAGACTTAGGGGCTAGGGCAAAGAAGGAGAAGCCCTGGGGGGCATGGATCTCATAGGCCCCACTGGCAGATTTCGAACCCAGATATTATCCAGGGGAGAAATTTAGAGTGGACACTCTTGGGGACCCAGCAATCTAAGGTGAGACCAGAGGCATGAAGAGATGGGGACATTCCAAGCTTACCCCTGGGGCACTGCCCTCATGGCAGCTGCTGAGAGTTCCTTGCACTGCTGCACTCCTGGGTCCTTCTGTCTGTCTGTCATGTCTACATTTCATGCATTGCTAGCTAGAAGTCACATGGCACATAGGAAAGCTCATTCTGTGTCAGAGTCCAGTCTCAGCCCCAGTGAGCTACTGACCCATAACAGATTTCACCTCACTGGGCCTCATTTCCTCATCTATAACCTGAGGAATCAACCTGGATTATAGGTACAGCTCTGACTGTGCTGAACTGTGCCCGACAAGAGGCACGTCCCCTCCCTGCCTGAACTCTGTGTGTGTGTGTGTGTGTGTGTGTGTGTGTGTGTGTGTGTGTGTGTGTGTAAAAGAGACAAGGAGAGAGGCTTGGGGTGTATAGATGGAATGGATACACAGAATCTATTTTGCACAATTTGCCCCAACAGCTGTTCCAGACTGAAAGTGTATATGTGTTGGGGGCAGGAGGTAGAGAGTGTCGGGAGCCCTCAAAGCCTAGACTGAACTTGCATTTATAAGTTGGGACATGAAAACCAGGTTCACGTGTGGATTTCCGAGGAGGGAGGACCATGTGGGGAGTCAGAACCATGGATGGGCTCAGGTTAGCCCAGTTGAGGGTGTGGTTCTGCCACCAGACACTTTGGTGTGGGGGCGTGGAAGCCAGATGATGAATCCCGTGTTTCCACAGGCTAGGGGCAGGGTGGGATCCCACGTTCAGGTGACCTGCAGGAGCCTCCTGGCATGGCCTTGGTGTCCCCATCTGGAACCCAAAGGGACTAGATTTAAACTCCTCCAAGGACCCTTCTGGCTCTAAATTCTAGAATGAGGAGAGTGGGGGGAGGGTTGGAGCTATGCTTTGGGGGGGGTAGAATGAGGAGAGTGGGGGGAGGGTTGGAGCTATGCTTGTTGGGGGGGTAGAATGAGGAGAGTAGGGGAGGGTTGGAGTGATGCTTGTGGGGGGATAGTGAGGAGAGTAGGGGAGGGCTGGAGTGATGCTTGTGGGGGGATAGAATGAGGAGAGTGGGGGAGGGTTGAAGCAATGCTTGTGGGGGGATAGAATGAGGAGAGTGGGGGGAGGGTTGGAGCTATGCTTGTGGGGGGTAGAATGAGGAGAGTGGGGGAGGGTTGGAGCAATGCTTGTGGGGGGATAGAGTGAGGAGAATGGGGGAGGGCTGGAGTGATGCTTGTGGGGGGATAGAGTAAGGAGAGTAGGGGATAGAGTGAGGAGAGTAGGGGAGGGCTGGAGTGATGCTTGTTGGGGGAGTAGGACAGACGGAGGAGGAGGTTCTTCCTCACTGTCTCCTTAAGCCTCAGTTTTCTCATCTTTTTAGCAGAACAATAGCTCAATGGGATGGTTGCGACAATAAATAAGGCCAAGCGTATTGATAGCATTGTCCCTGCCACAGAGTAGCTGCGCCAAAGATGCTACCAGTTGCCACTTGTCACACCAGATTGTCCTGTGACAGCTGTTATTGCCAATGAGCCCACCGATCAATGGACGGGCAAAGGCAAGAGCTCCCCCTGCCCTACACTATCGGCCACCTGCCCTGGGGCCACACCTTACCTCTTATTCCCCCCACACCCCTACCCACAGGGTCAGTCGACGTGGATGAGTGCTCAGAGGGCACAGATGACTGCCACATCGATGCCATCTGTCAGAACACGCCCAAGTCCTACAAATGCCTCTGCAAGCCAGGCTACAAGGGGGAAGGCAAGCAGTGTGAAGGTGAGTCCAGCCCGGCCCTCCCGGGCAGACCCTGAGGCTGCCAGGGCTGCTGTAGGTGGCCGATGCCTGCCCCATTCATCACCAGCTGGGGCTGAGCCTCCAGCACCACCATTGTGGTTGCTGACAGCACAGGCTTCTCTCAGCCTCAGGAGGGAGGCAGTGAACTTTTCGGAAATGCCGGCTGCTTCCCTGGAAGGGTGGAGTTAGAGTCATGGGGTGCCTGATTCTCAACTGGGCTTGAAACTTTTTGTTCTTTTTAAGAAATTGGCTGGGTGCGGTGGCTCACGTCTGTAATCCCAGCACTTTGGGAGACCGAGGCAGGCAGATTACCTGAGGTCAAGAGTTTGAGACCAGCCTGGCCAACATGGCAAAACCCCATCTCTACTGAAAATACAACAAATACAAAAAAAGTTAGCCGAGCGTGGTGGTGCATGCCTATAATCTCAGCTACTCGTGAAGCTGAGGCAGGAGAATCACTTGAACCCAGGAGGCAGAGGTTGCAGTGAGCCGAGATGGCGCCACTGCACTCCAGCTTGGGCGACAGAGCAAGACTCTGTCTCAAAAAAAAAGAAAAGAAAGAAAAAGAAATTAAGATGAAGCATTGAATGAGGTATTTGTGCATCTGTCCTTGACTGGCTATATGGGGGTGGAGTGCAAAGACCTGGGCTTGCCCCCCGACCCCCAGAGTCCCTAACGTCAAGTTCAAAACCACCCTGTAGGTCTCTGTCTCAAGTTCCAGTGCTTGGACAGACACTGGTGGATTTGTGCCATCTGTCTCTCCAGCCTTTCTGCCCTGCACCTGGGGTGCTGGTTAGCCCTCCTGCTATTAAAAACTGCCTCCCCAGCAGGCTAAAAGTTAGAGAGAAAAGAGCAGCTCTGGCTGTGTTTGGTGCCAGGACTCTGCAAGCCCATTGGAACCTTTGGAGCTTTTGTCCATGAGAGTCTGCATGGCCGTCCTCACCCCATGGGTCTGGGGCAGGACTGGGCATCTGGGGGCTGGAAATAGCTCTCTCCGAGACAGACAGACACCCCTGGATGGGATCACTGATCCCAGTCTTCCCTGTCTGCACCCATCGTATAAATGAGGAAAGCTGAGGCTCAGACAGGAGAAGCATCTTTTGCAAGATTCCCATGTTCACAGTGATATGACAAGGACTGAAATCCAGGTCTTGTAACTCCCACTCAACAACTCTGGCAGCTAGTTTTCTTCTCCCTGGGCCCTGCCAGCTGAATTTTTCCAAGTTTGATATTTGTATTAGGAAAGTGACATGGGAGCACAGGATGGGTCCCTGCTCTTTCTGTATAAGGCGTTTACAGGGCTAGAGTTTTGTGGGCGATGCAGCCACTCCTCCCTGGGATGCTGGTGGTGTTTATCCTTCACATTTGTTGAGCATTTATTTAAGGCTGAGTGCTGGGCAGATGACATCGCCCTGGATCATGCCTGGTTGGGTAATATTCCTGGCACGCTCAGGGCCCAGAACCCAAAGTGGGGAGCTGGCGCCTACCCACAGACCTCTGGAAGGAGGCCAGGCTGGAGGCACACAGAGGAGGCCATGAGTGAGAAGCCTGGTGGGGCGGCTGGCCCGGCTGCTGGCAGGGCCAGAGGTTAGCTCGCTGGTTCGAGTGGTACATGTGAGGCTGGTGTGACCGCTTTCTGACCCTCTACTCTGCCTTCCAGACCCAGTGTCCCGGAAAGGCGGGGCCATGGTTGACCCCCCTATCTCTGCTGGTTTAAGCCACTGACCTGGCCTCTTCCTTCCCAAGCCCAGCTCCTCCTTAGGCCCTCTCCTGCTGTCCCCTGCCCGGGAGGCCTTACCTGTTTCCCTAAAATTTTTCGGAGTTCAGCTTTAACTCCTTACTCTGCTTGACCCCCGAGTTAGGAGTCAGACTTTTGTCCCAAGCCCAGCTCTGCTGCTCACTGGCTCTGTAGGCTTCATGTTCTCACCTGCTAGAAAAGGAAATTGTTTTGTCCTGCTGGGTATGAAGATGAGACAAGAGGAGGCTTGTGAATGTGCTTCGGGAACTGCCAGGGGTCTCCCTATCTCTCCAGCCAAATTCGGGCCTCCACCCTTCACATCCTGAAACACTGAACAACACCTCTGTCCTGGCACATGCATGCACACACAGACACACACACACACACACAGACATACACACAGACACACATGCATGCACACACACTTGGTTGCTCTATGTTTGTGAGCCCCAGCTCAGATTTTCCGCCTGCCTGGAGCTCCTTACCTTCTTTCTGTATCCTGTCTAAATCTGAAGGCTAATCATTCTTTAGGTTTGCCTCCTCCAGGAAGCCTTCTCTGATACCTCCACTTATATACACACACTTACACGTGCACACACATGCATGCTAGACTGCAATGGGTACCTACCCTGCTCCCAGAGGCTTCTGGGCTTCCCTCCATCATCACACTTCTGACTCTAGGTCATAATTACTTGTCTTGGTCCCCCACAGAACTGTGAGCTCATTTATTGAGGGCCCACCATAAGCTTGCTGTAAGGGCCACCATACCGAAGCTGTCAAACTCAGGCCATGCCCCCAGGAGCTCCCAGTGAGCTCCTCAATTAGAGGTTCTTTTACATTTGTAGCCGTGTTCCCAGCTCACGGGGCAGGGCCTGGCACTAGCGCGGGTCTGCAGAAAACATTTAGTCTGAGTTGGCTCTCCTTTGCCCGGACAGGACTTCACATTAGATGAGCAACCTGTAAGATATCCACAGAGGGGAGTGCGGAGTGTGGGGTCTGTGGAAGGGCTCGTTCTGGCCCTGGTGTCATCTTGACCCTGTGCAATGAGACAGAGGAAAGCAGAGACAAGGCTGGTCTCTTCGAGGGGAGCCTGGGTTGCAACCCACCTCTCATGTGAACATCTGGGTGGTAACTTGCCCTCACTGAGCCTTAGTTTCTCCTTTGGTTGTGCGGGCCAAAAATACTCCCCATCACAGGTCAGCCTGAAGATTGAGTGAGGCACAGTATAGTGCACTGGGGGCTGGCATCCAATACACAGTAGGCACTCATTCCGTAGAGTGTGCTCCATATACAGATGGCAAAGTCTTCACCATGATCCTGTCATTATCATCATCTGCATTATCACCATCATCATTATCATCATCATCACCATCATCATCATCACCATCATCATTATCATCTTCATCACCATCATCATCACCACCATCATCACCATCATCATTATCATCACCACCAACATCACCATCACCATCATCACCATCACCATCATCACCACCATCATCATTATCATCATCACCATCATCATCACCATCATCATCATCATCACCATCATCATCACCATCACCATCACCATCATCATCACCATCATCATCATCATCATCATCATCACCTGTTCTCACTAGCTGTCAAAGTAGTTTCAGGCTCAAATGAGACTATGAATGGTGAAGACCTTTGAAAATTGCTCAGTTCTGCATACCTGGGAGGTGATAGTTATGGTGCAACATAGTCCTTGGTCTCCAGAAGCTTGTGGTCTGGTGGGGCTGCATGAGCTGGAAATTCCTGATAACAGACTTAGGGTAGCATGGGTCATGAATCAGTGTCTGTTGAGTTGCCATGTTAACAGTATGAGAACAATTGTTAGGAACCAAAAGGAGGACATCGTTTGGTTATGGGCTTCCTAAACCCTCAGTGAGTGAGTGTTGGCATGGATTCTGGAGGCCTGTGTAGACCCTGTTCTTTTAGCACTCTGGTTTTCTCATCCCTGGGGACCTACTTACAGTCATCAATTTGAATCAAGTCAGCCTGCCAGAGTGCTCACATATATACCTCATACCCCCAACACATAAACACGGAGAACCATCAGATCCCTGCTGGCTTCTCTGGGAGGACTATGGAGAGACAACTGGGGGCTCTGAAATCTGAAGGGGCACCATGTGCAGCAGTGGCCTGAGGGAGCTGGGAAACCATCCAGATGTTCACATCCTTGGTTTACAGATGGAAAAATGGAGGCCTGAGGGGGCAGGGTCTTTCCTGGGTGGGGACTAGAGCCCAGGTTTGACAGACCTGTTTCTCCACACTGTGTTTCTGCAGGTGGTTATTCCTATCTGTGGCTTTCTGTTCTGAGAAGAGGGTGTTAACAGCCTCTATTAAGGTCAGCTTAGGAGTTAAAGCATTGACTTTGGTGCCAGATGGCTTGGGTTCAAATCCTGCCCGTGTAGCCTGGGCAAGTCATTTAACCTCCATTTGTTTATCTATAAAATAGGCATAATGTTAGTACTTATTTCATACAGATAGTGTGAGAATTAAATGAGTTAATGTATTTAAAGCCTTTGAACATAGCTTGGCACATATGATGCTGTATATAAGCACTAGCTGCCCTTACTGTGATGATGATGACGGTGCTATTGATGATGAGGGTGATGGGGGTGATGATAATGTTGATGGCGATGATAATGTTGATGGTGGTGATGATAATGTTGATGGTGGTGATGATAATGTTGATGGTGGTGATGATAATGTTGATGGTGCTGTTATGGTGCTGTTGATGAGGGTGATGATGATGGTGATATTGATGATGATGGTGCTGAAGAAGATGATGATGATGTATCTGATCATCATCATCGTCACTATGTTGATGTCAATGATCACAGTGTTGTTCAAGATGTGAAAGAACTAAAGCTTTGTCTTTTCCAACAATTCCTGGGACCTAAAATGGTTGGGAAATGAGGTATTCTGGTTCATCGACTGTTCATATAAACCATATGCATATACTTATATCCCCACAGAGGTGAACAGTCAGGTGTGTCATTCACAGATGGCTGCTTATCAAGAACATACAATAAGAAACACTTAGGAAAGAAGACTTTCCTTTGTTCAACTAAGCCTACTTCGGGGATGGCAAATATGCCATCACCTTCTGCCATAGCAGACATTAATAATCAATTACCGCACCCTCCAGTCATTTTTGCAGTAGATGAAACTTGCTTTCCCTCCCTGGGTTCCTGCATCTGCAGGTCCTGAGCTGGAGTAGGGTTCTGCCAAGGCTGGGGTTGGAGTCTTGGAGGCAGTGAGCCCCCTGTCCTGCAGATCTCACTGACTGTGCTCTTTGCTGTGATAAGAATAAAGGATGGACTCTCAGCAGAGCATGCCCCGAGGACATGGCTGCCACATTCTCCCCAGTTCTTCACCACCATGTTGAGTGTTTGCTTCCAGACACCCTGCTACATGTTCCACGTCCATGATCTCATTTAATCCTCTCAAGAACCCTACCAGATAGGGACTATGCCTTCCATTTTTCAAGTGAGGAAACTGAGGCATGGAGAGGTAAAGTGACTGGCCAAAGGTTACACAGTTGATAGAGGAGAGCTAGAATTTAAGCCCCAAACCGGCAGTTCCGAAGGTCTCTCCTCTTGACCGCTGGGTGATACTGCCTGCTTTTAACTGGCTGTCCCATAGGGACTGTAAGATTTGTCTTTACCAACTAATCAGTGCCCGAAATGTACTTTCTCTATCATTTTCACAACCCGAGCCTGGATTGTGGGAAGCCCGATGTGAGGCTGACCGAGCCTCTTACCCACTTCACCAGGTCACCTTGAAACTTCTGCTGCTTGAGAAATCCCTGTTAGCAAATCCAGCCCTGGAGGCCACCTGCCCCCCATTCTGGGAACAGTTTCTCTTCCCACCTTCAAGGGCAACTTGTCTTATGGCCAGTGGACATGTGTGATGATGGCATAGCCTCCACATGTGGAGACATGTTGCATCTGTGTCCAGGAGTGGCCTGGGGCCCCCTGCGGTCAGCCTAATGCCGGTAGAGGGCTTGCTGTAGCCAGACAGGTGAGTGCCTCAGACAGCCGGGAAAGGCTCTGAGCAGGGCTGGAGATAAAGCACTGTTTTCTTGATTGAATCTGAAGTGCCTTGAGGCAAAGTCCTGGCTGTGTGGAGTTGGAAGAAACTTCGAAGGGCGTTGAGGCAGTCCCCGTGAGTGACAGCTGCCACCCCTCTTTGCAGCTCACCCCAGGTCCATACACACCACCATTTTAGCCCATGCCACACTGCACTTAGGTTTTCCCACGTCTCCTCCTGGAATGTGAGCTCCTCAAAGACCGGATCTGGGACCTGTCAGCTCCCATCCCTGGAAGCTAGGGACTGGGCCTGGCACAGGGTGTGGAAGGCATTTGCTGGATGACAGGGTCACCTCCTCCAGGAAGCCATCTCTGGTCCCCCAGACAGGGGAGTTATCAGCTGTGAACATCCTCCCTCAGTGCTCCTGTCACACTAGGTTGTGAGGACCCATGTAACTTCCCTCAGGGCTGGGCCCAGAGCTGGTGTCGGTGGACAGTGAATGACCCTTATCCATGCTGGGAGGACCCAGGAAGGCCTCCAGAACCTCACAGACTCTGAGCGTTCTACAGATGAGGAAGCAGAGGCTTGCACAGAGAGAGAGCTAGTCTGAGGATAACTGGTGTGGACCGATGGCAGAATTCGCCTGGGGAAACTGGGTCCAGAGAGGTCTGTCTCTAGCCAGGCCTCCCAGCTGAGAGGGAGCAGGGCCTGGGTTTCGTCCCCCACCAGCCAAGGGGTCCCAGCATCAGGCCAGGCCCCCATCAGCCCATGGGAAAGCATTAGGGGAGGCTCCTGCACTATGGAGGGATCGAGGGAGCTGTACAGCCCCTCTGCTTCTACACGGACTCGCTCCCTTGCTGCTGCTGGCTGGTCTGAGACAGGACCTGGGAATGGGAGGGGCTGGAAGCTACCATTTGTGATACCGTTATTATTTTGATTTATTTTAGAGTTGGGGCCTCGCTGTGTTGGGAGCTATTATTGTTATTTCTGTTTGTTTTTGAGATGAAGTCTTGCTTTGTCACCAGGCTGGAGTTCAGTGGCTCAATCTCGGCTCACTGCAACCTCCGCCTCCTAGTTTCAAGGGATTCTCATACCTCAGCCTCCCAAGTACCTGGGACTACAGGTGCGCACCACCATGCCCAGCTAGTTTTTTGTATTTTTAGTAGAGATGGGGTTTCACCATGTTGGCCAGGTTGGTCTCGAACTCCTGACCTCAAGTGATCCTCCTGCCTCAGCCTCCCAAAGTGCTGGGATTATAGGCATGAGCCACCGCACCCGGCCATTTTTTATCCATCCCTCCCCACCCAGCCTCACTGTCTTTTTTTAGTTCCTCAAACTTGCCAGCTTGTTCCTACCTCTGGACCTTTGCACACCCCGTTTCCTCTTGCCTCTCCGTTTAACTAAGCGTGTTCATCCCCGGCTCATCCGGCCCCTGGGGCATGGGCCTTTCAGAAGCCACCAGGCCAGTCCCACACTGGCCTCCTGGTCCGAATTAACCAGGCCTGTTTGTGCTTATTCTGCTGAGGGGGCAGGCTGGGGGTGAGGAAGGGGCATTTCACCCCCTTTAAATGCTTCAACTCATTTAACCTTAATTGCCTTGTTTTCATAGACATTTGCGAGGGAAAAGGACCAAATTATAGCTTGAATTGGGTCCTACTAATCTTAATTAAAAGCTCTCGTTTATAATCAGGACCAGGCCCCAAACGAGGAGCAAACCGCCCTCAAATGGCTTGTTTAAATAACTAAGACCCTCCTGATAATCACTGTTTAGTCTGAACCAACAGTACACATCACCCCTTCTATGTGTACTTAATTTTTTAAACCATTTATTCAAGTGGTTTATTCCACTTGCAAGTTCCAACTCGGGCCTTTTCCAAAATGCTATAATTAAAACTCTTGGGGGAAATAACTTTGTTGTTTGGGCCACAGTATATCAAATATATTGCTATGTTCCTCTTTTTGTGTGAAAAGGAAAAACATGACAACCTTATGGCCATCAGATATCACAAAATTAGCATGTATGTAATGAATGTAAATAATCACTTCCTGAATTTTATATCCCCGGCGTCTACTTGTCAATCACTGAAGTTAGGTAGATTACAGAGCATGTTATTAAAATGTTTTAACAAAATTCCTAGTAACATACTCAGTGATCCATTTAGTTTAACATCAGAAAAACAAAATCTTAAAACCAATTTGGCCTTCTTAGGAAATAATGTCCATGACCTTATTAAATCATTTTCATCATCATTATTACACACTTTATTGAAACTCCAGATAAAATCCTGCTTTTTGGGAGGCCAGGAAAGGCAGTAGGCGGTGGGAGGCTCAGCGGGGAGAGAAGGGGAAATTCTTCTCCTTCAAGTCTTAAAACATGCAATTATGCATGCTAACGTGTGCTCTGCCGAAGATGAAAGTGCTCAAGTCCAAGCAGACCAGCAGGAAGGAAGAAATTGGATATAACTTAAAATTCCAAGTTGCTGTCAGCTAGCAATTAGGCAATGTTGCTTGCCAGCTCTGCTGCAGAGTTTAGGCCTCTTACAGAGTTCTTGGAGCCAATGACCACTTTTAGGAGGAAAAATAAAAAGCTCATGCTACTGCATTTAAACACTGGAGGCAAGTTCACCCCTGAGCCTCAGTTTGCCCATCCGTAAAATGTGTGTGCACTGGACTGGATTCAGTTGAGTATCAAGAATGTTCACTGAGCACCTACTCTGTGTCAAGCTTGGTGCTGGGGCCAAAACATGTTTCCTGCCTTTGACCTGCCTTGTGGGAGACACAGATTGGAAAAGATGTGATCATAACAGGATGTGGAAAGTGCAGCAATGAAAATACAAACAAGACAGGATGAAGTAGAGAAAGTGTATATCTCTGCCTGAGGAGGGGAAGAAATTCAGGAGGGCTTCTTAGAGGAGGTGTCCTCTGGGCTAGGTTAGAAAAGCATAGCAGAAGCAGGTCTCTGATGCTCCTTCCAGCTGTGATGGTCAATGGAAGCATTTGTAGCAAGGATTTAGAGGTCTGCATTTTGGTCCCTCCTAACTCCGTGAGCCAGCGGTGACTTAACCATTCTGAGCCCTGGTTTCCTCATCCATCACATGGGAGCCACAACACCTGCCTTACAGAATGTGCATTTGAGTAGAGATTTGAGGAGGGAAGGGGCCTCGCTGTCTGTGAGAATGTGTTGAAGGCTGCACCAGTATCTGCATGTTGGTTTTTTTTTTTTCTCTAATTCCCCATTTCTCCCAGGGTTAGGGGTCTCTGCCCCCACCTCCCACCCTCCATGTCCTCCAGCTCCCCAGGCAGCAGCCCCTCTCTGCCCCCTTCCTCTGGGCCCTCTCGCCTCCTCTTAGCCGCTTCTTATTACAGTGGCTGTATTTGTTTTTCCATCAGAGGAATGCTAACCAGCAAAAACCATTATTTCTAAGAAAATAAACCGTGGACTTGTGTGCCTTTGAATGCTACTGAAATGGATGATGGCCTTCCCTAAAGGCTTTGAGACAAAGAGGACTCGGGGCCTTGTGTGAACGGGCAAGGTCAGGAGGTCTCAGAGGGTGCTCCAAGACAGGCTTCCAGATGGGCCAGGGCTGCAGCCTCTGGCTAGAAAGAGTGTAAAACCCCAGCCAGCTGGTTGGACGCCTGGCCTAGGTTAACAGCAGCTGCTGGCGTTGATCACTCCCCACTCCCTCCAGGGTCTTCAAGGTGCACCCCTCTCTCCAGGAACCCCCATGTCTTCTGTCTAGACCTCCTGCCTCTCGTACAGAGGGAAGTGGAGCTGGGAGTGTGTCCATGGAGACCGGGTCCCAGCCCTATGTGGCCTGGGCCAAGTCTGTGGGCCTCTCCGGCCTTTGCATCCTGACATCAGAGTTCAGCAGGGGCAGGAGATCTCAGGCCCCTGGGACCCTCGCTGTGGGCAGCTCCTTCCTCAGGGTGCTCCTCGTTTCCATGGCGCCCAATGCTGGCCTCAGTCTGTCAGCTTGAGGGGTGGGCTTCAGTGGGGCTTAGCCAACTGTCCCTTCCCACTGCCAGCCCTGCGGGCAGACCTGGTCCTGGCCAGTCTGTAGGCAGGAGCACGAGAGTTTGTGGGCATCTGTATCTGAGTCATTCCCCGCTCCAGGCTGGCAGCCCCTTGTGGCCAGGGTCCAGGCTAAGGGCAAGGGGCCTGGCCCAGGACAGCACTGGCATGGGAGGGAAGAAGGCAGGGAGGTGGCCTGATCCTTCACAAGGCCCGCAGGCCCCAGATTCCTGGTTCACAGAGATGCCGTCTTCTCTAGACAATTGTGTCAAGGTGAGGAAGGTAGAGTCTGGGACCAGCCTGCCCAGGTTCAAATGTTGCCTTCACCACCTTCTAGCTGGGTGATCTTGGGAAAGACAAGTTTTCTGAGCCTCAGTTTCTTTTTCTATGAGCCATGGGAAATGAAGACCTTTCTGCCTGGCTGTAGGGAGGATTAAGCCAGTTACCATCAAGGTGGTGCCTGGTGTGGAGTTGCCACTGCTGTTATTTTTATTACAATGGAGAGGAAGTCCACCCGGGGATTCGGAGAGAAAGGGAATGAAACCGAATTGCACTAGGCCAGCTCAGGCCCTGCCCACTGCTGGATCCCGAGATGAGAGAAAGAAGCCCAAGCTGAGAGCCTTGAGTTCAAATTGCCATGAGCCCCTGATCTGCTAAGATTTGTCTTTCAGCTCCCTTCTTTGGGCCTCAGTTACACCTTGATAAAATCCAGGGTGCTCTAGGATCCAGCTTACCAATTCTAAGGGCCGGCCCAGGTTTTCAGGCAACTTCTTGTTTGTGATTGTCCTCCTGAGCTTGGAGGTGGCTGGGCCTATGGAGCAGCCCCACAGAGCCTGCAGTTTTTGGGTCTCGGGCCTCCCCTTGGCCTTTCCCTAAGGGGATGGGGGAATGACTGCCTGTAATTGGCAGGAGGGTGGAATAGGGGCCTTGACTGAGGGCTGGCAGAACTAGACTCAAGCCTGGCAGGTTCCCTGTGGTCTCTCCTGGCTTCCATCTCACACGCGCCAACGGCTCCATTTTCACTTGACCAGGCTGCCTCAGCAACCATTAGTCCTGATGCCAGAGCCCAGGAGCAGCCCCCAGCAAGGGCTTCAGGGCATTTTTGAGGGAGAAAGGAAATAATTAACTGGTCTTCATCATATCGGTTTGGTGGGAAATCTCCCCTGCTTCTTGGGAGCAACACACCCCACTGTGACCCCAAGCTGGGCAGGTGGCATTTGAGGTCAGTTCAGAGCCAACCTCCTTGTGGTTTCCCTTCACCCAGGCAGAGATCCCTGGAGATGCAACCAGCCCAGAGGAGAAGAAGACCGACAGCATTAGCTTGTTTGACTTTTATTTTTAAACAGCTTTATCGCGATATAATTCACATACCATACAATTCACTCGTTAAAAGTATACAATTCAATGCCTTTAGTATATTCACATTGCCAGTCCACTACCACAATCAATGTTAGTATCTGTTTAATTTATTTTATTTTATTTTATTTGAGACAGAGTCTTGCTCTGTCGCCCAGGCTGGAGTGCAGTGGCATGATCTCGGCTCACTGCAACCTCCGCCTCCCGGGTTCAAGTGATTCTTCTGCCTCAGCCTCCCGAGTAGCTGGGATTACAGGCATGCACCACCATGCCTGGCTAATTTTTTGTATTTTTAGTAGAGACAGGGTTTCACATGTTGGCCAGGCTGGTCTCGAACTCCTGACCTCAGGTGATCCACCCGCCTCAGCCTCCCAAAGTGCTGGGATTACAGGCGTGAGCTACCCTGCCGAGTCCAATGTTAGAATCTTTTCATTACTCCAAAAAGAAACTCCATGCCCCTTGACCATCCTCTACCACCCCGCAAGTCTTCAGCCCTTCCAGTGTTAGGAAACCTCTCATCTGCTTTTTTTCTCAGCAGATTTGGTTTTTCTGGAGACTTGATGTAAATAGAACCATCGACTATGTGATCTTGTGACAGAGACATCACTAACTCTGAAGTCAAGCTGCCTGGCTCCCTTCCTGGCTCCCCTTGCATTTGCTGTGTGATCTGAGGCAGGACAGGCAATGTCTCTGAGCCTTGGTTTGCTGCTGTGAGATAGACATGGTGGTACCCAGCTCTCAGGGCAGTCCTGTGTGTGGGGCCTGCAGACTGCCTGACATGTCATGAGAGTCGGTCAGCAAGGCCACCGTCGTGATTGTTCATTCATGCAATGCCCAGAGGATGCCTTTGAACATGCTCGGGCTCTGCTCGTTTCTGAGGCTCAAGCTGCACAGGACACAGTTCTCGTTCTCATGGATTTGCAGCATCAGAGGACACAGACACAAGCAAGCAAGAATAATGCTAGTACCTGCTTGGGCTGGGGGAGGGGCTAGATCTGCTCGAAGATGAGCAAAAGCTTCAGGGAGGAGGTGATGCTGGGGCTCAGGATGCAGAGGTGAGTAGATGTTTGTGGAGGGGAAGGAGCTCCAGGCAGAGGGAACAGCATGAGTCAAAGTGTGGAGGTCTGAAGCCACATAACGGACTGGGAGAGGTCACTGAGCAGCTCCAACCCCACGGTTATCTTGAATCACAGAGTGGGAAAGGGGAGGGAACCTTCCCACCCTCTGGCTGAGCCATGGTCATTGTGTGCAGTTAGGAATGAAAAAGTATATAGATGTGTGTTAGTTTTACGTGCCCTTTGACCTTTCCTGTAATTAACTGCTGGGCCCACTTCTGGCATTGTCTCTGCAGAAGGGAAACCTGATCGATGGATGCCAGGGGCCCTCAGAGAGCGCGTCTCATTACTCAGTCATTACAAACCCAGAGCTTAACCCCGAGCCACCGGAGACAGGGGCTTAATCCTTCCTGCTAGGCAGCCCAAGAAACTACCTTCCCTGGAGCATAATTAGCCAACAAACCGGATTAAGATTTATTCATCAATAAGGACTCAACTTCCTAAGCCATACATCTCTCCCCGAATGGTTGCCTGATCTAAGGAGGGCACGGTTTTTCTTAAAGCCCCCAGACAAAGGAGAGGACGTGCTAGCGCCCAGCCAGGAAAGGGGTCTTTGTTAGAGCGTTTGGTCTCCACTGTTCTTGAGGAATGTCTAGAAAAATGCCAGTTTCAGGGGGAAATGAGAAGACATTTTCAGTAATGATCTCCGAGAGTAGAGAGTGGGATGCTTTAAAAATACTTAATTTTGAGAATGTTTCTAGTCAGTCCCGATTTTGAGGAAAATACCCTAAAATAGTATTAAAATAAAATGAAAAGGCTCTCTGATTCATTGCAATAGGATCTTTTAGAATCTAGACACCACAGAGTAAATGTATATTTTATGAAGCAGCAAGAATCAATTTTGAATTAAATGATTAAAAAAAAAAAAAACACCTCACCCTATATGGGTTCCAAACCTGCGTTGCTGGCACGGAAGCACAGCCATGGGGTTGTGTGTGCGCACGCTGCCTTTCAATACACAAAAAGCGGAGCTGGGTGACCTTTCAAAAATTCCATAATGAGCAGTTCTCTGTGCTGCTTTTCTCTGCTCTATTAGATGCTGGGAGCTGTCTTCTGTTGGGAATTGAGTTTTCATTAAAAACAAAAAAAAATCCAAGCAGGGGAAGGAACAGGGATGCTTGGAGTGAATTGCTGGACTTCTCATCTCCTGTGTCAGGGCTCTGAAAGCTGCTCAGATCTTTTGTCCTGCCACTTTCTCCATTCATGTGAACCATCCCTGTCACCACCCCTCCTCAACCTCAAGGGTAGGTACAGATCTTGGAAAGAAAAGTAATAATACCCATGAAATCTCTTCCCCACTTTTCTCCTTAATGACTTTTTGGAGCATGAAACACTTTTTTTTTTTTTTTTTTTTTTTTAAAGACGGAGTTTTGCTCTTGTTGCCCAGGCTGGAGTGCAACGGCGCGATCTCGGCTCATCGCAACCTCCGCCTCCGGAGTCCAAGCGATTTTCCTGCTTCAGCCTCCCGAGTAGCTGGGATTATAGGCATGCGCCACCACGCCTGGCTAGGAGCATGAAGTACTTTTTTAAAATATTCATCTCACACACCCCAAGGATGTGGCTCCAAATGCGGGAATAGAGCCTGCACTTGAATGCAACCACTGGCTGGGGGCCTGAAGACAAGGTCCTCAGCGATCCTGAGCCTCAGCCTCTTCTGTGTGACAGCAGCTCTTACCCTGGCCTCACACACACAGCTGCCTCACTCCAATCTCTGCCTTCATCATCCCACGGCTGCCTTCTCTCCGCGTGTCTGTGTGTCTTCACATGGTATTCTTCTCCCTGTATGTCTGTGTCCAATTTCCCTCTTCTTAGGACAGCAGCATTGTATTAAGGCCCACCCTAATCTAGTATGACCTCATCTGAACTTGATTACATCTGCAAAGACCCTACTTCCAAGTCAGATCACATTCTCTGGTCCTGGGGGTTGGGACCTCAACATATCTTTTTGCGGGGACACAATTTAATCCACAACAGCCCTTTAAGAATAAACATCCATAGAGCTGTGCTCTGTCCCCTCCATTGCTTTACCATCTCCCTGCTCCACCTGCCTGTTTCTCGTTCTCTGGCTGTCAGTCCTGAAAAAGTGGTCTGAGCCTGATGAGTGTCTTGGAGGTCTGTGGTGCCTCTTCCAGGGGCGGCGACTCCTGGATATGTTTTTATAATAATAAATCCACTTGCTTTGGCAAATTTTTTTAGCTGGTTTGTTTGTGTGTTTATCTCTTAAGTATTAAAGGAGGAGGCTTACATGATTTTAGAACAAAATTTCAAGGTACAAACATGGAAAATCAGGGAAGGTTTGGTTTAGGAGCCAATGTCCTCCATCCAGGACACTGGGAGGTAAAGCTGGCTGCCACAGCAGGCCTGGGGATTGGAGAGGAACTGGTTGTTCTGAGAGATGCTCAGCCTGGGAGAACTAATTGGGGATGGATTAAGGAAAGAAATGCAAGCAGCAAATATCCCTGCACTCTCCAGCCCACTGGCAATTACTGTGGCCTACGTTATGGGGAGTCAAAGGCAGGAAATGGCTAGAGTTGTTTTATTGACTATTCAACGATATCTTTATAATGCCTTATGGGTATGGTGATCAGATAGTTTATCATTTTAATAATGAAAAGGTTAATAACTGCTGTTAATAATTACGCCCTGACAACAGGCATAAACTGATACTGTGCCAGGAAAATTAAAGTGTATGATATTCTCTAACTAGGGGAAGACATCCCCTAACTAGGAGGTCTGACGTTTCTCAGACCTTACCACCATTAAAATAGCCAGTTGGATTACATCTTATAGATGCAGCAACTCCATAACTGATTGTGTTTCTTTCTTTGTCTTGGCATTTAGGAAGCTCACAGCCCACCTTCTGTCATTGTGCTACAGTTATCAAATGTGTTTTTGTATATTTTCACCAGCTTTATCTTATTCTTCAACCCTCATTTATTTTTCTTCATACTAACATCTTATTCTATTAGAAAAAATTGTTGTATGTATTTTGTAAGCTGTTTGGAGGGATATTTGAAGGAATCAGTGAGTTAATAGAAGTTTGGATGGATGAATGGGTAGGTAGGTGTTTGAATGTGCGTGTGTGTGCATGAGCGTGAGTGTACATGTGTTTGGATAGAAAGGTGGGTATTTGAATCAATGAATATACAGATGAGAGGATTTCTCATCTGGATGGATGGATGGATGGATGGATGGATGGATGGATGGATGGATGTTTGGATGGGTCAGTGCTTAGATGAATGGAAGGATAGGCATCTGGTTGAATATTTAGACAGATGGATGCATGCATGCGTGTCTGGATGTATGGGTGAACATTTGGCTGGATAAATGGATGGGTGAATAGGTGATTGGAGAAATGGAAGGGTGGTCAGCACACTGGATATTTAGATGGATAAATTTTAGCACAAATAGATAAATGGAAGAATGGTTGAGTAGATATTTGAATGGATAGGTTGAGGGTGAGTAGATGGATGGATAGTGGAAGGGTAGATGGGTGTTTGGATGAAAGGATGCATGGCTGGCTGGCTGGTTATTTGGGTAGATAGGCATGCACACATGTGTATGTGTGTATGTGTATAGACAGATGCAGAACAAGTAGAAGGATAGATGGGTAAATGGGTATTTGGATGATTGGATAGTACTTTCTCAGTACACTGTATAAATGTGCCAAGGGTGAAATACTGTATCATGTATAAAGCATTTTGTCAATGACTGGCATGTCACAGGCATTCTAACTTATTAGAAAGGACGTGGGCTTCCTAGACTGAAAGACCTTTGTTCTGATCCTTGCCCTACCACTTACTATGTGACCCTGAGCAATTATCTAACTTCTCTGCACTTTAGTTTGTTCAACCATAAAATGAAGTTAAAACACCTACTTCCAAATGTTGCTGTGAGAATTAAAAGGGCTGGTGTATATTTCAGGAGTAGATACCTCCTTCTGAGGTACAAGATGAGAGAAACTTCTTTTACCCAAGCATAGAATAAAAGTCCTTTTCCTCAGTCTGATTGATCCAACCTAAGTCACCTACCAACCCTGGGACCAACAGCAATTGCTAGTGGCACGTGCTGTTTGGATAAGACTGTTAAGTCTCCACCCCCAGAGTTAGGACCAGGCCAGCTTCCCCCTGAATCACCTGCTTGAAGGAGGAAAGGAGGGAGGGAACAGTTTGGGGGCTGCTGAGTCAAATCGGGTGTGAGGTGATACTCATGCTGACAGGTAGTGAAAATAAGTGGCCAGTGGGCAGACTGTAACGATATTAAGGGTGTAGAAAAACCACGCGTTGGTAGCTGATTTGATGTTAAGGAAGCAGTGGAAGGAAAACAATATTCACCGGGATGAGGAACCCCAGGTAACTGTAGGTTGATGAGTTAAAGTTGAGCTTTGTTGCCTTTGGAGTACCTTTGGAATACCCAGGGGAAGAGGTGGTTGCATTAGTCTATCTGGGGCTCTGGAGAAAGGTCAGGGCTGCAAACAGAGACTGGGAAGTAATCAGTATCTCTCAGTTTTTTAAAATCTATGCCGGACGAGGTGGCTTACATCTGTAATCCCAGCACTTTGGGAGGCCAAGGTGGGCGGATCACGAGGTCAGGAGATGGAGACCATCCTGGCTAACATGGTGAAACCCCATCTCTATTAAAAATACAAAAAATTAGCCGGGCATGGTGGCACGTGCCTGTAGTCCAGCTACTTGGGAGGCTGAGGCAGGCGAATCGCTTGAACCCAGGAGGTGGAGGTTGCAGTGAGCTGAGATCGCGCCATTGCACTCCAGCCTGGGCGACAGAGGGAGACACTGACAAAAAAATAAATAAATAAATAAAATAAAATCTATGTGCCTTTTCAATAAACATAAAATATCACATTCTCCCTTAAGTTTATTTGTAATTTATAAGTGTATTAAATATCAGAATTAAAAACAGCCCAGAGCCAGGCACAGTGGCCTATGCCTATAATTCCAGCTACTAGGGAGGCTGAGGCAGGAGGATCCCTTGAGCCCAGGAGTTTGAGTCCAGCCTTGGCAACATAGTGAGGCCCTGTCTCTAAAAACAAACAAAACAAACCAATTCAAATGAGCTGCAGAATTGAGAACTGATGCAGGTGCCCCTATAGGCAGATTAGGAGAGGACTTCTATCTCTTGATCCTTTGGTGACCCAGCCCAGGCTACTTTGTTCTTCCCTCGCTGTGGCTGGGTGGACACCAAGAGTGGCTGCACGGACACCAAGAGTGGCTGCACAGCCCAGACCCCTTACTCTGGCGCGTTCACTTCTGCTGTTTGTTATCCCCTTTGCTCTGCAGCATCTCTGGCAGGCATCAGGGCAGTGCTTACACCTCCAGAGTCAGGGAGCTCACTACCTCCTGCAACAGCTTCTACCTTGCAGACCGGCACTCCTACCCCTGAACGTTCATTGGCCCCATGGCTTCCCCTCACTGTGAGTAGCTCTGCTCTCCAGACCAGCATGGAGAAAGCAAGGAGTTCCGTGTCTCCCTGCGGCAGCTCCTCCAGCAATTGAGGGAAGCTAGGCCTGCCTTCTACAGGCTCTCTTCTTCTACAGGATGGCCCCAGCCCCACTTTCGTAGCTGGAACCCAGCCTCAAAAATCCCTCTTCTACACTATAGGGGAGTGACCCCGGCTTCCTACTCCGTCGTCTCGTGAGATGCACTTCCGGTTCCACTTAGTGCTGCACTTCCGGTTCCGGTTCCAGTTCCCCTGTGGGGGACACTTCCGGCCCTCCTCTCTCCCCATCGTGTCTCGGAGCCTCTGGAGGTCAGGGTGACTGCCGGTTGAGATGAGTGAGGCCAGAGGGGTCTCAGGGGGATGCTGAAGACCCTGCAGAAGAGCCGGCACCACCAGGCTGGCAAATTCTCGCTGTGCCTGGTGCCCTCCCAAGGACGCCAGGTGTGACCGGGGTTAGGCCCCTTGGGCTCTGAAACCCACGAGTTTGAATCCCACGGATTCGAATCCCATTTGTGCCACTTCCTAGGTGTGTGACCTTCCACAAGGTTTTAGCCTCACTGTGCCTTGGTTTCTTCAGTGCTCTTGCAAAATTGGAAGTGAGAATGGTGCCTGCATCACTGAGTTAATGTGGGATTGAAGAGGTAATGACATGGCCTTACAAGCAGGACTTGGGCGTGGAAGCAGCTCAGACAAGGTTAACTAGGCGTGTTCCTATCATTCTCCAGGGTATCTCAAATCTCTCTGGAACTCCAGAATTGATAGCCCTTTGACCCCTGATGGGAAATGTTGAAAAAGCCTTAAAACAGCAAAAAGGGTGACCTTTATCAAGGCTACTGGCCATTGTTTATGAGACAGGAGCCTTTGTTATAGCAAGGAAGCTGGAGCAGTTGAAATGCAGGCATCAGACACTGATGTGGAAAGACACTGGAGGAGTTAGTGGACTTTTCTTTCATTCCAGAGATTACACTTCTTGGGGATGTGCAGTTAATTTTACTCAATACCCCCTGCTTCAAGAGAGCTAGTTTTCAGAAATTGTACACTGGCTCCGTGGAGGCAGAACTAGGTGTGAATCTTGCCTGTTCACTGTGGTAGGAACTGGAAGGCACCCCACACATGATTAGCATTTTTATAATACTTGAGTCCTCAGCTCCCAGGGAGGACTGAAGTGAATACTTGTTGAATCATCCCCTAATCACTCAGATCCCGGTGGCTTCCATGGTGTTGGGAGAGGGGACCACCAGGCTCTTCTTCTGACACCTCTCATGCCCTTCCTTTTGCAGACATTGACGAGTGTGAGAATGACTACTACAATGGGGGCTGTGTCCACGAGTGCATCAACATCCCGGGGAACTACAGGTGTACCTGCTTTGATGGCTTCATGCTGGCACACGATGGACACAACTGCCTGGGTGAGTGATACAGCTGTAGCCTACCCTCTGGGCACACCCTGCCTGTTGCTTTGCTCCAGCTTACAGAGTTGGGAGCCATGAGAAGGTTCTCCTTCCTTTGGCTTCCTGTATTAGTTTGCCAGGGTTGTCATAACAAAATACCACAGACTGGGTGGCTTAGACAACAGAAGTGTATTGCCTCGCAGTTCTGGAGTCTGGCAGTCCAAGATCGAGGTGGGGGCAGGGTTGGTTTTTCGGAGGGCCCGCTCCTCTGTCAGGCTTGCAGGTGGCTACCTTCTTTCTCCTTGTGTCTTCATACGGTCTTCCCACTTTGCATGCAAGTGTCTAGTGTCTCTCTGTGTCCTAATCTCCTCTTCTTTTTTTTTTTTTTTTTTTTTTGAGATGGAGTCTTGCTCTGTCACCCAAGCATGCAGTGGTGTAATCTCAGCTCACTGCAACCTCCACCTCCTGGGTTCAAGTGATTCTCCTGCCTCAGCCTCCCAAGTAGCTGGGATTACAGGCGTGCCACCACACCTGGCTAATTTTTGTATTTTTAGTAGAGACTGAGTTTCGCCATGGTTGCCAGGCTGGTCTCGAGCTACTGACCTTGTGATCCGCCTGCTTCGGCTTCCCAAAGTGCTGGGATAACAGGCGTGAGCCACCTTGCCCGGCCAGCCACTGCGCCTGGCCCTAATCTTCTCTTCTTATAAGGACACAGTCATATTGGAGTAGGGCCCACTCTACAAACTCCATTTTTAAGTTAATTATCTCTCTAAAGGCCCTGTCTCCAAATACAGTCACGTTTTGAGGTACTGGGTGTTGAATTCCTTCAACAAAGGAATTTTGAAGTGACACAATTTGGCCCATGATTTTATATACCTCCATCTTCTCATGGTCCAAATACATTTTTAAGCCAATTGTATAAAATTTATAAGAGGTCGGGTGTGGTGGCTCACACTTGTAATCCCAGCACTCTGGGAGGCCAAGGCGGGTGGATCACCTGAGGTCCGAAGTTCAAGACCAGCCTGACCAACATGGCAAAACCCTGTCTCTACTAAAAATACAAAAATTAGTTGGGCGCATGCCTGTAATCCCAGCTATTTGGGAGGCTGAGGTAGGAGGGTCACTTGAACCCAGGAGACGGAGGTTGCAGTGAGCCAAGATCACACCATTGCACTCCAGCCCGGGCGACAAGAGTGAAACTCCATCTCAAAAACAAAAAAATAATTACAAGAGTAGTCCACATTTGCTGAATCAAATTGGAAAAAAGGAGAAGAGTAGGGAGAAGAAATTGGCAGGCGTCTTAGTTGTGCTGGTGTGTTTTCTATCAGTCTTCCACCTGCATCCAAGTGTGTTTTTACCATAGTGGTGATCAGATAGTCAGCATGCATTTGCCCTTTGCTGTTCCCTTTAATATCATGCGTACCTCAGGCATTTTGGTTTTCTTTTGAGACAGAGTCTTACTCTGTCACCCAGCCTGGAGTACAGTATGGCTCAGTGCAGCCTTAACCTCTGGAACTCAGGTGATCCTCCCACCTCAGCCTCCAGAATAGCTGGGACCATAGGCACATTCCACTGCTACTGGCTAACTTTTGGGTTTTTTTGTAGAGACAGGGTCTTGCTATATTGCCCAGGCCTCTGGAACTCCTGGGCTCAGGTGATCTGCCCACCTCGACCTCCCAAAGTGCTGGGATTACAGGCTTGACCCGCCACCTTACCTCAGGCATTACTTCAGGTATTTTTATGTGGCCCCTGTTACCACTATTTTTCTAGTTGCCCCACAGTCTGACAAATTACTAATAACCTGTATCAGTTTCCTGGGGCTGCCATGACAAAGTAACAAACTAGGGCTTAAATAACAGAAATGGATTCTCTTGGTTAGGAGTCCAAACTCAAGGTGTGGGCAGGGTAGTTCCTTCTGAGAGCTGCAAGGGATCATCTGTTCCAGGCCTTTCTCATAGCTTCTGGTAATGTCAGGGATTCCTTGGCTTATAGATGGCATCCTCCCTCTGTCTTCACATTGTCTCAGCTCTATGTGTGTCTGGCTCTGTGTCCAAATTTTCCTTTTTTATGAGGACACCAGTCGTGTTGCATTAGGCCCACCCTAACAATCTCATCTTAACCTGGACATCTGCCAAGACCTTATTTCCAACAAAAGTCACATTCACAAGTACTGGGAGCTGCGAATCCAACATCTTTTGAAGGGACATAATTCAACCTGTAACAGAGGGAGTTCAAAGTCTGTCACAGAAGAACAATATCTTGTCATGGGAAACACGTGGCTCTCAAAGCAGACGTGTCTGTCCCCAAGGCCCTCTTTTGCCACTGGCTGCTGGGTAACCAGGGCACAGCAACTGGAGCCCAGGGGATATGGGCATGGATTTGGCAGGAGCATGTCCGTAGATACATTATTGATTGTCTGGGTCTCAGGCCCTTGTTGGTAGAGGGAGGCTATGAGAAGCAGCTTCCTCACAGGGTTGTCGTGAGCAGTGACTGAGATAATGTCCAGATGGCCGAGAAAAAGGCTCGGCACAGGGGACTCTCAGCAGCCGAGAACTGTTACTATCTACATGGTGTCTGAGCCTCAGTCTTCTCCAGTCTCCAACAGGGATAACTGCGTAATCCACTTCCCAAGATCGCGTGTGAGGATGAGGTGACAGTGTGAAGTGACTAGCCCCTATTAGGTGCTAAATAGTCAACGCAGGCATTACTACTCCAGCTGACTCGGCTGCCTTTCTGTGGTTAGACATTTAGATTGTTTGCTTTTTTGTTTTTTACCATGAGAATCCAGAGGTGGTTCTGGGCATAAAACATTTTTTTCCCCTGTTTTCCCAATCGTTTCCTTAGGAATGCTTCACAAAAGTGGAACCACTGGATCAAACGACCATTTGGTTTTTTATGGCTTTCTAAAAGGGCTCAGCAAAGCTTCTGTTGTGCCAGCTGGTTTGTGGGTGTGTGGTAGAGGATACTGGGTGTCCTGAGTGCTCTGGAACTTTCCCTCTTAATGGGGTGTTAGCCTTAGACCTGCCTGCCTGTTTTTGTCCAACCCATGTTGGATGTCAGATAAGTTTGTTGTGGAAAACATCTGTGAGCATGTAATTACACCCCGAATAAATACCCAAGTAGAGGTCCGAGCATCAGGTTATTGAAGCCCAGAGAGGCCTGTGAAGAGCTACCCATGGATGCAGTGAGTGTGGGGGTAGAAGCGGGGCTAACTCCCTAGGGGTCTTCAAAGAGAAGGTAGCATTGAGTGGAACCTCCAAGGTTGGGGATAAGTTTGCTAGACCAAGGGCAGAGCCTACATAGACCTGCAGGCAGCCCCTGAGGCTCAGCTCCTGGTGCGTGCAGGGAGCAGCAGGTGTGGGGCTGTGGAGGTGAGCAGGGCATTGACTAGATTGTGAAGAACTGGGACCACACAACGTTGATCGTGCCAGATGCCAGGTGAAGTATCTTCCAAGAGTTATCTCATTTAATCCTCCCAAAACATAAGTGCTTGGCTTTCTTAGTTGTTTGCTCCATTTTCAAATGATAGAGAGAGTATGTTTTGGTCTCTGATTAGTCAGTGAAGACAGAGCCGACAGTCCCTTTGGGACAGCCAGTTAAAAGCAGGCAATATCACCCAGCGGCCAAGAGGAGAGACCTTGGGAACTGCCAGTTTGTGGCTTAAATTCTAGCCCTTCTCTATCAGCTGTGTGACCTTTGGCCAGTCACTTTACCTCTCCATGCCTTAGTTTCCTCACTTGAAAAATGGAAGGCATAGTCCCTATCTGGTAGGGCTCTTGTGAGGATTAAATGAGATCATGGACGTGGAGCATGTAGCAGAGTGTCTGGCACCAAATATTCAACATGTAACCAGCATTCATCTGGTCACTGGCTTCCAGATGAGATGTGTTGATGTGGAGTGGTTTGATGCCTCCAAGACCTCGTGGGGACCAGTCCCCACCATGTGCGCTCCCACGGCTGTGCCTGACACGTGGAACTCTCCTTCCAGCCACTGTACTCTTACCTGTGCAGAACCACCTGTTTGTAAATACCCTGTTCTTGGCTACAGCAAGTACTCCCAGTGTCCCCAGAGCCTGACGCCAGCAGCCTGCAGACTAGCAGTGAGTCTGTGTGGGCCTTTGTCTCAACAACATTGTTTTCACAATGGATTATGTTTACACTGATTAATTTAAAAGAACTGGGTAAGGTTCCCCCCCTCCCCCGCCCCACCACCTCTGAGCACAGATTGCAACCTCACGCGGCTCTAACTTGCACACACAGCAGCCAAGAAAAGGCTCTCTCTGTTGCTCCTCTGCCTTTAGCTGAGGGCAGACCCTTCCCAACAGAGTTCTTTCTGTTCAGGCTTTCTCTTTCTCAAGACAAAACTCCAGCTCTAGAGAAGCCGGACCTTGGTTCCAACAGGCACCAACCCATCCTGACCATGTGACCTCAAGCTAGTTAACCGACTTCTTGGAGTCTCAGCTCCCTCATCCATGAAATGCTGTAAGAACTGGAGTACCTCGTACTCTAGGATCATGGGGCTTAATCAGTGTTGGCAGAAATAAATCATGCTGTAAGAGTCAGCTGGGCTTGGAGTTTGAAGATTTAGGCTCAAATTCAGGTGTCACCGCTCATGAGTTTTATAGTTCGGGACCTGTTCCTCTAGCCCACCAAGCTTCAGTTCCCCTAACTGTGAAATGGGTCAGTAATACTTGTCTCGGAGGGTCGGTGTCATGATTAAATCTGAAAGGAGATTGTGCAGAGCTTGTGTACAGATGTAAATTCTGTGCAGGTGCTGGATATTGTCATCACTTTCCAGCAAAGGCTTCAAGCTGGCAACCCACAGTCCCCATCTGGCCCACAGACATGTTTGGTTTGTCCCCATGGTGGTATCATTTGTTCTTATTAAATTATTTGTCAACACTTAAAAATTAGGGGTTATCACATTAAAAAAAATCAATATTTCTAGCATCATTCCATCTCAGCCACAGTTACCCAGCCCCTGACGTTTGCGGGACTTGGGACAGGAGTCCAGATGGAGGCCCCTATCCCACATGGCTAAAATATTAAAGTAATTAAGAAGCTCCCAAACAAGAATGACTCTGCCTCTTCTACCTTGACAAATATTCCTAACTAATGACCTAGAGGCTAGACTGGAATTTAGAAGACTGCTTGGATTTTGCGCCAGAAAGTGGTAGCATGGGCAATGCCTGCTCCCTCCCTGCCCTTCCCACCCTCGGCTCCACCCCACACCATGACGAGCCTCAGCACACCCTAATGCAAATGTGCAAGCTTTGGCCATTTACCCTGAAAGCAGCCACCTTTTGCCTAAGTCTTACTCAGGCCTAAGTGTAGTCTGATAGGCTTAGGACCCTTTTGGGGGAGTTTTAGGGTCCTAAATACCCAGCATGTAATGTGGAGTGGTAGGCGTGTGTTCCAGGTGCTCATGACTCCCCTGTGGACCCCTTACTCCATGGTGGTGGGGTCAGGGGGGTGCTGCTGCAGCCACAGGAGAGGCAGAACAGGGACCCCCAAAGTGTGGGGGCCCAGGGCAACAGCACTCTCGCTCACATCTCACTGTGGTGCTGGCAGCAGCTAGAGTGAACTACACCGCAGCTGCCTGCTTCAGAGGGGGTGTGTACTCTCTTGTTCGCCACAGTCTCCACCACTCCCTATTACTTGCATCCAGCTTTGGCCATTTAACTACCTGCTTGAAATTGTGCTGCCTGGAAATGTTTGGAATTCTTTGTGCTGCCTGACAAAGCTTCCTGCACAAGGTTTTGTCCCCAGTGGGCATTTGGTGGCTGTGAGTGGCCCACTGAGTTGTTGGAAGGTTCTCTGTCTCCGCTGCCTTGTGCATTCTTGGCTGCCTCTGGGCAGTCACTAAACCTCACCCCACAGCCCATCGCCCATCAGGAATAGTTAGGCCCGTTCGCACCTCCTCTGTTTTGTCTCAAGAAGTCTGGGTCAAGAGTCTTGTCCAGTTGTAACATTCCTCTCTGAACCACCACTGAATTCCTTAGGGATGGGGGCTGGGATAAAACCCTGATCACCTTAGAAATAAACAGGCCAGTTTGAAAAGTGTTCTGAGCTGATTAGGAGAAATGAGGCTGATGGCTTACAAGTTATTTTCTTGCCTAAGTTTTCATAGTTGAACCTTTTCTTTTCTTTCGAGTAAGCGAGGTTATTTTCCTGTGGAGATGGCCTGCCTGTGACTGTGTCCTGGAGGGTGGCCAAGTCTGTCCTCTGGGGAGCAAAGCCCTCACTCTATTTGACATCTTTATTGAGGAATTTCTCAAATATAACAGAAAATGACACCAGAGGGAATTGAAACCATGATGAGATCTTGCTCAACCCCAAATGGCTGCTTTTAGCTGTGTAATTACTTGAAATAGCAGTAGTTCTGTTTGAAAAATATTATTCCAAACTCCATGCAATTGGACAGCAGAGCAATATTTAGGCTAATAGAATAAGATTGTTTTCATCTTAAATTAAAACCAGCAGTGGATAATTTCTTCCCGTCTCCACAAAGCAAGGCTCCTCTTTCTCTAAAGCCATTAGTTCACTTAGCCAGATGTTTTCTTCGACCCCGATCTTTACCTTGACTTACTGAAAAATACGTCTCTCAAGTTGCTCACAGTTTGAATTTTGGACCTGCCTCTTGGCACTTTTTTTCCCTGTTGAAGAGAAGTCATCTGTATCCAGGTTCAGAAGCATTGATTTATTAGCCAGCTCTCTCCATTTCATTAACATTTATTGAGCACCAACCCTATGCCCAGCCTTGTGCTGGGTAGACCGTCCTACTTGAGTGAGATTCGGGAGCTTTGGTTGAGCCTCCTGTGTGCCTGGATTTGCCCGGGATGCTGTGCTCAGTTCTCTTGTTAGTGCTCACAGCATCCAAAGACATTAGTGTCTTCTTTTTACAAATGAGGAAACTGAGGCCTAGTGAGGGGAAGTGACCTACCCAAGCTCACACAGACAGTAGGTGGTAGAGCTAGGACTAGAGCCCAGGTCTGGGATTTTGCCAATTTCAGCCTGTAAGCCTGCCCTGCTGCCCACCCCCGCCCCATAGTGCCCGAACTGCACCAGCTCCGGGAGGCTGGCCAGGGCCTCCTTGTCGTAGGGTGTTAGATATGCACGCCTGTATCTATCCGTGAGTTTGGGAGTCACTGAGAGCATCCAGAAATCCCAGCACGTGCCAGGCCAGGCACAGGCAGGGAGTGTGCTGAAGGGCCAGCGGGCACCCCTTGCTCTAGAGAGCTCATACCAAGGGCGCCTCCACCCCATAGCTCGTTCAGCCTCCTTGGGCCAAGGGCAGAGCTTGTGGCCTTGTTTAGGCACCTCACATCATCCTTGAGCCACCCTTGGGACCTTGTCTTACCCCATCCAACTGTACGGAGCCCTCCGCTCCAGCACCCTCCTCTCATGGCCATTGCTTCCACAGTAGCTTGAGACCCCTCTGGCCAGGGCCCCACCAGCCTCCCCCCAACCCCATTTCTCACCCTTGCTTAGCTGTGCCCACTGGGCCAGCCTTCCCTGTACCCGCAGAGTCCTACACAAATCTGTTGACAGACTGCTACTCCCCAGCAGGGATCTGGTGAGGTCCTGCTCATCCTTCAAGCCCCAACCAAACCTCCCCTTGCTCAGAGGTCTGCTGTGACCCACGCCACACAGTTACATCTCCACTGCAGCTCTGTGTCATGGTCCTCTCTTCTTCCCCAAAAGCAGAATTTGTCTTGTTTACCTTTCTGTCTTTCTTCTTGGAACCTAGTGCAGTGTCAGATATATTGTAGGCATTTAGTAAATATTTGTAGAATAAATGAATGAATGGATTTGTCAAAATGCCTTGTAATCTAAAAACCCTCTCACCTAACAAGCCTCTGATTTTGCACCAGAAAGTGGTAGCACGGGCAATGCCTGCTCCCTCCCTGCCTTTCCCACCCTTGGCTCCACCCCATACCACGATGAGCCTCAACACACCCTAACGCAAATATGCAAGCTTTGGCCATTTACCCTGAAAGCAGCCACCTTTTGCCTAAGTCTTACTCAGGCCTAAGTGTCGTCTGATAGGCTTAGAACCATTTGAGGGGAGTTTTAGGGTCCTAAATACCCAGGATATAATGTAGAGTGGTAGGCATAGGGCAGAGGTAAAGATTAATTAGATGAGATATCTCTCGCAGGGCTCTTAGGTCCATGAGGAAGCCAGAAATATTCACAACTCTAATGAAGGGTAGAAAGTGCTATATTAGGGCCAGGCACAGTAACTCATGCCTGTAATCCCAGCACTTTGAGAGACCGAGGCGGGTGGATCACATGAGGTCAGGAGTTCGAGACCAGCCTGACCAACATGGTGAAACACCGTTTCTACTAAAAATACAAAAAAAAAAAATAGCCAGATTTGGTGGCAGGCGCCTCTAGTCCCAACCACTTGGGAGGCTGAGGCAGGAGAATCACTTGAACCCGGGGGGCAGAGGTTGCAATGAGCCGAGATTACACCACTGCACTCCAGCCTGGGCGACAGAGTGAGACTCTGTCCAAAAAAAAAAAAAAAAGTGCTACATTAGGAATAATACTAAAGCCTTCCACCTAGTATTCATCCATTTGTTTATTCCAAAAAAATTGTTCTGAGTGCCTGCTATATGCCAGACATGGTTTTCAGTGCTTACTATGGTGGTGAACAAAGGCTACAACATCTCCCTGCTTATGAACTTACATAGAGGAGAAAGACAGTGAACATGTGAACATGTAACTCAGTAACTTCAGCCAGGTCAGAGCCACTGAAAAAAATAATAAAACAAATAATGTGATACAAAGTGATGGGGGCAGGGTGACAGCATTGGGTAGGGTAGGATTCCAGTTACTATTGCTGCATAAGAAACCACCTCAATATGTATCAAGGCCAGGCTTGGTGGCTCACACCTATAATCCCAACACTTTGGGAGGCCAAGGTAGGAGGATCACTTGAGCCCAGGAGTTTGACACCAGTCTAGGCAACATAGCAAGACCCCATCTCTACAGAAATTTAAAAAATTAGCCAGGGATGGAGGTGTGCGCCAGTGGCCCCAGCTACTAAGGAGGCTGAGGTGGGAGGATTGCATGAGCCCAGGAGGTTGAGGCTGCAGTGAGTTATGTTTGCACTGCTGCACTCCAGCCTGGGCAATGGAGCAAGATCCTGACTCAGTAAAACTAAAAAAAGTTTTTAAAAAATGTGTATTGAAAAATCACTATGTCCCCCACAAATATGTACAATTATTACATGTCCATTTTGAAAAGTAAAATTAAATTTTTAAAAAACTACCTCACATTTAGTGGCATAAAATACTATTTTGCTCATGAATTCTGTGGCGCAAGAAGTCAGACAGGATCAACTAGTCTCTGCTCCACGGTGTCTGGGGCCTCAGCTGGGAGACTTGAAAGCTGGGGATGACTTGATAGCCAAGAACTGGAATCATCTGGAAGCATCTTTGCTCACAGCTGGTGGTGGTGGTTGGCTGTCAGCCAGGACACTATGGGCAGCCTCTTTATGTGGTCTTTCCACATGGGCTGGTAGGAGCTTCCGCACATCATGGCCGCTGGGTCCTAAGACGACAGAATCCCATGCTTGGCAGTTTGACAGTCTAGCCTGAGAAGTCACCTCCACCAATGAGGGGGGTAACAGAGGTCTGCCCGGGGTAAGGGGAGGAAGCCCCAGTGAGAGGGAGGAAGTACCACATGAAGGTCTAGGGAAGGTCCTCTGTCCAAGCAGAAGGGGGACAAGTGTGGTAGGAACTGTTAGGAGTTTGGGGATGGGCCAGGATGCCTGGAGGATCAGGAGCGAGGGACACAGACTGGAGATGAGGCAACGAGGCGGGCCGGGGCTGGGTCAGGCAGGGTCATATCGTCTCGAGAAAGGGGTTTGGATTTTATTCTGTTACCTGGGAAGCCGTGGGCTATTTTCACCAGGGATTGACATGTTCCAGTGGACATTTTAATTTAAAAAGCGCTTCTGGCTGCTGAGTAGAGAGGCAGAGTGGCTTAAGCAGGGAAACCACTGCAGTGGCCTGGGTCAGAGCGGTTGGTGGCTTCGTTCAGGGTGACAGTGGGAGAAGTGGTCGTTGAACTCACAGTGTATTTTGAAAACAGTTGACGGGAGCAGCCAGTGGATGAGATATGAGAGGTACAGGGAGAAGAGAGTCAAAACTGATGATTGGGTTTCCCCGGAGTTTCTAGGGGCTCTGCTGCTGTGGCTGAGATGGGGAAGGCTAGGGGGAGGACAGACTGGGTGTGGGGGTGGACACGGAGGTACAGGACTCAGGTGTCTGTTCGTCTGAGTTCTGTTTGAAATGATAAGCAGCCATCGAAATGGAGATGGTGCACAAGCTTAGAAGTCTGTAGTCAAACCCGGGGGAAAATGTGAGGGTTTCTACATGGCGTCTAGATGGCTTTGGAAGCCAGATATTTTAATATTCACTCATTTCGTAAAGATTTCACAAGCACCCACCCTATGCTGTGCCTTGCTTGGAGCTCACAATTAGGAGAGGTATGGCCTTATTTCGGGCCCTCAAGGAGCATCAGAAATCGATCTGCCTGGCTTTGAACCCTGGATCCATCACTTACTATGTGACCTTGAGCAAGTAATTCTGCTTCTCTGGGCCTCTGTGTACTCCTGCATGAGGTGGGGCTGGTAACAGTGCTTATTTGACAGAGATGATGCAGAGGCCAACGAGATGAGCTTTGTAAAACACATACCATAGTACCTAGCACAGGGCAAGGTCTCAACAGATGCGAATGAGCTAATTAACATTTATTCCTAGTGTGCAAAGCCAGAACACAGTTTAGGGAAAATGGATATACCTGGAGCTGGTGAAGGTGCAGGGGGCGAGCCTGGGCCTGGGCCGTGTGGGAAGCCCTTTGCCTGGGCCCTGCTCCTCATTCCTGCCAGATGAGCTGCTGCCCACGGTCCGCTCCCCACCTGCCAAATGCTCTCCCAGCCTCTTGCGCTGGTTCTTGTACTTACTGTCTGTTGACTGAGGGGTCATGTGACATCGCGACTTCAATTTGAGCTCTGCTGTGTTCTTATTTTGTAACTTGGGACACATCATCTCATTTCTCAGAGTCGGAGTTTTGGTCTCTGTGAAATGGGGTCGGTCCCTGTCTGTTAGGATCAGTTGAGGAGATGGATGTGCAAGTGGCACTTGAGGCTGCCAAGTGGAGGGGTAGAAAAGGAGGAGTAGGAGGGGCCCTCGGGGGACTCCCGATGGGGCCTGGAGCCCAGCTGCACCCTGGGGGAGGAAGTCACCGGCGAGTGCCCAGATGCTCCGTGCAGGCGCCGCGCTCCAGCTCTCCCTCCGCTGGGCTGATGAAAGGGCCTGCGCCATCGCGGCCTTTTAAAGGAGGCCCTCTTGTCCTGGAAGACAGCTGGAGACAACATGTGGCTCCCTGGAACCCCTAACGAAGGCTCGAGTTGCTGCTGTTTATTTGTCTTTATACTTCAACAGCTCAAATACATTTCTTGCTGGAAAAAAAAATGCTGATCATCTTAATGTAAAACTAAACAGCTTTGGACAGTCATATACTTACTCCATAAACACCAATATTTTCTAAAGTAAACTCAAGAGGTTTCTTCCTGGTCTCTTTCGTTATGCCCACCTACTACCCCACCACCTTTTCCCATTCTTGGCCCACTTTCAGGTGCTCTAAACACGCTCAGTTGGAGGGATTTGCTGTCAGAGTACAAGACAGATCCAGGCCCGCCTCTCCTCTCCGCCTTCTACAGCTGTTAATCTGAAAGAAATTATTTGGCCTGAGAGAAAGAGACTCCCTGGACAGTGTTGTACATCTTTATAGACTCGCTTCCTTCTTTTCCCAAATCGCTACAAAAAAGGGGAGACCCTCGAGTGGGGTGTAGGGAGGCAGACTGGTTCAGACCTTTGTGTGTTTCGGGGTGGAGTGGCCTTTGACAGCCTCATGCCCATGGCCTGCTTGGGATTGGGTGGGGGGACTGTGGGGTGTTTATTACAGGGGGCCAGATGGTTCTTCCTGCCAGCCCCCTTCTGGCCCAGCAATCAGGGCAGAATCAGTGGCCCACAGAGCAGAAGTCAGGCTCCTTAGGCCACTGACTTGCTGGGAGACCTTGGGAAATGCCCTGCCTCTTTATGCCTCAGTTTCCCTGTCATATGTGAAATAAAAAGATGGGATTTGATCAGTGGTTTTCAGATGCTGTGGGGTTTATAGCAGCAGAAATCTTTTTTCCGAAGCGGAATCATGCAGGGGCCTCACGCTGTGGCTGAACGGGAGACAAGACTGGCCACAGTTAGAGCTCTGCTCCCCATGGAACCTGTCTCTACCTCTGCAAAGTTCCTGGAGCCTCTGGACCTCAGTTTGGAACCCCCTGGCTGGGCTGCTGGGTCAGAGCCCTTCTCCTTCCAGCATCCCGTGACCTGGCAGTGCGGTCGTGTGATTGGCCCCAGGGACAGTGGCAGCTCAGCTCTTTTCCGTGTCCTCCTTGTCCCAGCAGGATGCAGTCGTTGTCTGCGCAGCTCTCCTTGTTTCTCAGAACTGTAATCTCCAGCATGGCGAACACTTTTCCTCTCCATAACCATCCCGCCCTTTCCTCCTCCAGGGTGTCCATACACCTGCTGTTCTGCACTGAGCGCCCTTCCCCAGCCTCCTGATGAACGCTTAGTTTGGCTGGCCCCTACTTGTTCCTCAGGGCTCACTCAGGTGAGGCGTCAACCCCTAGAGAAGACCTCTCTGAGCTGTACAGCCTCCCCTAGGCTTCCCTCTGACATGGCCCTGAGCTCCTGGGACTGGCACTCAGGCATCTCAGGGGAGATCTCTCTTCCTTCCTTGGGAATTCCTCGAGTGCTGAGCTCTGGATTGGCCAAGCTCTTTATCCAAGGCCTGCAAAGGCCAGGCCCACAGCAGGCTCGTTTGTGTGGTGGAGGATGGGCGGGTGGCAGGGTAACGGGGTAGAATGTTGGATTCTGACCCTCAGGAGGCAAACGACTTGACGGTGGCAGGTGCACAGACCTGCCGTGGGGGTCATCAGCACACTTGGAGCTGGGTAGAAGCGCTGGGAAAGTCTCCCTGTCTCCCTCGGCCAGCGATGGCCTGTGACTCCCCAGTCCACTTCTCCGTGCCTGGCTCCTTCTGGTCTCTGCTCTAGACACAGGGAGAGCATGGACTTGGGCATCAGACACGTTGGCCTTGACTCCCACTCCCTTCCTAGCTCTCTGCTCTCGGTTTTCTTTCCTGGAAAGGGGCATGCTGGTGTTCCCAGGACAGGGCTCTGGGGATACAGAGAAGGGTGTACGTGAAGGAAGGTGGCACATGGTGGGCCTCAGGACCCTTCACCTGCTCGTCCCTTCCCACTCTCCCTGTGCTTGTACATTCAGGTCAGGGATTGCATCCCTGTATGAGGCCACCTTCCCCTTGGTAGGAGTGTGTGTTCGTGATCCCATCCTCCCTCCACTGGATTGAAATCTGTTGTCACTGTGCCTGGTGCCACCCTACCTTTGTAGGTCTCAATTTGGTGGCTTGAGGAAGAAGCCCCGCTCTGTCTCAGAGCAGAGAATACCGAGTCCATAAACAGCAAAGAAAACACTCGCTGCAGACACTTGCCTTCCTCTGTTCCTGTTTGCAGTCCCTGTGCCAAGAGCTTGGTCAGAACTCCAGAAAATAAAAAATAAATAAATAAATAAGTGTCTTGTGAAGGCTCCTTAAAAATACCCTGCCAGCAAAACATATGCCCCCAAACCAGACACGGAGCCGTGGCCCTAAAAGGGGACATTAGCAACAATTAAGGGCATCTCAACCCAGTCCAGTACTGCGTCTGTCAATAGTCTCGCTTACCTTGGAGCACCCTGGGCCCTGGGTGGCGTTTGGGGTCGCCCTGGACGTTTGCTGGGCCTGGCTGCATCGGGGCAGATGCTGCAGTGACCCTCCTCCCCCAGCACCGGGACAGGTTCCAGCTGTTTATAGTGGCCATTAGCCAGGCCTGTGCATCAGGCTGCCCTGGCACCCCTCCCTGTCACCCACCTCATCCCAACCACATACAGCTAGAAATAGACTGCTGGCAGAGACGCCCTGTGCCTGGCTGGCACTCTTTATTTGTGGGAAGTGGGCAGCCATGGCAGCAGCCCAGCTGCTTGGCCTGGGGTCTTTAGTAACCTCCCAGGTGCTACTTTAATGATGGGGAGAGGATCCCACAGGCTTGCCCTCCCCTGGCTCATCTGCTGACCGCCAGGGGGTCAGACACCAGTGGAGTCATTTGGGACCCACCCGTGGTGGAGGCCCTGCCGAGTGGGACCCTCCCCAGGGCCTGTGTTGCCATTGTGGGGGTCTGGCTTCCTTGGCCTGGCAGCTGGCCCTGCTGACACTCCAGCCTTTCTGTTTCTCCCTGTGCTCCCAGCAAACTAAATATTAAGCCTGTCCCCCGGCTCCTCATGCCCTCTGGGCCTCTGCACACACCATTCCCCTACCTGGAGAACCTCCTCCCGGCCTGTCCCGGACACCCCAGCTCTTCCGCCTGAGCCTCTTCCCCAGCCCCCCGGGCAGAGGGACCTGCTCCCTGCATTCTGCTCCCTTGCCCTCCCTGCCAACTCTCAGGCCTGCCAGAATCAGACCAAGCTGCAAATGTCTGTTTACTTATCCATCAGCCACACGTGCAATAATTATACAGAAACACTCAGAGAAATCCAGAGAAAAGACAAAATCATTCCCCCATTTCTCACCCCTCCAATAGAGCAAGCGTTTTCATGTCCTGATGTCCGTGTCCAGTGTCACCTGGGCGTGGACAGAACTGTGTGTGGTGGCAGTCACCCATTGAGGTTTATGTGCCGCTTCTCCTCCGTATTCCGGCAGGACTCTCTTCACTGTTGATGCAGAATCACGTCGCCAAGATGGAATGGAATGAAAGCCCGGGACAGTGCGGGCAGTGGGGGTGATTATTGGGTTGGGACAGCAAGAATGCCCCAATGCTCTTCTGTCAGGACATGCCCCGGGTGCCCATATCTGCAGGTGAGGGGCCTCTGAGATTAGTTAGACTCACTCTTGCCCTCAGGGAGCTCCCAGGCCATGTGCAGAAATACTCCCACTATGGTGTCCTTTGTGTAATTAATACTAGGGGTGTGCAAAGGGATGGTGTGGGGTGGGTGACTCGCCCTACCTGGAGTGAGTGGAGGGTCCCCTGCGGGGGGTGGAGATGGGGTGAAGGGAGGACATTTTAGGAGGGAGGAGCAGCATGTGCAGAGCCTGGAGATGGGAAGGGCTCGGCCAGGGAGCAGAGTGGGTTCAGGGCAGGTAGTGGTGGTAAAAAGGCAGTCTCTGTCAAATGAGCCATATATACCATGTGCTCTCCTGGTCTTAGACCCAGAGATTACACACACACACAGACACACACACACACGACCAACCGCACTTCTCACCACCAAATGCACCTTTCTCTGCACTGGTCCTCGTGGCTTAGAGAGACGCTCTCTGCCTGGGTTCAGCCTGCCTGTTCCTGCTTCTCACAGCACACTCTTCTTGTCCTGCAGGGCTCTGACCCCACTATGGTTAATAGACACTGGTCTCCCAGTGTCCTCACCACCTCTCTTTCCTAGAATGGCAGCTCCCTGAGGGCAGGCCTTGGCCTCGTCTTTCCCTGTTTACCCATGCACCAGTGTGGTGCCTTGCACCCCTGCCAAGTGACTGAGTGAACAAATACATGTGACTAATCACAGAAGTTCGCTGGAGATGGATGTGGCCAATAGAAAAGACGGTGGCAGATGAGGCCACCGCAAGTGCAGATGCTGTACGGCAGGAGAGTCAGTCAGTTGTATGCAGGTTAACAGGGGTCTTCAGGGAGTCATGAGAAACAAAAGCTCACAGTCGTTGACCCAGGAATCCCACTTCTGGGGAGCTCTCTGAAGGCAATAATCCCTTAAATGAAAAGGGCCGTAGCTGCCCAGCTGCGTCCTTCACGGGGGAGTTTATTAACAACTGCACGAGGGCATGGAAGAGGAGCCCACTGTGGACTGCACAAAGCAGCGAGTCAGAAGTGGAGGCAGGGCCAAGCCACAGCACTGAAGGCGCTTTAGCTCAGCTCGCCGTGGCTGTGCACAGATCAACTCATTACATTTAGGAGAAAATCAGCTCATGCAAAAAGACGGAAACAAAATAGATGCTCCTGACTGTGGTTCTGTCTAAACTGTAGGATTGTTGATCAGCTTTTCCACTGTTTCTCAGAATTCCTTATCGGCTCAGAATCTTAAATAATAAAACAGTTGTATTGGTCAAGTGATAGGAAGCCATGCTAGGTTTTTGAGAGGAGGAGAACTACAGACAGAATGTGGCCACAAACTCAGAGACAGGTTGGCTGTGGGGAGGCCTGCGAGCGTGCCAGTGCCTCAGCCAAGCGAGTGCCCCCTTTTCCGTGAAGCTTCCTGGCACCCCCACCCAGCCCTCTGCCACTGCCTTCTGTGGCCTGCCATCTGCCTTTCTCCGGTATGTCAGCTCTGATGAGACAAAACTATTCCTTAGTCCTGGTTGTTGCCACCAGGCCCACCCCGGGGCCTGACAGGGAGGGACTGCTGAGTGCAGGAAGGAACAAGCCCACATGTGGCAGGCCCAGCTGGGGAGCCAATGCAGGGCATGGATGGGGCAGGAGGCCAAGCGGCTGGGATCAGGGTATGGCCACAGGCCTGGCGTGTGCCAAGGACGCTCACGCTCAAGGATACCTGGTAGGTGAGGACAGGTGTACACATGGAGGGTGCTAGCAAGGAGGAGGAAGAGAAGGAACAGCCGCACAGCCGCCTGGCAATTTCACATAGCTTTGGAGGGTGGAAGAAAATGCGGACTTCCACGGGAAAGAATTAGTCCCTGAAGGTTAGAATTCCGACGGTACCGAGGCTGGGAAATGGATGCTGGGAATCAATCAGCTGACTTGGCTGGAGTCTGGCAGGATGAACTGGCCAGAGGACCTGTGTCACCTGGGGTGTCGTGGGAGCTCCGGGGCCCCTCCTTGGTTCGGGGAAGTTTGGTTTTGTTTTTCAACAGGAGTGGGACTTGCCCTGCCGCCCCATCCACCGGCCTGGAGGTAATCACATGCAGCTGGGCCTGGGTAGGCGCAGAGGCGCTTCATTAAGCGTCCCGTGGGAGCGTTTCCTCCTTCTTTCCTTACAGCTTCTCGCTTTGGTTCCATGATTTGTTTGTTTGGTTTTCCTCCTTCCCTCTCTCCAGTCCTCCATTCTTATCCCCATCAAAAGAAATTTTTAAAAACTCCAGTGCCTCCTACAGATGTCCAGCCAGGATCACATTCACAGCTGCACTGTCAGAGGCCTGAGGGGATGAAAGCACCCCGTTCCCAGCCTGGCTCTGTCACTCACTTGCTGGGGACTGTGGGCAGGCTGCACACTGCTTGGAGCTCCCATTTACAAAACAGCTACTGCCCTGGGCTGAGGTTAACTGAGATAACTGTAACAAAGAGTGCCTGACTCTGAGCAGGGGCCCCAGCCGCCCCCTGCCCTGCCTGTGATCTAGAAGTTCAAGGAGGAACTGGCCTTGCCATAGGTGGTCTAGCAAAGTGAGTGAAATGTAGTTCGGTAGGGGATCCCACTGTGTCTCCAGACCGCTTCCCTCTCCACTCACTTCCTGAAACTCTGCCCAGCTCAAGCAGCTTCTTTAGTGGGAGACTTTGGTCCTCATGTCAGTAAAGGTGCCGACAAAGCAGGAGGAGACGCTGAGCTGCACCCCTCTTCTGAGGCCCCCCAACATGGATCCCGTCATGCACTGAGCACCAAAGCCACAGGCTGGCAATGACTGTGAGGGTACCTGGTTCCCCATCGCGATCTCCGCACAAGCTCCCCACTCTCGGGCAAGGCTAAGGCGGCAGATGAGCACAGCTCTTCTCTGAGAGCCTTCTCTGGCATCTCCTGATGTCAGCCCCTGACCCACCCACACACCCACGGCCCACTGGTAGCCAGCACATGCTCCTGTCACTCATCCAGAGCTGCTTCCTTGAGCAGGTCCTGGGGCTGCAGGGCCTCATGGCAGCCCCTCTGCAGCCACACTTTGCAGCATACGGCAGCGAAGGCCATGCAGCTCATCCTTGGTGGGACGGCCTTTAGCCAGGGCCTGTGGATGTCCAGGCCAGAAGCGCCGTTCCCCACCCACACTTTTGGAAGTGCTCAGTCCGTTATCCAGTCCGCAGACATACATCATGTGCCCCGTGCACTGTTCAAAACCCTGGGATACTGTGATGCTCAAAACAGACAGGGTCCCTGTTCTCAGGGGCTCTGTGTTGCCTGGGGGTAGACAGAAACAGTCACAAGGAAGATTCCAGGTGGGTGGGGGCGTGCTCTGAAGGAAGCAGGGGAGGGACACGTTGCAGAATGGCCTGTCTGCCACTTTAGCTTAGTGGTCAGAGAGAGCATCTCTGGGAAAGCGGCACGTGAGCTGAGGTCTGAAGGAGAAGGAGGAGGCAGCCGTGCCAAGACAAGCAAAGAACATTCCAGGCAGAGGAGCAAATGCCAAGGCCTGGAGATGGGAACAGGACAGCTGGGGTCAAGGGAGAGCAGGACACAGCAGCCTGGCTGGAGGCGGGTGAGCGAGGAGGAGCCCGGGGGGACGTGGGCAGAGCAGTTCCTGTGGGCTTGGTGGCCGGGAAAGGGAGTTCATGTTTATGACACCTTTGTGGGCTTTCAGGCAGGGGGATGGCATGAGGTCCATGAGGGATGGAGGATGGACAGAGGCAGGATGGAGGCAGGGAGTTCGAGAATCCAGGCCAGAGACGAGGGCGACTGGCCCAGCCGTGGCAGCCCTGGAGGGGAGCGAATGTGTTGTACTCGTGGTGAATTTCACAGGCAGAATTGAAAGGACTGGACCTGCTAAGGGCTTCAATGTGGGGAGAAAGCAGCATCAAAAATAACTACCAGGTGTTTTGCCTGAAGCAACTGTGGGTTGTGTGACCATTTGCTGAGCTGGGGAAGGCTGAGGGCAGACTGAGCTTTGTCTCATTCTATTCTGCTTTTGTGGGAGGGGGACTTGGGAGTTCAGCACGCGGCCCATGAAGTCTGTCACGCCCGCAGGATGTCCACGTGCAGGCACCAGGTCAGCTCTTGATGTCTAAGTTGGAGGGTGGTGGAGCTGGCAGGCCTGGGGGTTTGGGGGCAACCTTGGCAGATAGGTAGCCAAGGGACAGTGCGAAATCTCCCAGGAACAAAATGTAGATGGGGTGGGGGCGAGGGAAGAGCCTGAGAGAAGCCCAGGCCCCACTGACCTGCACTGAACTCCTGAGTACCTAGTGCTGCCTGAGGCTGCTTGAAAGGAGGTGGTGTCCACAGAATAGGAAAAAGTATTTGCCAATCATATATCTGGTAAGGGTCTAGTATCCAGGATGTATAAAGAACTCTTACAACTCAAGACATCCCAGTTTAAAAATAGGCAAAGGACCTGAATAGACATATCTCCAAAGAGATGGAGACGCCACGCCCACCTGGAGTCTTTGTGACTGTTTCTGTCTCCCCACAGACAGCATAGAGCCCGTGAGAACAGGGACCGTGTCTGTCTTGAGCGTCGCTGTATCCCAGGGCCATACAAATGGCCACTAAGCATGTGAAAAGCTGTTCAACATCATTAGTCATTAGAAAAATGAAAATCAAAACCATAATGAGAAACCACGCCACACCCACTAGGATGGCTGTTAAAAAAAAAAAAAAGCCCAGAAAGGAACAAGTGTTGGCGAGGATATGGAGAAATTAGAAACCCCATACTTTGCTGGTTGGAAATGTAAAACGGTGTCGCCCGTGGTAAACAGTCATTTCCTCAAAAAGGGCACACATGGAGTTACCAGATGATGTGACAGTGCCACCCCCAGGTATCCACCCAGGAGAGCTGAAGGCGTATACCCCCACGAAAACTTACACACAGTGTTCAGCAGCACCGTTCATAACAGCCACAAAGCCAGCACAACCCGGATGTCCATCAGCTCACGAAGAGATACATGAAATGTGGTCTGTCCATGCAATAGAATACTGTTCAGCCGTAAAAGGGAATGAAGTGCTGAGTCACGCTACGACATGGATGCAGCTTGAAAACATGCTAAGTGAAGGAAGCCAGACACACAAAGACAAATATCGCATGACTCTCTTTACATGAAATGTCCAGAATGGGCAAACCATAGATGGAAAGTAGACATGTGGTTTCCAGGGGCGAAGGGGTAGGAATTGGGACTAACCGAAAACGGGCACAGGTCCTCTTTCTGGCATGATGGAAATATTCTGGAATTAGTAGTGATGGTCGTGCAACACGGTGAATATACTAAAAACCACTAAGATGTCGGCTTAAAGATTGTGAATTGTGTGCTCCATGAGTTCTATCTCAACCAGAAACGGGATTGGAGAAATAGCAGAGGTCACACGAACATAGCATCAAAAGTCCCACCCACATCCTCCAAGCAGACCATGTGCACAGCTCTGTCCACTTCTGGGCCAATTGTGAGTGCCCCAGTAAGCTGGGATCCCCAGAGAAGGGCGACCTGGGTGGTGAGTGTGCCAGAAGCTTATTCAGGAGGGAACAGTGTCAGGAGCCGAGCGGCTTCACTTGGAGACCAGAAGGCTGAGGCGGGTCTGAGTGCTCCCCTCTGATGTGGTTTGTTGTTGCTTTTGCATTTTGGAAGGGACTTTGCTGTCACTGGAGTACGTTCGTACCCGTGATTCCCTGAGGCCATGAGCAGCGGCTTCGTGCTGCACCTGCTCACACTCGGTGGTGGTCTGTGTGTGCCAGGCGCTGTGCAGAGTACATTACCTCCATCACCTCCTTTGACTCCCAAACACCTCAGGGACTTTTATCCCTGTTTTATAGAGAAGGAAACCAAGGCCCAAAATGGTGAAATGACCTGCTCAAGGTCACAGAGCAAGTGACCAGCAAAGACTCACTGAATCTTTTTTCTTTTTTTTTTTTTTGAGACGGAGTCTCGCTGTGTCGCCCCAGGCCAGAGTGCAGTGGTGCGGTCTGGCTCACTGCAAGCTCCGCCTCCCGGGTTCACACCATGCTCCTGCCTCAGCCTCCCAAGCAGCTGGGACTACAGGCACCCGCCACCATGCCCGGCTAATTTTTTGTATTTTTAGTAGAGACAGGGTTTCACCGTGTTAGCCAGGATGGTCTTGATCTCCTGACCTTGTGATCCGCCCGCCTCAGCCTCCCAAAGTGCTGGGATTACAGGCGTGAGCCACCAAGCCCAGTCGACTCACTGAATCTTGTACTCCATCTGGTATGACTTGTAGAGCAACAGCCAGGTCCCATGGGCAGTGGTCACAGGGCAGCATCACGCAGACCCCTTTGAGGACTGGCCAGCGGTCTGCACTGGGCGGTAGACTCCCGTCCTTCCCTAGAGATGCACAGCAGGGGGCGGCAGGGCAGCGGCTGGGCTGGAAGGCAGGACTCAGGTTGCGGAGAGCAGAGTGAGCAGACCCCAGCGGCCAGCAGGCTTCACCACCTCTGCCTTCCCTGGGCTGGCTTGCTGGGTTTGGACGTGAGCAGTGAGCTTGCTGGTCTGGAAAGCTGACCTTACCATTCATGCGCCTCATCTCCCACCCTGAGCTTGGACTCAGGCCCAGGCCAAGAGGTTGGCTCTGTGTCTTCTGCACACGGCCAACCTGCTGGGGAATCAGGAGCCCCAGGGAAGACCTCAGCTGATGCCCAGACCAGGAAGCAGACAGGTCCTGGGAGACCCCAGGCATACCTCCTGCCGCCTGTGCCAGCAGCTCTTGACAGCTCGGAGAGTGTTCTGGATCTGGCAGAACCCAGGCCCCAAAGCTCTAAGACCCGTGTGTATTTTACCCAAAATCTAATCCATCTGGTTCTCATTTATTTACACTTAACTCATCAAATGCAATTTTGCAAGAGCCGCTAGATAGCCAAGAGGCTTTTCTGCCTAAGCCGCCCTTCTGAAAGGAGCCGGCAGGCGGTGGGGGCCTCAGCCCCCTGGGACCAGGTGGGAGCTCTCCGTGCTGGAGGTGGAGTTCGCTTCCTAAGATGGGCTGGGCACCTCTGCCTCTGTTTCTAGACCTTCCGTGGGAGCTGGGACACCGGAGCCAGTGGAGGGCCTGACACACAGTAGGCTCTTGACAGCCATGAAAACATGGGTGGGTCCAAGCAGAACACGGAGTCTCTGTTTCAAATCGGGAAATATTTGCGGGAAACACAAAGCAGCCAGAGCTGGATCCAGAAGTAATTTTTAGTTGTTATAAATAACTGTGAACCTGGACTCTTGGTCCAAAGTAGAACAAACAGCCAGCTATTAATAAAAACAAACATCAGCATCTTGGGCCAAGAAGCACACCTCCCGGGGAAACTGGTCCTGCCTGCAGAGGCCTTTCGGAAGCGGGTCAACCTATGGCCTGCTGATGTCAGCTCTGGAAATTCTTCTTGCTGGAAAACAACCATGTCAATCACAGCACAGGGGTCCCCTCCCACACATCACCCTTCAGTGGCTGGCAGCAGGTGGAGGTGGCCTGCGCCTGTGAGGACCGAGTGGAGATGGGCAAGAGTCACAGCTGAGGGCCGTCCGCCGCCACCCCGGCCTCCAGAGCTGTGCTCATGCTGGGTACTGCACAGTGAGGAGGTGGGACCTGACCCCAGAGACCCTGTGGGACCAAGGTGCCATGTCCTGTTCCAGCCAGACTCATCACAGCAGCCACTGCCCATGGAGAAGGGATTGGGAGGGAGAGGCTGGAGGCTGAGACCCAGGAGAAGTGTGCAGCCTACCCCAAAGAGGAAGCTGAGGTCCAAGCCAGGGCTGTCTCATGGGAGCCAGGGAGATGGACGGGCAAGGTGGCGTGGAAAAAGTCAGCAGCCTTGGTCAGACCCTTGGGAGAGGGGCAGAAGAAAGGGGCTTCGAGAACAACAGGGTCCTCAGGCCTGGTGGCTGGGTGGGACGAGGGCCAGACCCTGACCAGTGAGGCCCCTCTTTTGTGCTCCAAATGCTCAGCCTTTCTTGACTCCTGTCCTTCCCTTCTCCCACCTCTGACCTCCCCCAGCTCTGCGGGCTGAAGGAATGGGAGTTCACAGCTCACGGGGAGCAGCCTTCAAGGACCTTCAGGCTCCCTGTCTTTTGTCCCATACCTCACTGGAGTGGTCTTTTTCCGAGGGGGTCTCCCAGCCCCACCTGCTGAAGGCCCCTGTGGCACGGCCCACCAAGGTTCCACCTTCTCTTCCTCCCAGCTCCCTTGCCTGCCATTTCAGCCTTGGCCCGGAAGAGGGAAGGGCTCCGGCGGTTCGATGGCACAATCACAGATACAGTTGTACATCAAAAGAGGCTGTGGACCAGTGCCTTCCAGCCTCAACCACGCCGGTCCAGACAGCTGTGAAAGGCTCCTCCCAGGACCGGGCATGGAGGGCCCGCTCTCCACTCTACCTCCCCCGTCTCTCTCACCAGTTGAAAGGATTTCCTGAAAGGAGCCTCCTAGAGTCTGCCCCAGAGCCCAGGGGACCTCCTGTCTCTTTGTAGCTAAGTCCCTGTGCTGTGCTGAGGAGCTCCGTGCCTTCTGGGAACATTTAGCTGTGGTCATAAATAAAGATGAAGGACCATGAGCTGCCAGCAGGATTCAGAGGCGGGACACTCCCCCTACCCCTCCTAGAGCCGCCCAGGGATTCTGGACCCCGGATTGGAAACAGGCCCACTCAGGGGCCTCACTACACGCAGGCTCAGCCCTGGCCCAAGGCCTCAGTGGTTTGGGACACTCTGCGTGTCAGGCTGCACAAATGTTTTCTGCAGGGACTGTCCCCCTGCTAGTTGGACTGATGTGGGGACCCGAACAGAGCTGGGGTTTTTGAGCGCTGTGTGGGGTCGCCAGGGTAGGGTGCAGGCCACAGAGCAGCCTCGCTCACTCTACATGCCCACGGCCTGGCTCTGCTGTTCCTCTTAGCCCAGCATCCAGGACCCTGTCAGCCACCTTTCCCTGGTTGCTTCCAGAACTCTCCTCCTGTTAGAGAGGCTGCAGGCCCTTCCCTGTCTGGGCCCTGCCCTGCCCCTTCCATGAGCCTTTGCTTTCAGAACACCTCCGCCTCCTCCAGGATCCCCAGGCTCAGGTCACACCTCTCTGCTGTCCTCAAAGCAGCTTGTACTTCGCCTCTTCCAGGAAGCCTCCCATCTCTGTGCTCTGGCCCAGTGCCCTGGAGCTTGGTGTCCCTGGCAGCTCAGGGGTAGTGTGGCACAGAGTAGGTGCTTGGTGTTCACGGAGTGAGTGAATGAACAGAGGCGTTTCAGGTGGATTCAGAAGGCAAGAAAAACTTCGGTCTGGACAAGGAGGGGAGGCAGTTCCAGGAGGAGGGTGGCATGCACACTCGGGCAGAGGTGAATGGGTGGGCTGTGTTCAGAGAGCAGCCGCAGCGGATTCCTAGAGCATGGCTGAAGAAGTGGGCAGGCTATGAGAGCCCACTCACAGCTGAAGCCCCCCTCGTGCCCAGTGGGAATAAGGACAGCACTCTGCCCCCTGGGACTGGTCCCTTGGCGGTAGTGAGCTCCCTGGCACTGGTGTGTGCAAGCACAAACTGTGCCATCCCATTTACCCTCCTGTCACTTGAGTAATCACTCTTGGCCTGACCCGCTGCTAGGAGCAAGGATATAAAGGAGACTCAGATCTGTCCTCACCCCAGGGCGGGGACAGGATAGGCAAGCCCTCTGGTCCAGGGCAGAGGAAGGAAGTAGTGAAGGAAGGCAGGCCTGGCCTGGAAGCCGGGGTGGAGTGAATTATGCTGGGCACCAGAAAGACTACACGGAGGAGGAGGCTGAGCACTGGGCTTTGGAGAGGTGGGCATGGAGGGGCCAGGGAGGTTTGTAAGCATCAGCACCTGGGAACCTTCGTCACTACCGCCATCGGACTTGAAGGGTCGTCATTCACAGCTGAATCCTGCGGGAGGAGAGGGAGGGCTTTGGATTCATGGGGCTTCCAGTTCTCTTTCTGCCTCTTTTAGAGCTTTGAGGAAATCTCTCTCCATCTCCAGGCCCCAGTTTTCTCACCTGAGAATCAGGGATAATAAGAATAATGCCCCCGGTGTGGAGCTGTTGTGTGGATTTATTAAGATAATGCCTGAGCTGGGGCCTCGCTGGCAGCAATTGCCGTTATTTATGGTAGTGAGGCTGGCAACCCCGCCCAGCCTCAACGCTCACCTCTGTGTGAGGGCTTGGGGGTGGGCTGGGATTCTCACACGGGGCCAGCCACACAGGACCCATCCATGCACTGACAGTCAGTTCCACGGGGCAGAGAAGGAGGAGGGCTGCACACACCACAGGCATTCCAGGAGGACTTCCTGGAGGACGCAGTCTGCAATCCCTCAAGCTCTGGGAGCACTTCCCAGGGATAAGGCCTGGGCATCGCCCACAGGCTACAGGGCAAGACAGGGGCAGAACTCAGGGAGCCTGACTCCCAGGTGTGGGTTCCCCTTTTCCATGAGGACACCTCTCATAATAGAGTGTGCCAAATGCTGGGGGACCATGGGGCGGTGTGTGCTGGGCTCACAGCACCTCTTGGAGAGGGCCAAAGTACTGTTTCTCATAGTGCCCTGCCAGGCCTGGCCAGGGCCTCCAAGTGAGCCCAGTCTGTCCTGGGCTCATGGGCGGCATCTCACAGACCCAGCTGCTGCAGTTGGATGCTCTTCAGACCTCAGTGTGGGGCCCACTTGAAGTGCTGGAGACACAGGGGTGCAAGAGGCGTGTGTGGGGCCTCAGGCCCTTCCCTAGAGATGCTGGTCATGGCCTCAAGCCACCCAAGAGATTTGGCAGCCATGATTTCCTCCCCTCCTCGGGGGCCGGGGGTGAGGCCTGTTTGGACCGCAGTGGGAAAAGGGTGCAGAGGGGCAGCCCCCTCTTCCCACCTGCTTCATCTCAGGACTTTATCACTTGGGAGTGGGGACAAGACATGTTTACATGGCCCTGCATTTGTTTCCCATTATTCATCAGCACTGGCGAGTCATTGTTCCCTAGTAGAGTAAACAGCCCTGTCCCAAGGCCCAGCCGCCCTGCCAGGTCACTGAGGGTTTGTAGATGCCTTACGTCAACCGCCCTTTGCTTCAAGCTTTCAGTGAGGTGAGGAGTGGCCAGGCCAGATGGCTGCAGATGGGCGGCGCCAGGGAGCTTCCTCGTGACAGGGATGAGGTAGCATTTCTGCACTGGGAACTCAGCATTTGAGAGTCTGTGTCTGTTTGGTTTGCTTTACAGTCGGACCTTTAATAGGGCTGGGGAAGCCAAGGCGCAGAGCAGGGAATCTGAGAACCATGAGAAGGAAGGTAACAACCGTGACATGAGAGGGGTCCGAACTGAGTCCCAGGGACAGCTGCCCATGTCCAGGTCCCATTGTTAAGTGTATGCCAGCACAGTTCTCTACAGGGTCTTATAGGCCCAGAGATGGGACTAACCCCAGGAATGCTGGGTCCTTCCCGATGCTCCTCACGGCAAGCTGCATCTGGGGCTGACGTGCACGTGCTCAAGTTGACACTGGACTCCAGCTCGTGTGAGGAGCAGCCGGCTCTTCGCAGCATTGGTCTGAGCACATGCGCTGACGCAGCCAGCTTAGCCTGGGGCCAAAGGCGCGTGTTCTGCAGCCAGACCGCAGGGCTGGGTCCCGCCTTCACTCTGGTGTGCTGTGTCACTCTACTCAAGCTACTCCAGCTCCCGGAGCCTCCGTGTCCTCATCTGTAAAATGGGGTCAATAACATGACCTGTCACCCAGGTAGCTGTGAGGATCGCGTGGGCCTGCGCCTAACACATAATAAACACTCACAGATGTTTGCTTTGTGTTGTTAGCAGGATGAGTAGGACACGGGGCCTGGCTTGGTGCTTTTCATGGTCCAGTGCAGGCTGGAGACAGACCCCAGGGGCAGACATGGCTGAGGCTTGGAGGGGAGGGAGGCGACCACTCGCCACCCCTAGGGGCTGCGCCCAGCAAAGGTGGCATGGGCACTGGGCCCCTAGGGGGTCCTAAGCAAGGCTTTGTTGAATGGAGAAAGGTGCTGAGGATAGTCCCTCTCCCTCCTCCCCAGGCTTCCCCAGTCAGAATGGTGCGATCACCTGGCTCCTCTCAGCGAGGGCCACTTCTACCATTTTAGCTGTAACCACTGGCGGCTTTTAGAGTTCAGAGCTCTGCCTGCCTCCTCTGACTGCCCACACGGCTGACATTTGAGCTTGCCAAAGAATAATGGCCTCGCTGTCGGCCTCAAAGGCAGCCGTGTGGTGTCTTAGGTGGTAAAGTGGTCTGTCGTCCATGAGTCTAAATAGGACCTGGCTCAAATCGCTCCACAGCCAAGTCCTCTCCCAGTTCAGTGCAGGTCACCAACTCTTTACCTTTTCACATCCTTTTGGTTCCAATAGTAAAAGATGTCTATGTTAAAAAGAAGTGTATCAAAAGCTCAACACCGAAGAGTGTGTGTGTGTGTGTGTGTGTGTGTGTGTGTGTGTGTGTTAGGGACCGGGGATTGGCTAGAAGCAGCCAGTAGCTCACGCCGCCTTTGTGGTTTTATATATTTGCCTATTAAAATGACAATACAGACATGGAACATTAAGGTTTAAGAAGCCCTTCTTTCATTAAACAAACTGACAGAGCAGGGGGTTATGACTCTGGTAATTGAAACACGCTGTTGTGCTCAAGACCAGAACTCCATAAAGACTGTTTTCAGCCAATAGCGCCCTTTGTGCCAGCGGCCTCTGGTCAGAAATGAGTGTCGGCCCTGAGGTCTGCCTCTCCCCGAGAGTGGGAAAGACCACTTGGCAGCCTTCCACAGCCATCTTGGCAGCCGGAGGTCAGGGCCTTTTCTTAATAAAAACCTCCTCATTCTCGGAGTTTTTGAAATCAGTTGCAGGGCACAGAGCCTTGGGGCACTGTGCTGTGCTCCAGCCTGTTATCGTGTTGTGCTGCTGATGGTAAACCTGAGCTGAGTCAAGAGACGGGGCTCGTGGGGTTGCAGCTGGCAAAGCTCCATGTGTTGGGGACAGCTGCTGCAGGCTGCTGTGTCTTCCTAGAGTGGGGGGTCTGGCGACGTCACTGAGAGCTGAGGTTTCAGGGTCAGACCACCGGGTTTGAATCCTGCCTCTGCCACTTACCATACGTAGGACTTTAGACAAGTGACTTTGCCCCTCCGCACCTAAGTTTCCTCATCTATAAAATGGACTGGTACCTGGATCTGACTTACAGGGTTGCTGTGAGAATTAAAGGAATTAATACAGGTAAGATGCTTAGAACAGTGCTGGGCACTCAGACAGCACTGTTGAGTTGGAGTGAGCTAGCATCATAGCCACTGGACTCTTTCCAGGACTTGCTCTCGGGAGTACCACCGTGCAGCATCACCATGGAGTCCCGCTGTACCAGTATAGCACAGCACGATGGAGGCCCACCATGCCACTGTAGCGCAGCGCCATGGGAGCCCACCGTACCACTGTAGTGCAGCGCGATGGGGGCCCACCGTGCCACTGTAGCACAGCCTGATGGGGGCCCACTGTACCACTGTAGCACAGCAAAATGGAGACCCACTGTACCACTGTACCACTGTAGCACAGCGCGATGGAGACCCTCCGTACCACTATAGCACAGAGCGATGGAGGCCCACTGTACCACTATGGCACAGCACAATGGAGGCCCACTGTAGAGTGCCACCATGGTGCAGGGCCGTGGAGGCCCACTGTACAGTATCACCATCACACAGCACCAGGGAGGCCCTCTCTGGAGTCCCTCCCTTCAGGGCCATGTGAGGAAATTCACTGCATCCCTGTCCCGCCAGCCCCTCATGCCCTGCTTCCAACTTAGGTGTGATCTCTGGTCCCCTTCTCTTCCTTTTCTCACAGATGTGGACGAGTGTCAGGACAATAATGGTGGCTGCCAGCAGATCTGCGTCAATGCCATGGGCAGCTACGAGTGTCAGTGCCACAGTGGCTTCTTCCTTAGTGACAACCAGCATACCTGCATCCACCGCTCCAATGGTGAGTACAGCCTATGCTGACCAGGCATGTCCCCCCCCAGGATGGGCAGCCCCCAGAGTCCCCTTCTCCACATCTCAATTCTGGGGCCCTCAAGGTCAAGGCAGGGAATTTTGGTGGTAGTCTGAATGACTGTTTTGCACGTCTGGTATTGGTTCTGCATGGGCCTCCTTCCAGTTCCTTCCCTCTACCTGCTACACTAGGGCTGCGGGTGTTTCTCGTGTTTATATGTGGGGCCGCAAGTAGCACATGTGACCAGAGGAGCTGTTTTCCTTTCTGAGTTGGGGGCTGGCTGTGGCCAGGAAGAGTGGGGCCCCATTCTCCATGGGCTCCTTCTCCAAAGGGGGCTTGAGGCTATCCAGGCTGTGTGCCAACTTCTCTGTCTCCATGAGCCTGGCAGCACCAGCGACTCCCTGCTGCATGTTCATTGGGTTTCCCGCCAGGAGAGGGTCCTTGTGGTCGGGCGCCTGCTGTTTGGAAGCCAGGCAGTGTGGCAGGCCAGCCTGGGGAGGTGCAGAGGGCCCCAGGAAGACACCCCACCAGCTGGAGCACTAGGTGGCAGACCCAGGCTGAAGTGGAGCCTGGCCACCAGCCAAGCCCAGCAGGCAAAGGAACTTGGTGTTACGGCATCAGTGGTCAGATCCTGGAGTTTCGGCTCAGGGCAGCAGAGCTGTGAGGTGGCGGCAGAGCTGTCCAGAAAGCCAGGACACATGTGCTTGGAGGAGAGAGCCAGGACACATGTGCTTGGAGGAGAGAGCCAGGACACATGTGCTTGGAGGAGAGGGCCAGGACACATGTGCTTGGAGGAGAGAGCCAGGACACATGTGCTTGGAGGAGAGGGGCTTCCAGGCAGAGAACAGCTTTTGCGGAGGCACATCTCTTGCTTAAGATAATGCAAGGGCAGGCATCTGAGGCAGGGCTGTGTACCAAAGCAGAGTGTGCTGTGAGGGCAGGGCAGGAGCCAAGGTTCCCAGGGCCTGGCTGTCGTGAGCTGTCAAGGGAATAAATGTAAGGAAGAAGGCCAGAACTGCCCCAGTTCAGGCACGCCCCCATTGCTGACCCTTAACAAGGAGGAGGCGCTGGAGGCTTGCGGGCATAGAGGGCGTTCCTGGGAAGGTCGCCCCTCTCTGGTACACAGCACCTGCAGAAGGCTCAGAGAGGGGCTCACGCTGAGAGATGGGGAACCAAAGGGCACGCACTGGGCTCCAGGCCAGCCGGACCCTGTGTGAATCCAGCTCCTCCTCTCCCACGCTGGAAGCCTTCCCATGGGCGGCTCTACTGACTGCTCCCCAGATTCCTCGCCTGCAAAATGGGGAAGTGGTGTTACCCGGCAGGGCGTTCAGAGATGGAGCAGGACCATGGGATGAGGTTCCAGCCTCCCGTGAGCAGGCAGGAGGCTGTGAGGTGTGAGTCTGCCAGCCCAGGCATGAGTTTCATTAGAAAACAGTTCCTGAGAAAGTGAAAGCAAAAACATTTAAAAAGTACTCAGGATAATAAAGTGGAAATACTCGAACAGGCTCCTTAGAATTCTTAGTGTTTGTTGCCTCAAAGGCAGGACGGGCCTGCTAATCATGGCTCTGTGGTGTCCCCAGAAGAACAGAAAGCCCGAGCTCCGTGGCTCCTGGCACTTGCTGCTGTCACATTGTCCACACTCCACCCAGGTGGCTCCCGGGCATCAGGAGTTTGTTTTGCGCCTTGTAAGACCTCCCAGTTGTGGGCTGTGGGGCCAAGCTGCCCACGGTGGAGGCAAACCCTATAAACCAGGACTCTGAGCCCAACAGGTTGTATAAGAAGCAGATTGATGGGGACAGAGTGAGCAAGTGCGGGGAGGGGCCTCTGCTTTCATCCAGGGAGGGGAGTTCACAGAGTGACTGCTCTGAGCAGGCTGTAAAGTCCCAGGCCAGGGTGGCGTGAGCCTCCTTTTCAGCCAGGCTGTGTGTGCTCTGTTCCTTTGAAGCCCGGCTTTCTCCCCAGCAGGACTCCAGGTGGAGCTGAGGCCCCTGGTTGAAAGAAGGGTGTGCTGTGGGCAGATCACACCCGCAGCCACAGCCTGTTTGTTACAGGTTTGGCCTGTAAGCATCTGCTGTGCTGAGGAGGTTACAAACCTTAGCGTCCCCTACAGGACTGGGGTTGGGGAGGGGATGACGTGGGAGCAGCGACAGCAGGGGCTGCTGGGGCCACACGCTTACTCTGAGCCAGGCACGGGCCTGAGCACTGCCCAAAGACAAGCTCACTCCACCTTTGCCACTGCCCGGCGAGGCTGGGTTGTGACGCTGAGGAAGGCGAAGCCCAGCGAAGTTAGGGAAGAGGCAGAGCCAGGATCTGAGCCAGGCACGCTAGCTATGGGGCCCGCTCCTTGGGAGGTGATGCGGTGTGAGAGGAAAGAAACGGGTGGTGCAGCAGACGGTGCTGGAGCTGATGAGAAAGCCAGGTGGGAAGCTTGTGGGGAATGTGCCAGGCTGGGCGCGTGCAAAGGCCCTGGGGTGGGAATGGGCACGTGAAAAGCTGAACAAAGGGTGGGACGAAGGAGCAGAGAGCACGAAGCGGGAGGAGCCCGAGGCGGGGAGGTGGGGGCTGGACAACATGGGGCCTGGTGGGCTGTGGCAAGAGTTTGGATTTTGGGTGGAGGGCAGCTGTGGGAAAGCTGGTTGAGCAGAGGTAGGAAGTGATGCTTAGGGGAGAGGGGAGGCCATCTGGGAGAACGCCAGCACTTCCAGGGGCTGGCATCTCATAAATTGTGCAGTGGCTGGTGTTGGGTGGGACCCTGGGCACACATGGCTCACTCCACCCAGATGCCCCAGGTGGTCAGATCCTGATTTTTCAGGAAGCCAGGAGTCCAGCTTTAACCAGAATATGGATTTGGGGGCCTCAGTCCCAATCTGCATTAACCAGCGTGTCGGTTAAAGAAGTGCCTTCTCTCCTTACGATTTTTGTGTGGCCTCTCCTGATTTTTTGATCTGGGCAATGAAATCAGTCCAAAAAACAACAGATAACTTATCAGATTGCTCTCGAACGACAAGGTGCAGCATTCCAGTGGGTTTCCACGGCTGTGTGGAAGTCCTGAAGAGGGCAGAGCAAGCACACAGCACAGTGGTCAGCGGCCCATTAATGCCCATTGGGGAGACAGGGACCTGGGGACTGGGCAGGTTGTCTACCTCTCTGAGCCTCAGTCTGTTGTGACAATTGCCCACCATTAGTGTCAACTGCAATCATGATTGTTATAGCTCAAAATTAGAGCATGTCAGAGGAGCTAAGACTCAGCTTGTTTTGCAGACAAGTGACCTCTGATTCCCATAGCTCCTGGGAGGGCTGAAGGAGACAGAGCCATTTGGCAAATTAGATTCCCCCTATCACCTGACTCTTCCTCATGCCTGTCCAGCTCTTTGGAGCCTACCCCTGAACAGGGAGAAAAGCACACAGGCTGGTTTTGATTAGATGGAACCAGATGCATGAGAGGGGTTGGCCCAGGTCGGTCCAGACTCCTGGCTGAGAAACACAGGGCTCAGCCCGTCTGAGTGGCCCTGCTTTCTAGGCGCCAGAGCACACCCTGGGCCAAGGCATGGCTGCGACCCTGGCTAGGCTTGGGAGGATTAGGTTCTCAGCTCCAGCTCTCCATGTGGCCTCTGCACAGTTACTCTTGCCTCCTTGGGCCTTTTCAGCTGTAAAAAGGGCCTAGCTGTCGAATTTTCCCCATTCGCGGAAAACTGCTCTGGTCAATCAAGGGCAGCACCTGTCCTAGGAGTAGCGACTGATGCAGGCAGCTTCTTCAGGTCTTTAGAACACAGGCTTGATTTGGGGGACACACACAGGCTCCTCCTCTGTGCCCACACTGGGCAGGAGGGAGTCCGAGATGTTGGAATCTGGCCAGTTTCCCTCCACTCAGCACTTCCGAGCACTGCTTCTGGCCCCATGATAGCACCCCCTACCTCCCACTCAGCCCTAGCCCAATAAGTACTGACAATCCCTCCTCTGGCCACAGCCCCAGGGGCCCACCCGCTGCCCCCATCACACACCCTTGTGCCTGGTGTATCTAGAAGGCAGCACCTTCAGGCTCTCTCCCTCTCCCACACTGCTCTTCTTGTCTGTAACTTCTGACGGATTGATGCCACAGGAAGATGTGGCCTCCTGGAGGAACTGTCTCCTTTTCTCTCAATGTAGAATTCTGACCAGAATCGATCCGGGAGTAGAAAGGGTTCTGGAAGGCCTCAGTCTTACTAGCTACGTGAATGCAGGTCACTTGTATTTACCTGCTCATTCATTCATTCATTCATTTATTCGTGTGCCAGGTGCTCTGCCAGCCCCTAGGATCCGAGGCATGGTCCACTGGGAAGCTTTCAGCCTGGACAGGGGATCACATGCTAAGTAGGGGTCCTAAGAGTTCCTGTACAGTCATGAGCTGAGGGGAAACGCTCTGGGGATTCTATGGCTTTGGTCTTCTCATCTGAGCAGCAGAGACGTTCGTGACATGGTCTCCTCCTCCACCTGGTGAACTGTTGCTATTCCGAGGGTCCAGCACTGACACTGGGCCTCACTGGCTGCCAGCAGCTTTGGGTTTGAGATGCCACTGGCCCTCCATGCAGGAGGCTGTCCTGCAGGGCTCTGCTCTGAAGCCTCATCAGACGCCGCCTGTGGGCTGGCCTCAGCCTTGGTGGAAGGCACCAAAGTGAGAGGAAACGTCGCATTGTCTCCATCATTGTAGGAGACAGCACAGGCTCACAGCGGGGCTTCAGGCCCAGTGGCCTAGGCTGGAACCCCAGCTCTACCATGGACCATCTCGTGACCTTGAGCAAGTCACTTAACTTCTCTGTGTCTCATCTGTAAAATGGAGATAGTCATAATACCTGCTTCGTAGGGTTAAAAAGGTATTGAAAAGACAGTTTCAATAAACACGGGCTCTTATTCATGTGATTTGTGACAGATGAGGAAATGAGGCCCTGAGAGGGCAGGGCCTGGCCCAGGGCCCCACAACAAGCCGGCCGCAGAGTCAGGACCTGGAAGCTCTTGGAACGAGGCTCTGCTGACACGTGCCAGGTGCTGCACAGGAGCCTGTTCATTCAGCAGAGGGAGAGGGGAGGGAGAGGATCAAGAGGCCAGCTTTGTCCTCGACAAACTAGCGAGCTGGTGGTCCTTGCACCCAGGTTCATCTGTGCACAAGGTAGTACATGCCAAAACCTGAGGCCCAACAAGATGGCCATCGTCCCTCATTCATCGGCTGAGCTCCCGCACCTATTTGGCCTCGGGGCAGCCCTCCAGGGTGCCCAACCACCCATCCTTCCTGCGGAGGTTTGAGTACACCTGCAGAGGTGTCCCTGCTGGGCACAGGTAATCAGGAGTCACAACACAGAGGGAGCACCAGGGCCCTGCTCCTCACCCCGCCCTGTCTACTGACAGCTCCCGCACTTAGTCCCCTGTGAGAGTATCCCACCCACTGGACAGCCCATTCTGAGCTGAGCCCTCAGGGAAAACTGTTGGGCTCTGCCTCTTCTGTGCCCCAGTGGCCACCTCTGTCCCCCGCCCCCTATTGTTGCTGGCGGCAAGCTCCAGAAAGTGGTTTTCTGCCTCATGGTGCTCGTGTCCCTGCAGCTTGGGAGCTCCCTGTGGGCAGGGACTATGTTCCCCACATCTCTGAGTCCCACTGCCAACTTGGGCCTTTGGAAAGGACAGAGAGGGGAAGGAAGAGAGGAAGGTGGGCGTGGGCAGAGCCAGGATGGGTCTGGGAACAAGGCAGGGTGGTGAGCAGTTCAGCGTGGACACTGAGGAGCGTCGGGACAGCACTCAGTTCACAGCGCCCTCAGGTCGTGCTGTTAGATATTGGTCAGTGTGGGCTGGTGGACCATGTGGTTGGGCCAGGCAGGGGGCCAGACAATAGGGGTCCTCTATTGATGAGAGCCCCCATTTGGGAGAAATGAGGCCACGTGCACAGAAAGCCTGCTGTGCAGCTGCTCTGCTGGGGTTTTATGCACTGGAACAGGCCGTGGGGCAGCCTGAGGTTCTCCCCGCAAGGACTGCATGAGTTTACCCAAGTGCGTTTCACCTTCTGGTTAACGTTCGGAGTTTGTTTAAACACGTGCATAAATACGTGTAGGAAACCGCATTGCCCTCCCTCCACAGGCATTCCTCGTGGGTCTCGAGCCCACTGTTCACAAAGCTCAAGACTTGGCATCAAGAGTGATGTTGTCCTACAGCCAGGGTCAGAGGTGGGGGCCAGCAGTAGGAAAGCTTGGCATCAGGAATCAGTCCCTTTGTGTGTAATGTGATGATGATGATGACGACGACGACGACGACGATGACGATGATGATTGCAAGAGCTGCATCCAATGCATGCTTGCGTGTGCCAGGCCCTGCTACCAGGCACTTTCCATGCATTTCCATTCATTGCGTCCTTACAGTGCCCCATTTTCCAGATCAAGAAACTTGAGGCACTGAGAGGTTAGGGAACTGCAGGGTTGCCAGTGGCTTTGGGGGATTGGAGGTCTGCCAATCTGGCCCCAGAGCCTGGGCTCCTGACTGCCTGATAGTGAAGACAGCAGCAATGGGGAAGGTTCTGGGACCCCTCTCAGTTGTCGGCCCAAGTATGGTGAGACTCAGGCGGGGCCTGAGGTTCAACGGAGATGCCTTTATAGCTGGCACCACCTGCAGCTCCAGGTACCGAGTATGCCTCTTTAAGCACCTAGAGTTCAAAAGACATCTTGTGGTAGAAATTTTCTGCAGTGTGGCACGCACTTCCCTTCTCCCTTCACGGGAACAGCCTGAGTCGGCTTGGCCTCTTTCTTCCTACAGTTTAGGATTCTTGTTATGAACTCAGTTACGGAGACAGAAAATGGTTGCTAATGTTTATCCCCACACTGAATGTCCCCAGACCTCTGGCCTAAAAGCAAACGCTTTTCTTTCGACACTGCTCTTATTAACTGTTACATACCACTGTGTTGTCACGGGTCTTGCTCTGAAGACCACGGCCGTGTGTCTCCATACACAGACCAGGTAAGAGCCTGCGGGCTCGGGCTTGCTGATAGACTGCCTGAACTTTAGAGCAGCTGCCGGCCTCATGGGAGCCATTGCCACTCATTTCTGAGTATTTGCTGGATGACCTCTGGTTAAATTTAACTTAGTTATTTTGCTTATAAAACCCATGCTTGAAGTATTTTGGGGATCCATTCATTTCATCTGTAAGTTTGCAAGGGCAAATACCTGATGATAACTAGAGTCAAAACAATAGGATTTTTTAGAATTTTTTATTTTGAAATAATTGTAGATCCATAAGAAGCTGCAAAAAATAGTGAAGAGTGGTCTCAGATGCCCTTTACCCAATTTCCCCCAATGGTGACATCTTACGTCACTAGAGTTTAACATCCAGACCGGTAGCTGGACGTTGGTACAGTGTGTGAGTGTGGCTCCACGCCATTTATGACATACGGATCCACATCACAACCACCGCAGTCAATAGTTCGCATTTAGTTATAATTGAACAATATCCAAATCAGTACACTTGTGAGAATGAAAGGAGATACTATTATTAATTATGCCAGGGCTGTGGATATCAACTGGGACTGTCCCAGGCAAAGCAAGACATTGGGTCACCCTAATACTGCTTCATTTGACCCCTCGAACCCTCAGATGGATACTAATATTATCCATTGCAATTCCTTGAACCCTGTGAGCTGAGTACTAGCCGCTCCCATGTTGCAGATGTGGGTCAGAAGCTCACAGAGGCAAACAGTGTGTCCAATAGTGGCAGGACTGGAACCCAGTGGTCTGGGTTCAAATCATGACCCTCTCCCACGGCTGTCTGTCAGTGTTTAAAGGAATCACAACCACCCCCATGGATTCCCCCTTCTTTTTTCAAGTGTGGAAATTGGGTTCTAAGGAGAAGAGGAACCTTCCTGCCCAATATGCTGGTCAACCTGTGGTCCCCAAATCTACATGTGCCTGGGCAGGGCGTGCTGGATGAGGAGCAGGGCCAGGGGCTTGGCTAGCGGGCTGTTCAAGGCAGAGGAAGCTGAGCTCAGGGCTGGAGCCAGTGGGATATGGAAAGGGGTTGGAGAAGCCCACAAGAGGCTGGGTGTCGTGGCTCACGCCTATAATCCCAGAACTTTGGGAGACCGAGGTGGGCAGATCACTTGAGGTCAGGAGTTTGAGACCAGCCTGGCCAACATGGAGAAACCCCATCTCTACAAAAAATACAAAAATTAGCCAGGCATGGTGGCGCACTCCTGTAATCCCAGCTACTTGGGAAGCTGAGGCAGGAGAATTACTTGAACCCGGGAGGCGGAGGTTGCAGTGAGCTGAGATCGCGCCATTGCACCCAAGCCTGGGTGACAGAGTAAAACTCCATCTCAAAAAAAAAAGAAAAAAAAAAAGAAGCCTGCAAGAGCAGGTGGCTTCTGAGGTGGTGGCCAACTGATGGAGAGAAGGTGGGTGGTCAGCAGACAGAGGGGCCAGAGTGACATAGGCAGGATGCTGTTGGGAGGATTAAGGGGGGAGATTGGGTAGCAGCAGGAGTTTGTGGTAGAAAGAGAGGGCAAGGGGCTGGCAGCGTCATCTGGGCCCAGACCTTGGTGGACAGCAACGGATTGGAGGCAGCTGGCCTTAAAAAAGCACTTCAAGTAGGACTCTGGAGACAGGGAGCCAGAAACCCTGGGGAGAGGCACAGGCCAGTCCCGTCACTTTCCTGGAATGATGTCTGGAGCAGAGAGAGTCCTCAGATGCCATCCACCGTCCTGCGCCATCTGACTGCAAGCAATTCCGTGGCTGTCCCAGGTCCACAGCGCCTGGAGGGATGGGTGCCCGTGTCCATCCTGGTGTCTGTTTGTTTCTCTACACCATGGGCCTCACTGGAGGGTGCTTGAGCCTCTGCCCTGTGCCTGACACTTTTCCTGTGTGGTTGCTTTTGATTCACTTGCAACCTAGCAGAGACCCTGGGGCCACTGCCTCTCCCGTCCCCGGTGCCCTTCTCAACTCCCTTCACCCTGTTGACCGTCCAGCTGCTCCCGATGCCTGGGTGCCTCCTTCAGGCCAGCCTGTCCTTGCACCGTGGCCAGGGTTCCTCTGACACCGAAGATTCCAGCTTGTTCCGGTTGGCCAGAGGAGTCCTCGTCCCAGCAGCTGTGGTTACCTATGGGAGACAATGGGCCCAGGAGCCTGAAGCCAGGCCCAAAGCTGGCGGAACTCAGAGGGACAGGACCCTGTCTAGCAGGAATTTGGACTGTGCCGTGACAGTGAAGGGTGCCCTGTCAGCCATGAGGAGAAGGAGAATGAGCCCATTTTAGGAAGATCACACTTGCCTCAGTTGTACAGGTGAAGCAGGGAGTGGGGCCAGAGAGAGCACTGGAAGCCATCAGGGTCTGGAACCCATATGGGGACAGCAAGGGGAGAGGGCAGGATGGCTGAGGGGGAGACGACGGGAGGATGGCCAGGGGAGGTGACAGGGTTGCTGAGGAGGAGGTGACAGGAGGGTGGCTGAGAAGGGAGGTGACAGGAGGGTGGCTGAGGGGGAGGTGACAGGAGGGTGACTGAGGGAGGTGACAGGAGGGTGGCTGAGGAGGAGGTGACAGGAGGGTGGCCAAAGAGGGAGGTGACAGGAGGGTGGCTGAGGGAGATGACAGGAGGGTGGCCAAGGGAGGTGACAGGAGGATGGCTGAGGGAGGTGACAGGATAGCTGAGGAGGAGATGACAGAAGGGTGGCCAAGGGAGGTGACAGGGTGACTGAGGAGGAGGTGACAGGAGGGTGGCCAAAGAGGGAGGTGACAGGAGGATGGCTGAGGGAGGTGACAGGGTAGCTGAGGAGGAGATGACAGAAGGGTGGCCAAGGGAGGTGACAGGGTGACTGAGGAGGAGGTGACAGGAGGGTGGCCAAGGGAGGTGACAGGAGGATGGCTGAGGGAGGTGACAGGATAGCTGAGGAGGAGATGACAGAAGGGTGGCCAAGGGAGGTGACAGGGTGACTGAGGAGGAGGTGACAGGAGGGTGGCCAAGGGAGGTGACAGGAGGATGGCTGAGGGAGGTGACAGGATAGCTGAGGAGGAGATGACAGAAGGGTGGCCAAGGGAGGTGACAGGGTGACTGAGGAGGAGGTGACAGGAGGGTGGCCAAAGAGGGAGGTGACAGGAGGATGGCTGAGGGAGGTGACAGGGTAGCTGAGGAGGAGATGACAGAAGGGTGGCCAAGGGAGGTGACAGGGTGACTGAGGAGGAGGTGACAGGAGGGTGGCCAAAGAGGGAGGTGACAGGAGGATGGCTGAGGGAGGTGACAGGGTAGCTGAGGAGGAGATGACAGGAGGGTGGCCAATGAGGGAGGTGACAGGAGGGTGGCCGAGGAGGAAGGTGACAGGAGGGTGGCCGAGGAGGAAGGTGGTGGGGATGTGTGAAAGAAAGGTGACAGAAGGAGGGCTGATAGGGGAAGTTGGTAGGAGCATGGCTGAGAGAGGAGGTGACAGCGTAGCAGGGGAAAGGTAGCAGGAGGATGTCTGCAGGGGGAAGGGACAGCAGGATGGGTGAGGGGAAGGGACAGGAGGATGGGTGAGGGGAAGGGACAGCAGGATGGGTGAGGGGAAGGGACGGGGATGGGTGAGGGGAAGGGACGGGAGGATGGGTGAGGGGAAGGGACAGGGGGATGGGTGAGGGGAAGGGACAGGAGGATGGGTGAGGGGAAGGGACGGGGGATGGGTGAGGGGACGGTGAGAGACTTGGTGAGCTGACTCTCGGCAGAGCCCTCTGTCTGCCCCGGGTTTACACTTCAGCGAGGCCTGTTACCCGCGTCACATAGGTGGGGAATATTTAAGTTTCGGTGGCTCTGGACAAGGTGGGGCCTTGTTCTCTTCGTAGCGCAGAACGCTGGAGGTCTGGGAGACCTGGGGCTCAAGGCAGGGCCCACTGGTCTCTACTTTGGAAGAGGCAGACAGCGCCGAACCCTGCCCAGCGCCTTGCTCAGCATCAGATTCATGCGGTCCGGGAAAGCCTTGTGCAGAGGGCCGCTGCCCACCTTCCTCCTCCTGACTGGCTGGCTCAGGCCTGGCCCAGCCTGGGCTGTAATCAATTGCAGGGACTTGATTGGCTTGAGTGAGGAAAAGCTCAGTATTCAAGGCTTCATTGAGGCTTAGGAGCTTGGGACACTTGTGGAGTTTCAGATCTCCCTAGGGGACTGGGGACATCAGGATTCTTCTGCCGTCTGTACTGCACTTTAGTGACCACATGTCCAAGCCTCTGCATTCCACCCCCTTGGGTAGTACTTGGAAACCCCATTTTTGTGCCAGGGCAGGTCCTTTCGGAACTCACAGGCTGTAGGAGGGTCCAACCTGAGGCAGGTCCCGACCAGACAGTGCGTGGAGGGCTGTGACAGAAGCTGGACAGGGGCTGTGGGAGCCCAGGAGAGCATGCCCTTGCCCACGCCATCAGTCAGCAAAAAAGATTGCCTCCTACTTCATTCCTGCTTCTATAACAGAAGAGCTGAGACTGGGTAATTTCTAAAGATAGAAATTTACTTTTCACAGTTCTGGAGGCTTGGAAGTCCAAGATCAAGACTCTGGCAGATTCACTGTCTGGTGAGGGCTGCCGCAATAGGGGTTCAGTTTCAACATCATTTTGGAGGGGACACAATCATGCAGACCGTAGCACATGCTTACTCTGTGGTGGGCTTAAAAATAAAGGTTTCTTTCCTGCTGGCACTCAGCCTCCTAAGTGGTTGGAGGTGAGGCCCTGCACAGCATATGCACCGAGGCGGCCACTGTCAGAAGCACTGCCAGAGAGCAAGCCCACCCTGCCTCTGGGGCCTGAGCCCCCTGTTCCAAGTCCACAGCTGTCTCAGGACTGGCTGGGGGCTCCTTGACAAAGGTTACCTGAGAGTTTTAGGGTACAGGTTTCCTGGGGTTGAGCCAGAGCAGAGACCTAGTGTTTCTCCCCAGCAGCGTCTGGGGCAGCCTGTATCTGAAACCCTTGCCCTTAGCCTCTTTCCCACCCCAGACTCTAGTCCTGGGCCCTCCCAAGAGCCTCTTCCAGGCTGGTCCTCGAGCTTCCTCTTGACTCTGTCTTCCACTCTGCCTCTCCCACTCTGGCTTGTCTGTGGCCTGCAGGCTGACTGGACACTGTCCTTCCCCCAAACCTGTCTCAGCCCACAGGTGTCCTCAGGAGGCCCAGCCCCACCCTCCCGCAGCTCAGGTGTCCTCGACAGGCCCAGCTCCACCCTCCTGGAGCTTTGCTGTGGTTTCCATACAGGGTCGCCTGATGCTCACAGCCACCCTGTGACATGCTTTGGATAAGTACTAATGTCCCCATCATGGGAGGGAAAACTGAGCTTCCCTGAGCTGCACTGGGGGGGCAGGACTTCAGGATCAGGGGCTGGATTCTGAGGCCAATGTCAGTTCTTTTTGCCCTGCACCATCCACTTGCAGACTCAAAGAAACAAGCCAATGGACAGAGACCCATGGGCCCTCCTGAGCCACCTCAGCCACATATTGATAGGATCCTATCAGTGTGCCTAGCTGTCAGGTTCCTATTGGCTCCTGGGACGGGATTCCTATAGGATCTGGGCCAGGCCTTGACCTGAGGGGCCCTAGCACGGCTCCTGCAGGGCCAGAGACATCCCCTGCCCTGTTCCAGGGCTTTCCATTATCAACTGTGAGTGCTGGGGCAGCACGGCTAGGAACTTCCTGTTTAAAGAGAGGGTGTGGCCATGCCTCCGAATCCCATCCCAGCCTCAGCACCTGCCTTCTTCAGCCACTCCTTGGAGAAGATCAGCCAGGCAAGGGCGCCAGGCAGGACATGTGGGGTTGCAGGTTCTCCTCGCTCCCTTGCCTGCTGCAGACCAGGTGGACAGGAGAATAAACAGCTCCCTTGCTTACTGGAGAGATTTATGGTGCTACCGGAGGAGGCCTGTCCTGGCCCTGTGCGGTCCGGAATGGCCCTCAAGGTGGGGACAATAAATCCAGCCCATTATTTTTTATGAGCCTCCCACTCCATAAACAACTCTTTCGGCTGGTAAGCCCAGCTTCACGCCCCTCTCCTGGCCTGGCCTTGAGCCGGCGCCAGGGGCACCCCCAGTACTGACTTCACATCAGTGGTATAAATTTCCCCTAAGCTGCAGAACTTTCAAATCTCCCAGAGTTGTGGGTGCAGGGCAGGGAGAGCTGCAACCCAGAGGGCTAGGCCAACAGGTAGCTTGCCCAGCCCTGGCGTCCTTCTCTGCCACAAGTCCTGGGGCAAACATTCATATATTTTATGACAGAATTGTTTACGAGAATTAAAATGAGATCGTATATACAAGACATCGCCTCATGTAGAGCCCGGTCCAGATCACTAGAACTGTGCAAAGCTGTCATACGCATCATAGCTGAGCATAGTGCATAGACTCTGACACGAGTCATCAGATCCTGAGAACAGTCTGTGTCATGTAGCTACCCCATTTTGCAGGTGAGCAAATGGAGGCTGAAAAGCAAAGAGACTTGTCCGTAGTGAAGAAGTAGCAAAGCCAAGATTTGCACCCAGGCCCAACCGCCTCCTAAGATCAAAGACACTTGATGAACCAATGGATGGGGGGCCAGGGGCAGGGGTGCTGTGCAGCCCAGATGCCCTGTGACACAAGGAGCCCCTGTCTCGCCATGCTGCCCTCTGCCTAGGGCTGCGCTGCCGTCTTTTGCCTGAGTTAGTGCGGCAGCTGCCTCACAGGCCTCCCTGCCCCGCAAGCCTTCTGGTAGCAGCCAGAACCACTGCTCTGCCCAACCCTCTGGCTCTGTCATTCCCCACTCAAGACCTTCCCATGGCTCCTGAGAGGAATGTGGTTCTCTGCAGCCTGTCCTTGCTTGGCATGTCATGAACCAGCCATAGTGAACTTCTCATCCCGGCCTCTGCCCACACAGCTCCCTCTGTCTGGAACTCCCGCTCATCCTGACTGACCATCGCTCACTGAGAACCCTCTACACCTTTTCCCCGCACACCTCCTGATCCCCCAGGTGGAACCTACGCATCCCTGCCTCTGTCTCATTCGGCCTCCACCCTCAGCCTCCCTGCCCTGTCTCTCATGTCTCTGCTCCCGGGCCTTTCTCCCCCAAGTGAGGATATGCCCTTGGACACAAGGACCCGCTGGCCCCCCAGTGTCCAGCCTGGGGTCTGTAGGGAGCAGGCAGTCAGGAAAAGCTGAGGCGAGGTCATGGAGTTGACGTGCGTGAGAACCGAAAGCATGCTGCCCTGGAGGGAAGCTGGCCTGCACGCCTGTTCTAGAGTGAAGTAGCAGAGGCCCTGGAAACACCATGTGTCCTGTCAGAGGTCACTTAGCATGTTGGGGGCAGAGCTGGAACTTGTCCCAGGCCCCTAGGCTCCAGACCAGTGCCCACCCCCTACACCGTAGCCCACAGCCTGGCTTCCCACCTGGGGTTTGTGGGCACAGGCCCTACGCATGGAAAGTCATGCAGATCTGGAGTGTGGGTTCGGAAACCACCGGGCAGATGCCTGGTTGGCAGAGTGGGGAAGCAGCCGAGGTCATCCTGGGTCATTAGGGAGTGGTGTGAGCCCTCCCTAGCCTCATTAGGGAAATTGGGTTGTGACTGTGGCCACAAGGCCAATCTCCTGGTGGGACGTCTGCCTGGCCACCCCTGGCCGCAGCATTCCCCAGGTCCTCGTCACCCGCCTGAGGCCAGCCAGGTGGGTTTTTGTCTCCCGGCCTGGTGGCTGCTTGATTATGTCACCAGACTCTTTCAGCATGTACGTCCCATGGGACTTCTTCCCTTCCTCCTCAGCCCCCGATCCTGGCTCCTCCTCTGCCTCAGCCCTCTCCTAGCTCTCCCCTAAGCTTCTTGAGTCTCCTTGCTGACCAGCAGTGGCCACTTCTCCAGCTCTGACCCCAGTACCAACTGTCCCCTAGACGGGGACCCCAGCTACAGAATTCCCACCTGCCCAAAACCAAACGCAGCATCTTCCCATCCTCCCAGACCTGTGCTTCCTAGCGCGTCCCCCATCAGTGGGGCACCAGCGCTGGGGTGCTGCCTTCACCCTTCCCCTGTGTGGCTCCCACATCCTAGTGTGACCGGATCCCACGTCCGAGCTCTACTCACCTCCCAAACCCAGCCAGCTTCCTCACCCCTGTTGCCCTGCCTTCTTCAAAGGTTGTGGTTGCTAATTGGTGTCCCTACCTCCGCCTCATCCCCCTTCCCTCCTGCATCCTGCAGCCGGGGCGCTTTCTCCGCCCCCCTCCGAGTTCCTCCATTGTCAGGCACTGCTGCCTTCCTGCCTCCCAAGGCCTCCCACAGTCCAGTTCCTCTCTCCTGGTTCCTCCCCATCTGCCTGTTGTTCTCCCTGTTACGGCACACGTGCCCTTTACTGATTACAACCTCGGTATGTGTCATCCTCTGCCTTTACTGCCATTTCCCATTCCCCTCCCTTCCTGGAGAACTCTTAGTCATCCATCAAAACCCAGCGCACTTTCACCTCCTCTCTGAAGCTGTCTCTGACTCTTAGGCAGGCGTGCACGTCTTCCTCTTTACTTGCACTCATGTGTTTGAAATGGTTCAGCCCTCTACTGCAGGACCAGTCCATGAGCTCCCAAGAAGGGCAGGGATGTGTTTAAGTCATCCTTGTGTTTCTCACGTCTCACACAGGGCAGGGTGCAGAGGAAAACATGCCGCATGGGAGTGTAGAGGAGATGAGACCATCTCATGAGGGACTCATGCCCGAAGTGTGTGCATCATCCGTTCACAAAGTGCCTTCACACCCCTCGTGCAGAGCAGTGTGCCCAGCCCACCGCCAGGAGAGGGACGCCCAGCGCGTCGTGGTTTGCTGGGTCCTGCACTGCTGTCCCACCTTGCTCCCTTCCACAGCTGGTCAGCTTGCAGGTCTGCCGGCTTCTCTCCACGAGGCCTCTCCAGCCCCAGTTTGTCTGTCAGAAGCGCAGAGACCCCCAGCCTCACTCCCCAGGCCTCTGCATGGGCTTGTTCCTGCTCCAGAACACCTTTCCCTCCCGCTGCCCAGCCTCGCCTCCACATCACAGAGCGCCTGACTCCTGTGCCCCCAGGGCACATCACAGATCGCCCACACGTTTGTCTGTTGAGTGCAGCGACAAGTCACCAGACTAAGTTTGAGTCGGTGGCGGGAATTGGCTTATGTCCCCAAAGTGGCTGTACCTGCCGATGATCCAAACGTACCTACTGTGCCCCGAGCCCATGAGCCCCTTTTGTCCTCGAAGGGCCATGAGAAGTACCCGCTGCCGCCCCTCATGCACAGCTGAGGGAGAGGAAGTGAGCGCCACTGCTTGTGACGCAGCCGGGACTCCAGCCCCAGGCTGTGGCTCTGCAGCCCCTGCTCCTTTCTGCGGCATGTGGGTGGACAGTGGTGGAGAGTCACTGGCTGGGGCTCGGGGACGCTGCTCACAGCCTTACAGATCCTCCTGTTCGTGTGTCCACAGTGCTCTTACCACTGTCTCCTTCCGGGTTCCCAGGGCTGCTGTGGGAACACTTTTGGGATGCTACCACCTTGGCCCCCATGCCTGGGCGCCCTCCATCTCGTCACCTGCTGGAAAGGAAAAACAGACCTTTTCCCTGTTCGTGGCAGGCCATGGCCTGGGCACCTGCCTGAGCTCTCTGGCAGTAGGAGCTAAGGGTGGCACTAGACAGCCTGTCCGTCCGCCATGGCTTCCTTTAGGGTCCCTGTGGAGGGCAGGGCAGGGTTGCCAGATAAAATACAGAGTGCCCATTTAAACTGGGATTTCAGATAAACAAGTAATTTTTTTTATTATAAGTATGACCCATGCAACTTTTGAACATACTTATACTCAGGAAGTATTGATTGTCCACCTGAAATTCAGATTGAATGAGGCGTCCTGTATTTTTATTTGCTAAACCTGGCAACCTGAGGGAGGAAAGAAGGACACCTCCAGCCTCCCGGGCCTTGAGGGAGTAAAGCTCAGGAGGTGAGTGAGTCTCTTGACTCTTGACTTCTCTGGTGCAAGACCTCAGGTCCGTGGGGGCAGAAAAACTTGATTGCGGTGACACCTAGTGACCAGCCTGGGAAATTTCAGGAATCAAGGGAGAGGAACGGGGAAGAAACGAGGCAGGGCAGGGGCTCCAGGTGAGGAGCCAGCAGGCAGGGGAGAGGGAGCGGGCCAGCCTTACAGAGCACCCCCTGCAGCTTGAGGGATCTGAGCTGGAGCCCATCACCTCTGTTACTGCCCTTGAACACTCTTACAAAAGAAAGTTTTAAGCTGCGCGTGGTGGCTCACACCTGTAATCCCAGCACTTTGGGAGGCCGAGGTGGGAGGATCGCTTGAGCCCAGGAGTTCGAAACCAGCCTGGACAACATGGTGAAACCTCATCTCTACAAAAAATACAAAAATTAGTCAGGTGTGGTAGCGCACACCTGTAGTCACAGCTACTCCAGAGGCTGAGGCAGGAGGATTGCTTGAGCCCTGGAGTTCAAGGCTGCAGTGAGCTGTGATTTGATTACACCACTGCACTCCAGCCTGGGCGGCAGAGTGAGACTCTGTCTCAAAAAAAAAAAAAAAAAAAAAAAAGAGGGTTTTAGTCTCCCCACTTTATAAATTAGGCAACAACAAGTTCTAAAACCACATGCCTTAGAAAGGGCTGGGATGGGGACGCAAATCAGCGCTGTCGAATCAACCTGCCCCACCTCGGTGTTGCCCAACCCATAGAGCTTTCTGTGGCTCTGCAAATGTTTCTTGGTCCTCCCAACTGTCAGAGACAGAACCACCTCCCATTTCACAGAGGCAGCTTTCTAGGGGTTCCCGGTGCCAGGACTGGTCAAGGCCCTGGGGTGGGGAGAGGGTGCTGAAGGGAGGCTGGCATCCATCCTGCTTTCGGAGAAGCTTGCCAGGAGCCAATCACAGTCCCAGCTCTGTCTGTCTCCATCTGTGTACACAGTGCGTGCCTGCCAGTGAACCGCATGGCAGTGACTGGGTCTCAAACTGAGAATGAGCGTGTGGGGTTGGACACCCTTCCTCCTCGGTCTCAGCCCAGGGCCTGCACACAGCTGGTGCTTAGCAAAGGTTTGTCAATTGAGGGAGTGAAGGAATGCGTGAGCTGAAAGGTCAAGGGCAGCAGTCCTTGTGTGCCACCTCTTGATGTGAAAGAAAGAGCGCTGAGCTTGACCGAAAGTGGGAGGCTGCATGTGAACTCTGCACTGACAGCTGCGTGACCAGGGCAAGTCACAGCCGCGTGACCCAGGACAGTCACTGTCTCGTGGGCTTCAGCCTCCTCAGTGGAAATGGAGAGGCTTCACCTAGATGCTCTCCAAGGCGCCTTCCAGTTCTAGCTTTCCAGAAAACCAATCCATTCTGGTTTTTGCTTGCGTGTAAACACAAAGCAGGACAATTTCTCTCGGAGCTGTGGCCCATGTCCGTGCCCGGTGAGCTCATCAACCAACCACCTTGCAGGTGTTTATTGGGCACCCATTCGGGCTTCACTGTGGTCCGGCCCCTAGGAGAGCAGATCAGGAGGAGGCGCAGACAAGGAGCGGGCTGGTTGGTAGAAAGGCCTGCGCCTGCCTGGAATCCTGGGGCTGGAAACCAAGGAGGCACTCCCTAAATATTTGTGGAATGAAGGGGCACGTAAGCACACAAGCAGTTGAACGTGGAAGGCGTTGGGAGCCAGATAATACAAGATGTGGACTCTTGTGGCTGGAACAGCTGGGTGGTGAGTGCTGAGCCAAGGCCTGTGCACACCCAGGACGACTAGTCCTCTGGGGCCTGGCAGGAGCCTTTGAACCCTGAAAGAGGGCCCAGAGTCGGTGTCAGAGCAGAAGGGACGGTGCTGCGAGCGTGTGGAGTGGGTGGGAAGGGGACCAGGCAGAGTGGGCCAGCTTCTTTGCTGGGTCACACACCCAGCTGGGACCCAGGACCCCAAGAGGCTCTGGGGGATAAACTCTTTCCCCTACATCCAATATGGCATATTGGTCAAAGCAGAGGGGGCAGTGAGAAGGACGACGAGAGGAGCAGAGTTCCCTTGAGGGACCGTCCAGGCTGCCAAGTGGGTACCAGGGCTGATGAGGTGTGAGGTGAGCACTTAATGGAGGGGCTAGAACCCCTTTGGGCCTGCCAATGGAGTGGCCACCAGGGCATCAGCTCCCTACTCCCTCACACAAGGTAGAAGACCTGGGGCGGCAAGTCTCTTGATCTGTCTAAGCCTCAGCATCCTCACCTGTCCGGTGAGTGCTGGTTGTACCTGGCACTTGGTCATTGAGATGTTCAATTAGGAATGTTTGCAAAGAGCCCACTGTGGGGCCTGACACAGGGGCGCTCTGGGTAAGTAGAAGCCCGCAGTCTTTGGTCACTTGCATTTCCCAGAGGGGACTACCCCCTAGGGATGCTGCCTGGGGGTGGCTGGGCTCGGGGCCAGCTGGGGGTCTAGTCCGGGACCGCCAGCTGTTGGTTCCCGGCAGGCCTAGATTTGCCCCAGAGAATGTAATCTGGGGGATACAGGGTGGAAGGCAGAGCCGTGTGTTTCTACTGAAGCCGAGGCCGCACCGCGAGAGGCTCTCAGTGTGCCACTCCAGGGGCAGATGCTGTCAGCATGGAATTAGGGGATCCAGGGGGAGCCAGAACGGCAGCCAGGTCTGGGCCTGCAGACAAGCATACCACCGTTGTCTGAGAGTTGGCCCCTGTTCCGACACAGTCCAAATCCAGAGTAGCTGATCCCAGGCCGCTCACCAGTGAGCTTGTGTTTATCAGACGGTTTCTGTGCATTCACTGGGTTTCTGTGCATTCACTGAGTGTTAGGCATTGTACAGGGGACGAGGGCAAAGAGGTTACTCAGGTGTGGGCCCTTTTGAGAATGCCCCATCTGGAGGGAGGGAGACAATGTGTAACAGGTACAATTAGTGTGGTGAGTGCTATGAGCAAGGAGGGAGCAGGGGAGCCCCAGGCATGGCCCCAGTCCAACCTAGGCACTTGTGGAGAGGGTGGAAACAAGGAGGGCTTCCTGGAAGAGGTGACACAGAAACAGCATCTCAAGTAACTAGCCAGAAGTTGCCATTCAGAGGAGGGCGAGAGCGTGTCCCAGGCAGAGGAAAGCACCTTCTCAAAGGCTTAGGGTGGGAAGGGAGCGGGGGTTGTGCAGGGCGGCCGGGAGGCTGCCCCTCACCCAGGGCTCGAAGAAGGACAAGTCAGCTGGAGAGGCAGGTGGCAGGGGTCAGGGAGGACCTTCAGTCCCATGCTGAGAACTTTCAGCCTAACCCTTTGGGCACTGGGTGCAGGGGCACTGAAGAGTTTTTTTGCTTGTTTTGCTTGTTTTGTTTACAGTAGGAAGACACAGTCAGATTTATGCACTAGAAAGTTCCCTCTGCAGCTGGAGAAGGGCAGGTCTTCAAGTCAGACAGACCCAGGTTTCAGTTTCGCCTCTACCTGCCTCCCATGTCCTACTCAGTGACCACAGGCAAATCGCTCCACTTCTCTGAAGAGCTTCTGCTACATGGGGATAAAGCTACTTGCCCTGCAGGGCGATGTTGTAAAGGCTTCTCTGTCTCTGCCAGGCCTTGGCTTTGCAGGGTATGTTCCCGGCCCACAGGGGGCTCTCCATGGATCTGAGGAGACTGGCAGGGCAGGATCGGAATCGGCACCCTGGAGAAGCTGTCGTTGGAGACGGCCTTGGCGAGACAGTGTGTTGCAGCTCCAGCTCTGTCCGCTGGGTTCAGCCCCCTCACCTTACCTCAGTCACTAACCTCTGTGCGCTCAGCGTTCTCAGCTGTTAAGTGGACGTAACACAGGTTGAGCATCCTTTATCCAAAATGCTTGGGACCAGAAGTGTTTCCAGTGTTGGATGTTTTCACATTTGGGAACATTTGCAGATACATAATGAAGTAGCTTGTGGATGGACCCAAGTCTAAAGATGGAACGCATTTGTTTTATATACTCCTTGTACACATACCTGAAGGCAATTTTACATGGCATTTCAATAATTTTGTGCATAAAACAAAGTTTGTGTGAAGTACTTATGTGTAGAATTCTCCACTTGTGGCATCATGTCAATGCCCAAAAAGCTTTGGGTTTTGGAGCATTTCAGATTCTGGATTTTCGGATGAGGAATGCTCAGCCTGTGCCGTAGCATACCCCGTCCTGAGCTTGTCAGGGAATCCGTGAGGTAAGGAGTCTCTGGTGTGTGGTAGGCCTGGCGCACAGGCAGCCCTGATGAACGTGGGAGGCTGCACTGTTGTCATCATCATCTCTCCCACCAGCCCCGACCCTACAGCTGTTCTGCGCCTTCCCCCTGGGCACCACCTTCCCCGGGTTTCCTTCACCCCCCTTCAACGTTGGTGGGAGCTCGTGTTTGTTTTTCCCTGCATGGCTTGGACAGCTTGCGGAGTCGGGGTTGGGGAAGGCAGCCGCCTCCTCCCCCTGCCACCCCCAAGGCTCCAGGCTCTTTCTTGGCTCCATAACTTTCTATTGATGAGGCGAAGGGAGGAAAATCCCTTCCTCCCAAGTTGAGGGGGAAGGGCGCAGCAAGGTGTTTGTTCTTTTCTCCCTGCTCTGCCGTTCCCAGCTTGCCATCCCTTCCCATGTATTTAAGGGACATGGATGCAGAAAATGATGTTATTGATGAAGTCGCCATAGCAACGACCCTCAGGAGGCACACATTCCAGCTTTGTTATCCGACCGTGGCGGCAAGAAAGGCCCCACTCCTAAGTACAAACACGCTGGGCCGCACTGCCCTGCTTGAGATGCATCCGTGAACTTTGCATTGCAGAGGATGTGATGTACGCACTGGCTCGGGGCCAGGCAGACCATGCCATCGTTTCTCTCTGCGCACACTCTAGTGGAGTACCCAAGAATGATCGAAGGCCTTGGGGGAAGATAGGCCCCGGTGGGGAAGGGCTGCCAGGGCCTGTCAGAGTCCAGAGGAGATGGCGACCTGGGGGAGGGCCCATCGGGAGGAAGCACCGGCCACTTGGAGAAGAAGACACAGCCCGGGGCACGTCTTCCCCGACGCTGTCCCAACCTCCGTCTGCTTGCCTGGAAGGTGGGCACGGTGATGCCCGCTCATCAGGCTTGTTGTGAGGGTCCAAGTGAATGAAAGTATAGCCGGGGCCCAAGTTCATACATCACTTCTTCCAGAAAACTCAGAAGCAGCTCTTAAATGTGTCCAATCCAGCCCTCCTCCCAATCCCCATAACCACTGCCGTTCTACCAGGCTTTGTCCCTTTCAGAGTGATAGCAACAGCCTCTCCACTGTCCTGGCCTGCAGTCCTGGCCCTCCAGGGCATATTCCACACAGCCTCCAGAGATCTTTCTGACACACAAGCGTGTCGCTCCCCTATTGACAACTCCCCTCTGGCTTCCTTCTGGCCAGTACGAAGTCCCACAACAGCCTATCTGCACCCTTAGCCAGCACCTCACTCACCCAGAGACTGGGGCTGCACATTTAGCACACTCTGGGAAGCAGGCGCTACTACTGTCCAATTCTACGTAGGTGGAAACCGAGGTTCAGGGGTGAAGGGCTTGCCCAGGGTCACGCAGCAAGTGGCAGCCTGAATGTGGACCTGACACTGTGGCAGCAGAGCATCTGTCCTCTCCTTGCTCCCTGGCCCATCTTGGGCACCAAGGAGACACTTGGTCTGAGTTTGTAGCATGTAATTGGATTTGGGTGGTTGGATCAGATTAGATTCGACCTGGCGGGCCGCCTGGCCTGACGGGCATCAGGCCTCTGAAGACCAGGATTTCTGGGAATGACTCTGAAATTCTATCTCACTTCCCATTAAGAAGGGGAGACCAGCAGGGCTCTCTGCTGAACTTGCCTCTCCATGGTTCTCCCCATATCTAGGTCAAGGGAGCTGTCCTATGGCTCCCAAGAGCAGACGTGACACAAATCCGGGAGCCACAGGAGGACGGAGTTTGAACTGGGGCCCTTCCGTCCCTCAGGCTCACAGAAGCCTGCTCTGGGCCTGGGGCTTGGGGTTGGGCCTGAGTAGACTGGGCCCCTGCTCTGGAAGAGCTCACAGGCTGGCATCGGTGGACACAGCCTGCAGCTGCCACTGGCTGCATGGACCTGGCTGGCTCAGGGGAGCTGGAGGAGGCCCGGGGGGTCCTTCCAAGCTCACAGCAGAGGGGGTAGAGTCACAGACCCACAGAGTCCTTTCCCATCTGGAGCCCAGGCCCATCCCTAGAGCAGAAGGGCTTGGAACCCAGCACCTCACGTGCCTCAGGGTTCACCTTTTCCCCTTCAAATCTCAACTTAGCCCTCATGGCCCCAGCTGCCACCCAGAGATACCACCTGCAGGAGGGGATGAGTTGGCATTCCTTCCCGTTAGCTCACTGCCCTCAGATGGCCCCTCTGGGAGAGGGCAGAGAGGGCATGCCACCCGCTCTCCCTCTGAGGTTCGGAGGCACAGAGGATACCGCAGGTGCTCCAGTGGGTGGGGCCAGTGCCTTATCCCTGCCCCAGCCTGCCACCCTGGTCGCTGTGTCACTGTTGCTTTATCTGTCTGGTGAGGAGCTAGAATGGGCCACCCTTAGACCCTGCTAGTGCTGGGGTCTCTTCCTGTCCAGCATGCTGTGTTAAGTGAGGGGGAAGGGACTGTTCCACAGGGACCGCAGGACTTCTCAGAGCCTTTATCATGTGCTGCGAATTTCCCACATCAGGCATCCGAAGCGCTGTGTTTCTAGCACACGCAGCTAGGGATGCCATAAGAGCATTTTCAAAATTCTAGCCTTGCCTCCTAAAATAACAGACAACCCGCTTCATCTGTTCCGAAATAGGGGGCTTTCTTTCTCTCTTCTTCCTTCCTTGCTCCCTCCTCTCTCCCTTTCCATTCTCCCCTCTCTTTCCCCACTCATTCTTCCCTTTCCTTCTTTCACCCACTGTTTGCAGATCCCTAACCCTGTGCCAGGCCCTGTGCTGGGTACTCGTGATACTGAAAAGAATGAAGCTCATGTCTCCCCAACGGGTTACCCACGGTTGGCAGGAAAGAGTGTGACGGAAGCAACTATTCCGATTTCCTACGAGGCAGAATGAAGCAAGGGCAGATAGGAGTGCTGTCGTAGCAGCCTTGCTCTACCAAGACCCTCCCTGTGTCTCCCTCGATATTGTCACCTCGTTTCAGCTTCCCAGCAACTCTCAGGGGCAAAGATTATTACATCCCCATTTCACAGCCGAGAAAACAGACATCCTGTGCTGCAGGGGAGCGGAGGCTTTGTCCTCACACTCAGGGCCTGCCAGTAACAGCCGTGGAAGGTCAAAAGAGGAGCCAGGGTATGTGCTTCGTGGAGGGGCTGCTCCGAGAGCTTCAGGGGACGTAGCATCTGAACTGGCCTTGGATTTCGCTGGGCTCTTACGTCTGGAAACAGTGGCCAGTAACAGGCACCGTGTAGTCGCCCACTCTGCACCAGGTTCCCAAATCGGTTCCCCCCAGGAAACGTCTGCTCCCTATTAGCCATCTGGGTCCCACAGGTGTAGCCGAGTGACCCCAAGGTAGGAGAACTTAGGCTGGGAGCCCAGTGGCCCAGCTTCCAGCCCTGCTGTATGTGCTGGGACATTGATTTCCCATCTCAGGGGCTCATTTTCTGTCTCTATAAGATAGACAGACAAGATGCGCTGCAGGGAGGGGTCCAACCCTGACCTTCTGTGGTTCCGCCAGCCACGGAGCCTATCTGCTTGTGGCCTCCAAAAGCCAGTGTTGCCCGTGAGTGGAGGTGAAAGCAATGCAGCTGACAGAGGAGCTGATGAGTGCTTCGGAAGCCACAGTCAGCCCCCAGGCCAGGCAGTAGCAGCCATCCTTGCAGTGGTTGTAGGGTCATTTTGAAATGTGATAGTGATGCTCCCCCAACCACCCTTCTCGGGGAGGAGGCGCCTCAGAAGCACTCAAGCTGAGCAGACTCCAGCCTGACCACAGCCTCACCATGCAGCGGGTGAGCCTGGCTCGCGCGGGCCTGACTGGGGCATCTCAGGGCACCCTCCTTGTTCTGGAAAATATAGCTTTTAATACAAATATATGACTTGTGCTAACATGTAATATTTTTTTTTTCTTTGAGATGGAGTCTCACTCTGTCGCCCTGGCTGCAGTGCAATGGCGCAATCTCAGCTCACTGCAGCCTCCACCTCCTGAGTTCAAGCAATTCTTCTGCCTCAGCCTCCCAAGTAACTGGGATTACAGGCTTGCACCACTACACCTGGCTAATGTTTGTATTTTTAGTAGAGACGGGGTTTTACCACGTTGGCCAGGCTAGTCTCGAGCTCCTGACCTCAGGTGATTCCCCCCGCCTCGCTCTCCCAAAGTGCTGGGATTACAGGCGTGAGCCACCATGCCCACCCCCATGTAACAAGTTTTTTATCTTGTTTTTAAATAAGTTAATAAGTAAATGTAAATTTCTCTCTGTAGTATCTAGCCAGTCTCGATAGCTGTAACACATAAACACGTCCATCAGAGCGATTTGGGCTCCTTTATAATTGTCAGGAATGTAAAGAGGTCCTGAAGCCAGTCCCACTAACAATCACTGGCCCGTCCCTTGCTCTCCGTTGCAGAGCCAGTGGGGGCTCCCGTGCTGGGGATGCTGGGTGAGAGGCAGCGTGCAGGGGGCCTACCGTGGGGTGTTGAGTGAGGATGGCTAATCACAGGACCTCAGTTCTACCTCAGGGTCTTTAGGTGGGAGACGAAGGGCTCCACCCTCTTCCCCAAGTTGTTGAGAGGTAAAGTAGAGACCTTTGAGACCAGCTGACTACAGATAGGGCCTGGGGCTCACCCTTCCCAGCTCTGCGATTCTGTTGCTTAGTGTCTTATTGACTGTGGGTTACTGCAGTCCATAGTCATGCTAGAGTACGTCCCCAAAGTGTCCTTCACCAAGAAAACAACAACATCTTGGCTCAGTGTTAAAGTCTTTAGAGTCTCAAGAAGAAAGATCACTTGATGGCAAGTCCACGACGAGGGAGAAAACTGAAAGACCTCTAGGGCTTAATATTCCATTACCCAGGGCTCCGGCGTGCATCAGCTCCCCAGTGACAAATGTATGGTTGGTGATGATTAGCAAGGCTTCTTGTAAACTGTGATTCTTTGGCTGGGAATGGAAATTCAATCTCCCTTTCTTCATCATCTATAAGCCTTTGCCAAACAAGGGCCCTTGGGCTCTTCCCAGCTCAGGAAGAAAGCACAGATCTGCTTACAGCATTGATCTCCTGTGCCGGCCATAGGACAGCCCTAGGAAATTCACATGGGTGGTGGCATGGGGAGACACAGGGAGTAGAAGGCAGGAGCCAGGAGGCTTTGGGGAACTGGTGGAGTTTGAGGCAGGCCTAGGATTTAGTTTATGGAAGATAGGAGAGGGTGTCCGGCCCAGGAGGAAGGAGCAGCAAGGGGAGATGGAGCACCCTCGGGGGCTGCCCAGCAGGCATTGTGGGATGGCGAACCGTGGAGTGTGTACAGCTGTGAAGAAGCTGGAACAGCAGGGAGCCATGGAAGCCAAATGAACAGGGATGAAGGGGGCGACCCTGGACTCAGCCCACCGCCGACAACAGCTGTCAGTAACGGTCAGGGAGATGGCTTGCTGGCCACCACCCACTGGCCAAACCCTTACCAGGGCAGGAGGCTCCCAGAGGACCTGATGAGGGACTGAATATGTCTCAGTAGCCTGGGAAGGTTTCTCTACCGAGAGCCGCCTCTGGCCACCCGGTCCAGCCAGGCCCCAGGGAGGAGCCACGCTGTCTCCAGACCTGCAGGAGAGACACCGGCCTCAAGAGCCAGTGCCCCCACAGACAGACCTCGTCTCTTATTGCCTGGCATTTCCTGTCTGTAACTGGATTTAATTTGCACAGCTCCTCTGTGAGACAGAGGTGATCCTGCCCCTTCTAAGATTAGGCTCAGAAAAGGGAAGCAGTTGTCTCCCAGGCCACAGCCAGGAAGGAAGCCAGATTCACACCTACATCTGCCTGACTTTACAACGACCTTTCTAAGAAAGGGACGTGCTATGGCTGGCTTGTCTCAGCTTGTGAGAGCCAACTGTGCACATTTGTTCCCAGCTCTACCCTTGGCGACATCTCCCTGGTACCTTGAAATTAGCCGTGGCTGGCGTATTTATCCCACGTAAATTGGTAAATACTGCAAATCAGCCTCCACCCCTGCCGGCTGTTAAGCGTTGACCGCACGCCACTATCTGTGTGACTCAGGCGCTGATGCTGTTTTGGAATCGAGCCAGCGGAAAGGGTCTTTCCGTGTGAACTTGCAGCTTCTGTGCAGGGCAGCAGCATGAAAGCGCTTTCCGTGCTAACTCGTTGCTTAGTTAGACTCTGCGTCATTCCAACAATTTGATTGATTAGTGAGAAAATCAAGGTGAGGAAATATGAGTCGCAAAATCAGGTGAAACCAGGAGTTACAGTGCCGGGCAAAATGCAGGCTTCCTCATTTCCATTTGTTTGTTTGATTTTTAACTTTAGACGTTTTTGTCTTTATTACAACTAGCAGGGTGTTTGTGTTCTTAAATCTATTCTGTGTTGCTGCATACCCGTATTTAAAGTGGACGGGGTCAGGATTGAGCCAGTCCTCCCTTGGAACAAGAGGCCGGTGTGTCCCGGGGGAAGGAGGTTGCCCTGTGCGTGTTCGCCGTCTGCAGCCTTCACTGCCGCTCCCCGAGCCGGCTTCACTCCTGCCTGAGCTTCCTGTGGGTGGAGGTGGAAGGCAGGTCACAGAGCTGGTGGGTTGGCAGACAGAGGCGCTTCCCTTTCATCTGCCTTGGCCTCTTGATGGACTTGTGACCTACAACCTCTCACTTGACCCCTGACCTCATAAATTCTAGAAACGCCTCACAAATCACCAGGAAGATAAACATCAACTGAGGTCAACGGAAGGGGGTATGAGCCACTCCAGGCAGACAGAGAGGGGAGATCCAGTCTGCTGGGCGGGTGGGGGGTACCCTAGAACCATGGGTGGCTCGGGAGAGGGGAGCAAATCACCCTGACACAAAAGTAGTTCTACAGACCATGCCCCACAATCTGACCTAGAGCAAGAGCTTGGTCTCCGTGGGTCACGAGGTGCCATTTACAGTGCAACTCACAGAGCAAAGCCTGAATCTAGACCCAGGCACCGTGCCCTTGCTTTCTCCCTAAGGGATATCCATGTAGATGGCTGCTGCACACACGCATATGTGTGTGTGCGCAAGTGCGTGTGTGTGCATGATACATGCAATGACAGCCCATTTGATTGTTACATATCATTGGCTATCCCCTTTCAGCCTGAAATTTTCTCTCTCCCTCTCTGCCTGGTCTTCAACCCGTCTCTTGTCTGTCTCTCTTCCCAGAGGGTATGAACTGCATGAACAAAGACCATGGCTGTGCCCACATCTGCCGGGAGACGCCCAAAGGTGGGGTGGCCTGCGACTGCAGGCCCGGCTTTGACCTTGCCCAAAACCAGAAGGACTGCACACGTAGGTAGAGGGAGACAAATGGGTCAAACGTCCCGTGCGTCTCCTGCCATTACTTTCTGGAGGGTCTGTCCAGTCTGCTGGACTTTGGCCAGGGAGGGTCCCCAGCCCCATGGGGTGGAGAGAAGGGCAGGGCCTGTGGAAGGGGCCTGATAGGGCATAAGGGACAAGGGTTGTAAACCCTAGCCTTGGGGTTTTCCGCACCAAGCACGACACCACCAGTGTAGCCCCAGGAGCTGGGCTGGATCTTATGGCAGCCCCTGAGCCTAAGCTGTCCAGCAGGAATGGTGGGGCCGTGGCACAGAGGTCTACAGGACCAGGTTTCTCGATGGGCCTGGGAAGCCCCTGGTAATGAGTAGTACAAAGAAGGAAAAGAGTATGGTTCTGAAGTGGTCCCATTCCGGGCTGTGCTGACCTTTTTTCCGGGACCAAAGATCAGAACTCTGCACACCTATAGTCCCAGCTTCTTGGGAGGCAGAAGCCAGAGGATCACTCTAGCCCGACTTTGAGTCCAGCTTGGACAATACAGCAAGACCCCATCTCTAAAATAAAATGTAAAGATCAGAACTCACAATTTGACCCCTGCAAGGCTAACTGCAGATGGTGATATTCTGGGAGATCTGGGCTGAATGAGGCCTCTGGCCAAAGACACCATTTCAGGATCTGCTTGGTGGTCTGCCTACGGGGCCCACGTGTAGTCCAGCCTCTTAATGGGGTCACCCCATTCCCCAGTAGGAGTAGGAGCCAGGAAACCAAGTAGAACGATGGCTGAACTCAGAAGCTTGGGAGCCAGTGCATCCTCCCCACAGCTACGTGGGGGAGATGGTGGGGTGGGCCTCTCCTCGTGGGAGATGAGGGCACCAGGGATACCCAAAGCGATGTCATATTTGCCCTTTTTACAAAGAGCCAAAGAAGACTGCTGGAAGCACTTTCCATCTCTGGCAAGAGACAAGTGCCTCATATCAAGCCCACATTCTAATGCAGAAAAATGCTAGGGAGAAGTGTCCAGTTCCAACTCCCAATAGAGAAGGTGGTCCTCACCCTAGCTGTGGAAATGAGAGACTGAGGCTGCCCCGCTGTCATAAAGAAAATGACCGTTCTTCCACCCATCTTTCTGTGGAGAGGACAGCTGGCCCTTGTTGGTCCATCATCCACAGTCACTGATCCTCTCAGTTGTCATCAGCTCTCCTGTGGGTGCCTTGCCATACCTTTCCCAACTCATGGTCTCCTAGAATAGTCACCAAGGCCCTGGGGACCCACGTGTACCAGATGTGATTCATCCATTCTTCAAAGTGAAGGTGCTTCCTTCTGTCCCAGGTATGGTCCAAGAGGCGGACCACCTTTCTCTGTGTTCCTGGCTCTTTCCTGTGGGGTGGCCAAGATAAGCCTGTATACTGTCACCCAGGGCAGGACCAAACGGGCAGTCTCGATTGGAAGTGCCAGCCTCCAGCCCCAGGGCTCCATCCAGGCCCCGTCTCCACACCAGATGGATTCCTTTAGCTGCAGAGAAGTCTTCTGCCCCCGGCCACCTCAGAACAGAAATGCTGACTCCAGCTTTCCCAGTCCCCCGTGTTGTGTGATCTGAGTTTCCTCACGAGAAAGGCCAAGGTCAAAAATGCATGGCGTCAGCAGGGTTGTGGATAGCCCTGGCCAGAAGGACAGTGCATTCTCTTAGGCAGAAGACAGGCCGAGGGCCTGCTCCAACTGGGCCTTGAGCCCAGTGCCAGGGAGAGGCTGCAGGTGGCCTGACTGTGGGCGGCTTGCTCCCTGACCCCATAGTACATCTGACACAAGCACTACAAGGAGGAGTTTGCTCAGAGAGCATCTTCTGAGCGCCAGCCTGGTGCGAGAGGTCAGGGACTAGGCAGGGCCCTGTGAGCAGCTAGGACACCCCCCACAACCCTCACCCCAGCTGCCCCCGCCAGGGAAGGGCTCAACCCTTGCCTGGAATATGTGCTGGCTTAAGAAACAGCAGTCCCACCCTCTCCGTGGGTGGCTGAATATCACCAAGGTATGGAGAGCCCGATGTGATTTCTGGGGCCTGAGGCCTCCCGTGAAGGGCCTGCACAGGCAGCTGCCCAGCGAGCCCAGCTTTGGCTGCTTCTGTGAGGTTAATGAGACAAGGTTGGTGAGAAGTTAGCTCTGAGGCATTCGCTCTAGTCCTTGAAGTCACTTGCATTCCAGGAAATTCCAGATCTCAAGCTGGGTTGGGGGCTGAGGCCTGGCTTAGCCAAGCAGCCTCTGTGGCTCAAGAGGACTGCAGGGCTCTGAACCAAGCTGTCATCCGTCCAGAGCCCAGGACCCACTCCAGGGCCGGAGCTAGAGGAGGTTTTCTCCATCCTTCTATCCGTCTCACCAGAGCTTGAGCTCAGACATCTCTGTGTACAAGCTGTAGACTCTCCGGTATTCGAAGGCTCGACCTTTGGGGGTCTGTGAGACGCACAAATGACTATGTGGAGGGAACAAGGGTCCCTGAGCCTGGATCCCCTTCGAGTTGCCTCAGGCAGGCCTCCATCCTCATTAGAGTCACTTTTGGGGCACAGCCTGTCTCCAGGAGCCTGGAGCTCAAGAAGAACTGCCTTCTCCCCAGCTGCACCCCTGCCCACTCTGAAACGGGAATCTCCTGGGTCCTAGAAAGACACACGACGTCCAGCCCAAAGTGGGTTCCACCTGGGTCTCTCCCCATCGCCTGAGATCTGCACAGAGCTGCAGCCTCCCGGAATCCCTGGCTTCCCTGGGTTCCTTCCTGGCCGTTGAGGTGAGCTGTTGAGAGATGAAAGCTGAGCTCTCATCCAGGGTGCCGGCTCCACCCTGGAGAAGAGTCACTCCTGAGGAGAAGAGGCTGGAGGGCTTTGTGCTTGAAGCCCAGTTGTGTTTCTGGAAGCATTTTTCAGGTCCCTGAAATTTCCCCCTAGAAGTCAGCTCCGTCCTCTGGATGGTCCTCAGCTCCCTGTGGAAGAGGGAGCAGCCTCTTAGAGCCTCTGGTTGCAGCGGACAGCATCTGAGGCACTGAGCAGACACCTGTCCCCATATCAAGCCATTTTCTTGACATCCTCCTCGCCCGCTGTGGAGACGGCATGTGTCCAAGGCTGAGGTGCCCCATCACTCAGGACAGGTGGGCAGGAAGGCTCTGCGTCGGTCTCTGTGAAAGGAAGAGTGCGGAGAAGTCAGTTCTGAAACATTTGAGATCCTTCTCTGGGAGTTGCCACCAGTTGACTTCCCTCTGGTACCAGCTGTGCTCAGGGGTCAACCGAATAGAACGTAATTCATTCAAATTCTCAGGATTTGGGATTTTTGCCCCTTCTAACCATAGTTGGTCTGAGATTTATTTTTGCATATTTGATCATTAGGGTTTTGCCAAATAAATTAGAGTGTAGCTTGAATTCTGGACAGATGGTTAAAGTATCCAAGAACACGCCCCATACTGAGGCCCTGGTGCACATTTGCGTTCGGATGATGGGCGTGCAGCTGTCTCGCCAGCATCAAAAGGCAGGGGCCCTGCACCCCCTGGGGAGCACTTGGGTCACCTTGCTCCCCTCTAGCGATCTCTCTCACCCTGGAAATGGACCATGTGTTTAAATAAACTTGAATTTGTAGTTTTTTCTACTTCAGACTCCTTTCTGTTCTGCCCCCTTTTCAGCCAACCCAGGTTGCTGATGTTGTGAAACATCCTGGGATTCTGGGCTGAAAGGCACCAGATCCTCCAGGCCACAGGCATCGAAAACAATGTAACGTGGTTATTATTTAGGTGATTTTCAAAACCGTACCTCAGATGACATTAACTTGCATGAGTCTGTCTGTTCGGACATTGCCGAGCTCCCGGAGGATTAGGGCTTTGAGGGGATAGAGTTTGAGGTGGCCCCTGGGACTCTGAGGGGGGACCTCCGTGGAGACATCCACACACCCCAAGACAGGCAGAGGAAGGAAAGCTCTGCCAGAACTAAGGAAATGAGGGTCACCTGGAACCACGGGCCGCCATGTCCCTCCCCCGACAGCTTGACAAGTATGTCCTGGCATTGGCAAACATTTGCCCCATCAAGACAGGCAGCTATAAAATGTCCTGCAGTCTGAGAAGGATGAAGCTGTCTTCATCTACCACCATCTGAGCGCATCACCTCTGTGCCTGCTCTGATCAAAGCCCAGACGACCCCAAGTCCATTCTGTCCCACCCCCGTTCAGCTCTAGGGAGTGAGTGACTCCAGGGTCCCTGGAGGGGCTGAAGTGCAGGGAAATGCTCCCCCGTTGCCCGGCGAGCCTCATGACCCTACCCACTGATGCCCTTAGGCCTCAGTTTCCCCATACCCTGAAGGCAGCCGCCAACACCGGCAAACTAACCGTTTTTGTTGTTCTGTTTATACACCCGTGTGTACACTTTGGGCCTAACTAGTAACCTGTAATTATGGAAACGGAGGCTGCCAGCACAGCTGTGAGGACACAGACACAGGCCCCACGTGTGGTTGCCACCAGAAGTACGCCCTCCACTCAGACGGTCGCACGTGCATCGGTAAGTAGGCACCTCTGCCACACACCACCCTTGCGCCCCCCGCCCCCGACCCCCCATGCGTGCACCAGCAGGGCCAGCACCCTGCCACGTCCGGGTTCCCCGGAAGGAAGCTTCAGGGAAACAAGGAAAGGCAAGCCCATGGCAATGGCGGGGATGGCCGGCGCCCCTGGGGAGGCTTTCTGGGGAGGCTTCTCTGGGGCCTGCAGCCCCCCAAGACCAGGCTTTTCTGCTTTGTGTTCCCTGGCGACGCCTGACGTGGGCTCCCTAGCAGCAGGGATTCTGCACGTCCTCGTCCTGGAAGTGAGGGGTGGCCCCAGGCAGGGTGTGTGTGGGGAGAAGGGAGGTGTATGCACCTAAGACCTTCTGTTCCAGAAGCACAGGTGTTTCCTCCCCTAATATGGAAGACAGCCAGATTCAGGCAACTGCACACAGCCACGTTAGTCATGGGAGCTGCCCACAGCCGTCTGGAAAACTAAGAGGTTTCCTCAGAACTTTGCTTTGAGTGGTCATTGTCTAAACTCCAGGGGAGATGGACAGTGTGGGCCCTGCGTGGGTGTGGTGTTTTCACTGCTGGTCTCTCCAAGCTGCTGGGCCCCTGCTGGCCTTTCTTCCCAACCTGAAGTCCGCTCTTCCCGCCGCTGCCCCAGCCCGTCTCTCACCTGTCACGTGGAGTCTTGATCTGAGTCTCCGTCACCTCCTTCCTCCTGGTCCCTATTTCCAAGGGGAAGCTTGAATATTTCTGATTATTTCATGCCATAATCACTAGTAGGTTTTTTTCTCCCACTTAAAAATAGCAGCACATTTTTTAACTGAGAAAGGGTGGAGTTTCAAAGTTGGTGCCGGAGTTCAACCCTTCCTGTGCAGGCAAACTTTAGAAACCCAACACAAGTCAGTTATTTTTTTTTTAAGCCCCATTTCTTATCGTCAATCTGGAAGATACTTCTTGAGGGAGACTCAGGGGACAGGACAGGGTTGGTCAGCAGACAGAAGCCCATGAGGCCAGGGTGTGCCCCTGCTCTGTCTCCCAGGACGCTGTTCCCTTGGGTCTCAGGGAGCAGGGCCCGAGCGGGCACCAGGCTGTCACCTCTGTAGTCCGGGGCTGTCATCATGGGTTCTGCTGCCTGCGGTGGCTCTCCCTTCCTCTGTGTGGTCTCTTCTTTCAGACAACCATTTTTTATTTCATTTTTATCTCATTTCTCTTGCTTTTCTGGTGATGGTCCCTGATTGCCTGTCTTGTCTGATAACTGATGTTCATTAATTATTTTCAGAGCCAAAAGCCAAACCAAATCAACCAACCAATTAAAAAAGAATTAAAAGCCAAACCCGGTCTCAGACCAGTGTCTCTATTGCAGCCTGATCCCATCTAGAACCTCCTCTCCTCCGGCCTCTCTCCCTCCACTGTCCGGCCTGGGGCTCTCCCGGGCCACCCAGCCTCCCTCCTGTCTCGTCTGCTCAAGGTCTTCCGCAGGGTTTGCCACCTCTCTTGGAGCCAGCTCTGTGGCCCGGGGGCAGTGCAAACGGCTGCCAGGCCAGACGCACCCAGCCTGTGTCTAACACATCTTGTCTTGTCCACCTGAATCATCCTTTCTTGCTTTTTTATTTTTTGATGTCTACTGCATGTGAAGGCTCCTGCTTGGATCTCCTTTCTAAATTAACTTCCCCAGCCCCACCTTCCCTCCCCTCTCATTAGAAATCACCTTCCTTACCCAGCCCCTGCTGCTGCTACTTCTACTCCTGTCCAGGAAGAGATGCCTTCACCTGCCTTCGCCCACTGTTCATCTGTGTCCCCCTTGGGAACGAATGTCTCCGCATATTTCCCTCTGAGCAAAGAAAGTCAACCCAGCTAACCTCACCTGCCCCTCCACAGGAAGCCTCTTGGCATAGCCAGGATGCTCCCTGGCCAGCTCGGGGCCACTTCTCCTCTGCATGCTCCTAAAATAAGTGATCCCTCTTTGCATCCCCTTGTTGAGCACTTGAATGTTTAGCCCTAGTCCTCTATAGACAAGCAGGCAACCAGCGCTGCCCAAATCGATCCCGTGGTTTTTCTGTGTCTATTCTATTGGATCCATTATGTGTGTGCGTGTGTGTGTCCTATGTTTTGTTCTTAATTTTGCATGAGTGTTGACACCCCTTCACGTCCCTGTGACGGAGCCTCTGCTGTCTCAATGCATCCATCACCGGACCTTGTGGCCCTGTCCCCTTGTCCTGTGCCTTGTCCTGTGCCTGCCTCTCCAGCCTGAGCCACGGGGGTCTGTAATCACTTGTGTCTCCGTAAAGCACCATGGTGGTGCTTTCTGCTTCTGTGGCTCTCTGCGGACGAATCCCGTCTGCCCTGACCTCAGCCTCCTTCTCTGTTTGCTTGCCCATGGGCCCTGAGTCCCCTCTGTGTCCCAGGTCACTTTGTGGTCATTCCTCCTTTCCTGCACGTCCCCCCGCCCCCGCCCTCGCTGCCTCTCTGCTTTGCCCTGAACACCCCCACCTTGGAGGTTCCTGGGATTAGCCCCTTGGCGAGGATGCCGAGCTGGCCGGCGTGTTGTGTTGGCTTTGCGTGCGCCACGCCGAGAGGCTGACTGTCTTGGGCCGCGGGAAGTGGGCTGTCATTAACCACTGGCTCCGTGTTTGTCCCTTACTTGTGTTTTAGAGAAGGATGAGGCTGCAATTGAGCGCTCTCAGTTCAATGCCACGTCAGTAGCTGATGTGGACAAGCGGGTGAAACGGCGGCTACTCATGGGTAACACTTTTCTTCCACTTCCTTTGTCGTACTTGCACTTGTGTGTGTGTGTGCACATGTGTGTCTCGGGTGCGCACTGGCATGTGGACATGGGCGTGTGTGTGCTGTGTGTGGGTGTGACGTGTGCGTGTGGGGGCATATGTCTGTGTTGTGGGGTGTGCCCACGTGTGTGCAGTCCTGCGTGTCGTGTGAGTGCGGGGGGCTCCACTCCAGGTGTGAACTCACTTTTTCCTTTTTAAAGTTTTTACCCTCCATCAAACACATTTGTTCGTTGTTTGTGTGTTTGTAGCAAAGAACCCAGGGCTAGTATCCACTGGCCTGTGCGTGTAAGGAGACGTGTGTCGTAAAGCTCCCCGACTTGCGTGAACACCCACATTCACAGTTAGGATTCCCAGGCTCAGCAAAGCAGCACTGAGACTCAGCCACAAAAGAGGGCATTTGAGTAGACGGGTCAGGGCAGGAGAGTCCTTACCCATCTCCACTCCTGGGAGGGAAGCTACCGGCCAGGACCTCCAGGACCTCTCAGGGAAAAAGCCACCTACTTCTCAGAGGCTGCTCAAGGTGTTTTGGGAGGCCTGCTGGCAGGGCTGATCAGGCACCGATGTGAGGAGAACGAGAAGGAAGAGGAGAAATCACTGCTCTTGGACAGAGCTCAGCGTGCACAGTGGAAAGCAGACTTCCTCATCTACTCGTTCTTCTCTATCAGTCGGTTCTGCTGTTTTGCTGGCCTCTGGGCTTTGCCAGCTGCCCAAGACCTCCTGAGCGTAGCTGTGGTCGCCTAGGGTTGTCACGACCTTCTTCATGGCTCTCAGATAGCTCACACCAGTGTTTGCAGCTATGGGGTCAGGTAGCGCGGTCTCCATTTCTCCGAGGAAGAGGCTAAGGTTCTCTGGGGTGCCCTGGCTTGCCCAAAGTCCCACACCACCCTGCAGGGCTGAGCTCTACCCAAAAGTCCTGACCGTGTGGGCTGTCTCAAACATCAGGGTTGCAGGGCCATGTGAAGGTCAGAGCCTAAAGGTCCCAGAGAGGTGGCTTTGTTTCGTGGCCCTCATGCGGACCTCAGGGGGACCCAGGCATCTAGAGAGGAAGCAGGAGGGAGGTCCAGGGCCACAGGGGATATGGCCTTGTGTGCTGCTGAGGAGGCTTCAGGCCTGCCCACTCCTTAGGGGCTTCGAGGAGCTCATGGGTCTGGCTGACGGTGCTCTATGACCCTAAGTCCATGCTAGACAGGACAGGTGTGGCCCTCTTTCTCGGATGAGAAGAGTAAGGGCCAGAGAGATCAGAGCATTCACCTCTGGTCACACAGGCAGACAGGGCAAGCTCAGGCTGGAAGCTAGTTCTCCTCAAATTCTCTGGACAGGTCTGTCTTGTTGACTTGGGCAGTCCGGGTTGGCCTGGGAAGAGCTGGAGATGGCAGATTGGGTTGGCTTTGAGCCTCCAGCCTCAGCCCCAGCCAACAGGTATGACCACTGCCCTCCAGGCAGGCATGAGTCAGTGCTATGGACTTTCTGGAAGGGTGGCTGGAGGCAGGTGGAGGGAGCCCCAGAGTCGTCAGTGTTCTGAGGCCACTCTAAGGTCTCAGGGCCCAGGGCAGGGCCCTCGGTCTCACTTACAAGAAGCGGGCACTACTGTCTGAGGCCAGAGCTCCAGAGCCAGGCAGGACCAGGAGCTGGGCCCCTTAGGTACCCCGCGACCTTCCCAGGAAGAGGATGGGTGGTGGAAGAGGGCCGCGCTGTGTTGGCATCACGTAAATGGGTGGTGCAGGCGGGGGGAGGAGGGCCTCTGTGCTTGCATGCAATAATGAGAGTCAGTGGATAAAGGCCCAGAACCAGACCCCGGAGTGGGGTCAGGAGGTGAGGAGGGAGGCCCTGAGAATGCAGGTAGCCTCAGCCTGGGTTTGGGAGGCAGACTGAAGGAACACATCAAGGAGATCTCTGTGCCAGGCATCTGGGTGGGGACCCTCCCCTGCACCCCCACCTCTATGATTATCAGAATCCTCCCATACCACCCCTTAGAGCTTGTCCTGCCCCAGACAGAAGAGACTTCTCCTCCTCTGGTTTCCTCCAACACGAAGCAAAGGGAGAGCCAATAGCCAAGGCCTCACCCCCTGAACTAGGAACCAGACCCGGGCTTCTGAGAAGGGTCAGTCCGGGGGCCTCAAGTCTAGAGCACAAGTGAGCCCCTCTCTCACGAGCTCATCATTCTTAGCACCATCTCCTCTAAGAACAGCCTGTGGGGTAAAGACATAGGATCCTGTTGGACTTCAGGCCCCAACCAGTAGCTCCTGATGAGGTGTGGTGCCCCCCACGTTGTATTAATAGAGGCAAGGTATGGAGAGTAAGGGAGGTGACCGTTCCCATCCTGCCCCCACGTTGTATTAATAGAGGCAAGGTACGGACTTAGGTAGGGAGGTGACCGTTCCCATCCTGCCCCCACATTGTATTAATAGAGGCAAGGTACAGACTTAGGTAGGGAGGTGACCGTTCCCATCCTGCCCCCACGTTTTATTAATAGAGGCAAGGTATAGAGTTAGGTAGGGAGGTGACCGTTCCCATCCTGCCCCAATGTTGTATTAATAGAGGCAAGGTATGGAGAGTAAGGGAGGTGACCGTTCCCATCCTGCCCCCACGTTGTATTAATAGAGGCGAGGTATGGAGAGTAAGGGAGGTGACCGTTCCCATCCTGCCCCATGCTGGTCAGGTGCACCAGGGCATCACATTCAGAGCCAGTCCCTATGTGGGGAGAGCAGCCCAGATGGTGAGGGGCTCAGAACTGGGTCATCCTCATATGTTCATGCTGCCAGGATTGCTGGCCTGTGGGAGAGATCACGGGCAGTTCGTCCCAGTAGATCCTGAGCCTGTGGGCAGCCTGAGCCCCTTTCGGGGTTCCGGGAGGGGAGAAGGGTAGGACAGGCACAGGCAGAAGGAGCCAGCAGTAGATGAGAAAACTGAGACACTGAGGAGTTTCACAGCAAGGTCAGAACCTGGACCACGTGGCTCCAGAGTCTGTGCCCTTGACTGCAGCACTGGCCAGCTCCTCAGGAGAGCGGCTCGGATGCTCAGATCCCCGTCCCCTGGCAGAACCTGCAAGCCAAAGTGGCCATCTCTTAGAAACCACGGAGGGGAGGACACTGCGGCTCAGAGGGGCTAAGGGTTCCAGCCACACAGCTGGGCAGGACAGAGCCGGGATTGTGGCTCCAGTGAGGGAGGGGAGTGCCCTCAATGGGAGGCGCAGTTGTAAGTCTAGAATGTGGCCGGAGAGAGAGAATACCTCGAGCACGGCGGCCTGGGCCACTGGGTTCTCGGCTGCACCCAGCAATTGCTTTTTGTGATAGTCACCCCAGTCCCTGAGCACAGGTGAAGAACGGAGTAAGTATGTTTACTTTAAAGAGGCCCCAGAACATGTAACCAATTGTAGACTCCCATTACAATCAGTTAAAATTGTCGGATTTGCAGGTTAAAGTGATAAATTTCAATTATCTGGGAGACTTACATGAAACCTCTGAGGACCCAGCGTGGGGTGCTGCATGGGAGCTTACCTCAGGCCCCGGGACCCTGCTTGTGGCAAGGCTGATGGGGTGCTACGCGCCACGCTGGTCAGCTCCAGGTCTTCAATCAAGCCCCTCTCCCTGGAGCATGCTTAGGATAGGTGGAGCATTCCGCTCCTCTTGCTGCTGCTAACAGATTCCCGCAATCTCAGTTGCTTAAGACGACGCACGTTTATTATCTTCTGTAGGTCAGAAATTTGACCTGGGGCTCACTGGGCTAAATTGAAGATGTCGGCAGGGCTGTTTCCTTCTGGAGGCTCCAGGGGTGCATCCCCTTCCTTGCCTTTCCAGCTTCTAGAGCTGCCCACGTTCCTTGTCCCGCGGTCCCTTCTCCACCTGCAGAGCCAGCAGCCTGACCCGCCCCAGTCCTCACAGCTCTGTTTCTGACCCACCTCTGCTGCCTCCCTCGGTTACTCTCAAGGACCCCTGTGATCACGCTGGGCCCCTCCAGATAATCCAGGATAATTTCCCGTCTCATGGTCCTTCAGCACATCTGCAGAGGCCCTTCTGCCAGGTAGGGTCACAGTTTCTGGGGATTAGGATGTGGGCATTTTAAGGGGGCATTATTCTGCCTAAAACAGATGGTTCTGCTTGGGCTGAAGGAACCCTCCGTTAGGGCAGAGCCCACACCTGCCCTTTTCACTGGCTGAGCCCCAGGACCATGAGCCTCCTCTGAAACCAGTCCTGAAGATGTGGGATGCACCCCACCCACTTCACGGAGCCTCCGCTGGCTGCCCCAGCTGTGGGCACCCACTCTTCCTCAGGCAGCCTTGGGGGTGTATCTTCAGCCCATTCCCTCTGCCCCGGCTCTCTCGCCTCACCAGTACTGCTCAACCCCTCTAGAGTTTGCAAGGGACTTTCCAGGCAGCTTTCCAGTGAGTCTCCCCCACAGCCCTGGGAGGCAGCTATCCCCACTTCACAGATGAAGACCCTGAGGCCCTGAGAAGGGAGGCCACATAGCCAGTGAGCAAAGCCTGGGCCAAAGTCCCAGCCCTGTGGACTCCCAAGTCCGGGGCCCCAGGTTAGGAGCAGAACAGGCCTGAGGGACGCGGTTCTGCAGGCCCAGTAGCATTTCTGGCTGTGATGTTCCTCCTGTGGGCACGACATCAGCAGAACTCACAGCCAGCCCATTCCAGGGGTCCCACCACCCCCATGAGAGCAGTGGGGCCTGAGCTGCAGGCTAGGGACCCCAATCTGAGTCGGCCCTCAGCCTGAGCTCCCTCTGGGCCTTGCACTCTGCCCCGTGTTTACCTCAACCTCACAGCCACCCTGAGAGCAGTGCGAGTGTTTTAGAGATGACGACATGGGGGCACAGAAAGGCAGCTGGGAACTCCTCTCCCCGCACCCCTGAGGCTGCTCCTGCCTGGCTGCCTGAACTGCTCCACCTTGTCCGATATAGGCCCAACCTTCTCTGCCTCCTCTCTGGATCTGGCCAGGAGTGAGTGCTTGGCGATGCTTATGGAGGTCAGAGCAAAGAGGAACACTGCCCAAGAAGCAGTGCCTGGCCTGAGGGGACCTTGGGTTCCAGCAGGGACAGGGCCCCCTGAGCCTTCCCTGTCCCTCCGTACTATTAGAGCCATCTTCATAAGTTTTCCCCAGGCCAGTGCCAGACAAAGCCTGGGAGCAGTCGCAGCATCTGTGACTCCCTTGATCAGCAGACACTGCCTGGGCATCTCCCGGGAGACAGGGCCCTAGACCTGCAGGAGCCCCCAGGCGTCCAGAGGAGAGGGAAAAGCTTCGGTCATGGAGCAAGGCCTGGGTACCAGTTCTGTCCACTCCCTGGAAGCTTTGCTTGCTCAGGCGAATTTTTTAACTTCCCTCAGCCTGTTTCCTCAGCTGTAAAATGGTGATCGTGATAGCGTGTACTTCCTATCGATTTGAGGATGAAATGAGTGACTAAGTAGCAGGTGCTTAGCGCGGTGCCAGGCACGTAGGAAGCACTCACTGTGCATCAGCTGTGTGACGCAGTTGGGGCACTGAGGTGCAAAGCACCAGAAAGGGAAGCCGCCAGGGACAGATCTGCAGGTGAGCAGGCAGGGCCAGGTGGAGTCCCAGGCTTCCCCTGGCTTTTCCCCGCCCTTCTGCCCCTAGACCTGTCTCCCCAGCCATCCCGCCATCTATGTCCTGGCCACCCCCAGCCAAGCCCTCTGGGCCGCGTGGCTGCACTCAGGGCCCACTGTCCTGCTGGCAGGGGGAGAAGAGAGGAGCTTTCCCACTGCAGCTCACGGGGCTACAGCCTCACCCCTCTGAGCCCCGGGTTTCCCGTCCCCCAAATGGCCATGACCTGCTTCACCCTGCCAGGCTCAAAGGAGCTGGAAGGGAAAGAAAGGATGGAAGGGCCCAGCACACAGGCCAGAGCTTGGTAAGGGGCTGCTCATCCTGAGAAAAGCAGGCAGGGAGGCTGGAGAACTGGGAGGCCAGGGAAGACCGAGGAGAGTGGAGGCCACTGTGGAAATGGTGGCTGACACTTAGGGGGCACACACTGTGTCCCACACTGTCCCCAGCATCATTTAAGTGCACAGCCACCCTGAGCGGCATGGCCAATGTCACTTCTCATCGGGACATGTGCATTCCTGCTTCTCCCCGCTAGCTCCCCTCCACCCCAGCTCCCGTCCACCCCAGCTCCCCTCCACCCCGCCCGTACCTCCTCTTCTGCAGCGACCATCTCCAGGGTCCCGGGTGTCCCTGATTTCACCAATCTATGTCCCAGTCCCCACCCCGCACATTCACCCACTCCTGGAAGCCACCCTCTGCCTGTTCCTCTGGCCCTGCATGCTCAGCCTTTCCTGGACTCCCTGCCTCCAGGGGTCACATCCTCTTCTCTCTACCCAGGTGCCATCTTGGGTGGTTCTACCTGACAAAGGCTGCCTTTTGCTTGTCCTTCCTCCCCTGTCCCACCACTCACCCTTCCTCCACCAGCACCCCCTGACTGGGGGCAGAAGCTAGGTCTTTTCCAGCTTGGTGCCCCCCCTCAGGGCACAGCACAGGGCCTTGCCCAGAGCGGGAGCATGGGTGAGGCTAGTTGGCTCAGCACATGAATGAAGGCTTCCTGGAGGAGGTGCCCGGGGATGGATGGGGCCTCAGTGCCCAGGCAGGCAGGTATCCAGCTCAGAGAGAGGGCAGGCCCTGCAGCCTGGACGTGCTTGGAAGTGGGAAGGGACTCAGGCAGGTCTGAGTGCTGGTGAGGGAGGTGATATCACAGGGCCGCTCCCCAGGCCCAGTGCTCATCAGGTGGCCTGGCTGAAGGAAAGCGGGGGCAAGCCCCTCTCAAGTCGTGGCCTCCCTGCCCACTGAGCTCCAGGGACTGGGCTCCTGTTAGAGAAGGATCAGGTGGTCAGGCTACACCTCAGTCACTGGACTGGCTCCAAATATGGCTGGTGTCTGGTCAGCTGGGGCCCCCAGCCAGGTTGAGTCCTGGGCCCTGCCCTCAGTTGAGTCCCTCACTGTCTCACACTCACAGCTGGGGCTTGTAGGGGGAAGTAGGTGATGGCGACTCCGCTGTGCGGAGGGCTGGAGTGTGGGTGGAGTCGCAGTGCCAGGCAGGGCTTAGTAGAGAAAAGACGAGGGCTCGGGGCATTGCCTGGCCCAGATGGGAGGCTGAAGCCTAGAGGGGCTGTGGCCCACCCAGGCCACCTTGTGCGTTGGGCCTGGCACTCTTGGGTGGCCCTACCCCTCGCCCCCCAGCTTCCCTCCCACTGTACTCCATCCCAATGGAGGTGGGGCACACTTGACCCCCATCTGCTCCTTTTGGTCCTCAACTCTCATCTAATGTTTAAACATCCAAGACCACATCTCACTGCCTGCCCTGTTTCCTCTCTCCTAGATTCTGGCCCAGCCTCCCTGTCTCCCAGCCCCACCAGCTGTGAGGCCACGGCCAGAGCCCTCTTTGGCACAAATCTGAATAGGCTCCAGCCCTGCCTTAATCCTCCCCTAGGTTTCTTGGCCGCTGGTCTAAGTGGGCCCCAAAGCCCTTCGAGATGCAACCTCAGTGCCCTCTGTGACCTCCTGCCATTTTTGCTAATCCAGTCCTGACCCCCCGGCCCTGCAGGCCCACATGGTAATACTGATGTCCACTGGAGCTGTAATGGAAGGTGCCCAAGAACAGGGCACCCTCTTCACCTGCATTCTCAGGAGGAGCCCAAGTGTAAAAACAGGCCCGACCGGGCCCCTCTGCCACCCTGCCCGCTGGCTCCCTCTCACCCCACCTACCTGGGGGGCAACGGCCTGCTCCTCCTGCAGCCCTCCCCATCCAAGCCACCCTTGCCTCTCTCTAGTTGGATCCAGCTAAGGGCGGGCCAGGTGGTGACTGCAGGCCAAGGTTAGCCCTGACTTGACTGAGGAGTAGCAGGCAGCTCCCAGCAGCTCCCAGCAGCTCCCAGCTTCCTGAGGCGAGATTTCCTGGTCTGACCCAAGGAAGGTGGGTGGTTTCAGGTTGCTCAGCCAGGCTGTGTCATTGCTGTAAGGACCGTGCATTTGTTCTTAGAGCAGAGAAATCCGTGGTTGGAGCTTCACTCCAGTCAAGCACACGGTGATCCTTTCTGGTTATCCTGAGCCAGATTCTAGAGTCAGACCGGGGTTCAGTCCTGGCTTCCCCAGTCACTAGCTCCACCAGCACCCCAGGGCCAGCTCACATCTGAGCTTCAGTTTCTCATTTACAGAGATGGCTTCTAGTCTCTGGAGAAGCTTAGCTGAGGCACTGGACAGGCTGCACCTGGCCCTGTGTGTGGCCCGTAGCAGGTGCTCAGCCACTTTCCATCCTTTCCTTCTTCACCATCACTGGCCATGAGCATGTCACTAGGGCACTCTGGAATGCCAGGGAGGAACAAAAGCTTGATGGCAAGTCCCAGACAGTGAGACAAGAAGCCCGGAGCCAGCCTGGCCTCAGTCAGGTCATAGTGGTGGGCTGACGGGAGCCCTGGAGACCCAGCAGGATTAACAGCGCCTGGTGCCTGTAACCTGGACCCCTCCAGGAGCCCTGCACAGCTCCCAGGCTGAAGCTCTGGAGAGGGAGAGGGAGAGAGCATGGACACAGGCTCCAGGTGCCAGCTACTCCCTGCCCCGCCCCCATCCCCACGAAGTCACAGGGTGGGAGGGTGGGAGTGGGGAGCACATCACTGCCGGAGGCCCACCTGAAAGCAGAGGTGGGCACTGCCTCCTTCTGCCCCAGGTTGTTGTTTAATCTGTCCTCAGCCACATCTCCGGGGCAGCCCACGAAAACCTGGAGCAAGGCTTCCCTCTGTTGAGCAGCCTCCAGGCTGAGCTGTATGTATAACCAGACATGTTCAATGTTCCCGGCAACCTGCAAGGTTTAGTGTTACAGATAAGGAAACCGAAGCTCAGAGAGGTGAGAGCAGCTCTTCCAGTTCCCTCTATCCTACACCCCTTCCCCTCCAGGGGCAGGCAGGTGATAGCTCTGCCTCCCCAGGCTTTGCACAGGGCCTGGCATGAGCCTGATCAGTGAGTGTGAGCTGCTGTTGATCAGATCCCCAAGCCTCCCTGGGCACACACAGCTGGAGGGTCCGCCTGGTGCACGGAAGAGCACTGGCCCAGCTGCTTCCCAGCTGCCTGCCCTCACCAGCTCCTTCCCCTTACCGCATCTCAACCCTCCAAGCCTCCTGGGGCACGGCCATGATGCCTCCTGTGGGTGGGCCCCAGGGATCCCACCCACAGGGGAGCCCCCTTGTCTGCCCTAAGCACCCTTCACTGAGGAGCCAGGGTAGAGGCAGGAAGTGAAGGAGGCAGGGCAGGGGGAGACTGGCCACTGGAGGCCCTGCTCCTGCCACCTGCTTTAATATGAAACCTCCCTGTCCTCCAAGGGGCACTCGGGACCCCTCAAACCAAGTGAGGAGACCTCTCCTGAGGTCGGCTTGTCTTGCTCCTGGGTGGGCATCTTCCATACACCTGGTGCCACCAGCCCTCAGGCCTCCCTGCAGCCCCCATGCCACAGTCCTGCAGGGCACCGTCCCTCCATCCCAGTGGCTTCTGCTTTCTGAGCAGGTGCGGGAACACCCACCCGCCCACTAGTCACGAGAGAAGGTGGCTTGCCACACTCCTAGCGCATCCTGGAATTGAGGCCCCGCCTGCTGCCTTGGAAGACAGTGCCACTGACAATAATTTGCCTTGCAAATTGTTCCCCAAGCAGCACGGTTCTCAGGTAGACGGAGGCCCTAAGGATGGTGCAGGCCTGTGGGCCTTTTATTTCAGCAGGGCCGGGCTAAGGTCAGCAGAGGGCCAAAATGGGCCTCAGAGTCACGGGGCTGTGTACTAAAAAGGCAGAGTCCAGGAGACCCTGGGCTGCCTCAGAGGCCTGGGTGGCCCTTGGGGATCATGGGCGTTGGGGCCCCGCAGCCTTAGACACGAGCAGCGCTGGCTCTGGAGGAGCCTGCCGGGGTGTCCTGTCCCGTGTTCTCCTTGAGAGCCACTTCCTTGTCAGGGCTGCAGCCTCCACAGTCACCCTGCGTCCAGCCACACTTGAGCCCCACCCCACCCGCGCCACCACCTGCATGCACTGTCACCAGCGTGTCCCCAGGCAGCCCTGGGGCAGACCCAGCCGGCACCCCCCCAGCAGACAGGTCTCAGGATTGACCATTTGCCCAGTGGAGGTAGAGGCAGGCGGGGAGGCGTGGTCAGGACCAGGCGCGGCCCTCTGCTGAGGGTGTCAAGTTCCCTCCACCACACCCTGCTGACTGTCAGAGGCGCAAGGGAGGCCACATTCGTGGTGCCCAGCACAGCGCTGGCCATAAGGCTGCTGCACAACACTAGTGACGGGCCACAGGGCCTCCCCGGAGTTCAGAGGGCCCCTCGGGAGATAGGCCAGCCAGGGAGACCAGGGCCACTGTGTCAGGGGCTTGCCAGGGAGCACGGCGTGGCTTTTATCCCAAAGCGATGGGAGCCATGGAGGGTTCAGCAGCCAGCTGTGGGAAGATGGTCAGAGGTCAGAGGTCCCCAGATCTGCCGGAAGGGCCGGCCAATCCCTTTTCACCGCAGCTTCTGTTGATTCTAGGGACAGAAGGGCAGGTGGGCCAGCCCTGATTGAGGGATCAGCAGGTTCTGGCGAGGACCCCGGGCTGCCCCCATCATCAGGGTAGGCCACTGAGGGGCAGGGAGGAAGAAGGGATGGCAGGGCCTTTGTGGGACGCTGGGCCCATGCCAGACCCACCGGATCAGAGCCTCTGCCCTGGTGAAAAGCACCTCAGCGATGTTCAGGCACAACACAGGTGGGAAACCCAGGGCCTAGGGAGGGGAGGGTCCTTTGCCCACAGTCCCCCCGTGTGCTGGCACTGAGCCTGGCACCCACACCCACTTCCCATTGTGCACCACAGAGCGCCCTTGTGCCCTGCACAGCGCAGCACCACACTGCCTCCTCCACCAGGGGCACATTCGCCCTTCAGTCCTGCCCACCTCGCCTCCCAGCTCACTCTCCCTTCCAGGCCCAACAGAGGGTAGGGTCCCAGTTCCCAGACTTGCTTCTGTTCCTCTTGGGGCCTCCAGAGTCCCTGCTCATTAATCTAGTCATTGAGCACAACTCATTAGACACCTCCGCCGTGCTGGTCACCTTGACGCTGCCCTGCCCAGATAGCGTGTGGTCAGTGGGAGAGGCCTCTGCACACACAGACAGCGCTGCCCTGTGGGGCAGAAGCCCAGGGTAAGGCTCGGGACAGCTTTCGGGGAGGCAGGTGGGGCCTGCTGTGTCCTGAGGAGTTGGTTATTCAAGGCCAAGGGGGGTGCCCTGTGGAACCCTGAGGAACCGTGCTGGGGTGTGGCGGGGCATGGGCTGGGAGGTGGGCAGTGTGAGAGGAAGGCGCAGACCCAGGAGAGAAAGGCGAGGTCTGGGCCTTATTTCATGCCCCCCGCCACTCCATAAACTGTTGACACCTGGGGCATGTCACATTCATCTCTGTAGCTCCCCTCTCCCGGCCACCTAGCACCGTGAAATTGACCCGCCTGTGAAGACCAGTGGCTGTGTCCAAGGCGCATCCTAGCAGGGCAGGGAAGTTCAGATAATAATCATTGAATGAATTAGCAACTGCCTGTGGGTTCTGAGTCTCCATAGGCAGAGCTTCCAAGAATGGCACCAACAGTGAGAGTGTGGACCCAATCGCAGAGCAGCTTCCAAAGCACTGTCGCATCCACTGTTCTGCCTGGGCCTTGCAAGAACTGTGTGGTAAATATGATCATCTCCATGCTACACATCCAGAAGCTGACTTTGAGAAGCCAAGGGACTTGCCCGGGGTCACACAGCCGGCATGTGGAACCCTGTCATTCTGCCTCCATAGCGCCTGTCCCTTAATGTCCACCACACGGTGACTGAGACTGTCCTTTAAGGACCTTGTCCCAGACCTGGGGCGGCGTAAGCAGGCAGTGCCAACCCAAAGGCCAGCAGTGGCTGCAGCTGTTCCCAGGCATCCTTTTGTCCTCGCCCCTGCTTCCCTCTGTCAGAGCGCTGGCAGGCTGCATGCAGGGTCCAGTGGAGCGCCCGGCCTCCCCTGCAGGGCCCAGCCCAAAGCAGGAGCTCCCCAGAGAGAGACCAAAGGCCAGACCTTTTAACTTGTCTGAGATTTTCCCCACATGCTTTCGAGCCCCAGCCAGCCCTGCGCCTGGCCTTCCTTCTCCTTGGCCACCCTCGCCCTACAGGGTGAGCGCTCTCCCCACCAGCTGGAGGAGGAAGCCAGGGCACCAGCGGGTGCAGACCTCACGGTGAGGATCCCATCAAAGCCCTGATTCTCTGGCCTTGGCCGGCTTACTTATCAGCCTGGAGTGTTGCAGACCAGGGTTCAAATACTGGCTCCTCCCAATAGCTGTGTGACCTGAACACGGCCAGCTTCTAGGGTGTGTGGCGTGTGCGGTGGCCCAGGACCCCGCCCTTAGAAGGGCCCACGATTGGTTTCATGTTCTGTCTCTGTCTTGAAATTCTTAGCAATTTTTGAACAAGGCAATTCCATTTTTATTTTGCGCTGGGTTCCACAAATGATGTAGCCATTCCTGCCTGGACAGGCAATGTAAGTTCTCCATGCCTCCAGGCCTGTCTCCTTTGGCACTTCTGTGTCCCCCGGGGCTGCTGTGAGGCCTGCTGAGGTTCATGGATGATAGGTGCCTTGTCCACTACAAAGGGCTGTATTGTTCCATGATCTCTCCAGGTGGAGAGAGAAAGCCTCTAGACAAGAGCTCTGTAGCTTTTGTCTACAGGCTGGGGACAGAGAGACTGGAGGGCCCCCAGGGTCCACAAGGAAATTCTGTCTTTAGCTCCCCGGGACAAAGCTCCTGGAGGCTGCTCTGCGTCCTCCTCCTCTTCCCAGTCCCAGGCGCCTGAGCCGCCCTCCACAAGTGTGTTTCAGGGTGGGGGAGATTCCTCATGAGGCCATAATGTCAGCCCCTGGTAGGGGGCAGAGGCCGGGATGGGACCCAGAGAAGGCCCATGGGTGAGGAGGAGGAAGGCCCAGAGCCCACCCCCAACCTCCCCACCGGGCAGAGATGCCACTGCCGCAGCCTCGGGGCCCCGTTTGCTGCTTGTATTTGGAGGGGCCCCATGGTAAAGGCGGCCTGGCCTGCTTTCTTACTGTCTCTGAGACAGCTGTGGCCTAATACCAGGTCTGGGTGGCCTCTGGTCCTGAGGAACAGGAGGAGTGAGGCTGTTTTTTTGAGGATCTCAGAGATGGGGGAGCTGGAGCGATGGCCAGGCTGGTTGTCATGGAAGGCAGGGGCCTCCTCAGCAGCAGCACCGGAGCCTCTGCTTGAAGACTCCCAGGGACGCGGTGCTCGGCCCCACCAGGCCCGCCTGTCCTGTCATTGTAGACTTCAGTCCCCAGCCCTCACTTCAGCCCAAAGGACCTAGGTCAGTTTCACTGTTGTTCCCTCTACCCGTCTTGCATTTATAGTGAACCTCTAAAAACCTCACAATATGGCTGAGGTGGGCACCGCATAAATGGCCATCCCTGTGCTGTAGAGGAGGGATGGAGCCCCAGGCAAGAGGCTGCAGCCTGCCCCAGGCCCCGAAGCGGGAAGAGGTGAGGGCGGGCCCAAGGCCAGACTGCTCCCTCCACTTGACCCTCCCTGCCTGCACAGGGCCTGGCAGAGAGCGTCCCGGGGACTGCTGGCTCCCAGCGCTCTTACATGAGCCTGACATGGGCACATTTCTCTGGCTGCCCAGGATGACACAGTGGTCTGAAGGAGGGACCATGGGAGGTAGTGACAGTTGCAGGAGGACACTGGTGGCCTGGCCACAGTAAGAGCAGGGGCTAGAGCTGGGAAGTGCTGGGGAAGCAGCAGGCCCAGGCCCTGGGTCCCAGGGGGAGAGGAGGGGGCTCCTCGTCTTCGGCTTGGGGCAGGTAGGAGTAGCATTCCTGCAGACAGGGAGCACTGGGGGAGGAGCTGCTAGAGGAGGATGATGAAGAGTCCAGCGGCACGTGCTTGGTGGTAGGGCCCTGGAGCTGCCAGGTGGGTCACTGCCCGCAAGGAGCCAAGGGGGTTAGACTCAGATGGAGCAGGTCCCCTCCAGCTCTGCCATTGAGGCTGCACAGCCTTGGGCCGAGTTTCTGATGCTCCGTACCGGATCCTCTTCAGGGAAGAGGAGGGCACAGGAGCCACGAGGCTGGGAGCATGAGAGTGGGAGGCGGAGCAGGGCCCAGCCCGTGGTGACCACGTGACCCCTGCTGTGGAGCGGGTTGGTCAGCACCCAAGAACGGGCCCTAAGGGACTAAGAGCCCCTTGTTCAAAGCCTGATGTTTACATACCAGCCATAGACTGAGGCAACTCGTGAACTCAAGCTGCCTCGTCCAGAGAGCGGGTGACCTTTCAGGTGGAGCTTCCAAGTCCCATTAGGGACTTCAGGGAAGAGAAGAGCCTCCAGGATTCTTGGAGTCTGTTTGGCCGGGTCTGTCTCTCAGGGTCACTGCCCCTAGCGCCTGCACCACACCTCACCTCCCCCTCCGCAGAGACCCGGTGCCCTCAGCCCTGAGTTTTCATTGCCTGTCTCCCCCACCCTCTGCACCCTGCCATGTTCCCCCATCTCTCCAAGGCCTGAGCCTGAATTACCTCCACCTGGAAAACAGGCACATTCTCTGCCCACCTCTCCAGAGGGGGGCTCTCCCACAGGAAAAGCTGAGAAGGCAGGAGGGGAGCACATTGGCTCCTGGATTCGGGCGTGGGAGGCAGGAGGGGAGCCCATTGGCTCCTGGATTGGGAGTGGGAGGCAGGAGTTCCCTCTCTGGTTGTCAGCCCAGGGAGGAAACTAACAAGCCAGGCCCTTGTAAGCGGGTTGATTTGACCCTCACCTCCGCCCTGGAAGAGAAGGCTCGTCCTTATTTCCAGGTGTGAGTGCGGAGGTGCAGCCCCAAGGGGTTGGCTGCCTGAGGGGCTCCGTGAGTGACAGCCAGGACTCATTCCCTGGCCTGCCCACCTCCACTGTCCCAGTAGATGGCCCAGAGGGCATAAGCCGGCCAAGTGCCAGTCATACCACCTGCATGAGCCTGAGGAAGGATGACACCTTCCCTCCGTGTCTGGGGTATCAGGGAGGCTCCTTGCGGAGGTGGGCTCTGAGCCAGGCCTTGAAGGATGAACAGGAGGGAGGCGTCCAAGCCCTGGGACCAGCACACTGCCATGGCAGGAGATGGGAGGGCAAAAGACTGGTTCATAAAAACCACCCATGCCCAGCTGAGGTCCAGGATTTGAGGAGACACACAGAGGACGAGCCAGGAAGAGTGTCAGGGTCAAGACCACCCACCTTCCACTGGCAGCCGCAGCTCATCCTACGGTGGTGATGGCTCAGCCGTGACCATGAGGAGGACGCCCACCACCTCAGCCCTGCAGAATCTCAGATGCACACGCACACACACACAGAGGGGAACATGAGGTTCCCCTCTCCCCCTGCACACGCCTACAAGGTGAAGTTCAAAGGAAAGGCACCATGCATTTCATTTAATTAGCACCAGGGAGTCCCGACAGCTGAGGGTATGTATTCATTGACTCCCCCCAGCCTGCAGAAACGCAGACCCCACAGCACAGGAACAGAGTAAACCCATTAGGGAGACCGTTAAGGGAGAAGGCACACCAGGGCCAGGAGTCCAGGTGATGCCAAGGCGAAGGCAGGCAGGGGGATCCAGGTTATAAGAGATGGGCGCCCATTGGCTTTCCACCTCCCAGCAGCAAGGCGAAGAGGGAAGCCCATGCAGCCACAGCTTCCACAAGATAAAAGCCTGCCAGATGCTTAGGAAGAAACCCAGGTGGCAGAGACCCAAGGGCTGGACCAGCCCCCAGCATCCTGGTGTGCCAGCTCTGCCAGCCCCTCCTCCAGGCCTGAGGGGGCTCACTCACGGCATGACGGCTTCAATGACCTCGGTTATGCCCTGAGCCACTCTAGCCCCTTTGAATTTTGGAGAAAAAAGAAAAAGCACTAGACAAGCTTCAAGTGGACAAAAACCAGATGCCTTTGGCATATCACTCAGTGAGAACAGATGTTGGGCTGAAAGCCTCATCAAGGTGATGGATGGTGTGTGAGCCCTCAGAACCTACCCCTCGGCTCCCTGGCCGGGGCCACAAGCCAGTCTGTACTGAGGTGCATTTGGGGGCCCCAGTCACCTCCAAGTAACCTCTAGCCTGGACTTGGAGTCTGAGTCCAGGCAGGTCAAAGTTTTAGGAATCCAGCCTCGGGCAGTTAAATACAGCCAGGCCAGTCTGGCCCCAGATAGCAGTTTTGACCCTATTGGCAGCAGCCTCTGTATAAGCACAGCCCTCTGCAGTTTGCGGTGTACTCATCCCTCACCACATGCAACCCCACAGGAATGGTGTCATTCCCCCATTTCACAGATGGGGAGCTTGAGGCTCAGAGAGGCAGCACAGCTTCCCTAGAGTCCCACAGCCAGAGAGTATATCAGAGCCAGAGCTTGAACCCGGGTCTCGTCTCCTGTCTCATAGAAGATCTTTCCACGGAAGGGGAAAGCCAGTGGCTTCTGTCCAAGGAAACTGAGGTCTCTGTCTCTTTCCCTCCCCAGAGACGTGCGCAGTCAATAACGGAGGCTGCGACCGGACATGCAAGGACACAGCCACTGGCGTGCGATGCAGCTGCCCCGTTGGATTCACACTGCAGCCGGACGGGAAGACATGCAAAGGTCAGCATGTGGAGCTGTGTGGGTGCCCCTGCCTGTACTGGCCTGGCCAAGAGCCTCCGTGTGCTTGCATAGCCGGGCCCAGGGCTGGGCTGAACGGGGGCCACGTGTAGCTGTGGGAAAGGACACGTGGCAATCATTTGCTTTGCTGTTGGAGAGGCCAGGAAGAGGGAGGGCTGGCCAGCAGCAGGGTCCCCAGCAGAGTTCGAGAGAACACAGGTCCCACGGCACATCAGCAGGTTCCTGGGCCAAAAAGGCACTGATGTCAGAGAATTTGGCTGCACGCTGGGTTAAACAGTTAAGCCAGCGTCTCTACTGTGGGACTTCCTGGGCCCTCAGTGATAGTGTGGCTTCCCAAGGCGCGTAGAATGTAGCGCGTTTCCGAACCCCTTGACCTTTGGTTGCAGTGGGTCTTGCAGAGCTGATGGGGACAGTCTGGTGTTGGGCCATCTGGGACACACAGGTCTACTCATGCCAGGAAAAATAAGGACAGTGTGTCACTACTAGGGGGGCGAGGCTAGGGGGATCCCATCTGAAAAGATAAGGACTCAGGACTTCTGCTTGCCATCAGAAAATGAGGAGTCAGGAAGACCTGAGAGTGACTGGTTGAAGGAAGGAGGGACAGGGCTGGCCTGCTGGTGGCTGGCAGTGAGGGAAGGCAGAGGTGTATCCTCCCACTTGTCCCCTGAGTCACCCCACAAAGACTTACTGAGTACCTCCTGGGTTGAGGGGACCCTCAGGAAACAGGAAGCCCAGGGAGCTGGGAGAGGAGAGCTGGGTGGGCTCTCGAGACAGCCCTGCAGATGAGGAGGTCCAGCTACCCCCAAAGGACAGACGGAGCCCCAAGAAGCTGTGGGCCCTGGGGCAGGGTGTTAGGCCTGAGTGCCGGAGCCCTCTGTGCAGAAGGGTGAGGGGCAGTGCTCAGTGCCCCCAGCATCACTCCAGACCACCCTCCAAACGCCCCCACCCCAGCGCTGGGCAGTACCCCCACACTCTGCCAGGAAGGGAGAGCCTAGAGAGCAGGGCGTGGAGGGGAGAGGAACTGGAACTTCCAAAGTCCCATCGGGGAAAATATTGAAAGTGGAGGTTAGGGTGACTTAAAATAGCTTGAGGTGGACTTTTTTTAAGCCTGTAAAAATAAATGTATTTTTGTACAGTGTATGACTTCTTCCTTGCCAACTTGCTGGGAAGAACCGAGTGATTATTGACAGAAATAACAGTGCTTCCGCCTGTTTATTTGAAAATAAAGCCCTTCTGTGGCCACCGCTCAGCCTGTTAATAGCCTTGGTGCGTTCCTGGCAGGCAAGTGGGCAGGTGGGTGGCATCTGAGTCCTCGCCACATGACTCAGTGCCAGGAGTGACTGGCCGAGGAAGCCCAAGGTCTGTGCAGATCTGGGCATCTTCACAGCCCGGCGATGGCACAGCCTGCCAGCATTTGCCTTCGGAGGGCCAGAGGGGCAGGCAGAGCTTAATTCCTTGGGCAAGGCTGGGGCTGTTGGAATGGGGTCTGGAGGCCAGGAGCCACCCTGTCTGGGCCAGAAAGGGGCCTGGTGCAGGGCAGGCATGTGGCCCAAGAGGGGGCTACTGGGATTGGGGCTCCCACTGCTGCCCCCTAACCATCCCTCGGTAGCCCAAGGGACACTCGTTTCCTCCCACTCTGGTTCTGGCTCTGAGGGTAGGGTGGCGCTCAGGAGTGATGTCCACAGCCCCAAGACAACCCCCCAACCCCCCCCACCCCACCACATTTCCTTTGCTCTTCAAGCGGTCGGGGCCCTTTCACCAGGCTGCCCCACTCAGCCCTTTGGCCAGACCTCCTCCATGGACGCCCAGCCCTGGGCCTGTGGCTGCACTCAGAGCCCTTAGGGCCCTGGCTCCCACTGGCCAAGGTCAGAGATCATCTCACTCGCTCGCTCACGGAACAGGTGTGTTTTCTGGGCTCCTATTGTATGCGGGTTCCAGTGAGACAGGATGAATAAAAGAGACGGTTCCTGCCTGTAGGGGTCCTCTACTGAGTGCAGAAGACAGGTTTTCATTTTTAAAATCACTGAGATAATTGAGTATCACAGGCTGCTTGGTGTGGGATAGAGAAGTTCAGTATGGCAGGAGGCTGGGGGAGGCCGGGGAGGGCTGAGGGGAAGAGGCATTTATCAGGCAATGATGGGGGCAGGGGAAGCATTTTCAGCACTGTGACTGTTGCCAGAGGCCTGTGGGTTCAAGGACCTGGGACTGGGAAGGACGCAAAGGAGGCGGGCCAGATGGCGCAAGGCCCAGGGCTACCCTACAAGCTTGGCCAGGTCCCAGTCAGCACTGGGCAGGGGAGGCTCACACCCAGGTTTTCATTTTGAACTGACACTGGCCACAGTGGGGTCACAGTAGGGTCTGGAAGACCAACAGCCAGGCACAGCTGCTGTCACTCAGGCTCGTGGCAGTGCCAAGGCAGGACTGGCAGCAGACATAGAGAAGGCAGAGACTAGACATGTCCATAGATGCCCACATTTCAGCACCAAGGGACTGGCTAGAACTGCCCACAGGACCACCTCAGGGAGCCTGAGAAACCAGACGGTGGCCTCCAGCCCCAGGGTTGGTGTCATTGGTATGTTCCCAGCCCTGGCTGGAGAGGCACAGGCAGGAGGATTCCCAACAAATTGAAGACCCTGGCCCCAGGGTTTGGTTCCTCGGTCAGGTGCACACCCTGATCTTGGCAGGGTCTGGGGAGGATCTCAAAGGAGAGAGTTCAAAGGCTCCACGTTTTCTGAAAGCCAAAATGTCAATGTCAAGCAAGAGGAGTGGCTGGAGAACAAAGGTCACAGCGGGCTTGGACAACCCAGGGCTGCAAACCCCGGGCAGGTGGGGGTCACGTGGGCAGGTGGAGGCAGGGTTGGGAGAGTTGGGAGGTTTTGTCCAAATGTCGGGGACGAGGGGGGCCTGGAAGATGCGCCTAAGCCCTCGTCTCAAGGGCTCCCTGCTGGGTACCGTGCCCGTTTGGTGTTGGGAGGTGGTTATCTTGCTAATCGGTCCCTCCAAGAGGAAGGGGGTTCTGGGCCTCAAGAATAAGGATGCAGGACTGCTGCTTGCCGTTGGCAAGTGAGGAGTTGGGAGGATGGGAAAGTGACTGTAGCTGAAGGAAGCAGGGAAGGGCTGGGCTGCCGGTGGCTGGCAGTGAGAGAAAGCAGACGTGTATCTTCCCTTCCTCAGCGGGAGCCTGCATTTCCCTCAGGGTCACCTGCCCCTCTTCCCAGCATCTCCAGAACAATCTGGGAGAACCCCCCACCTACCGCCTGTTTCCTCTTCCCCCTCTGCAGTGCTCTGGGCCAGGCAGGCCACAGCCAGGGCTTTTACCCGAGTGGGAGCAATGGTGCCCTCGAGTGACCGCCACCTGGCCAGCCCCGCCTAGCAGCTGGCCCTCCCTGCTGGGCACTCCAGGATGGTGCCAGCCCATGACCCTGTGCCCTCCCTCTGCTCCCACCCAGAAGCCCTCCCCTACATGGTCCCCCACGTGAGATGGGCAGGAGGGAGCCAGAACCAGTGTCCTGTGCGTCCCTATAGCTCACCCCATCGCCCTGCCCCCATGCACACCCACTCAAGCTCCAACCCTGGGTGATGTACCCAAAGAGTCCACTCAGTGGCCCAAGACCCCACCCTTCCCTCAACCCTCAGACCCGCTCCATTGTCTGGAATCACCCTGACCCATTCCTTTATTCGGTGAGCGTTCCTAGACACTCACGCTGGGCCCTGGGGCACCAGACAGGAACAGCCACCCCCAAGTCTGTGTCCCAAGGCCCTCTCATGCCCCCAAAGGCATTAGCTCCCATGAAGAGGGAGCTACTGGCTCTGGAAAAACACTGGGAAAGGCTTTCTGGAAGGGCCGTTTTTCCCAGGGCTGGGGTCAGCAGGTGAGAGGGGGGCTGTGGCTGTACTGGGTGCGGTCACTGGAGTCCAGGCTGCCAGGGCAGGAGCCAAGCAGCCTGGAGAAAGGAGGCAAAGCAGCCTGGCCGGGCTGGAAGGGAAGCTCTGGGAGCCTCTGCAGAGGGAGGGCCCACATCCTAGCAGACTCAGGAGCCTCAGAATGCTGGCCAGCAGGCAGGGACTCAGCCAGATTTGTGTGCGGAAGGTGGTGCTGGCTGCCTGGTGTGGGGCGGTGGGGTGGGAACCCAGGAAGGAGCGGAAGGGCAGAGAGGTGCAAAAGCTGCACCCCAGGGGCCATGAGCCCAGCACCCCCTTCACTATATCCTGAGGTAGTGTGAGGAGGGGGCTTCCCTCCATCCTGACCCCCAGGCAGCCAGCTACACCAGCCCGGGCCTCAGGCAGACATGCCTCCCTCTGCCTGTCTGGTTGCTATGACAGCCCCTTAGCAGACAGGCCCAGATGGGGCAGGGGATGGGGCTGGGGGCTCTGGAAGGCCTGAGGCTCCACTGAGGAGGCAGGAGTGGTGAGAATGATCACGTGCTGCCCCTGTCTGCTTAGCAGCCTCAGCTCATTTCAGTTTGCTAAGGATGCTGGGAGAGGCGATGCTAGGAGAGGCACCATTTAGCAGCCCAGTTTGCAGATGGGATCCTAAGGCTCAGAGAGGTGCCTTTCCCTGCCCAGCATCACACAGCCAACTGAGGCAGAGTCAAGATGGGCCTCTGTTCTTCTACCTGAGACTTCTATCTAGAAATTCCCCATCTGCCTATAATCCCGGGGCTCGGGGGGAAGGAATGATAGAGATTCCTAAGCCTCCGCCCTGGACCAGCACAGCTGGGCTTCATATCTCTTTCTTGGTGGCTGCAGGGCCAGCGTGATGTGCTGCAGCAGGCCCGTCTTTGGGTTCGGATGGTGCTGGCTGAGAGCCGGCTCCTGCGTGTGGTGCTGTGACCTCATCTGTAAAATGGGAGCCTGCTGTCTGGGTTGTTTTGAAGGTCACACGAGATGATACCAGAAAGTACATGCCATGTCCCTCCCCGAGGCTCCCAGAGAGCCATGTGGGCATCCAGCCCTGCACTCCTCTAATATTCTTGACCAGAAATTGACCTCTAATAGCCTGGTTTTGTCATCACTGGGGGATGTTGCCTGGGAACACTGCTTTAGGACTTTGGGCAGGTATGGAGTCCAGCCTGTTTGGTTTGAAGAAGAAAAAGTGAGAGCGACATGGGCCGGCCTGAGGTCAGAGTAGCAGTGCCAGGAACAAGTTGCCTCTACGGGGCTCAGTGCCATCTTTAAAGTGGGGGCAGACTTACCTTCTGTACAGAGCGGTGCCAGTGACACTGGACAGGGCCCTTCAGGTACCTGGCTCAGCAACCATGCCCAGGACGGGCTCTGCAGATGCTGGAATCTGCGTCTGGCAGGTCTGCTGAGACGTGGCTGGTGACCAACAAGAGCTGATCTTCCCATTGTCCTCCTTGGAAGGGCCTCTTCCGCTACCTCCTTTTTGCTTCTGCAAGTCAGGGTGAGACCACCGTCGTGAAAGGCAGCACTGATTATTATTATTATTTTGTTTGAGATGGAGTTTTACTCTTGTTGCCCAGGCTGGAATGCAATGGCACAATCTTGGCTCACCGCAACCTCCACCTCCTGGGTTCAAGCGATTCTCCTGCCTCAGCTTCCCGGGTAGCTGGGATTACAGGCATGCGCCACCACGCCCAGCTAATTTTGTATTTTTAGTAGAGATGGGGTTTCTCCGCGTTGGCCAGGCTGCTCTGGAACTCCCGACCTCAGGTGATCCGCCCGCCTCAGCCTTCTAAAGTGCTGGGATTACAGGCATGAGCCACCGTGCCCGGCCAGCACTGATTATTTTTTTAAGCCACCCTGCAGTGTAGAAATAAAACCTCTTATTTTTGTTACTCACTGCTGGAGAGAGTCTGGAGGGGGTGGCCAGCATGGGGGCCTGGAGGTCGGGACCCAGGAGGAATTTGGGAGTAGCTGAGACTGTGTCCCTTGGAGAAGAGGCCCCTTGGGGACAGGGACCTCTAATGGCACAGAATGCCAGGCTGGCCCAAGGCCTAAGGGCAAAGCCCAGATGGGCCCGACAAGGGAGCAGGAGCATGGGGGCTCACAGGGGTCAGGGCTGTGTTTAGGGTGAGGAAGACATCTGTGAGGCATCGGCCAGCAGGCCATGCTGGGAGGGAGAAAGTTTCCTGTCCCTGGAGGTGTGCAAGCAGAGGCTGACTGGCAGAGTTGCTCAGGATGGCATCATTTATTACACGGGATCGGGCCAGGCAACCTTCGGAGCATACTACAACTCATTCACTGTTAAGCAAAGAAGCAGCTCAAACAAACAGGCGGGGAGTCAGGCTGGGAAAGGGGGGAGCGTCAGGCCCGCTGCATAGCCCAGCTCCCCACTTACCTTTTGAAGCCTCTTGAACCAGGTGCTTTCCCTCTCTAAGCCTCAGTCTACTCCTCAAACAGAGGCAAAAACACCTACTTTTTGAAAAAAGTTTCTTGAGCGCTGACCAAGCACCGGCACCGTGGAAGTGTTTTTTCACCTAGTCCTCGTGATATCCTTCAAAATGGGTGCACTTCCTGTCCTCGCTCTGCAAGCAGGAGACCAAGGCTCAGGGGTCCGGGAGCTTGCCGAGGTCACCAGAAGTGGTGCCTGCCTGCTCCAGCCTCCCTGCTGGCCAGGCGGCCTCCCTGAACCTGCAGAAGAGAGGACATGGGAGAGTCGCTGTCCCTGCTTTCTTGCCGGGCACAGCAGCCATCAGTTCCTCTCTACTCAATGTCTCACATCCCAGGCTTGCCAAGTCTCAGGGGAAGTGGTGAAGCTTGGGGAGCTGGCCCTTCCCAGTACAACCCAGCCCCGACCCTGACCCCTGCGAGACAGGGCCCCCACCCCTCTGCACAGCTGGGGAGCCAGCAGCCAGCTTGGGAAGTGGGCACCAGGCAACTCAGGGCAGTGTCATCCCCTGCCGCTAGCCTGCCGTCCCCCCGCTGGTCACACAAGCTGATTCTCCTGGCTCTCACTCCTCCATCCCCCTTGGCTCCCACAGACATCAACGAGTGCCTGGTCAACAACGGAGGCTGCGACCACTTCTGCCGCAACACCGTGGGCAGCTTCGAGTGCGGCTGCCGGAAGGGCTACAAGCTGCTCACCGACGAGCGCACCTGCCAGGGTGAGCCCCTGCCATGCCCCGGGTGGCTCTCGGGCCCAGCGGGATCGTGCCCCTTCCCCTCCTGGGCTGACACGGGCTCCTAGGAGGGGAGGGGAATGCGGATGGGGCTGGGCCCGAGGGAATGGGGTCCTTTACGACTCTAGGGGACATCCAGTCCAATCTGTTCCTTTTATTGATGGGACACTGAGGCTCGAGAGGGCTTCAGCACATGTCCCAGGTGGCAGAGGGAGCCGGTGGCCCAGCTCATCAGTTCACCCAGCCCCTCCCTTCCCAGGTGGCCCACGGGCCTCCCAGCATCGAACTCCTCTGGCTTCGGAGGTGGGATGCTGCCATCTGTTGGAAAGCGTTGCACATTGCAGGCAGGCGCTCTCAAACAATCCTCACCTGCTGGGAACAAGGATAATGAGGAGGGGTCTGGGCAGAAGCCAAGAATCCCGGCCCAGGAAGAGTCTAGTGGGATCCAGGATGCAGCAGGAGCCCAGAGGCTGGCAGTGCAGAGCGGGGTCAGGGAAGGCTACGGGGAGGGTCCGTTGGTGAAATGCCTGAGGGGTGAGTAGCGATTTTCCAGGAGGAGCCAGGGAGGTAAACCCACCCAGGAGATGGCGCTGCCGGCCTGAGGAGGTTTAGGGGACCACAAGGAACTTGGTGGGGCCGGATGAGGCCATGAGGAAGGAGACAGGTACCCTGTGGGCCCCACACTGGGAGAAAGTGCAGGGGGTGGGGCACCCCATGTAGCAGGGCAGGGGCTGTCTTTCCCTGACGATTATCCAGCTGTGCTCTGGTGGTTTTTTGCCCACGGGGTACCAGCAGTTGCGGGCAGCATGTGGCCTTGTCTGGGTACCAGGCTGTGCTTCTGCCTGTCAGTGCAGCTCAGGGGCTGGCACGGGGCAGGGTGAGGCCCTGAGGAGCGAGGGCTGTTCTCCCACAAGGTCCCTGAGGAATGTAAAAGCAGGAGGCTGGCGAGAGTAGGGCCAGGGCCTGCCGTCCTCAGAATCATGTGTGCCCCAGGCCAGCCGCTGCCTTCCCCAGGCTCAGCCTCTTCGTCCCTGGACGGGCATCCTGGCCCTGTCTTCTCCTCAGGGCCTGAGGTCTAGACAGGAGCACAGTGTCTGTCCAGGCCCTATCAGGGTTCTTCTGACTTTGACTTTGTTTCTCTGTTGGCCTTGCCAAGTTCTTCTGCAGAGGGCTGAGGAGAGCCCTTGACCTTGCATCCCAGCTGCCCCCTGAAAGAGGCAGGCGGCTGTCGAGGAGGAGGTGAGATCGCTTGTGAGGCCCTGTCCTCACCCGCCCCACCCCCACCTGTATCTTTTCCACCCCCTTCCAGGCTCATCTTTCTGAGGCCTTGGGGCTCTGGGCTCCACAGGTCCAGCAGGGAAGCGTCCATGCTCCTTTGCTTGGCACTCAGGGGACCCCAGACACCACCCCAGTCCCCCTTGGGCTCCACACAAGTGGACCTGCCAGGGTGGCTCCTAGGAGGGGAGGGGAGTTCAGATGGGGCTGGGCCCAAGGGAACAGGTGCATCCCCTGGGCACCCCATGCTCTTACCTCCTAGCCACTGCCTGGAGCACCCTTCCTCCACATTCATTCGCTCATTCCAGGCTGGTCCCATCCTTCAGATTTTAGCCCAGGTGCCGCAAGTACCCGGAGGTCCCAGATCCTCCCTGGGAGGGAGCACACTCGCCTTTGAGCACCATGCACAATTTCTTCCTTGTGTTAGTGGTTTTATAAATACGCGTATATTACAAATATTTGTGAAATTACATGAGCTAATGTTTTCAAAGAATGAACTCTTAACTGCTATGCCCAAGGAGGGGCAGGTTGGCGTCTGTTTTGCCTTCAGGGGTCCCCATCAACTGTCCCATAACAGCCATTTTCCTCAGAATTTATGGCCAGGACAGACTTGTCTCCAGTCAACATGGTGGTTCATTTTTTCCTTTCCAGGAACAAACACCCCATGACCTTCCCTCTTTCCCTTTTTACCTTGGCTGCCAGGAAGCTCATCATCACATTTCACATTCTATCAGAGCTCCCTTTTTGACCTTTATGGGTGGCATATTTCCTCTTCTCTTTTTACCTGTGTGGTTTTCCTTATTTTCTCAAGAAACATCATGGGGTGATGGGGAAAGATGCTTTGGTCAGCATCCAAGAGGCCTAGGTTTATGTCCCAAGTCAGCTGCCTCCCCAGGGCCCTGGGGCCAGCTGCAGTCCGTTTCCTGCAGGCGTGGATTCAATGCCTCTCTACCACTCCTAATTGGAGCTGACTGTGAGATAGTAAAATGGCAGAGATTCATAATAATCCCTTCCATTCACAATGTTTCTGCCCTGCTCGTCTCCAGAAAAGACGTGAGGTGGCTCCCAACCCAGAAACAGAAGGCTAATGGAGACACAATGGAAAGTCGAGCAGCAAGGAGTCTCCCATTTCCTGTGGGTCGGTGCTGTGCTGCGCCTGCGCCCAGGGACTGTGTGTCCACAGATGTGCCTTGAGTGACTGAGAGTGACAGGCCGTGCCCACCCACCACTCCCTCAAACTCCTCCCCCAACTTTGTCTCCCTGTGGCCACGCAGACATCGACGAGTGCTCCTTCGAGCGGACCTGTGACCACATCTGCATCAACTCCCCGGGCAGCTTCCAGTGCCTGTGTCACCGCGGCTACATCCTCTACGGGACAACCCACTGCGGAGGTCTGCAGCCTGCCCGCCAGGGCCACCTCCCCCCCGAGGCACGCGCCTGGCCGCACGGCCACCTACACTGCACCCCGCATCCCAACCCTGCCCTCAACCCTGGGGGGCCTGAGGCCTCAGCAAGGATGGGGACTCCTGGGCAGAGGGGCTCAGCCAAGGACAAGTGAGGCAGGGCTGGGGAGACAAGGGGTAGCAGGGAACGGTTAGAGGTGGGTAGCAGGTCTCTGCCAGTGCCAGGCCTTGGCCAGATGGGCACGGGGCTGGAAACCCCATTTACTAGAGAACTCGGGCCAGGAGCGGGGGCACCAATACATGGAAATTCCAGACAGCTCGTTCCAGGGAGGCTCACAGCAGAGAGGGGCAGAGTAGAGGGGCAATTCGGGATCCTCAAGGGGGAGTGTTTGGCTGGGGGTAGGGAGGCACTCCAGAGGGATCCGCATGAGAAAGCAGTGGACAGAAGGACCGAGAGGCAGCCACAGGACTGGAGCCCACAGGAGGGAGCTCAGAGGAAGATGCGGATAGGGGGCGCCATCCCACCATGCAGGCTGCGTGAGCCCGCAGGGGAGTTGAGGGTTTATTCCCAGTCAGATGAGAAGCCTGTGGAGGGTTTAAGCAGGGGTGTGATATGGTCAAGTTCATGGAACTAGATGCCCCAGTGACCACATGGAAAGGAGAGTGGAATCCAGGGTACCACTGGGAAGACAGCTCCAGGCATGGGAGCATGCACTGCTGGAGCCGGGGCAGGGTGGGCAGCGACGGAACAAAGAGGAAGATTCTAGATGTATTTAGGAGTCAGAGCCAGGCTGCTGGGACTTGGTGTTATATGGGCATGGTGGGTGAAGATTAGGAAGCCAAGGACGGTCCCCCTCTCTCTTCCTTTTCTGTGACCTGGGGGTAGCCACACTCACGATGCCAGGCCACTTGAAGATCAGACAGGGTCAGGCAAGAATGTGATCAGGACATAGCTGGTGCTTGGGCTTCTGGAGGCGGGCTACAGATTCTTCTGGAAAGACTCTCGAAAACTTGGGCACCCCTTCCCTGGGCCTGCCGAGTGCAGGCAGCTCAAGAACTAACAGAATGTGGGGCCCAGCCCCTTCCCCCAGCTTCAGCGGGTGCTTTTGGTCAGAGGAGGAAAGGCCTTAGCGGTGACCTCTTTCACCCTGGTGTCTGTTGTACCACAGGGGACCCGGGGCTAGAAAAGGGCTTGTCCAGAGTCCCACGGTAAAATCAGTTTCACAATCCCTGGAGCAGTGCTCATTCCCTGCGCCACAAAACCTGGTTGGGTTGGAACTTTAATCGTGTGCTACCTCCTCTGCCCCCTAGCCTGGGGTGCAGCTGCTTGAGTTCAGAAAACCACCCAGGTTCCTGGGGGAAGGGACGCTGGGGTCTGTGAGGAGCCTTATAAACCCACGCGTGTGTGTGCGTGTGGCGTGTGCACTGCTCATCTGCATCCCGTGATGCTGTCCGACTCGGTGGGGTCAGGAGATTCTTGCCCTCTTGCCCTGGGTGGTCCCTTCCCCTGCCAGCCGCCAGCCGCCAGCCTCCCCTCTGCCCTTACGCCCGCTGTGCTTCCAGATGTGGACGAGTGCAGCATGAGCAACGGGAGCTGTGACCAGGGCTGCGTCAACACCAAGGGCAGCTACGAGTGCGTCTGTCCCCCGGGGAGGCGGCTCCACTGGAACGGGAAGGATTGCGTGGGTAGGTGGCCGCCCTGTGCTGCTGGCCCCTCCCCTGCACCTGGGCTTGGATGGGAGGGACAGTGGCTTTTCTGAGGTGGGGGTGAGCAGGACAGCCCCTCCCTTTCCTCTAGGCCTTGCATTCCCAGGCAGAGGTTCTCTGCTGTTGGGGTATGGCTGATGGGAATGAGGACTTGCAGAAAAGGAGGGGGTCCCAGGCAGAGCATGCCAGTGTCAGCCAGAGGCACTGCAACAGGGACCTGAAGTGGGGAGGAGGGCACAGAGGAGATCTGCAGGTCCATGTGCAGCCCAGCCGTGGGGCACAGGGACCCTGCTGATGTCTCCATAGAGCTGGAAGCTTAGAGGGAGTGGGTGTGGAGGCCTCTCCTCTGGTAGCTTCCCCTTGTCTTGCTGAGGAGGCTGAGGGGGAGGAGGAGGGTCACTCGGGGTGCAGCAGCCTCAGTGGGGCACAGTTGCAGGGGATGTGGCAGTGCCTCCTGGAAAGCCCATGGTCCCTGCCCCCTCTGCAGGCATGCTCGCAGCACTGGGTGCCCCTAGGCTGAGTTCTGGACGGGCCCCTGCGTTCCCTGGTTCCCTGTACATGGGACCCTGTCTGGGTGCTGGGGCTGTGGGCCTGCCCTCCTGGAACCTCCACGCCGGGTCCTTGCCCCGCCACACTCTGACATCCCCAGGGCAGCCTAAGTGAGCCTTTTAAATGTAAGTTAGAACATCCCTCTGGGCTCAGAACCCCGCCCCCACCCCCACCCTCCGCCCCTTCCAACCCCGGTAACTCCTCCTTTGACTCTGAATCAAAGCCACAGCGCTTGGAATGGCCCGAAGGCTGCCGCCAGCTGACAGGATTGCCCTCTGCTGTCTCCCTCGCTTCACGCCAGCCTCACTGACTTCGCAGGGCCTCCACCAGCCCTCAGCCCGAGGCTGTGCGCTTCTCTTGGCCTGGAGGGCCCCCCCACACCAGCACTCCTCACTCCTCCCTTGCTGTGAGGGTCTGTGAGTGAGGCCTGCCCCATCACCCACCCAGAGCCGCAGCCTTGGCCACTTCCGCACCCATCTGGGCCCCCTGTGCTTCCAGCTTGCTTTCCCTCCCATCACACTCCCAGCCACCAGAAGTAATGTGCACTTTACAGGTTCGTGTTGGTGTATGTCTGTCTGTCTGTCCATCTCTCTCTCCTCACTAGAATGTAAGCTTTACACAGTTAAACAGGTCTTCTTGGCCTGTCCCATTTACTGCTAGAGCCCCAGCACCTGGAACAGACCCTGACAATCACAGACACAGAGTAAATATTTGTCAGTGAACACATTAACGAATACAAACCATCATTTAATATCTGAAATCCAAAGGCTGAGTTTATCACGTACTTGTGGAAGGACTTGCTGTGCTTTTCAGGCAAAGTCTCACTGAACAAAGTCAACTGCTGCTCTTCTGCTGAGTTTTGGGAAAGAGCTTGTTTGGGGTTGTACGGGTGGCGGAGGCAGCATGAGGGGATCTCCGTCTTACAAGCATAGGAAGGATATGGTACCTTCAGATTCTTTGCAGGAAAGCGTTGTTCATTGAGGGTGTTAGGGGGTCATTGCTCTGTGGTGAGCAGGTTTACGCAAACCTGCCTCCAAAGGGCAAGAAACTGAGTGGCAGAAGAAAGAGGCTGACACATTTAGTTTCTCAGAAAGAAACATTTGGCCGGGCACGGTGACTCACGCCTGTAATCCCAGCACTTTGAGAGGCTGAGGTGGGCAGATCACCAGATCACCTAATTTTTGTATTTTTAATAGAGACGAGGTTTCACCATGTTGGTCAGGCTGGTCTCGACCTCCTGACCTTGTGATCCACCCACCTCAGCCTCCCAAAGTGCCGGGATTGCAGGCGTGAGCCACCGAGCCCGGCCGCTTCTACTGCTCTTTACCATCTGTTGCTTTTGAACTTTTTCTTCCATCCAAGATCCTAACACTTAGGTGAACTCATTGTGATACAGATCTGATCATCCGGGACAATAACTATCCAGCGATATCCTGAATTCTTAAGCAAATGTTTGTCTGTCTCCTGGAGTTTAGGAAAATTTCCTTCAGCACTCAGCATAGCTCTAGACGTGGCTTTACATCCAGCATTAGAGATCTGATTTCTGGCTTTCCTGGGATAAACCCTAAGGGAGGAGTTGCTTGTGTAGGAGATGGAGGGGCAGGAGTGGGGGGGTGATGCGATAAGTGGCTGGTGAAGATGGAGCTGGGCAGAGAGAGTGGCAAGTGGATTTCGGAAGGTTTGAGTGGGAGGAAACTGAGGCCAAGGTATACCAGTGGCAGAAGCTATTAAATGATGAAATTTTGTCTCCTAACATTTTAGAGCTCCTCTTAAATATATTAATGTATTAGTTTTGATGTGTCAGAAGTTCCCACAATGACCAACGTTATTCTAAGCTGGTGGTGGTAGTTGTCGCTGTTTAGGTTTTGTGGTGAGTAGGGGGCAGTTTGCCATTTACCAGGACAAGCACAAGTTAGGATAATAGTCTAAATTCATAAGGCTGCAGGAGTTCAGCCAGGGAAGTTGCAGCCTTGGCATAACCAGCCCATGATCATCACTTTCATCAGTCAAAAGTGTGTGCTTAGCATGACGTTCCGGTTCCCCCAACCAGACACAGGCTGGAAAGGGCCGTGCAGTCAGTGACCTGACAGCTGTGACCCCAGAATATGGAGAAAACAAAGGGGCCTCCTTTCACGTGTTGGCAGAACAGGAGCGCCCTGAGGAAGATTTTAGAAGGGACCCAAGGAAAGCCCTGCCTAGTTGCCTACAGGAATTGGCCCCTAGTATCATAGACCTCTGACCATTGATCCTGGGGGCCAGCTTGGATTGAGTTGGAAGCATGCAGGGCCTGTGTCGCCATCTGGTCCCCAAGGAGCACCCTGTTATCTATCCATCAAACACAAGACAAGTCAGAGCACAACAAAACTCATGGGATAAACCTTTATCTAATAGTCAAGCAAAAGCAAAGTGCCCAGCAGCAGAACACACAGGTAAATGTGTGTCTCCGAACACAAGGTCTTGCTCCCCAGCCAGAGGCCCACTTGCTAACAAAGCAGTCAGCACGAGAGAGCAGCAAAGCAAGTGAGAGCTCAGAGTGTTGTCACACGGTGCCCTCGCAGAAAGCAATCAGCAGGACAGACAAAATGTGGGCCCCGGGGGTTGACCAAGGACACCTGTGGCCCACGGCACCCAAAGGACACTGGGAAGCAAGGGTTTCTAAAACAATCTTGGAGGAACCTCCAGAATTACCAAAGGATGAGATCAGCCACCGCTCAGTATCTGAAACCAGAAAGCTGAGCTGTCGCTTAAGTAAGGGGGAGCTGTGTTGGTCAGGCAGGCTCAGGGAGCAAAGCAAACTGCTGATCTTCCCTGGGGATTTGGGGCAAAGCTTATTCCAGGCAGGTTGGGATTAGGTTGATGGGAGTCTAGAAGCATGGCCTGTGTGGGTTACAGAAGGGAGGTGACTTGACTGAACCTGGAAGCCTGGTTACACTGGAGTAACTCCACATTGATGACTGACCAGAGTGCGAGGCTGTCACTCATGAGGTGGCTTTCAGAGGCGTGCCACATAAGCCGGTTGTCACCGACCAATTAGCCATCTGTAAAATCAGTTCTGGTATTTACCATGGCTGTAGAACCGTCCGTCTTTTCCTAGGAGTCCGGGGGACTTTTTCATCCTCTAAAGATAAGTAAGCAAGTGAGAAATTCTGGAGGGCTGTTTCTCCAGACACCTGATGGCTGTAGCAGAGGCTGCCCCAAAGAGGTGCTTCCGAGCGATCCCCCCCACGGCCCCTCCCAGGAAGCCAGTGTTCATTTAGCGCCGTTCCTTTCCCCAGTGGGAATGGACGCCTGCCCTGGAGAGCTCAGCCCTGCCCTCAGGGAGTTTCTGATCTGGGGATGGGGACATGAACCTTCTCACAGCCAGGATTAGAGCCTGAAGGGGAGGAGGGACTAAGCCAGCTGTCTGGGCCCAGCATCCCCACACGCCCAAGGGACCTGCGATCTCCAGGCGCCTTCCCACCAAGCCAGCCCAGCCATGGAAGAAGGGAGTTGGGGGAGTCCCCATTAGGCCATACCCAGGACCCTCCTGGCTCCAGGAAGCCTCCGCCCTGGCCTCTCTCAGCCCTCTCTCGTATCTCCCTTCATAGAGACAGGCAAGTGTCTTTCTCGCGCCAAGACCTCCCCCCGGGCCCAGCTGTCCTGCAGCAAGGCAGGCGGTGTGGAGAGCTGCTTCCTTTCCTGCCCGGCTCACACACTCTTCGTGCCAGGTAACCCGGGCCGTCCCTGAGATGGGATGCTGTGGCAGGGGGGTCTTCCTCCCTGGGGTCCCACCATTGCTCCCAGCTGTCCTCCAGGAAAGAGTCTGACCTAGGAATGAGGGTCTCTGATAACTGAGTGACCCTAAGGCAGCTGTCTGGTTTTCTGTGGGCCTCGCTGTCCTTCTCAGTAAACCCAGTGGGCTCCTTCCTCCTGGCCACTTCCCTGTGGTTGTGTAGCAGAAACTGGCAGAAGAATCTGTCCTGATCTTCGTCTCACTCCACAATCCCTCTGAGGCCCCAAGAATCTGAGGGCCGTGGGAGGGAGGAGCACCAGGCCCACCTCACCCACCGGCTTCTCTGCAGACTCGGAAAATAGCTACGTCCTGAGCTGCGGAGTTCCAGGGCCGCAGGGCAAGGCGCTGCAGAAACGCAACGGCACCAGCTCTGGCCTCGGGCCCAGCTGCTCAGGTAACCCCCCCGGCCTGTCCATGCTGCATGCCACTGGGTGACTTGACTGCATCCAGCAACATGCTGGCGGGGGAGGAAAGGGCACCGCCCAGGGAAGACCTTCCTGCTCTCGGCCCTGCTCCGTGTGGCCTGGGGTGCTGGCGATGAGCCAGGCCCAGGACCTAGAAGCCAGCAGGCTGCAGGCCGAGTTCTAGCCCAGGGTCAGGGGACCGTGGGAGGGCCCTTCCGGCTCTGAGGTCACAGCCAGAGTGGTTCAGGGACTCTAACGTGCTGTGAGTGCACAGATCTCAGACTGTATGGGTGGAGCAAGCCACATCTGCTGTGGCTATTAGGTTCTCCCGAGTCAGAGCTGGCCTGGCCGTGCAGAGCATGCCAAGAAGCGCCGAGGTGCAGCACAGTCCCAGCCCTTTGGGAGTGACCCGCTGGGCTTGGTCGGCATGGCACAGCCAGCCTTAGCTCCTGCCAGCTAAGGAGCTGAGGGTTGTGTCTTCAGCAGCTTTTCTTATTCAGGATGCTGGATTTGATAGATAGGTGCATTTCTGTATGTTTCTTTATTATTATTATTATTATTTTTAAAACGGAGTCTCGCTCTGTCACCCAGGCTGGAGTGCAGTGGCGTGATCTCGGCTCACTGCAACCTCCGCCTCCCAGGTTCAAGCAATTCTCCTGCCTCAGCCTCCTGAGTAGCTGGGATTACAGGTGCCCATCACCACACCTGGCTAATTTTTGTATTTTTAGTAGAGACATGGTTTCACCATGTTGGTCAGGCTAGTCTGGAACTCCTGACCTCAAGTGATCCGCCTGCCTCGGCCTCCCAGAGTGCTAGGATTACAGGCGTGAGCCACCGCACCCTGCCCATTTCTATATATTTAATGCATATGTGATTTGATTCTAAGCACCTGTGGTGGTAGGATTCTTTAGTCCAAGGGCTATGATTTGCTCTTGCAAGGAACCGGCAGTCCTGGATCTATAGTATTTCAAAGCCCCTTCCCTTCCTTGCTGTCCTATCTCTCTTCTGTTCTACGCTCTTTCCTAAAGCACAATCATGGCTTGCTGATGGGGAGGAGGTAGGAGGATCCCTGTCCTCCTTCTCAGAAGACCTCTGGCGGGTGGCCCCTGGGCTTGAGCTTGACCCCACCATCCATGTGTTCACCTGTTTTAGGCCTTGCAGGGAGAGAAATGGGGCAGGAGAGGGTCCCCCACCCCAGGAGAGCTGTCGGGGCACAGGGACTCAGATCAAGCCCCACCCCCAGCTCCAGATGGATTTGTCCCCTGGCAGCCCCCGTCCCCCACCACCTCCTTGCCTGCAGGAGAGGCCACCACCTGGGGGAATTTTGGCTTTCCCCAGATGCCCCCACCACCCCCATCAAACAGAAGGCCCGCTTCAAGATCCGAGATGCCAAGTGCCACCTCCGGCCCCACAGCCAGGCACGAGCAAAGGAGACCGCCAGGCAGCCGCTGCTGGGTGAGTGGGACGCCCTGCTCCTAACCCACACCAACGGGGCTGTAGGAGAGTCCTCATGCCTGGGAGCTGGGGCCCCAGGGTCCAGCGAGTCTGGTTTCCAAGGGTGGAGGTCTCTCTCACCTGGCAGCTGTTTATTGAATGAGAGTTTCCAAGGACATTGCAGGCTGGGGAAACAGCGGAGGGCAAGCTTGGTACGAGGGGCCCCGGAGGAAGGCACCAGCTCTGTCCCCGTGAAGATTCCTTCTCAAACCTAACAGAGCTCTCAGCACGCAGCAGGCTCTGCCCAGAGCCGAGTCTGCACTGGCCAAACCCTCAGCAGGCCCAGAGCTGGGGGCACAGCCTCATTCATGAATATGTATGAGATGCCTCCACCTGCAGCAGCGTGATGGACCGGGCGTGAGACCTGGCTCAGCCACCAGCCCCTCCTGAGACCCCGAGCCAGCCCTGACCTTCTCTAGCCTGAGTTTTTCCGTCTGCACCACGGACCAGGAAGTCCTTGCCAATGGCACTCTGTATGCAGGGCTTGGTAGGACCTTGCTCCCTGCCCCATGCCGCCTTTGCCACAGTGGTCCTTTCCTCGTCCAGACCACTGCCATGTGACTTTCGTGACCCTCAAGTGTGACTCCTCCAAGAAGAGGCGCCGTGGCCGCAAGTCCCCATCCAAGGAGGTGTCCCACATCACAGCAGAGTTTGAGATCGAGACAAAGATGGAAGAGGCCTCAGGTAGGTGAGGGGTTCTCCTGGGGGCTTCTGCAGGCCTGAAGGAGGACGACAGGCTGGTGGCGCTGCCGGGGGCCTGCCAGGCATGAAGCTAGGCTCCCACCAGAGCACAGCTGTGGCTGGGATGGGAGCCCAGCTTCTGGAGACAGAGGCAGGCCCACAAGCAAAGGGAGCTGGCAGGGGTCAACGCTTGCAGCCCAGGATAGAAGAGGCAGCCCAGGGCAATGAGACAGAAGAGCCGAGGTGACCTCAAAAGTCACATGACCCTTATCTGCCCCTCCACACTCCTGCTGGGACCCGGGAGGACAAATAGGTGCAGCCCCCCTAGAATGGTTGAGCCAAGGATTGTCTTTCCTGGTTCCTGAAGGAGGTTCTAATGCTGGCTCGGGTGTCACAGCAGCACTTTGCTCTTGGCTATATGTGAGTGTCAACCTGTGAGTCGTTGATGTTGAAGAGATGGGATCTGTCAGCAGATAAGTGTGGTATGGGCCTGGCTGTGGGCTTGGGCGCTGTGGAAAGAAAAGTCCCCACCCAGGTAACACTCTCAGCCAGAGAGGCAGACGCACGTGCAAACCACCCATTGCCAGGTGGGACTCTCGGTGGTGGGGGCACAAGAACAAACAATGCATAGAACTGAGGTCTGCCCCCCACGGGAGGGCTTAGGAAATGTCTTAGTCTGGCTGGGCACACTGGCTCACGCCTGTAATCCCAGCAGTCTGGGAGGGCCAAAGTGGGTGGATCACTTGAGTTCAGGAGTTCAAGACCAGCCTGGCCAACATGGTGAAACCCTGTCTCTACTAAAAATACAAAAATTAGCCAGGTGTGGTGGCAGGCACCTGTAATCCCAGCTACTCAGGAGGCTGAGGCAGGAGAATCGCTTGAACCTGGGAGGCAGAGATTGCAGTGAGCTGAGATCGCGCCACTGTGCTCCAGCCTGGCGACGAGTGAGACTCTATCTCAAAAAAAAAAAAAGGAAATGTTTTAGTCTATTTGCGTTGCTAAAAGGAACACCTGAGGCTGCATAATTTATCAGGAAAAGAGCTTATTGGCTCTCGGCTCTGCAGGCTGTCCGAGAACACGGCAGCAGCATCTGCCTGGCGAGGCCTTAGGCTGCTTCTGCTCACGGAGGAAGGTGAAGAGCAGCTGGCATCACATAGCAAGAGTAAGGGAGCAAGAGAGAGGGGAGGGGGTGCCTATGTCTTCACCAGTCACATCTCGTGGCGACTAGTAGAGCCAGCAAGAACTGACTACCACACCAGGCCATTCATGAGGGACCTACCCCATGACCCAGACACCTCCCACCAGGCCCCACCCCCAGCATTAGGGATCAGATTTCAACATGAGGTTTGGAAGAGACAAATATTGAAACCATATCAGGAAGCTTTCCCAGAAGAGGTGCCATTTGAATGAGAGCTTAGAATCAAAGCTCACTGGGTGGAAAAGGTGGCAAGGAATGGCATTCAGGCAGAGGGAATAGAATAGGCAAAGGCACAGAGGTCAGAGAGAGGAGGAGGTGTCCAGGAAGCAGTAAGTAGGGCCAGGTGGCTAGACATTGGAATCCACAGGGAGTGTCAGAGTGGAGGGGATGAGGCTGGCAAGGCCATACGGGGCTGGACCTTGAAGGGCCTTGGATTCAAGGCCAGAGAGCTGGACACTATCCTGGGGACAGTGGCAGTCCCCAAGAGTCTTTGAGTGACAGAAAGGCGTTCTTGCCCCGTGAGTCGTACCCTGGGGGGTGATGTGGTGCAGTGGCAGCTGCCTGGATTGCACTCAGATCTGCTGCGTGGCCGTGGGCAGGCCCTGCCTCCCAGGTCCGCAGCCTCCTCATCTGTCAGATGGGCATGACAGTGGCCCCTTGCCCCAGGACTGTTGTGAGAATGTGCTGAGGAGGTCCGAGCCCAGTGCAGGGCCTGGCACGGGGGAGCCCTCAGCTAAGAAGGCAGCGGCTAGCAAGGTTGCCAGCGATTCATGTTCTGTCTCTCCTGCCCCTGCAGACACATGCGAAGCGGACTGCTTGCGGAAGCGAGCAGAACAGAGCCTGCAGGCCGCCATCAAGACCCTGCGCAAGTCCATCGGCCGGCAGCAGTTCTATGTCCAGGTCTCAGGCACTGAGTACGAGGTAGCCCAGAGGCCAGCCAAGGCGCTGGAGGGGCAGGGGGCATGTGGCGCAGGCCAGGTGCTACAGGACAGCAAATGCGGTGAGTCCTTGCCCATGGCCACTCAGATGCTGACTCTGTCCTTCCTTGCACATGAGCCGGGGTAAACAGTGGTGGGCACGCAGGTGAGACAGACACCTGGGGAGGGGACAGAGAGATGCAGAGGCCTGCCGGGGAGAAGGACTGCAGCCCTCATGGTCATCACTGTCATTTGAAGAGCACTCCTCTGTGCTGGGCCTCGGGCATGTGATCACAGTCTGAGGAGGGACAAGGAGTGGACAGGACAGCAAGGCCACAGTCGAGGGGCGCGAGGGGGCACGGGAACCAGAACAGGCCCTCTCTAGTCTGGGATGTGGTTCAGGGAAGCTTCCTGGAGGAGAAGTCACGTTAGCTAAGACCTCAGGGCTCCAGGAGTTGGGGAGCCTGAGTCAGGGTCGGGGGACAGAGCAGGGATGTCGTGAGGCCTAGGGCCGCCCAGGAGGGCAGCGTCGTGCTGCAGGGAAGCAGGTGAGGCCGGCCCCCAGCGGGCGGGTGTGCGCTGGAGGGGAGAGCCTGGACGCAGGACAGGCAGAACCAGCACACGAGACAGTCCTAGTTCTAGTGGAGCTCACATGCCCGTGCGGAAGATGGACAGTGGGCCAGTGAACATGCCCACAGGTACAGTGAGGCCAGAGGTGATGGGGCCTGGCAGACACCACTCTTGAGTTGGATGGGGAGCCATAGGAATGCTTAGAGCAAGGACGCAGGCTCATGCGCGCTCTTACGGGAAGGCTGAGTAGCGGGGGCGGAGCAAGGACGGGGAGGAGCATGAGATGGAGGGGGCTCCTAGGGAGAGACAGACTTCAAGGACGACTCCAAGGGTTTGGCCAATTGGGCAGAGGTGGTATCGCTTCCTGACGCCGGCCAAATCCCCAAGGATTTGAGGAAGAGTGGGCTGGGGGGAGGGAAACTTGATGAAGAGTGGGCTGCGGGGATGGGGTGCGCAGGCTGGACATGTTCAGTCTGAGACGCTCACAAGTCATCCACATGGAGATGTTGGATGGGCAGTTGCAGCCACAAGTCCGAAGCCTCAAACAATAGGGTTGGCCAGGGGTGTAAACTGGGAAGCCGGAGGAGAAGAAATGATACCTGGCGGGGGAGGAGGGAAGCTGTTGGAGAAGAGGTGACACCTGGCGGATGGGGGGTGGGGGTTGGGGGAAGCTGTTGGTAAAGAGGTGACACCTGGCAGGGTGGGGAAGCTGTTGGTAAAGAGGTGACACCTGGCGGGGTGGGGAAGCTGTTGGTAAAGAGGTGACACCTGGCGGGGTGGGGGGAAGCTGTTAGAGAAGAGGTGACGGCAGTGTTGGGGGAAGCTGTTGGAAAAGAGGTGACACCTGGCAGTGGGGGTGGGAGGGAAGCTGTTGGTAAAGAGATGACACCTGGCGGGGGGTGGGTGGGGGGAAGTTGTTGATAAAGAGGTGACACCTGGAGAGGGCGGGGAAGCTGTTGGTAAAGAGATGACACCTGGCAGGGGAAGGGCCAGGTTGGGGAAGCTGGGACTCTGGCTCAGACAGTGGAGGGGGACAGCCGTACTGACAAGGGGGGACAAAGGGAGCTTGGTGATGTCATCTTCTACTTTCTTTTTTTGTTTGTTTGTTTTTATTTTTGAGACAGAGTCTCGCTCTGTAGCCAGGCTGCAGTGCAATGGTGTAATCTCAGCTCACCGCAACTCTGCCTCCCAGGTTCAACCTATTCTACTGCCTCAGCCTCCCAAGTAGCTAGGACTACAGGTGCGCGCCACCGTGTCCGGCTAATTTTTGTATTTTTAGTAGAGACAGGGTTTCACTATGTTGGCCAGGCTGGTCTCAAACTCCTGACCTCATGATCTGCCCACCTCGGCCTCCCAAAGTGCTGGGATTATGGGTGTGAGCCACTGCGCCCAGCCTCTTCTACTTTCAATAACTTATTTTGGGCCGGGCATGGTAGCTCACGCCTGTAATCCCAGCACTTTGGGAGGCCGAGACAGGTGGATCACCTGAGGTCAGGAGTTTGAGACCAGCCTGGCCAACATGGTGAAACCCCGTCTCTACTAAAAATACAAAAATTAGCTGGGTGTGGTGGCGAGCGCCTGCAATCCTAGCTACTGGGGAGGCTGAGACAGGAGAGTCACTTGAACCTGGGAGGCAGAGGTTGCAGTGAGCTGAGATCACACCACTGCACTCCAGCCTGGGTGACAGAGCGAGACTCCATCCCAAAATAAAAATAAATAACTTATTTTGAAATTATTTCAAAGTTTCAGAAACATTGTCAAGCAGAACAAAAAACTTCCATATTTTCTTCATCCAAATTCCCCAATTGTGCACATTTGACCACATCTGCCCCGTCTCCCACACGTGTGCATGTGTGTGAGTGTGCATGCATGTGTGAGTGTGTAGTCTTCACCATCCAACCCACACACCCACCCCATTCAGCTCCAGCAATCCTTCCAACAATGTCCCTTTTGTTTTTCTGGTCCCAGCTCCCATCCAGAAAGACATGTCACCCTCCACTGTGTCTTCAGGCTCCTTCAGTCTGGAGCCGCTTCTCCCCTTTCCCTGCCTCTCCTGCCCTTGTCCCAAACTCACCTCCTCTAGGCTAACGCTCAGAGCTCCCTCTGGTTTTTCCTGGGGACCTGACTCAGGGCCCAGGGTCCAGCAGGAACCTCAGCTTCGAGGCCTAATCCTGGGTGCCCCATCAGCAGGCACAGGATACCCCCAGCCCGCCACTGGCTTCACTTTCACTCGCCATTTTCTCTCTGTGATTGATGAGTGTTTTCTGAGTTTGGACCAATATTCTCCTCCTCATCAAACTTCTGCACAGCTCCCGCCATGTCAGCCACCTCTACCATTTGTTCCATGTTCCACGCTCACTAGTCACATTCTCCTGTAGGAAAGTGGGTGGCCATGGCCGTTTACCTCTGGGTCTGTATCCCTATAGACTCAGATTCCCCTTACTCATTGCGTGGTGATCCATTCCTGATGTTATTTAGTTCGGCGCTCACTGTGTCCCCAGGGTAGCCAGGGATGCCCCACCAAGCTGGCTCTTGGGTCTGTCTGACCTGCCACACACATGCTGCGAGCCTCCCCTTCAGATCCAACTGACACTCTCCATCCCCTGGCATCAGCCAAATCCCCAAGGACCCCTGGTTCCTTTGAGAGGAGGATGATGGGTAGAAACCAAAATCTGGGATATTCATTGCTCCTGGAGTACCACTGCCTCTAGGCCCTCTCATCGGACAGAACTGGAAAGCATAGATGTGTATACACGTGCACACACAGGCATGGGAATCTATGGGTGGGGGGGTTCTAAAACCATGAATTCATGCCAGTGCCTCCCGTTCCACACCTCAGGGTCTTTTCTAACCTTCACTCCCCATTTCCGCATTTGTAAGCATCTTCTCCAGCACTGAGAAACTCGGCTCCCTTTCTCCTGAATTTACTGATTTACTCAGTTTCCTTACTTACTCATCAGTCGACGTATTTGTTCAGTGTAGCCAACCAGACTGCGCTGTCTTCAGCCCATCATCTCCTCGCTACGCCCCTCCCACCTCGCCCGCCAGGCCCTCCTGCCCTTGCCTATTTGAGCCCCAGTCCCTCCCCACTGCCCCTAACTCCTCCACTCAGGAAGGACAGGGGAGCTTCGGGGTGAAATGACTGTAGCATATCCAAGTGGCGACATCCAGGAGGCAGTTTGCTAAAGCTGGAGGGCAGGGTGTGGAGCAGACAGAGGACAGACGTATGGGGGAGGTGGGGACCACAGGCTTCTATAAGCGGGTGGAGATGGAGGGGTCCACAGAGGACTCTGAGGTGCAGCAGCCAGAGGGGCCAGGCTTCATGGCCCTCACAGATGGCTGCCTCCTGGGTCTTGCCCCAGGCTCTTCTGGGATAGGTCAGGGGCCCCTCTGTGTCCTTGGGGCCCCAGGGGACAAGGACTGTGTCTATCAGGAGAGCCTGGGCTTGAGCACACAGGAGACACCCCTGGCCTCCCCACCTCTGCCTCCAGCAGCCTCTCCGCTTTGCCTCTGCAGTTGCCTGTGGGCCTGGCACCCACTTCGGTGGTGAGCTCGGCCAGTGTGTGTCATGTATGCCAGGAACATACCAGGACATGGAAGGCCAGCTCAGTTGCACACCGTGCCCCAGCAGCGACGGGCTTGGTCTGCCTGGTGCCCGCAACGTGTCGGAATGTGGAGGCAAGTGCGGGCCTAGAAGGAGAGGTGGGGGTGGGGGGTGGGCGGGGGCTCCTCCTGTCTCTGATGAGGCCCTCCTGTCGAAGGCCCAGGTGCCTGGTGTGGCCAGAGAGTGTGGTATTTTCTAAAGTTCCTTGTCGTTTCCAAAACCCTTCACGATGTCTGTGCAGTCATCACTTACAAAGTGCGTGACAGATCCCAAAGCGTCAGCAGTCCCGGCCTGCACTACAGTGCTGAGCGCTGCACTGCACTCGGTGTGCTCTCAGAATTGCATTGTGCCCTTTGGAAAGGACTTCACAGTGTGCAACTTACGGTTTCTAAGGGAGGTACATAAGTGCCTTATGGTGGACTAGACAGCTTACATTTTACGGAACATTCCATTACAACTGGAACACTTTGCAGAGAGTATCTTATACTTGAGCAAGAACTTTGCTCCACACAAAGAACTTTATTATGTGCCCCACAGACGGTTTAGAAAGCCCTTTTTCAATTTACCAAATGCAGTTAGGTTTGCAAAGAGCTTTTGCATTTACCTCCCTCTCCCCACTTAACTCCATCTGTGAAGCTAGCTCAGTCTCCCCATGAGCCTTTCTTCCCAGGCCACTGTGAGTTTCACCCAAGAGAATCCGCGGGGAAGGTTCTCAGCACCCTGAGAAGCACAGTGCCTGTGAGGGTGGGGGAGTGGGGTCCCAGGATACTGGAGACCTCCAGCTTTCTCCCGGTGATGGAAGGGCTCAGAGCCCAGCCCTGAGTCCGTCCAGGCTGCCGGCTGCTCTCTGGCCCACGCCCACTCCAGGAGTGTGGTCTCCACCCCTGGGGGAGTGGCCACTGGTAGGAGATTCCGTGTTTGGGTAGAAGCTGAGAATCCCAGGGTCTGGGCTGAGAGGGTGCTAAACCCGCCTCTCACTCAATGCCAGAATACTCTCTGCATCCTGAGTCTGCTGGAACGCAAGAACATTCTTTACTCGGAGCTGAAATTGGCTTTCCTGTGGTCCCCTCCCTTTGTCCCAGGGGTGCCCTTGAGTACCTCAGAAACCCTCCCCAGACCCGCCTCCCTCTGCTCTGGCCTGGCCCTGCTGGTAGACCAGGCAGCGTCACCCTGAAGCTGAGCAGGTGCTCCTTCTGCGGAGACCCCGGTGCAGCCTACCCCCCGGGGACAGCCCCTCTGAGACACGTGACCTGCCCCTCCACCTGTGGGTCCCCTTCCCAGCTCAGCAGCAAGGCCTCTTGCTCTTCAACCCCCAGGCCTTCTTGCTGGTGGGAGAAGGAGAGCCAGGCTTGACCAAGGCCGCACATGAACCGCTGGCATCATCCGGACCAGGGCCCAGCTTCCTGCACCCCGGCTGCTGCGTTTTCCCCACCCCGTCCCCACCCCAGGCCTCGGGTGCCCAGTACCTTTTCCAGGGCCGGGCAAGGGCCAAGAGCGGGGCCTGAGACCACCCACAGCCTCGGCCCTGCGGTGCCCTCCTGCCCGCCTGAGCCATGACCTCTGACTTTCAGGCCAGTGTTCTCCAGGCTTCTTCTCGGCCGATGGCTTCAAGCCCTGCCAGGCCTGCCCCGTGGGCACGTACCAGCCTGAGCCCGGGCGCACCGGCTGCTTCCCCTGTGGAGGGGGTTTGCTCACCAAACACGAAGGCACCACCTCCTTCCAGGACTGCGAGGCTAAAGGTGAGCATGCCCTCCCCACCACGCCCGCCCACCCCGAGAGGCAGGGCTGCACTGCTCCGAGAGGCTTCCCCGAACCCCTCTCATCTCCTCCATGTGGCGAACCTCCCAGCTCAGAGGAGGAGCCTGGAGCTGTCAGGCGTGGGCGTGGGTGACCCACTGTGCCCCGCATTAGGACAGGGACACCTTATAGCTGAGAGCTTTCTGAGCTCCAGGGGGAACAGCAGCTCCTCGGAGCACTGGGGAGGGCTCTGGGGACAGGAGGCCTTGAGCAGCATCTAGAAGGGAGGTTGGGAGGGTGAGGAGGGGGCAGGAGTGTGGGGGCAGGAGTGTGGGGGCAGGAGCGGGATCAGGGCATCACCTCAACTGCTGTCTGTTCAGGGCATCTGGTCCCACCCAGGTCTACATCCCGTCTTCCCTCACTCACCAACTCCCCCAAATCCTCCCCATTCTCAGCTGCTGACCCTGCTTCCCCACCGTGCTCCCTCTCAGTGTCTGTCTGTCTGTCCAGGTGGCCTGGCTCTCAGCCCCCTGGAGCCAGCCACATCACCAGATACTCCCCTGCACATACAAACTGTTCTGAATTTGCCCATTTAAAAAAAGAAGCCAGGTGCGGTGGCACACACCTATAATCCCAGCACTTTGGGAGGCCAAAGGGGGTGGATCACCTGAGGTCAGAAGTTTGAGGCCAGCCCGGCTAGCATGGCAAAACCCTGTCTCTACTTAAAAAAAATACAAAAATAATTAGCCGGGTGTGGTGATGTGCACCTGTAATCCCAGCTACTCGGGAGACTGGGAGGGGAGGATCGCTTGAACCCAGGAGGTGGAGGTTGCAGTGAGCCGAGATGGCACCATTGCACTCCAGCCTGGGTGACGGAGCGAGCTCCATCTCAAAAAAAAAAAAAAAGAATTGCCCATCTCTAGCCCCCCGCCCCGGCACCCCTCAGACTCCGGCCGCCTGTCTCTCCTGCCCCAGCAACCTTGTAGAAAGAGGGTTTGGCCTAGCTGGCTCCACTTCCCCTCCTCCCTGTCTCCCCCGCACGCCTCCGGCCACATCATCGCCCCCGCTCTCCCTGAAAATGGCTCCCATCAAGGTGGCCTGTGTGGTCCCTGTTTTGCTGGAGCCAACATCACATCAATCTGCCATGTGACCCCCACGCCAAGGGCTCTTCCTGGCCATGGCGGAGTGAGGGTGGTGGGAGGTCATGGGGCGGTGGGGAGGAGCCTTGAACTCTGTGCCAAAACAGACCTCGAGGGCATGAGAGGTCCTGGGGACAGCACCCCAGTGCTGCCCTTTCCCTGCACCCCTCCACACCCACCACACTGCCTTGTGTCCCCCGGCAGTGCACTGCTCCCCCGGCCACCACTACAACACCACCACCCACCGCTGCATCCGCTGCCCCGTCGGCACCTACCAGCCCGAGTTTGGCCAGAACCACTGCATCACCTGTCCGGGCAACACCAGCACAGACTTCGATGGCTCCACCAACGTCACACACTGCAAAAGTGGGTGCTGCTGCTCTGCCGTGGGAAGCTGGGAACACGGGAGGGGCTGGGCAGGTTGTGGGGGCGGGAGGAGACCTGATCTCACACGAGCTCCACGAGGACACTGGACTCCTCCCGCTCCGTCCCGTCTGCTCTCGGGTGCATTGCATCCATCTGGAGGCCTGTGGCACCAAAGGGGCAGCCCTGGCTTGGCCCACTCTACGGAGCCCACAGTGGTGGCCATCGTTCATCAGTTCCCACTGCTCACCCAACACAGCCCAAGCCTCTGCCCTGGGCCAGGCCCTGCTCTAGTTTCTGGGTCTGCTGGGGGGGCTGACAGCCTACAGGGGCACTGACAGGGCCTCTAGAGAGAGCAGGGCTCCAGGCCCTCTCAGTGCCCCTGACAAGGCCCAGCCACAGAGAAATAGGGTGGGCCTGCAGGCATGGCAGCCCAGTAAGAAGAAGCCCCCAGGCTGGGCCTCAGGGAACCACAGGCCTGAACAGGGGACCTGCCCTCCTGCTCTGGGGGCAGCCCAGGCAGGGTCCCCAAGGAGGATGGGCTCAGGGTCCGAGGGCTAGTGTGGGGGGGGACAAGAGCACCTTCCAGCCCTGCCCTAGGCCTCCCAGGTGGTTAGAGGCCTGGCCGGCCAGGGCCCCTGCCCAGCAGAGCCTGATGAGGCCCTCGGGCCACTGTGCCCACAGACCAGCACTGCGGCGGCGAGCTTGGTGACTACACCGGCTACATCGAGTCCCCCAACTACCCTGGCGACTACCCAGCCAACGCTGAATGCGTCTGGCACATCGCGCCTCCCCCAAAGCGCAGGATCCTCATCGTGGTCCCTGAGATCTTCCTGCCCATCGAGGATGAGTGCGGCGATGTTCTGGTCATGAGGAAGAGTGGTATGTTGGGGGCCGAGGGGACCAGAGGCAGCCTCAGCTGCGTGTGCACCCCCGTCTCGCTGCGGTTCTGCCAGGCGGGATCGCTGCCTTCACAGGGCAGAGAGGAGGGCCCTGGGGCTCAGAGGACCAGCCCCTCAGAGTCCACCTGGGAGGCAGGGTTGAAACCCACTTGGGTCTAAGAGCTGGCTTTACAGAGTTCTGTGGAAAGATCTGGAGAGCTTAGGGTATTCCGAGAGTGGATGCTGGGACATGGTCAGGCCTGGTCTCAACTCCGGCCACGAGCCGGGCCCTCATCCCAGTGGCGGGACCAGCCGCAGGGCCCCTTGCCACCACTTTCTGCCGCACCGCTCAGGGCGAGACCTCAGGCTCCAGCTCCATGGGTCTCCTCCCGCCCGCTGAGGTTTGGGGGACCACACGGCCGTCCCATGCACCACACAAGATAACAGCTCAGAGAGCCCTCCCCACCCCTCTGTGAGCCCTGGACTCCTGGCTCATCCGCCCCCGTCAGGGCTCCTCTTGAGACTTTAGGGAGTGAAGGATGGAATGGCATGAGAGAGGACTGGACTCAGCAGTGGGTGTGACCGCTGTGTGCCCAGCTGGCCACAGCAGCAGGAATGCCTGGGAGGCCCCTGAGCCACCCGAGCACCAGCCAAATACCTGCAGCGCACCTGTCCAGGGCACCTCGCTGCTGTCGGGCTGTGGGTGCCCATGTGAGCGAGCTCCATGTCTGAGTGTTAGGGAAGGAAGAGCAGGAACCCAGACACCCACAGACGCTGGCCAGAGAACATCTCTGGGTACCCAGTGACCACAGAGACCGGCCAGATGAGGGGGTGGGGAGGGGCCTGAGGTCTGCGCCAGGGCTGCTCCTCCAGAGTTGCGTTATCCTGGGCAGGAGTTGCTCAGCATAGCTAATGAGTAGACGGATGTCAGCAAGGCTGACGCAGCTGAGCAGCCAAAAGCCGCAGTGTGCGGATGGGCAAGGGACCGGCCTGGGACCACATTCCCCACCCGTTCCCCTCACCCGTTCCCCTGCCCCCAGCATCCCCTCCTTCTGTCCCCCACCACAAGCCTGAGCTGAAGTGAAGCCCAGCCTGTCCCCCATGAAGGGCTCCTCGGGAAGGCCCCCAGGGAGCCGTGAGGCCTTGCCAAGGAGCCCTTAAGCGGGGAGAGGCTGGGCAGGGCTGGGGTGCTCCCACTGTCACCGTGTCTGAGAAAAGGATGGTTTGCAGAGTTTGGGAAGATTCACCTGCCGGTCACATGCTGTACCCACGCTGCCGCACTCGGCTCCTGATTTCCTCCTCGGGAGATCAGGGCTCAGTGGGCCTTGCTGGTGTATTTGCTCTCGGGGAGAAGGGACTTCCCAAGTCTGTGCCTCTGGTCCCAGCAGTCAGTGCCAGTTCATCTCCCACGTCCTCCCCCAGCTTCCACTCCCACCCTGGCCTTGCACCAAGTGCAGGCCTGAGCCCTGTCACCGAGGAGCAGTTAGCTGGAGGGAGATGGAGACCCACTGACAGAGGGGCCTGTGATAAGGGGTTCACCAGAGCAGAGCAAGATCTTGGGAGGGGATGGGGGGAGAGTCAGGGAGGCTTCCTGGAAGAGGGGACAGAGATGGGTCTCAGAAGGACAAGTAAGAACCCGGGTTGAGGGTAGGGAAGGGCCTCAGAGGCAGAGGGAGCAAGCACAAAGACTAAGCCGTTGTGTTTGGGGGACCAGGCGTTCGGTGCAGGTGCTGGGTGGTGGACTGGATGGGAGGCGAGTGGCCTAGGGCAGGAGGAGCTGCCTACCTGTGGCAGCTCAGCAATGATGCTTCACCCGCAGCCTCTCCCACGTCCATCACCACCTATGAGACCTGCCAGACCTACGAGAGGCCCATCGCCTTCACCTCCCGCTCCCGCAAGCTCTGGATCCAGTTCAAATCCAATGAAGGCAACAGCGGCAAAGGCTTCCAAGTGCCCTATGTCACCTACGATGGTAAGATCCACTGTCTTCACGGCCCACTGTGCACGGCTCAGGCGGGGCCCTGGAGACACAGAGATGAGTCGCACGTCCCCGCCCTCAGGGAGCTGCGACCTGGCAGGTACAGACCTGGAAGCAGAACGAACACTGTCAGGGGCCAGAGCCAGACAGGCTGAGGGTGGTACCGGGTGGTACAGGCAAGACAGCGGTTAGTGGCCTCTGCAGGCTTCAGCTGAGGTGCTGCCCAAGCAGGGTTTTGAGGGCTAAATAGGGGGTTCTTAGTGAAACCCCGAGGAGGACAATACAGGTGCAGGGAGCCCCAGGTTCAAAGGCACAGAGGCAGAGCTGCGGCCAGCCATAGCCCAGAGCCCGTGGCTGGAGCACAGGAGGGAGGGCAGAGGCTGGAGGTGAAAGGGGAGCACGTGGGCCTCAAGCCCCTCGCCTTCCTCTCCCCCTGCTGACCCGCTGCCCAGAGGACTACCAGCAACTCATAGAGGACATCGTGCGCGATGGGCGCCTGTACGCCTCGGAGAACCACCAGGAAATTTTGAAAGTGAGTGAGTTTATTGGAAGGGAATCCACGTAACCCTGGGATGGGGCCTGTGATGAGCCAGGACCGCCCCTGCCCCAGCCCTGGCCCCTGGAGGAGCAAGGGAGGGTGGGTGGTGATGGGAGAGGAGCAGGAGGCTTGGGGGTCCCAGAGCCCTAATGGTGGGGACTGGGTCCTGCACATCTGTTCCTCCAGACCAGGAGGCCTGAGGGAAGCTGTTTGGTGAGGACTTGGGGACCAGGACCTGGTGATGTGGCCTCAGGCACATTCCTCACCAGCTCACAGCCTCACTCTCCTCATCTGTAGAATGAGGGTATTCTGGGGGATGTCTCAGAATCAGTGGGATCTACCCAGTGCCATTGTCACTTGGAGCCCCCCTGCCGCTGGGACTAGGCTCCCTCCTCTTCCTGCTTCCAGCCTGGAGAGGCAGGGCCGCCTGGTGTGTCACATGGTGGGTACTGGCCAGAGGCCTGGGGACCCAGGACTCACCCAGCTCAGCCCTGGGCAGCAGCACTGTCAGCCCAGGAGCCCCGGGGTGTGGAGGACAAGGGCAGGGCTGGAACGCTCCCGCTGTCACTTCTTCTGAGAAAAGGATGGTTTGCAGAGTTCGGGAAGATTCACTTGAGTCTCCCCATAGTCTGCCAGTCACGTGCTGCCGCCCTCGGCTCCTGATTTCCTCCTCAAGCTGCTTAGGCAGAAACCAGGGATGCGTCCTGGGCTCTCTCCCCGCAATCTCTGTCCCCCCAGCTCCGCCCTGGGAGCATCGCTCCCAAACTGGAAGCATCCTGACACTGCTCTGGGGACACAAACCTCAGCCGGAGGGCCATCCTCCTCCACAGCAGCTCCCAGCTCCTCACACGCACCAGAGCCTCTCGGCCCCTTCTTTCCCCCACCTCTTTCCCCCCATCCTTCCGCCCTCAGCTGGGACATCCTGTCGTACTCTGGGCGGCCTGCCCGGACCCCCTGACCTGGGCACACCCTTTGCAGCCCCTTAGGTCCCGCGTGCCCCTCCTTCCTGGCGCCCACCAGCACTCACTTTAGGTTTGTTCTGTGAATATTTAGTCCCTGCCCCCACAGCACAGAGGAGGGCAGGAGCATCTGTCTCCAGGGTGTGGGTTCAGGGCACGCGTGTGTGTGTGCGGGGGGTGGGGGAGTGTGCTGTGTGGTGTGTTTGTGGAGGCATGTGTGGTGAGTTTGGAGGTGTTCAGTGTGTGTGGTGACTGTGGTGTGTGTGTAGGGGTGTGTGTTGAGTGGGTGTGTATAGTGTGTATGTAGGGGTATGTAGGGGTGTGTGTGCTGGGTGTGTAGGGGTGTGTGTTGAGTGGGTGTGTGTGGGGTGTAGTGAGTGGGGGTGTGGTGGGTGTGTGGTGTGTTTGGGGGGGTGTGTGGTGAATGGAGGCGGTGTGTGTAGTGGGTGGGGGTGTGGTGGATGTGTGGTGTGTATGGGGGTGTGTATGGTCGATGGAGGTGAGGGTGTGTGGTGTGTGTGGGGGTGAGTGTGTGGTGAGTGGGTGTGTGGTATGTATATAGGGTGTGTGATGAGTGGGGGTGGAGGTGTGAATAGAGGTGGGGTGAGTGTGGTGAGTGGGTGTGTGGTGTGTATATAGGGGTGTGTGTGGTGAGTGGGGGTGGGGGTGTTTGTGGTGAGGGGTGTGTGGTGGGTGTGGTGTGTGTGGGGGTGAGTGGTGAGTGGGTGTGTGGTGTGTGTGGGGGTGAGTGGTGAGTGGGTGTGTGGTGTGTGTGGGGGTGAGTGTGTGGTGAGTGGGTGGTGTGTGTGTGGGTGAGTGGTGAGTGGGCGTGTGGTGTGTGTGGGGGTGAGTGTGTGGTGAGTGGGTGGTGTGTGTGGGGGTGAGTGAGTGGTGAGTGGGTGTGTGGTGTGTGTGGGGGTGAGTGTGTGGTGAGTGGGTGTATGGTATGGGGTGTGGTGGGTGTGTGGTGAGTGGGTGTGTGGTGTGGGGTGTGGTGGGTGTGTACACAGAGATGAGTGTGTGCCAGGACAGGTCCACCCCAGACACAGCAGATGCAGTCACAGTCAACAGGGCGAGGAGCTCTCACGCGCCAGCAGGTGGTGGTCGCCATTTGCTGAACACCTTCCCTGGGCCAGGCTCTGGGGACTCTGTCAGGAACCAGACCTCCGCCAGGCCTCACCTCTGCTCCATAGTTTCTGCCCAGGGTGGCAGCCAGTGCCCCACTAGAGAGACGAGACACTGGGGCTCAGAGAGGGCGGGGACTGCATCTGCCCTCCAGAGACTGCTCCGGAGGACAGCCCCGTTTGCTGCCTAGATCCCTGCAGCAAACCTGTACTGAGCACCGCTGAGGAGAGGTTCTCTGCTCACGCCAGTGCAGATCATTTTCCTCGCAGCCCCGGGAAGAGGCATCGTGACCTCTCTGTGCAGGGAAGAATGAAAGTCAGAGCAGCAAAGCGATGTTCCCGAGGTCCAGGGACCAGCGAGCAGGCCTGAAGTGATGATTTGGGATCTGCCAGCTGCAAAGCCTGTGCTCTTGGCTGGGTGTTCTCTGTTTGCAGATGTTGGTTGTGTTGTGTCATTTTGCAGCGGGACCCTTTGTTAATAAAATCTTTTTTTTTTTTTTTTTGAGACAGTCTCGCTCTGTCATCCAGCATGGAGTGCAGTGGCACACTCTCGGCTCACTGCAACCTCCGCCTCCCGGTTTCAAGCAGTTCTCATGCCTCAGCCTCCCGAGTTGCTGGGATTACAGGCATGCGCCACCACGCCCAGCTAATTTTGTATTTTTAGTAGAGATGGGGTTTCCCCATGTTGATCAGCCTGGTCTCAAACTCTTGACCTCAGGTGATCTGCCCGCCTCAGCCTCCCAAAGTGCTGGGATTACAGGTGTGAGCCACCACACTTGGCCTTTAATAAAATCTTATTGGAATCCCAAGAGTTAATGCCAATGATCTATTTAAAAACCAGTTACGGGCCAGGCGCCGTGGCTCACGCCTGTAATCCCAGCACTTTGGGAGGCCGAGGTGGGTGGATCACCTGAGGTCAGGAGCCTGAGACCAAGCTGGCCAACATGGTGAAAATGCGTCTCTACTGAAAAGACAAAACTTAGCCAGGTGTGGTGGTGCATGCCTATAATCCCAGCTACTCGAGAGGCTGAGGCAGCAGAATCACCTGAACTCAGGAGGCGAGGTGCAGTGACCCAAGATCCCGCCACTGCACTCCAGCCTGGGTGACAGGGCAAGACTGTCTCAAAAAAAATAAACAAATAAAAACCAGTTATACTATTAAAACCAAAAGAAGGTCTGTGGGGTCCTGAAACCCACCAGCCAGCGCATCTCTCTCCCCTCCCCCAGCCTGGCAACACCCCACAGACCCTACAGGCCCCAAGCCTCCCCTGCCTCCCACCCACTCTATCTTACAGGACAAGAAGCTGATCAAGGCCCTCTTCGACGTGCTGGCGCATCCCCAGAACTACTTCAAGTACACAGCCCAGGAATCCAAGGAGATGTTCCCACGGTCCTTCATCAAACTGCTGCGCTCCAAAGTGTCTCGGTTCCTGCGGCCCTACAAATAACCGGGGGGAGCGGCCCTGCCTGGGGGTGGCCTGGTCCGCGGAGGGTGCACCTGCCCTCCACAGTGGGAGCTGCATGGGCCTCCACACCACCTTGGGAACCCCATGGCACTGCCCTTCAGGGAAGCCGACCAGCCCATGGAGACCGAGCCCAGGCACCCTTCGGACCCGCTGCCCCTGTGGGAGCACCCTGCTTCAGGAAGCCTCCCTCCCTCCCTCTGCCTCCCTTCCCCAGGACACCAAGAGCGCCCTCTCCTGAGCCCTGGCAGACCGACTGCAGGTAGCAGGATTGCAGGACCCTCTGCCTGGCCTGGCGTTTCAGGAGAGAGGGGAAGTGGGGCCTGTGCTCTGGGAGGCGTGGTCATCCGAGACAGGAGTCCAGGGGAGAGAGGAGGGGACAAAGGCGCCGTCTGGGGGAGGTCGATGAGCCTGTGCTGGCATCCGCGGGCCCCACGCTTTGCCAACTCCTCCAGCCACAGGCAAGGCCACGGCTCCGGGCTGTTGCGCTCTAAGGGTTCTGTGATTGGATGGAACAGAGCTGCTGGGGAGGAGACTGGAAGTTTCTGCATTCCTTCAACAGAACATTTAATGAAGTACTCTATATATATATATAAATATATATATAAATATATATATATACTTCTATTTGTGGGTACTTTAGGAAAATGCCCTTTGGTCACTGTAAATATGAATTGTGACCCCATCCCTTCCCGCATGAGCCCAGTGAGTCCCAGCAGCTATCAGCCTCCCTGAACGATTAAACAGCTCCTCCCAGCATTTGCATTTGCCCTTCTGTTTCTGTGAGGCCGGCAGCCCTTGGGGCTGGGGAGAGCACAGCTTGCCTTGGACTTGCTTCTGAACACGAATTCTTCGAGAACTAGGCTCAGATGCTCTGCTGGAGTGTTGGCCTCACCCCAGTCCCCTTGCCAGCAACATCACTGCCCTTGGACGAGACTCAGTGGAAGACACTTCCCCTCGGACCCGTTCCCAGGAGGTGCAGGGGCCCAGCAATAAACGGCGAAAGGGGCCTTGGCTCTTGCCCTGTGGCAGTGACCTTGGGGTCCGTACTATGCCCAGGTGTCAGCAGGAAACAAGGCCTTGCTCACAGGAGCACAGGCTGTACCACCACAAGGAGCCTCAGAGCGGCCAGTGAGGAAAGGGGAGAGAGCAGAGCTTGCTGTCAGAGGCCAGGCTCCCAGTGCAGCCTCCTCTTGCTACGCCATGCCACCCCCATTCACAGGGAAACCTCTTTCCTTCCTATAAAGGAAAGAGGTTGAATTGACTCACATTTCCACATGGCTTGGGAGGCCTCAGGAAACTTACAATCATGGCGGAGGGTGAAGGGGAAGCAAGCGCCTTCTTCACAAGGCAGCAGGAGAGAGAAGCAAGCAGGGAAATGTCGGGAGAAAGAGAGTCTGGGCTGTGACCGAGTGCATGTGTCCCACCCAGCCGGAAGGCCAGCGCCTGGGATGGAGCCAGCAGAACCCCATGCCGAGGTCCAGGAGGCCTTGCCTGCTCTTCATCTGCCTGCGAGCTGTAGGACCTGCATGGGAAATGGTCTGTGTGTTTCAGGTTAACAAATACTGAAAATCCCAAGGAACCTGGGAGAATCTGAAAATGAACTCCAGTCTTCAGCTCGAAGTTGCCTCTAGGGTTCCTCCTGGTCACCCCCGGGCCCAGCCTGGCTGGCGAGAAACAAACACGGTTTGAGAGGCTGTGGCACACTGAGGACCACACAGATGGAGGCAGCCAAGTGAGGTCCCTGGAGGTTCAGGGCTTGGTGACGAGGTAGGCCGTGATCACATATTCTACAGTCCAAAAGAGGGCCCGGAGCTCAGCAATTACTCACGCCGTCACATGTGCCCACAGTAGCGGGCTCCGCGGCGTGGCTCCTGCTGCCATCAGCTGCCTTCTCTGCTGAAGTCCAACTCAAGTCGGAGAGAGAGTGGAGCCTCTGCACTTGGGGAGTAGGTCAGTGTCAACTAACAAGCCCTGCCAGGGGCCACTGCCGCTCCTCTGGTCACAGTCCACGCAGGCCAGCCCTGGTTTCTGGAAAGAGGCCTCCCTCCCTCCCTTTGTGGAGCCGTCAGTCATCCCCAAGATGAGAGGCGAGCATCCTGCCGAGTGAGCCTGCAGCAACAGCTCCTGAGGAAGGTGCCGGGAGGGGTGTCGCCTCTTCACGAGTGTTCTCCAGAGAATCAGAACCCAGAGGATACAGACGTAGATGTGTGAGGGGCTGCATTATGGGAACTGGCTCACAGATTCTGGAGGCCAACAAGTCCCACGATCGGCTGTCTGCGATTGGGAGACCAGGAGAAGCCACACCGTAACTCAGTCTGAGTCCAAAGCCCGAGAAGCCAGGGGCCACCCTGTGAGTCCCAGCATCCAAAGCCCCGAGAACGAGGAAGATGGATGTCCCAGCTCCCAAAGGGAGGATTCTCCCTTCCTCCTCCTTCTTTTCTATTGGGGCCCTCAACAGATTGGATGGAGTGGATGTCTTCACTCAGTCTGCCAATTCCCATCCTAACCTCTTCTGGAAACACCCTAGCATGTTTTCCCAGCTAGCTGGGTATCCGTTCACCCAACCAAGACGACCATGCAATCAACCATCACACTTAAATGTTTTTGTTTTGTTTTTTTTGTTTTGTTTTTTGTTTTCTTTTTTTGTTTTCTTTTTTTTTTTTTTTTTTTTTTTTGAGATGGAGTCTCGCTCTGTCACCCAGGCTGGAGTGCAGTGGCGCGATCTTGGTTCACTGCAAGCTCCGCCTCCCGGGTTCACGCCATTCTCCTGCCTCAGCCTCCCGAGTAGCTGGGACTACAGGCACCCACCACCTTGCCCGGCTAATTTTTTTGTATTTTTAGTAGAGACAGGGTTTCACCATATTAGCCAGGATGGTCTCGATCTCCTGACCTCGTGATCCGCCCACCTCGGCCTCCCAAAGTGCTGGGATTACAGGCGTGAGCCACCACGCCCAGCCAGGGTTTTCTTTTTTAATCCTTTCCAGAAACAGAAAGAGCTCTTAACCTCTCTGAGCTCTTTCTGCAATTCCTTTGGGCGATTTCTGAAAGTTGCCACCCACGTACTCACAGATCCACTGCCCGCCTCTCCTCCCCTCATGTTCCAGGACTCACCACCGTGGTCAGACCATGCCCAGTGTGCCCAGGGCAAAGTTGGATGGGCAGGTGCAGACGAGGCCCAGCCTTCATCCTGCTTTCCCTCGCAAGCCCTTCTATAGCTCCCAGCCCACGGGAGAGGCCATGAGGAGCGCGAGGTCGCCAGCAGCCCCACTGGGCCTCCCACACCATCTGAGTGACTTGAATTCCAGGGTTGGGCTCTGTCTTGAGTCTCCACATCAGTCTCACACCAGGGAACTTGGGGGTCCCCCGTTAAACTACAGCTGACCCTGGGCCTCAGGGCGGGATGGTCCCAAGGTGAGCTCCGTGGACAGCAAAGCGCATTTCTTCCAGTTGGCATGTTGTCGAAGCCAATGGCAGCTTGACTGATGTGAGGTGGCTATTCCACCTGGTTCAAGATGGAGGTGTAGAGAAAAGGGAAGTGGGGAACAAGGACTGGGCCAGGTAGGACGGATCCACGTAACGAGGCCCAAGAAAAAATGGAAGCTGGGGGCAGAGAGTCCAGGAGGCCCCCATGCTGTCTGAGGGGAGGCCGGCATAGCCCCTCCTCGACTGTCGCCTGAGCAGCTGATGAGGTCCCCAGCGCCGCACGCTGTGCTCCAGGGAGAGGAGCCAAGAAGCAAGCGGGCTGCTGGGAGTCCCTGCACTGCCATCTGGCCGGGACGGAGGCGCCTGCCCGGTCTCCAGGCTCCTCTGAGCTTGGGTCAGCTCCTAATGGAGCATGGCACCCCAGGGAACCAGAGGAACTCTGTGAAGAAAGGCATGGAAAACCGGGGTGTCTCCCGCACAGCTTCCCAGGAGTCAGGTGGGACCCAGGCGTGGGGGGACCTTTCTGCCCCACATTCCTGGCATTCCCCCCAAGTTTATTTCTACTTTCCAGAAACAAGCCACGGGAAGGGAAGGAACCTGCAGCAGGGTTTCGAAGACAGCCAGGCCCTCCGTGATTGAGGGCTCATATAGCCGCTGAGGGCAGCCTGCAGCCAGGTGGCCTCACCTGCTGCCCAGAATTAGGCTGTGCCTTTTCCCAGTCCTTCCCCATGCCAGAGCCTCTCCCCATCTTTCCCCGCGCCAGAGCCTCACAGCCACAGCCACACCAACCTCCCTCCTCTCAAGCAGCAGAATCAGCCTACGCTCCCCAGCCTCAGTGCCCCTGCCCCACACAGGTCACGCTGGCAAGGCGATGACCAGTTTCCGAAACGCTGGATCCCCAAGGGTACAGTGTGGCCCAGTCCTCCCCCACCTCCATGGTGGCCCAGGCTGCAGGGCTCACGGTGGGCCCACGGTGGAGGCCTCAGGCAGCTTTCTCTCCAGCTACCCATTGGCTTAGGACACACAGATAAAGTAGAGCTGAAACACGGGCCAAAACATCCCCAGACAAGGATGGCACAAGAGGCCAAATTTGAAGGCCTTGGGAGAGAAGCCATTTCCCCTACCTCTAACGAGCGTAGTTTTCTGTCTGAATGGCCCCCCTTTTCATGCACGCTCGTTCTTAAGAGACGCACCATCCGCAGGCAGCGTCTCAGTGAAGCCTGTCCCCTGGGCTTGTCCACGGCAGGAGGCCCCTGGCCTGTTTAAGCCATACCGATGCTTAATTTACATTTTTGGAGTTGAATATTATTCCGGTGCCTCCACCACCCCCAGCAGAAAAAATAAGATACTGAAATAAGTTGAGTCATTTCGCAAACATTTACTGAGCACCTCCTGTGTGCCAGGCTCCTAGAAAGACAGGGAGTTGGTGCCCTGCACAGATGACAAACTGCCCCAGACAGCAGACAGACAAACAAACTGCCCCGGACAGCAGACAGACAAACAGACACATTGCCCTGGACAGCAGAGAGACAAACAGACACACTGCCCCGGACAGCAGACAGACAGACACGTTGCCCCGGACAGCAGACAGAAAAACTGCCCCGGACAGCAGACAGACAGACAAACTGCCCCAGACAGCAGACAGACAAACTGCCCCGGAAAGCAGACAGCAAACTGCCCCAGACAGCAGACAGACAGACACACTTCCCCAGACAGCAGATAGACAGACACCCTGCCCCAGACAGCAGACAAGCTGCCCTGGACAGCCTGCTCACCTTGCCTGCCACAGTGCATGCCCCACAGGGAGAAGCCTTCCTTCTCACCCAGGGAGTCCAGCCATTTTCACCTCCCCTGGTCCATGCTCAGGAAGTCTGGTCACCCTGGCAAACTGCACCTGACATTGAGGTCCCTTTTCACCAAAGATGCACAAGGTGTCCATGCCGAGCCGACATCATTCAGGCCAAGGGCAGAGGATGTAATGAGGGGTGGAGTGAGGATGTGGAGAGAGAGCAGAGAGCGCCTCCTATTCTACCGCGGCTGCCTCTGCCCCCACAGCACCCACAGATCCCTGGCCCTTCCAGGAGTAAGTCCTGGGCAGGCAGAGCTGGGGTTGGCCTGATCCCACCTGCCTTGCTCTTGGAAAGGACATCAGGTGTGGGCAAAGCATCCTTGAAGCCCAGACAACACAGGCATGGCCTGCGTGCCCTCCCAGCATCTGCTGCGATGGCCTCAAGGCCTCTCCAGTCCCCTGCTGCACCATGCCACTCAGAGCCCCTGAGTGAGCCCCCTGGAATTGTCTGCACCCCCCAAGCCCCAACAGGAAGAAGGGAAAGGTGGGGAAGCTGACGCTCACTCAGTGCCCACTGGGTGCCAGGCTCTGGGCTCAACCCTCTAATATCCACACATTCCATCCCCCCAGCCCCATGTAGATGGTGGGGTTAAGACCATTCTTCAGATGTGGAAATGAAGGCTCTGGGAGACCACAGGACATGCCCAAGGCAAAGAGTTGGTAGTCCCTGGATTTGGGAATCAAACTCAAGCCCATCTAATCCAAGGGTAGGAAATGTCTCTAAAACGTTGATCAATCTGAAGCTTACAGATTGGAAACTGGGCCAGGTCAGCCCTGGCGGTGGAGTCCAGAGACAGAGAGAAGGCTGCAGGGAGGGGAGAGAACAGGAGGATCCCGGGCCAGGGTGACTTCAGTGACATTCCTTCCCTCCTTCACAAGCACGAAAAACTCGTTCGGAGAAAAGACAGCTTCTGCCTTCCCTACCAGGCGGACAGGGTACTCACTGTGCCGACGTGAGCAGACACAGCCAGAGGCTCAAGTGCCCTTGCCGAGTGTCCCCACTGCTCTTGGGGAGGCCCCGGCACAGCCCTGCAGAGATGCAAGTAAGAGAGTGCCCAGTGCCCTCGGCAGATGGGTGGCAGAAAGCAGGAGGAGGAAGAGGGAGCTGACCGATGCCGGGTGTCTTACTCCGCTGAGATCAGAACCTCCAACATGCCGAGCAGACGCAGGCCACATTGCTCGGGGAACAGGACACCAGGGCGCTGTGCTAGCGGCCCGCAGACTTCACTTCTGGCTCCTGTGAGGGCACTGTATTGTCCAGACGCTTGGCAACGACTCTGCCTGCAAGTGGCAAATACCAACATAACCACATCTTCCTTTTAGTTGCCACAAATATTCAGTTTTGTTTTATCCATCATGTCCCCCATATGCATGTAATGAAACATTTGTGAAAATCACTTTAATAATAAACAGGAAATGAACCTAAATATTGCTCTTTTCTCTTATTCAGCAGAAGTCATGAGTTGGGGGGAAATGCTAACTGGAATCCAGAAAAGAAAAAATAATGGAAGAAATTTCATGACGCTATTGAGGACTGAAAGTAAGGAGCTACAGTAACCTCTGGAAAATAAAGCAGCGAGGTGGAGATCTACGTACAGACGCAGGGGGCGCCCACATTTAGGGAACAGACATGCTTCTAACTGGCAGAAGGCAAAATGTCCATATTTCAAATCCCATTTCCCCGCATAACTCATGATGAAATGAGAGTTTTGTTTTTGTTTTTTTTTTTTTCAGACAAGAGTCTCACTGTTGCCCAGGCTAGAGTAGTGGCGTGATCTCGGCTCACTGCAAGCTCCGCCTCCTGAGCTCACGCCATTCTCCTTCCTCAGCCTCCCGGGTAGCTGGGACTACAGGCGCCCGCCACCACGCCTGGCTAATTTTTTGTATTTTTAGTAGAGACGGAGTTTCTCCGTGTTAGCCAGGATGGTCTCGATCTCTGACCTCGTGATCCGCCCGCCTCAGCCTCCCAAAGTTCTGGGATTACAGGCGTGAGCCACCGTGTCCGGCCAAGAGTTGTTCTTTGACACTGGGGCTTTAATCTGGAAGTCATGGTCACAGTGAGCCTCAGGGAATCTATGACTCATTGAAATTCGGCACGCAATGCTGTGTGTGTGTGTGTGTGTGTGTGTGTGTGTGTGTGTACACATGCATGTACAGATACACATTTCTATTTCTCTGGGAATATGGCCCACAGCTTTCCTCAGGTTCTAAAAGAAATCTAGGGTCAGGTGCAGTGGCTCACACCTATAATCCCAGCACTTTGGGAAGCCAAAGCAGGAGGATTGCATGTGTCCAGGAGTTCGAGACCAGCCTGGGCAACATGGCAAGACTCCCCCATCTCTACAAAAAATGAAAAATAAAAAATAAAAACTGACAAAAGATATATACATGCATTTCGCAGAAGAAGAAACAGGACAGCCAATTACCATTTGAAAAGGTGCTCAATCTCATTAATAATAATGGAAATACAGGCTGCTCTGCCTAGGAGTAGCCATGCTTTTGTTTCTTTACTTCTCTAATAAACTTGCTTTCACACACACACAAATGGAAATATAAATTGAGACAACAAAAATATGCCATGTTAGCACTAGGTTGGCAAAAAAACAATAATAAGTGTGATAAAATCAGAATCAGAGAGGATATGGATCAACTTACTGTATACAAATAGGGAATCTCTTTTTTACATATATGTTCCAGGAAATATACAAAACTATTCATAGCCTCATGTTTATTAGAGCAAAAAGCTTAAGATAACCTAAGTCTCTTCGTGGAAAACTGCATCATAGTCACGTAATTAAATATTATGTAGCTATGACAATTAATTAACATCCTGCAACAAAAGGGATATATCTTAAAAGCAACATGTGCAGGAACAAGACCAGGATGCGTGCCTGCACCGCTCTGCTGGAGGTCTAGCCAGGACAATTAGGCAGGAAAAAAATATAAACAGCATCCAGATTGGAACGGAAACAAAATTATCCATTTCACATGTCCTGATCTTCTATATGGAAGATACTTAAGGAATCCACAAATAATTACTAGAGCTGATGAAATTCACAAGGTTACAGAACATAAGATCAATATATAAAAATCAGTTGTACGGTGGGCACAGTGGCTCACCCCTGTAATCCCAGCACTTTGGGAGGCCAAGGTGGGTGGAGAGCCTGAGCTCAGGAGTTCAAGACCAACCAGTGCAACATGGAGAAGCCTTGTCTCTACCAAAAATACAAAAAATTAGCCAGGCATGGTGGCACGCACCTGTGGTCGTAGCTACTCGGTAGGCCGAGGTGAGAGGATCGCTTGAGCCTAGGAGGCAGAGGTTGCAGTGAGCCGAGATCCAGCCACTGCACTCCACCCTGGGTGACAAAGTAAGACCCCATCTCAAAAAAAGAGAAAAGAAATTAAAGAAGATCTGTACTCTTGGATTGGAAGACAGTATTGTCAAGATGACAGTACTCCCCAAATTGGTCTAGAGATTCAGTGCAATCCCCATCAACATCCAGGCTGGCTTCGTGCACAAACTGACATGCGAATCCTAAAATTCATATAGAAATGCAAGAGACCCATAGTAGCCAAACAGTCTTGAAAAAGAACAAAATTGGAGGATTCACGCTTCTCATTTTTAAAACTTACTACAAGCTTACATTAATCAAGATTTTGTGGTACTAGCAGAAGGACAGACCTACAGATCAATGGAATAGAATTCAGAGTCCAGAAATGAACCCTTAAATTTATCATCCATCAGTTGGTTTTCAACGAGAGTGCCAAAACCATTTAATGGGGAAAAAATAGTCTCTTCAACAAATGGTACTAGGACAACTGGATATCTACATGCAAAAGAAAGGAAGTTGGACCCCTACCTCCTATACAAAAAATCAACTCAAAGTGATCAACGACTGAAATGTAACAGCTAAAACTATAAAACTCTTAGAAACTAAGACAGATAAATAAGTCTTTGGAATCTTGAATTAGGCAATGGCTTCTTTTTTTTTTAACTTCAATTTTTGTATTTCCGTTAAGTTTTGGGGGAACAGGTGGTGTTTGGTTACATGAATAAGTTCTTTAGTGGTGATTTCTGAAACCTTGGTGCACCCATCACCTGAGCAGTACACCCTCTACCCAGGCAATGCCTTCTTAAATGTAACACACAAATAATAAGGCACCAAAGAAAAAATATATAAATTGGACTTCACCAAAATTGAAAACTTGTACTTCAAAGGGCTCTGTGAAGAAAGTGAAAAGATAACAGAATAGGAAAAAAACCTTTACAAATCACATATCTGATAAGACTCCAGTATCCAGGATATGTAAAGAACTCTTACAACTCAACAATAAGACAAATAACCTAATTTAAAAATGAACAGGCGGCCAGGCATGGTGGCTCACACCTGTAATCCCAGCACTTTGGGAGGCCGAGGCGGGCGGATCACGAGGTCAGGAGATCAAGACCATCTTGGCTAACACAGTGAAACCCTGTCTCTACTAAAAATACAAAAAACTAGCCGGGTGTGGAGGCAGGCGCCTGTAGTCCCAGCTACTCGGGAGGCTGAGGCAGGAGAATGGTGTGAATCCAGGAGGTGGAGGTTGCAGTGAGCCGAGATCGGGCCACTGCACTCCAGCCTGGGTAACAGAGCAAGACTCCGTCTCAAAAAAAAAAAAAAAGAAAAGAAAAAAAAAAAAGAACAGGCTGGGAGCAGTGGCTGTAATCCCAGCATTTTGGGAGGCCAAGGAAGGCGAATCACCTGAGGTCAGGAGTTTGAGACCAGCCTGACCAACATGATGAAACCGCATGTCTACTAAAAATACAAAAAATTAACCAGGCGTGGTGGCATGCACCTGTAATCCCAGCTACATAGGAAGCTGAGGCAGGAGAATCACTTGAACCCAGGAGGAGGAGGTTGCAGTGAGCCAATATCACACCATTGCACTCCAACCTGGGTGACAAGAGGGAAACTACGTCTCAAAAAAACAACAACAAAAAACAAAAGAACAAAGAAGGCCAGGCACAGAGGCTCATGCCTGTAATCCCAGCATTTTGGGAGGCCAAGATAAGAGGATCACTTGAGGCCAGGAGTTCAAGACCAGCCTGGGCAACAAAGCAAGACCCTGTCTCTATATCAACAACAAAAAAATGGACAAAGAGGCTGGGCACAGTGGCTCACACCTGTAATCCAGCACTCTGGCAAGCCAAGGCCAGCATATCGCTTGAGGTCAGGAATTCAAGACCGGCCTGGCCAAAATGGTGAAACCCCATCTCTACTAAAAATACAAAATTTAGCCGTGGGCACCTGTAATCCCAGCTACTAGGGAGGCTGAGGCAAGAGAATCACTTGAACTCAGGAGGCAGAGTTTGCAGTGAGCCGAGATCACGCCACTGCACTCCAGCCTGGGCGACAGAGAAAGACTCTGTCTCAAAAAAAAAAGGACAAAGAATGTGAATAAACATTTCTCCTAAAAAGATATGCAATTGGCCAATAAGCACATGAAAAGATGATTGACATCATTAGTCATTAGGGAAAATACAAATGAAAACTGTAAGATACCACTTCACAACCACTAGAACTATAATCAAGAGTCAGGGAATAACAAGTGCTGGCAGGAAAACTAGAACCCTCGGCCAGGCACAACGGCTCATGCTTATCCTAATATTTTGGGAGGCGAAGGCAGGAGGATCAGGTGAGGTCAATAATTTGAGACCAGCCTGGGCAACTAGCGAAACCTCATCTCTATTAAAAATAAAACTTAAAAAATTAGCCATGGCCCAGGCACAGTGGCTCACACCTGTAATCCCAGCACTTTGGGAGGTCGACACCTGTGGATCACTTGAGGCCAGGAGTTCAAGACCAGCCTTCACAACATGACGAAACCCAGTCTCTACAAAAAATACAAAAATTAGCCAGACGTGGTGGCATATGCCTGTAATCCCAGATACTTGGGAGGCTGAGGCAGGAGAATTGCTTGAATCCAGGTGGCAGAGGTTGCAGTGAACCAAGATCGCACCACTGCACTCCAGCCTGGGCAACAGAGCGAGACACCATCTCAAAAAAAAAAAAAAAAAAAAAAAAAAAAAAAAATATATATATATATATATATACACGTATATATATATATATACGTATATATATATACACATATATATACACGTATATATATATACTCATATATATATATACTTACCAGTTTATAAAAAACAGTTGAATCCAAATTATTTTTCTGACAAAATGGGGTAAGATTAAACTTTAAGAATTTTTAAAATACGCCACCTTATAAAGGTTGTGAGCCAAATTTTGGGTAACACAGCCTAAGTCAGTTACCAATATACTGTGTTGGACAAAGAATAGTTAACTGTGAAAACATGACTGCATTATGTGATGAGGCCCAAAAGATAGGAGTGACTCTAACCAGTCTTTACAGTATTCGTTTGGACTCTATTTTTTGTCCTTGAAGAAAAGAGTGTTGCCCTTTCTTTTAGTATAAGGAGGAAGTCTTTCCATGAGAATTTCATCTTTTGCTTTTAAGAAACAGCATGAAGTTCATAATGATTTTCTTTTTGTATCTCCTGGTTGTCAAGTGTTTTTACTTAAATAGTCAGTATTCCAGAATAGCCATTTAGAGGATAAAAAGGAGGAATTGTAAGGATTGGGGAGGCTCCAGAAAGGAACAGTTTCAGCTAGCTTTGACTCAGTGTTTTGTAGGAAGGCAATCTTTGAGTCCTGAATGGACTTGTTTTTTAGCCTCAAGGTATCAATGAGAAATACATACTTAGAGTGTATGATTTTATAACCATGGTCTTTTAATTTAAAGAATAAACTGAATGATCCCTATAATGTTTGAATATATTACTAGCTGGAGTCCTAGAAAATTTGGCATGCCTTTGAACTTTGAGACCTCATTTTAACTAAATATATCTAGGTGACTGAGATTGGTTTTTTCCCTTTTTTTTTTTTTTTTAGTGGCTTATCCAGCAAGTAAGGTGATTTAGTTTAATGTTGAGTACACAAAGGCCAAAGAAACACAAACAGACAGAAAATATAAGTATGTACTCACCAGGAAGAATAATAGTCATCTTCAAATGAGGGGAAAAAAATCCCCTCATCCAAACCTCAAGATCCAGACCTCACAGCTGAGATCAACAGGAGGAAAATAACCCTCCCCAACAGCAGATATCCCACACAGGACAGGGAAAGTCACCTCCCCAGCCATTTCCCAAATAAGAGAGAACTCAAACCAAATTCAGGAGTTCTGTCCAAGAGAGACTTACCAGGTGGGAGAAGAGGTGACTCACAAAGGTAGAAGGGTGTCAGAGGGCCCCAGTGTGAGATTCTCCCCAAAGTGGTTCAGTGCTTGGTCCCACTGCTGACACCATGTATGTCAAAATCAAAAATGTAGAGACAGCTCTGTAAACTTAATGTGTGTAGTTTTTTGTTTTTTTGTTTGTTTTTTTGAGACAGGGCTTCACTGTGTTGCTCAGGCTGGAATGCAGTGACACAGTCATGGCTCACTGCAGCCTCAACCTCCAGGGCTCCAGCAATCCTCCCGCCTCAGCCTCCCGAATATCTGGGACTACAGGCACCCACGACCATACCTGGCTAATTTTTGTATTTTTTGTACAGATGGGGTTTCACTGTGTTGCTCAGGCTGATCTCAAACTCCTGGGCTCAACCAATCTGCCCACCTTGACCTCCCAAAGTGTTGGGATTACAGGCATGAACTACCATGCCTGGCCTAAATGTAATGTTTTATTTGTGAAGAAGGAACTGCCATTCAGGGTGCACCTACAGACCAGGTGGTCTTTGCTTTGTCCGAAGAACAAAGAGAAGGTTAGAAGTTTTATTTAAAACAGAGAAATGGGCCAGGCACAGTTGCTCATGCCTACAATCCCAGTGCTCTGGGCTAAGGCAGAAGGATCACTTGAGGCCAGGAGTTTGAGACCAGCCTAAGCAACACAATGAGACCCCTGTCTCCACAGAAAACTTAAAAATTAGCCAGGCATAGTGGCACATGCTTGTAGTCCTAGCTACTCAGGAGGCTGAGGTGGGAGGATTGCTTGAGCCCAGGAGTTCAAGGCTGCAGTGAGCTATGATTGCGTCACTGGCCACTGCACTCTAGCCTGGGCAACAAAGTGAGACCCTTCCTCAAAAAGAAAAAAAAGAAGAAGAAATGTTACATATTGCTCTTTGAGAAAGTTCACTGGTACTTGTAAGGGTTTGGGGAGTTAGTAAGCTCAGCTTGGTGAGCCTTATTAGTCCTAGAGTTGCAGTCAGTTATCTCAGAAGTTATCAATAAATGGTTTTAGGTTACCACAAGCAGTTTCAGCAGTCGGGCTTACAGAGAATTACATTTTGGGAACAATGCCTTGCACCCCAAATGCTTTTTCCCTCTTGGCTTCTCAACTCTGTTTTAATTATGACAAGAATGACCCAATTTTTTTTTTTTTTTTTTTTTTTTGTGAGTTGGAGTCTCACTCTGTGGCCCAGGCTGGAGTGCAGTGGTACGATCTCGGCTCACTGAAACCTCTGCCACCAGGGATCAAGCAATTCTCCTGCCTCAGCCTTCCAAGTAGCTGGGGTTACAGGCACCGCACCAAGGCTAATTTTTGTAGTTTTAGCAGAGACGGGGGTTTCACCATCTTGGCCAGGCTGGTCTTGAACTCCTGACCTAGTGATCTACCCACCTCGGCCTCCCAAAGTGCTGAGATTACAGGGGTGAGCAACCACGCCTGGTGACCCAATTCTTATGATCAACTTTCACAAAGTCATTGTATTGGGTTTAGGCTCCATGTTGTATGAAAAACCCATTTTGTATGAGTACCCTTGGCAAAGCTCTCAGAACAAAAAGCTATCAGGGACCAAAGGTCAACCTGGGCTTGGATTTTCAGGATGGAAGGGCCTTTTTTATTTTTAGACGGAGTTTCCCCCAGGCTGGAGTGAGTTGATGCGATCTTGGCTCACTGCAACCTCCATACCCCCACCCCTGGGTTCAAGCAATTCTCCTGCCTCAGCCTCCTGAGTAGCTGGGATTGTAGGTGCCCACCACCATGCTCGGCTAAATTTTGTATTTTTAGTAGAGATGGGGTTTCACCATGTTGGTCAACCTGGTTTCGAACTCCTGATCTCAGGTGATCCACCCGCCTTGGCCTCCCAAAGTGCTAGGATTACAGGCATGAGCCACTGTGCCCGGCTATGGAAGGGACTTTTAAACTCTTTTTTTTTTCCCTGTTTCTCTCTCTCCTTTTTTTCAATTGTCTGGAGGGGGAGGGGGTTGGTGGCAGTAATGGGAGCAGAGCAGTAATTTTATGTTGATTAAATACACATTCTTCAGTGCCTCTTTAGAAGACAACATTTCAGCTGAGAAGAATGAGTCAGGATTTACAAAGTGAGCATGGGGAGAAAGGCTTTCTGGCAGAAAACAGAGCACAATGCTTTCCAGGAGCTGAAGACAACCAGAGATACAGGGACTCACAGTGTGAGGGGAAGAGTGTAATGAAAAGAGGCTGGAAAAGTTGGCAGTGCCAGCTCACACAGAGCCTTGGAGCTCAGGTGAAGAGTTGAACCACAAAGGGTTCCAAGTAGGGATCTGATACAACTGGGTTTACATTTGGGGAGGAGCATGTGAAAGAGGACTGCCCTGTCAGAGCCTCACATTCTCCTGGTCAAAGGGGCTGGGTCAGGAATGTTCACATAATCTGACCAGTACCTGACACAACTGAGACTCAGTCTGTCTTCCCCAGCGGGACCGATGGAAGGGTTGTGGAAGCGGGAGGTGCACTAGGTGTGTACCACTATACCTGGCTAATTAAAAATTTCTTTTTGTAGGGTCGAGGTCTTGCTTTGTTGCCCAGCCTGGTCTCAAACTCCTTATTTCAAGTGATCCTCCTGTCTTGGCCTCCCAAAGTGCTGGAATTACAGGTGTGAGCCAGCATGCCCCATCCTAGCATTGTGATGCTGTTTTACTATATTATTTATTTTGAGATGGAGTCTCGCTATGTTGACCAGGTTGGAGTGCAATGGTACAATCTCAGCCTTGGCTTCCACAACAAAAACCGAGGAATCAGGGTTTTCCTCTGGCCATGGTGAAACCCTGTCTCTACTGAATACAAAAAATTAGCCAGGCGTGGTGGCACACACCTGTAGCCCCAGCTACTTGGGAGGCTGAGGCAGGAGAATCACTTGAACCCGGGAGGCAGAGGTTGCAGTGAACCGAGACTGCACCATTGCACTCCAGCCTGGGCAACAAGAGCAAAACTCCATCCCAAAATAAATAAATAAATAAAATGTTTTTCTCTGCAGCCCTCACCAACTTGAGTTTGGAAATTTTTGCCTTTGCAGACCCACCTGCTTCCTACAATGGAATTGAACAAGTCCGTGAATTGGTGCATTTTATTCAAACTCAGTTCAAAAATGTTATCAAAATAGCATCTGAAGCTCCAAAAAATTTTCAGCCTTTGTTTTTTAGCAAATTACAATTCTTACAAAATTGCAAAAAGGAAGACATTGAAATGTATCCCTATGGAGCAATAAAACTCAATGAGAGTTCAAAAGAGAATGTCTTTTGAAATTCTATAACTGAACTGTTTTCTTTTAAAGAGGGAGTCTGGCTATGTTGCCGAGGCTGGACTTGAATTCTTGGGCTCAAGCTATCCTCCCGCCTCAGCCTCCCGAGTAACTGGGACTACAGACGCGGCCACCACGCCCAGCTCAACTGCACTTCGAAACATCCCGACATGTAGGAGTAAATTCCTCTGACGGGTACACTTGGTCTTAATTGGATCAACTGACATTCCGAATCCAAATATAAGTAATTGAGAAGGGCCACGATTTTGCAGCATCCAAATCTGGTGAAACGCTCACAAGAATCGAGAGCTCCCAAGGCAGGGGGCCTGCGAGCTCTGTGTGCCCGGTGCAGGCACAGAAGCGCCGCCTCACCGGGTTCGGGCCCCAGGACACCTTCCGGGCCGTCGGTGGGGCCTTTTCCGGTCCTGACAGCGCCCTATACGTAGGCACCCCGCCCTCCCGGCATTCCCCGGGGTCGCCGCGCGCTGAGCGAGAAAAGCTCAGCCACCATCAGGTGCGCGTGCGCACACGGCGGCAGCCAAACCACAGGCGCGGTCGCAGACGCGCGCCCCCTCCTGGCAAGCTCGCGCGCTCTCGCACGCACCCCGCCGATGCGCAGGGCCTGCCCGGGGGCCGCGGCAAACCGGGCTGGAGGCGGACTGGGGGCGGGGCGGGACGGGGTGAGGGGGCGAGAAGAGGGCGGGGCAGGGGAGGGGTCGGGGGGGCCGGGAGGAGGACGGGGCGGTGGGGAGGGGGGCAGGGGGCGGGGGCAGGGGGCGCGGCAGGGGCGGGGGGCTGGGGGGAGGACGGGGCGGTGGGCGGGGGGCTGGGAGGAGGACGGGGCGGGGGTGCTGGGAGGCGGGCGGGGCGGGGGGCGGAGGCGGGGGGGGCTGGGAGGAGGGCGGGGCGGGGGGGGGCTGGGAGGAGGGCGGGGCGGGGGGGGGCTGGGAGGAGGGCGGGGCGGGGGGGGGGGCGCTGGGAGGAGGGCGGGGCGGGGCAGGGGGCGGAGGCGGGAGGGCAGGGCCGACGGACGGCGGGCGGCGGCGGCGGTGGCGGCGCTGGAGTCGGCGCGGGTGCTGGCGCCATGGAGGCCGAGCGGGGTCCCGAGCGCCGGCCTGCGGAGCGTAGCAGCCCGGGCCAGACGCCGGAGGAGGGCGCGCAGGCCTTGGCCGAGTTCGCGGCGCTGCACGGCCCGGCGCTGCGCGCTTCGGGGGTCCCCGAACGTTACTGGGGCCGCCTCCTGCACAAGCTGGAGCACGAGGTGCGGGGAAGGGCGGCGGGCACGTGCGGCGGCCGGGGTGGGAGCGCGGCGGGAGCCCGCGGCGCGGGACAGGGAAGAGCGCTCCCGGGCGGCGGGAGCCGCGGTGAGCCACCCAGAGCGCGTCCTGGGCAGCTCTGGAGCGGCGTGGAGTTGGGGGCCGAAGAGTGACAGCAGGAGACCGGGGTACCTGCGGCCCTGATCTGCCCGGGCCCGAGACCGGCTGAGGGCTGCGTTGGGAACTTTAGGTCCTCCACACACCCGAGCCTGACACAGCCCTGCGAGGAGTGAAACTCATCACCCCCACTTCACAGATGAGAACACTGCGGCTCCGAGAGTCCCTTCAGAGGGATTCTTTCAGCCGCTGCCTCACAGGGACAACGGGAACCCCGTGAATTTGTGTAGCTGTAACTGTTGGGTTCACAGAATTCGGTGTTTTTTCATTTGATTTGAGCCTCGGGGTCCCCTCATCTTGCAGGTTAAAGAAAACAGGCTGTGAGAGGTGGAGGAGAAATCTAAAGAAAAATGGAAAAGATTGAGAAGCCTCTAGGTTCTCTCCCTTTTTGTGAGGACGGCCCATCCGGCTCACCTGCCTCCTCCACTCCAAAGCGTTCCCCACTGTCCTGGCTGGGGATGAGCCCTGGATTTTTATTGCGTGCCCAGAGGCTGAGGCCACAGCACCTTCCCGGGCTGGCGGGGGGGGGGGTGTTTTCTTTAGCTGGGACCCGACATCTCCTCCAGGTGCTGTCTCCCGGACGGAGATGAGCCTAGTGGCGCAGGTGATGAAGTGGAAACCCCAGAGCCAAGAACAGGGACCCGGGCCGGGAACTAGGAGTCCCTGAGCCTGGCTGCTGGCCAGACTCTACGGTCTCTGAGCCAGTTTTTCTCTGTGTAATCCTGATTGGACTAGGAACCTTCCTGCTGGAAACGTGCAGTGAGTGGCACCTCCTTATGCTACAGTGTAACAGAGAGTTTCCTCTGCCCCTCACTTCTGCCATATGCTTTCCGAGGACCACTCTGGTCCCAGGCCTGTGCTGGGTGGAAGGGACCTTGGTTTGTTCATGAGGACAAAAAGGTTCCCATGGGCTGCGTGGAAGGAGCACAGTGGGAATGACCAGCTCCTGCCCAGCCAGCCTCCACGGCAGCACGCCCTCCCTCGGGCGGTCACTCGCCCGTCTGAGACCTGTTCTCCATCTGGGAAGGGGATGGTGAGACACCATCTGGCTCCCACAGTATTGGAAGGATGGGAGGTGGCATGAGAAATATGCCTGGCACACAGAGGGTGGTCGCCACCGTGCCACGTCCCCTGCCCAGGCCGCCTTGCCTGCTGTTGCCCTACTAAGGGGCAGCCAGTGTTTTTCCGTGACCCTTCCCCAGCCGTTAAGGACAGAGCTGAATCACTGCTTTACCATTCACAAACTTGCAGCTCTTCCTGAGTGAAGCCTCCTGCTGCTACTGGCCCAGGTGTGGAGGAGGCCGCCAGCAGCAGCAGCACCTGCCAGCGCTGTGGGCCCTTACACCCCTGGCCATCAGCCCTCCTGCCTCACCTTAGGCCGGCTGCCCTGGAAAGGATGGGGAAACTTGAAGATACATACATATATATATATATATATATATATATATATATATATATATATATATATATATAATTTTTTTCTTTTTTTAATTGAGACGGAGTCTTGCTCTGTCACACAGGCTGGAGTGCAGTGGCATGATCTCGGCTCACTGCAAGCTCTGCCTCCCGGGTTCAAATGATTCTCCTGCCTCAGCCTCCCGAGTAGCTGGGATTACAGACGTGCGCCACCACACCCAGCTAATTTTTGTATTTTTAGTAGAGATGGGGCTTCACCATGTTGGTCAGGCTGATCTCGAATTCCTGACCTCGTGATCCGCCCGCTTTGGCCTCCCGAAGTGTTGGGATTACAGACGTGAGCCGCCACGGCCGGCCGAAGAGATGTTTTTAAAATGTCTACTCTTCTGTCTGCACAAGCTTCCCAGTTGCAAAACCACTCCCCTTATCTCCTGGGGAGCTCTTCCAGTCCTGCCATGAAGGGGTTGTGGTGAAGGAGAAACCCAGCACCCCATTTCACAGCTGGGTTGAATCCAGGCCAGGCTTGAGACAGGCTCTCTGACCCTCAGCCTCACGCTGTCCCCTAGGGATTTGGAGTACTGGGGCGGAAGCCCGAGGTCTGGATTCCAGCCCTCTGAGCCTCCCCCCAGCCCTAAACTGGAGAAGGCAGTAGCCTCCCCAGACCCACCTTGAGGGCTAAAGGAGAACTGGATGGCTCTTGTCTCAGGTGCCTTGTCTCTCATGTGACCCCTGGTTTGCTCCACCCTGGGCTATCTGCCTCCAGGCCTTCGCTCTTACTCTTCCCTCTGCGTGGAGTTCCTTTCCATCCTCACCCCGTAGCCTCATGTTTAAATCTTCCCCTTCTTCAAAGCTGGCCTCTGGTTATGGTTCCTCATCCATAAAGTCTTCCCAGGCCCTCCAGGCCCCAGAGCAATTTACCTGATACTCTTAGGTGGCCTAGACCTTACTCAGCCTGAGCTTCCTGAGCGAGACCTTGAGTGATTCATCCTCACGCCACCAAAGGGCAAGTCCTGCCCAGTGCACAAAAGCTGCCTGCACCTGAGTACTTAGCTAGTTTCCAACTGCCGTTTTTAATCGAGTAGTGGGAAATACGTTTTAGGGAGGAACTGGCCTTTGTTGAGCCTCCACTGTGCGCCAGGACTTTATGCACGCTGTTTGATTTCATTCCATCAGTGTCCTGAAAGGTGGATGACACCCCCTCTCACAAGTGAAGAAACAGTCTCAGAAGTGTAACAATGGCGCCACGTGTTTATAGAGCATTTGCTGTGGCCAGGCTCCACTCTGAGTTCTGGGTATGAATCACCTAATCCTCCCAGTAGCCCTCAGAGGGAGGTTCTGTTATTCCCATTGTGTGGATGAGGAAACACGCATGGGATAGTTAAGTAACTTGTTCAAGGTCACTTGTCTAGGAAGTGGTGAAACCAAGATTTGAACCCACACAGCCTGGCTCCAGAATCTGCCCAGAAGCCCCCCTTGCCGGCTTGTGGCAGACAGGGCGTGAGTGTGGCTGTGCCAGGGACCCCTCTGCTCCACACACACCAGAAGAGGTCACTTGCCTGCTTGACTAGCCGCACAAGGCAGGACCAAGGCCCTTATCTCCCCATCCCACCTTGACCTGGGGCCTCGCTTCCTGTTGGCCTGGATTGGGTGGGGCTGGGCTGGAGGAGGCTTCTCTGTGAGTTGACTCAGCTGTCCTAGTGTTGAGGGGTTCTTCTGGTGAGGGGGGCATTGGGGTGTGCCCCCAGCCACCAAGATCCTGACTCTTCCATTGACCTCCAGTGTAATTGGAGCCACCCTCTCTGCCTTTGGGGCCTCTCTTTCTGTGTAATGTGAGTGGGGTGGACTACAGATACCTCCAGCAAGTCCTCAAGGTCCCATCTCCATGCACAGCATCCTGTGGGACGAGGCTCTGGATGACAGCTCAGGTGACGGTGGGGTACATTAGGTCCCTGTTCCGAGCCTGAAATCTCCAGGAGCTTCAGTCTCCCCGCCCGTAAGACTGTGTGGTTGCATTAAACAGGTCCCACACCTCTGAAGGAGACAAGTTTGTCCTTGAGGCCTGGGTGTGGCACCTCGGGTGGCTTTCTGGAGTGGTGAAGGCATTGGGGTGGGGTCTCCTGCCCACACCCCTGCTGACGGGAACTCTGGCCCCCAGGTTTTCGACGCTGGGGAAGTGTTTGGGATCATGCAAGTGGAGGAGGTAGAAGAGGAGGAGGACGAGGCAGCCCGGGAGGTGCGGAAGCAGCAGCCCAACCCGGGGAACGAGCTGTGCTACAAGGTCATCGTGACCAGGGAGAGCGGGCTCCAGGCAGCCCACCCCAACAGGTAGGAGCCTGGCCAGAGACACCACCACAACCTTCACTTGGTGAAAGGTGGGAGATGCAGTAATGCAGATTCTCCTGGGCCCTGCACCGCCGCTGGACATCTTCCTTAGGACAGCTTTGTGGCAAGCACGTGTGGCCAGCGGTGTGTCCATCAGGGCTTCAGAGTACTGTCCGTGGCAACACAGCGTTCCTGGGGTGACCGGATGGACCGCGGCCTGAGAGCCTCTCCCAGCGGTCTCATTGTCACAGTGGTCCTGCTACAGGGGATTAGAAGTTCCAGTTTTGCTCGAGGTCACCCTCCAGGTTAAGGGTGCAGGTCAGCCTTACTCCTCCCCAGTCACAGCCCCTCTCTGGTCCTGCTAAATTGGAATCTGGGGTGGGCCCTGGAACACCTGAGGACCTGAGACCCAGAGCAGGCCTGGCCTTGCCAAGGACCACGGTGTAGTTAGGGCAGAGCTGAGACTGTACCCCAGGCTTCCTGCCCCCAGGGACCAAGAGTGGCTATCCCTAGGTCAGGCCTGCAGGCCCATCTGCCAAAGGTTTTGTGGACCCTCAGAGAAACTTGCTGGGCCCCTGTGTCCACGCACAGCTCTTTGGGCAGGGGTCTGGTCTCTTCTGCAGAGCTTCTCCCGCCTCCTCCTCCAGCTGGGAGTGGGCAGTAGCAAGCCACCCCGGAAATACGGACAGCCCAGCACCCCCGCCCATGCGTGCTTGGGCTCACCGTCCCCTTCAGGTTCAGTGAAGTGAGTTCTCCTGTGCGGCTCAGGCCCAGGAACAGGTGAATTCAGTGCAGTGGCTGCCCTGGGAGCTCCCAGCTCATGTTCTCTCTCGGGCCTACAACCACATACCCCGCTGCCAGCCTTGTTTTGGGTGGTGGGGAGGCTAGGGATCCAGAGTCTTGGATTTGGAGCCTGAGTGTTTGTTTCAGCCCCACCTGCTTCCGGGCCTTTCTGCTTCCGGGCCTTTCTGCTTCCGGGCCTTCATCCCCCTGAGTCTCCCCTGATTGCCAGGCCCTAACAAGCTCTCCATCCTCATCCCCATAGCTATCTTTGTACAACACCCCTTGTTGCACTTGCCCAGGGTCACCCCGAAGGCCTGGCTCTGCCCTGCATCACGTGGTCACCCACTCTAACACAAGTGCAAGAGTAAACCCACTTATTTTAGGACAGGCCAACAAAACTCATATAAGCACAATAAGATAAATACTCCTGAACTTGCCCCCCAGCCTAAGAACTGGAACACTGGCTGTCCCTTTCATTTTAAAAGGGGAACAGAGACGGGGGCAAGCTGGGGGCGGCTTTGTCTATTAGGCACCTGTGTGTTTGGTGCCTCCTGATCCGGCAGAGCTCTGGGAGGATTATGGTCAGCCCTGTGTCCTACAGGGTAGGGACAGTTGATCCTGTGCCACAGCCCCAGCATGCTTCTGTAGCAGCTCAGCTGCAGGGGTCCTGTGTGTGGGGACTGGAAGCCTCTCCCACACAAAGGCCTTGGTGCTTCCAGAAGACCTGGCTGCGTGGGTGAGGCCTGTGTGGTAGCCCTTGTGCCGTCTGTGTGCGTTGGCCTCTGGCGTGTAGGGCCTTTGCTTTTGTTGAGCAGCTGTGGTGTGCCAGGCCTGCAGGCCACAAGATGGGCAGCATGGGCCTGCCCTGCAGTGGCCCGAGGTCCAGTTGAGGACTTCACGCTAGTGACTGCTGGTGTGTTTATTACAAGTGCTTGGTGGACAGTAGGTGTACCACATATCTGGTCTCATTTGCTGCTTGTGACAGCCAGGTGACAGGCGGTAGAGACCCCTGCTGCCCTGTTTGAGAAGCTTGAAGAGGAGGAGGTGCTTGCTCAGGATCACACAGGGAGTGAGCAGCAGCGCCAGCACCTGACCCAGGCCCACTGGAGTCCAAAACTAGGCATAACTATGGCACCCAGTAGACCAAATCTAAGGAAGCTTGGGCCCTGGTCCCAACACAGCCCTGGGCCTCTTGCTCCCCCGACTTCCCTTTGCCCCATGCCCACCCGGCAGCCTCACATTGTGGCCTGTGCCCGCAGCATCTTCCTCATCGACCACGCCTGGACGTGCCGTGTGGAGCACGCGCGCCAGCAGCTGCAGCAGGTGCCCGGGCTGCTGCACCGCATGGCCAACCTGATGGGCATTGAGTTCCACGGTGAGCTGCCCAGTACAGAGGCTGTGGCCCTGGTGCTGGAGGAGATGTGGAAGTTCAACCAGACCTACCAGCTGGCCCATGGGGTGAGTGGGTAGCTGGGCCCCGGGGAGGGGGAGGACAGGCATGGGCACAGACCTCCGCTGCCCTGTGCCATCAGGCCGGGTGAGGGGCCGGCCAGAGCAAGCAACTCACTTTCTCCTGTGGCTTCCTAAGGAGAGTGCTATCCTGGGGACTCGGACCCAGCTGGCCTCTGAGCTCACAGGACGCAGCCCTCTCAGACTCCTAAACTGAAGGGGCCCAGATGACTCAGCCGCCTCTTTCCTGGCCCCCCTGATTCTGTCACTCTCTTAAAAGCCCTCAACCATTCCTCACCCACCCCTGCTGGCCTCTCCGGGGACTCACCCCATGCTCCAGCCCCTCACCACTCTTAGTTTGGGAAAAGACACCTGCTTGTTTCTCATGATTTTAGCTTAGATGTCATCTCCTCCAGGGACCCTTCCCTGAGCTCAAAGACGACTCCCCCGACCCCCCCATTACCCTCAAACCCATATACACCCCTACGGGTGCTGGGCTGAGTGCCTTGTTACCAAACGCCCTTTTACCACGAGTGTTCACGCTGTGTTACCCAGGCCTGTGTCCTGGTCTGCAAAGGCAGGGCTGCTGTCCCGGAGCCCCTAGCTTAGCTAAAGGGCCTGGGGTACATGTGAGAGGGCCTCCAAGATCAGAGAAATGGCTGTGGGCTGGTGGTCGATGTCTGGGTTCCGGAAGGGAGTTCCGGTGGGTGGATGGGTGAGCGAGAGGTGCCATATGTGCTCTGTCTGCAGACAGCTGAGGAGAAGATGCCGGTGTGGTATATCATGGACGAGTTCGGTTCGCGGATCCAGCACGCGGACGTGCCCAGCTTCGCCACGGCACCCTTCTTCTACATGCCGCAGCAGGTGGCCTACACGCTGCTGTGGCCCCTGAGGGACCTGGACACTGGCGGTAAGTCCAGCACCTGCCCGCCCTGGAGGAGGGGCCTCAGCCCAGTGTCCCGTCACCCCCTCTGATGGGCACTCATGTCTTGGCACAGAGGAGGTGACCCGAGACTTTGCCTACGGAGAGACGGACCCCCTGATCCGGAAGTGCATGCTGCTGCCCTGGGCCCCCACCGACATGCTGGACCTCAGCTCTTGCACACCCGAGCCGCCCGCCGAGCACTACCAGGTGCAGCCCTCCTCCACCCACCAGGCCTGTCTGCTTGGTAGCTTCCAGAATGTTCTCTGTGCACACACCAAATGTTATCAAACCCCAGCCGGGTGCCAGGCCCTGAGCCAGTTACCGTGGGAGGCATAGAGTTTTGGGAGCCTCTGAGAGACGAGGGGCTCAGAGAGTGAACACAAGCTGCCTGTGGCTGCACGGTGGGGGCTCCAGATCCCAGGGTGCCTGGTGCTGGCATCCGTCCTCAGGGGGTCCACGCTGCTCCCTTGGGAAGGAGGGGGCTGTGCAGTTGGTCTTGGCCATGAGCCCCACTCAGCCCCCTGTCCTCATCTCACCGAGGCATGGAAACACCCTGTGTTCACACATCGCGTGCCTCCCTCCCTCTGCAGGCCTGCGAGTTACCATCATGGTCACTGTTATTGATAACAAAGGTGCTTTCAGTCTTGGTCAGGGCCCCGAGGGACCCAGCTGGCCCACTCGGTAGTGCCTGGCTGGAGGTAAGAGCTCATCCAGGCCCCATACAAGGAGGCTGGCGGGTTAGGGAGTCGGAGTTGTCGAGGCCCCAGTGCCGGGGGAGGAAGAGGAGCCTGTGGGAGCGTAGCCACCTCCAGAACCAGTCAGGGCTGGGTAGGAGGTTCCTACCCTGACCCATCTCTCCTCCTTCCCCTCCTCTCCCATCTGCTGCTGCTTCCGTAGGCTGGAACCAGCCTACAAGGGAGCCTGTGCTTAGTACTTTGTGGGCGTGTGCCACTCAGTTCCTTACAATTTTACAGTTCTGTTTTTATCTTCATTTTACTGAGGATGAGGACATTGAGACACAGAGAGGTTAAGTCATTTGCCAGGGGTCACACAGCAGGGGGAAGAGCTGGAGTCCAGCTGAGGCTGCAGGCTTGCCCCCACGGCGACTGAAGTCATCCTTTTTGCACACCAGGCGCTCACTAAGTGCCTCGGAGGGTTTCGGGAAGGGTTAGACGAGTTGACCCATGTGAGAGTGGGCGCGTGGAGGCTGGGCGTGGGGGCTCATGCCTGTAATCCCAGCACTTTGGGAGGCTGAGGCGGGCGGATCACAAGATCAGGAGATCGAGACCATCCTGGCCAACACGGTGAAACCCCGTCTCTACTAAAAATATAAAAAATTAGCTGGGCGTGGTGGCGGGCACCTGTAGTCCCAGCTACTCGGGAGGCTGAGGCAGGAGAATGGTGTGAACCCAGGAGGCGGAGCTTGCAGTGAGCCGAGATCGCGCCACTGCACTCCAGCCTGAGAAACAGAGCGAGACTCCGTCTCAAAAAAAAAAAAAAAATAGAGCGGGCGTGTGTGGAGTGGTGGCGTGTTTGTGTGGGCGCTGCTGATTGCAGGGGTGGGCTGTGGGTGGGGGGGCCTCCTTTCACTTTCGGTCTAAGTCAGTGGTGATTGAACCAACCATGCCAAAAACAAGGGGCTCAGTCTTGTTGGTTCAAAGGGTGCTTACAAGCCTCCCAGAGCCCCTGCACCAGGAAGGTGCTTAGTACACGTTTGTCTGAAAAAGTGAATGCCTTCGTGGATGCAACTGGAGGGACAAACACTTCCTGGTCTCGGGTTTGTTTGTTAATGGAACATGAACTAAAGTTTGTGTTTTTCCTTGGGAAGCTCTGGGCTGACCAGGAAGAGGAGGAGATACAAGGCCACGCATCCTTGTTTTTTCCCATTTGACCCTTTACAATCAGGTCTGTGCTCTGGGCCCAGGGTTGCCTATGTTGATTAGCTATGGCTGGGTAACAAGTAACTCCAAAACTTAGCACCTTAAAACAGTAAACATTTATTATCTCACACGATTTCTGTGGGACAGGAGTTCAGGAGTGGCTCAACGGGGTGCCTCTGGCCTCAAGTCTCCCTTGAGGTACACAGGCCGCCCGTCGGGCTGTGGACCCGCTTCTGCATGGCATATGTGCATGCCTGCTGTGTTGGTGCTGACTGTTGGCAGCAGGCCTGGGCTCCCTGCCTTGTGGGCCTCTCCATAAGAGTGCTCAGGTGTCCTCAGGATGTGGCACCTGATTTCTCCCAGAGCAAGTGATCCGAGGGAGAGAGCAGAGAGGAAGCCTCAGGCTTCATGGCCTTGTTGCAGAAGCAACCCTGTCCCTTCCACCTTTTTCCTGCTCATTAGAAGCAACTCATTAGGCCCATCCCACCCTCAGAGATGGATGCGGCTCTGCCTTTGGAAGATAGTGTCAAAGAGTTTGTAGGCATGTTTTAATCTTTTTTTTTTTTTAATTTTTTAAAAAAGATAGGGTCTTGCTTTTGTCCAGGCTAGAGTACAGTGGCATGATCCTAGCTAACTGCCATTTCCAATTCCTGGGCTCAGGCAATCCTCCTGCCTCAGCCTCCCGAGTAGCTGGGATTCCAGGCAACTGCTACCAAGCCCCGCTAATTATTCAACTTTTCTGTAGAGACGGGGTCTCACTATGTTGCCCAGGCTGGTCCTACACACCTGGGCTCAGGTACTCCTCCACCTCAGCTTCCCAAAGTGCAGGGATTACTGGCTTGAGCCACCATGTGCAGCCACGTGGGCATGTTTTAAATCATCACACTGCAGAAGCTCCCGACAGCCCTCGTGGCTCCTAGGACAAAGCGGCTCCTCTCAGGAGGGGTTTGGCACCTTCTCGCCCCCTGCGATTTTGAGGTAGCACCGAGAAGATGTGCAACAATGTTTACCTTGTTCTTTTGACACCAAACTAGGACTGTTCGGCATCCGAGGGGCCTGGAGCCCCAGAATCCTGGGGTGAGGGGGGTGGTTAGAGGCTTTGGGGTGTTGGGAGGGAGGAGCAGCCATGCGCCCCTTGAGGCCATAGAACCTGATGCCAGGTGGTGAGGCTTGTGTCCCCTCCTTCTTTTCCTTTTTTTTTTTTTTTTTTTTTTTTGAGATGTAGTCTCACACTCTCTCCCAGGCTGGAGTGCAGTGGCGCAATCTCGGCTCACTACAACCTCCGCCTCCCGGGTTCAAGCGATTCTCCTGCCTCAGCCTCCCGAGTAGCTGGAATTACAGGCACGCGCCACCATGCCTGGCTAATTTTTATATTCTTAGTAGAGTGGGGATTTTGCCATGTTGGCCAGGCTGGTCTCGAGCTCCTGACATCACGTGATCCACCTGCCTCACCCTCTCAAAGTGCTGGGATTATGGACATGAGCCACCACGGCCGGCCTTTCCCTCCCTTCCTTGACCTCATCTCTACTTCCGGTGTGTTTCCTTTTAGGCCATTCTGGAGGAAAACAAGGAGAAGCTGCCACTTGACATCAACCCCGTGGTGCACCCCCACGGCCACATCTTCAAGTGCGTAGCCCCCCCCCACTGCTTGGGCTGGGACTTGTCCGCAGTCCCCGCCTCCCATGCTTCGTGGTTCCCACAGCCCCAGAACAGTGCTTGGCACGTGGCACGCAGCAAGTCAGCCGCATCCTGTCTGGGCACAGCAGTGACACGTGCAGGGAGTGGAGTTCTTGGGACCCCAGAGAAAATGCCGCAGAAAGTGAGAGAGCGAGCAGGGCTTTCTGGAGATTTTTTTTTTTTTGAGACAGAGTCTGTCTCTGTCACCCAGGCTGGAGTGCAGTGGCACGATCTAAGCTCACTGCAACCTCCACCTCCCAGGTTTCACACCTCACCTATGAGGCCAGGCATAGTGGTTCATGCCTGTAATCCCAGCACTTTGGGAGGCCAAACCAGGCAGATCGCCTGAGATCGGGAGTTCAACACCAGCCTGGCCAGCATGGTGAAAGCCCGTCTCTACTAAAAATACAAAAAAAAAAAAAAAAAAAATTAGTAGGGCATGGTGGCTGGCGCCTGTAATCACAGCTACTCGGGAGGCCAAGGAGGAAGAAGAATCACTTGAAACCTGGGAGGCAGAGCCTGCAGTGAACTGAGATCGGGCCACTGCACTCCAGCCTGGGCTACAGAGCAAGACTCCTTAAAAAAAAATAAAATAAATTCATCTTTGAAAGTTAAAAATAGGAATAGGCCATGGAAATGCTGGCAGTGAGTGGGTAAAGGGCCCCCTGGGCAGAAGCGTTGGCCACCACTGGTCCCCATCCCACCCCTGTCCTCTGGGCACCAAGGGGTCCTGTTACCAACCTTGCATGTCATGGGGCTGCTCCGCTTACCTGGATACGATGCTCATCCAGTCCTGGAAACCGACACTAGCCAGGCCTGTGCATGCCAGCCCTCCCCACAGCAGGGAGCCTTTGCTGGCCAGGAACATGCTGGGCACCCACAACAGGCACCCGGGCTGCCAGTAGGGGCCCCTCCCAGGAGGCTGCAGGTGTGGCTGTTGAGTTAAGGAAAGCCAGGCCGGCAGGTCCAGGCGGGACACCTTGCAGAAGCAGGCACAGGTGAGGACCCAGAGATGCAGAGCAGATTCCACCTCAGCCTTCACAGGAGCCCCTCCCTGAGGCTCCCAGACACTCCCCTTGGCTGCCCAAACCTGGTCTAGCCAAGAACAGGCAGGCTGCTCCACTCTGCCCCCTCCACCGGGCCTGAGGGCTTTCCTCCCTGCTGGCCTCTGCCCCAGCTGGGCAGCCCAGGGGCTCTTGCTGAGACGTGAGTCTTGTGGTGACCTGGCCAGGGCCTAAGGTCCCTCCACCTCCTCTGGGGCAGAGGCCTCACGGAGGCCCTTGGTGTGCCTGTCTGAGATTGGTGGCCCCAGCCTCATCCTCTTGTTTTGCATGTGAGAGGAAAGAACTAGCACATAATAAACACCCAAATTATGCCATTTAATTTTAATGACAAATGTGAGGTGGACGGTGTGGTCCAGTCCTGCGGATGGGGAACCAGGGGTCACAAGGGTACAGGTTGCGCCCCTCCCTCAGCAGATTGGAGGGAGCGGGGTCTGAACCCGGGCTGTCCAGCATCATGACTCGAACCCAGGACTTGCCTCTGCCTCATTAGCTTCAAAACAGGGAAGGGAGTCCCTGAGCCAGGGCTAGTGCTGGAGTCCCGCTTGGACACTTGGGAGCCGGGATCACCCAGCTCGGGCTCTCCCCACAGGGTCTACACGGACGTGCAGCAGGTGGCCAGCAGCCTCACCCACCCGCGCTTCACCCTCACCCAGAGTGAGGCGGACGCCGACATCCTCTTCAACTTCTCACACTTCAAGGACTACAGGTGAGGGCACCTCTGGCCGCAGGGGCCCTCCCAGTCAGGGCTTCTAGGCACTGCCGGCCTCCCCTTGAGCTGGCGCACCTGCCTCCGCCCTGCAGGAAACTCAGCCAGGAGAGGCCAGGCGTGCTGCTGAACCAGTTCCCCTGCGAGAACCTGCTGACTGTCAAGGACTGCCTGGCCTCCATCGCGCGCCGGGCAGGTGGCCCCGAGGGCCCACCCTGGCTGCCCCGAACCTTCAACCTGCGCACTGAGCTGCCCCAGTTTGTCAGCTACTTCCAGCAGCGGGAAAGGTGGTAAGTCCCAGACACGGCATCGGTGTGCTCCATGGCCCTTTTCCCCGGCCCAGCGTCTGTGTCCGCCTGCTCCTCCATGAGCACCCACTGTGGAAACCGTGGTGCAGGAGCCGAGCTGTGGGCCCCGAACGTCACGGCCGTCTTCACGGACCGCAGGACCTCTCCAGGTTTTTGCTGGGGCTGTCCTCTCCACCGCAGCGCAGCTGCCTGGCCTCTGGCAAACCCCTCCTTGTTTCCCATGCCCCTGCCTCTGACAGCTCTCTGGTGCCCCCTCAGCTCCCAAGGAGAAGTGGGCTGCCCTCTTCTGCCTCTGGGTCCTGGGGTGGCACCATCTGGGAACACAGGCCCCAGGCGCCCCCCAGACAGCCCTTCTGCTCCCCAGGGGCGAGGACAACCACTGGATCTGCAAGCCCTGGAACCTGGCGCGCAGCCTGGACACCCACGTCACCAAGAGCCTGCACAGCATCATCCGGCACCGAGAGAGCACCCCCAAGGTGGGCCCCGCAGACCAGGAGCCCCAGGGCTCAGGGCCCTGGCTGGACAGTGAGAGGTGGGGCTAAGGGGACCGAGCATCATGGTCCTTATGGACAGGTCCAGGCTGGGCAGGGTGGCTTACACCTGTAATCTCAGCACTCTGGGAAGTGGAGGAGGATCACTTGAGCCCAGAAGTTTGGAACCAACCTGAGCAACATAGGGAGACCTCGTTTCTACAAGGGAAAAAACTTTAAAAATTATCTGGGCATGTTGGCACACACCTGTAGTCCCAGCTTCTCAGGAGGCTAAGGCAGGAGGATCACTTGAGCCCGGGAGGTTGAGGCTGCAGTGAGCTGTGATCGCGTCACTGCACTCCGCCCTGGGCGACAGAGCAAGACCCAGTCTTTAAAAAAAGAACTGTCCTGGGTGCGTCTAATCGCAAAGTTCCTACCACATAGTGTGCCAGGTATGGCTGCCCAGCAGGGTGAGGTGGCTGAGCCTGGACAAGGAGCCTCTCAGAGCCGTGGTAAAGATTCATAGTGAGGGGACATCCAGAAGCAGTATTGGGATTGCAGGACACAGGATCTGCCTGGACTGTGTACATAGTCAGAGGCTGGCGGGAAATGCATCATGAGGACGATTGTCGTGGAGACTTCAGGCCATGGGATGGGGGTGGATGGAATTATGGGTGAGAATTTATATTTCATTTCAATTAAAAATGGATATAAAGACTTTGCTTCAGGGTGCGGTGGCTCACACCTGTAATCCCAGCACTTTGGGAGGCCAAGGTGGGCGGATCACCTGAGGTCAAGAGTTCGAAACCAGCCTGGCCAACATGGAGAAACCCCTTCTCTACTAAAAATACAGAAATTAGCTGGGGGTGGTGGCGGGCACCTGTAATCCCAGCTACTCAGGAGGCTGAGGCAGGAGAATCGCTTGAACCCGGGAGGCAGAGGTTGCAGTGAGCCAACATTGTGCCACCGCACTCCAGCTTGGGCAACAGAACAAAACTCTGTCTCAAAAAAAAAAAAAAGACTTTGCAGCAACTTAGGCAGGTTTGAAAAGGCAGAAGGAGGAGTAAAGTGCAGCCATGTCTGTGCCCCCTGCGTGGCTTTGTGTGCTCGGGAGCCCCAGGGGGCTCTGTCCTGGCCACCAGCGAGCTTGCACCTGTGTCCTCCAGGTTGTGTCCAAGTACATCGAAAGTCCCGTGTTGTTCCTTCGAGAAGACGTGGGAAAGGTCAAGTTCGACATCCGCTACATCGTGCTGCTGCGGTCAGTGAGGCCCCTACGGTTGTTCGTGTATGATGTGTTCTGGCTGCGGTTCTCCAACCGGTAAGTGGAGGGCCGGCTGGGTCCAGGGTCGGGGAGCTGGGTGACCGGGTGGAGGTAGCGGGTGGGTGATGGGCCCTTTTTGGAATCAGAAAATGTTGTTGGAAGGCACCCTCCATCACTCACCCAGCTAGCGGCCCTTGGAGCCCATCTCCCTTGGTGTTAATTGGCGGTGACTTGCCCTGCCCACCTCAGAGTTCTGGTGTTGCCCACAGTAATGGATGTGAACATTCTTTGTAAAATGGGCACCAACATGAGAACCAGGTGCCATTTTTATGGACCTGCAGAGGCTTCACAGCTAGCACCTCACTCACCTCCACCCCAGCTCAGTGGGGCTGTGGGGCTCCCCCAGCCACACAGACAAGGGAACAGGCTCCCGCCTGAGCAGCAGGTGGTCCTGCCCTGAGCCCTGAACCCCTAGTTGGGAAGGCTGAGTGGGTGGCACCTCCCTCGCAGGGACAAGGCCGCTCAAGAACCCATATGTGTCTGCACACTTGTCTTCCAGGGCCTTTGCACTCAACGACCTGGATGACTACGAGAAGCACTTCACGGTCATGAACTATGACCCGGATGTGGTGCTGAAGCAGGTAGGGCCTGAGGGAGGTGCAGAGCAGGTTCACACAGAGGCCAGGGCACACCCGACCCCACCCCGCCCACACTGCCTCCTAGGAGGACTGGCACACAGGCCAGTCCCAGGAGCCGCCTCCTGAGTTCCTGCTATGGAAGGCGATTGTTAGCGCTGCCATCATGAGCCAGGCTGGGTTCTGTGTTGTCTCAGGTAGGTCTCCCCACGGCACAGAGGGCCACTGGCTGTGTTTGAGATAATGTGGACACAGAGGGGGATGGGTCCAGCAGCAGGTTGAGACAGTGTGTTCCCAGCCGGGGCTTACTCCTCACCACCACTTCAACCGGAAAAGCAGACCACCCTGTGAGTGCCAGGGCAGGCGGGGGCGGGGAGGCCCCACCTGGTCCGGCTGGCTGCTGGCCCGTGACCCTGCCCGGGTCTAGGACCTCCTGTCCTCCCTGGTGCACAGTGTTGAGCGGTGCCCCATGCAGTGGGCACTCAGTGAATGGCAGCTGCACCATCTGAGCACCTGGAGCTCAGGGGCATCTGGACAAAGGCCCTTCCAAGGTGGGGGCGAGAAACCAGAGCTGGCCAGCCAGTGTACGTGGACAGGTAGGCACAGCCTGCACAGAAGCAGGAGGCCAGCTCTGGGTACAGGAAGGAAGAAAGGAAGTCCTGGAAGGCCTCTGTGGCCTGGCTGGTTAATGAGTGTTTCAGATGCACAGAACACCTACCCCACCCTGCCTGTCGCCAGCCTTGCAGGTGCCGCGGACTCCCCATGCAGCCAGCCCCAACGCTCCCCGACCCCTGAACGTGTGGCTGTCATTCCCAGGCATGTCTTTGGTTCTTTTCAGCAGGAGTATGTTCCTGACCATTCAAGCTGCTGTTTTGCTTACTTAGGTTTTTTGTTTTGTTTTGTTTTTTTGAGAGACAATGTCTCACGCTGTCACCCAGGCTGGAGTGCGGAGGCATGATCTGGGCTCACTGCAACCTCAATCTCCTGGGCCCAAGCCATCCTTCTGCCTCAGCCCCCTAAAGTAGCTGGGACTACGGGCACGTGCCTCCACGCCCGGCTAATTTTTTTGTATTTTTAGTAGAGACGGGGTTTCGCCATGTTGCCCAGGCTTGTCTGAAACTCCTGGACTCAAGCGCTCCGCCTGCCTCAGCCTCCTAAAGTGCTGGGATTACAGGCGTGAGCCACCATGCCCGGCCTCCTACTTAGGTTTTTATGTAAATATCATCTTATTCAACGGATCCTTCTGCAGCTTGCTTTGTTGGCTGAGTGGCGTGTTTTGAGGTTTTGAGGTTCGGGCTTGTTGCTAACTGTGGCGGCGATTGGTCATCTGAGGTCTTCACTAATGATAAATCATGGCGCGTGAACATGCGTGGAGGCACCTGGCCATGCCCATGTCCGAGGAGTCCTCTAGGAGGACTTGGAGAAAGGGCCCTGCCATGCACTGGTGACTATACCAGCACACACTCCCCACAGGGGCCGAGTGGTCCTGTTGCTTCTGTCTGTCTTATCCTTGCCTGTGTTGAAGCCTACTCCCTAGGACCCAGACCCCCCAGCAGGGCCCCAGGACATTGTTGGAAGTCGCCCTCAGGTTCTGAGCCCCTCCCTTCTGTACTGTGGGGGTCATCCCGGGAGTCCTCTCCTGGAGCTCTGTGCCTGGGGAGGTACGTCCAGCATGGCATGGATGGCGGGCTTCCATAGGGGCCTTTCCTGGCTTGTTCTTTTCTGGGAGAAACCTGAGCCGACTGCCACCTTCCTCGGGTGTGTTTTGGGTAAAGTCTTGAGGCCAGAAAGATCTTGCATCCCTCAAGCACTCTTGAGCTGGTGCTGAACCAGGGCACAGGCAGGTCCCGCGGCGGAGTCTTGAGCTCTGCCTCCTTCGCACTGTACTGAGCTGAGTGTGAGGATGGTGCCAGCCCAGGCCCTGCAGTTTCTGGAGCCCTCGATGTTCATTGTCTCGCGTGAGCCTCACAGCTGCGTGGCAAAGTCAGTTTACTGGGCAGAGCACATTTTCCCATTTCACAGAGGAGGAAACAGGCTCAGAGAAGTTAATCCGTTGGTCCAGAGTCACACAGTAAGACCTGGAGCCCAGACTCCATCTCCTGCCTCCTGTTTGGACCCTGAGGGTTCGGGGTTGGCTGCCTGCTCCTGGAACCCCCACCCAGTGTCAGAAGCTCCTGGTCCAGGCAGTAGCAGGCTGCCTGCTCCCGGCCCAGCGGAGGCCTGTACAGAGCGTGATGGGCCCTGTGTCTGTTGCAGGTGCACTGTGAAGAGTTCATCCCCGAGTTTGAGAAGCAATACCCAGAATTTCCCTGGACGGACGTCCAGGTAATTCCTGTCCTGCACACCATCGCAGGCCGGTGGGGCGGGTCCCGGGCTGGGGGCCTGCAGGAGCTGCTCCCTTCCCTCTCTGCTGGCATGGGCTGGGAGGGACCTTTGTCCCCTGCAGTTGGTCATTCTCCCCAGAGGCTGGCAAGACAGCGTGGGCTCCCCTCCCTTCCACCCTGGGCATTTGTGGGTGCTCCTGAGAGGGAGGGAGCTGGAGGGGCATGTGGGGCACCCCTGGGACAGCCAGAGGGTGGCGGCACTGCCTGACCCTAGATTCCCAGTCATATGGAGACGTTGGCTGGGCCTCCATGTCCAGCAGCGGCATTCTGGGTGCTGTGTTGAGCTCCTTGGGGCAGTGGGGAGCAACGGGGTCTGCGGCAGGAGATGGGCAGATTTGCAGAAGGTGGGCGTCAGGAGTAAGAGGGCAGGTGCTGGGCGGAGGTGGCCATGGTGAGGTCTAGAGACGTGAAGATGTGGGAGGGGGTGACTTGGGCCACGTGGGGCCCGGGACTTGGGCAGGGGCAGCAGACCCCCTCTTGAGAGGCTGTTCTGAGCAGGCCTCGTAACTCAGGCTCCCCGGTCCCCAGGCTGAGATCTTCCGGGCCTTCACGGAGCTGTTCCAGGTGGCCTGTGCCAAGCCACCACCCCTGGGCCTCTGCGACTACCCCTCATCCCGGGCCATGTATGCCGTCGACCTCATGCTGAAGTGGGACAACGGCCCAGATGGTAAGAGGGGCTCCCCATCTCCTGATCCAAACCAGCAGGCGCCCCCTCCGCCAGCCAGCCACAGCCTGGAGAAGGCAGGCAGCTGCCCCAGGCTGTCCTCTGGCTTGAATCAGCCAGGAATCTGGGTTGGGGAAAGCCCTGGCTTGGCCCACAGGAAGTGCCTGCGGTGCAGAGTCTGGAGGGGAAAGGCTGCGGGTTGGGCCTCTGAGTCGGGGGAGAGCTCACAGGACAGGAGACCCGTGTGAAAGGCACCCTGACCCCAACCCACACCACCCTGGCTGGCCTTCCCTGTGCCAGACCCCCACACAGTACACTGCTGCTGCATATCTACTTTTTTTTTTTTTTACTAAACTGAACATCCAAGCTTAAAGGGCCAGGCTGTCATCCCTAGGGCTGGAGGCAGCCCTGGCCTCTCCTAGAGAAGCAGATGTCAGGCCAGGCCTCCCCAGCAAAGTCAAGAGACCCAAGTTCTAGGCCCGGCCTTGTCCTGCTCATCCCCTGGGAATCAGGGCCCAGGTTCATGGCCTCCCAGCCTTTGCTGGATCCCCAGGCCACTGTCCCTGCAGAGTGGAGGCCAACGAGCCTTCACACTCTGCTGCGCTCTTTGCCATCAGGAAGGCGGGTGATGCAGCCGCAGATCCTGGAGGTGAACTTCAACCCCGACTGTGAGCGAGCCTGCAGGTACCACCCCACCTTCTTCAACGACGTCTTCAGCACCTTGTTTCTGGACCAGCCCGGTGGCTGCCACGTTACCTGCCTTGTCTAGGCACTCGCTGTCCCCAAAACCTGTGCTTGGGGCAGGATTCCAACCTCAGTTCTCTGAGCTGCTTCTGCAAAGGCCCCCATGTCCCTCCCCACACCGGCCCTGGGCATAGCCTCAGCCCCAGGCCTCTGTCCTGCCGAGCCATCCTCCCGGCGCCACACTCCGGGAGCACAGCATCCTCCTCTCACCTGTGGGTCAGAGCAGGACAGTGATGGTGTCCCCAGGGCTGAGCACCACCCCACGCCCTGCCCTCACCCCTCACCACCATCTGTGCACTGATGAGTCTCCAGTTTAGCCAAGGGCTTTGTTCCTGGCATGGAGAATTTGTTCCTGGCTGCTGTGTTTCCAGGGGGTGCTGGGGGAAGGGTTCCGTGGAGCGAGACAAGGTGTCCTCGGGAGCAGGGTTCCACCGGGAAGCGTTTGGGAGCCCTGTATCACACGGGGCAGGCGGGTTTCTCTTCCGGGGTCTCTGCTCTTATGCATCAGGACGACCCCGGGACGGCTGTGGGGCCCCACACTGCACCCACAGGGCTCTATGCGACAGGGGCCCAGGAACAGCCTGAGGCCACCACCCAGCAAGCCCGCCTTATCACCCATTCCAGCTCACCCAGAACCTTCACCAGCAAACCTCCTGCTGAGGTCCTGGCAGGAGGCCACCGTCTTGTTACCGTTTCCTTTTCGTTTGCTGAGGGTCACAGACCCCAACAGGGAAATCAGTATCTGTCTTCCCAGTGGTTGCCCTGCTCGCCGGGCACTCCACGGGGTCCCGCCCTTGTGTGAGATGGGCCAGGATCCTTCGGCAAGGGGCGCCTGGGGCTGGGGCTGATTGTGGGCGGTGGAGCGCCAGACAGAAAAGGATTCCAATGAGAACTTCAGGTTAAAGTCAGATGCCACCTACCAGGGTCTACAGTCAAAATGTTGGCTTTTTCTTATTTTTTAATGTATGGGAGAAAAATGTAAAATTCCAGTTCTTTTCTAATTGTGTTTCTGAAATTAGGAGTCAGCTGCCAGCGTTTTTGTGTGGCTGCAGTGTGCCTGGGCCCAGCTCACGGGCAGTGGGTGGACCTAACTGCCCAGGCAGGCGAGAGCTACTTCCAGAGCCTTCCAGTGCATGGGAGGGCAGGGCTAGGTGTAGCGGTGTCTCCTCTTTGAAATTAAGAACTATCTTTCTTGTAGCAAAGCTGCACCTGATGATGCTGCCTCTCCTCTCTGTGTTGTCTGGGCCCTTGTTTACAAGCACGCGTTACCCTTCCTGAGGGGAGCCATGCTCTAGCCCCTGGAGGGCCTGTTGCAGGGGCAGGGCGGGCCCGTCGCCTTTGGCAGCTCCTGGAGAGCTGTGGACATGCAGTCCCCCTCAGTTCGTGCTGCAATAAAGGCCATCTTCTCTTATTTCTGCCCTCCTTTCTCTTTGGACCCTGGAGCCACAGGCTCAGCCTGGCCTGTCGCCCCGGCTGTCACTGAAAAGCCCCGGATACCAAGAAGTCACCCACAAAAAGTGGGAGAAGAAATAAGATGGCCTTTATATCGCAGGCCTCCACCCCACAGTCTGATTTCCATGTGCTGGATCTGTTTCCAAGCCGGCCGGGAGCCTCGGTCCTCGAGTGGCCCCACAGCTCTAGTGGCCCTGGAGATAGCAGCCTCCCCACACTTGCCTCCTTGTCCTGGGGTGGGGACGGTGAGAAACCCTGGCTGCTGGGGCGTCTGCAGGGCTCCTCGGGCCACTGCTGAGCAGGTGCATGGACACCGTCAGTGGGTGGAAGCAGCGCCACATGGTGACCAAGGAGGTTAAGACTCAGAAGGCAGGCCAGGCATGGTGGCTCACGCCTATAATCCCAGCATTTTGGGAGGCCGAGGCAGGACAGAGAACAGGTCACACAAAGTCAAGAGATCGAGACAGTCAGACAGCATGATAAAACCCTGTCTCTACTAAAAATACAAAAAAAAACAAACATTAGCCGGGTATGGTGGTGCGCGCCTGTAGTCCCAGCTACTCAGGAGGCTGAGACAGGAGAAACGCTTGAACCCAGGAGGCGGGGGTTGCAGTGAGCCAAGATCACACCACTGCACTCCAGCCTGACGACAGAGTGAGACTCCGTCTCAAAAAAAAAAAAAAAAAAAAAGCGGAAGGCAGAGCGGCCCTGAGGCAGGCTGCCTGTGGACTGTGCTGCTTCTCTCCTTAGCCTCCCTTCCAGGGCAGGTCTCAGGACTGATGCTCACACGGACTCTGTCCAGAAGCTTAACAGCTGGTGCTCTCACTAGTTCCCAGCTCACTTAAAACCTGGTGCCCAGGAGATAGTCCTGCCCAGGGAGCAGCTGGGACAGCCCCCAGAATCAAGACCACATGGTCCAGGCTTTCCATGATTGTAGATGGCTATTCTCTGTCCCCACATGTCCTTGCACCTCTGCTCACTGCAAATGGACACCCCCAAGGAAGGCCAAGAGCCAGGGACTTCATGAGCCGGAAGACCAGCCGGCTCCAGGTGCTGAGGCAGTTGCCGGGAGATGTTTATCCCACTAAATACTTCTTCCTGGTACTCATTTGCACCCTCATCACTGTGTTAAGAAGCCATCCAAAGCCGGAATTGACCAGGCACAGTGGCTCACGCCTGTAATCCCAGCACTGTGGGAGGCTGAGGCGAGCGGATCACTTGAGGTCAGGAGTTGGAGACCAGGCTGCCCAATGTGTTGAAATCCCATCCTACTAAAAATACAAAAATTAGCCAGGCATGGTGGTACACACCTGTAATCCCAGCTACTCTGGAAGCTGAGGCAGGAGAATCACTTGAACCTGGGAGGCAGAGGTTGCAGTGAGCCAAGATGGCGTCACTGCACTCCAGCCTGGGCGATAGAGCAAGACTGTCTCAAAAAAAAATAATAAATAAACCCACTCAGAAAGCATCAAAACCTTAAGTTCCCAGTGGATGACAGCAGCTTAGAAAAGGAGAGAATGCTGTCTGTTACGAGCATTTCCTGGGGAAACGTCGCCAGGCTGTTAAAAGGAAGCCGGCAGACGAAATGCTAAATGCGTTCTCCTCTCGCCCATTTTTCCAAGGCGTTTTGTGGCAGTGCGTGTTTTGTGGCCAGCAGGAGCTATGTGGGACATTTGTTACAGATGAACAACCCCACGAGTTGCGGAGATGGCAGAAGTCTGGGTTGCACTTTCTCCAATCCCTAAGTGTCTGGCACGGACTCAGGTGTCCCTTGACACTTCAAAGGATACCCCTGTGCCCTGCGGGGACGGTGCATGCTCACCGGCATGCTGGAGCAGGAGACAGCCTGGCCTGTAAGTTTCTTGCTAGCAAGGACCTCTCTGCCATCCGCTGCTTGGACTGTCTGCACAGAGCTCTGGAGGAATTCAACTCTGGGCGTCTTGGAGAACTTCAGAAATAAGTTAATAAAAAGGATACACAGAGGCTCCCCAGCTGGCTCCTCTGCACCGGTGAGCATCGGGAAAGCCATGAGGGCTGAGGGCTCAGCTGAGTGCCCGTGGCCGCAGAGTTTTTGGATCCTGCAGAGCGTGATCTGTTGGGCATCAAACTCTGCCAGAGTCAAGGGAGCGGGAGGCTGAGGGTCAGGGTGGAGTAGCGCAGCCCCTGGGCGGGAGCCATCCCTTCTGTCAGAAGAATGCAGTCGACTGTCTACCCATTTCCCTGAGCTGTTCGTTCTTTCGTGTGTGTGTGTGTGTGTGTGTGTGTGTGTGTGTGTGTTGTGCGTGCACCAGAGTGGATGGTATAGACAAGAGTCTCCCTATGTTGCCCAGGCTGGTCTCAAACACCTGGCCTCAAGCAATCCTCCCGCCTCAGCCTCCCAAAGTGCTGGGATTACAGGTGTGAGCCACTGTGTCCAAGCTTTTGTGAACGTCAGGTTGTGTCTGAGCGTACAGGTCGGGAGAGGACACAGGAGCCGGGGGAGAAAAGAGGAAGCAGCAGCCGCGGGCTGTTGAGTGATGACGAGCTGTCTATGAACATTTTGCCAATTTGAATGAACTTAGCTGCCAAAAACAAAAAACAAAAAGCCCGGCAGGTCAGGCCTGGCCGAGGGGAGGGAGCCGCGGGCTGTGTTGCTGAGTGCTGCATGGGTGTGGTGACCGAGAGCAAGACGGAGGAGTGCTGCGTATGGGACTCGGCTCATTTACTCCAAACAGCTGCCTGGAGAGGCCATGGGTCACCCAGTTCGAAGCCGGGGTGAGGGAGTGAGTGGCTGTGACACCTCCAATCCTGGCCGCTCTGGGCCAGCAAGGAGGCCCTGTCTGCTGGAGTCGGGACCTAACCTTTCCTGCCTCTGACTCCCCCTCGAGCCAACTGGGTGTTTGCGGGGCTATCCCTGGTGCAGTGAGGCTGCCATAAGCCTGGGCCCCCGGGGGACAGGGCAGTCAGCACCCCCAACTCTGTCCTGGGTAAAAGCAGCTGAGGGCCACGCACTGGGCAGGACCAGGCGTCGAACAGTGGTTGTGGGCCCGGCCATTAAAGGGCCCGGGCTGAGCATCCCGGAAGCCATGGGAAGCGGACAGGACCCCCTCCCTCTGCTGAAGCCCACGGCCCCAGCTGGGTCTGCGCCAGTGTGGGCCCCAGGGTGGCACCCAGGGCTGCTCTGTTCATCTCCTGCAGGGCTTCGGGAGCGTCCCAGGAAGCGTGGGGCAGCCCCAGCTGGATCCAGCCCTGTCTGGAGAAGGCAGCCCAGGCAGATCCTGCAGAGACGAGCTCCAGTGCAGCCCCAGCTCCCCCTCTTCCCTGTGGCCAGGGGTCCCACCCAAGCAAAAAGGCCATGGTAAAGGAAGTCAAAAACTTTATTCAGCTTATAAAATTCCATGTTCCAAGAACATGCTCTAAGCATGCAGAAAGCACAGGACACTGCTCCCGGGTGGGGGCTCAGGTGGGGCCACCTCTGAAGCTCTGCTGACCCCTGGGCCAAGGCCCTGACAGACTAGCAGGCCCAGTGGTCATGAAAGCGTGACGGCCACCACATCACAAGCGTGATGGCACCTGCTGGTGCAGCTGCAGTCCCTGGTGGGCCGGGCACTCACTCTGGCAGCCGCCGTCCCCCACGCCAGCCATGGTTGTCCCGCCATACGCAGTAGTTGAGTGTGGTCGTGAAGGCCAGCCAGGCCAGGTAGGGGTAGAGCAGGCGGGCGGCCAGCGGGCTCACCTGGTACCAGGCCACGGTAGTGGCTGCCGCCGCCCCACTGACCAGCAGGAGATCCACCAAGGCCTGCAGAGATTGGGGGACGGAGGATGGGGAGGCCTGAGGCACCGCGTTCACCCAAGTGCCTGTCCCACTGCCCAACTCCCACTGGATTTGGGAGTCAGGAGCCTCACTCACCCCCACTCCACCCTTGAGTGACCTGGCCAAGCCCCTCCCCCATCGCAGCCTCAGTTTCCTCATCTGTAAAATGGGAACAGTCATGCCACCTGACCCATGCCTTGTGTGGGGTGCACATGACATGCCTGAAGTGAACTCGGTTTGTTCAAGGGTGCGGTGGTGGCTTAGGAGGTCTTGCACGTCCCTTCCCCTCTCTGAGCTTAGAGCCTCCACTGAGAGCGATGCTGACCTCCCAGCATTACTACAAGGCCCAAACAAAAACTTGCTATTTGTCAGGTGCAGTGGCTCACGCCTGTAATCCCAGCACTTTGGGAGGCTGAGACGGGTGGATCACCTGAGGTCAGGAGTTCAAGACCAACCTGACCAATATGGTAAAACCCCGTCTCTACTAAAAATAAAAAAATTAGCCAGGCGTGGTAGCACGTGCCTGTAGTCCCAGCTACTCAGGAGGCTGAGGCAGGAGAATTGCTTGAACCTGGGAGACGGAGGTTGCAGTGAGCTGAGATCACGCCACTGCACTCCAGCCTGGGCAACAGAGCGAGACTCCGTCTCAAAAAAAAAAAAATACAGAAAATTAGCTGGACATGGTGCTGCATGCCTGTAATCCCAGCTACTCGGGAGGCTGAGACAGGAGAATCACTTGAACCTGGGAGGTGGAGTCTGCAGTGAGCCGAGATCATGCCACTGCACTCCAGCCTGGGCAACAGAGTAAGACTCTGTCTCAAAAAAAAAAGGCTGCCGGGCACAGTGACGTGACCTGGAGTCCCAGCTACTCAAGAGGTAAAGGCGGGAGAATCAATCGTTTGAGCCCAGGAAGTCGAGTCTGCCCTGGGCAACACAGCGAGTCTTCATCTCTTAAAAAAGTTTAAAACTTTAAAAAAGAAGCAGTCAGCCGGGCGCGGTGGCTTACACCTGTAATCCCAGCACTTTGAGAGGCCAAGGCGGGTAGATCACCTGAGGTCAGGAGTTCAAGACCAGCCTGGCCAACATAGTGAAACCCCATCTCTACTAAAAAAATACAAATACAAATACAAAAATTAGCCAGGAGTGGTGGTGCACACCTGTAGTCCCAGCTACTCGGGAGGCTGAGGCAAGGGAATCACTTGAACCCAGGAGGTGGAGGTTGCAGTGGGCCGAGATCTCACCACTGCACTCCAGCCTGGGTGAGAGAGTGAGACTCTGTCTCAAAAAAAAAAAAGAAGAAGCTGTTATGTAGAGGGGCCAGTGACCCTGCCCACACAGTACCAGGCTTCGTGTGGGTTTTCCTACACAGTGGCCCCCAAACCCACCCCTGCAACCCCTTCTGCTTTAATAGCTTCCCTCACCGGAGGAGTCAGTAGAGGGGAGGCTCCAGGGTGTGGGCTGCTTACAGCTAGAGAGACATGGCCTTTTGTCTCCCCTGGCCCCGCCTATAGACACTGACCCAGTGTCATATGTGATGCCCCACGTCCTCCAAGGGTCGGATCCAGGGATCAGGGACACATGCTGTGGCCACACTTACCCAGCCCATTTGTCGGGCACCAAAGAAGATGGGGGGCCATGCCCAGTTCAGGGCCAGCTGCCCAGTGTAGAGGCCCAGGGGAACCACAGCCTTCTCTGTGAAGCCTCCCAGCTCTTTCCAGACCAGGTAGGAGCCGTACCTGAAACAGAGGCCGCAGTTCAGAGCACCATTAGGAACAAGGCCAGGAGCGTTGCCCACCTCCGAGTGGCACAGTGATGGTTCATACGTGACCTGACACTGACTGCTGTGTGATCTCAGGGAAGTTGCTTGACCTGTCTGGGCCTTCATTTTTCATAGGGTTGCTGTAGAGATTCTAGTTAGCACATTGGCAGTGCTTCATGCGATACCCAGCATTTAGGACACTCAGTAAATACCTGCCATTATTATCACTGTCACTGCTATGAAAGGGAAGCACATGGTGTGAATAGGTAGAGAGGAGGCTCTTAACCTAGCCAGGGCACTGCATAGAGGATGGGACATTTGGCCTGGGCCTTAAATGATGAATAGGAGTTTTCCAGGGGAGGAAACAGGACATGCAAAGGCTTTGAGGCAGATGTGAGACCCTGAGTCAGTCTGTGACTGCAGGGTGAGGTCCAGGGGGAGGCCTGATCATGGGAGCTGTTAACACAGGGCAACGATAACACCACCAGTAACAGCAGCCGATGCCCTCCAGCACTCACAGGAGCCAGGCCCTACCACTTCCCAAGCATTCACTCATTTCAGTCTCATGATGATGCCATAAGGCAGGCAGTATCAGCACCCCCTTTACAGTGAGGAGACTGAGGCGGTGAAGTGACTGAGATCTCTTGGCAGGCCATCAGTGGATAAAGTCTGGTCAGCCAGGGCCAGAGCCCCGGCTGTCACCTACTAATGAGGGGTTCGCCTTATCCAGAGCCACAGGGAGCCCCAAAATTTCCCCCGAAGAGAGGCTGGGACTGGGTGGTGTAGGAAGGCCAAGCAGGGTGGGGACACTGGAGCCAGGGAAGTGCAGGACCCTGGCTGGGCAGGGCCTGGGCCAGGAGGGGTGAGGCCCACGTGACACCCAAGTTCCAGGGCCTTATTCCCATCAGAGCCGGGCACCTGGCCTGGCCTCTGCTATCCGCCCCCTAGAGTGCCTGGCACCTGCGTCCCCACCCTGCACTGCGCTGGCACAGAACCAGGATGCAGGGAACATTTCAGAAGGCAGTCAATTCCCTGCCTCCTGGGTGTGGTCCCCGCTACAGCCACCAAGAGGCGCCCTGCCCCTCCCAGCACGTCCTTTCCGGGTGGAATTCCCCTGGTCTATTCCCAGGGGACTCAGGCCAGACTGAGCCTGAAGGGGCTGTGGGGGGTCCACACTTGCAAGCCCTGTGTCCTTGGGAGGCCTCTTATTATGGGGGTCGTTGAGTATGAATGAGACGAGCCTGGCACTGGGCAGGCGTTCAACAAAGGAGCTGCTCTTGGGGCTGTTGCTGCCGTTGTTAATCTTAGCGTCCATGCCTCTGCCCAAGACCAACCTTCACACACTAAGCCGGCCTCTGCCTGGAGCTGTGAACATGGCGGGGATGCCAGGGTGGGGTGAGCATCTGACCCATCCCCCCAGGGGCCCAGGAGGAGAAAGTTCAGTTGTGCAATCGACAGGCCCACAGCTTCCCCACCCTGGCTTGCCAAATGGGGCTGGGGAAACCATGCCATGGTCCATGGCCCGCCTGGAGAAGACCCTCTGTCCTGGGCCAGGCCTCCCCTTGCAAAGGGCCAGGCTTATCCCCAGGCCAGTGCACGCCCACCTACCCCATGGCTGAGTAGAGCGTGCCCCAGACAGGGCCCAGCACCCAGTGGGGCGGGTGCCACGAGGGCTTCTGCAGGCCGGCGTACCAGCGGAGACCCTCGCCGTGGACAAAGCGGGAGCCCACGAAGCACCCCAGGCTGGGCGCCAGCGTGAAGCCCATGGCGGGCACCCAGGGCGGGGCCATGGCTGCTGCAGCTGCTGTTCAGGGGAGCTCTGAAAGAGAAGACAGGGCTGGGTGAGGGCATTCCTGAGGCCATGGGGTCAGGCCCGTGTCTCCTCCAGCATCCCCGAAAGGCCTGTCACCCACAGATCAACCAGTCAGCTGATCAGGAGGCGCAGAGATGTGCGGGGTGGGAGTGGCTGAGTGAACGCATTTCCAGCCTTGCTCCTGCCCCAGCTGCCTCGCCTCACCTTTGCCCACCCTCACCTCGACCTTGGGTCTCTGGCACTGACCCCTCCTCTCTTCCAAGGCCAGTTTGGGTCCCCTCCACCAAGAAGCCTTCCCAGCCTGCCTCCCTGGGTCAAGTCCCCGTCCTGGGAGCTCTGCCAGGCCAGTGCTTTACGTTCCAGCACTTCACATTCACCTTTCACTCACTCACTCACTCACTCATTCATTTGGTGACTGGTATCAGACAGAGTTTGGGTCTAATCCCCTTCCTCACTGCCTCACTGTGACCTCAGGCAAATCACATCAACTCAGGGCCTCAGTTTCCCCCTCGGTAGAGTGGGATATCAATGCTCACCTACCTTGAGCACAGCTCAGTGCACAGCAGCAAGGAAGGTCTCTACACAGCTGTTTCAGCACCCCACACGGGCCCCAGTAAAACCACCGCCCCTTCCCCATGCACCGGAGACAGAGAGCAGCCTGCCTGGGGCCACACTGCACTCTGGCCCAGGCTCTGCCCTGGTGGCAATATGGCTCCCACCCTGACCTCATCCAAAAACAAAGGGCTAAGCTCCCACTCACTCTGATTCTAGGTGGAGAATCAGGAGTCGTCTGCTCTTGTCTGAGACAAGAAGCCACACAACCCGATTCAGTTCTGCCAACTTGCAGCAAGGCCTGCTGGGGCGAGGGCTAGGACCCAGGGGGGCACAGGGCTGGGGAGGCCCTGAGTGGGCACAGACTGGTGCTGAGGGAGCCTGGACCTCAGAAAGGGACCCTCTGACCAGGGACCAGGGAGGAGATGCCACAGGAAGAATACTGAGCACTTTCGTCCCAGGGGAACACGAGAGACAAGCAGTCCAGGGGACATGGAGGCAGCCAAGCGGGGGTAGAGGGGTGTCAGCAGAGACTGTGCTGAACTTGGGCTTTGGCAGGGGCAAAGGGCAAAGGGCAAATCTGGCCCCAGGGAGAAGGGGCGGCTGCTGGCCTGGGATCCATGGAGCTGGGTGAGCACAGAAGCAACCTCAGTGCCCAGCAGCCAGGGACTATTAAAGACTGGCCCCCCACAAACCAAGCTTCTGAAGGCTTTCTAGTAACGAGAAAGTTGTTCTCAACATAACACGAAGAAAGCAGAATATAACATTGACTACAGAATGACCCCAATTTTGGCAAAAAATGGATAACATAGATATGCGCTTTTTTTGAGACAGAGTCTTGCTCTGTTGCCCAGGGTGGAATACAATGGCGCGATCTCAGCTCACTGTAACCTCTGCCTCCCAGGTTCAGGGGATTCTCCCGTCTCAGCCTCCTGCCTCCCAAGTAGCTGGGATTACCAGCATGTGCCACCATGCCGGGCTAATTTTTGTATTGTTAGTAGAGACAGGGTTTCACCATGTTGGCCGGGCTGGTCTCAAACTCCTGACCTGAGTTGATCTGCCTGCCTCAGCCTCCCAAAGTGCTGGGATTACAGGCGTGAGCCACCGCGCCCGGCACGTTTTAAAGGAACAGAGTGTCAGGCATCCAGCAGATTCCGGTGCTGCCACTTACTATGATTCCCTCCCCTCCCTGGACCTCAGTTTTCTCGCCTGTTGAATGGGGACAGTTACCCCATCCCCCAAGGTCGCTGCAAAAATGAGCAGTAAGGATGGACATTCTGGGGGGGTGGGCATGTGACCTATGTCCCGGCAAGAAACGTTCCTGTGTTCTCCCTCCCGCTCCCTCCTGCCCCGCCCCTCCCTCCTGCCCCGCCCCGCCCTCCTGCCCCGCCCTCCAGCTTCCAGGGTACACGTGCTCATGGGGTGGGGATGGGGGTCTGATGTCACTACACATATGAAAGGCCACCCTCCCTGGGGCAGGAGGTACTGCTGAGCACTGGCCCTGCACCACCGCCAAGTGGATATGGAGCTCTGGACCACAGCCCTGGGACCACCTCCCAGCTCAGCCTCCCACTACATCCTCTCAGGTAAGCCCAGGCCAGCTCAGCCTACTGCTCATCTGGGCAACCAAGACATAACCGCTGCTCTGCTGGAGCCTGCGTGAGTCCACAGCTGAGTGACATTGTGGGGGAACCATAAGGAGCCTCGTTCAGCCTCCACTGGAAACGAGCCGGACCAGGGTGCCTGTACGTGCCTTTTCCCAGGACACCCTCAGTTGAGGCCCACCTGCCCCACACTAATGGCCTGCTCTCACTCACAGGTGTCCCTGTCCAGGCGAGCAAGGTTAATACCACCAGCATAAGACACGTGGACATCCCGAACCCCTTGATACGACATGGAAGCTGGTGCGCTTTCAGTGATGTTCATGCCACAAATGGAAACCCCCAGTGCAGGCGTGAGCCACCGTGCCCAGCCTAAAATTAACCGTTTTAAAGTGCACCATTCAGCAGCATTTGTATATTCCCAATGTTGTGCAACCACCCTCTGTATCAAGTTCCAAAGCATTTTCAACCCCTAAAAGAAACCCCGTATCCATCAGCAGTGGTTCCCCTCCCCCTCCCTCCCACCCCTGGCCGCCAGCAATCTGACTTCTCTCTGGGGACTTGCCCATCCTGGACATTTGGTATCAATGGAATCACGCAGTGTGTGGCCCTCGTGTCTGGCTTCCTTCACTGAGCGCCATGTTCTAGAGGTCCTCACCTTGTAGCACGTGGCAGAACTCCCCACGATTCTGTCACCTGGCTCCAGCACCCAGCCAGGGCCAGGCACACACTCGGTCCCCAGGAAATCACAATGGGACTCACCCAGTGTTCCCACTGACAGGGCCTTAGAGACCACCATCCAGGTCCCCCGTTGTATGGAACGAATAAAAGTCACAGAGGCATGGTGGCTTTCCCAAGGCCACAGCAAGAGAGCAGGGTCTGAAGCCAGTTCTGAGTCCCGTGCTCACACTCCCACCCCAGGCTGCCCCCTTCTCAGGCCTGGCTGTGGTTATGACCCACAGGGCCAAGGGGCTCAGAGGGTCTGCCCCACCAGAAAACAGGCGGTCAGATGCCCCACAAGGAGAAAGCCTGGTCGGGGGCGGGGAGTTTCCTAGGGCCTCTGGGGAACTGCCCAGCTCCTGAATTGCCCAAATGGGGAACAGGTGGGCAGGGGCGGTACCCACCATGATGAGTCATGCTGAGCCAGGCTAGGCAGGATCCAGATATCTGCTCTGGGATGAGTCCAGGGAAAGCTGGGGTGGGCCAGGCCAGGGGGCACACATGGCAGGGACAGGACTCAGGCTCAGGCAGAGGGGTGAAGCCACCTATACACCCTTTATTTGTCTCCTTCAGAAAGCGAATCGGGATCCAGACCTCGGCTCTGCCTCCATCCAAGGCTCGTCTCTGGGCCTGGCTTCCTCCAACGTCAGGTGGGTAAACCCGCTGTGTCTGCTTCTTGGGGGGCTGGGGTAGCTCAAGGGAGGAAGGGGTGGGACAACAACGTTTCCCTGAAAACTCCAGAGAAGAGAGGGGTTGTGGGTATCAGTGTGGGGCCACTAGCCCCATTTCCTCCAGGGGAAGACAGGGCCTCAAGGCTTGGACCTGTGACGAGACCTTATCAGCCACGAGAGCCCCTGGACACTCCACAGGTGAAAATGCCCTGCACGGAGCAGCGCCCCCAAAACAGGGGCAAGATCGGGGCAGGGTAGAGGGCGCAGGACGTAGAGGCAGGAGAAGGTTCCAAGCCTTGCTCAGCTCTGGTTGTGCACAGGCCTCTGGTAGGCAGGGGCCTGCGTGGTGGAGTCCGTGCTCATCCCGACGGTCACCGCCTTGTTCAGTCCCCACAGCAGCCACAGGGGACCAGCTGCTTCTCCCTGAGCCACACGGCCCACTCGGCCTCCATGGTGGACTCGTGACTGGTCCCATTTTCCAGATGAGGAAACTGAGACATGAGAAGTCACAGAACTTTCTAGGTCCGAGTGACTCCAAAACCCACCCCACCCCTCCCTTTGAGCTGGGTGTCTGCCGGGCTGCTCTGGGCCGCGTGACCACTTGCCAGGAGTTGTGTCACCGCCCGTCTCAGCCTCCTTCCTCATCTGAAACAGGGCTCATAGAGCCTGCGGCGCCAGGATTGGACCCGCAGGCCACTCCACCCCACCTCTGAACGGTGCCAGAAGGTTCTCTCAGGGCCAGTAGCATCACTCTCTCCACCTGCCGCGGCAACATCCCAGCCCCCACAGAGCATCGGGCCCTGCAGAATCTGAGCCCTTCCCCACTGAGGGTGGGACCCAGGGTCTCCAGGTCTTGTGAGGCTTCACTCCTGGCCCGAAGACCCCAGACCCATCGCTGCCCCAAGGTATCTCATCTCCTGAGCCTCTGTGTCCCCATCTATGAGGTGGTGGTCGAGCCAGTGGGTTTCAGGGTGTCTTTCTGTTCTTGGAGACCTCCCTATAGGTGACCCAGAAGGCCAGGAACGGTGGCTCACACCTGTAATCTCAGCACTTTGGGAGGCTGAGGCAGGCAGATCACCTCAGGTCAGGAGTTCGAGACCAGCCTGGCCAACATGGTGAGACCCCGTCTCTACTAAAAATAAAAAACTAGCCTGGTGTGGTGGCGCACGTCTGTAATCCCAGCTACTCAGAAGGCTAAGGCAAGAGAATTGCTTGAACCCGAGAGGAGGAGGTTGCAGTGAGCCAAGATTACGCCACTGCACTCCAGCCTGGGCAACAGAGCAAGACTCTGTCTCAAAATAAATAAATAAATAAATAAAGCAAACAAAAAAAAAGAAGGCGACCCAGAAACACAATAAGGAATGTGTCCCTTCTCTGATCCCCACCCCGACCCCCAGCTGCACCCACTCCCCTGAGCCTTGTCTCTCCAACGAAGCCAGCACTGTCCCAGGGACTTGTTTTCAGGCTTTTTAAAAATGATTCATGGCTAATCGTCCTCATCGTAACCTTTGTGTGCATTTTTCATTACAAAAGTAACCAGTGAAACAGCCCACAGGTCTGGAAAAATCCACAGCGAACCTGGCCATCGAGTGGCCTGGGAGAGGGTAGGGTGAGGGTGGGGTATCCAGGGGGAATTGGTTCTGTTAAGAAAGACTACTTCCCTTTCCTTCGAGGTTCGGGGGTTAAACTTTTTTTTAGTAAAAAATAAAGAAACAGCCTGGCCGACATGGTGAAACCCATCTCTACTAAAAATATAAAAATTAGCCAGGCTGAGGCAGGAGAATCACTTCAACTCTGGAGGCGGAGGTTGCAGTGAGCCCAGCTGGAGCCACTGCACTCCAGCCTGGGCAATGGAGCGAGACACCGTCTCAAAAAATATATATATAAATAAAAATAAGAAATTAAGAATGACTTCCCTAGTGGTCTAGTGGTTAAAAAAAAAAATAAAAAAGACTACCGTTTTAAACAGAGAGCACATCCAAGCATTGTTTGCACCATCAAAAGTAAAGAAAACACAAATAAGCCGGGCGCGGTGGCTCACGCCTGTAATCCCAGCACTTTGGGAGGCCGAGGCGGGTGGATCATGAGGTCAGGAGATCGAGACCATCCTGGCTAACAAGGTGAAACCCCGTCTCTACTAAAAATACAAAAAATTAGCCGGGCGCGGTGGCAGGCGCCTGTAGTCCCAGCTACTCGGGAGGCTGAGGCAGGAGAATGGCGTGAACCCGGGAAGCGGAGCTTGCAGTGAGCCGAGATTGCGCCACTGCAGTCCGCAGTCCGGCCTGGGCGACAGAGCGAGACTCCGTCTCAAAAAAAAAAAAAAAAAAAAAAAAAAGAAAACACAAATAAGCCAGGAACAGTGGCTCATGCCTGTAATCCCAGCACTTTGGGAGGCTGAGGTGGGAGGATCGCTTGAGCCCAGGAGTTCTGCAGGAGACTGCAGTGAGCTATGATTGCATCACTGCACTCCAGCCTGCATACCAGAGTGAGACCCTGTCTCAAACAAACAAACAAAAACAAGAAAGGAAGGAAGGAAGGGGAAGAAAGAAAAAAAGAGAAAGAGAAAGGAAAGAAGGAAGGAAGGAAAGAAAGAAAGAAAGAGAAAGAAGAAAGAGAAAGAAGGGGTGGGAAGGGGAGGGGAGGGAGGGAGGAAGGAAGGACGGAAGAAAGGAAGAAAGCAAGCTAAAGTGAAAAGTAGGCTCCCTCCCTGCGAGCCCAAGCCCCTCACCCCAGCTGGAGAACCCGCTGTGAATACTTTCTGGTAGATCCAGCCAGACATCCTGCCTCACGCCAGGCACAAGTGTGTACAGACGACAGGACACAGCACATGTGCACACACACACTCCCAGGAAAGAAAGTGGTCCTCGGGGCACAGTGGAGAAGGCAGGCTGGGATCAGCCTGCACGGGTTCTGGCCCTGGCTCCACCGCGCCAGCTGCGTGACTCTGGACAAAGGCTTCTTTGGCAAGCCTCAGTTTCGCCGAACCTCCCTGTGGGGCTGCCAGCAGCCAGGTGGAGACTCAGGGGCCGCCTTCCCCTGCTGGGCTGAGGCTGGCTCTCCTGTCCTTGCCACACGGCCCCTTTCACCGCCAGTGGAAACCTGCCTCAGGCTGCCCTGTCCCGGGCCCCACCGACTCCACAGAGACGCCGGGCCTCGCCCACTGTTCTGGCAGTAGGCCTTCATGGGCAGGGCTTGCTGTGTGCCAGGCAAGCTGGGCGGCTGCTTCCTGTACACCACCTCCCCTGATATCCTCGCCCTGCCTGAGCCCATTCTGGGACAGCCTCAAGTCCTGTCTCTCCTGCCATCCAGCCCAGGGCACGCTGCTGGTATCCCGTAGCCCTGGCCCCTGGCAGGCTGGCCAGAGGGGCTCCAGGCCCACGCCAGGCCATGGCCTCTGGCAGCTGCCCTGGCCAGCAGCGCGTTCACAGCAGGAAGCCCCCGCTTCTCCTACCTGGGCTCCGGCTTCTTTGCAAGGGGTAGGGGAAGCAGACAGGTCCCAGAGGCTGCTCGGCTCACAGTAAGACCCGTCTAGGCTGCAACGCACCTGAGCCCCGCACTGGGAATCGAGGGCCAGGGGGCCTCTAACCGGCTTTGGGCAAAATAAACTTCCCCGATCTGGACTGTTCTCCACTACGAAACGGGGTGTCTCGGAGATCAAGAGCCCGAGGTCTCCCAGATATTCTGAGACCCTCAAGGGAGTTCCGCCTGGGATTGCCCATCCGCGGAATGGGCAGGAGAGGGAGCGTCGGCCACTCCTGGGACCGCGCTTCCTGCAGGAGAAGCCACGCGGCCAAGGGCTGGGCGTGGCAGGGTTGTCCAAGTTTTCCCTCCCGAACCCCCAGCCGGAGGCGGCCCGCGCTGGAACCCCGGCCGCGGAGGCCCAGACTCTGCTGCCCGCCGCCCCCTGACCCGGTAGCCGAGCCCCAAGTGCTGCCCCGGGTCGCCCCCTCGGGTGTCCAGTCTGCGGCTCCGGCCTCAGTTTCCCTCTGTCCCGCGGCGCTGCCAAGAGTCGCAGCCATGCGGGCCCCCACTTCCCGCTGCCCCCTCCGCGTCCCGTCCTCACTCACCAGCGGCGAGGGCACGCTCCGGGAAGGGCACTGCCTGGCAGGAGTTAGCCAGGCCGCTGTCCCCGCATCCGCCCCGCCCCTCCCAGCCGCCAGGCCCCGCCCCTCTCAGTCGCCCGGCCCCGCCCCGCCCCGCCTGGCAGCCCGGGCACTGGGCCCACTCGCGTCCCCGCGGGACCGGGAGCTCACTCCTCAAAGCCACCTCTCCCGCGGGACGCGCTTCTGCCTCCCCCCGGCCGCGAGCAAGTCTCTCGGCTCCTCCTCCTCCCCATGGTGACCGGTGACGGCCGCCCGGCCAGACCCAACATCTAAAACGTTGCCGTGTGTCCAACGGCGTGTCGTTTGTCGTCTCTTCTAGCCTCACTTTTCCCATCTATAAAATGCAGCAACAAGACCGATCTCCGAGTGGGGAATTACCTCTCCTGAGGCCAAGGCCCTGAGCGTCCTGCTGCCCAGCAGCCTTGGCCCCATTTCCGGAGCACCCCAGTTCCTTGAGCTGTTGACGCAGGGCACGGAGGCAGCGCGCTGCACTCTTAGTCCTGGCCCAGCCACTTTCTGACTGGCTCTCTGGGCCTCCATCTCCTCATCTGTAAAATGGGCACAAAGTCGTGGGACTGATGAGGCCGCAACGCGGTGATGCAGGCAGGACACCCCTCAGATGCTCGGCGCTCAGTGAGGGGAGGCTGCCATCATCACAGCCCAGAGGTGGCCTCCAGCTGCCCAGGTCCACTCCCATGCAGGGTGTGTCCAGCCCCAGGCCCTTGGCACTATGGCTGTCTTGCTGCAGTTCAAGGCTGTCCCAGCTCCCTCCAGACAACTCAGCCTGGCAACGCCCCATCAGCCTGAACCAGCCACGTTGGCCCAAACTGATCCTGCAGGGTCCAAGGAGAACTGTGGCTACTTCTACCCAGACACAGAAGCCAGGAGCCTCCTTGGGGACCAGCCAGGCTGCAGTATGGCTTTCCTAGGACCTGGCATTTTTGCCTTTGTGAGCCTCTTCCTCTATTAAAAAACAAACATACATAAATCTATTTTTTACTGTGTTGGCCTGAAGACAAGGATAACCCAGGCTTGGTTCCATTCTTCATTCATCTTTTTCTTCTGGGTTTCTTTTTTTTTTTTTTTGAGACGGAGTTTCGCTCTTGTCTCCTAGGCTAGAGTACAATGGCACAATCTCGGCTCACTGCAACCTCTGCCTCCTGGGTTCAAGTGATTCTCTCCTCCCTCAGCCTCCCGGTAGCTGGGATTACAGGCGCCTGCCACCATGCCCGGCTAATTTTTGTATTTTTAGTAGAGATGGGGTTTCACCATGTTGGCCAGGCTAGTCTCGAACTCCTGACCTGAAGTGATCCACTGCCTCGGCCTCCTAAAGTGCTAGGATTACAGGCGTGAGCCACCGCACCTGGCAGCTTTGTTTTTTTTTTTTTTTTTCTTTTTTAAAATTCCTTCTGGCCAGGCACGGTGGCTCATGCCTGTAATCCCAGCACTTTGGGAGGCCGAGGTGGGTGGATCACTAGGTCAGGAGTTCGAGACCAGCCTGGCCAACATGGTGAAACCCCATCTCTACTAAAAATACAAAAATTAGCTGGGCATGGTGGTGTGTGCCTGTAATCCCAGCTACTTGGAAGGCTAAGGCAGGAGAATCTCTTGAACCCAGGAGGCAGAGGTTGCAGTGAGCTGAGACGGTGCCACTGCACTCCAGCTTGGTGACAGAGCGAGACTCCGTCTCAAAAAAAAAAAAAAAAAATCCCTTCTTAGCCGGGCGTGGTGGCTCACACCTGTAATCCCAGCACTTTGTGAGGCCGAGGCCGGTGGATCACCTGAGGTCAGCAGTTCGCCACCAGCCTAACCAACATGGTGAAACCCAGTCTCTACTAAAAATACAAAAATTAGCTGGGCATGGTGGCAGGCGCCTGTAATCCCAGCTACTCAGGAGGCTGACACAGGAGAATCGCTTGAACCGGGAGGTGGAGGTTTCAGTGAGCCAAGATCACGCCATTGCACTCCAGCTTGGGTGACACAGTGAGACTCTTTCTCAAAAAAACAAAACAAAAAATAAAATAAAATAAAAATAAGACACACATGTGGCTGGTTGCAGTGGCTCACGCCTGTAATCCTAGCACTTCGGGAGGCCGAGGCAGGCAGATCACTTCAGGTCAGGAGTTGGAGACCAACCTGGCCAACACGGTGAAACCCCATCTCTACTAAAAATACAAAAATTAGCTGGGCGTTGTGGCGGGCACCTTTAATCCCAGCTACTCGGGAGGCTGAAGCATGAGAATCACTTTAACCCGGGAGGTGGAGGCTGCAGTGAGTCGTGATCACACCTCTGCACTCCAGCCTGGGTGATAAAGCAAAACTCAATTTAAAAAAAAAAAAAAAAACCACACACGTGTACACATTACAACAATAATACCAGGTGTGCCCATTCCCCAGTTATGACCAGAACATTACGAGAGTCCTAGGAGCGCCCTGGTGACCTCCCCAGCGATTCCTCCCCTCCCCAGAGATCACCTTTACTTTGACTTGGGTTGATCACGCCCTTGCTTTCCTTTAGGGTTTTATGAATCCCACCCGGGTGTGTTTCCCTGAGTACTATGTGTGCAGAGAGGCAGCACACCCCCAGCTGGGGCAGAACAGGCACCATGGCCAGGCCAGAAGACTCCCGGGAAGATAAACTCAGCTGAGCGCCTGGGGTACAGGCTGGGCCCGGCCTCTGTGGGCACTGACAAGAGGCCCCTCTGGGGCAGGCAGAGGGCATGGTTGTGGGTGGGGCTCCCCTGTGAGGACGTTGAGCACAGCTGTGGCATGCGCATTCAGCAGGAAATGGTCAGGGGCATGAGCTGTTCTGTCTCTTGCTTCTGAGCTCACAGTGCCCTGAGGAGTAGGGTGCTCAGACCTCAGGAGCAAGGTGAGGCCTGTCAGGTGAGCCATGTGTCCTCAGCAGACCCAGGCAGCAGGGCGAGAACAGGGCTTCCTCAGCCTGTGATAGGGACCAGTCAGGTGCAGGCAAGATTCTGGGCCAGCGTCAGGTGCAATGGCTCAAGCCTGTAATCTCAGCACTTTGGGAGGCCGAGGTGGGCGGATCACGAGGTCAGGAGATCAAGACAATCCTGGCTAACACGGTGAAACCCCGTCTCTACTAAAAATACAAAAAAATAGCAGGGTGTGGTGGCGGGCACCTGTAATCCCAGCTACTCGGGAGGCTGAGGCAGGAGAATGCTTGAACCCGGGAGGTGGAGGTTGCAGTGAGCCGAGATCATGCCACTGCACTCCAGCCTGGGCAACAGAGTGAGACTCTGTCTCAAAAAAAAAAAAAGAATCTGGGCCAAGCTTGTGGGGCATTCTGTACCTAAATGAGCAGCATGGCAGTAGGGATGTTGGTAATGCCAGCTCTCAACACATCTCAAGTCACGCTGCTCCCCGCTGGACAGGCTGCACAGGTCCAGTACACACACCATGCCCGGGTCTTTCTTCACCACCTCCGCCCCCTCCTGCATGGGTCCTTATTTCCTGGATTTCACATCTTCCTCTTTCTTGGTCCCCCCTTGCTTGTGTTGAGCCTATCCTCCAGGAGTTCTTGAGAAAGACTGCCCGGAAGGTAACATTGCTGAATTCTTGCATCCTACCCCATAGATGGCTGATGCTTGGCTGAGCTGCAGATCGTTGTCCTTCAGAATCATGAAGAGATGCTGTTGGCCAGCTGCCACACTGCGGTTGAGCAGGCTAAAGCCATTCTGTTTCGGAAGTCTTTGGTTGTTTTTTGTTTTGTTTTTATTTTTTTGTAGACACAGGGTCGCGCTATGTTGCTCAGACAAGTTTCCAACTCCTGGGCTCAAGCAATCCTGCTCCGGCCACGCTGTGGATCCTTTATATGTAACCGATTTTGTTCTTCCTGGAAAGTTTTTAAGATTTTGGGCCCCAGAGTTCTGCAGTTTCACACTGATATTCCCCTATGTGGGACTAATTTTTTTTTTTTTTTTTTTTTTTGAGACCATCTCACTCTGTAATCCAGGCTGGAGTGCAGTGGTACGATCTCGGCTCACTGCAACCTCTGCCTCCCGGGCTCAAGCAATTCTCCCTCAGCCTCCCGAGTACCTGGGACTACAGGCGAGCTCCAACACACCCAGCTTCATTTCCTCCACTGTGCCTGCACTCAACAGGCACTTTCCCGCTGGAAGCTCATTCTTTACTTTTCAGAAGTTGGATTATTTCTTTGATTTCCTTCCCTCTATTTTCTCACTTCTCTTTCTTTTCAAATTTATGTTGTGCAGCAATCACTTCCTTTCTGGAACTCCTATTACTCAGAATGTAGGGCCTCTAGGGCTGTTTTTCTAACTTCCTTTTTCTCTCTCTCTTTTTTTTTTTTTTTTTTTTTTTTTGAGACAGAGTCTCACTCTATTGCCCAGGCTGGAGTGCAGTGGCATAATCTTGGCTTACTGCAACCTCTGCCTCCCGAGTTCAAGGGATTCTCCTGCCTCTGCCTCCCGAGTAGCTGGGATTACAGGCATGTGCCATGACGCCTGGCTAATTTTTGTATTTTTAGTAGAGACAGGGTTTCGCCATGTTGGCCAGGCTGGTCTCGAACTCCTGAGCTCAGGTGATCCACCCGCCTTGGCCTCCCAAAGTGCTGGGATTACAGGTGTGAGCCACTGTGCCCGGCCGTCTTTTTTTTTTTTTTTTTAATATCACCTGTTATTTTAGATTCGGGGGTATATGTGCAGGTTTGTTACATGGGTATACAGTGTGATACTGAGGTTTGGGGTACAATTGATTCTGTCACCCAGATAGTGACCATAACAGTAGTAGGCAGTTTTTCAACCCTTGCCTCACTCCTTCCCACCTCTAGGAGTTCCCAGTGTCCATTGTTCTCATCTTTATGTACAGGTGTATCAATGTTTAGCTCCCACTTGTAAGTGAGGACATGCGGTATTTGATTTTCTGTTTCTGCCTGAATTTGCTTAGGATAATGGCCTCTAGCTGCATCCACGTAACTTCCTTTTCTTGCCGACTTTTCTTTTTTTTTTTTTTTTGAGATAGAGTCTCGCTCTGTCACCCAGGATGGAGTGCAGTGGCGCAATCTCGGCTCACTGCAACAACCTCGCCTCCGCGGTTCAAGTGATTCTCCTGCCTCAGCCTCCTGAGTAGCTGGAACTACAGGCGCGTGCCACCGTGCCCGGCTCATTTTTTGTATTTTTTAGTAGAGACAGGGTTTCACCATGTTGGCCAGGATGGTCTTGAACTCCTGACCTCATGATTCGCCCGCCTTAGCCTCCCAAAGTGCTGGGATAACAGGTGTGAGCCACCGCACCCAGCCCTTTTTTTTATTTTTGGAGATGGAGTCTCACTCTGTCACCCAGGCTGGAGTGCAGTGGCACGATCTCTGCTCACTGCAACCTCCACTTCCCGGGTTCAAGCACTTCTCCTGCCTCAGCCTCCCAAGTAGCTGGGATTACAGGCATGTGCTACCACACCTGGCTAATTTTTGTATTTTTAGTAGAGATGGCGTTTTGCCATGTTTGGCCCCACTGGTCTTGAACTCCTGAACTCAGGTGATTCGCCCGCCTCGGCCTCCCAAAGTGCTTGGATTACAGGTGTGAGGCACTGCGCTGGCTTTTTTTTTTTCTTTTCTTTTCTTTTTTCTTCAGATAGGGTCTCCCTCTGTCACCCAGGCTGGAGTGCAATAGTTCAGTCCTGGCTCACTGCAGCTTCATACTCCTGGGCTCAAGCAGTTCTCCCGACTCAGCCTCCTATGTAGCTGGAACTACAGGCACGAGCCACAGTACCTAGCTTTTTTTTTTTTTTTCCTTTTGTAGAAACAGGGTCTTTCAAGTATCTGCTTTTGATGAATAAAAAAGAAAACAGTGTGACTATGTTGCCCAGGCTGCTCTCGAACTCCTGGCCTCAAGTGATCCTCCTGCCTCGGCCTCCCAAATCACTGGGATTACAGGCCTGAGCCACTGTGTCTGGCCAATAATTTTCTTTTTTTCTTTTTCTTTTTTTTATTTGAGACAGAGTTTCACACTTGTTGCCCAGGCTGGAGTGCAATGGCGTGATCTCCGCTCACTGCAACCTCCGCCTCCCGGGTTCAAGCGATTCTCCTGCCTCAGCCTCCTGAGTAGCTGGGATTACAAGCATGAGCCACTGTGCCTGGCCCAGAGACCCCTTTGTTTGTCCCTTTCCGGTGAAACCCCAGATGGGTCCCAAAGTGGGGGAGGGGCATCACCCAGTGGCTAGGGAGGTGGAGGGGACCTAAAGATCTGTTTCTCAAAGGCACCTCCAAACAATCCTCTTTGTTTTAGCCTTCTTTCACTCTTAGATCTAGAAGCAGCAGCAGCTGCTACCTGTTCTTAAGTTTTTGAGGATTCTGTTGTATGCATAAGGATTGGCTCGCAGCCTTCCCCACTCCTGGGAGGGATTTAGCTGTCTGAGATCAGCTCAGTCAGGTAATACCAGCCTACCTGCTTTCCAGCTTCCAGAGATTCTGCTGCTGGCGGTCCCCTTTCCTGTTCTTCCTGTCCTTGTGGATTTATATCTTTAAATATCTCTTTGTTGTGGATTTATGGGCTTCCAGAGGCAGTGCTCTCTCTATGCGTCTTAACCTGAAAGTGTCCTCTGTGTGTGTGTGTGTGTGTATATATATATATTTTTTTTGTTTTTTGTTTTTTTCTGGAGATGGAGTTTCATTCTTGTTGCCCAGGCTGGAGTGCAATGGCGCAGTCTGGGCTCACTGCAACCTCTGCCTCCTGGGTTCAAGCAATTCTCCTGCCTCCGACTCCCAGGTAGCTATGATTACAGGCATGTGCCGCCACGCCCAGCTAATTTTTGTATTTTTTGTAGTGAGGGGGTTTCACCATGTTGACCAGGCTAGTCTTGAACTCCTGACCCCAGGTGATCTGCCCGCCTCGGCCTCCCAAAGTGCTGCGATTACAGGCATGAGCCACCGCACCCAGCCTTTTTTTTTTTTTTGAAACGGAGTCTTGCTCTGTCACCCAGGCTGGAGTGCAGTGGTGGGATCTCGGCTCACTGCAACCTCTGCTGCCCGGGCTTAGGGGATTCTCCTGCCTCAGCCTCCCGAGTAGCTGGAACTATAAGCGCCCACCACCACGCCCAGCTAATTTTTGTATTTTTAGTAGAGACGGGGTTTCTCCATGTTGGCCAGGCTGGTCTTGAACTCCTGACCTCAAGTGATCCATCTGCCTCAGCCTCCCAAAGTACTGGGATTACAGGCATGAGCCACTGCGCCTGGCCGAGCCTGTGTCTCTTGAGTTGCTTTTAGGTTAACATTAGATAACCCCAATTTCCAACCTCCATTCTGTCACTAACCACCTGTCACTCAATCTCTGAGCAGCTATCCATCACAGCGTTGCTGTGAGGAATTAAATAAGCTAATATCTGAAACACATTCAAGGCTTTGTTCAATAGCATAAAGATCTATTGGATGCTTATTATGTGCCAAGCACTGTGTGGTTTGTAAGAAAACATTATAAAAGAGAGCTGTTGTATAGTTGGGAACTGGCAACGGATGGTCGGCCATGCCAACTCCTGTGGTTGGGAGGATCATATGCAAGAAATGTGGTTGCTGGCCGGGCGCGGTGGCTCACGCCTGTAATCCCAGCACTTTGGGAGGCCGAGGCGGGTGGATCACCTGAGGTCAGGAGTTCGACACCAGCGTGGCCAACATGGTGAACCCGTCCCTACTAAAAATACAAAAATTAGTCAGGCATGGTGGCGGGCGCCTGTTAATCCCAGCTACTCGGGAAGCTGAAGCAGGAGAATCGCTTGAACCTGGGAGGCGGCGGTTGCAGTGAGCAAAGAACACGCCACTGCACTCCAGCCTGGGCGACAGAGCAAGACTCCGTCTCAAAAAACAACAACAAACAACAACAACGACAACAACAAAAACCATCAATGTGGAAGAGTTTCAAGTGCTCTTCATGTGCCAGGTAGAAAGCGTAAATACTACATTGCGTTGCGTTATTTATTCCATAAATATCTGTTGAGGACCCACTGTGGTGTGGCATCGTGTTCCGTTCAACGGCTATGGCTGTTTAAGTAAACGCATGAGTCCCTCCAGGACCCCAGAACGCAGCCCGAAGGGCCTCAGAGCCGGGGCGGAACCAGCGTCTGCGGAACCTTTCTTCCCGCTCCCGGTGCCCCGGAAGCCCCGGCAGGAAATGCGTCAGGGACCACGCTGCGCCGCGCCGCCGCAGTCGGGCCTCGGTCGCCACGGTAACGCGCGCGGGCAGGTGTCCGACCATGAGCGTCCGGGTCGCACGGGTAGCGTGGGTCAGGGGCTTGGGCGCCAGCTACCGCCGCGGCGCCTCGAGCTTCCCGGTGCCTCCGCCGGGCGCCCAGGGTGTAGCGGAGCTGCTGCGAGATGCGACCGGGGCGGAGGAGGAGGCGCCCTGGGCGGCGACGGAGCGGCGAATGCCGGGCCAGTGCTCCGTGCTGCTCTTCCCGGGCCAGGGCAGCCAGGTGGTGGGCATGGGCCGCGGTCTGCTCAACTACCCGCGCGTCCGCGAACTCTACGCCGCCGCCCGCCGCGTGCTGGGCTACGACCTGCTGGAACTGAGCCTGCACGGGCCGCAGGAGACCCTGGACCGCACCGTGCACTGTCAGCCCGCGATCTTCGTGGCATCGCTGGCCGCTGTCGAGAAACTACATCACCTGCAGCCCTCGGTGAGGCCCGAGGCCCCGTGACAGGAGGGGGAAGGTGAGCTCTGCCTGAGCTCTTGGCCCTGCCAGAGGCTTCCGCCTGCCATTCCGGGGGCTCCCACGTCTTACTCATTCGATCGAGTTTTTTTTTTTGTTTGTTTTTGTTTTTTTTTTTGAGACGGAGTCTCGCTCTGTCGCCCAGGCTAGAGTGCAGTGGCGCGATCTCGGCTCCGCCTCCCGAGTTCACGCCATTCTCCTGCCTCAGCCTCCCAAGTAGCTGGGACTACAGGCGCCCGCCACCATGCCCGGCTAATTTTTTGTATTTTTAGTAGAGACGGGGTTTCATCGTGTTAGTCAGGATGGTCTTGATCTCCTGACCTCGTGATCTGCCCGCCTCGGCCTCCCAAAGTGCTGGGATTACAGGCATGAGCCACCGTGCCCGGCCCGTTTTGTTTTGTTTTTTGAGACAGAGTCTTGCTCTGTCACCCAGGCTGGAGTGCAATGGCGCAGTCTTGGCTCACTGCAACCTCTGCCTCCCAGGTTCAAGCAGTTCTCCTGCCTCAGCCTCCGCAGTAGCTGGGATCACAGGTGCACACCACCACGCCCGGCTAATTTTTTTATTCTTTACTTAAATCCTCCCAGGTTCACCCACCTCGGCCTCCCAAAGTGCTAGGATTACAGGTATGAGCCACTGCACTGGCCTAAATGAAGGAACATTGAGATGAGTTGAGAATGTCACTTCACTTGAAGGTGGTGGATTGATTGCTATTAATATTTAATAAGACGGTAAATGTTAAGCTAGCACTTGAGATCCTTTACCCTATTTCACCTTCACACCACCTTGTGAGGTTAATACTGTTATTTGATGGTTGAGGAATGCAGACTCAGGGATATTAAAAGAATTAGTTAAGTGGTCCTGTTGAATCGTCATCATAATATTCATTCACTGCTTACCCTAGTCTGGGTCTGTGCTAAGCACTGTATAGACATTATATTCACATAATTCTCTCATCCGCCCTTTGGGGTAGGCCCTGTTCTTCCCTCATTTCACAGATGAGATAAAAATGCTCTTGGCCGGGCGAGGTGGCTCACGCCTATAATGCCTATAATCCAGCACTTCAGGAGGCTGAGGTGGGTGCATCACGAGGTCAGGAGTTCAAAACCAGCCTGGCCAACATGGTGAAACCCCGTCTCTACTAAAAATACAAAAATTAGCCAAGTGTGGTGGTGGACACCTGTAATCCCAGCAACTCGGGAGGCTGAGGCAGGAGAATTGCTTGAACCCGGGAGGCGGACGTTGCAGTGAGCCGAGATCACGCCATTGCACTCCAGCCTGGGCAACAAGAGCAAAACTCCGCCTCAAAAAAAAAAAAGTCATGCTCTTAACTTGTGCACAACGATATGGCCTGAGAGCCTGCTGCAGGGCCATGGCAAGGGAATCCAGAGCCCTGGGTTGGCGTCAGTGTGACCATGGACGGAGTTGATGGACTGTAACTAACCAGGAAAGCTCCTCCTAAATAAAGGGGCAGGACTCAATGATTGTCAAGGTCACTTTTGTGTGTCCTCTTCCAGCTGGTGCACCAAGTTCGTAGAACCTGGCTCACTGAGATGCTGAACACCCCGCCAGCTCTCAGGTACAGAGCCCTGGAACTGGGATCCCCAGGAGAGTGAGGGCTCACGTTCTGCATCTGTCCCCACAGGTGATTGAGAACTGTGTTGCTGCTGCTGGATTCAGTGTGGGAGAGTTTGCAGCCCTAGTGTTTGCCGGAGCCATGGAATTTGCTGAAGGTACAGGAAGGAGTTTGGTTTTATGCAAGGCTGTGGTCTTGGGCTCATTAGGGGTAAGGGACACTGCCAAAAATGATACTGGACCCACTCAGGTGATGGGAAGGGAGCACATGGACAGGGGTGACATTGGCACATGAGGACAGGGCTTTGCTGTGATTCCTTTTCAAGACTGAAGGATTCATTAGGGATTTCCCTTATTTTTGTAATCTCATGAAATCTGCTTGCTGAACTGTCTAACCCGCTATCCTGTGCACTCATACCTGCAGCACCTGCAACACGAGAGTATGTGTTCAGTAGATATTCGTTGAATTAAAGAGTAAATAAATATTGGATCTGGAGCCATATCAGTTTTACTTCTTAAGATTTTTGCTGGCCAGGAACCATGGCTTACGTCTGTAATCCCAGTGCTTTGGGAGGCCAAGGCAGGAGGACCACTTGAGGCCAGGAGTTCCAGACCATCTTGGGCCACATAGTGAGACCTTCATCTCTGCCCCCAACAAAAAACAAAAATTACGTTGGGTGCAGTGATTCACACCTGTAATGCCAGCACTTTGGGAGGCAGAGGCAGATAGATGTTTGAGCCCAGGAGTTTTAGACCACCCTGGGCAACATGGTGAAAACCCCATCTCTACCGAAAATACAAAAATTAGCCAGGCATGTTGGTGTGCGCCTGTAGTCCCAGCTCGAGTACTTGGGAGGATGAGGTGGGAGGATTACCTGAACCCAGGAGGTCAAAGCTGCAGTGAGCTGTGATCGTGCCACTGCATTCCAGCCTGGGTGACAGAGTGACACCCTGTCACACACACACACATACACAAAATTAGCTGCACTTAGTGGCATGCATCTGTAATTCCAGCTACTCAGGAGGCTGAGGGAAGATCACTTGAGCCCCTGAGTCTGAGGCTGCAGTGAGCCACGATTGTGCCACTGCACTGCGGCATGGGTGACAGAGCAAGACCCTGTCCAAAACAAACAAAAAAGAATCTAGTATAGAAACACGAGAGGTTATTGGGACTGGAGAGGGAGAAATGGAGAGTGCCTACATAGTGGACATGGAGTGTTTGAAACTAGAGAGAGTTGGTGGTTGTACAACATTATGAATACCCCAAATACCACTGAATTATACACATTAAAGTGGTTAATTATATTTTATGTGAATTTCACTGCAGTGCTTTTTTTTTAAGCGTTATAACATTATTAAGGAAAGTTTCATAATTTCACATTTTATGAAACAATTTTATTACATGTATCATTTTATGTGTACATAATGTGCAGAATTAGGCTTGGTGTGGTGGCTCACGCCTGTAATCCCAGCCCAGCACTTTGGGAGGCCAAGGTGGGTGGATCACCTAAGGCAGGAGTTTGAGACCAGCCTGACCAACGTGGTAAAACCCCATCTCTACTAAAAATTCAAAAATTATCTGGGTGTGGTGGCGTGCACCTGTAATCTTAGCTACTTGGGAGGCTGAGGCACAAGAATCACTTGAACCAGGAGGCAGAGGTTGCAGTGAGCCGAGATTGTGCCACTGCACTCCAGCTTGGGTTAGAGAATGAGACTCTGTGTCAAAAAAAAAAAAAAAAGTGCAGAATTATAGCATAGTTACACTTTTGTGTTTTCTTTTTCTTTTTCTTTTTTGAGGCAGTATCTTGCTCTGTCACCCCAGCTGCAGTGCAGTGGTGCAGTCGTAGCTCACTGCAGCCTCAGCCTCTTGGCCTCAAGTGATCCTCCCGCTTCAGTCTCCAGACTAACTGGGACTACAGGCTCACACCATCATGCCCAGCTAATTTTAGAAGTTTTTGTAGAGATGGGGTCTCGCTATGTTGCCAGGGCTGGTCTGGAACTCCTGACTCAAGTGATCCTCCAGCTTCAGCCTCCTACAGTGCTGGGATTACTTACAGGCATTAGCCACTGTGCCTGGCCTACTTTTTTCCCTTGACATTTTACATAGTTTTGAATGTCTCTGTGGGAGGATGTCTGCGTGCTCTCCTCCCTTTTCTTGTATGTTTTCTTCTACTTCTTGTCACAGGCTCTTGTTCATTTGTTTTTTAAGAGACAGAGTTTTCCTCTGTCTTCCAGCCTTGAGTGCAGTGATGCAACCATAGCTCACTGCAGCCTCTAACTCCTGATCTCAAGCAGTCCTCCTGCCTTAGCCTCCTAAGTACCTGATGTCACAGGCTGTTTATGTATTTGTCCTCCTGTTCTTGTGTAAGGGAGCTAAAAGTCCAGTACATAGAAGTGCTAAGTGAATGAAGATATGTCAGGATTTGCTCCTTAGACCTCTCTGTTGACCTGTGAAACACTGTGCAGGTCCCTTAATCTCTTCTCAGTCTGGTCATCTCTTCTCTCTGCCCAGGAAGCAGGACCAGGGTGTCAGGGGTCTGGTAGTTTCAGGCCATTCTTATGTGTGGCTTTGTAGGGATTTTTGAGACAGGGTCTCGCTCTGTCACCCAGGCTGGAATACAGTGGCATGAACACAGCTCACTGTAGCCTCAACTTCCTGGGCTCCAGCAATCCTCCCACCTCAGCCTCCCAAGTAGCTGGGACCACAGGCGCACACTGCCACGCCCGGCTAATTTTTGTATTTTTGGTAGTGACAGGGTTTTACCATGTTGTCTAGTCTGGTCTCGAACTCCTGAGCTCAAGTGATCTGCCTGCCTTGGCCTCCCAAAGTGCCGGAACTACAGGTGCGAGCCACAGCGACCAGCCCTCAGGCCACTCTTATTATCATTGGCACTGCCTGCCCTCTCTCCATGCTCTTGAGCCACACTGAATCAGGAGTCATAGGTTTTCGTTCATCTGCATTGGCTGTGTCAGGTTCTCCAGCTCTAAGTGGGGACAGTAACACTTGACTTATGACAATTATGTCACTGAAATTCATGTAGTACAGTAGCCCATGTCTCTGATGGTTCTTTTTTGTTGTTCTTGTTTTGAGACAGGGTCTTGCTCTGTCACCAGGCTGGTGTGCAGTGGAGCAATCATAGCTTACTACAGCTGCAGCCTCAACCTGCTGGTCACAAGTGATCCTTCCGTGTCAGCCTCCCAAGCATCTGGGACTACAGGCAGGCACCACCATGCCTGGCTAATTTGTATTTTATTTTTTGCAGGGACAGGGTCTCCCTATGTTGCTCAGGCTGGTGTCGAGCTCCTTGGGCTCAAGCCGTCCTGCCTCAGCCTCCCAAAGTGCTGGGATTACAGGCATAAGCCACCATGCCCGGCCTGATCTCTCTTAATAAACTAACTAATAATAATTCCCAGCTTTCACAACAGCCCAGGCAGATTAGATATTATTATCCTCATTTTACTAACTAAAAATTTGAACCTCAAGGAGGTTGTGACTTGGCTAAGGCAATGTGGCTTCCACCCTGTTCCTCTTTACCTTTTACCAGGGTTTCTCAATAGTGGCACTATTTAAAAAAAAAAAAAAACAGTGGCGCTATTGGGCCAGGTCATTTGTTTTGTTGGGGGCAAGGGGGGCTGACCTGTGCAGTGCAGCATGTTGAGCAGCATCCCTGGACTCTACCCACTAGACGTCAGTGGCACTCTCCCCTAGTCAGAACAACCGGAAAACGTCTCCGGACACTGCCCCCGGCCTGTTGAGCACCACTGTCCTACTCCAAACCAGCTTTATAGCAGGAAGCTCCTTGGGTTAGTTTGTATAGTGCCAAGCACAGCAGCATACTTTTGGTGGTGAGCGCTTGTGCAGTCGATGGAGGTGTGTGGAACTGTGGCCCTGCTGGCTGGTGGCAGACACCAGTGCCCCTGTCTCTAGTGCAGAGTGGAGCTTGGGCTTTGTTTCTCAGGCCTGGCCTTTTCTCCTTCATTCTGTGCCCTCATTTTTCCAAATGCGCTTCTCTCTGGCCAGGTTTGTATGCAGTGAAAATCCGAGCTGAGGCCATGCAGGAAGCTTCAGAAGCTGTCCCCAGTGGGATGCTGTCTGTCCTCGGCCAGCCTCAGTCCAAGTTCAACTTCGCCTGTTTGGAAGCCCGGGAACACTGCAAGTCTTTAGGCATAGAGAACCCCGTATGTGAAGTGTCCAACTACCTCTTTCCAGATTGCAGGGTGATTTCAGGACACCAAGAGGTGGGTGTTGATGGGAACTGCCTTCATAGGCCAGTCCAGTACGGAGGGTTGGAACTGCTCCACACCCGTGAGGCCTAGCAGTCTGGCGGGTGCTGGGTCCAGCCCGGTCTTTAGGAAGTATTTTGGGGCCAGGGCAGTGAGGTAGACCGAGTGCTGCAAAGCAGGCAGGAGCAAGAATGCTGCCCTGCTCCACCACGTGTAGAATGGGGTCTGGAACCAACCAGCCAGCCCATGTCTAAAGTAAAGGGGCAGGGCCAGCTGATCTCCAGGGCCCTTCCCGTAGTACATTCTGGGCTTCTGAGGAGCCTGTGATCTGGTTGCTTCCTTAGAGAAAAGAGATTTGTTTTCTGCTAGATTGCTCTGCCTGCCCTGCTTTTTTTAGGTGTCTGTTTTTGCCCTGGAGTTCATTTCCTTTCCACCGTATTTCCTTCCATTTGCTACTTCCCCAAACATTTATCAAGGGCTGGGGACGCACAGACTGATTAGCCAGGGTTCCTGCCGTCAAAGGAAGAGCCCCGTGAATGGATGACTCCAGGCCGAGGGGTGCAGTGAGGGTCTGGCTGGCTACTCATGGGCCTAAGAGCAACCCAGGAGGCAGCAGCTGGAGGACGGGCATGTGTTTGCCAGCAGGGGGCACCCTGAGCAGAGCGGCAGGAGCCCCCTACAGAAAGAGCAGTGGGTGCTGAGTGCCTGGCTCAGGGAATGCTGAGTGAGCGCAGATTGCAGCCCGTGTGAGGGGCTGCTGCCCGGGCCAGGCATTTCTGTCTTACTTCATGTCCCTCACAGCCCATCCTGTGCTATATGGAAGGAAGGGATTCTTTTTTTGTTTGTTTGTTTGAGACAGGGTCTCACTGTGTTGCCTAGGCTGGAGTATGGTGGCACCATCACGGCTCACTGCAGCCTGGACCTCCTGGGCTCAAGTGTTCCTCCTACCTTAGCCTCCTGAGTGGCTTGGATTACAGACACGGGCAACCACACCTGGCTAACTTTTGTATTTTTTTGTAGAGACGGGGTTTCACCGTGTTGCCCAAGCTGGTCTTGAACTACTGGGCTCAAGGGATCCCCCCACCTCAGCCTCCCAAGTAGCTGGGACTACAGACACAGGCCACCACACCCAGCTAAAGGAAGGGATTCTTAATCACATTTTCCACACAAGGATGCTGAGGCAGAGAGAGGCAAGTGCTTGGGGATAGTAGAGGCAGAATGGGAACCTGAGTCTGTCTCACTCTGGAGTCTGTTTCCGCCACTTGACCGTGCTTGGCTCCCCTTCCCCTTTGAGGGCTCACCGTGTGCCAGGCGTCCTCAACTGCCTCCTCTGAAGTAGTGAGAGCTGGCAGGAGCCTCTTATGACTGTTCTGAGATGGTGGGCAGGTCAGGTATGGTGGCCCCAGGTCAGTCTTGGAGCTAGTTAGGCGTTCCCTTTACCAGCCTTGGAAGGAAGCCCAGAAGTGGCTCAGGAAGGACTTCCCAGTCAGGGCAGGAGTCTCCCCAGTAGGCTCCCAGACAGGTGCACCCAGTCTAGGTGACAACTCCTAGGTTCATCCTTTTGATTTTTTTTTTTTTTTTTTTTGTTTTTTGAGACAATGTCTTACTCTGTCATCCAGGCTGGAGTGCAGTGGCACGATCTTGGCTCACTGCAACCTCCACCTCCTGGGTTCAAGTGATTCTCCTGCCTTAGCCTCCCAAGTAGCTGGGACTACAGGTGCATGCCACCACACCCAGCTAATTTTTTGTATTTTTATTAGAGACGGGGTTTTACCATGTTGGTCAGGCTGGTCTTGAACCCCTGACCTCAGGTGATCTGCCCACCTCGGCCTCCCAAAGTGCTGGGATTATAGGTGTGAGCCACTGTGCCCAGCTTCCCTTTGGTATTCTTGGTAGTGCCACAGCAAAGAGCTCAGGTGAGGGCAGGGGTACCCCCTCAGGGGGGAAGCCCCTTTCCAACAACTGATGTGAAAAGGCTCCTGGGCCCTGCTCGCCCAATGCCTGGGCCAAGGACTGGCCATTGGAGAGGAGACTGCTGGCCCCTGTGATGGTGACCTTGAGCCCTGTGGCCCTAGCCTGGGACTTGAGAGGGCTCAGCTGTTGAGCCAGAGTCCAGAGATCTTACACGGAAAGCACTTTGAGACCACAGATGCTCCAGGAAGTGCTACTGAGTAGCCATCCCCATACCTGCCAGTCACTCAGACAATCTAGGTGTGGAGGGAGGGGCTTGGGCTCCAGAGTCTGGAAGGCCCAGACCAAAGAGGCTCCTGGTTCCTGCGGTCCAGCCTCAGTGGGATGGAGCCACATGGAGGGTGATGGTGGAGGGGAAGCACGGGTGAGTCAGTACAGGCCAGGTTTTGTTGCAGTGACAAGTAGCCCACACCTCAGTGGTCACAGCACACAAGCACCGGTCCCACTCCTGGTCTGTGCTCGCCAGGCTGGGTTCTGCTTTTCAGCCCAGGACTCAGGCAACAGGAACAGTCTCTAGGGAACACTGACAGACTAAAGCAGGTGGATGACTTGAGGCCAGGAGTTCAAGACCAGCCTGACCAACATGGTGAAACCCCATCTCTACTAAAACTTAGCCAGGCGTGGTGGTACATGCTTATAGTCCCAGCTACTCGGGAGGCTGAGGCAGGAGCATTGCTTGAACCTGCGAGGTGGAGGTTGCAGTGAGCCAAGATCGCACCTTTGCACTCCAGCCTGGGTGACAGAACAAGACTTCATCTCAAAAAATAATAAAGACCTTTGCAAGTTCTGTTGCTTGCTCACTGTTGCAAGGGTTTTGGAGCTATTGGCTCGCCCGAGGCCCCTTCTGAGCTCAAATGCCTTCAGGGGAGGTTTTTGGCATCAAGAGGAGAGCTCTTTCCTTCTCCAGAGAAACCTCAGATGAAAGTGACAATATCCTAGACCCTGCATTGTGAAATGGGGCTTGAATTTTAGTTCTGAATTTTTATTTTGAAGATTATGGAATAAAAAGCAAACAGACTGGTCAAAAATTATGAAAGGAGTGATAGAATTCTCATTGAGATCCGGGTGCGGCGGCTCATGCCTGTAATCCCAGCACTTTGGGAGGCCGAAGAGGGTGGATCACGAGGTCTGGAGATCAGCTAATACAAAAAATTAGCCGGGCGTGGTGGCGGGCGCCTGTAGTCCCAGCTACTTGGGAGGCTGAGGCAGGAGAATGGTGTGAACCTGGGAGGCGGAGCTTGCAGTGAGCCAAGATTGTGCCACTGCACTCCAGCCTGGGCCACAGAGCGAGACACCGTCTCAAAAAAAAAAAAAAAAGAATTCTCATTGAGAACTAACACTTCTTAGATAGTGCGTTTTCCTCTACCAGACACTGTTGCATGCCTTGTAGGGTTTGCTCTTCCTGGCAGCGTTGTGAAGTAGATGGAACTGTGCTTATTTGAAGGCTGGGACAGAAGAGATTCCAGGATGTTAAGTGAATTGCCTGGGGATGGTGCTGGGACAGACAGGTCACATGTCCACATCTAGCAGCTGTGGGTCTCTTTGTGGTCACCCTCCCAGTTTGGCCCTGTGAATGGTCAGATCTGTAAAGGCGGATTTCTGGGACATTGCTCGGCTGAAACCTCCTTCCTTCCCCAGGCTCTACGGTTTCTCCAGAAGAATTCCTCTAAGTTTCATTTCAGACGCACCAGGATGTTGCCGGTTAGTGGCGCATTCCACACCCGCCTCATGGAGCCAGCCGTGGAGCCCCTGACGCAAGCTTTAAAGGCAGTCGACATTAAGAAGCCTCTGGTTTCTGTCTACTCCAACGTCCACGCGCATAGATACAGGCATCCCGGGCACATCCACAAGCTGCTGGCCCAGCAGCTGGTCTCCCCAGTGAAGTGGGAGCAGACGATGCATGCCATATACGAAAGGAAAAAGGGCAGGGGGTTCCCCCAAACTTTCGAAGTAGGCCCTGGCAGGCAGCTGGGAGCCATCCTGAAGAGCTGTAACATGCAGGCCTGGAAGTCCTACAGCGCCGTGGATGTGCTGCAGACCCTCGAACATGTGGACCTGGACCCTCAGGAGCCCCCGAGATGACTGCAGGGGGCTCAAATGCGATGACCCCCTCTGTCCTCCTGAGGAGAGGCTGTAGGCTGTGCCTGTCGCCCCCTACCTTCCTAATGGCTCCTCCTCTGAGGAGTGAAAGGGATTTGTTTGCAACGTGCTTTGAAGGCCACATAAAAAGCCCTAAAAATGAGTATTTCTTTACATGACCCAGTCCATTTCTCCCCCTTGGAAAAACGTTTGGACGTTGGGAAGAATGATGCCACAGGGCTGGTGTGTGGGGAAGCTAGAATCCTGGCCCCGCCTCTGCCAGCCCTGCACCATAGGCAGGTGTGCCATCTCAGCGGGAAGGGGAGGACTGGCTGCTGCAGCCTGTCCTGCTCTGTGAGTGCTGAGAACATGCTGGTGTGGCCTCAATTTCAGCCAGTGCCAGGGGAGCCCCTCCACCACCCCCAGCCTGCCCCCCAGGGCTCCTTTGTCACAAATCTGAAAGGTTTTAGAACCCAGTTGGCCTTGGCAGTTTTGTTCACCTCCTCACTTGACAGCTGGGAGACAGAGGCCCACATTTATGGACATACCCAAGAGATATGTATTGCCTGCTGTGTGCTAGAGAGTGAGTGCGCTCTGTTCTGGTAGAAAGGTCCTTGAGTGAGGTGCGGGGTGTGGGGAGTGCCAGGTAGGGAGGGCGACTGAGGCCCTGGTCCTAGGGGTGGAACCATGGAGGAACACCCTGGTCACCCACTGGGACTGCGGGTCTGCGGGGCGCCAGAGGGAGCACAGCACATACCTGCCTCGGAGCTGACCCCTGGCTCCATGCCCCGTCCTCAGAGCAGCTCCTGCGCCAATATTAAGTATGAGACATTCCAAGCTGCTTGGGTGGTTGTTCATTATACAGAGATAGTGGGAAAATATTATTGGGAATGAACTCTCTGATTGTCTTAAAATGTTACCATTGTGTAGACACGTCAAGTCCTGGATAGGGTTCCTCATTTTCACATTTTTAGTTCTCTGGTGTTTCTCAGCAGGGCCCAGCTGGCCTTTGGGCAGAACCCTCCTTCCTTATATGGGAATGTCCCACTCTTGGGCAGCTGCCCTGGTGCCGGGCCATTACACACCAGCAGCACTTCCAGGCATTGTGACCCCAGACACCCTGCATGTCTCGAAGCCCTGGCTGAAAACACAAAAGCCGATGCGATGTGATTCCCACTGCAGCCTGCATGCGCGTCCCTGGGAGTGCGACAGTTCTTTGGAAAGAACTATGTCTTAAATCTGTATTGCACAGAGAACTTGATTATTTTAAGTACTGAGCATGTTTGAAGCTCCTTCCCTGAAAGCTTCAAGCAATGGCAGCCTCAGGAGACCCAGGCTCTCCACGTCCAGGTTCTCTTGCAGCGCTGCAGGAAGGATGGCCACGTTCAGCTCTGAGGAACAAAATCCCAAATAAGGGAGGGGTCTGCCTCTCCAGGAGGACAGCAGTAAGGGACAGCAGGCCTTACCACTTGCTCTCTCTGCACTACCCTTGTCCTCATGGCCTGGGGCAAGATCCAAGCCCATGAAGGGGTAAGAGAAATCAGCTGGGCATGGCAGTGCGCACCTGTAATCCCAGCTACTTGAGAGGCTGAGGCAGGAGAATCGCTTGAACCTGGGAGGCGGAGGTTGCAGTGAGCTGAGATCACACCACTGCACTCCAGCCTGGGTGACAGAGCGAGACTCCATTGTGAAAAAAAAGTGTTCTCCATGGAACAACATTCTGTCCAGATCAGGGCTCAGCCTGTCTTTGCTGAGCACATCCTGGCCTGGCCTGATGCCTTTACATTTCACTCACAAGCCCGCCCACCTCTGGCCAACAAGAGTGGTCTCCAGCCAAGCACGGTGGCTCACACATGCAATTGCAGCACTTTGGGAGGCTGAGGCGGGTGGATTACCTGAAGTCAGGAGTTCAAGACCAGCCTGGCCAACATGGTGAAACTACATCTCTACTAAAAATACAAAAATTGGCCAGGCATGGTGGCTCAGGCCTGCAACCCCAGCACTTTGGGAGGCCGAGGTGGGCGGATCACCTGAGGCCAGGAGTCAAGACCAGCCTGGCCAACATGGCGAAACCCACCTCTACTAAACATACAAAATTAGCCAGGCTTGGTGGCACATGCCTGTGATCCCAGCTACTCAGGAGGCTGAGGCAGGAGAATCACTTGAACCAGGAGGTGGAGGTTGCAGTGATCCAAGATCAAGCCACTGGACTCCAACCTGGGCAACCATCACAAAACTCCCATCTCAAAATAAAAATACAAACATTAGCTGGGCGTGATGGTGCATGCCTGTAGTCTCAGCTACTCGGAAGGCTGTCAGGAGAATCGCTTGAACCCACGAGGCAGAGGTTGCAGTGAGCCGAGATCGCGCCAGTGCACTCCAGCCCGGCCGACTCCATCTCAAAAACAAAAAACAAAAACAAACAAAAAAAAAACGGTGTGTGAAGTCAGGCCTCAAAGCTGCAAAGGGCTGTGTGCAGTGGTGTGTGTGCCTGCAGACCCAGCTATTTGGGAGGCTGAGGTGGGAGGACTGCTTGAGCCCAGGAGTTGGTGGCCGACCTGGGCAACACAGGAAAGCCAAGTCTCTTAATTAAAAAAAAAAAAAAAAAAAAAAAAAAAAAAAAAAAAAGGCTGCAAAGGGCCAGACCTTGGGGAGAGAAGACATAAGGAGGCAGGAAAGCCTATTGGAGGTCCCCTTTGGTTTGGAGGCCAGGATGGAGGGAGGAGTGAGCAGGATGCAGGGTCTGCCCAGCCAGCCTGGGAGGTATGAACAGCTGCATCTCCCAGCTCTGGGGATGAGGGGGGTTGGGGGCTGGAGAATGGTGGCCGGCCCAGCCCAGCTTTGACATTTGGGGTGGAGGGCAGACACAGAGCCGATGTCCTGGGAGGGAGGCCTGGTGGGGTCTACAAATGGCACGAGGCAAGGCCCAGGGCAGGTACCAAGCCTACAAAGGTACAAAGCAGGGTCCTGGCCCTCCTGCCCCTGGTGCCCCTTGTCCTGCTCCCCAATCCCCACCACACCTCTCCCTGTGAGCGGAGCCACGGCTGCATCCCTGTGGTGAGGAGTCTGTGCAGGGAGAGGCAGGCATCCCCTAAAGAGGAACTGAAAGCCCAAAGGAAATAACCCCCAACAGTGGATTTTAGGCCACAGACCGGGACAAGGGAGAAGGCAAACCGTCGGGCCAAACCAAGGCAGCATTTGCGGTCCCCTTTTGCAGGGAAGGATCTGATTAGGAGCACACAGGCCCTGCCCTCCCCACCAACACAGTGTGCCTCCCTGGGGCGAGAGGAAGCCCGTGCTGGTGCTGCCAACCCCCCAGAGAGGACCAGAGACTGCTGGAAACCAACATTTTATTGAGCACTCCTGCTCCTCGGAATCTATTCCAGTAGATTCTTTGCCGAGGGCATCACATATCACACAGGGGTGTGACCAGCACTCCCCCTGCTACCTGCCGTGTGGGCAGGGGCAGGAGTGAATGGCTCTTCCTGGGCACAGGCCACAGTTAACCGGTGACAATTGCAGAGCCATAGGAATTCATCTTTTAGAAAAAACGAAAACTGGAATAAAAAAAAAACAAAAAACCTGAGTATAAAACCTCAGCAGTGTTCCAGCACTATCTCGGGGTTTAAATATAAAAAGGCATCATGAGAAAACAGTTAAAAAGATAACAGCAGCAGGCCGCCACCTCCAGGGCAGTGGTCATGGGGGTGGGGCCAGCCCCGCCCTGAGCCGCCGGGGCCTCACTTGAGCAGCAGGTGCAGGCCCCCGCTGAGCAGCGGCAGCAGCAGCGCCAGCAGCAGCAGCAGCGCCAGCAGCACCTGTTCGCAGGACACCTGTGGGAGCAAAGCAGAGGAGTCAGGCTCGGGGCAGGCCCCGGCAATGGGGCCAGACGGGTGACAGCGGAGTGCCAAGGGGAAGCCCAGGAGGGTGGGGACTGGGAAGGAGCTCGAGGGGACCAGAGAAGGAAGGAGTTCAGGAGAGGGGGAAAGTGGCCCTGAGGACGTGGCCAGAGAGGCCAGCGTGGCCTGGGCCTGCCAGTCTGCGGGACACAGGCAAAGACACCCGGTGGGCACAGGTGAGGGCAGTCAGCTGCCCTTGTGGTGGGCGGTGCCGAGTGGACACCATGGGACCAGGCTACCAGGAAGGCTGCTCAGGGAGGCCCCTGCCCTGGCCAGGAGACGGGAGTCCTGCCTGCCAGGTGAAGGCTCTCGGACCAGAGGGAGACCCAGGACCATGCACTGGTTTGTGCACTCAGAACCAGGCATCTCAAACCCAAAAGCCCATGGGATCAGGCAGATGTGGACACAGGTGACACAGATGATGATACGGAGTGGTGGGGACTGTGGCGCCCCAAGGAGCGGCTCTGACAGCCCCCACTGGCCGCAGCGCAAGTCAGGGTCAGGGATCTCAAGGCTCTTACCCAGGACCCGGGGTTCGGGGATCTCCAGAACCTCATTATGTTCTCCTTAAGTGTGGTGAAACCGTCCATGAAACTTCTAAGAACATCCCTGATGTCCTCAGTCTGGTCGTAGATGAAAGCCAGACCCAGGCTATAGACAAAGAGGATGGGGGGACAAAGCCATTACTGCAGGAGCAGGTAGGGGCAGCCTGTACTTAGATGACACCATCACAGCTGTGGGGAGCAGGGGCCTGTGCCCTCCCACCCCACAGCCACCCGGGGCCCTTTCCGTGGGCGCCTCCACCTGCAGGGGCCGCGTGGTATGGACTGTTTGTGGTCAAATTCATTCCAACTTCCTGCTTCCTCCGCCAGCCAGCCGCCCGCCAGCCCACCGGGTGTTTGGCCCTGTCTTCCAGAGCTGGCCACGTGGAAAATAAACCCCCATTCTACAGGGCCCTCACAAGCCACTGCCCACTCTATTCCCCCACCGGAGACTCGCTGAGAGGCCCAGCCCCCAGGATCTAGGATCCGAGCTCACGTAGCACCCCCTCTTAAGACCACGGTGGAAATGTACCATCTGGGCTCAATGAGGACGGCGAGAGAGAAAAGGGCCCTGGGCTCTGCTTTGTTGCCCAGGAATGCCAGGGACAGGTGGCAGGGGGCGAGTGCCAGGAGCTGGGGGCTCCCAGGAGAGGTGCGGGAAGCAGCCAAGGGTTTCAGTATAGCCCCAGTGTCAAGGCACATCCCCCACAGAGCTTCCTCAGGGCCCAGCCCTGTGCTGTGTTCAGGGCCTCCACCCACCGCCCAGGGCCCCTCCCCAGGTGTAGAGGCATAGGGCATAGGCCGGCTACCTGTGCATGGCCACCTCGGAGAGCTGGGCCAGGCGCGGGGCCCTGAGGCTCACGTCCATCTCGTCCCCGATGCAGGCCAGCCGCAGGGCCAATGCGTCACTGCAGGGAGCACACACAGGAGTCGGGTGTGGCTGTGCCGTGGAGGCCACATGCACCTGGACCCACCCAGCCAACGGATTGTGTGCAGCTGGGAGTGGCCCAGAGGATAAGAGATGGTGTCAGATTTGGGGCAGGCAGTGAGTGGGCCTCCCTGTATCCCTCCTCCGGCTCCCACTTGGATTCAGAGATACCCATGAGGTCCCATCCGTGGGTGGCCCCAGAGGTGCAAGCTATTTCAAAAAGAATCCTGGGGCAGGCCCACCTGTGGGCTTTGGTGGAAATGGTGGACAAGGGGAACAGGCAGGTCTGGGGGTGCTGAGCCCCCGGATGGCTGAGGCTGACCAAGGGGAATGGACAGGTCTGGTGGTGCTGAGTCCCCCGGATGGCTGAGCCCCCTTGAGCCCCCTTCCCACAGGGGTTGCAGCTTACCTTCCTTTGTGGGAGGTGAGGGGGCTCTAAGACCTGTGTCCTGGTCCCAATCCTGAAACCAGCCCTGCTGGCACCACCCCTCTCCAAATGGGGGGACTAAGAAGCCCCTAGTAGGCCCCCCACTAAACCACATCCTTGATCCTACACCCCACCCGCATTCACTCCCACACAAAGACTAAGACACTCCCCACCCTCCCAGCTTGCTGGTCTGGGCCTCTACCAGGGACCTGTGTGCATTCCATCCCAGTGACTACACCGGGGGAACTCCCAGGGAAGTGGGACTCCTAGGGGCCCTGAGCTGAGGCCGGCCCTGGGCCCTGGCCCCACCCACCTGACCTGCCAATGCCCTGGGCCTACACTCCCTACTTGGAGGGGATGCGGGTGGGAGGGGTACAGGTGTGGGCTGGCAATCAGGGTTGGGGGCTGTGGTCCTACCTTCTGTTACCCTGGGAAACCTCAGGAAAATACTGCCCCAGGCTTCATGTCCTCCAACCTTGTCCATTAATGGACAGGTGCCTCCAGTTCTAAAATCCTTAATGACTAAAAATCCTGAGGCTGAAAAAAAAAATCCTGAGCAGAAAAGAATCCTGTGGAACATGGAGCTGGTCCCTGGCCTGTGGGAGGTGCCACATCAGAGACAGGATTCCCCAGCAGAAAGCAACAGCCCAGGTCAGGCCTGACCATTCTCTTCCAGGCTCAGGGTAGAAACTACTGAGGTCAGCTGCTCCTGGGCCTTCACGTTCCTCATCTGTACCAGGGGAAGAATGAAAGTGCCAGTCCTGGCCGGGTGTGGTGGCTCACGCCTGTAATCCCAGCACTTTTTGGGAGGCCGAGGCAGGCAGATCACGAGGTCAGGAGATCGAGACCATCCTGGCTAACATGATGAAACCCTGTCTCTACTGAAAATACAAAAAATTAGCCAGGTGTGGTGGCAGGCGCCTGTAGTCCCAGCTACTCAGGAGGCTGAGGCAGGAGAATGGCGTAAACCAGGGAGGTGGAGCTTGTGGTGAGCAGAGATCATGCCACTGTACTCCAGCCTGGGCGACACAGCGAGACTCCGTCTCAAAAAAAAAAAAAAAGCCGGGCATGCTGGTGCACGCCTGCACTCCCAGCTACTCAGGAGGCTGAGGCAGGAAAATCACTTGAACCCGGGAGGTGGAGGTTGCAGTGAGCCAAGATCATGCCACTGCACTCCAGCCTGGGTGACAGAGACTCTGTCTCAAAAAAAAAAAAAAAAAGTGCAGGTCCTTCCTGCCGCTGGGATGGCCGGGTGTGCCTGGACATCTGGGTATGCTGCCGTGTGCTGGACATAGCTGGGAGCAGTTGGCAGAGTGCAAGGGTCAGGTCCTACTGGACCTTGGCCCCTGAAACCCCAGGCAAATCCTGCTGCCTCCAGGGTCCTTGTCAGTCCAAGGAAGATCCCTTCTTCATGCCTCAGTGATTCTTTGAAGCCGGGACCAGGAACTGCATGGCCTCCTCAGGCTCTTCCATAGGTTCTGGTTTTCTTTCTTTTTTCTTTCTTTCTTTTCTCTTTCTCTTTTTTTGTGAAACGGAGTCTTACTCTGTTACCCAGGCTGGAGTGCAGTGGTGCAATCTCAGGGCTCACTGCAACCTCCACGTCCCGGGTTCAAGTGATTTTCCTGCCTCAGCCTCCTGAGTAGCTGGGACTACCAGCGCCCATCCCCCCACCCCCGGCCCCATACCTGGGTAACATTTGTATTTTTAGTAGAGGTTGGGTTTCACCATGTTGGCCAGGCTAGTCTCGAACTCCCAACCTCAGGTGATCCGCCCACCTCAGCCTCCCAAAGTGCTGGGATTACAGGCATGAGCCACGGCGCCCGGCCCGGTTCTGGTTTTCTAAAATGAGAGCCGTCAGAGGCAGTTGAACCAGAGCGACTCCATCTTGATTAGGGGCTGGGTAACAAAAGGCTGAGACCTACTGGGTTGCATTCCCAGGAGGCTAGGAATTCTAAGTCACAGGATGAGATAGGACATCAGCATAAGATACAGGTTACAAAGACCCTGCTGATAAAACAGGATTCGGCAAAGACGCCAGCCAAAGCCCACCAAAGCCAAGATGGGCACAAAAGTGACCTCCAGTCATCCTCACTATTCATTGTGCACCAACTATATTAGCATGTTGGAGTCACTCACCAGTGCCACGACAGTTTACAAATGCCACGGCAACGTCAGGAAGTTGCCCTATATTGTCTAAAAGGAGGAGGAATTCTCGGTTCCGGGAACTGCCCACCCCTTACCCGGAAACTCATGAATAATCCACCCCTTGTTTAGCATGTAATCAGGAAATAACTATAAGTATATTCAGTTGAGCAGCCCATGCCGCTGCTCTGCCTATAGAGTAGGTTTTCTTTTTTTGAGATGGAGTCTCGCTCTGTTGCCCAGGCTGGAGTGCATTTTTGCAACCTTGGGTCACTGCAACCTCTGCCTCCTGGGTTCAAGAGATTCTCCTGCCTCAGCCTCCCGACTAGCTGGGACTACAGACATGTGCCACCAGGCCCAGCTACTTTTTGTATTTTTAGTAGAGACAGGGTTTTGCCATGTTGGCCAGGCTGGTCTCGAGCTCCTGACCTCAAGTGATCCGCCTGCCTCAGCCTCCCTAAGTGCTGGGATTACAGGCGCGAGCCACTGCGTGTGGCCCAAATTCTTTCTTGCTTGAGATCTAAGAACCCTCTCTTGGGATCTGGATCGGGTCCCCTTTCTGGCAACAGAGTCACCTCCTTCAAGAGGCCCTGATGTCCTCAGCAGGTCGCTAAGGGCCTGTCTAGCTCCCTGAGGCCCAAACACTGTGCCATTTTGACAGCCAGGGGCCCCAGGTCCATCTTGAGACTGTGAACATGCTGGCTGTCCAGGGGTCTGTGAGCTGGTATCAGGGGAGGGTGGGGCAGCAAAGTGAAGCCGCTCCCAGGGCAGAAGCCTCCATGCCCACATCCGGGAAATCTTCCTCTCGGAGGCCCTGCCTGGGAGGCATCTGCAGGCGCTCCCCCGCTCATAGAATGTCTGCTCATCCAGCCCACCCCTGAAGTCACTATCAGGCAGGGGGTAGGGCAGGCCATGGGGACCTACCTGCCCTCCATGCATTCCAAAGAATCGAAGTCCTCCATAGGGTCCAGGTCCTCTTCAGAGTCAGTCATGCCAAGAACCTCCATGGTCGGGGGTTCCAGGAGCTGCTCATACAGGAGGGTCTCCATCAAGATGTCTCTGGAGAGGGGTCTTACTTCAGACATTTCTCCTCTGGGGCAAAAAGACAGCATATGACTGGACCCCTAAGAACTGAGCAGTCTGGGGGCTCTCTCACAGGATGACCCCCAGATTGTATAGCCCTACTCACCAGCTCTTTTGATCCGCTAAAGCCGTCAATATCCCCCAACCCCAGCTCCCACAGGCATGAATCCTGCTACATGCTGGCTGTGTGCCTCTGGGCAAGTCGCCTAGCATCTCTGTTCTTGGAAGGGAGGAACTTGAAGATGATTCATAAGGGCCCTTTCTTTCTTTCTTTGTTTTTGGATACTGAGTCTTGCTGGAGGCTGGAGGGCAGTGGCACAATCTTGGCTCACTGCAACCTCTGCCTCCTGGGTTCAAGCAATTCTCCTGCCTCAGCCTCCCGAGTAGCTGGGACTACAGGCATGAGCTATGCCTGGCTAATTATTTTGTATTTTTAGTAAAGACGGGGGTTTCATCATGTTGGCCAGGCTGGTCTTGAACTCCTGACCTCAAAGTGATCCACCCCACCTCGGCCTCCCAAAGTGCTGGGACGACAGACATGAGCCACCACGCCCAGCCTTTTTCTTCTTTGTGAAACAAAATCAGAGTATAAATAAATATTAGAAGTTCTCCTCGGACACCAGCCCTCAAGAACCTGTCAAAGCAGAAAACCCAGGCACCTGCTGTCAGCACAGGGGACAGAGGCCAGGCTGCAGGGCGATTCCTCTGTACCACTTAACAGAAGGCTACACCTGTTCTTTGGTGTCTGCTGTTTCTCTTGAGAAGAAAGGCAGAGAGGCAGCATGAGAAAAACGTATCACAATCCCCATTCCCAGAGAGACCATCGCTAATTCTTCTAGTGTTTTTCCTAAACACTTGTGCGCATCACACATCCTTCTTCACAAATGGGATCACCCCATACAGTGTCTTACAGCCTTCTTTACTGGCAGATGCTATTTACCTCTCCGATATCCATTCCACCTGGCTCCTTGCTGATAGAACCCCAATTTTCTTCGGGGTGGCCCTGCATCCTCATTCATCTAAGCCAACCATGGCCCTCCTCTCCCTCAGCTTCCCAGCATCCCTTGCAGCTGGTGACAACCATGTAACCCAGTTCTGGTCAATGAGGGCTCAGAGGCTGGAGGCAGGGGTTGGATGCCAGGGAGTAGACACAGCCAGGGCAGCTCCTTCAAAGATGGAGCTGCAGTGGCTGACCAAGAAGAGCAGAGTGGGGAGGCAGAGAGCGGCCAGGCCTGAGGGTGTCACTGAGCTGTCTCCTCCAACTGTGTGTAAGAAAAATGAACCCAAATGTGTCCTCATCACCATTCACTGAGTTTCCTCTTCTTTGCCACCAAAGGCCTTCCTAACTATGATCATTGCGAATCCCATGCCAGTACATGTTTCATCATGATGGCAGAGAAGGGTTCTGCGACCTGATTCACCATCATGTACCCCACATTTACCCTACAGGGTACCAAACAGCCTTAGATGTAGATGACGATAATGACGATGACTGTGGCACGGAAATCTAATGGCCTAGTTCAAAGCCCGGCTCTGGCAGTTAGCAGCAGTGTGTCAATTTCTTCATCTGTGAAATGGGTTTCATGGTCTGAGAGCCCCGCCCTGGGCTATTGGGAAGACGAAATAAGGAACTCCTTCATGTACTTTGAACAGGGCCTGGCACGCTGGGAGGAAGTTGGCACTAACCATTACCTTTATGCTTCAACTCATTATTTTCTTACCATAATGCCCTGGGTGTTCTTAATTTTTAATTCCTCATGCCTGCTGACAGGACACTCCGCCCTCCCACCATCTCACTGAGCTGTTTGTTCACACAGGACACTGAGGCTTAGAGAGGTTCATGACTAAGCCAAGAAGGGACAGAGCTCCAAGTCTCCCTGACCCCCAGGAGAGAGAAAACTGACGGCAGGCAGGACCCACAGCGCCGCCCTCCCACAGGCCTAGGCACAAGTGTGTGCTCACGACTTGCTTTCAGCATTCAAGGGAGATGGATGGGCCGGGTGCGGTGGCTCACGCCTGTAATCCCAGCACTTTGGGAGGCTGAGACAGGCGGATCACCTGAGGTCAGGAGTTTGAGACCAGCCTGGCCAACATGGTAAAACCCCGCCTCTAATAAAAATACAAAATTAGCCAGGCGTGGTGACATACGCCTGTAATCCCAGCTTGAACCTGGGAGGCAGAGCTAGATTCTGACTCAAAAAGAAAAAATAAGGTTTCACAGATGAGATGTTTTACATTGTATAGACGGCCAGCAGTGTGCGTGTTAAGCTGGCATTAGAAGAACTGTGTCCAGAACTTCCAGCTGCCTTGGGTGTCTATGCAAATGGCATTTCCCTAGGAAAGCAGCTCCAGCCCTTGTTTGCTTTTCCCCCCTTTCCCTTCCCCTCGAAAAGGCAGTCTCCTGCTTTGTGCTCCTGGAGACCCCAGTACCTCCACGCCCCGCAAAGCCAGAGCAACAGTGGAACCTCACCTCACTGTGAGCTGAGCTGTGAGCTGCACCGAGCCTCGCCTTGACCCACTGTGCCCACAGCCCCCTTACCCAGCAGGCATTCCGAGAATCCTTAGGCGCCAGATAGGAAGAAGGCCCCAGCCACCAGAGTGGGCTGCGCTGCCGAGGGTCTGCAGCAGAGTGCAGGTCAGGCCTACCTGAGGAGTCAGTCACCCACGCTCTGCCTGCAAGACCCTTTCAAGCTCCCCACCCTGCCAACCTCCCCATCTGAGTAGACCCAGGACCACATCTCACCTTAGGTTGATACCCTAGCCCAACCCTTCCTGCACCAGCCTCAGTTTCCCCATCTATTGTGTTTTTGTTGGTGGTAGTGTTTTTTTGTTTGTTTGTTTGTTTGTTTTTGAGACAGTCTCACTCTATTGCCCAGGCTGGAGTGCAGTGGTGTGATCTCAGCTCAGGTGCAACCTCCGCCTCCCAGGTTCAAGTGATTCTCCTGCCTCAGACTCCCAGGTAGCTGGGATTACAGGCACATGCCACCACACCCGGCTAATTTTTGTATTTTTAGTAGAGTCGGGGTTTTACCATGTTGGCCAGGCTGGTCTCAACTCCTGATCTCAAGTGATCCACCCGCCTCAGCCTCCCAAAGTACTGGGATTACAGCACTTTGGATTAATTTATTAAATACCCATTACCCTCTACCACAAAGAAGGGACCTAATCTGAACCTTTAACCATCTGGCCTCTGGGCCCAGGCCCTCAGATTGACTTGATATGAATGGCAAAGATCCCATCACCAACTGGGCCTAGGCTGGCCTTAGGGCCCAGATCTGCATGGGAAAAGTGTGGAGCCAGGGAGCGGAAGGTGGGGAGCCTGCCCAGGAGGGTCCTTGCAGCAGCGACCTCCTGCTCTGGTCTCTCCTGGCCACCCCACCAGCCCAAGGGAGGCCCAGTCCTGTCAGCTCCTACCTGGCACCAGCTCTGAATGCCTTACTGGTCTCCAGCCTTCAGTGGAGCTCTCTCCAACCTAATCTCAAGGTAGCAGCCTCAACCCTGACCCTGTCACTGCTCTGTTCGGCTCCCTAGACCTGGCCTGGTGCAGTGCGGCTCACGCCTGTAATCCCAGCACTTTGAGAGGTGGAGGCAGGTGGATCACCTGAGCTTAGGAGTTTGAGACTAGCCTGGCTAACATGGTGAAACGCCATCTCCACTAAAAATACAAAAATTAACCAGGTGTGGTGGCGCTCGCCTATAATCCCAGCTACTTGGGAGGCTGAGGCAGGAGAATCACTTGAATCCAGGAGGCAGAATATGCAGTGAGCCGAGACCGCGCCATTGCACTCCAACCTGGGTGACAGAGCAAGACTTGTCTCAAAAACAAGTGGGGGGTTGTGCCACATCCACTAACAGGCCCTCCCCCTGTGGCCCTGCCACCCCAATCTTGGTTCCCGCGCTAACCACACTCAAGTATGCTTTCCATGGATGGTGCCTGGTCCTGCCATGCCTCCAAAGTCTTCAAATGTGCAGAGCTCACCAGCCAACCTCAGACCGGCCCATGCCTACGCCTATTGGTCCTTTTTTAAAAATTAAATTTTATTATTATTTTTTTCACAGACAGGGTCTCACCCGTTTGCCCAGGCTGGAGTGCAGTGGCCTGATCATGCTCACTACAGCCTCAAACTCCTGGGCTCAGGTAATCATCCCACCTCAGCCTCCAGGGTAACTCGACAGGTATGTACCACTGCACTTGGCTCATTTTTATAGAATTGCTGTAGAGATAGGGTCTTGCTTTGTTGCCCAGGCTTGTCTCGGAACTCCTGGCTTCAACTCCCGCCTGGGCCTCCCAAAGTACTGAGAGGATGGGTATGAGGCTGGCCTATTCGGGCATCACCTTCTTGGACCCTCAGAGTCTGCTTGGGGGCCTCCTGGGGGTCCTGCAGCCCCTGTCTCTGCTCCCCTCTGGCTCCAGCTGACCACTGCACTCCAGGCTGGGCTACAGGGCAAGACTCCATATCAGAAAAAAAAAAAATTAGAATGGAGATACTAGTAACACCTATTGCACAGGACTGTTGTGGGGATGAAATGATCCGGCACAGAGTAAACCGCTAAGAGAGGGGCTGCTGCTCTTATCAGTTTCTGGTTGTCAGCCCAAGGCCTGGCATAGAGCAGACATATGTTTGTTGACTGAAGACATGAAGGCAACCTATTCCCAGAGGACCCACTGTGAGGTCACTGCAGCTGCAGATACAGGAAACTGGACTGGTTTTTATTATCTTTTTTTTTCCAGCAAACTTGCAAATGAGTAGTTGAAACCCTTCTTTGGTGAAGGAAGACACACCTAGCCATGTGTCCCCACCCAGGCTACAGCCCGCACTTAGCCTCCTACACACTCACCAGTGGAAACACCAGGCGCCAGTCAGAAGCCCTATTTTACCCTAAGAGGTTAGGATGCAAATCTAGTATGTGCAGAAAAGAGTACCACACCCACGGCCTTGAGGGCACCTGCAGGGCTCCGAGTGGGAGGGAGGGCAGGTTCTGGACAGAGCAGCCTACATTTGGTGAACAGCTCTGCACTCGACAGCTCGCCTATGGCTCATCTGGAAGATGGGGAAACGCCATCTACCTCCCAAGCCCCTCCCAGGTTGCCCAGAAGCACAAGCAAGTAGAGATGTGTTCTGCTCAGCCCTCAGCAGGTGTTCGAGGGCCGAGGCTGCAGGAGTGTCAGAGCGGGGTTGGGGGCAGAGGTGGATGGGGCTGGACCTGAGGATGAGGTCGAACTCCTGGTAGGGACCCTCAGACTCTCATGACCTCGCCCAGTCCTGTCAAAGCCAAGCAGGCGGGATCTGACACTTCCTGTTTCACAGGCAGGCAAACCGAGAGGGTCAGGGGCCACGCTGGGGTCACAGGGAGGGCCAGCTGAGTGGGCCCAGCTAGAAAACCCTGGTCCAGTCTTCCACGTGCCACCCTCCCAGTCACAGCCTGGCCCTGGACCATGAGGGTGGGGTGGCACAAAGCCCTTGGAGCGCACACAACTCCAGTGTAACCCAGCAGGAAACGCCCTGAGCCTGCAGCCAGGCTGGACCTCAGTTCCACCCCCTGCTCGGCCCCTGCTGTGTGAGGCAGAACAACCAGCTCACCTCTGAGCCTTGCAGAAACAGCCGGGCCTCCAGGGCTGCTGAGAGGATGAAAACATACACTACTGCCCATTTTCCACCACCTAGCAGGGGCTCCATAAAAGCTGGTTAACACAATCAACAGCCTTAGAAGAGAGGAGACCAGAGGCCACTCACAGCTCAGGACGCCACGGTGGACTGAACATGTTGCTGCCTTTCTGGAGGGTAGTGTGACCATCAGCATCCACCAGTCACACACGCACATGACCTTTGATTTCTAGGGATGCATCCCACACACACCCCTGCATGGACCTGGCAGCCTTGAAAAATTGAAGCCATAGATCACAGGCACCGCTGTGCTGTCATCACAGCCCTTCGGGAGGCCGAGGCGGGCACGTCGCACGAGCCCAGTTCAAGACCAGCCTGGGCAATACAACGAGACCCCCTCTCTAAAAATAAATTAACAATAAAAAATTTTAAAAATATATGAAATGGGCCAGCCGCGGTGGCTTACACCTGTAATCCCAGCACTTTGGGAGGCCAAGGTGGGCAGATCATGAGGTCAGGAGTTCAAGACCAGCCTGACTAACATGGTAATAAAACTCCGTCTCTACCCCGTTTCAAAAAAAATTAGCCAGGTGTGGTGGTGCGCGCCTGTAATCCAGCTACTCGGGTGGCTGAGGCAGGAGAATCGCTTGAACCTGGGAGGAGGAGTTTGCAGTGAGCCGAGATCACACCATTACACTCCAACCTGGGCGACAAGAGCGAAAAACTCCATCTCAAAAAAAAAAAATATGGGCCGGGCGCGGTGGCTCACGCCTGTAATCCCAGCACTTTGGGAGGTTGAGGCGTGCAGATCACAAGGTCAGGAGATGGAGAGCATCCTGGCTAACACAGTGAAACCCTGTCTCTACTAAAAATACAAAAAAAATTAGCTGGGCGTGGTGGCGGGCGCCTGTAGTCCCAGCTACTCGGGAGGCTGAGGCAGGAGAATGGCTTGAACCCTGGAGGCAGAGCTTTCAGTAAGCCGAGATCATGCCACCACACTCCGGTCTGGGCGACAGAGTGAGACTGTCTCAAAAAAAAAAAAGAAAAAGAAAAAAAAAAATCCGTAGTATGTACCTTGTTTCCTCAAGTTTCAAGAAAAAAAAAAGACAGCTCACTTTTTTCTCTTTAAACACTGATGTGTAGCTAGTAACTTGGATAAAAAGGTGCCACCCTACAAAATGTGCTCAGCGTGTTCTGATTCCAGGATGGGCTTGGCTGCCTGGGCTGGGCCTGGGAGACCTCCGTCCGTCACAGTGGAAACTGAAGCCAAGTGCCAGTGCCGCATCCGGCTTCAAGATCTAGAATCAGAGCCTTTGAAATGGAAAAGGGGCATCTGAAACGGCACCCCCACCTGCGGCTTTCAGAGCTAAGGCTCCAGAATGAAGGGGTCACCTGGCTAGTGACAAGATGGGAGTCACCCTGAGCTGCAGCTCCCCCCAAGATTCCCCTGTGAGAGGCCCAATATGGAGTATTACTATTTTGAGACAGGGTCTCTCTGTCACCCAGGCTGGAGTGCAGTGGCATGAACATGGCTCACTGTAGTCTCCACCTCCCTGGGCTCAGGTGATCTTTCCACCTCAACTTCCCAAGTACCTGGGACTACAGGTGCACGCCACCACACCTGGCTAATTTTGTATTTTTAGTAAAGACGGGGTTTCACCAGGCCGGGCACGGTGGCTTACGCCTGTAATCCCAGCACTTTGGGAGGCCGAGGCGGGCGGATCACGAGGTCAGGAGATCGAAACCATTCTGGCTAACACGGTGAAACTCTGTCTCTACTAAAAATACAAAAATTAGCCGGGCGTGGGGGTGGGCGCCTGTAATCCCAGCTACTCGGGAGGCTGAGGCAGGAGAATCACTTGAACCTGGGAGGCAGAGGTTGTAGTGAGCCGAGATTATGCCATTACACTCCAGCCTGGGTGACAAGAACAAAACTGTCTCAAAAAAAAAAAAATGCATTTAATACATGTAACCTACCCAACGTCACAGCTTAGCCTTTTGGAGGCTCCCAGCACTTTAAGAGCACAAGGCGAAAGGATCACTTGAGCCCAGGAGGTTGAGGCTGCAGTGAGCTGTGACTGCGCCACTGCACTCCAGCCTGGGCGACAGAGTGAGACCCTGTATCAATAAGTTAGGGGAGGAGATTTTATTCTATGTCCTTTCCTGTTCGAACACCTATAAAAATAATCCTAACCGTAGAGGAAGTCTAACAGACTAATAATTCTCTTGACTGATTTTGAAATGACCCCAAAAAGGGGAAGCCTGTGCCTTTTTATCACCATGAAGGAAGCAGAGAATGCCAAGCCACCACCTGGGCCTACAGTTGTTAAGTTTCAAAAGTTCATATTTAAAACAAGTTCTGGGCCGGGGCGCGGTGGCTCCCTCCTGTAATCCCAGCACTTTGGGAGGTCAAGGCAGATGGATCAACTAAGGTCAGGAGTTCAAGACCCCCCGGTCAACATGGTGAAACAGTGTCTCTACTAAAAATACCAAAGTTAGCCGGGCGTGGTGGCGGGCACCTGTAGTCCAAGCTACTCGGGAGACTAAGGCAGGAGAATCACTTAAACCTGAGAGGCAGAGGTTGCAGTGAGCCAAGATCGTGCCACCGCACTCTAACCTGGGCAACAGAGCAAGACTCAATCAAAAATAAAAAATAGGCCAGACGCGGTGGCTCACACCTATAATCCTAGCACTTTGGGAGGTTGAGGCAGGTGGATCAACTGAGGTCAGGAGTTCACAACCATCCTGGCCAACATGGCGAAACCTCATCTCTACTAAAAATACAAAAACTAGCCAGGCGTGGTGGCGCACGCCTGTAATCCCAGCTACTAGGGAGGCTGAGGAAGGAGAATCACTTGAACCCAGGAGGTGGAGGTTGCAGTGAGCCGAGATCGCGCCACTGCACTCCAGCCCCCGCGACAGGAGTAAGGCTCCATCTCAAAAAAAAAATAAAACAAGTTCTGAAATGCTGAGGCTGAAGAATATGAAGACTGCTCACCCTGGCCCCGACCCTGAGGCTTGAGAGGCAGGTACGGCCCCTGGGCTCCACTTCAGTGTTTGGGTCTCCCCTATGAACTTGCACCCAGCCCTTTCACACCCCAGCTCCTCCTTTACATCCTCCCTCTGTTACCAACATCCCCCAGGCAGGCACGGGGGACTCACTGCTTCCTTGGGGCTCAGGCACAAGTCACTTCCTCCCCACCCTCCCCAGGACAGAATTAAATGCTCCTCATCTGTGTTGTCCCAGCACCTTGGGTAAACAGACCTGGATTGGGCACTCAGCCCATCAAGGTCTCGTTAAATGTTTACCTGTGTGTCTGCCCCAGCCAGTCGGGAACCTGCATGGCCCCAGAACAGAGCAGGGACCCAGTGAAAGCCGGTGAGAGGATGCAGACAGCCTGAGAGTTCACTGCAAAATCCTGAGAATGAGGGAAGGGGTTACTCTGGTGCTGGGCTCACGATGGCAGGCTGTTCCTGGCTGGGAGACCCTGGACTGGACAGTATCACCTTCTGTTAAAGGGCAGGAGGGAAAGCCCCATGGGCAGATGTAGCCCTGAGAAGGAGGTGAAATGCTGCATGCATGGTATGCAGTAAGTGCCCACTAAGAGGCAGCTCTCATTCTGTGAGCCTGTTGCTCTGCGAGGCGCACACCCGTGCTGACCACCTCACGGTCCGAGCTCGGATTTATCTTCATGATGCGCCATTGTCTGCACAGGGAATTTCAGCTCCTCCTGGAATCAGGTAGCTCTCTTTGCCCTCACATGAAAGGGAGCCTCTAATCTCGAAGATACTGTCACACACAATAAATGTCATCTCTTGGCCAGGCACGGTGGCTCGCACCTGTAATCCCAGCACTTTGGGAGGCTGAGGCGGGCGGATCACAAGGTCAGGAGTTCAAGACCAACCTGGCCAACGTGGTGAAACCCCATCTCTATTAAAAATACAAAAATTAGCCTGGTGTGGTGGCACGCGCCTGTAATCTCAGCTACTCGGGAGGCTGAGGCAGGAGAATCACCTGAACCCGGGAGGCAGAGGTTGCAGTGAGCTGAGATCACACCACTGCACTCCAGCCTGGGCAACAGAGCAAGACTCCATCTCGGGGAGGGGGCGGTCAAGAATACTTGATCTTAAATATCCAAAATGACAGGGACCCTCACTCAAATAAACAAGTGAGCTTTTCTCTCTTTGCTGCATGGCTTTTCAGTTTGGCTAACTGGGTGCCAAGTTCTGTCCCACCCCCAGAAAAACAGGTTTACCATGCAGTGCCTGGCGAGGCCCAGTGGTGTTTTGTATTGTCACATCCTAATATTGACACTAGGAAAATCAGCTGCCCTGTGTGCCCGCCCCTCTCCTGCCTGCCTCGGGGCCAACAAGGAACTTAGGGGCCACGGACTGATTTGCTCACATTCTATGTTTCTCCCAGGGCCCAGCCCCAACCAACCAGTGGCAGGACAAAGGGAGGCTAGGAAGTGGCCACATGTGTCCAGTTCAGACACACTGCTGGCTTCCTGGTGACCACCAACAGTAAGACTGGTGCGGAGACTTCCTCCATACGGCTCAAACTGTTCTGAGCACAGACGGTAGTCAAAATCTCATGGGATCCGCTAAGTCTGCAGCAGGGGAAGCAAAAAGCCATTAATTGTCTACACATTTAATAGGTTCACTAAAAACAGGATGCTTTCCAGGGAGAGGGGAAAATACCACCAGCAGTGGTGTCAGCTTCAAGACTCACTGGCCAATCAAGCCCTTCCTCAATTACATCCTTCCGTTGAGACGGGATCAGAAATGGGGGAAAAAAAAAGTACACGGTTATGAGTAGTCTCTGGTTTATCTGCAGCTCTGTGACACAAGACGTAATTTTTTTTTTTTTGAGATGGAGTCTCACGTTAGCCCAGGCTGAGTGCAGTGGCACCATCTCTGCTCACTGCAATCTCCGCCTCCTGGGTTCAAGCAATTCTCCCGCCTTAGCCTCCCAAAGTGCTGGGATTACAGGCAAGTCAAATGTGTAAGAATCTTGAGCCGGGTGAGGTGGCTCACGCCTGTATTCCCAGCCATTGCACTCCAGCCTGGGCAACAAGAGCGAAACTCCGTCTCAAAAAAACAAACAAACTTACAATAACTAACATGTATGCAGCCTCTCTATCCAGCCATAGAGTACCCAAGCTGTAACAGACACTGGGGATCTACCATTTGATGCTTTTTTAAATTTTCTTTTGACAGAGAGTCTCCCTATGTGGCCCAGGCTGGAGTGCCATGGTGTGATCTCCGCTCAGTGCAACCTCTGCCTCCCAGATTCAAGCAGTTCTCCTGCCTCAGCCTCCCAAGTAGCTGGGATTACAGACACACGCCACCACGACCGGCTAATTTTTGCATTTTTAAAAGAGACTGGTTTTGCCATGTTGGCCAGGCTCGTCTCACAACTCCTGACCTCAGGTGATCCATCTCCCTCGGCCTCCCAAAGTGCTAGGATTACAAATGTGAGCCACCATGCCCAGCCTAATGCTCCTTTTTTTGAGACAGGGTCTCACTCTGTCTCCCAGGCTAGAGTGCAGTGGCATGATCAGGGTTCACTGCAGCCTCAACCCCTCCAAGCTCAGGTAGGCCTCTGAACTCAGCCTCCTGCGTAGCTAGGACCAGAGGCACATGCCACCATGCCCGGTTAATTTTTTGTATTTTTGGTAGAGACAGGGTTTTACCATGTTACCCAGTCTGGTCTAGCCCAGTCTAGTCTCCTGAGCTCAAGCAATCCTCCTGCCTCAGCCTCCCAAAGTGCTAGGATTACAGGCACGAGTCAAATGTGTGAGAATCTTAGTCTTAACATCCTTAAGACAATTAAAAAAAAAAAAAGGGCCAGGCATAGGGGCTCACGTCTGTAATCCCAGCACCTTGGGAGGCTGAGGCAGGAGTATTTAAACACTCAAGCCGGGCGGGGTGGGTCACACCTGTAATCCCAGCACTTTGGGAGGCTGAGGCGGGTGGATCGCCTGAGGTCAGGAGTTCGAGACTAGCTTGGCCAACATGGTGAAACCCCATCTCTACTAAAAATACAAAAAATTAGCTGGGCCTCGTGGTAGGCGCCTGTAATCCCAGCTACTAGGAGGCTGAGGCAGGAGAACCGTTTGAACCCAGGAGGCCGAGGTTGCAGTTAGCCGAGACGGCGCCATTGCACTCCAGCCTGGGCAACAAGAGCGAAGCTCTGTTTCAAAAAAAAACAAAAAGAAACAAAAAACACCCAAACTGTGCCATTCCTGAGAACTTATTCCAAAGGCGTGCCCAAATTAAGTAGAAATCGGGGTGAGTCTTAACTCCAGGGAGGCTACTAACTTGAGAGGGGCTTTCACCTGGCCAGAAACCTCAGGGATACATTTTGCAGAGTGAACAGAACAAACTGAGGTTCAGAGAGATGGAGTGGCCCTTCCGAGGCCACAGGGCTGGAGAGTGGAAAGAGGTTTTGGCTTGGGTTCCATAAAGGGCCCTTGGCTTCTAGCTAGACAACCCTGGCATTTCTGTGCCTCCTGGGACTGAAATCTCTGTTTCTCCACCTGGAAGATGAGGCCTCCTGCTCCCAGGGGCAGACAGATGTTAAGAACTTCCCGGCGCTAGTGCCCACCAGACTGCGCTCCTCCTAATGCGGGGACATGAGGCTGACACCAATGCTCCCTGGGAAGCTCGGGCTCCCAGACCACAGTAAACACTGCGTTAAAACAGCAACAAAAATGTTACAATAGTAAGAGCTACAACAGTAACATCAACAACCACGTCCTACCCCACGAGTGGCTCATTCTAGCAAAATTGACAATGAAGGGCTTGAAAGCGATCGCATTTAGGAGGCCAGAGCCCAGACGACGACCAGCTCCGAACCCCACAAGCCTTGTCGTGACCGCGCCCCGCAGGCGGGGGGCCCCCTCGCGGGTCACCCGCAGGGGCGCACCTCCAATTTACCAAACAAGGTCGCATGCCCCAGCCGGGCTCTAGTCCCCGCCCAGTCTGGGGCGCACCTGTGCAGGGCGCGTGGGCAAGCGAGGGCGGGCGGCTGCGCGCCGCTCCGTGTGCACGTTCCTGTTCCGGACTTTCTGGGCGTCCCGTTACGAAGCCTTTCCTCGGCCCTTCCTCAGGTGCGCAGCGCCTCCGGGAGCCGGTCCCGGCGGCACCGGGCACGACGCCATCTTCCCTCTTTTAAGGGCACCGGGGCTGTGCGGCCGCGGCCGTGGGCTGGCGTTGCCGCGCTACGGTCTGGCCGGGTCCGCACGACCCCAGAGTTCGGAGCCGGGTGCCCGGAAGCCGCACTGGAGGACTGTGCGGCGGCGATGGGGCGTCCAGCCGTCGCGGCGAGACGCAGAGGGACCACCCCATTGCACAGGCGCGGAGACTGAGGCCCGCAGGGGCCGCGCCTGGCACGATCGCCCGTCGGGGACCTGGAGCCCCGGACAGAGAGGGTACGTTTCGGAGCCGGAGTCCCGAGACGTCGCCCCGCCAGCGACTTGCTGGAGCGGTAAAACCTGGGCACGGCTCCCCACACTTCCAGCCGCTCGGCACCCGGGCCGCGGCCTGGGCGCTAACCGCCGGGCTCGAGCTGGGCGGAGCAGCGGGCGGCAGCAGGGTCGGGGGCACTCACCTGGCGGCGGCGATGCTGGCAGCGTCTGTAAGCCACCCGGGAGGCTTCGTGTCTGCGGCCCGGCTGCCGGCGCGGGACCTAATAGGCCCGGGCGCCCCGCCCCTCCCGCCCCGCCCGGGTCCCGCCCCTCCCCGGGAGCGGCCTCTCGCACCCCGAGCGCGGAATCCCGGACTGGGGTCTGAATGGCATTGGCAACAGAACCGCTACAAGTGCAGCCCGTTGGCTTGTTTACAGCCTCTCTGCCCCCTGCTGTTCTGCAAGCTTGTTTTGTCCCGTGCGTCGCTGTTTCCCCTGCGCCCAGCACGGGCGTGCACTCAGGGGTTTCCATCAATATCGGGGGGATCGATCCATTGACAGAATCTGGCCCTTTACACGGATGGCCTCCGTTCGAGCTCAAAGTACTCCTCGGTGCTTTTTTTCACGATCATTTTACCCACGTGGAAACCGAGGCTCCAAGAGGACGAAATGACTTAAATGACAGCGTGAAGCCAGCGTTCAAAGACGTGTGCTCCTTAGGCTGGCAGCTTTGGGATTTAGGTGTTTTAAAGCCTATTTCACAAATATGAAAACCGAGGTTCACATTTGGTTAGCAGCAGCATCCAGTGATCCATACCCGAAGCCAGGGGGCTGCCCCTCCACTGCCGCCCGTCCGCAGCCTTCCAGCTGCATGACACACCCACTGCCTTCCCCCTCCCGTCGGGGCTCCGGGTCCGCGAGAGGCGGGCGGGACTGGGAGGGATTGGGGGCAGGGGGCTCACGTGCAGACCTGGTGAGACGGACCCCACAGCGCCTGGCGGGGCGAACAGAGAAATCAGAAAGCTTCCAGGCGGGGTGGGCGGGTGGGCAGCCTGCTACGCGGGGATGGGTAGGACCTAACTCCAGCCCTGGGGTATATTGGGGGTGGGAGAAGGCAGAGCGCTCCTGGAATAACAAAGTAACAATTGTCCTGGGCACGGCAAAGCTTGTTTACTTCTGTCTTGATCCCCTCAGAGATTAGGGGAGGGGCAGGGACAGGGGTTCCCCTCCCCCAGCTCTGTCGTTTGCTACCTGTTGGGTACCCTCACTCTGTTCTTCCCACCTCTAGGGTAATTACTTCCCCTTCAATGTTCTCATCTGTGAAATGGACAACAGCACCTACCAAGAGCTGGGCTGTTGGGAGGAACAGAGGAGGTAAAGTGTGATAAAGTCTTCAGAGCCCCTCCCGCCTTCCGGGCTCTGGACCTTCTTTGCTTTTGTGGGGTTTTTTTGTTTGTTTTTGTTTTTGTTTTTTTGAGACAGAGTCTAGCCCTGTTGCCCAGGCTGGAGTGCAGTGGCACAATCTTGGCTCACTGCAACGTCTGTCTCCCAGGTTGAAGCAATCCTCCCGCCTCAGCCCCCCTAGTAGCTGGATTACAGGCGTGTGCCACCATGCCCGGCTAGTTTTTGTATTTTTAGTAGAGACGGGGTTTTGCCATATTGGCCAGGCTGGTCTTGAACTCCTGACACCAGGTGATCCACCGGCCTCGGGCTCCCAAAGTGCTGGGATTACAGGCGTGAGCCACCACTCCCGGCCCTGTAGTCTTTTCTTCTAGGGCCTCCAAACTACATCAACCCCTACAAAGCAGCTCGCCCTGACTGTGGCTAACAGCCACAGAGTGCCTTACAGTCAGGAGCAGGGAACCCTTCATAATGGGGGCTTCCCTCTGAATGCATTTTGCAGATGAAAAAATTGAGACTCAGGGAGGTAAAGCAATGACACGGGGTCTCATGGGTCCGAAAGACCTGATATATGTGAGATGCTTGCAGAGGGGTCTTAAGGCTGGAGGCACAGTGCCAGGTATGTAGGAGATGTTCAGTAAACATTAGCAGAAAAGATGGAGAAAGAAGGACCGTTTGGGGACACTGGATGATTCAAGGGCAGAGTGGGTGCAAATACAGTACTTATTTACTTTGCAAAATCCCAAGACAATATGCTGATCAAAAGGAGGAAGAGATGGCTGGGCATGGTGGCTCACGCCTATAACCCCAGCACTTTGGGAGGCCAAGGCAGGTGGATCACCTGAGGTCAGGTGTTTGAGACCAGCCTGGCCAACATGACGAAACTCCATCTCTACTAAAAATTAAAAAACTAGGCCAGGCGCGGTGGCTTGCGCCTGTAATCTCAGCACTTTGGGAGGACAAGGCAGGCGGCTCATCTGAGGTCAGGAGTTTGAGACCAGCCTGACCAACATGGAGAAACCCCATCTCTACTAAAAATACAAAATTAGCTGGGCGGGGTGGCACATGCCTGTAATCCCAGCTACTCGAGAAGGTTGAGGCAGGAGAATTAGGGAGGCAGAGGTTGCAGTGAGCTGAGACCACGCCATTATACTCCAGCCTGGGCAACAAGAGTGAAACTCTGTCTCAAAAAAAAAAAAAAAAAAGTAGCGGGTGTGATGGCACTCACCTGTAGTCCCAGCTACTTGGGAGGCTGAGGCAGAGAATTGCTTGAACCTGGGAGGCCTTGATTGCAGTGAGCCAAGATCGTGCCACTGCACTCCAGCCTGGGCAACACAGCAAGATTCTTCTGTCTAAAAAAAAAAAAAAGCTCACGAAGGAAACTGTCTTGGAGATGCATGATCGCATGATCTATTGAATGAAATGGCATGCTGTATAAATCACTGTGTCCATTAGAATCCTATATTCTTTAAAAATCCATGTATGGCTGGGCAAGGTGGCAGGTGCCTGTAATCCCAGCACTTTGGGAGGCCGAGGCAGGCAGATCACAAGGTCAGGAGATCGAGACCATCCTGACTAACACAGTGAAACCCCATCTCTACTAAAAATACAAAAAAATTTAGCTGGGTGTGGTGGTGGACGCCTGTAGTCCCAGCTGCTCAGGGGGCTGAGGCAGGAGAATGGCGTGAACCCGGGAGGCGGAGCTTGCAGTGAGCCGAGATTGTGCCACTGCACTCCAGCCTGGGCAACACAGCGAGACTCTGTCTCAAGAAAAAAAAAAAAAAATCCATGTGTGAAAGTCTGGAAGGAAATATAGCACAGCAAAATGGGAATAGTAGTCATCTCTGGGCATCATGAAGTTCATTACCAGGCACACCTAATCTATGGCGCTAGAGGTGACATTGGCGGCTCCCTCTCCAGGGTGAAGATGGGTATTGGCTGGGAAGGGGCATTATGGAACTTTCTGGGGTGACACAGATGGTGGCTGCAGGGGTGCATATGTATGCAAACAGCTGAATGCTTAGGAACTGTGCATGTTTTGGTATGTCAATTAAACTCAATACTAATACAGGTGTATTGAGTTTTTGTTTGTTTGTTTTTGTTTTGTTTTGTTTTTGAGATGGAGTCTCACTCTGTCACCCAGGCTGCAGTGCAGTGATGCCATCTCAGCTCACTGCAACCTCCGCCTCCTGTGTTCAAGAGATTCTCCTGTCTCAGCCTCCAGGGTAGCTGGGACTACAGGCATGCACCACCACGCCCGGCTAATGTTTTTTTTTTTTTTTTTTTTTTCTGTATTTTTAGTGGAGACGGGATTTCACCCTGTTGGCCAGACTGGTCTTGAACTCCTGACCTCAGGGAATCTGCCCACCTCGGCCTCCCAAAGTGCTGGGATTACAGGTGTGAGCCACCACGCCTGGTCCTATTAGTTTGTTTTTTTGTTTTTGTTTTTGTTTTTGTTTGGAGACAGCGTCTCACTTTGTCATCCAAGTTGGAGTGCAGTGCAGTGGCGTGATCTTGGCTCACTGCAACCCCTGCCTCCTGGGCTCAAGTGATTCTTGTGCCTCAGCTTCCTGAGTAGCTGGGATTATAGGCGTGCATCACCACACCCAGCTAATTTTTGTATTTTTAGTAGAGACAGGGTTTCACCATGTTGGCCAGGCTGGCCTGGAACTCCTGGGCTCAAGGGATCCGCCCACCTTGGCCTCCCAAAGTGCTGGGATTACAGGTATGAGCCACCGCTCCCAGCCGTGGTTTAGTTTTCTGCCTTGTGTTTTCATGTATTTTCCGGATTGTCTAGATAAACGTGCAAAAACATTATCTTTTTTTAGAAGAGGAAGAAAACTATGTTTGGTCTTAACTGAAGCCAGAGCCAAGCCAGAGACAATGCCAAATGCCTACCTTCAAGACAGTGGCAATGCAGGGACAGACAGAAAGTGACTGTGGCGTCAAGCAAGGGAAAACTAAGCGCCAGGCTCCCACAGAGGACACAAATATATCAGGGAAAGCTTCATGGAGGAGGAGATATTTGAGGGGAATTCAAAGAAGGGACTGGATTCCAACCAGAATAGAAAGGTGAATGTGGCCTAATTATCCTGTCGGTACTGGGGAGCTATGGAAGGACACTGAGCTGGAAAGGAACAAGAGGTTAAGGAATTGGAATCTAGCAGCCATGCGGAGGGGTATTGAAGGGAAAATAATGCCCATTGTCTCCGAGAGTGCCCAGGGCTCCTAAATAGAGGTATTGCAGCCTCCGTCCAACTGATTGGCGTACCCAGGCTGCCCCCCGACCCACAGCTGGCCAGCAGTACATCCGTCAGCTGGCATTCTGCACACCCAGCCTGGACTCAGCTCCGAAGCTGTGAGGCCCTCCATGGACAGAGCTGTTGTACATCCTCTGAAAACTTTTTTTTTTTTTTTTAAACTGAGTCTCGCATTGCCGCCCCGGCTAGAGTGCAATGGCACAATCTTGGCTCATTGCAACCTCCACCTCCCAGGTTCTAGCGATTCTCCTGCCTCAGCCTCCCAAGTAGCTGGGATTACAAGCGCCTGCCACCAAGCCTGGCTAATTTTTTGTAGAGATGGGGTTTCACCACGTTGGCCAGACTGATCTCGAACTCCTGTCCTCGTGATTCGCCCACCTTGGCCTCCCAAAGTGCTGGGATTATGGGCGTGAGCCACCGCGCCCAGCCCTTTTTTTTTTTTTTTTTCTGAGACATATTCTCACCCTGTCGCCTAGGCTGGAGTGCAGTGGTGCGATCTTGACTCACTGCGACCTCCGCCTCCTAGGTTCAAGCGATTCTCCCGCCTCAGCCTCCCAAGGCTCTGAGATTATAGGCACGCACCTCACGTCCGGCTAATTTTTGTATTTTTTAGTAGAGATGGGGTTTCACTGTGTTGGCCAGGTTGGTCTTGAACTCCTGGCCTCAAGTGATCAGCCCACCTCCACCTCCCAAACTGCCGGGATTACAGGTGTGAGCCACTGCGCCCAGCCTAGGAAACTTTATTACATTCCCAGTTTATCGGTGAGGAGACTGAGGCTTTGAGAGGCCAACTGAGCTGTAGGGTGGAGGGGCATAGACACTGCACCTGACATGAGGGGTGGAGGCTGCCCTTCACAGCTGTGTGAGCTTGAGCACAGCCTCGTGCATCAGAGGCTGTCTTTCCCACACTCTCTGGGAAATGGAGATTGCGATACACAACTCATAAGGATGTTGGCAGGATGTCAGACCCAATGCCAAGTGATCTTCACTATTGTCCGAGGCTGGTGGTGGGGCTACTGCTTCCCTTCTTCTCCTGCTTATTTTACTTTCTTCCACAGCACCTTCTGCTCTCTTACATATTTAGTCACCTGTCTATTTGCTTATTGTCTGACTCCCATCCCCCACTAGAATCTAAACCAGACTCATCCTGCGCCGCTCATATAGTAGGTGCTCAGTAAATAGCTGGGGGTTTTTTGGTTTGTTTTTTTGTTTTTTTGTTTGTTTTTTGTTTTTGAAACAGTTTCCCTCTTGTCACCCAGGCTGGAGTGCAATGGTGCAATCTCAGCTCACTGCAACCTCCACCTCCCAGGTTCAAGCAATTCTTCTGCCTCAGCCTCTTGAGTAGCTGGGATTACAGGCATGCGCCACCAAGCCTGCTAATTTTTGTACTTTTAGTAGAGACAGGGTTTTGCCATGTTGGCTAGGCTGGTCTCAAACTCCTGACCTTAGGTGATCTGCCTGCCTTGGCCTCCCAAAGTGTGGGCAGAAAGCCACCCAGTTGCAGAGGCAAGAGACTGAAGGCACAAGCTGTTCCAATATAATAAAGAAAATAGGATAAGAGAAAGTTATATTAGAAATAGGATATAGAGATGATTATATATGGATATTATCAATCATTAGTTTCTAGTATTAATCTTTGTATTATTATTATTATTATAATAACCGAGGAAAAACCAGGCCATACAGAGTCAGGAGCTGAAGGGACATTGTGAGAGGTGACCAGAAGACAAGAGTGTGAGCCCTCTGTCACACCCGGATAAGGGCCACTTGAGGGCTCCTTGGTCTAGTGGTAGCGCCAGTGCCTGGGAAGGCACCCGTTACTTAGCAGACCAGGAAAGGGAGTTTCCCCTTCCTTGGGGGAATTAGAGAACACTCTGCTCCACCAGCTCTTGTGGGAGGCCTGACATGACTCGGGCCTGCCCATAGTCATCCGGAAGCTTCAACGTCTCCCTGTGGTGCTGTGCTTCAGTGGTCACGCTCCCTGTTCACTTTCATGTCCCGCCTGTACACCTGGTGCCTCTTTTAAGTTCCTAGAAGATAGCAGTAGCAGAATTAGTGAAAGTATTAAAGTCTTTGATCTCTCTGATAAGTGCATAGAAAAAACGCTGACGTCTGCTATCCTCCCTCTCTGCTTTAGCAACCACAAAGGGAAAGGCTCCCTGTCACGTGGACACGTGACTTGCTTGACCTTATCAATCACTTGGGATGACTCACTCTCCTTCCCCTGCCCCCTTGCCTTGTATACAATAAATAGCAGTGCGTCCAGGCATTCGGAACAACTACCGGACTCCGTGCATTGGTGGTAGTGGCCCCCTGGGCCCAGCTGTCTTTCATACTCTCTCTTACTCTTGTGTCTTTCTTTCTATGTCTCCGCACACGACGAGAAAACCCACAAGGCCCAGTAGGGCTGGACCCTACGCCAAAATGCTAGGATTACAGGCGTGAGCCACCATGCCCAGCTGTATAGCTGTTGAAGAAATGCATGCATGTTGTGTGCATTAGGGCCAAAGAGACACATCTATTTTTGGGTGATTTCCTCCCTCTGTCCCTCTCTTGGTTCTTCCCCCCGATAGGCTTCTCCTTGAACAACAGTTAAGAACAACTTCTGGGCCGGGTGCAGTGGCTCACGCCTGTAATCCCAACACTTTGAGAGGCTGAGGCGGGCAGATCACCTGACCTCAGGAGTTTGACACCAGCCTGGGCTACGTGGTGAAACCCCATCTCTACTAAAAATACAAAAAATTAGCCAGGCATGGCAGCATGTGCCTGTAGTCCCAGCTATTTGGGAGGCTAAGGCAGAAGAATTGCTTGAACCCAGGAGGTGGAGGCTGCAGTGAGCCAGGATCGTGCCACTGCACTCCAGCCTGGGTGACAGGGTGAGACTCCAGCTCAAAAGCAAACGAACACAAAAGAACAGCTTCTGCTGAGGCTTCACAGCTTCTCTCTCTCTCTTTTTTTTTTTTTTTTTTTTTTTTTTTTGAGACAGAGTCTCGCTCTGTCACCCAGGCTGGAGTGCAGTGGCGTGATCTCGGCTCAATGTAACCTCTGCCTCCCCACTTTGAGCGACTCTCCTTCCTCAGCCTCCTGAGAAGCTGGGATTACAGGCACCCACCACCACACCTGGATAGTTTTTATATTTTTTATTGAGACAGGGTTTCACCATGTTGGCCAGGCTGGTCTTAAATCTTGACGTCAAGTGATCCACCTGCTTCAGCCTTGCAAAGTGCTCAGTTTATAGGCATGAGCCATCGTGCCCAGCCCTCTCTCTCTCTCAGTCTCTCTCTCTCTCTCTCTCTCTATATGTATATATATGTGTGTATGTATGTATATATGTATATATGTGTATATATGTATATATGTGTATATGTGTATATATGTATATATGTATATATGTGTATATGTGTATATATGTATATATGTATATATGTGTATATGTGTATATATGTATATGTGTATATATGTGTATATATGTATATATGTGTATATATATGTATATGTGTGTATATATATATGTGTATATATATATATTTTCTTTTTTTTTTGAGACAGAGTCTCACTTTGTCTCCCAGGCTGGAGTGCAGTGACGCATTCTCGGCTCACTGCAACTTCCACCTCCTGGGTTTAAGCCATTCTCCTGCCTCAGCCTTCCAAGTAGCTGGGACTACAGGCGTGTGCCACCATGCCTGGCTAATTTTTTGTATGTTTAGTAGAGAGGAGGTTTCACTGTGTTAGCCAGGATGGTCTCGATCTCCTGACCTTGTGATCCGCCCGCCTCGGCCTCCCAAAGTGCTGGGATTACAGGCGTGAGCGCCCGGCTTTAACTTTTTTTTACAGACATTATGTTGAATGAAAGAAGCCAGACACGAGGCCAGGTGCGGTGGCTCACGCCTGTAATACTAACACTTCGGGAGTCCAAGGCAGGTGGATCACCTGAGGCCAGGAATTTGAAACTAGCCTGGCCAACCCTGTCTCCACTAAAGACACAAAAATTAGCCGGGTGTGGTGGTGCACGCCTGTAATCCCAGCTACTCGGGAGGCTGAGGCAGGAGAATTGCTTGAACCAGGGAGGTGGAGGTTGCAGTAAGCCAAGATCGTGCCACTGCACTCCAGCCTGGACAACAAGAGCGAAACGCCATCTCGAAAAAAAAAAAAAAAAGAAGCTGGACACAAAATAAAGCATGCTGTAATTCCATTTCTATGACGTTCATAACTAGGCATAACTAGGCACAACTAATCTACGGCATTAGATGTGAGATCGGTGACTCCCTCTCCAGGGTGGGGATGGGTATTGGCTGGGAAGGGGCATGATGGAAGCTTCTGGGGTAACACAGATGGTGGCTGCAGGGGTACATATGTATGCAAACATACATTGAACTGAATGCTTAGGATCTGTGCACTTTTGGGTATATCAATTAAAACTCAATACTAAACAATAAAATCAAAGCAAAGCCCAGTGGATCAAACTTGAAATAGTCAACATCAAGGATTTTAATCCAGATCTGGATTCACAGCTGCCAGGGTGCTTGGTAGGCCAAGGCCATGGTGAGATCTGAGAGGCCAGCTTTGCAGGTGACAAGAATAATGTAACTGAAAACAGGACCAGTGCATTTCAGAGCAAATTATGGAGGCTCAACCCGCCAGGCCTCTCAGCTCAGTGCCACAGCCATGTAACAGACACACGTTTGGGCCAGATATCCAAATGGCTAGTGTGACCAACATAATCTACTGTGGCCTGTCAGGAGGATGGAGAACAGGCCTCCATTCTGTGAGACAATTCCAGGAATCCAGGGTCAGAAAAGAGGTGATCTCAGCTCCTGCAGCATTGCGGAGGCCTTGGGCAGCAGTCCGGAGACGTCCTACAGTGATGGCCACTGCTGTCCCTGCCAGGAGCAGGCTCAAGGCCCCAGATTATCACCCAAGCCGGGTCTGATGGGAGGGGCTAGGCCCATGTGGTGTAAGCAGGAAGGACCTCCAGTCCTGCGGAACCTCCTTTCGCCCAGAAATAACATCCCTTCTGACAACTGAGCTTATCAGAGTGATAGCAGATATTTTCAAAACAATAGCAGCTCTGGCAGCTCCTGGGGTTCAACCTGCACCCTCAACGAGGATGGGGTGGCCATGGAATTGGCAGTGGCCGCCACCCACACCTCTGCTCTCAGGGCACTCTGGGAAAGACCTCTTCATCTCCTTTTTTTTTTTGGAGACAGAGTTTCCCTCTTGTTGCCCAGGCTGGAGTGCAATGGTGCGATCTTGGCTCACCGCAACCTCTGCCTCCTGGGTTCAAGTCATTCTCCTGCCTTAGCCTCCCAAGTAGCTGGGATTACAGGCGCCCGCCACCATGCCTGGCTAATATTTTTGTATTTTTAGTAGCGACGGGATTTCACCATGTTGGCCAGGCTGGTCTCGAACTCCTGACCTCAGGTGATCTACCCGCCTCAGCCTCTCAAAGTGCTGGGATGACAGGCCTGAGCCACTGTGCCTGGCTGGGAAGAATCTCTTCTAGCCAACCTTCCCCTGGTCTATCAGCCCCAACACGGGTGTACATTTTTGCTCCTCTGCACCCCAAAAAGCGGACCCTCAGTAGATGTCTGTTGCACAAATGAGTGGATTTTTCCATCCCTTTTCATCTCCACAACAACCTTAAGAGACAATTTCTGCTGTTGCCACTTTACAGGAGAGGAAACTGAGGCCAGACAGGCAAAATGATGCCCTGAGGTCTTGTGGGCCATGGGAGGACCCAATTTCTCATTCCAGGCCCACAGGTCTCCTGGTTTCACCACTCTCTCCAACTTTCCTTCTCCTGCCTCGAAGAATGAGGAAGACTCAGGAGATACAGCATGCTGGGATTTTCCCCTCTCGTGAGTAACCATTTCTTTTGAAGTTCTGTAATAGTCATATCTCTTTTGCCCCAGGAAGTTTATGTTACCATGTCCCCACGAATCATGAAAGAGATGCAAAGAAAAGCAGCAACAATGCTCTCAGTATTTCATCCTTTGATGGCCTGTCAGATAGGCAGGAGCCTGGCCGTCTTGTCAGCCTGTGCTGGAAATACACACGGACACACCCTCTTAGGAGGGCAGTCTGGTGAATACCTCAAAACATTTAAAATGTGGGGCAGGGCCGGGCACCGTGGCTCATGCCTGTAATCCCAGCATTTTGGGAGGCCGAGGCGGGTGGATCACAAGATCAGAAGATCAAGACCATCCTGGCCAACATGGTGAAACCCCATCTCTACTAAAAATACAAAAATCAGCTGGGCATGGTGTCATGCGCCTCTAGTTCCAGCTACTCAGGAGGCTGAGGCTGGAGAATCACTTGAACCTGGGAGGCGGAGGTTGCACTGAGCCGAGATTGCACCATTGCGCTCCAGCCTGGGTGACAAGAGTGAGACTCTGTCTCAAAAAAAAAAAAAAGTGCATGGTTGGGCCGGGCATGGTAGGTCACACGTGTAATCCCAGCACTTTGGGAGGCCAAAGCAGGCGGATCACTTGAGGTCAGGAGTTCGAGACCAGCCTGGCCAACATGGTTAAACCCTCTCTTCACTAAAAATACAAAAATTAGCCAGGCAGGGTGGCGCATGCTTGTAATCCCAGCTTCTCTGGAGGCTGAGACACGAGAATCACTTGAACCCAAGAGGTGGAGGTTGCAGTGAGCCGAGATGGCACCACTGTACTCCAGCCTGGGCAACAGAGTGAAAATGCGTCTCAAAAAAAAAAAAAAAAAAAAAAAGACCAGCCTGGCCAACATGGCAAAACGCCATCTCCACTAAAAATACAAAAATTAGCCGGGCATGGTGGTGGGCGCCTGTATTCCCAGCTACTCGGGAGGCTGAGGCAGGAGAATCACTTGAACCTGGGAGGTGGAGGCTGCAGTGAGCCAAGACTGCGCCACTGCACTCCAGCCTGGGCAGCAGAGTGAGGCCCTGTCTCAAAAAAAAAAAAAAAATGACCCAGATATGTATTTCATTTAGGACATTCTAGATAGAAGGACTCCTGTGAGCGAGCCAAGGTGAGGAAGACAAAGTCTGAGTGTTGACATGTAGCAGCAAAAGCTAGCCTGGCTCTTTGCCTCGGAAGGAAGGGAGCTACCAGCCAAGTTGGCTGCAGGGGGTAAGGCCGGGAACTGCAGGGGCTAGAGAATTCCAGACAGGAGGCCCCAGTGGGAACCTGGAACCTGGAGGTGGGTGGAAGCCCTTGTCTCAGCTGCCTGTGAAGCATTTGCAGGGTTAGTGTTATTTTTCTGCTTCTCTCTAACCTGGTGAAGTGTGTAGCATGAGCCCATTTCACAGACGCGGAAGCTGACTTCAGCCAGGGTCAGCCCTCCTGCACAACCCCAGTTTGAACTCAGGTGTGTCCAAGTTTCAATTTCTTTCTTTCTTTTTTTTTCTTTTTTTTGAGACGGAGTTTCGCTCTTGTTGCCTCAGCCTCCTGAGTAGCTGGGATTACAGGCACGCACCACCATGCCCAGCTAATTTTTGTATTTTTAGTAGAGACGGGGTTTCACCATGTTGGCCAGAATGGTCTTGATCTCCTGACCTCGTGATCCACTCACCTCGGCCTCCCAAAGTGCTGGGATTACAGGCATAAGACACCGTGCCCAGCTGGACCAGGCAGATATTCTACAGGGTCCGGGCCAGGACTGTGTTGGCCCCAGACAAGCTCTGGGCCTGGGCCAGCCTCTACATGTCTGTGAGCCTCAGGTTCCTTCTGTGCTAAACAGGGAAAACCTAAAAGGGACTGCTGTGGGGTCAAGTGGACGTCCTGATGTAAACCAGACCTTAGTTCTCATTTTCCTGCCTTTCCTGTTGGGGCTGGGAGCTTAAATGATTGACAGAAACTTTTTTTTTCTTTTTTTTGAGACAGAGTCTCACTCTGTGGCTCAGGCTGGAGAGCAGTGGTGCCATTATAGCTCATTGCAGCCTCCAACTACTGGGCTTAAGCAATCGTCCTGCTTCAGCCTCCAAAAATGTTGGGACTACATAAGCCCAGCAGGAACTCTTCCGCCATCTCTCGCCAACACCACCCTGCCTTCCTGTTGCCCCATTGCCCTTCCCTGGCTCCCTCAGCTGTGAGTACTGCCTCCGGCGCTGTCTGGGGGTGAGGTGTGCAGTGCGCCTGACGGAGGGAGCAAGGAGGGCTCACTGAAGTCAAGACCCACATTCCTGGCACAGTTTGCTGTCTTCAATTCTGCCTCCTCAACAGCATTGCAAGGTGGGGTGCATGGCTCCTTCCTGATGGAGAAACCAAGGCCCAGGGACCTGGAGGGCCGAGCTTAGGTCCAGTGAAGAGGATCAGAGGTTCAGCTCTCTTCTTCTTCTTCTTTTATTTATTTTTTTTATTATTATTATTTTTTTAGATGGAGTCTCGCTCTGTCACCCAGGCTGGAGTGCAGTGGCACGATCTCAGCTCACTGCAAGCTCCGCCTCCTGGGTTCTCGCCATTCTCCTGCCTCAGCCTCCCAAGTAGCTGGGACTACAGGCGCCCACTACCACGCCTGCTAATTTTTTGTATTTTTAGTAGAGATGGGGTTTCACCATGTTAGCCAGGATGGTCTCGATCTCCTGACCTCGTGATCCGCCCGCCTCGGCCTCCCAAAGTGCTGGGATTACAGGCGTGAGCCACCGCGCCTGGCCTTTTTATTTATTTATTTATTGAGACGGAGTTTCGCTCTTGTTGCCCAGGCTGGAGTACAATGGTGCAATCTCGGTTCACCGCAACCTCCACCTCCCGAGTTCAAGTGATTCTCCTGCCTCAGCCTCCCGAGTAGCTGGGACTACAGGCATGTGCCACCACGCCCAGCTATTTTTAGCAGAGATGAAGTTTCTCCATGTTGGTCCGGCTAGTCTTGACCTCCCAACCTCAGGTGATCTCCCTGCCTCGGCCTCCCAAAGTGCTGGGATTACAGGCGTGAGCCACCGCGCCCAGCTCAGATCTCTTCTGAGGCAGTCTTGCTGCATCCCAGGAGGACCCAGGCCTGAGAGGAGTCTGGGGGTCCTAGCTGCCTGCTCGTTATAGGGTGCAGTTCTTCCCTCCATCCTTCACAGGCCTTACTGGTCATGTTTCAAGGCCAGGCCCATGTAGGTCTCTGGGGTACAGAGTAGAGCCTCTCCAGGCAGGTGAGAGCAGCAGACCGGTGACTGGTCAGCCCCGTAAGACGGGCTCTGTGCTGCCTGGGCTCCCTGAGCCTCCCTTACCTGCACCCCACCTCCCAGGCTCCGCTATCCACAACCCCTCACCCACACACCTCTGCCTTCCTCCTCCACCATCCAGCTGATACAAAAGAAAGAGCACCAAACACAGAGGCCTCCAGACCTGGACTCAGATCCCCTCTGGAAGCCGCTGGCTCCTCCTGGCTTGCAGGGGTCCAACCCCAGGCAATCTGGAGGAAGTCGGACAAAGGATCCGTTTCTGCGTCTCACTGGGCCGTGGGAGAGCGTGCAGGACCCAGCTCCCGGGAAGATCAGCCCCATCTTCCTCAGCTGGGGCCTCTGCTGTCTGTGCTGGGTGCTGCTTAGCAGGGGGTTGGGGAGGAGCTCTAGTCCCTTCCAGCTTCAAGCCCCTTGTCCCAACCCTCCCCACCAACCTTGGGTCCTGCTGTGGGTGGGGTGAACACACACATACACACACAGTCACTCACATGTGTTGGGAATGAAGTTTTTGGTGTCACACACAAAAAAAATTAACACAGAAACAAATGATCTCTCGGCAAGGTGCGCTTTACTTTCTGCAGAAAGGGCGCTGCTCAATAGCTGCTCAGCCACGAGAGCACACTGAGCGAAGGAGACTGTTATTTATAACCTAACGCATCTACCCTACTGCTGTGTCCAGTTTCCATTGGCTGGAATAGGACCTCACATTTTACACTTTACTCGATTGGCTATTGGTTTAAAACGTTTTAATTGGGTAAGGGGGACAGAACAAAGAAAGAAAAGGAAGTTGCCCAGGGATAGTTAAGGGAGCATCTCCAAATAAGGAATGGGACGCACTATGGGCTGGGGCTTTCTATTCTTTTTTTTTTTTTTTTTTTTTTTTTTGAGACGGAGTCTCGCTGTCACCCAGGCTGGAATGCAGTGGCACAATCTCGCCTCACTGCAGACTCCGCCCCCTGGGTTCACGCCATTCTCCTGCCTCAGCCTCCCGAGTAGCTGGGACTACAGGCGCCTGCCACCTCCCAGGCTAATTTTTTGTATTTTTAGTAGAGATGGGGTTTCACCATGTTAGCCAGGATGGTCTCCATCTCCTGACCTCGTGATCCACCCGCCTCGGCCTCCCAAAGTGCTGGGATTACAGGCCTGAGCCACCGCACCCGGCCCGGCTGGGGCTTGTCTAGTTCTGTCCAGGCATGCCGGAGCAAGCTAGGACAGCTGATAGGACACTATATATATATATATAGTGGATAGCAATCTTACAGTAAGAAATTGTGACTTTTTATAATCTTTGAAGAACTTTCCCATTTCTCACACACACACACACACACCACACACACACTCTCACACTCACACAAACACACCACACACACAATAACACTCATTCACACACACAACACACATACACTCACACACAACACACACTCACACTCACACACACTCTCACACTCACACAAACACACCACACACACAATAACACACACACACAACACCCATGCACTCACACACAACCCACATATACTCACACTCACACACACTCTCACACTCTGGGCATGCGGTCCTCTCTGAGCAGCTTCCCCTTGATTGATCATGAACAGTCTTCCTAGGAGCTGCCCTCTGTGCGGGCTGCATGCTGAGCACGGTCACTGGCATGGTCTCATCTGATCGTCACAGCTGCCCCGGGAAGCTGGTTCTATTATTAACTCCATTGTAAAGAGCAGGAGCGAGCAGAGGTTAAGCACTCGAAGTCCACTTGTGGGGAGGCTCTCTGGGGTACCAGTCGGTACTTTTGTTATTGTCCTTTAACCTTCCCTGACCGGACACCTCCTCGGCTTTACCTGGGTGGACACTTGGGTCCCCAGGACTGGGGAACTGGGGCACGGGGGACTTGGTTGCCCAGCAGGAGGGCAAAGGGGTGGAAATGGATGAGAAGGGAAGGGGGAGAGAAGGAGGGAATGGAAAGCCAGGCCCCCCAAGGGAAACAAACAGCCACCCTGTGGGCGGTTCTTGGAGGAATAACAGGTAGGGGCGGCCCTCGTCTCCCACCAGCTCTGGGGATTGAAGATTATTTTCTTTTCTTTTTTTTTTTTTTTTTGAGACTGAGTCTCCCTCTGTTGCCCAGGCTGGAGTGCAATGGTGCAATCTCGGCACACTGCAACCTCCGCCTCCCAGGTTCAAGCAATTCTCGTGCTTCAGCCTCCAGAGTAGCTGGGATTACAGGCACGTGCCACCACGCCTGGCTAATTTTTTGTATTTTTGGTAGAGCCAGGGTTTCGTCAAGTTAGCCAGGCTGATCTCAAACTCTTGGCCTCAGGTAATCCACCTGTCTCAGCATCCCACAGTGCTGGGATTACAGGTGTGAGCCACTGCACCCGGCTGGCTTTCTTATTGTTCTCTGAGCCCCCAGGGACTCCACCCTTTGGCCCTAGGCCAGGAGGCCTGCGCTCTGGGCCTCAGCCCCTTGGGGCTAGAAAAGGGCCTGACAAAGCCAGAGCCTGAGGCCCAGCTGTCTGGCCTCTCCCTAATCCTTCTAGGTGCTCAGGTAAATGGGCAAGGAGGATAAGGAGAGATCCCGAGAGCACCTGGTTCTTTCACCTGGAGAAGAGGCAGCCTTCCCACCTCCATGCTGCAAGGGGGAGGGAGGAGGGGACAGAGACCCTGGGAAGTCAGGGCCTGTGGTGGGAAGTGGGGGAGAAGGGGGCAAGGCTGCTAGAGGCTGAGGGTGGGGCAGCATGGGGAGGAGCATGGCCAGGTCTAGGCAGGTTCGGGTCCAGCTGGCTGGCCAGGGGGCTGCAGTGGCATGGGGCGTGCCTGAGGGCTCCTGTTGGCCTCAGGGAGCATCAGACTGGAGCGAAGGTGAAGTACTTGTGTGTGCTATTGGCTGGCACTGTGACAGCGGCGAGCTGGCCTCCTGGTGGCAGTGTGAGTGGGGCTGATGTGTTGAGACATCTGCCCAGTGACGATGACTGCTGTAGTGATTGCTGCCTGGCCTTGGGCAAGTTACTCACCACCTTCAAGCTTCAGTTCCCATATTTACAAGGCAGGGAGGATGTCACACCCGTTAGAATAACTGCTATCAAAAAATAGAAGATAACAGGTATTGTCCAGGATGTGGAGGAATTGGAACTCTGGCACTGTTGGTGGGAATGTGAAATGGTGCAGCTGCTGTGGAAAACCTTATGGAGAGTCCTCGGAAAGTTCAATATAGAATTCCTACATGATCCAGCAGTCTCACGCTGGGTACATACCCCAGATAACTGAAAGCAAGGAGCCTGGGGTGGTGGTTCATGCCTGTAATGCCACCACTTTGGAAGGCCAAGGCAGGCGGATCACTTGAGCCCAGGAGTTGGAGACAGCCTAGGCAACATAGTGAGACCTGATCTCAGTTATTAAGAAAAAAAAAAAGAATTAAAAGCAGGGTCTCAGATATACACCCGTGTTCATAGTAGCATTAATCACAATAGCCAAAAGGTAGAAACTGATGAATGGATTTTTTTTTTTTGGGTGGCGGGTTCTCGCTCTATCCCCTAGGCTGGAGTGCAGTGGCATGATTTCGGCTCACTGCAATCTCCGCCTCCTGGGTTCAAGTGATTCTCCTGTCTCAGCCTCCCGAGTGGCTGGGATTACAGGCGCCCGCCACCATGCCCGGCTAATTTTTGTATTTTTAATAGAGACGGGGTTTTGCCACGTTGGCCAGGCTGGTCTTGAACTCCTGACTTCAGGTGATCTGCCTGCCTGGGCCTCCCAAAGAGCTGGGATTATAGGCATGAGCCACCAAGCCTGGCCCTGGATTTTTTTTTTTTAATTATACTTTAAGTTTTAGGGTACATGTGCACAACGTGCAGGTTTGTTACATACGTATACATGTGCCATGTTGGTGTGCTGCACCCATTAAATCGTCATTTACATTAGGTATATCTCCTAATGCTATCCCTCCCCCCTCCCCCCGCCCTGGATTTTTTTAAATGCCTTAAAAACATACAATGAAATGTTTTCAGCCTTAAAAAAAAAAAAAAAGGAAATCCATACTACAACAGGAATGAACCTGAGGGCATTATGCTACATGAAATAAGCCAGTCACAAAAAGACAAAAATTAGCTGAGTGTGGTGGCACATGCCTGTAGTCCTAATTGCTCTAGAGGCTGAGGAAGGAGGATCACTTGAGGTCCAGAGCTCAAGGTTACAGTGAGCTATGATCCTGCCACTGCACCCAGCATGGGCCACAGAGCAAGACGTCCTCTCTAAAAATAAATAAATAAATAAATAACAAATACTGTATGATTCTACTTTCTTCCTTTCTTCTTTTTCTTTCTTTTTTTTTTTTTTTTTGGAGATGGAGTCTCACTCTGTCGCCCAGGCTGGAGTGCAGTGGCATGATCTTGGCTCACTGCAACCTCCGCCTCCTGGGTTCAAGCGATCCTCCTGCCTCAGCCCCCCTAGTGGCTGGGACTACAGGCACATGCCACCATGCCCTGCTAAGTTTTGTATTTTTAGTAGAGACGGGGTTTCGCCATGTTGGCCAGGCTGGTCTCGAACTCCTGAGCTCAGGTGATCCACCCACCTCGGCCTCCCAAAGTGTGGGATTATAGGCATGAGCCACCGCGCCTGGCCTCTTTTTTTGATTTAATAAAGTTTTATTTTTGCAAATGTACAGTTGGTTGGACCTGTTCATGTATCATCACCAGCAGCTATAACATCTCCACCCTTGGTATTTCTGATGTAAATTACTTGAGCTCTGTGCTTTGAAACCAGTTTGTTAAGTCCTTTACTAAGGTTCTCCTGAAGGGCTGCCCTGGCCAGGAAGCCTCGAATCTTCAGTTTCTCAGAGACCACAGCAGGGCTTATAAGTTTATGGTTAGGAAGTTCCTTACAGAGTTTGTCATAGGTAGGTTTGTCAAACACGACTCAGTTATTGAGCTTGTCCCGGACTTTGCCTTTGAACCACTTCTTCTTTTGGGCCCTGCCCCCAGATTTGTTCACTGAATCTTTGTCTTTCTTAGCGACTTTCCGGTGTCTTCGTTCTTCTTGTCATCCATTGATAGCACGGCGAAGCTCAGAGAGCAGCAGCGAACCCTTTCTTCCCTCCCTCCCTCCCTTCCTTCCTTCTCTTTCTTTCTTCTTCTTCTTCTTTTTTTTTTTTTTTGCAGAGACGAGGTCGCCCTATGTTGCCCAGGCTGGTCTCAAACTCCTGGGCTCAGGCAATCCTCCTGCCTCAGGCTCCCAAAATGCTGGGATTACAGGCATGAGCCACTGTGCCTGGCCCAGATTCCACTTAGATGAGGTACTTAGGGAGTCTAATTCATTAAGACAGAAAGTAGAAAGGCAGTTACCAGGGGCTGGGGAAGGAAGGATGGGGAATTGTGTTCAATGGGTAAAGAGTTTTAGTTTAGCAAGAGGATAAAGTTCTGGAGACTGATTGCACAACGTGAATATATTTAACATCACTGAACTGTACATTTAAAAATGGCTAAGATGGTTAAGTTTTATGTTATACATATTTTACCACTTTTTCTTTTTTTTGTTTTTAGACAGAGTCTCGCTCTGTCGCTAGGCTGGAGTGCAGTGGTGTGATCTCAGCTCACTGCAACCTCTGCCTCCCAGGTTCAAGCGATTCTCCCGCCTCAGCTCCCTGAGTAGCTGGGACTACAGGCGTGTGCCATCATGCCCGGCTAATTTTTGTATTTTTAGTAGAGACGGGTTTCCATCATGTTGGCCAGAATGGTCTCGATCTCTTGACCTCATGATCCGCCCACCTCGGCCTCCCAAAGTGCTAAGATTACAGGCGTGAGCCACTGCGCCCGGCCAATTTACCACTATTTTTTAAAAAGTGGTGATAACACCATTAACTCAGCAGAGTTCTTGTGGGGATTCATTGAGGGGAGCTGTGGCCAGCTTCTTAGGGTAAGGCCAGCCTCATGGGCCTGTGACCTGTACAGAACCATAGGACCCCGTGCTCAGACAAGCCCTGAAGTTAGTTTAATGCTGCTGTCGCCATCTTAAAGTTCTTTTTTTTTTTTTAAGACGGAGTCTCGCCCTGTTGCCCAGGCTGGAGTGCAATAGTGCGATCTCGGCTCACTGTAACCTCTGTCTCCCAGGCTCAAACAATTCTCCTGCCTCAGCCTCCCAAGTAGCTGGGATTACAAGTGCGCACCACCATGCCCGGCAAATTTTTGTATTTTTAGTAAAGACGGGGTTTCACCATGTTGGCCAGGCTGGTCTCAAACTGCTGACCTTAGGTGATCCACCCGCCTCGGCCTCCCAAAGTGCTGGGATTACAGGCGTAAGGCACCATGCCCTGCCTTAAAATTCTTTTTTTGTTGTTGTTTTTTTTAACTTTTTTTCTCTAAGAGACAGAGTCTTGTTCTGTTGGCCAGGCTGTAGTGTAGTGGCGGGATCATAGCTCACTGCAGCCTCAATCTCCTAGGCTCAAGTGATCCACCTCAGCCTCCTGAGTAACTGAGTAGGACTGCTGGCTACGCCCCCATACCCGGCTGATTAAAAATATTTTTTCTTTTTTTTTTAGAAATGGGGTCTTGCTATATTGGCCAGGCTGGTCTGGAACTCCTGACCTCAAGTGATCCTCCCATCTTGGCCTCCCAAAGTACAGGGATTGCAGGCATGAGGCAACATGCTGGAAGGCTACAATGTTTATTGAACACTTTACTATGCCAGGCCCTAACCACGTCTTGCAAGCCTTCACTCATCTCCTGGGTTTAAGGTGAGAACACTGTAGTCGGAAGCCTTGGGACTTCTCAAGGCCTCACAACCAGACAGCAGCTGAAGGGTATGAATTGGCAATTTGGACTCCAGATAAGTGTTGGTTCCACTAGATGGTGCCAAAAGTAAATGATGATGCGCTGAATGTGCTCTGGGCCTGGGAGGCGGTTGTGTGGGAGATTATAGGAAGTGATGTTAGCAAAGCTCCAATCATCACTAAGAAAGCACACCACCACCCCTCCTGAGAGGCAGCAGCATGAATGGTCAGGTGTCCTGGGTTCAAAGCCAGACTCTGTCACTTACAAGTTGCACAAGTTTGCATAACTCTTTAAATTGATGAAATTAAAAATGAATAATTGTATAGAGAATTCGAGGTAACACAGGTCTATAACGAGAATAATAAACGTCTTTTTTTTTTTTTTTTGAGGCGGAGTCTTGTTCTGTCGCCCAGGCTTGAGTGCAGTGGCACGATCTTGGCTCACTGCAACCTCTGTCTCCCGGGTTCAAGCGATTCTCTTGCCTCAGCCTAGCCAGGATGGTCTCGATCTCCTGACCTCGCGACCCACCCGCCTCTGCCTCCCAAAGTGCTGGGATTACAGGCGTGAGCCACCGAGTCTGGCCCAGATAAACACTTTTTAAAAAAAATTATTTTATTTTTATGTTATTATTATTATTATTATTTGAGATGGAGTCTCGCTCTATCGCCCAGGCTGGAGTGCAGTGGCGCAACATCACCATTTCTTCAGATAAGGAAGCCGAGGTAGAAGGGGTAGGAGAGGCTAAACAGCGGATTGAGACCGAACCCAGGATTCGGACCTAATCATCACACCGCTCTACCTTTCTTTTTAGACTTAATCCCGTGCTCCAGACCCTTCTCAATCTCCTTTCTGGGCCCCGAGAGGGTGGACGGCCTGGCATTTCCTAGGATCCAAGCCCTGGGCATAGCGGCCGCCCGAGGTATGGAGCCCAAAGGAGCCCCAGGCAAGTCTGACTCCGGAAATAGTCGCAGCGCCGGCGGTCGCGTCCTGGGTTGCCAGGGCGCCGCCCTGGAAGTAGAGTGCAGCGCGGGGCGGGGCGGGCCGGTGCGCCTGGCAGTCGGCTGCGTACTCCTGCGAGCGCCGGAGAGGGGCTGGAGGCGGGGCGAGGGCGCGGCTCGAGGCATCCCTGCAGGGCGCTCCTCCGAGTCCCTCGGCGCTCTGAGCCCACAGGTGAGGTCCTGTCCCCCAGGCCGCCGCCTCCCGGGCACCGAGGGTGTGGCTGCGCGCGGGCTGGCGAGTGCGCATGGGTGAGAGAGTGTGGGCGCCAGTGTCTACGCGGCTGCGAAAATGCGGTTCAGATGCTGCTTGCCGGATCCGCGTCCTCCAGGAAGCCCGCGCTAACCACCGTGCCTTTCTCCGTCCGCTGAGTTCCTATGACTTACCTCGTGCTGTCCGACTGTTGCAATTGCATCATTATGTTTATTATTTGTTATCCCAGACTTTCATTGTTCCTACACGTTTCCCATTCGTTTGCAATCTGTGTTGTTTCTGTTGGCATCTTTTGCAGGGCGCAATGTACCTGTGGAGAGAACTCAGGGCAGGAGACAAGAGCCTTGTGTCTTCCCTCTAGATGACTGGACCAAGACATTTCCCCTCTCTGATTCCCTATCAGCTAAGAGGGCAGGGCGGGGTAGTCATCCTTTTCCATAGAGTAGCTGGGGCATTAGAGGAGATTAATTCTGGAAGTGAAAGTATCTTATCATTGTTAGCCCTTTTGGCATTTGCAAAGCAGGTTCTTTGCTCAGGAAACGTTTGATGAGCACATTATGGTGCCGGGTTGTGGCGGTACAAAAAGATGGGCCCCGGCCGGGCACGGTGGCTCACGCCTGTAATCCCAGCACTTTGGGAGGCCGAGGCGGGAGGATCACGAGGTCAGGAGATCGAGACCATCCTGGCTAACACGGTGAAACCCCGTCTATACTAAAAATACAAAAAAAAAAAAATTAGCCGGGCATGGTGGCGGGGGCCTGTAGTCCCAGCTACTCGGGAGGCTGAGGCAGGAGAATGGCGTGAACCCGGGAGGCGGAGCTTGCAGTGAGCCGAGATTGCGCCACTGCACTCCAGCCTGGGCGACAGAGCGAGATTCTGTCTCAAAAAAAAAAAAAAAAAAAAAAAAAAAAAAGATGGGCCCTTCTCTGCCCTCAAATTACAGACACTGGTAAGCAGTCACTGTGGAGCATGGTACTGTCACCCAGTGCGGGCGTGGAGATGGACAGTGACAATACCGCTGTGAACGAATGCCCTGCTCAACATGAAGTCATCACTGACATTGTTATTACTTTATTTATTTATTTATTTATTTTTAGACGGAGTCTTGCTTTGTTGCCCAGGCTGGAGTGCGGTCGCTCTCGGCTCACTGCAACCTCTGCCTCCTGGGTTCAAGCGATTCTCCTGCCTCAGCCTCCCATGTAGCTGTGATTACAGGCACGCGCCACCATGCCCCGCTAATTTTTTAAATTTTAGTAGAGATGGGGTTTCGCCATGTTGGCCAGGCTGGTCTCGAGCTCCTGACCTCAGGTGATCCGCCCACCTCGGCCTCCCAAAGTGCTGGGATTACAAGCGTGAGCCACTGTGCCTGGCCATATTCTTGGTTTTTTTTTTTTTTTTTTGAGACCGTCTCACTCTGTCACCCAGGCTGGAGTGTGCAGTGGTGCGATCTTGGCTCACTGCAACCTCTGCCTCCCGGGTTCAAGCAATCCTCCCACCTCAGCCTCCCAGATAGCTTGGATTACAGGCGCCCACCACCACGCCCGGCTGATATTTGTATTTTTAGTAGAGATAGGGTTTCACCATGTTGGCCAGGCTGGTTTTGAATTCCTGACCTCAGGTGATCTACCCACCTTGGCCTCCCAAAGTGTTGGGATTACAGGCGTGAGCCACCGTGCCCTGCTAAGAATCTGTATTTCTTTTTTTTTTTTTTTTTGAGATGGAGTCTCACTCTGTTGCCCGGGCTGGAGTGCAGTGGCGTGATGCCAGCTCACTGCAACCTCCACCTCCCAGGTTCAAGTGATTCTCGTGCATCAGCCTTCTGAGTAGCTGGGATTACAGATGTGCACCACCACGCGCAGCTAATTTTGTATTTTTAGTAGAGACGGGGTTTCACCATGTTAGCCAGGCTGGTCTCGAACTCCCGACCTCAGGTGATCCACCTGTCTTGGCCTCCCAAAGAATCTGTATTTCTAACAAGCTCCAGGTGCTGCTCACATGTGGGCCATGCTTTGAGTAGCACTGGACTAAATGATTGCTTACAACCCAAGTGCCATGGAGAAAATAAAGTGACAATGTGGTGGAGTCAGGAGGATTGAGATTGAGTGGTTGGGGAAAGCCACTCTGAGCAGTTGACTTTTGAGAAGGGACAGATCTGGAGGACGAGCAAAGGCTTAAGACAAAATGCAGCCTGTGGGGTGTCAGGAGCTGAAAGAAGGCCAGGGGCTAAAGAGGGTTGGTGAGAGACAAGGCCTAAGAGGTGATGGTCCAGATCTGCAGGGCTGGCCTCGTAGGCCATGGAGGACCACTAGCTTCATTCTGAATGCAGTATGAAGCTACTGTGGGGTAGTGAGCAGGGTGACATGGTTAGTGTTGTGTGTGTCACACATTGGTCCGCTGCTGGGTGGGAAATGGGTTGTAGTGGAGTGAGAAGAGTAGCAGGGGACAGAGTGGGGCCTGCTGCAGTTGCCCAGGAGAGAGGGGACATTATGGGAGTGGAGGATGGATTTGGAATCTTCTGGAGTGGAGCTGACCTGATTTGCTGCTGGATCAAATTAACCATCCCTTCCTTCCCCGGCCACAGTTGAACTGTGATGTGTTGTTGAAGCCCTTTGCTGCAGGCAGGCCTTACAGCTTGTTAAATGTGTCTCCTGTGCTCCTCGCCCCCATCTGGGCTCTCAGTTTAATGTCTGTCTGTTACAGGCCTGGCACTGAGTGGCTGTCAGGGCTGTGTGGGTGGATGAGAAGTTAGACCACCAGTGGCCCTGATATCCAGGGTGTTCATGGGAAACCTTCTCTTTGAGCTCATGACGATCCTACCCAGTTGCCCCAGGAGCGAGACCCAGGTTGTCTTCTGAAAATAACCAGCAGCTCTCTGGTTTCAGGATGGCTTTCTGTGGTTGACACACTTCAGGTGGTGACAGCCCCAACTCCAATTGTGAGCTGCATTCAACATAAAAGGTCAATATGTCACTCTGTTTTTCCTGGTTAGGTTTTTATGATGCTCAGTTTAGAAAGTGACGTAAGATTCAGATGCATCAATTCACGTGAACCAGGAGAGATAATAACACGTTACTCAGTACCCTTAACCCCACTTCCGTTTTCTGTTTTAGGAGGAAGCAACAATAAAACAATCTGATATCAGGTATTTATTTACTTTTCTAAGGAAAACGGCTTAGTATTGCTTAGGGTTGGGAAGGAATCACCCATTCTTCCACACTGTGGGGCGTGGCCCGGTGGATCACTTGTCTACACACGATTTTGGAGCCCCACGCTAGGCCTGGCTGGCTGCGTGCCCGACATGAGAACAGACACGAGTCAGCCCACTCCTGAGCCAGCCCGCTCCTGAGCCAGCCCACTCTGCTGCCCCGCAGGAGGTTGCTATCTAATGTGGGAGGCACATGTGAAATAACAGTTGCCATCTGGTGTGGGAGGGAAGCGTGTAGGCTGTCCACAGGCTGCACACTCTCCTCTTCTTTTTATTCTCTGGCCCCCATTTTCCTCATCTGTAAAATGCGGAGAATTCCTGCTGTATTAGTCTGTTCTCATGCTGCTAATAAAGACATACCCAAAACTGGGTAATTTATAAAAGGAAGAGGTTTAATTGACTCAGTCACAATCATGGCGGAAGATGAAGGAAGAGCAAAGGCACATTATACATGGTGGCAGGCAAGAGAGCTTGTGCAGGGGAACTCGCATTTATAAAACCATCAGATCTCACAAGATTTATTCACTACCACGAGAACAGTACGGGGGAACCACTCCCATGATTCGTTTATCTCCACCTTGCCCTGCCCTTGACTCGTGGGGATTATTACAAGTCAAGTTGAGATTGGGATACAGACAAATCATATCATCTGCCTTTGGGCATCACATGAGACGATAATATACACAGTGGAGAAGAATATTCATAAACTACCCCACCCAGTACCTGACACATGCTAGAGCTTAATAAGTGGTAGCTTTGCCAGGCGCGGTGGCTCACACCTGTAATCCCAGCACTTTGGGAGGCCGAGGCAGGCGGATCACGAGGTCAGGAGATGGAGACCATCCTGGCTGACACAGTGAAACCTCGTCTCTATTAAAAATACAAAAAATTAGCCGGGCATGGTGGCATGCGCCTGTAGTCCCAGCTACTCGGGAGGCTGAGGCAGGAGAATCGCTTGAATCACTTGAACCTGGAAAGTGGAGGTTACAGTGAGCTGAGATCGCGCCACTGCACTCCAGCCTGGGCGACAGAGCAAGATGCCATCTCAAAAAAAAAAAAAAAAAAAAAAAGGTGGCAGCTTTTGTTCTTAATGATGATATAAATTTGTCATTCCTTACTCTGTGCAGGCATGGTTGAGCTCCAGTGCCCAGCCAGGGCCCTGGCTAGAATTACTCCAACCTAACCACCTGATGATAAGAGATTGGAAGCTTGTGGTTGAAACCTAGAAAAAAGGCTGGGCACAGTGGCTCATGCCTGTAATCCCAGCACTTTGGGAGGCTGAGGCGGGCAGATAACAAGGTCAGGAGATCGAGACCATCCTGGCTAACACGGTGAAACCCCATCTCTACTAAAAATACAAAAAATTATCCGGGCGTGGTGGCGGGCGCCTGTAGTCCTGGCTACTCGGGAGGCTGAGGCAGGAGAATGGCGTGAGCCCAGGAGGCAGAGCTTGCAGTGAGCCAAGATCGCGCCACTGCACTCCAGCCTGGGCGATTGAGCAAGACTCCATCTCAAAAAAAGAAAAGAAACCTAGAAAAAGCAGGTGGGGAGCCTGCAAAGAAAGAAGGAAAAAGGTGTCAGCTGGGCACAGTAGCTCTGAGCCACCTGTAATCCCAACACTTTGGCAGGCTGAGGTGGATGGATCACGTGAGGTTAGGAGTTCAAGACCAGCCTGGACAACATGGTGAAACCCCACCTCTACTAAAAATACACAATTAGCTGGGCATCGTGGCGGGTGCCTGTAATCCCAGCTACTCAGGAGGCTGAGGCAGGAGAATCGCTTGAACCTGAGAGGCGGAGGTTGCAGTGAGCCAAGATTGCACCACTGCACTCCAGCCTGGGCAGTAGAGCTAGACTCCATCTCAAAAAAGAAAAAAAATATGTTTAGAGTTTTTTCAGAAGACAGGAACTCTGTTTCTATCTTCCGTGGCATCCCTTTTGACGAGAATAAGGATTTAGTTTATTTTAATGCCATGATATTGTTAGGTAAAATGGTTAGTAGAAAGTATGACACAGAGTAGCAATTTGGTAAGCATTAGTAAATAATGTCAAGGAAATTAACCAAACTGCTTTGAGAGTCTCAACTTGTTAAATCTCAGTTGGCTCAGCTGATCTGTTAAGACACTTGTAGCTGACACATATCCTTTTTTCATTTTTTTTCTTGATTAATTAAATCAAGAATTTTGCTCAGGGAAGGTGATCATATCCCCAACTCAGGAATAAATCCTAATTAGCCTAAGCCAGTTTGATATGCTCATTCCCTTGCCAGTGGGTTTTTATTGTTGTGGTTGTGGTTGTTGTTTCTGAGATGGAGTTTGCTCTTGTTGCCCAGGCTGCAGTGCAATGGTGCGATCTTGGCTCACCGCTGTCTCCGCCTCCTGAGTTCAAGCAGTTCTCATGCCTCAGCCTCCCGAGTAGCTGGCATTACAGGCAAGCGCCACCACACCCAGCTAATTTTGTATTTTTAGTAGAGACGGGGTTTCTGTTGGTCCGGCTGGCCTCGAACTCGTGACCTCAGGTGACCCGCCCATCTCGGCCTTCCAAAATGCTGGGATTACAGGTGTAAGCCACGCCACTTGGCCAGCCTATGTTTGTTTTAGGAATTGGTGGGTGATAAAATTTTGGCCAGTGAGAGAGCTATATATGTTTTTTGTCTGTTTGTTTGAGACTAAGTCTCGCTCTGTCGCCCAGGCTGGACTGCAGTGGTGCAATCTTGGCTCACTGCAAGCTCTACCTCCCAGGTTCACACCATTCTCCTGCCTCAGCCTCCTGAGTAGCTGGGACTACAGGCGCCCGCCACCATGCCTAGCTAATTTTTTGTATTTTTTTTAGTAGAGAAGAGTTTTCACCATGTTAGCCAGGATGGTCTTGATCTCCTGACCTCGTGATCTGCCTGCCTCGGCCTCCCAGAGTGCTAGGATTACAGGCGTGAGCCGCTGCGCCCAGCCTATATATGTATTTTTAAAAAGGAGTATTGTTGGTCTTTATTATTATTATTATTATTATTTTATTATTTTTGAGACAGAGTTTTGTTCTTGTCACCAAGGCTGGAGTGCAATGGCACGATCTCGGCTCATTGCAACCTCTGCCTCCAGGGTTCAAGCGATTCTCCTGCCTTAGCCTCCCAAGTAGCTGGGATTACAGGCGCCCGCCACCATGCCCAGCTAATTTTTGTATTTTTAGTAGAGACGGGGTTTCGCCATGTTGGCCAGGCTGGTCTCAAACTCCTGACCTCAGGTAATCCACCCACCTTGGCCTCCCAAAGTGCTGGGATTACAGGCATGAGCCACCGCGCGCAGCCTGTTTTTATTATTTTTGATACAGAGTCTCATCCTGTTGCCCAGGCTGGAGTGCAGTGGTACAATCTTGGCCCACTGCAAACTCCGCCTCCTGGGTTCAAGCAATTCTCCTGCCTCAGCCTCCTGAGTAGCTGGGATCACAGGCGCGCACCACCATGCCTGGCTAATTTTTGTATTTTTAGTAGAGACGGTATTTCACCATGTTGGTCAGGCTGGTCTCGAACTCCAGACCTTAGGTGATCCACCCACCTCAGCCTTCCAAAGTGCTGGGATTACAGGCATGAGCCACTACGCCCCACGCCCTGTCTGGCCTTTATTTTTTTTCCAAAAGATTTTCTCACATAAAAAGAAACCCTGAAAAAGAAACAGGCTTTTCCTCTCCTGGAAATGTAGCTGTCTTGACTGGGCTTGACTGAGGACAGAGCCAATTTTCTGAGGATGGCAAAATGGAAAATGGGAAGAACTCAAGCTATTGGTGATGATATCAAGCCCAGAAATTACCAGCTCTGGAGCCTTTGTAGATATTATTAATGTGACGTAATCAATTATCTGTGTTGTTTAAAAAAAAAAAAAATGGAAGGGGTCCAGGTGCGGTGACTCACACCAGTAATCCCAGCACTTTGGGAGGCAGAAGGGGATGGATCACTTGAGGTCAGGAGTTTGAGACTAGCCTGGTAAACATGGTGAAACCCTGCCTCTACTAAAAATACAAAAACTAGCCAGGCGCGGGGGCATGTACCTGTAATCCCAGCCACTTGGGAGGCTGAGGCAGGAGAATCTCGCTTGATCCCAGGAGGCGGAGGTTGCAGTGAGCCAAGATGGTGCCACTGCACTCCAGCCTGAGTGACAGAGAAAGACTCTGACTCAAAAAAAAAAAAAAAAAAAAAGGCCAGGTGTGATGGCTCACGCCTATAATCCCAGCACTTTGGGAGGCCGAAGCGGGTGGATCATGAGGTCAGGAGTTCAAGACCAACCTGGCCAACATGGTGAAACCCCCATCTCTAGTAAAAATACAAAAATTAGCTGGGCGTGGTGGCAGGCGCCTGTAGTCCCAGCTACTTGGGAGGCTGAGGCAGAGAATGCTTGAACCCAGGAGGCGGAGGTTGCAGTGAGCTGAGATCGCGCCACTGCACTCCAGCCTGGGCGACTGAGCGAGACTCTGTCTCAAAAAAATAAAAAAATAAAATACATTAAAAAAAAATGGAAGGGGTGTGTGGGGATCTTTGGAGCAAAGCTCTTTCTGCTGCATGTACTTGTTTCAGACAAGTTAGGACTTCCCCATAAGTTTGTGGGGACACAACTTAACCCGTAACACATCTCTATGGGAGCGACTGTCAAAAGCAGAGTCAGGTTCAAGGGACTCACCTGGAGGGTTTACCCACTCCCTCCGTCATGCACTGAATATTTACTGAGGGCCTTGCCTGTGCCTGGGCTTGTGCTGGAGATGTTCAGGTCAGGCAGGATGGATGGGGGGCTTTGATGCGCATGCCCACATCACAGCCTGGAAAGATTCTGTGCAGCCGGGCGCGGTGGCTCACGCTTGTCATCCCAGCACTTTGAGAGGCCGAGGCAGACGGATCACCTGAGGTCGGGAGTTTGAGACCAGCCTGGCCAACATGGTGAAACCCTGTCTCTACTAAAAATACAAAAATTAACCAGGCGTGGTGATGGGCTCCTGTAATCCCAGCTACTCCAGAGGCTGAGGCAGAAGAATCGCTTGAGCCCAGGAGGCAGAGGTTGTAGTGAGCCAAGATGTGCCATTGCACTCCAGCCTGGGTGACAGAGCGAGACTTTGTCTAAAAAAAAAAAAAAAAAAAAAAAAAAAAAAAAAGTCATGCAACACTGGGAACAGGTGACTCAGAGTCCCACCCTCCTGTGTTTATAGAAGGAATGTACTTAAAGGGCTGAAATGCAAGGTAGGCAGTTCTGAGTGCCAGCAAGGATGGCAGGAGAGGAGACAGAGGGTCTGGGGAGGGCACCTTAGCTCCATCCAGCTAAGGCTGAGAATGGCTCTCTGTGGAGGGAGTGACCTTTGAACTGTACCTTGAATGATTGGTAGGAGTTGGAGAAGAGGCAGTGCAGAGGGGCCGTTCCAGGTGGGGCACAGGGTGCACACAGGCTTGCAGGTGGGAGGAAAGGGTCGGGCAGGTGTGGGAAGGGGCTGAGCTCAGCTGGAGTGAGGGGTGTGTGACATGAGGGGTGGTATGGCAGCTTGAGAAGGCCAGCTGGAGCCAGTAAGTAATACAGTTCAGAAATTCTTACTGTAATGGGAAGACTCTTAAGAGCATCTTTTGGTGTACATTTGTTCAACAAGATGCCAGCCACTGAATATTCTGGCTAGTTACGGTTTTGTCATAGTATTCTTAAAATGGTTAAAGAGGCCAGGCGCGGTGGCTCACGCCTATAAATCCAGCACTTTGGGAGGCTGAGGTGGGCAGATAGCTAGAGCCTGGGAGTTTGAGACCAGCCTGGCCAACATGGGGAAACCCTGTCTCTACAAAAAATACAAAAATTAACCGGGTGTGGTGGCACTCGCCTGTAGTTGCAGCTACTTAGGAGGCTCAGGCAGGAGAATCACTTGAACCCGGGAGGCAGAGATTGCAGTGAGCCGAGATCATACCACTGCACTTCAGCCTGGTTGAGCAGAGTGAGAACCTGTCTCAAAAAAACAAAAACAAACAAAAAATGGTTAAAGAGTGTCTTCTTAATGTGTTTGATGTACATTTCATCTGTGTGTTAACTTTTAGGGAAGAAGGAGGGGCCGGCGTCAGTGACGTCAGCGAGACCGAGGTGAGCGTGGGCGTTGCCAGTGGTGCTCTGTCAGTGCCTATGGTAGGTACAGCCTGAGACGGCCCCTTAGGGACCATTTGCCCACACGGTGGGAGAGAGGGCGCGGGGCCTGGGAGGGACACCTGATGGTCTGGCTAAAGCACCTGCCCCAGTTGCTTAGTGAAATGTGGATGAGGATGTTTGGCCCGTCTGCCTCGGTAGGTTTGGGGTCTCACACCTGAAAGCGTTGAGGCCTGGGGAAGCACTGTGTGAGAATCGCGCACAGCCTTCCTGGTCTCCAGTCACTACTCTTCTGTCACCTCCAGGTAGATGTCAGTGGCTGGTGTGAGGTCACCCACTAAGATGCTTGCTTTAAGTACAACATGTGAACCATGCAGCCTGGACGGCGGTGGTTGGGGGGTGGTCCCCAGGCCGCAAGCAGGATTCATCAGGAAATCACAGCTGTGGAGGCTGAAATCACATAGTGAAAATGAAAAGTTCCCTGAGCCATTGGCGTGGCCCCGTGTCTGCGGGTGTGAGGGGTGTGGAATCGGCTCACGCTCTGGGATGCAGCTCCCGTGGTCCCCATGTCTTCGGGTGTGAGGGGTGTGGGATGGGCTCACACCTGGGGTGTGGCTCCTGTGGCCCCCGTGTCTGCAGATGTGAGGGGTGTGGGATGGGCTCACGCTCTGGGGTGCGGCTCCCTTGGCCCCCATGTCTGTGGGTGTGAGGGGTGTGGGATGGGCTCACGCTCTGGGGTGCGGCTCCCGTGGTCCCCGTGTCTGTGGGTGTGAGGGGTGTAGGATGGGCTCACGCTCTGGGGTGCGGCTCCCATGGTCCCCGTGTCTGCGGGTGTGAGGGGTGTGGGATGGACTCACGCTCTGGGGTGTGGCTCCCGTGGTCCCCTTGTCTGCGGGTGTGAGGGGTGTGGGATGGACTCACGCTCTGGGGTGCGGCTCCCGTGGTCCCCGTGTCTGTGGGTGTGAGGGGTGTGGGATGGGCTCACGCTCTGGGGTGCGGCTCCCGTGGTCCCCGTGTCTGTGGGTGTGAGGGGTGTGGGATGGGCTCACGCTCTGGGGTGCGGCTCCCGTGGTCCCCGTGTCTGTGGGTGTGAGGGGTGTGGGATGGGCTCACGCTCTGGGGTGCGGCTCCTGTGCTTTTATTGTCATCTTGGTGTGACTGCTGAGGTTCCACGTGCACCATATCGGATCACCTAACAGCAGTCCTTTATACAGCACCTTGTAGCTTGCAGAGAGCGGTTCTGTTTATTGCTCATTGACCCTGTGACCTGGGTGTTGTCATCATCCTGCCAAAGGCCAGGTTCACAGAGGGAAGTGATGGGCTGTGTGGAGAGAGGCGGCACTTTAGAGTAGTATCATCCCGGCTTTGAATCAGGGCACCCGGACTCCCTTGAGTCTGTTTCCTTTTCTTCTCTTCTCTTCTCTTTTGTTTTTCCTTCCTTTTCTTTTCTGACAGAGTCTTGCTGTGTCGCCCAGGCTAGAGTGCAATGGTGCGATCTTGGCTCACTGTGACCTCCGCCTCTCGGGTTCAAGCAATTCTCCTGCCTCAGCCTCCTGAGTAGCTGGGATTACAGGCACATGCCACCACGCCCAGCTAATTTTTGTATTTTTAGTAGAGACGGGGTTTCCCCATGTTGGCCAGGGTGGTCTTGAACTCCTGACCTCAGGTGATCCGCCCACCTCAGCCTCCCAAAGTGCTGGGATTGTAGACATGAGCCACTGCACCCAGCTGAGTCTGGTTCTTACACAGGCTCTTAACTGTTGAGCCTCAGCTTCCTCATTGGTGCAGTGGGGATGATGATGATAATAGTGAATGTCTCTTGAGTGCTTTTTTTTTTAAGACAGGGTCTCACTCTGTCCCCCAGGTTGGAGTGCAGTGGCGTCATCCTGGCTCACAGCAGCTTGACCTCCCAGATTCAAGTGATCCTCCTGCCTCAGCTTCCCAAGTAGCTGGGACTATTGGTGCATGCCACCACGCCCAGCTAATTTTTGTATTTTTTTGTAGAGATGGGGTTTTGCCATGTTGCCCAGGCTGGTCTCAAACTCTTGGGCTCAAGTGATCCGCCTGCCTCGGCCTCTCAAAGTGCTGGGATTATAGGCGTGAGCCACCGCGCCCGGCCAGAAGATTGTCTTAAGTACAACGTGTGAATTGTACAGGCCAGATGCCTGTGGTGTGGGGGTTGCCAGGGTGGGGAGGCAGCCTCCTGTAGCCTTCCTGGTTGGAGCCGGGGTGGGAGCCTTGAATCTTGGGCTGCCTGAGCAGTTTGAAAACGAGACTTTTCAGAGCAGACCGAGGTCCAGAGTCCTCCTGTAACTATGATAGCTCCGAGTCCCACAGTGGCGCTGACAGGCCTGGGACAGCAGCCAGTTTCTCCATCTGAACTGAGCATCCCTCACGTGCCAGGCATGGAGCTGGGCCCTGGGCACATGGCAGTGAAGAAGAAAGCAAGCCAGCTCCCTGGCCCCCAGCAGGGACAGCAGATGCTTGATACAGAGCTCCAGGGTTGCCGAGGGGTACAGCACCTTGTTTGGAGGGTCAGGGAGGCTTTGTGGAGCAAGCGACATTCATTTATGCTGGCAGATGAGTGGGAGGCGGCTTAGCCAGGCAGAGATCGAGGGCAGCATGCTGCAGGCGGAGGGGCCCAGTGTGTGCGAGGCCTGTGGCAGGAGAGAGAGTGGGCAGAGAAGCCCAGCGTGGCAGAACAGAGGGTAAAGGAGAAGGTGGTGTGAGGTGTACCTGGGGAAGCAGGTGAGGGCCAGGGGTCTGTGTGTTTAAGTGCCCTGGGGAGTCATGGAGGTTATTAAATGGGAGTGATGTCGTCAGATAAACAATTTTTTTTTTTTGAGGTGGAGTCTCACTCTGTCACCCAGGCTGGAGTGCAGTGGTGCGATCTCCGCTCACTGCAATCTCCGCCTCCCGGGTTCACACCATTCTCCTGCCTCAGCCTCCCAAGTAGCTGGGACTACAGGCGCCTGCCACCGCACCCGGCTAATTTTTTGTATTTTTAGTAGAGACGGGGTTTTACTGTGTTAGCCAGGATGGTCTCGATCTCCTGACCTCGTGATCCACCTGCCTCGGCCTCCCAAAGTGCTGGGATTACAGGCGTGAGCCACCATGCCTGGCCCAGATAAACACTTGTTAAAAAATTATTTTATTTTTATTTTATTTGATTTATTATTATTATTATTATTTTGAGATGGAGTCTCGCTCTATCGCCCAAGCTGGGGTGCAGTGGCGCAATCTCTGCCCACTGCAACCTCCACCTCCCAGGTTCAAGTGATTCTCCTACCTCAGCCTCCCGAGTAGCTGGGATTACAGGCGCATGCCACCATGCCTGGCTAATTTTTTGTATTTTTAGTAGAGACAGGGTTTCACCGTGTTAGCCAGGATGGTCTCAATCTCCTGACCTCATGATCTGCCCACCTTGGCCGCCCAAAGTGTTGGGATTACAGGCGTGAGCCACCGCGCCCGGCCTATTTTTATTTTTTGCGATGGAGTCTCGCTCTGTCGCCGAGGCTGGAGGGCAGTAGTGCGATCTCAGCTCACTACAACCTCTGCCTCCCGGGTTCAAGCGATTCTCCTGCCTCAACCTCCCGAGTAGTTGGGATTACGGGTGCGCACAACCACACCCGGCTAATTTTTGTATTTTTAGTAGAGATGGGGTTTCACCACATTGGCCACGCTGGTCTTGAACTCCCAACCTCAGGCGATCCGCCTGCCTCGGCCTCCCAAAGTGCTGGGATTACAGGCATGAGCCACCACGCCCAGTCCAGATAAACACTTACGGTCACTCTGCAGTTACAGAGGGTGACTTGAAGTAGGGAGACAGGCAGTGCCTGGAGGGATGTGGGACAGGCATGCTGATCCCCACTCACCCATCGGAAGTCGGCCCGAGGGTCCCCTTCTCAGGGTGGCCCTCCCCAGCTGCCCTGTCTGCGGCTCTCAGAGCCCCATGTGCCCCTCCTTTGTGGCTCCTGGCACACTTGCAGTTGAACATTCCCGGGTGGTGATTTGATGGCTGCCTCTATCTCCCACCAGACCAGGGTTTCTCAGCCTTGGCACAGTTGACATTTGGGGCTGGATAATTGGTTGTGAGGGGTCATCTGTGCAGTCGGACATCGAGCAGCATCCCTGGCCTGGACATGCCCGATGCCAGAGGCATCCCCTGGTCATGACAACCAGACTCTCTAGACATTGCCAGGTGTCCCCTGGGAGATGGAATCACTCCTGGTTGAGAACCATTGCCGGGGTAAGATCGAGTTTGGGATGGGCATGCTGTTTAGAGGATTCCTTGGGTTTAAAGGGAAGTGAGCTGTTGAAGTTTCATATCTCTAATATTTTGATCTCTTCCAGGATTATGGCAGGGAAAGTAAAATGGGTCACTGATATCGAGAAGTCAGTGCTGATCAATAACTTTGAAAAGAGAGGATGGGTCCAAGTGACAGAAAACGAGGACTGGAATTTTTACTGGTAAGCATACACAGCAGGGCTGGGTTGTTTCTCTGAGGCTTACGTATCGGTTTTACTAATTCCAGTGCCTCCCAGAGAGTGGCCTCAGAGCCACTGTCTCCTGTCATTGTGCCATCTCCCCGCACACATTTTTCCTTAAGGTTTTTTGTGAGAGTATGTGTTGTGGTGTGTTCCCACATCACTGTGTTCACCCTGGGGTATGAAGTCCGGGGTGTTTCAGCACAGCAACCCTGTGGGGAGTTTGGGTGAGAAACAAGAGCCTCAGCCCTCCCCTTCCAGTGAGCGTGCGTTATAGCTGGGCCAGAGGACAGGACAGAGTCTTGCTCTGTCACCCAGGCTGGAGTGCAATGGTGCGATCTCAGCTCATTGCAATCTCTGCCTCCTGGGTTCAAGCGATTCTCCTGCCTTAGGCTCCCAAGTACCTGGGATTACAGGCGCCACCACACCTGGCTAATTTTTTTGTGTTTTTAGTAGAGACGGGGTTTCACCATGTTGGCCGGGCTGGTCTTGAACTTTGTGATCCACCCGCCTCGGCCTCCCAAAGTGCTGGGATTACAGGTCTAAGCCAAGCGCCTGGCCACATTTTTTTCTTTTTTTGTAGAGACAGGGTCTTGCTATGTTGCCTAGGCTGGTCTTGAATTCCTGGCCTCAAGGGACCTTCCCATCTCGGCCTCCCAAAGTGCTGGGATTACAGGCATGAGCCACCATGTCCGGCCATGAATAAGAAGCAGTTTGGAGTTATTCTTTTTTTCTTTTTTGGTCATAAAGCTGCTGTTTATTTATTTATTTATTTATTTCAGAGGCAGAGTCTTCCCATGTTGCCCAGGCTGGTCTCAAACTCCTGGACTCAAGTGATCTTCCCACTTCAGCCTCCCAAAGTGTTGGGATTACAGGCGTGAGCCACTGTACCCAGCCTTCGGAGCTATTCTCAACAACAGCAAAAAATGGAATGAAATGAAGAAAAAGGCTAAACAGTGTAATAGTCTTGGCTAATTGATACATATATTTTTTTTTCTTTCTTTCTTTCTTTTTTTTTTTTTTTTTTTGAGACGAAATTTCGCTCCTGTCACCCAGACTGGAGTGCCATGGGGCAATCTCGGCTCATTGCAACCTCCACCTCCTGGGTTCAAGCGATTCTCCTGCCTTAGCCTCCCTAGTAGCTGGGATTACAAGCATGTGCCACCACGCCTGGCTTATTTTGTATTTTTAGTAGAGACGGGGGTTTCTCCATGTTGGTCAGGCTGGTCTCGAACTCCCGACCTCAGGTGATCCGCCCGCCTTGGCCTCCCAAAGTGCTAGGATTACAGGCGTGAGCCACTGTGCCTGGCCAAGCTAATTGATATTTTGAGAGCTCTTGTTCTGGCCGTCATGCCCGTAATCCCAGCACTGTGGGAGGCCAAGGCCGGTGGATCACTTGAGGCCAGGAGTTGGAGACCAGCATGACCAACATGACAAAACCTTGTCTCTACTAAAAATACAAAAAAACTAGCTGGGTGTGGTGGTGCCTGCCTGTAATCCCAGGAACTCGGGAGATTGAAGCAGGAGAATCGCTTGAACCCAGGAGGTGGAGGTTGCAGTGAGCTGAGATCGCGCCACTGCACTCCAACCTGGGTGACAGTGAGACTCTGTCTCAAAAAAAATAAATAAATAAATAAATAAAAAAGAAGAGCTTCTGTTCTAAGCACTAAATGTACAATCAGGTTTACAGAAAAATTGGTTGGGGTAAAATACTGGAAACAACTAAATGTTAAACAGTATGGGGGGGTGGGTTAAGTACTTTGAGTGGATTATGGTGCAGCCGTTAAAATAATTATGATGGGCTGGGCACAGCGGCTCATGCCTGTAATCCCAGCACTTTGGGAGGCCAAGGCGGGTGCATCACCTGAGGTCAGGAGTTGGAGACCAGCCTAGCCAACTTGGTGAAACCCCATCACTACAAAAATACAAAAATTATCTGGGTGTGGTGGTGCGCACCTGTAATCCTAGCTGCCCGGGAGGCTGAGGCAGGCAAATGGCCTCAACCTGGGAGGCAGAGGTTGCAGTGAGCTGAAATCACACCACTGCACTCCAGCCTGGGTGACAGAGTGAGACTGTACCTCAAAAAATAAAATAAATAAATAAATAAATAAATAAATAAATAAATAAATAGACCGGGCGCAGTGGCTCACACCTATAATCTCAGCACCTTGGGATGCCCAGGCAGGTGGATCACCTGAGGTCAGGAGTTTGAGACCAGCCTGGCCAACCATGGCCAACATGGTGAAACCCTGTCTCTACTAAAAATACAAAAATTAGCTGGGCTTAGTGGCAGGCGCCTGTAATCCCAGCTACTTGAGAGGCTGAGGCAGGGAGAATTGCTTGAACCCAGGAGGCGGAGGTTGCAGTTAGCTAAGATCGCACCACTGCACTCCAGCCTGGGCGACACAGCAAGACTGTCTCAAAAAAAAAAAAAGAATAATTGCAATGAATTGAAACTTATCATATGTATTTGAATTTATAAGTTCATACAACTGCAAACAGAAAAATACCCCAAAAGCCACATACCCAATTTGTGGCAGATTAAAGATGGCCACAGGCCAGGGCATAGAACTCTTGGGCACAGTGGCTCATGCCTGTAATCCCAGCACCTTGCGAGGAGTTTGAGACCAGCCTGGGCAGTATACTGAGACCCTGTCTCAAAAAAATTAGCTGGGTGGTGGGGTGCCTGGGTGCAGTGACTCATGCCTGTAATCCCAGCCTTTTGGGAGGTGGAGGCAGACAGATCTCTTGAGCCCAGGAGTTTGACACCAGCCTGTGCAAATGGTGAAACCTCATCTCTACAAACAAATACAAAAATTATCCAGGCATAGTGGTTCGTGCCTGTAGCCCCAGCTACTTGAGAGGCTGAGGTGGGAGGCTTGCTTGAGCCCAGGAGGTCAAGACTACAGTGAGCCTTGATTGTGCTACTGCACTCCAGCCTGGGCAACAGAGTGAGACCTTGTCTCTAAAAGAAAGAAAGAAAGAGAGAAAATAAAGATGGTGGCCAGGCGCGGTGGCTCACGCCTGTAATCCCAGCACTTTGGGAGGCCGAGATGGGCGGATCACAAGGTCAGGAGATCGAGACTATCCAGGCTAACACAGTGAAACCTCATCTCTACTAAAAATACAAAAAAATTATCCGGGCGTGGTGGCGAGTGCCGGTAGTCCCAGCTACTCGGGAGGCTGAGACAGGAGAATGGCGTGAACCCGGGAGGCGGAGATTGCAGTGAGCCGAGGTCACGCCACTACACTCCAGCCTGGGCGACAGAGCAAGACTCCGTCTCAAAAAAAAAAAAAAAAAGAAAAAGAAAATAAAGATGGTTGCGAAGTTCTTGCCACTACTTCACTCTAAAGTTGAGGTCTTTGTCCTTTCCTCGTGAAAGACTCTTTGACCACATTGACCAGTGGAATACAGTAAAAATCATACATGCCTGGGCCCAGGCCAATTCCTCTGTTGGAAACATGTGGGTGCCCTGAGCTGTCCTGTGAGAAGGTGCCATCCTGAAGCCCTCGTGCCACAGCGGCCACAGGTAGGTGTTGTACATGGCAGTGCAGCTGTGCCCACCTTCCAGCCTCCAGCTAGGCCTGCCAAGGTGTTAGACATGAAGAAAGCCTTCTGGGACCCCCAGCTCATCCCATCGGCTGGCTCTACACTTCTGAATGACCTCAGTCAGTGCCACAAGGAGAAGTAGAATTGCTCAGCTGAGCCCTGCCCCAATTCTCAGCCTTCCAAAGTGCTGGATTATAGGCCGGCATGGTGGCTCACGCCTGCAATCCTAGCACTGTGGGAAGCCAAGTCGGGCAGATCACCTGAGGTCAGGAGTTTGAGACCAGCCTGGCCAACGTGGCAAAACCCCGTCTCTACTAAAAATATAACAATTAGCGGTGTGTGGTGGTTCATGTCTGTAATCCCAGCTACTCAGGAGGCTGAGGCAGGAGAATGGCTCGAACCTGCGAGGCAGAGGTTGCAGTGAGCCAAGATCGTGCCACTGCACTCCAGCCTGGGCAACAGAGTAAAACTCTATCTCCAAAAACAAATAAACAAAACAAAACAAAACAAAACAAAAGTGCTGGATTACAGACGTGAGCCACTGCGCCCGGCCAGCTCTTTATTTTGAAAAACTGATAAATAAAGGGAAAGAATCAAGCACTGATTCTGTGTTTTGTGTATGAACTGTTCTTGAGGCACCTAGATTGTTGATGAAGGGAAGCTTGTCCCTATAGAAGTATTCCTGCCGTTGCCAAGCACGGTGGCTCACACCTGTAACTGCAGCACTTTGGGAGGCTGAGGCGGCAGGATCAGTTGAATCCAGGAGTTTGAGACCAGCCTGGGCAACATGGCAAATCCCCATCTCTACAAAAAAAATTATAAAAATTTAGCAGGACACGGTGGCCCCTTCCTGTAGTCCCAGCTACTTGGGAAGCTGAGAGAGGAGGATTGCTTGAGCCTGGGAGGCAGAGGTTGCAGTGCGGCGAGATCAAGTCATGACACCCCGGCCTGGGCAACAGAGCGAGACCCTGTCTCAAAAATAAATACATACATACATACATACATATTGCTTTTTTAGTTCTGATAATTATATAAAATAGGATATCACATAATTAAACATGGAGTCTTGAACCGTTAGAGAATCTTACAGAAATGCTTTGGATGAAATAATATGATGTCTGGGAATTGGTTCAGAACATGCCAGTGCTGAGGGGGGTGGAGGTTCAGACTAAACGAGACTGGCCACGTGCCGTTAACTGGTGAAGTGGGGCAATGGGGGTCCCTTAACGCTTTCTCTCTCCTTCTGAGTGTGATGGAGGTTTTCCATAATAAAAAGTCAAAAAAGATTCCCTTTATTCTAGCCATCCTGGAATCCACAGCAACCCTTCGGGGGCTCCGGGCACCCTCTCTAGGGTGGTGCTGTGGGGTGGGGGTAGGCTGGGGGCACAGGGACCACAGTGCAAGAGGCTGGGGCCACTTGCCATGTTTTGTGACTCTGGCTCTGAGCAGGGGCCAGCCCTTCCTCCGTACCCCTTCCCTGCTTCTCTGGGGGTTGGTGAGGACAGGCGTGTGGCGGGGAGACCGTGGCTTTCTCAGAGGCTCAGAAGGAATCTATTTCTCTTTCAACTCTGTCGTCCCCAACTTGCCCCTTCAGCAGACTCTCCAAGAATATCAAATACTGACTCAGGGCCCTTAAATAACCCCTGTGATTTTGTTTTTAAAGGCTCCTTGACCTTCCTGAATTTCGGTACAGATCCTGTTTAAATGAGTTTCCTGACTTCAGAGTCTGAAAAGGGTATATCTTTTATTTGTTGACAGTGTTATCATTAATCCGTGTTATCACTAATCAATAAACATCTATTGAGTGCCTGCTCCGGGCCAGAGAGGGAAACAGCTCAGAATCAGCACAGCTCCTGGCCCTCACACCACTTGGGTCCCGGCCTGTCCCTGGGCACCCATTCTCTGCTGCTGTGGGCCGGGCAACCCCTGGCTCAGGTGCCAGGGGATGTGGGAGTAGTGGTGAAGGGTGCTGAGGGTTCAGGGTGTTTGCGGGGACGGGAACAAAGGACTTCTGCCACACAGACATCACTGCCAAGTGTCTCTCCTGCTCATCTCTTTCAGGATGAGTGTGCAAACCATCCGAAATGTGTTCAGCGTTGAAGCTGGATATCGGCTCTCAGATGACCAAATAGTCAACCATTTTCCAAACCACTATGAACTGACCCGGAAGGACCTGATGGTGAAGAACATCAAAAGATACAGGAAGGAGCTGGAGAAAGAAGGGAGTCCTCTGGCAGAAAAAGATGAAAATGGAAAATACCTCTATCTGGGTTTGTGCGTCTTCCACCGGCTCATGTTTTCAGTAAACAGCTGAATTTTTTCTTTGGGGCGCGAGGCGCTGAGGTGGTGACTGTTGGCTTTGATGCGTGAGCATGTCCATGCGAGTTGTGGTGGCACCTGTTTCATTTCAGGTGTCTCCAGAATGAGGGAGAAGGAGGGGCCTGAGTGTGGCATCCTAGTTTCTGTGAGTGCCTTGGGAATTGCCTGGCATGGCGTTTTTTTTTTTTTTTTTTTGAGACAGAATCTCACTCTGTCATCCAGGCTGGAGTGTAGTGGCGCGATCTCAGCTCACTGCAACCTCCGCCTCCTGAGTTCAAGCAATTCTCCTGCCTCAGCCTCCCAAGTAGCTGGGACTACTGGTGCCCTCTACCATGCCCGACTAATTTTTTTTTTTTTTTTTTTTTTGTATTTTTAGTAGAGATGGGATTTCACCATATTGGCCAGGCTGGTCTCGAACTCCTGACCTTGTGATCCACCCGCTTCTGCCTCCCAAAGTGCTGGGATTATAGACGTGAGCCACCACACCCAGCCAGCATGGACTTTGTGTAAGCCAGAGGATGCCCTCAGCGCTCAGCCTGGGGAAATACTTCTTGAGCCACAGGCTGCCACGAGGGCTCATGACTGTGTCTGGCTATACCCAGGGAAGACAGTGTGTCCCTGTCCAAGTCCGGGATAAAAGCTGGACTGAATAGTTTCAGATTTCTTCACAAACCTGGGTAGAATTCTCTATCTGATCTCCCTGGGCCTCAGTTTCCTCGTCTGCTAAATGGGAATTATTACAGGGTTTACAGTAGCTCCCAGGTGGCCGTGGGGATTGAAAAATACAGGTTTGTAAGGTGCTTAGGTAGGCTCTATAAATGTAACTTGTGAGTGTTGCCCAGGGATTGTGCAGCAGAGGCCCTTGTTCTGTTAGCTGCTGGGTTGCGGTGGGGGACACTCAGCCCACAGGCCCTGGAAAGGCAAGGGCAAGATCTTTCTGTTCATGGCCACTGTTGGGCTGGCTGCTTACCAGTGCTGGGTGTCTTTGCCTTGCAGACTTTGTTCCAGTCACCTATATGCTGCCCGCTGACTACAACCTGTTTGTAGAGGAGTTCCGGAAGAGCCCGTCCAGCACCTGGATCATGAAGCCTTGTGGCAAGGCCCAGGGAAAGGGCATCTTCCTTATCAACAAGCTCTCACAGATCAAAAAGTGGTCCCGGGACAGCAAGACATCTTCGTAAGTGTGGGCAGCCACCCACTTTGTGTGCCAGGTCCCAGTTCACCGTTTTATGCTGTTCGCAGTCTTTGTGGGTTTTTGTTTGGTTTTTTTTTGACAGAGTCTCACTCTGTCGCCCAGGCAGGATTACAGTGGCACAATCTCAGCTCACTGCAACCTCCGCCTTCTGGGTTCAAGCGATTCTCCTGCTTCAGCCTCCCGAGTAGTTGGGATTACAGGCATGCGTCACCACGCCCAGCTAATTTTTGTATTTTTTTAATAGAGTTTTTTTTTTTTAAATAGAGATGGGGTTTTGCGGCTGGGCATGGTGGCTCATGCCTGTAATCTCAGCCCTTTGGGAGGCCGAGGTGGGTGGATCATGAGGTCAGGAGATCAAGACCAGCCTGGCCAAGATGGCGAAACTCCATCTCTACTAAAAATACAAAAAAAAAAAAAAAAATTAGCCAGGTGAGGTGGCAGGTGCCTGTAATCCCATCTACTCAGGAGGCTGAGGCAGGAGAATCGCTTGAACCCAGAAGGCAGAGGTTGCAGTGAGCTGAGATCGCGCCATGCACTCCAGCCTGGGTGACAGAGTGAGATTCTGTCTAAAAAAAAGAAAGAGAGAGAGGTGGGGTTTTGCCCTGTTAGCCAGGCTGGTCTCAAACTCCTGACCTCAGGGTGATCCACCCACCTCGGCCTCCCAAAGTGCTGGGATTACAGGCGTGATTCACTGTTCCTGGCCTGTTCTGTGGTCTTTGGCCATGAGCCACACAGCCCATGCTTGCTTTTACAGGCGTGCGTCATCTGTCACGTGGCGTCACGGTGGGGTTCTGTGGTTGTCTTCGTGTGATTAGTCCCAGACTCTGCCCAAGGCAGGCCATGAAGAAGGGTGTAGGTCATGGGCCAGGGCCTGCAGCCACTTTTTGATTACAGGCTGGTGTGAGAACCGCTCAGTCGTGGTGGTTCTGAGGCAGCGAGGCACCTGCCAAAGTCCTGGGACTCGTGGCCCTAGGGTCCTGGGTTTGAAGCCCAGTCTCACACGAAGTGGCTGAGCGTATTTTGTTCTTCAGACTCTCCATGTCTTACATTCTCCATCTGAGTAAACCGGGGACACCAGCAGCACCACTGCCATGGGGTTGTGATGGGGATGGAACGAGTTAACACATGTGAAATATGAAGCATCTGGGAGGAGCCGGGCACAGCCGATGGGCACAGCCGAGCAAGTGGTGGGGCAGTGGCCTCGTGGCAAGCCCAGGGGCCTGGGTCTGCTGGCTTCTCTGTCTTTGTTTTTTCTCAGCTGCTCAGAAGTGCCCGGGGCCCACCGGGGCAAAGCTTCTGTCTGATCCTTTTCCAGTGGGGAGATGACTCACTTGTCAGGAGTTCCCAGGGTGACAGGAGACACCTTCTCATTTTATAGCATGTTTACTTTTTTTTTTTTCTTTTGAGATGGAGTCTCACTCTGTTGCCCAGGCTGGAGTACAGTGGTACAATCTCAGCTCACTGCAACCTCACGCCTCCCAGGTTCAAGCGATCTGCCTACCTCAGCCTCCCAAGTAGCTGGGATCACAGGCACCCACCATGCCTGGCTAATTTTTTTATTTTTAGTAGAGATGGGGTTTTACCATGTTGGCCAGGCTGGTCTCTAACTCTTGACCTCAAGTGATCCACCCACCTTGGCCTCCCAAAGTGCTAGTATTACAGGGGGTGAGCCACTGTGTGTGGCCTAAAAAAAAATTTTTTTTTTTTTAAGACGGGATCATGGCTCACTGCAACCTCAACCTCCTAGGCCCAAGCGATCCTCCCACCTCAGCCTCCTGAGTAGCTGAGACTATAGGTACACACGACCACACCTGGCTAATTTTTCTTTTTTGTAGAGGCAGGGTTTCATCATGTTGCCCAGGTTGATCTCAAATTCCCGGGCTCAAGTGATCTGCCTGCCTCAGCCTCCCAAAGTGCTGGGACTACAGGTGTCAGCCACCATGCCCGGCCATGCTTAAATCTAATTACACTTTGCTAGCCCCCAGATGGCCAGGCCCGAGGAGCATTTCCCTGAGTGGACTCCTGGGGACTGTCCTGCAGCTGCTTGCACTGTCCCCTGGGGCAGGGGGTGTGTCCTCCATGGATACACCCCACCCCCATTTCCTTCCTGATGACCCAGCCCCTCACAGTGAGAGGCCGGGAGCGTGTTGCCAGCTGACGAGATGCACCTTTGGTCTTTACCATCCATTTTTTTTCTAGTAGCTTGATTTTTTTTTTAATTTTTTTTTTTTTTGAGACAGTGTCTCGCTCTGTCTCCCAGGCTGGACTGCAGTGGTGCGATCTCAGCTCACTGCAACCTCCACGTCCCAGGTTCAAGCGATTCTCCTGCCTCAGCCTCCTGAGTAGCTGGGACTACAGGCACCCGCCACCACACCTGGCTAATTTTTGTATTTTTAGTAGAGACAGGGTTTCACCATGTTGGTTAGGCTGGTCTTGAACTCCTGACCTCGTGATCCTCCTGCCTCGGCTTCCCAAAGTGCTGGGATTACAGGCCTCCAGTAGCTTGATTTTTTTAGAGCAGTTTTAGGTTTACTGCACAATTGAAGAAGATACAGAGATTTTTTTTTTCCTATACCCCTTCCCCACACATGCACGGCCTCCCCCCTTATCAGCATCCCCTACCAGAATTGTTAAAGTTAGCAAACTGATTAGCTGGGTGTCGTGGCACATGCCTGTAGTCTCAGCTACTTGCCAGGCTGAGGTGAGACTATCACTTGAGCCCAGGAGACTGCAGTGAGCTGTGATCGCACCACTGCACTCCAGCCTGGGCAACACAGCAAGACCATCTCAAAAAAAAAAATTTGGCCATGTGTGTGGCACAAGCCTGTAATCCCAGCACTTTGGGAGGCCAAGGCAGGCGGATCACTTGAGGTCAGGAGTTTGAGACTAGCCTGGCCGACATGGCAAAATCCTGTCTCTACTAAAAATACAAAAATTAGCCAGGCATGGTGGCTGGCGTCTGTAATCCCAGCTACTCAGGAGGCTGAGGCAGGAGAATCATTTTAACCCAGGAGGTGGAGGTTGCAGTGAGCCAAGATCACGCCAGTGCACTCCAGCCTGGGTGACAGAGGAAGACTGTGTCTCAAAAATATATATATATAAATAAAAATTGGCAGACTGACACCAGCCCATCATCACCCAAAGGCCATAGTTCACATTAGGGTTTACTCTTAGTGTTGTCCATTTTGGGAGCTTAGACAAATGTATAGTGACATGGATCCACCATTATTTTATTTATTTATTTTTTGAGATGGAGTCTTGCTCTATTGCCCAGGCTGGAGTGCGGTGGCAGGATCTTGGTTCACTGCAAACTCTGCCTCCCGGGTTCAAGCGATTATCCTGCCTCAGCCTCTGGAGTAGCTGGAATTACAGGCACCCGCCCCCATGCCTGGCTATTTTTGTATTTTTAGTAGAGACAGGGTTTCACCATGTTGGCCAGGCTGGTCTCGAACTCCTGACCTCAGGTGATCCACCCGCCTCGGCCTCCCAAAGTGCTGGGATTACAGGCGTGAGCCACCAAGCTCGTCCAGATCCACCATCATAGTAACATACGGAGTAGTTTCACTGCCCTCAAAATCCTCTGTGCTCTGCCTGTTTATCCCTAGTCTGTGGCAACCACAGATCTTTTTACTGTCTTTATTTATTTATTTACTTATTTATTTATTTGAGATGGAGTCTTGCTCTGTCACCCAGGCTGGAGTGCAGTGGTGCCATCTCAGCTCACTGCAACCTCCACCTCTTGGGTTCAAGTGATTCTCCTGCCACAGCCTCCTGAGTATCTGGGACTACAGGCACACACCACCACACCGGGCTAATTTTTTTTCTTTTTAGCAGAGACGGGGTTTCACCGTGTTGACCAGGCTCGTCTTGAACTCCCGACCTGAAGTGATCCACCCGCCTCGCCTCCCAAAGTGCTGGGATTACAGGCGTGAGCCACCGCGCCCAGCCAAAACTCTTTAATTTTTTAATTTTAATGAAGTCCGGCTTATCAGTTATTCCTTTCTTGGATTGTGTCTTCGTTATTGCATCTTTTACCATCTAATTTTTACTTTCTCTGCCATGTTTAGGTTTGTGTCTCAATCTAATAAGGAAGCCTACGTGATCTCTCTCTATATTAACAACCCGTTACTAATTGGCGGGAGGAAGTTCGACCTGCGCTTGTACGTTCTGGTGTCCACGTACCGTCCACTGCGCTGTTACATGTAAGCGTCCCTAAGGTTTTGGTTCCCTCTTGATTGTGTTTTCACCCAAAACGTCTTTCTTCTTAGCACCATTGTGAGGTTTCATAAAACAGTGCATGTGCGGTGCCTGGCACGGGGCAGGGATTGAGGGAAGTAAGAGCAGTCAGGCCCGATGCCGATGTGAGTCGTGTAAATCACACACACAAAAGCAGCTCTTTTTAGAGAATGAAGTGGTGTCTTTTCTTTTTGTTTCTCCTCAGAGTTTGAATTAATCTACATTCCCTCCTAGGTACAAGCTTGGGTTTTGCCGGTTCTGCACAGTGAAATACACCCCGAGTACCAGTGAGCTGGACAACATGTTCGTTCATCTCACCAACGTCGCCATCCAGAAACACGGGGTGAGTGTGTCCTTTCATTTGTGCTTACAGAAATGGACTGACTTTCAGGCCGGGTGTGGTGGCTCACGCCTGTAATCCCGGCACTTTGGGAGGCTGAGGCGGGTGGATCACCTGAGGTCAGGAGTTCGAGACCAGCCTGACGAACACAATGAAACCCTGTCTCTACTAAAAAAAAAAATACGGAAATTACCATGGTGGCTGGCGCCTGTAATTCTAGCTACTCGGGAGGCTGAGGCAGGAGAATCGCTTGAACCAGAAGGCAAAGGTTGCAGTGAGCCGAGATTGCACCATTGCACTCCAGCCTGGACAACTGAGCGAGACTCTGTCTCAAAAGAAAAAAAAAAAAAAAAGGACCGACTTTGTGGGTTTCTTTCTTCTATTTTTGCAAGAACAGGGTGGGTATAGAAGTGATACTCAAAGAGTATCCTGGTCTAAGGTCCGGCACTGATGGGACTGGGAGGCTCTAGGCATCAGGCGGGCTGGCCTAGGACACATCAGCTGAATGCCGTGGCTGGGTGGGGGCACCTGGAGAAAGAAGGCAGCAGGCTCAAGCCCTGCCTTTCTAGTTCTGTGGCCTCGGGCAAGTCAGTGTAACTCTCAGAGCCTCGGTTTCTCCATTTATAAAAGGAGATCATAGTATTACCTGGCGGGACTGTGGGAGGATGTCATGAGGTGACTTCTGCTTAGACCATCCCTGAGGTACCCTGCCTCAACTTACAATTTTTCAAGCTTCCAGTGGTATGAAAGTGACATGCATTCAGTAGGAACCGTACTTCAAGTACACATGCAACCGTTTGGTTTTTTACTTTGAGTACAGTAGTCAATAAATTATGTGAGGTATTTCACGCTTTATTATAAAATAGGCTTTGCCTTAGATGATTTTGCCCAACTTCAGGCTATTGTAAGTGTTCTAAGCATGTCTTAGATAGGCAAGGCTATGATATTCAGTAGGTTAGGTATAGAAAACGCACTTTTTTTTTCTTTTTGAGGCGGAGTCTCGCTCTGTTGCCCCGGCTAGAGTGCAGTGGCATGATCTCAGCTCACCACAACCTGTCTCCCAGGTTCAAGTGATTCTCCTGCCTCAGCCTCCTGAGGAGCTGAGACTACAAGCATGTGTCACCATGCCTGGCTAATTTTTGTATTTTAGTAGAGATGGGGTTTCACCATGTTGGCCAGGCTGGTCTCGAACTCATTTTCTCAAGTGATCCGCCCACCTCAACCTCCCAAAGTGCTGGGATTACAGGCGTGTGCCACTGCGCCTGGCGTTAAATAATGCAGTTTCTTTTTTTTTCTTTTTTCTTTTCTTTTCTTTTTTTTTTTTAAGAGACAGAGTCTTGCTCTGTTGCCAGGCTGGAGTGCAGTGCCGTGATCTCAGCTCACTGCAACCTCCGCCTCCCAGGTTCAAGCGATTCTCCTGCCTCAGCCTCCTGAGTAGCTGGGATCACAGGCGTGCGCCACCACGCCCAGCTAATTTTTGTATTTTTAGTAGAGATGGGATTTCCCCATGTTGGCCAGAATGGTCTTGATCTCTTGACCTCGTGATCCACCCTCCTCGGCCTCCCAAAGTGCTGGGATTAGAGGTGTGAGCTACTGCGCCCGGCCAAATCTACTTTCAACTTACAATATTTTCAACTTGCTATGGGTTTATCTGGACATAGCCCCATCGGAGGCCCCATCTGTACCCATTGAGTACCTATGTGAGTTGGTCCCCTTCTGAGTGCCCAGGACACAGTGATAGGCAAAGCCTACCTTAGTACCTACTCTCACAGATCCCAGAGCTTCCAGGGGAGATAGTCATCAAATAATCACCCTGATGAACATGAAATTACAAACTGAGCTGCTTGCTCTGAAAGTGAGGAACACACATCTAGAAGATCATGGAACAAAAGAAGCCCCTTATCCAGTGGTTGGAGAAGGCTTCCCTGCAAAGCGGTGCTGGAGCCGAGATCTGAAGCATGAGTAGGGATAATCCAGAGAGGGTGGAGAAGGTTCCATAGTAGTAGGTACAACGTGTGCCGAGGCCCTGTTGCCAGAGGGAGCATTACAGGGGCTGAAAGGACGCCAGGGTAGCAGGAGCCCCTGGCGTGAGGGCAGTGGATGGGGAGGGACTGGAGAGGCCAGCAAGGGCAGACACACAGGGCTTTGTGGACCCAGTTCAGGTTAGGGGCTCTAATTTCACCCCAACATAAACCAAAGGTCTCGTTTCTTTATGAAAGACTCCTTCTTTGATTTGAATCTTCTTTGGATGGAAGCCTTGAATGCTCTGGTCTGTTTTCTGATTTGAGGAGAAAGAGAGTGAGTATTGGTATGAAATATGCATTTCTGAAGAACCTGCTGAAGAGTTTGGTCAGACGAGGCTGGACTCGGTCCTCTGCCCATCACTTACCTCTGTGTGACTTGGGCAGCTCACCAGCCCTCTGGGCCCCACAGCTGCCAACAGGAGCCAGGGGTTCACCTTGCTGGTCTTGGGATGACGATGGCCACTGCTTACCGGGGCCAAGTGGCTTCCACATGTGGCTGGCCTAACTCGCTTCCCCTTCAGGTCTTCCTCAGAGTAAACCAAGCAAGCATCAGTTTTACAAATTTTATTTTTTATTTATGTATTTATGATTATTAGTTTTTTTAGACAGAGTCTTGCTCTGTCACCCACGCTGGAGTACAGTGGCAGGATCTCGGCTCACTGCAACCTCTGCCTTCCGGGTTCAAGCGATTCTTCTGCCTCAGCCCCCCGAGTAACTGGGGTTACAGGTGCACGCCACCACACCTGGCTGGGGTTTTTAGTAGAGACGAGGTTTCACCATGTTGGCCAGGCTGGTCTCGAACTCCTGACCTCAGGTGATCCTCTCACCCCAGCTTCCCAAAGTGCTGGGATTACAGGCGTGAGCCACCGCGCCTGGACTTTCTTTTAAAATATGGTTAATTCTCCTTTTATCTGCTTTGAGTCAGTGGTGTTTGCTCGAAGAGTTAGTAGGCTGGTTTTGTTTTAGTTCATGGTTCTCACTTTATACTTAGAAAATGAAATGTAGTCTCCTAACAATGTAATACATTTGGGTATTTTCTAGCTCTTTGCCTTCAAAGATAAGCATTGTATGGAGAATTAATTTTCAGGGGTGGCAAAACAGGAAGAGCTCAGAAGTGGCATCAGAACATTTGGGCTGGAGGCCCAGCCCCATCCCAGCCCAGGAGGAAAGCTTGGCCAAGTAACAGCTTCTCTGAGCCCGGCGTCCCCTGTGAAATGGGATGATAATGGCGTCTTCTCAAGGTTGTTAGAGAGTGATGAGTGTGGTGCTTTTAAACTGCAGTGTGAGCCCAGTGTCTTAGGTTGGCTTCCCCAGGAAAGACTCTGAGGTAGAAGTCGGCAAGCTGATGTTGCTGCAGTGGAGGCCTCTGCCCACCGTGGGGCGCTGTGGAGCAGGGGTGGCCCTGCAGAGCTGTCCTGGAGGGAGCAGGGGCTGACACCTGGCATCAGCCAGACATGGTATGCTGTTGCCTTGGGGAGGGCTTTCACCCTGGATTAGGCAGCTCCCTCAAGCCAAGGGCACTCTCAGTGAGGGTGGGTCTCAGCTAGAAGAATGAGTGCCTTGGTCTTGAAGGGTATCCCGGCAGCACTCCACAGCCTGTGCTGTGAGGCATAAATGATTAAGCCTGAGAGTATTAGGGAGATGAGCATTTTAAAATACCCACGGAAGGCCAAGCGCGGTGGCTCACAGTGCAGTAAGCCGAGATCGTGCCATTGCACTCCAGCCTGGGTGACAGAGTGAGACTCTGTCTCAAAAAACAAAAATAAAAACAGAAAAACCCCACATTAATAGGAGGCCCAGGTGGCCGGGCACAGTGGCTCATGCCTGTAATCCCAACACTTTGGGAGGCCAAGGCAGGAGGATCCCTTGAGGCCAGGAGTTCAAGACCAGTCTGGGCAACATAGTGAGACCTCTTCTCTACAAAAAATTTAAAAATTAGCCAGGCATAGTGGCACATGCCTGTAGTCCCAGTTACTTGAGAGGCTGAGGTGGGAGGATTGCTTGAGCTCAAGAGGTCAAGGTTGCAGTGCACCAAAGTAATGCCACCGCACTCCAGCTTGGGGGACAGAGTGAGACCCTGTCTTAAAACAAAACGGAAAATAGCCGGCCCAGATCTCCCTGGGGCAGGGGTCTGGATGTTTGCCTTGTTGCTGGATGCCCACACCCAGGGGGCACTCCAGAAATGCTTGGGGGATGCAACGGTTCCGCTGGGTTCCTCTGGGGTGCATAGCCTGAGGGATGCCTGCCCGCTTTCCCGTCACCAGGAGGACTACAACCACATCCATGGGGGCAAGTGGACAGTGAGTAACCTGCGGCTCTACCTGGAGAGCACCCGCGGCAAGGAGGTGACCAGCAAGCTGTTCGACGAGATCCACTGGATCATCGTGCAGTCCCTGAAGGCTGTGGCGGTGAGTTTGGTGCGGGCGGGGGAGCCGGCTCCCAGGGCCCGTTTGGGAGTGGGGGGGCTTGCTGTCTTTCTGTTAAAAATCCCTGTTTTCAGCTGTGCGCGGCGGCTCACGCCTGTAATCCCAGCAAGCTGGGAGGCCGAGGCGGGCGGATCACCTGAGGTCAGAAGTTTGAGACTAGCCTGGCCCACATACATGGTGAAACCCTGTTTCTACTAAAAATACAAAAATTAGCCGGGCATGGTGGCATGCACGTGTAATCCCAGCTACTGGGGAGGCTGAGGCAGGAGAATCACTTGAACCCGGGAGGCAGAGGTTGCAGTGAGCGGAGGTCACACCACTGCACTCCAGCCTGGGTGACAGAGCAAGACTCTGTCTCAAAAAACAAAAAACAGGCTGGGCGCGTTGGTTAACGCCTGTAATCCCAGCACGCTGGGAGGGCGAGGCAGGCGGATCACCTGAGGTCAGAAGTTCAAGACCAGCCTGGACACGGTGAAACCCTGTCTCTACGAAACATACAAAAAATTAGCGGGGTGTGGTGGTGTGCACCTGTAATCTCAGCTACTTGGGAGGCTGAGGCAGGAGAATTGCTTGAACCCAGGAGGCAGAGGTTGCAGTGAGCCGCGATCGCGCCATTGCACTCCAGCCTGGGCAACAGGAGCGAAACTCTGTCTCAAAAACAAAAAAAAAAACAAAAAAAAACCTGTTTTCACTTTCTTGCCGCCTGCACATCTGCCAGAGGCTGCAGTCTTTTCGGAAAGGGAAAGGGGCTAGCTTGCAGCCCAGTGCCATCCCGGGGTGAGCCGGGCTAGCCTCTCAGGTGTAGCCACAGGCCCTGGCCCCTCCACTCCTCTTATACCCACTAAGTCAATAATAACTATTTTGGCATAAACTGATATATTGGAGATGGACTTCCAGCAGCGTCTTGTCTGTGATGTCCTGACTTTAGTATTTCATAGATATTTCGGGCTGGAAATGGCGTGCCTCTTTTTTTATCTTCACATTTTATGTTTGTTTGCTGGTTTTCAGTTGGCATTCGTGTTTTGTTTTACCGTGTTAAAGCAGGTGCACATCTGTTTTTAAGGGAAAAGAGAGAAATGAACATATGAGCACCAGCAAGCTTGCTACTATTAATATTTCCGGGGCCGGGCGCTGTGGCTCACACCTGTAATCCCAGCACTTTGGGAGGCCAAGGTGCGCAGATCACGAGGTCAGGAGATCGAGACCATCCTGGCTAACAGGGTGAAACCCCGTCTCTACTACAACTACAAAAAAATTTGCCGGGCGTGGTAGTGGGCGCCTGTAGTCCCAGCTACTCGGGAGGCTGAGGCAGGAGAATGGTGTGAACCTGGGAGGCAGAGCTTGCAGTGAGCCGAGATCGTACCACTGCACTCCAGCCTGGCGACAGAGTGAGACTGTCTAGAAAAAAAAAAATATATATATATATATATTTCCAGTGCTTCCCCAGTGGGTGTCTTGGGGTGTTTTGTTACTCGCATATGACTCCTGGGAAAACGGAGGCCCAGGCCCCGGAGCTGGGAAGTAGAACAGGTTTCTGGCCCAAAGCCCATGAAATCTTCCCATCTCACCTATGAGGGAGGGGCAGGAAAGCAACCCTCCCACCCTCCCCTGCCCACTCCAGGAGCCCAGTCTCTCCTGTCAGTTTCGTGGTCTTTTGTTTTTTTCTCTGAGGGCAAGTATGGTCTGTTCTTTTACTTTTTGAGGTGGCCCCTGAGAGACCCACCTACTCAGATGTGGGCCCAGAGAGTGGGTGCCACATCACCGTGGAGTGTGTGTGTGGTGGGATACTTCCCATTCTTTTAACAAAGGTGCTTTACAAAACTCCCAAAGCTCAAAGAATCACCACCATGTCAAAGAGCAAAAGTAACCATGGCCAGCTGTGGTATGTGTCCCCCACATTGGTGTCAAGAGGCTGTGAGAAAGAGCTTCCCTCCACAGTCAGAAATGTATGAAATTGGCCGGGCACAGTGGCTCACGCCTGTAATCCCAGCACTTTGAGACGCCGAGGTGGAGGATCACTTAAGCCCAAAAGTTTGGGACTTGAGGGTAACAAAGTAAGACCCTGCTTTTTTTTTTTTTTTTTTTTTAATTTAATTTGAGACGGAGTCTCATTCTGTCGACCAGGCTGGAGTGCAGTGGCACAATCTCAGCCCACTGCAGCCTCCGATCCCTGGTTCAAACAATTCTCCTGCCTCAGCCTCCCAAGTAGCTGGGATTACAGGCTTGCGCCACAATGTCCAACTAATTTTTGTATTTTTAGTACTGACAGAGTTTCACCATGTTGGCCAGGCTGGTCTGGATCTCCTGAACTTGTGATCCACCCACCTCAGCCTCCCAAAGTGCTGGGATTACAGATGTGAGCCACCGCGCCTGGCCAAGACCTTGCTTCTAAAAATAAAAAATAAATTAGCCGGGCGTGGTGGCACATACTTGTGATCCCAGCTAGTCAGAAGGGTGAGGTGGGAGGATTGCTTGAGTCCAGGAGTTTGAGGGTACAGTGAGCCACGATCACGCCAATGCACTCCAGTCTGGGTGACCATGAGGCCCTGTCTCTTTAATGTTTTTGTTTTGTTTTGTTTTTGAGATGGAGTCTCTCTCTGTCACCCAGGCTGGAGTGCAGTGGCGCGATCTTGGCTCCTAGCAACCTCCACCTCCCGGGTTCAAGAGATTCTCTTGCTTCAGCCTCCCAAGTAGCTGGGACTACAGGTGCGCGTCACCATACCTGGCTAATTTTTGTATTTTTAAGTAGAGACAGGGTTTCGCCATGTTGCCCAGGCTAGTCTCGAACTCCTGACCTGAGGTGATCCACGCACCTGGACCTCCCAAAAGTGCTGGGATTACAGGCGTGAGCTACTGCACCCGGCCAGCCCTGTCTCTTTAAAAAAAAAAAAAAAAAAAAAAAAGACAAGAAGAAAGATGGAAATGTGTGAAACTGCTGTTCTGGAGAAAGTGTGATGGCATCAAGGTTGATGTGTGAACATTTTTTTTTTTTTCAATTTTTTTTTTTTGAGACAGAGTCTCGCTGTGTCGCCAGGCTGGAGTGCAGTGATGCGATCTCGGCTCACTGCAACCTCCGCCTCCCAGGTTCAAGCAATTCTCTTGTCTCAGCCTCCTGAGTAGCTGGGACTACAAGTGCGCGCCACCACGCCCAGCTAATTTTTGTATTTTTAGTAGAGACAGGTTTCACCATGTTGGCTAGGATGGTCTCCATCTCTTGACCTCGTGATCCACCTGCCTCGGACTCCCAAAGTGCTGGGATTACAGGCAGGAGCCACTGTGCCTGGCTGTATGAACATATTTATAGAAAACAGTCTCTGTGGAGGCCAGGTATGGTGGCTCACGCCTGTAATCCCAGCTCTTAGGGAGGCAGAGGCAGGAGGATAGCTTGAACCCAGGAATTCGAGACCTGCCTGGGCAATATAGCGAGACCTCCTTCTCCACAAAAAGGGAAAAAAAAAGACAAAAAAAGAAACATTCTCTGTGGAAAATTAAGGCCTTGTCTTCTACTTTTACCTTTAAACATAACCAAAGAGGCTTATATTGAGCCTCTTTGAAGTGAAAGGCTTCAGTGAAACAACCACGAAAATTAAGAGGCTGGGCGTGGTGGCTCATGCTTGTAATCTCAGCCCTTTGGGAGACTGAGACAGGAGGATTGCTTGAGGCCAGGAGTTCAAGACCAGCCTGGACCACATAGCAAGATGCTGTCTCTACAAAAAAAAAAAATTATTTTTAATTAGCCGAATGTGTTGGTGCACACCTGTTGTCCCAGCCCTTTGGGAGGTCAAGGTGGGCAGATTGCTTGAGCCCAGGAATTTGAGACCAGCCTGGGCAACATGCGAGACTCTGTCTCTACAAAAAATACAAAAATTAGCCAGGCATGGTGGTGCATGCCTATAGTCCCAGCTACTGGGCAGGCTGACCTGGGAAAATCACTTGAGCCTGGAAGATGGAGGCTACAGGGAGCTGTGATCACACCAGTGCACTCCAGCCTGGGCGACAGAGTGAGACCTTGTCTCAAAAAAAAAAGAAAGAAAACTATAGACAGACGTGGCCAGGCACAGTGCCTGTAATCCCAGCACTTTGAGAGGCTGAGGTGGGCGGATCACATGAGGCCAGGAGTTGAAGACCAGCCTGGATAACATGATGAAACCCCATCTCTACTAAAAATACAAAAATTAGCCAGGCGTGATGGCACACACCCATAATCCCAGCTACTCGGGAGGCTGACGCAGGAGAATCGCTTGAACCCGGGAGGTAGAGGTTGCAGTGAGTGGAGACCACACCACTGCACCCCAGCCTGGGTGACAGAGTTAAGATTCTGTCTCAAAAAACAAAAAGAAGGGGCTGGGTGCGGTGGCTCACACCTGTAATCCCAGCACTTTGGGAGGCCTAGGCGGGCGGATCACAAGGTCAGAAGATCAAGACCATCCTGGCTAACATGGTGAAACCCCATCTCTACTAAAAATACAAAAAATTAGCCAGGCGTAGTGGCAGTGCCTGTAGTCCCAGCTACTCGGGAGGCTGAGGCAGGAGAATGGCGTGAACCCGGGAGGCGGAGCTTGCAGTGAGCCGAGATTGCGCCACTGCACTCCAGCCTGGGCCACAGAGCAAGACTCCGTCTCAAAAAAAAAAAAAAAAAAAAGGCCAGGTGCAGTGGCTCATGCTTGTAATCCCAGTACTTTGGGAGGGCGAGGTGGGTGGATCACCTGAGGTCAGGAGTTCGAGACCAGCCTGGCCAACATGGTGAAATCCTATCTCTACTAAAAATACAAAATTAGCTGGGTGTGGTGGCGCATGCCTGTGATCCCAGCTATTTGGGAGGCTGAAGCAAGAGAATCGCTTGAACCTGGGAGGTGGAATTTGCAGTCAGCCGAGACCGTGCCATTGTACTCCAGCCTGGGCAACAAGAGCAAAACTCCATCTCAAAAAAAAAAAAAAAAAAGAGATTATGTCGGGTTGGTGCCTTGACTTTCTGCACTTTAAGTGAAGCTCTTCCTGCTTTCAAAGTGGTGCGTGAGCACAGTGTGTGGGTTCGTTTTGTGTCTTTGGCTCACAGAGGATTCGACAGAAAAAACCCGGGACCTAGTTCACTGCTGGAGATACATCTTAGGGGCCGAGTGCCCCATCTCTTGTCCCACTGAAGCTCCTTATACCTTGGTGGCTTGGGTTGCAGCTTGGGTGGCAGGTAACGAGTGTGGAGTTCAGATCTGATTCCATGCCAGGCCCCACCATATCCCGACAGGGGACTTTGCTCAAGAGCCCACTCTTGCTGGGCCTCAGATGCCTCATCTGTGAAACTGGGACCCTGACACCAGTGTCACGGCGTATGTGTGAACAGTGCTCTGCAGAGACTGACTTCATGATTGGGAAGGGTTAAATACCGCTCATCGGTTGACACGTGACTGTGTGAATTCTAATGCCGGATTAAGCAGCCCTTTGCTCTCCCTCCCTCCCCAGCCCATTTTGGTAGATCTTTGAGAAAAAGTTAGCTGTTTAATCAAGGAAACCTGTATTCTTTCAGCCTGGCCCTCTGGCAGGTGCCTCTGAACGACTCCTTCTGGGCCTCAGTTTCCTGAACTGAAAAGCTGTTATGATAGATTTCTAAGGCTCTGTGAGGCTTTGGGAGCAGGAATTTATTTATTCAGTTTTTATTCACTTAGCAAATATTTCATCACCTGGTTTTTACCAGGCATGTTGTCCTCAGAGTGAGGCAGACAAGGAAACAGGCACATGGGAGGGGCCTGGTGCAGGACGGGAGGTGGCTCTGAGACCCCCCGAGGAACCCAAACCTGCAGCATGAGACTGGACAGAGACACTGAGAGCTACGCAATGCAGGCAGCCTGCTCAGGGCTGGAGGCAGAGCAGGGTTTGGAGAATGACAGTCAGGCTAATGACTTCCTGTCTTACAGACATTTTCTGGGACAGTAATCTGGGCACTGGCCTGGATGAGGATACCAGGCTTTTAGTTTAAATGTAATTCCGCTAAATTACATGAGGAGGCAGCCAAGAGCCTCCCTTTCTCTCAGTGAGTGAGGAGGGTGGTCCAGGCTGTCTCCTTCCCAGAGTTTCTAGCTTCAAGTGTTTCGTTGAAGCGGAGTCCGATGCCCTCTATCGTGTGACAAGACCTCCCTACCCCGTCTCTATGCTTCACTGACTATAGGGTGCACAAGTCTCTGAGGAGCCTGTAAAACTGTGGTGCGTCTCCAGAGGTTGAATCCAGGCAGGCTGGGGAGGGCCCAGGAATCTGCATCATAAGCAGCTGGGTTTGGGGGGTTTTGTGTTTTTTGTTTGTTTGTTTGTTTTTTGAGACAGAGTTTCGCTCTTGTTGCCCAGGCTGGAGTGCAGTGGCGCAGTCTCGGCTTACTGCAACCTCCGCCTCCCAGGTTCAAGGGATTCTCCTGTCTCAGCCTCCCAAGTAGCTGGGATTACAGGCACGCGCCACCACGGCTCGCTAATTTTTTGTATTTTTAGTAGAGACGGGGTTTCACCATGTTGGCCAGGCTGGTCTCGAACTCCCGACGTCAGGTGATCCACCTGCCTCCGCCTCCCAAAGTGCTGGGATTACAGACATCAGCCACTGCGCCCAGCCAGTTTTCTTTTTTTTGTTTGTTTGCTTTTAAGTGACAGGTTCTTGCTCTGTCACCCAGGCTGGAGTGCAGTGGCACGATCATGGCTCACTGCACTCCAGCACTCCTCACGGCACTCCTCTTCCTCCCAGCCTCCAGCTGTCCCGAGTAGCTGGGACTAATGGCACATACCACCACACCCAGCTAAATTTTTTATTTTTTGTAGAGGCGGGGGTCTCGCTGTGTTGCTCAGGCTGGTCTCAAACTCCTGGGCTCAAGTGATCCTCCCACCTTGGCCTCCCAAAGTGCTGGGATTACAGGCATGAGCCACTGCACCCAGCCTCAGGTGGTGTTATTTATGTATCTGGAGAACAGTTAATCTAAGGTGTATCTAAGTGAAATGGAATTGAAAATTACAAAGGAAATTCAAAAATTTGTATGTAAATGGATTTACTTTTGTCACTGGGAACAGAGGTTAATAGTCTGGCACCCGGATCCCTAAGGGCCTGGGAAGGGGTAACGGGCAGCCTGGTGGACAGTTTGTGTTTGTCTGTGATAAGGCTGCACAGACCTTCACTGCAGGTTCTGGGCTTGGAGCTGGACATCCGTTCACTCTGATGACAGTCTCACGCCAACAGAGGGGTTGGGTGCTAGTCAAGCCTCTGATGAGTGAGACGCAGAGATGCCCATTACGGCTTCATCAATTCCCTCTATCAGGCTGAGGAAAGTGCCCAATCTCTGAGCTCTGCGGGAGGAAGAGGGAGAGGAGGGAAGGAAGCGTTTGTGGTGGAGGGTGGGAACCTGTGCTGTGGGAGGTCGGGACGTGGGACGATCCTGCTTGTCTCTGTGGCGTTGGTCTCGGCTGCGCCCTTCGATGCTGGCCATGTCACCCACTGGTCACTCTCTCTCCAGCCGGTGATGAACAATGACAAGCACTGCTTTGAATGCTATGGCTACGACATCATCATCGACGACAAGCTGAAGCCCTGGCTGATCGAGGTAACTGCGGGAGCACCTGCACCTGGTCACACCACACATAGCCCCCAACACACTTCTGCCCCGATTCGGGCCCAGCAGTCCCCCAGGCCCCAGATGTTTCTCAGGCCAGGCAGGAAGGGGACTGATGTTCGAGTTTGATTGTTTGCTGATGGTTAAGGTATAAGCACATTCCTGCCTTGCTCCCCTCCCAGAGCCCAGCCCACGACAGGGAGCTGTAGCCCATCTCACGTGAACTTGGTGGCTATGACTCCTCCAGGGTGCATCTGGGCTAGTTCATCCTCCCTCAGTCCTGCACCCTGTCCCCCAGGCCCTCCCCTGTCCTCATGGGTGACAGTGTTCCCATCTAGGAAAGCAGCTCACAACCTCGGTACCCTTGGCCAGCAGGAGCACACTCTCCTGAGGGAAGGAACGCCCCTGCTCTTCTTTGGCATATATGAAGGTAGAGTTTGGAAGTGGATTCCTCTGCCTCTTTCAGTGGGTGGAGAGGATGTCGTGTTGGCTATCTGTTTAGCACTGCCTCCTGACACCAAGCCTGGCTGGTGCGACCTCAGCCACAGTGGGCGCTGGCGCGCTTCTCAGAGGCCCCAGCTTCAAACCCACCTTGCCCAACCGTTGCTCTGGAGCCAGGAGGAGGAGCTTCAGGCCTCCAAGGGGACAAAAGAACTCCGGCTCTATTGGTTCATCTCCCTGCACGCCCTCCCAACCAAGTTCATTTGCCAGTGGATGGCTTGGGCCCTTCATCTCGGTCACATTTTGAGCCAGGACACCCAAGTCCACAATAGCAGGTTGTAGGGACTGGTTCCCTATGGGTAGAGTCATGGGAACCCCTGCAGGAAGCTGCTGAAGAGCCAAGTGAGCTGGTTCCATCGTGGCATTTTCCAGGCAACTCCTTATGCCGCCAAAGCTGGGTGTGTGAGCGGGGAATAGATAGCCAGTGTTTGTACTTTCTTGTCCTCCATGTTAAACAGAATAACTTGAGGCTGGGCATGGTGGCTCACTCCTGTAATCCCAGCACTTTGGAAAGCCAAGGCGGGTGGATCACCTGAGGTCAGGAATTCAAGACCAGCCTGGCCAACATGGCAAAACCCCACCTCTACTAAAAATTAAAAAATTGCCCAGGTGTGGTGGTGTGCACCTGTAATCCCAGCTACCGGGGAGGCCGAGGCAGAAGAATCGCTTGAACTGGGGAGGCTGAGGTTGCAGTGAGCTGAGATCGCGCCACTGCACTCCAACCTTGGGTGACAGAGGAGAGACTTTGTCTCAAAAACAAACAAACAAAAAAAAAAACAAAAAAAAACCAGAGTGACTTGAATGGAAGTCTCTCCTGGATGACCTAGGATCTTAATTGTGAACATTACTTTTCTTTTCTTTTTTTTTTTGTTTTTGAGACAGAGTCTTGCTCTGTCACTGAGGCTGGAGTACAATGGCACGATCTCGGCTCACTGCAACCTCCGCCTCCCGGGTTTAAGCGATTCTCCTGCCTCAGCCTCCTGAGTAGCTGGGATTACAGGCGTGCACCACCACGCCCAGCTAATTTTTGTATTTTTAGTAGAGATGGTGTTTCACCATTTTGGTCAGGCTGGTCTCAAACTCCTGACCTCGTGATCTGCCCACCTCGGCCTCCCAAAGTGCTGGGATTACAGGTGTGAGCCACTGCACCCAGCCCTACTTTTTATATAATAACAATTCTGTTTTTTTGTTTTTGAGACGGAGTCTCACTCTGTCGCCTAGGCTGGAGAGCAATGGCGCAATCTCGGCTCACTGCAACCCCCGCCTCCCGGGTTCAAGCAATTCTCCTGCCTCAGCCTCCTGGAGTAGCTGGGACTACGGGTGCATGCCGCCAACCCTGGCTAATTTTTTGTATTTTAGCAGAGACGGGGTTTCACCATGTTGCCCAGGCTGGTCTCCAACTCCTGAGCGCTCAGGCAATTTGCCTGCCTCGGCCTCCCAAAGTGCTAGGATGACAGGCGTGAGCCACCGTGCCCAGCCAACAATTCTTTTTTTTTTTTCTTTTCTTTTTTTTTTTCTGTCTTGAGACAGGGTCCCACTCTGTGGCCTAGGCTGGAGGCAGTGGTGTAATCATAGCTCGCTGCAGCCTACACCTTCTGAGCTTAAGTGATCTTCCTGCCTCAGCCTCCTGAGTAGCTGGGATTACAGGCATGTGCCACCATGCTTGGCTAATTTTTTTTTTTTTTTTTTGTGGAGATGGGGTCTCACTATGTTGTGCAAGCTGGGTTTTTTTGTGTGTGTTTTTTGTTTGTTTGGTTTTGTTTTTTTGAGACTGAGTTTCACTCTTGTTGCCCAGGCTGGAGTGCAATGGCGCCATCTTGGCTCACCACAACCTCTGCCTCCCAGGTTCAAGTGATTCTCCTGCCTCAGTCTCCCGAGTAGCTGGGATTACAGATATGAGCCACCACTCCTGGCTAATTTTGTATTTTTAGTAGAGATGGGGTTTCTCCATGTTGGTCAGGCTGGTCTCGAACTCCTGACCTCAAGTGATCTGCCCATCTTGGCCTCCCAAAGTGCTGGGATTACAGGCATGAGCCACCATGCCCAGCATCCCAAGCTGGTTTTGAACTCCTGGGCTCAAGTGATCCTCCTGCCTTGGCTTCCCAAAGTGCTGGAATTACAAGTGTGAGCAACTGCTCCCAGCCTTTTTTTTTTTTTTTCTTGTTTCAGGGGGCACATATGCCGGTTTGTTACATGGATATATTGCAGAATGCTGGGCTTTGGGCTTCTCTTGAGCCCGTCACCCAAATAGTGAACATAGTATTCAATACGGAGTTTTTAAACTCTCGCCTTCTTCTTCACTCCCCTCTTTTGCAGAGCCTAGTGTTTTGGGTATTTTTTATTTTTATTTTTTTGAGACAGAGTCCTGCTCTGTCACCCAGGCTGGAGTGCAGTGGCACGACCTCGGCTCACTCCAACCTCTGCCTCCTGGGTTCAAGTGATTCTTGTGCCTCGGCCTCCTGAGTAGCTGGGATTACAGGTAACTGCCACCACGCCTGGCTAATTTTTGTATTTTTAGTAGAGATGGGGTTTTACCATGTTGGTCAGGCTGGTCTTGAACCCGGACCTCAAGTGATCCGCCCACTGCAGCCTCCCAAAGTGCTGGGATTACAGGTTTGAGCCACCATGTCTGGCCTGGGTTTTTTTTTTTAAGAGACCAAGTCTCGCTCTGTGTTCCAGGCTGGAGTGCAATGTCACCATCATTGCTCGCCGCAACTTGAACTCCTGGGCTCAAGTGATCCTTCTCACCTCAGCCTCCTGTGTAGCTGGGAGTAGAGGTGTGTGCCACTCTTCCCAGATAATTTTTTTTTTTTTTTTTGGTAGAGATGGGGTCTCGCTGTGTTGCCTAGGCTAGTCTTGAACTCCTAGCTTCAAGCGATCCCTCCACCTCGGCCTCCCAAAGTGCTGGAGTTATAGGTGTGAGCCACTGCACACAGCCTAAAACAATTCTTTTTTTTTTTCTTTCTTTTTTTTTGAGACGGAGTCTCACTCTGTGACCCAGGCTGGAGCGCAGTGGCGTGATCTCAGCTCACTGCAACCTCCACCTCCCGGGTTCAAGCGATTCTCCTGTCTCAGTCTCCCAAGTGGCTGGGATTACAGGCGCCTGCCACCACACTTGGCTAATTTTTTTTATTTTTAGTAGAGACAGGGTTTCACCATGTTGGCCAAGCTGGTCTCGAACTCTTGACCTTGTGATCCACCCGCCTCAGCGTCCCAAAGTACTAGGATTACGGGCATGAGCCACCGCGCCCGGCCCCTAATAACAATTCTTAATCTTCATGTATTCATAATAAGAATTATAGTATTATGGTATACTACAGTGGTCATTTTGAGGACAATGAGATGTGTGCAATTCTTTGGCACAGTACATATTCGATACACTGCTAGCAGCACAGACAGGCAGTCTGACTGGGAGAAATGTAAACAGCTTACAAATTTGCTCCCTCTAATCCCCCATGGCCTGAAACAGCTAACCAAGGTCATTAGAACAGTGCCTAAAATATGAGTAAATAAGTAGTGACTGGCCGGGCACGGTGGCTCACGCCTGTAACCCCAGCACTTTGGGAGGCCGAGGCGGGCAGAACCCCTGAGGTCAGGGGTTCAAGACCAGCCTGACCAACATGGTGAAACCCTGTCTCTACTGAAAATACAAGTATTAGCCAGGCGTGGTGGTGCATGCCTGTAATCCCAGCTACCCAGGAGGCTGAGGCAGGAGAATTGCTTGAACCCGGGAGGCAGAGGCTGCAGTGAGCTGAGATCACACCACTGCATTCCAGCCTGGGTGACACAGCAAGACTCTGTCTCAAAAAAACCAAAAAAAGTAGTGACTGAGGGCCTGTGGGACTCTCCACAGAACAAAGCGAATGTCTTCATTTTAATGTGTGGATCTTGTGACGTTGCTTAGCTTCTCAGAGGCCTTATGGGACCACCTTTCCATGTGTTGGAAGGATTCATCATTTGAGTGAGAATGCTGCTTTACTAATGAGATATTACTCTCTTAGCAAAAAGGGAGCCCATTGCCTTTTGCTGAAACCCACACTGCTGCTTGGGCAGGGCCATTTGGGTCACTGATTCTAACAAACCCTTGTGGGGCTCTTGGTACTTAGGACAGAACCAGTCACACAGGTAGGCACTGATAACGTTTGTGATATACACTGGCCCAAAATGTTTGTGCGATCGCTGATTTGTAGATCCTAATTCTAATCCTACCTTTAAGTATTACTTATATTTCATTGAACAGCTAATAAAAGTGGATCACAAAGAGTTTCCTATCCAAGGTGCTCTGACGGTATTAGATAGTAGCAATATTAAATAACCATTTTCCAGGTGTGGTGGCTCACGCCTGTAATACCAGCACTTTGGGAGGCCGAGGTGGGAGGATCACCTGAGGTCAGGAGTTCGAGACCAGCCTGGTCAATATGGTGAAACCCCATCTCTAATAAAAATACAAAAAAATAGCTGGGCGTGTTGGTGTGTGCCTGTAGTCCCAGCTACTCAGGAGGCTGAGGCAGGAGAATCGCTTGAGCCCGGGAGGCGGAGGTTGCAGTGAACCGAGATTGCGCCACTGCACTCCAGCCTGGGCAACAAGAGCGAAACTCTGTCTCAAAAAAAAACTTCACTAAAGTGTGTAGCAGCCAGCATCTCCTTCTGCAGTGCACATTTTCATTCCAAAAGAGCGAGAGACACAGGTGAGGAACATGGGTCTTTCATCTCACAGGTGAATGCGTCCCCGTCTCTCACGTCCAGCACTGCCAATGACCGAATCCTCAAGTACAACCTGATTAATGACACCCTCAACATCGCCGTCCCGAATGGTGAAATCCCAGACTGCAAATGGAACAAGTCGCCACCTAAGGAAGTCCTCGGCAATTACGAGATTCTGTAAGTGTGTGTGTGACTGTGCGCTTGTCCTTCTGTGTTTCCGAATGGCGTGTGCCATAGCCCAGCTTGGATTTCTGGGCATATGTGGATTCTCCTTATTTGGGCAGACTGTTTCATTTACTAATGACATGATGGGATAGATCTTGTTGTAGCAGAAAAGCAATTTGTTTATTTTATTATTATTATTTTGAGAGGGAGTCTCACTCTGTCGCCAAGGCTGGGTTGCAGTGGCACGATCTTGGCTCACTGCAACCTCCGCCTCCTGGGTTCAAGCAGTTCTCCTGCCTCAGCCTCCCAAGTAGCTGGGACTGTAGGCATGTGTTACCACTCCTGGCTAATTTTTGTATTTTTAGTATAGACAGGGTTTCACCACGTTGGCCAGGCTGGTCTTGAACTCCTGACCTCAAGTGATTCTCCCACCTCGGCCTCCCAAAGTGCTGAGATTACAAGTGTGAGCCACTGCACCCAGCCCAGAAAAGCAGTTTGGGTGCTGAACTTGATCATTGTGTATGCTCCTACTCAAAACATATGTGTGGTGCACTGATCACGTGCCAGGCCCCCGCTGGCCGCCGGGATAGCTGGAGCAGGCTGGGTGGAGTGCTTGGCCGCTGGGATAGCTGGAGTAGGCTGGGTGGAGTGCTTGGCCGCTAGGATAGCTGGAGTAGGCTGGGTGGAGTGCGTGTTTCTCACGGGTCACCTGGGCTCATTCCCTGGCTTTGCCGCATAGAGCTGGGTGACAGGGAGGAACTCAGTGCAACTGTTTGAGCCTCAGTTTGTCCACCTTTAAATTGGTATAATAGACCAGGTGCAGTGGCTCACACCTGTAATCCCAGCATTTTGGGAGGCCGAGGCGGGCAGATCACCTGAGGTCAGGAGTTCGAGACCAGGCTGGCAAACATAGCGAAACCCCATCTCTACAAAAAAAAAAAAAAAAAAAAATGGGTATAATAAGATCTATTTTACAGAGCGGGAAGGAAATAGCTAACTTTCGAGGGCTTGTCATGTGTCAGAAACTGTGCAGAGTGCTTTACACACAGTATCAATTCCTTTCCCCAGTAATATTTTGAAGTAGGTAAGACTATTAGCTCCATTTCACAGGTGTGGAAACAAAGGCTTAGAGCGGTTCCGTGGCATACTCGTAGTGACGAAAGTGGGAACAAAGTGAGAGCCCATCAGGAGTGTGGTGGCTGAACACAGTATGGTTCATTCATTCTGCGGTCTATTAAGTGGCCTTTAAAAAGATTGACCTGGCTGGGCGTGGTGGCTCACGCCTGTAATCCCAGCACTTCAGGAGGCCAAGGCAGGTGGATCACGAGCTCAGGAGTTCAAGACCAGCCTGACCAACATGGTGAAACTGTATCTCTACTAAAAATACAAAAATTAGCCGGGTGTGGTAGTGCGCGCTTGTAATGTCAGCTACTCAGGAGGCTGAGGCAGGAGAATCGCTTGAACCCGGGAGGCGGAGGTTGCAGTGAGCCCAAATTGCACCACTGCACTCCAGCCTGGGCGACAGAGTGAGACTCTGTCTCCAAAAAAAAAAAAAAGGATTGACCCAGAGCTACACCATGGGGCCTGGGAGGTTGCCTGGGAAAAACTCACTGCAGAAAAGGGTGTATAACGTAATCCTTGTAAAACATTGGCCTCAGAATCCCCTGTGTGTACATACAGTGACATGTGCGGTGGCTTACATGCGAATGCATGAGCAGGGAAACATGGAAGGACACACATCATGTTGTTGGCATCGATACTGCAGTCGAGTGGGCGTGGAGAAGAGAGGGAAGCAGACGGCAGTAAAAGGCGGAGGAGTAGGTGTGTTAGGATCACAGTTACATGCTTCTGTCACAGCAAAAATGTGCATTTCATGTAAATTTTTAAAAAACAAAGGAAGAAATATTTAGTGAAATTTACACACACACACAGAGACGTCAGGCTTGTAGCTGGTAGGCGCTGCTGGTGGGAGGACTCTGAAGCCCATGCTTAGCTGCCTCCTGCCCCTGCTGTGGGTGATGTGTGGTGTGGATGTGCGTGTTACAGCTCATTGTCTGGAACAGGAGGAGCAGGTGCAAGGGGAGTTTAGATGGAAGTATACTGGGCTTGCCGGCAACCTCGGGGCCTCTACAGGGTAGTGGCTGTGAACTTCAGGGGTGACCAGTCAGTGTGTGGTTGGTTGTTCTCTCCCTCCATGATCAGCTGCCCAGGCTAGGTACAGAGAAGGCAGAGGGTTGGGAGGGACCAGGATTGGGAGCTTGCGATGGCAAGACAGAGGGCAGCGGGGACAGGGAGAAGATGGGGGTGGGTGGCAGTCTCTCGGGGAGGAGGGTTGTTGGAGTCGGGCACTAGGGAAGTGGGCTGGGAGGAGAAGGGGCAGTGGTCAGGGAGTGAGCACTTGCCATGGAGATAATGCAAGGGGTGACGAGGCTTGGGGACTCCCTGGGGATGGGACTGAGATGGAGTAGAGGACAGGGTCACCAGAGGTCAGGGAGTTGGGGGTTTCATCTGTTTGGTCATTGCCATCACCCACCACCATGAACTAGGAGCCTGGCTCTCCAAGGGATCTGGGGTGGTGACCTGGAGGACTGGAGGTGACTGCACAAGGAGGAAGGTAACTGTGGTGACCAGGCCTGGAAAGAGCTGGGGGCTTTAGAGAGGAGGCCCCCTCCAACCAGGAGTATGGGGGGTGGGAGAGAAAGCAGTCTCCACACCAGGGGCTGCAGGGGAAGCAGCGTCTCGCAGGAGCCCATTAGAGCAGGAAGGGGAAGTGGAGATTAAAGGATAAGCAGAGGGCATGGTGGGTGCGATGATGGGCAGAGAGTTCCGGAGCCCACAGAGGGTGAGTCTGGGGATGGGGTCAGACTGGGATTGGCAGCCTGGAAGGTGAAGGGTGAGATCAGGGTTGGGGATGGCAACTGCGATGGCGGCCTTCGGGGCTGGGTCCTGATGGCCCCTGTGCTGGAGGACTGAGGGGGTCTGTGAGTGTGTACAGGGTGGGGACCATTGCGGGGAGACTTGTCAGTAGCATGAGGACCTTGGGGGGTTCTCTTCAGTCCAGTTGAGGGTGGTGGAGAGGCTGGCTTGTTGGGAGCGTGTAGAGCCTCTGCCGCGTCCAGCCTGTGGACTTCTTGAGGGAGTGGGCCAGACTCGCCATTTCCCGGCCAAGAAGCAGAGGCCAGGCTGGGTATGGTGGCTCATACCTGTAATCCCAGCACTTTGGGAGGCCAAGGCAGGTGGCTCACCTGAGGTCATGAGTTCAAGACCAGCCTGGCCAACATGGTGAAATCCCGTCTCTGCTAAAAATACAAAAATTAGCCGGGCGTGGTGGTGGGCACCTGTAATCCCAGCTACTTGGGAGGCTGAGGGCAGGAGAATGGCTTGAACCCAGGAGGCGGAGGTTGCAGTGAGCCGAGATCGTGCCACCGCACTCCAGCCTGGGCGACACAGCGAAAGTCTGCCTCAAAAAAAAAAAAAAAAAAAGAAAAAGCAGCAGAGGCCAGAGCCTCACTGCTTTTAGTTGAAGAGACAACAAGGTGAACCCCCCTCCCTGATCCAGCCGTCCTCTCCTGGCTCCTGAGGAGTAATGGAAGGCTCTTGTGTGGAGCTGATGGCCTCTAAACGCTTCTAGTCAGGGCTTGCTTCCCTTAGGCATTCAGCTGATCAAAGAACCCCAGCTCCATTTTCAGGTGCAGCCACCAGCAGCAGTAGCAGTTGGTGCTGACTGGGAGGGCCACGTCATCTGAGCGGCGCCGCCCGTCCATGCCAGGTGCTCTGCGTGCCCACAGCAACTCCTCAGAGCCCAGCAGCATCTAGCAGAGGACACTGGCCGCATGAGGTCACGTGCCCCAGGCCATACCATTGGCTGTGGCCCTACAAGGCCTGGCACTTTGCATCTGCCACCTCCAGGACCCTGTTCCGAAGTTGCTGACTGTACTTTTACAGCCTTTAAAAAACCCTAACAGTGACTAGATTGTTTCTGTGAAAAGCCAGAAGAAAAGCCTGCTAGAACAGGAACTTCGAAGAGCCATCTTGGCTCTGATTCTCCTCTGCGTTGGCTCGGTAGGTGGCCAGACCACCCCTGGGAACAGCGCATCCCGGTGCCAGCTGCTTGCCAAATGCTCCTTTCTGTTTGTTTTGTTTTTTGAGCCACACAGATCAGCACAAGTGCTCCGTGAAACCGGTCACCATATGTGGTCCTTTTCTCCATTCATTCAGTAGATTCCTATCCACCAGACCTTGAGCAAGCTGCTGGGGGCAGCCACGAACCAGACGGGCGGTCACTGCAGCCCCCTGGCCAGGGAAGCAAACACGGGGGCAGTGGAGTGACGACATTTATGAATGTGGAGTCCCCACGGGGTAGGGGTATCTGATCCTGTGGAGAGGCGCCAGGGAGGCTTCCTGGAGGACCCCCCCCACCCAGGCAGATTCCAGAGTTCCAGGGGTGTCCTGTCCGGCTTCCTTGTGTCATAGGGACTATGGCTGTGTCTCTCCTTCGAGAGCCAGAGAGGAAGCAGGCCCCTGTATCATCATCCTGACAGCTCCACCCTGGTGCAGAGCCTGGATCCCTGTGGTGTCTGCTTCACAGACAGAAGTCAGAAAATGCGGCCAGGCGCAGTGGCTCACACCTGTAATCCCAGCACTTTGGGAGACCGAGGCAGGAAGATTGCTTGAGCTCAGGGGTTCGAGGCCAGTCTGGGCAACATGGTGAAACCCCATCTCTACCAAAAATACAAAAAGTTAGCCGGGCGTGGTGGCATGCGCCTGTAATGCCAGCTACTTGGGAGGCTGAGGCATGAGAATCTCTTGAACCCAGGAGGCAGAGGTTGCAGTGAGCCAAGATCGGGCCACTACACTCCAGTCTGGGTGACCGTTTAAAAAAAAAAAAAGGAATCAGAAAATGCTTTCTTCCCACCTACTCTTTCAGTCCCAGTTTGCCACCAGAAGCACAATGCAGAAAATACATTCTTTAACCTCAGAAGTTTCTAACTCATACTACATTCAACCTGCAAACTCTGGTTTTGGTAATAAGCTTATCACAGAAATCCACCCTTTTCCAGAAGTCCACATGATTAGCACTCAGCATCTGGGTACCTTTTGTGTTTGACACAAATACCTACATACAACCGAGGGTCCTAGTCAGGATGGCCAGCGCAGCACACCGACGGATGTGCTTTAACTGGGGAAAGATGCTTTCCACACTCCTCAGCGCTATGGGACAAAAAACTCCGAATTAGAAATCAGAAGTCCTAGAGGTTAATCTTACCTGTGCCACAGGCCAGCTGTGGGACCCTAGGCCCTGAGCAAACCTCTAGAACCCCAGTTTCCCCCCATAGGAAGCAAGTCCTGGTGCTGCCGCCCGAGTTGGGAGGATAATGTCAGTCACCGTGGAGGGGGGCGGCCCCATTCCCCCAGCCTGCTCCCTGCCACAGCCTGCAATAGGTGCAGGCAGCAACGACCATGCTCCAGGACCCCGTGAGAGAAGGGCCCCGCCACTGTGGGAAGGACCCAGGACTTGCCCAGATGCTGTGACCACCCCGTCTGGGGAGCTGCAGCTGGCATCCAGCTCTTCCAGACACGAAAATTCAGGCTGTTTCCTACACTGCTGCCTCCTTAGCACACGCGGCCTTAGGATGCATGAACGTTAATTGGGAAACAGGCAGTTAAAGAAAATGGGGGCCAGGCACGGTGGCCCACGCCTGTCATCCCAGCACTTTGGGAGGCCGAATGGGCAGATCACCTGAGGTCAGGAGTTCGAGACCAGCCTGGCCAACATGGGGAAACCCTGTCTCTACTAAAAATACAAAAATTTGCTGGGTGTGGTGGTGGGCACCTATGATCCCAGCTACCTGAAAGGCTGAGGCAGGAGAATCGCTTGAACCAGGGAGGTGGAGGTTGTAGTGAGCCAAGATTGCGCCACTGTATACCAGCCTTGGTGATAGAGTGAAACTCCATCTCAAAAAAAAAGAAAATGGGGAGGGGTGGCGTGGGTCACACTGGCAGAGTCTCTAGCTGAGTGTGCACCGTGGGGCCTCTCTGCCCTGGCCTCCACTGACCAGTGCTCATGTACCACTCCCATCTGGAATGGAGTTAGTCCCCCCAGCCTGCAGGTGCCTTGTGTGAAGCGTTTCCAGCCAGGCAGTCTCACCTCACTTACCCTGGGCTGGTTCTGTGTCACCTCATGCATGTTGCCTTTGGAGTCATTGCCATATTTGACCTGGTGACCTGTATAAAATGTCAGCTTCCGAGGGGAGACCACTGTCCACAATAACAACAAGGTTGTACACATAGGCAGGCTGGCCTTGGGGAGCATTTGCTGGGCTGCGAGAGCCACCTGGCAGGCAGGTGGGCTGGAGCCAGGTGGGAGGTGGGCGGGAGCCAGCAGGAGTCGCGAGGGTGGGGCCCCCTCAGGCCGCTTCTCTGGGTGATGTCATATTTGCCACACAGCAGCCTGGTGGCCCTGCCTGTTGCCTTTGAAAGAGAGCCTGCCGTGATCCTGGCTGTTTCTGTCTCCAGGTATGATGAAGAATTGGCCCAGGGTGACGGGGCTGACCGGGAGCTGAGAAGCCGTCAGGGTCAGTCTCTGGGGCCCAGAGCAGGCCGATCGAGAGACTCGGGGAGAGCGGTCCTCACCACCTGGAAGTGAGTCCCACCTGGACCTTATCAAAACTACTCACTCCACCTGGGCCCCTGCTGAAGCCCTATTTTGAAATTTCCCTTTTGTAGAGCTTTTTTCCTTTCCTAAGCCCTGTAAATAAACGAAGGCACTTCTTTGGAAGGTTATGGAGTCTGTTTGACTAGTGCTAAAGGAAACAATTCATGCGGATGTATAAAACTCGCTCTTTTTTTTTTAATTTTTAACCTAAGCAGAATTTTCATATTAAAAACTCACTTTTTTGACAGAAAGTAACAGCTTCAAGCATGTAATTTGATGTGTCACAAGGTTTAAACATTAAAAAAACTTTACACTAAATTAAAAACAAAACAAATCTTATAGACTCGTCCTGCCACGAGAGAGGAATGTATTTAACTGACGGCTCTTTTAGTTGCGTTTCTTTTTACTTGACTGCGATTTTTTTTTTTTTTCCCGAGACAGAGTTTTGCTCTGTCGCCCAGGCTGGAGTGCACTGGCACAATCTTGGCTCACTGCAACCTCTGCCTCCTGGGTAGTATTTCTCCCACCTCAGGCTCCCAAGTAGCTGGGATTACAGGCGTGTGCCACCACACCTGGCTAATTTTTGTATTTTTAGTAGAGATGGGGTTTTGACCATGTTGGGCAGGCTGGTCTCAAACTCCTGACCTCAGGTGATCTGCCCACCTCGGCCTCCCAAAATGCTGGGATTACAGAGGTGAGCCACCACGCCCAGCTTACTTGACTGTGATTTTGAAGAAAACAGGCAACTAGAAATATTCCTCGGTAATTTATCTTTACAAAGGCCTTTGTCTAGGTGCTCCCAGGAAGACCTGTTTTCTTTTCTTTTCTTCTCTTTTCTTTTTTTTTTTCTTTTCAGACAGGATCTCGCCCTGTCACCCAGGCTGGAGTGCCGTGGTGCCATTGTGGCTCAACTTCCTGGGCTCAAGTGATCCGCTCACCTCAGCCTCCCGAGTAACTGGGACCACACAGGCACACACCACCACCCCCAGCTACTTTTTAAAGTTTTTTTTGTAGAGACAGAGTTTCACCATGTTGGCCAGGCTGTTCTCGAACTCCTGGGCTCAAGCGATACTCCTGCCTAAGCTTCCCAAAGTGTTGGGATTACAGGCATGAGCCACCACGCCTGGCTTCAAAAAGACCTGTTTCTACCACTTCGGTTTTGTGGATGAGTCTGTTGTAAATGGAACTAGATGAGCACAGACAGGTCCGGCTGTGTGCCTTTTATGACGTCAGCAGCTGGGTTTGCTACAGGGAAGCGCCGTGGGCAGCCAGGAGCTGTGGGAGGAGCGATGGCTGCGGGACAGGCTGCGCGAGCGTGGTTGTTCCCATGCAGTCTCCCGGTAGCCCGGTGACTTACAGGAGTGTATGGAGAGGACCTGAGTTGGTGGGTAGATGGACAGATGCATTTGAGTAATAACTCATGAGTTACAGTGCTGTTCTTAGGAAGGGTCTTTTTTTTTTTTTTTTTTTTTGAGGTGGAGTTTCACTCTTGACACCCAGGCTGGAGTGCAATGGCACAATCTAGGCTCACTGCAACCTCCACCTCCTGGGTTCAGGCGATTCTCATGGCTCAGCCTCCCAAAGAGGTGGGCTTACAGGCGCCTGCCACCACGCCCAACTAATTTTTGTATTTTTAGTGGAGACGGGGTTTCACCATGTTGGCCAGGCTGGTCTCGAACTCCTGACCTCAGGTGATCCTCCCGCCTCCGCCTCCCAAAGTGCTGAAATTACAGGCGTGAGCCACTGCGCCCGGCCAGGAAGGGCCTTTTACTCATGGTCGTATTAACACGTATTTGCTGAAGTTTCACTCGCTGTCTTGAGTTTATCTTTAAAGCTTGCCACCTGTTTTTGTTGCAATGCTAGTAACAGGAGTTTGTTCTCCCAAATGGCACCAAGGGTATGTCCTTCAGATAAGGGTCTTAACTGACTTGCCCAGGCTCTCTCAGTGCCCATGCATGGACGTGTGTCAAGTGTACATGCCATATTGTGTGTGTGTATATGAGTACATATATTTAATGATGTTTCACTGCCAATTAGGGAAAAATAGGTCTTTTCAACACAAATGGTACTTGGCTGGACTCCAAATAAACTACAATTGGTGGGCTTTTCAGCCATTCCTTCTTCGTGATCTTATTGGTATGTGTGTTGTGTGTGTTCCCTGGTGTTTAAGTTTTGTTTTGTTTTGTTTTGTTTTTGAGACAGAGTCTCGCTCTGTCGCCCAGCAGGCTGGAGTGCAGTGGCGCAACCTCAGCTCACTGCAATCTCTGCCTCCCGGGTTGAAGTGATTCTCGTGCCTCAGCTTCCCAAGTAGCTGGGATTACAGGTGTACACCACCATGCCCGGCTAATTTTTGTATTTTTAGTAGAGATGGGGCTTCACCATGTTGGCTAGGCTGGTCTCAAACTCCCAGCCTTAGGTGATCCGCCTGCCTCAGCCTTCCAGAGTGCTGGGAATACAGGTGTGAGCCACTGCGCCCAGCCGTGGGGTTTAGTTTTAATGTGTTTGCTGTTGATGGCGGGTGTGGGATGGAGATCCCCGAGTCAGACTTGGCCTTGTGGCCTGGCTCTGCTGTTTATTAGCTGTTTCCCAAGCCTGTCCCTGGGGTCGTTGCACCTTTGTTTCCCACTGTATAAAATGGGGAGTTCTGTGGCCGGGCGCAGTGGCTCATGCCTGTAATCCCAGCACTTTGGGAGGCCGAGGAGGGTGGATCATCTGAGGTCAGGAGTTCGAGACCAGCTTGGCCAACATGGTGAAACCTCATCTCTACTAAAAATACAAAAATTAGCCTGGAGGCTGAGGCAGGAGAATCGCTTGAACCCAGGAGGCGGAGGTTGCGGAGAGCCGAGATGGCGCCATTACACTCAAGCCTGGGCAATAAGAGCGAAACTCCGTCTCAAAAAAAAAAAGGGGGGGAGTTCTGTTTGCCTCAGAAACAACCAGTACCACCGCACAGGGACCCTGCCCGCACGCCTTGCTGGCTCTGGCGAGCCCTCTTACCTCCCAGGAGGGGGTGTCCTCTGCACAGCTGGCGGCTCCACCTCGGCTCCTACACGCAGAAGTGAAAGACACCCCGTTAACTGTTCCCAGCTCTTCCACCGGTTTTTACAACCCGGTTCTCAGTTACATTGTGTTGTTTTTGCCTCCCTCTGGGAGAAGGGTGGAGTCCCTGGTTGGGAACGTTGGCCTCTGAGGCTCCGGGGCCACGCAGTCCTAATGGAAGAGTCACACCAAGTGGTTAGTTTGCTGGTGACCCAGTTGCTAGGTGAGAGTGAGGCTCTGCTAAGTGGATTTATGTCATATAGTGACTGTCTCATTAATGATTTAGTGATGTCATGTTCTGGGCAGATGTTTCCTCTGAGCACTTCCAGGACACGGGTGGGAAGGGTGCGGTGTTGGCAGCAGGCCTCGGGAGGCTGTCGGGCCAGGAACAGCCCCATTCAGCGCTAGGCTGGGGCTAAGCAGTGAGCCCTGCTGGGAGCTGTCCGGGAGCCGTTGCTGTTTTCTTGTCAGCCCCCACACACTTGATGGGGTGGGTCCCAGGCCAGAGGGTTGCATCCTGTGGTCGTTTTCACCAAGTTTGATAGGCTTGGTTTTCCCAATATAAACCCATCCTCGACTGGGCACAGTAGCTCACGCCTGTAGTCCCAGCACTTTGGGAGGCTGAGGTGGGTGGATCACCTGAGGTCAGGAGTTTGAGACCAGCCTGGCCAACAAGGTGAAACCCCGTCTCTACTAAAAATACAAACATTAGCTGGGCTTGGTGGTTCATGCCTGTAATCCCACCTACTTGGGAGGCTGAGGCGGAAGAATCACTTGAACCCAGGAGGCGGAGGTTGCAGTGAGCCGAGATCGCACCATTGCACTCCAGCCTGGACAACTGAGCAAGACTCCATCTCAAACAAAAGAAAACCACCATCCTTCACCTCCTTTGCACACGGGCTGCTCCCCGGGTATTAGTGAGGGCCTGGTGACAACCTTCTCACTGTCTCCCTTCTCCTCCTCCGCCTCCCACCTGGGCTGCCATGGAGACCCCATCAGTCTGGACCCGCATCTGGTTGCGCTCCACCAGCTGCTAGGACTTTCCTCACAGGGGGCCATTTCCCCTCCACACAGTGGTTCTTCAGGGTGCTCCATAAAGCCTCCTATGCTTGCCACCCATTGGCCTGTTGGCTCACACTGCCACACACCATGTCCACCAGTGCCAAACACACGCAGCTCCTCTCTGAGTGCCCCCAGGGGCCAGCGCACTCTCCACCCTCCCCTCTGGAGCCATTCCCAGCTGTGCTGCGGCCGCCTGGCCCTCTCCCCGCAGCAGCCCTGCAGCCCCTGTGGTCTGGGGAGGCCAAGGTCTCCTGCAGGGCCCTGCCTGCTGGTAACGGCACAGCGACTGGGGCTGCTCAGCGACTGGGCACCCTCAGGCTGTTTGTGTGTCCCCTAATGTGAACTGTGCCCCAGTGGAGGGCCCTGGGGCACGTGAGGACCCTTTGTGAGCAGGTGGGAGCACATCCACTTTTGATTCCAGTCTCTCATTGTGGAAGACGAGGGATTTTGATCTTCACTGATTTGCCCCAGCCTGAACCATATTAGATCTCACATCCTGTGAACAATGGCGGCCTCCTGCTTTTGTCCTGAGAAGCATTCGGAGCGCTCCTCCAGTGACAGATGCAAACCCACCTTGCTTATGCTCCTGCCCGGCCGCTGGCGCTCTGTCAGCAGGAACAAGTCTAGGGGCCCATGGCGTTCCCTCAGGCCCAGGCCCACCCTGCCTGCCACTTGGCCAACATTCCCCCACAATTCCAGTTTAACTCACCTAATCTCCCCTCCCCTTCCCACCCCTCCCCTCCCCCCTCCCCTCCCCCCTTTCTTTCCTTTTTTTTTTTTTTTTTTTTTTTTTTTAGACAGAGTCTCACTCTGTTGCCCAGGCTAGTGGCACAATCTCGGCTCACAGCAACCTTTGCCTCCTGGGTTCAAGTCATTCTCATGCCTCAACCTCCCAAGAAGTAGCTGGGATTACAGGCATGCGCCACCATGCCCGGCTAGTTTTGTTTTGTTTTGTTTTGAGACGGAGTCTCACTCTGACACCCAGGCTGGAGTGCAGTGGCGTGAGCTCAGCTCACTGCAAGCTCCGCCTCCCAGGTTCATGCCATTCTCCTGCCTCAGCCTCCCGAGTAGCTGGGACTACAGGCGCCCGCCACCACGCCCGGCTAATTTTTTGTATTTTTAGTAGAGACGGGGTTTCTCTACTAAACATGTCTACATCCTGACGTGTTAGCCAGGATAGTCTTGATCTCCTGACCTTGTGATCCGCCTGCCTCAGCCTCCCAAAGTGCCGGGATTACAGGCATCAGCCACCGTGCCTGGCCTAGTTTTGTATTTTTAGTAGAGATGGGGTTTCACTATGTTGGCCAGGCTGGTCTTGAACTCCAGACCTCAAGTGATCCGCCAGCCTCCATCTCCCAAAGTGCTGGGATTACAGGCATGAGCTACCGTGCCCGGCTTCCAGCCAAATGTTTTTGAGTGATGGCATCAGTGTTCTTAGAGATGTGCCTCTCTAAGGATGACGGAGCTGGTGAGAGGCTAGAGGGAGATCTGGCAGTGCAGGCCACAATGTGAACTCAGGCGGTGCCCTAGGGACGGGAGGAGGGGAGTTGTGCACAGGGAGCCTGCACACCGGGTGGAAGGGGATCTGCAGAGACGAGCAGTTCTCAGTGGCCCAGTAGGGGGCGTGTGTTAAACGGGGTTTGAGCCCTGAATGTAGAAGGAGGTAAACTGCAAAGCTGCAGTAACAAACGTGCTTTTCAGAAGCTGTTCAGAAAGGCCACGCTACTCATGGTTATGAATAATGCTGCCTCGAGGCCATGGCTGAATAGCAAGAACGTCACCAGGCAGCTTCCCTTCCTGCATCTTGTACTGGTTAAAATGAAATCAGAACTTTTTGTTTTTTTGGGACGGAGTCTTGCTCTGTTGCCCAGGCTGGAGTGCAATGGCGTAATCTTGGTTCACTGCAACCTCCACCTCCCAGGTTCCAGTGATTCTCCTGTCTCAGCTGGGATTACAGGCGCCCGCCACCATGCCCAGCTAATTTTTGTATTTTTAGTAGAGATGGGGTTTCACCATCTTGGCCAGGCTGGTCTTGAACTCCTGACCTGGTGGTCCACCCACCTTGGCCTCCCAAAGTGCTGGGATTACAGGCGTGAGCCACCACGTCCAGCCTGATAGCTCTTTTTTTTTTGAGACAGGGTCTGGCTCTGTCATCCAGGCTGGAGCGCAGTGGTATGATCACAGCTCACTGCAGCCTTGACCTCCTGGGGTGATCCTCCCACCTCAGCCTCCCAAGCAGCTGGGATTACAGGTGCATGCTACCACACCCTGCTGATTTTTATTTATTTTATTTTATTTTGTTTTTTGAAACAGAGTCTCATTCTGTCACCCAGGCTGGAGTGCAGTGGTGTGGTCTCGGCTCACTGCAACTTCTGCCTTCTGGGTTCAGTCGATTCTCCCACCTCAGCCTCCTAAGTAGTTGAGATTACAGGCACATGCCACCACGTGCGGCTAACTTTTGTATTTTTAGTAGTGACAGGGTTTCACTATGTTGGCCAGGCTGGTCTCAAACTCCTGACCTTGTGCTCCACCTGCCTCGGCCTCCCAGGGTGCTGGGATTACAGGCATGAGCCACCGTGCCTGGCTGCTAATTTTTTATTTTTTTGTAGCGACAGGGTCTCACCATGTTACCCAGGCTGGTCTTGAACTCTTGGCCTCAAGCAATTGGCCTGCCTTGGCCTCCCAAAGTGCTGGGATTACAAACGTGAACCACTGCTCCCCTGAAGTAGTATCTCATTATGGTTTTGATTTGCATTTTTTCTGACAGCTGATGATGTTGAGTATCTTTTCATGTGCTTATTGGCCATTCGTATGCCTTCCTGGGAGAAACTGTTTTGATTTATTTATTTATTTTTTTCTTGAGACAGGGTCTTACTCCATCACCTAGGCTGGAGTGCAGTGGCACAATCACAGCTCCCTACAGCCTCAACCTCCCAGGCTCAGGCGATCCTCCCACTTCAGCCTCCTGAGCAGCTAGAACTACAGGCATGTGCCACCATGCCCAGCTAATTTTTTGTATTTTTTGTAGAGATGGGGTTTTGCCATGTTGCCCAGGCTGGTTTCAAACTCCTGGGCACGGCTGGGTGCGGTGGCTCACGCCTGTAATCCCAGCACTTTGGGAGGCCGAGGCAGATGGATCATGAAATCAAGACCATCCTGGCTAACACGGTGAAACCCCGTCTCTACTAAAAATACAAAAAATTAGCCGGGTATGGTGGCAGGCGCCTGTAGTCCCAGCTACTTGGGAGGCTGAGGCAGGAGAATGGTGTGAACCCGGGAGGCAGAGCTTGCAGTGAGCTGAGATCACGCCACTGCACTCCAGCCTGGGTGACAGAGCGAGACTCCATCTCAAAAAAAAAAAAAAAAAAGAAAAACTCCTGGGCTCACATGATCCGCCCACCTTGGCCCCCCAAAGGATTACAGGCAGGGGCCACTATGCCCAGCCGCATTTTTAAAGGGGTGATTTTTGTACTGCTCATAGGAAATCATGACTCCTCTCTAATTCTGTGGTAGAAGGCATCATTGCCTCTTCTATAAAGCCTTTCCTGGTGACTCTAGTCTCCAATGGTCTCTCCTTTCTCTTACATTTTATTATTATTTTAAAAAATATTAGAGATGGGGGTCTTGTTATGTTGCATAGGGTGGTCTGGAACTCCTGGGCTCCAGGGATCCTCCCATCTCAGCCTCCTGAAGTGCTGGGATTACAGGCATGAGTCACCACGCCCAGCCTCTCTTGCATTTTAAAGCATAAATCAGATTCTATCAGAGCCCTAATGCCCTCCAAAAGCCTCCCCTGGAACATAAATAAAATCAAGTTCCTCGCCTCTCTGGCCTCCCCCTCCACCCCCTCCCTTCTGCCCTTGCTGGTTTTGCTGGAGACACAGCAATCTTCAAGCGTCATGCCCCTCCCTGCCTCAGGGCCTTTGCATGGCAGGCCCCTCTACTAGAATTCTCCTCCCCCATCTCTGCAGGCCTGGCTCTTTTCATCACTTGGAGCAGCCTATCCTGTCTGCCACCTTCCCAGAGAGGCTCTCCTTTTTTTTTTTTTTGAGACTGAGTCTCATTCTGTCACCCAGGCTGGAGTGCAGTGACATGATCTTGGCTCACTGCAACCTCTGCCTGCCGGGTTCAAGCAATTCTCCTGTTTCAGCCTCCTGAGTAGCTGGGATTACAGGCACTCACCACCATGCCTGACTAATTTTAGTATTTCTAGTAGAAACGGGGTTTTACCATGTTGGTCAGGCTGGTCTCGAACTCCTGACCTCAGGTGCTCCACCTGCCCTCAGCCTCCCAAAGTGCTGGGATTACAGGCGTGAGCCACCATGCCCGGTCCCAGAGAGGCTCTCCTGGTGATCCCTCTAGCCCCACTTTATTACCACCTTCTTCCGTTTTCTCCAAAGCACTCATATCCCTGAGATGATCCGGGTCAGGCATGTGCCTCTGTGCTTTCTCCCCGGCACAGCCTCCAGCTCCGCGTGCCTCTGCCTGGCCCCAGCCTGACACATGCGTGCAGCACTGATACGTGATGGCCGAACGACTGTGGGAACCAGGCCGTCTACTCATTTGGGATGGTCCTTGTCCTCCTGCTGTGTCGCTCTTATTGCCTGGGTCTTTGCTATCCACCCCCAGGCTGAGATAAGGAGGAACTGGAGGGCAAGGGCCGAGATCTGTCCTCCACTCCCAGGCAACGCTGGTCATTTGTCGAAGCATTTATGGACAATGTCAGAGCAGCAAAAATGGAGGGAGAGCAGCAGGCGGGCGAGGGATGATTGGGAAATCAAAGACATTTAGTCTTAAGAGGGATGATTTAGGTGTAACACAAAGGAGTTCAGGGACTGTTAGGTGATGAGGGGCAATTCGTGATGTGCATGTGTTTCTGGGGGCCGAGGTGAGGAGCAGAGCACAGAAGGAATGGGTGAGGGGCGCTGTTTCCACAGAGGGAGGGAGTGCTGGAGACAGGGAAGCCCCTTTGGCCTTTTGGGGTCTTTCCAGCACAGCCGCAGAAATCACACTCAGACAGGTGTAGGTGAAGGGCTCAATTACACTCACGGGCCCCAGAGAGGAAGGCCAGCCCCCATGTAGGGGGCTGGATGGGAGGAGCCCACAGGGAGCAGGCCCACCTAGCAGGTTCGGGGCCAAGAGAGCTTGAGGGCCTGAGGACCCACAGGCAAGTGCCTTTCCTGGGGGGTCAGGGCGGGGGGCACTAGCCAGAGACGTGAGCAGATCTCACTGGTGTGTTTCAAAGTGACTGGGTGACCCTCAGGGGAAGGCTGGAAGGGAACCTGGAGCAGGGACCAGGCTTATTCCACGGGGCTGCCTGGCTGCCAGGGTGGGGTGCTCTCAGCCTGTGTGTGGGCATGTTGAGGTGTCAGGGCAATAGGAAGGGTTAAAAATGGGCTAATCTCTTGCTGGGCACGGTGGCTGACGCCTGTAATCCTAGCACTTTGGGAGGCCGAGGTGGGCGGATCACGAGGTCAGGAGATAGAGACCATCCTGGCTAACATGATGAAACCCCGTCTCTACTAAAAATACGAAAAAATTAGCCGGGCGTGGAGGTGTGTGCCTGTAGTTCCAGCTGCTGGGGGTGCTGAGGCAGGAGAATGGCGTGAACCCGGGAGTCGGAGCTTGCAGTAAGCCAAGATCGCGCCACTGCACTCCAGCCTGGGCGACAGAGCAAGACTCCATCTCAAAAAAAAAAAAAAAAAGGCTAATCTCGGCCGGGCGCGGTGGCTCATGCCTATAATCCCAACATTTTGGGGGGCCGAGGCAGGTGGATCACCTGAGGTTAGGAGTACAAGAAGAGCCTGACCAAGATGGAGAAACCCCGTCTCTACTAAAAATACAAAACTAGTCAGGCGTGGTGCTGCATGCCTGTATCCCAGCTACTCGGGAGGCTGAGGCAGGAGACTCGCTTGAACCCAGGAGGCAGAGGTTGTGGTGAGCCAGGATCACACCATTGAATTCCAGCCTGGGCAACAAGAGCGAAACTCCGTCTCAAAAAAAAAAAAAAAAAAAAGGGCTAATCTCGAACTCCTGGACTCAAGCGAATCCTCCCACCTCAACCTCCCAACGTGCTGAGATTACAGGCATGAGCCACCATGCTTAGCCGAGTGTTAGGGGCCAGGGGATGTCTCCATTAGCGTTGCCTGGGTATAGAGTGGTCCATCTTGTGAGGTAATGAGTCTCCTGTCAAGGGCAAGTTCAAGCAGAGGGCAGATTCCCCCAGGGGTGCATAGAAGGGACACATGGAAAAGATGTCCTTTCTGCCTCTGAGTGCCCTCAGCTGAAGGTATGTGCTGCACTGACCCAGCTTTCAGGGGAGACCCAGATTTTGCTCTGGGACTTCTGGGATGGGGAAAGAGCCACTTCAGGGGCAGGGAGGAAAGACAGCACCAGCCTGGGAACTGAACGGCATGGAGAAGCCAGGGCGAGGACAGGCCAAGCTCCGTGGCCCTGAGAAGGAATTTCTGCTCACTTGTTGCTTTGTTGAATGTTTCTCCCCCGGCCGGGCGCGGTGGCTCACGCCTGTAATCCCAGCACTTTGGGAGGCCAAGGCGGGCGGATCACGAGGTCAGGAGATCGAGACCATCCCGGCTAAAACGGTGAAACCCCGTCTCTACTAAAAATACAAAAAAAATTAGCCGGGCTTAGTGGCGGGCGCCTGTAGTCCCAGCTACTTGGGAGGCTGAGGCAGGAGAATGGCGTGAACCCGGGAGGCGGAGCTTGCAGTGAGCCGAGATCCCGCCACTGCACTCCAGCCTGGGCAGGAGCTTGTCATCACAGTCCCCTCAGTAGCCCCAGTGTGCAGAATGGTGCTGGACACCTCCAGCTAAAAAGCCTGGGCTCTGTAATTAGGAGTCCGTGGAGGCGCTCCCTGCCCACCTACTGGCTGTGTGAGCTCAGGTTGGCTCCTTCACCTCTCTGAGTCTATTTCCTTACAGATGGTGACATGAGAGTAATGGCTATTCCTACCTCCCAGGTGGCTGAGCTTGTGCACCTGTGCCTGGGTCTGGTTGCTTTCCTGCTATTGTTAGCCGCCATGAAGGCATACCTGCTGTTGGGTGCTGCCCCTCCCCTCCCATGGTTCCCCGGGCAGGCAGTTTTCAGACCCTGCCCACCACCTGCCGGCTTGTGGAGAACAGCCCAGCTGGTAGAGCTGGAACATGGGCCAGTGCCAAGGGAGGGTGAGCTTGGGACTAGCAGAACCCTGGGCTGGAAGAAGGCTGAGTCACAGCCATAAGGTCAGGGGTGTGTCGTGGTGACAGGACATCCACTTCCAGCCTGGAGGGTGCCATGTCTCACATTTGGCACATTTGGGCAAGTGAGCCCAAGCAGAAAGGCTTTGGCAAAGAAAGGAGACAGGAGGGCAGCTGGAAAATTTTGACTAACGGCTGTCAAGGAATCCCTTCATCGTGAGAGTCTTTGGAGTATCAGCCCCCAATCTATACCTGGCCCGGCCCATCACTCAGCCTGGAGTGGCCTTCCCAGCTACAGGCACTGAACCTTCAGGCATCCCCGTGCTCCTCACCATCTTGCCCCAGGGCCACAGCTCATGCCATACCTGTTCCCGGTATGTGGGTCCCCTCCCCATTCCCTCACCTGCTGAACTCCTGCTCATTCCTGAGACCCAGTTAAAACACATTTCTGACCAGGCGCGGTGGCTCACGCCTGTAATCCCAGCACTTTGGGAGGCCAAGGCAGGCGAATCACGAGGTCAGGAGATCGAGATCATCCTGGCTAACACGGCGAAACCCCGTGTCTACTAAAAATACAACAAAATTAGCTGGGCGTGGTGGCGGGCGCCCGTAATCCCAGCTACTTGGGAGGCTGAGGCAGGAGAATGGCGTGAACCCGGGAGGCGGAGCCTGCAATGAGCCGAGATTGTGCCACTAGCCTGGCAACAGAGCGAGACTCCATCTCAAAAAAAAAAAAACATTTCCCTGAGGCTTTCAGCCATCTTCTGATGTAGCCCCTGCCACTGTCCTCTGCCTGCCCTTGACATTTCAGGCTTTGGATAGCACCCAGGCTGGATAGGCCAGCCTGCCCAACATGGTGAAACTCTGTCTCTACAAAAAATACAAAAATTAGCCCGATGTGGCGGTGCGTGCCTGTAGTCCCAGCTACTTGAGGGGCTTGGGGAGGGAGGATTGCTTTAGTCCAGGGGTTCCAGGCTGCAGTGAGCCAAGATCGCACCCCTGCACTCCAGCCTGGGTGATAGAGCAAGACCCTGTCTCAAAAAAAGAAAAGAACTATCAAGCTGTGAAAAGACATGGAGGAGGCAGGGTGCTGTGGCTAAAGCCTGTAATCCTGGCACTTTGGGAGGGCGAGGCAAGCTGATCATTTGAGGCCAGGGGTTCGAGACCAGCCTGGCCAACATGGTAAAACACCATCTCTACTAAAAATACAAAAACTAGGCCAGGTGTGGTGGCTCACACCTGTAATCCCAGCACTTTGGGAGGCAGAGGCAGGCCAATCATTTGAGGTCAGGGGTTTGAGACCAGCCTGGCCAACATGGTAAAACCCCATACTAAAAATACAAAAATTAGGCCGGGCGCCGTGGTTCACACCTGTAATCCCAGCACTTTGGGAGGCCGAGGTGGGTGAATCACCTGAGGTCAGGAGTTTGAGACCAGCCTGGCCAACATGGCGAAAACCTGTCTCTACAAAAAGTATAAAAATGGGCCGGGCGTGGTGGTGGGTGCCTGTAATCCCAGCTACTCAGGAGGCTGAGGCAGGAGAATTGCTTGAACCCAGGAGGCGGAGGTTGCAGTGAGTTGAGATGGTGCCACTGCACTCCAGCCTGGGCGATAGAGCGAGACTCAGTCTCAAAAAGAAAAGAAAACATATGGAGGAAACTTAAATGCATATCACCAAATGAAAGAAGCAAGCTGAAAAGCTACGAATACTATGATTCCAACTCTGTGACATTTTGGAAAAGGCAAAACTACGGAGACAGTAAAAAGATCGGTGGTTGCCAGGGACTTGGGAGTGAAGACGGAGAGGAGAAATCATGAGGCACAGGGAACTTTTAGGGTAGTTAAACTATGTATGATGTAGTTATGCGTGGGTCAAAACTCACAAACTATACAACACAAACAATGAACCCTAATGTAAACGGTGGACTTGAATTCATAATAATGTATCAATATTGGCTCGTCAATTGTAAAGATACCACCCTAATACAGTATATAAAGAATAAGAGGTGGCTGGGTGTGGTCGCTCACGCCTGTAATCCCGGCACTTCCGGAGGCCGAGGTGGGCGGATCATTTGAGGTCAGGAGTTCGAGACTAGCCTGGCCAACATGGTGAAACATCCCCTCTCCACTAAAAATACAAAAAGTAGCCGGGTGCCATGGTGCATGCCTGTAATCACAGCTACTCGGGAGCCGAGGCAGGGGAATCACTTGAACTTGGAAGGTGGAGTTTGCAGTGAGCCGAGATCGTGCCACTGCACTCCAGCCTGGGCAACAGAGTGAGACTCCATCTCAAAAAAAAAAAAGGGGCTGGGCATGGTGGCTCACCCTTGTAATCCCAGCACTTTGGGAGGCTGAGGCAGGCGGATCACAAGGTCAGGAGATCGAGACCACGGTGAAACCCCGTCTCTACTGAAAATACAAAAAAAAATTAGCCGGGCCTGGTGGCGGGCACCTGTAGTCCCAGCTACTCGGAGAGGCTGAGGCAGGAGAATGGCGTGAACCCGGGAGGCGGAGGTTGCAGTGAGCTGAGATCGCGCCACTGAACTCCAGCCTGGGCGACAGAGGGAGACTCCGTCTCAAAAAAAAAAAAAAAAAAAAAAAAAGCTACCTAACTGCAGTTTGACAAAGAGAGCAGGTCATGGGGTGCCCGTGCTCCTCAGAAAGGGGTGCTGTGTTTAGGGATCTCCAGGAAGGAGCACCGTCTGCCAGAGTGGGCATGCTGGCAGGTGGTGGAAGCTGCAGGAACCGAAACACAGAGACGGAGAGGGCATGGGGGCTCAATGGGCAAGGGCATCACAGAGCAAGCCCTGGAAACACGCTGCTGACATCCAGCCTGGCTCCAAGGCCAGTGCTCAGGGGAGTGAGGAGGGCGTGGCTTTGCAGCCACACGAGACCTACAAAACCTTTACCTCTTTGAGTCTCAGTTTCCCTAACTGCAAAGTGGGGAGATTGTGAGGAAACCTGAGGTGCCGTGTATAAAACACTGAGCATGTGGCTGGCCACCGTGGAGGGAATTATTTGGGTGGCAGTCAGTGTGACCCTCCCTGCATGCCCAGCACAGGGTCTGCCCCCATAGGCAATTAACTAACCCACCAGCTGTGCAAATGAGTGGAGGGTGGCTGTGTCATAGGCCTGGTCCTAGCCTGGCCGCCCACTGTCTGGGCACACAGCAGGAATGCCGTGACCTGTAATTAACCTAGGCCAGGCTTGGCAGGCAGGCAGGCTCTCCCCGGTGCCCACATGATACTGCCATCAGCCTTAATGAGTGCACGTGCTGCAATCTGAAACCTGAGGCAGGGGCTGGAACCAGTTGCACAGAGAATAGAATTGTCACAACAGGAAGGGTGTGTTCAGAGCCTGCTGGAGGAGCGGCAGGAGGGGGCCTGGGCCTGCGCTTCCGCACCTCATGCCACCCAGAGGCTGCCAGGACCCCGATGCCTAGAGAATGGCTGCTGGCTGCTGGGAGAGTGCCCAGGGCTGGGTACTTGATTCAGGCCCAAAGTACTGATTTCAGGTACTTTGGGAGGCCGAGGCAGGCAGATCACGAGGTCAGGAGATTGAGACCATCCTGGCTAACACGGTGAAACCCCGTCTCTACTAAAAAAAATACAAAAAATTAGCCGAACATGGTGGCGGGTGCCTGTAGTCCCAGCTACTCGGGAGGCAGAGGCAGGAGAATGGCGTGAACCCGGGAGGCGGAGCTTGCAGTGAGCCGAGATTGCGCCACTGCACTCCAGCCTGGGCGACAGAGTAGGACTCTGTCTCAAAAAAAAAAAAAAAGAGGTTGTTTTCCCACAGCCTTCAGGAGCTTGTGCTCCAGCCCTTTGCTCCCAGTGTCCCCAGCACCTTTCCTTCCACTGTGCCCTGCTTATTTTCAGGACCTGCTCAAACTCCTCCCAGAAGCCTTCCAGGGCCCGCCCTGTGCGGCTCCAGTCCCTCTAGAACACTGCTTATGACCTCTCCTCTGGCCCCCCATCTAGCAGGAGTTGCTTCAAGGTGGGCAGTATTTTTCATTCATGCCCAGCATGGTAGCCCGCATCATGTGCCCACTGAATTAAATAGAGGGAGAAATGGGGTTGGTAAAGAATACAGGAGCAGAACCGGGCATGGTGGCTCAGCCTGTAATTCCAGCACTTTGGGAGGCTGAAGCGGGCAGATCACTTGAGGTCAGGAGATTGAGACCAGCCTGGCCAACATGGTGAAACCCCCTCTCTACCAAAAATATAAAAAATGAGCCGGGCATGGTGGCAGGCACCTGTAATCCCAGCTACCCAGGAGGCTGAAGCAGGAGGGAGGTTGCAGTGAGCTGAGATTGTGCCACTGCACTCCAGCCTGGGTGACAGAGACTCTGTCTCAAAAAAAAAAAAAAAAAAAAAAAAAAAAAGAATACTGGAGCAGGAGCCAGAAGGCCTGAGTTTGATTTGAGAGGGGTCTCTGACTCCTAATGGCTGGCAGACCTCGGGCCACTCGCCTGACTTCCCTGGGCCTCAGCTTCCTTCGCCTTAGAAGAGGCTAGGACTCACCTTTGGGGGTCTTCTGGCTTAGATGTTCTGTGGTCCCAAATGCTCCACAGGCTGCCCCCTGCCCTGTCTCCCACCTGCCCACTCCCTGCCCCATACTGAGCTGTGAGGTGAAGCCACCCCCCAGGCCTGTTCACCTTCTGACTGCCCACGTGGTCGGCTCTCCATCCTTCATGCACCTGCGGGTGAAAGGGAAGATTCCTTCCTCATACACTTCCAGCATCTGCCTCGTGCTGCGCACAGCTCTGGGCCAGATGACTTACAACCATCAGTCACCCATGCCAGCTTGGACCTGCCATCTGTGGCCCAGACTCAGAGAGAAGAGAACTTGATGCAGAGTTGGCCTCACCCACCCCCTGCCTCCAGAGGGGCTGCCTGGATTGGAGTGTGGGTTCCCATGGGCCTCAGACTTGGTTGGAGGCTCAGCAGAAGAAGGGGGGACAGGGAGACAGGTGGGGGTGGGAATGGAGGCTGGGAGGTGCAGAACGCTGTGGGAGTGGAATGCAGGCAGCAGGTGCCACCCCGCAGGATGGGGAGATGGGGCCTCATTCTTCTGTGAATGATAACGCCGGTGGACTGGGTGCTAGCTGAAGCCGAAAGTCAGCTCCCCAGAGACATGTCCATTCCTGGTAGGCAGCACCCCTTGGCTCCAACTCCCCTTGGGGCAGGGAGTGTGGGTGAGAGGGAGCTGGGGCCTGCCACACACCTCAGCGGCTTGCTCTCCTCTTTCACAGACTAGGAGGCGGCTCTGGGTTAGGGCCATGACAGCCCGGGCCGGGAACCAGCATTGGTGGAGCTGGTAACTTACTGTGTGCCGTGACGGGCGTGCGCACTGAGCACTTTCCCCATGTGACTGCAGTGAGTTCCAGCAGCACCCCATGAAGCAGGGGTGAGCTATCGCTCCCTGTCCAGATGAGGACATTGAGGCTGAGAAGTGAGTGGCTTGCCCAAAGCCGTGTGGCTTATAAAGGATGTGTGTGTGTGTGTGTGTGTGTGTGGCAGGGGCGTGGGGGCGGTGGGATTCCAATTCCTCTCTGTCTTTGTCCCAGGATGACGTGAGGGGATGTCCTTTAAGCTCTTGGGCACAGGTTTATGGAACAACTTGCTGTTTGTGTGTGGTTTTTTTTCTTTCTTTCTTTCTTTTTCTTTTCTTTTTTTTTTTTTTTGAGATGCAGTTTTGCTGTTGTCACCCAGGCTGGAGTGCAGTGGCGCGATCTCGGCTCACTGCAACCTCTGCCTCCCGAGTAGCTGGGATTATAGGCACGCACCACCATGCCCAGCTAATTTTTTTGTATTTTTAGTAGAGGTGCGGCTTCACCATGTTGGCAAGGCTGGTCTCGAACTCCTGACCTCGTGATCCACCTGCCTTGGCCTCCAAAAGTGATGGAATTACAGGCGTGAGTTTGTTTTTGAGATGGAGTCTCGCTCTGCCCCAAAGCTGAAGTGGAATGGTGCAATCTCAGCTCACTGCATCACTGCAACCTCCGCCTCCCGGGTTCAAGTGATTCTCGTGCCTCAGCCAGGATTACAGGCGTGCGTCACCATGCCCAGCTAATTTTTGTGTTTTTAGTAGAGACATAGTTTCACCATGTTGGCCAGGCTGGTCTTTTTTTTTTTTTTTTTTTTGAGACTGAGTCTCATTCTGTCGCCCAGGCTGGAGTGCAGTGGCGCGATCTCGACTCACTGCAAGCTCCGCCTCCCGGGTTCACGCCATTCTTCTGCCTCAGCCTCCCGAGTAGCTGGGACCACAGGCGCCTGCCATGACGCCTGGCTAATTTTTTGTATTTGTAGTGGAGACAGGGTTTCACCGTGTTAGCCAGGATGGTCTCAATCTCCTGACCTCGTGATCCGCCCGCCTTGGCCTCCCAAAGTGCTGGGATTACAGGCATGAGCCACCGTGCCCCGCCTCAAGGCTGGTCTTGAACTTCTGACCTCAAGTGATCCGCCCTCCTAGGCCTCCCAAAGTGCTGGGATTATAGGCATGAGCCACTGTGCCTGGCAGGTATTTTATTTTTATTGGTATACAATTTATAATGTATGTATTGGTGTACAGGTTATTTTACAAGTTCAAGTTAACAACATTTATTTGTCATAGGGCTGGGCGCCGTGGCTTATGTCTGTAATCTCAGTACCTAGCACTTTTTTTTTTTGGCAGAATCTTGCTCTGTCGCCCAGGCTAGAGTGCAGTGGCATGATCTCAGCTCACTGCAACCTCCACCTCCTGGGTTTAAGTGATTCTCATTCCTCAGCCTCCCAAGTGGCTGGGACTACAGGCGCCCACCACCACACCCGGCTAAAATTTGTATTTTTAGTACAGATGCAGTTTTGCCATATTGTCCAGGCTTGTCTCGAACTCCTGGCCTCAAGTGATCTGCCTGCCTCGGCCTCCCAGAGTGCTGAGGTTACAGGCATGAGCCACTGCGTTTGGCCAATCTCAGCACTTTCAAAAGCTGATGTGGGAGGATCGCTTAAGACCAGGAGTTCAAGATCAGTCTGGGCAACGTAGTGAGACCCCATCTCTGCAAAAAATATTTAAACCATTAGCCAGGTGTGGTGGGACATGCCTGTAGTCCCAGCTATTTGGGAGGCTGAGGCTGCAGTGAGGTATGATCACACCATTGCACTGCAGTCTGGGTGACAAAGCAAGACCCTCTCTCAAAAGAAAAAGAAAAAAAAATAAATAGAATGTAAGGCACATATGTAATCTTGTACCCACATTTAAAAAGTATAAAAATTCTCGGCATGGTAGTGCCTGCCTATAGCACCAGCTACTCGGGAGGGCTGAAGTGGGAGGATCACTTGAGCCTAGGAGTTTGAATCCAGCCTGGGCTAACATAGCAAGACCCTGTCTCCAAAAAGTATAAAGAAACGGTAAAATTATTTTAAAAATTAGGAATGCAAAAGGTTTATGGAAAAAAAATAAAAAAAGAGAAAATATTTGTTATAAAGTTAATCAGGAAGGGCAATGTTACTTTTTTGATGCATTTACATTTTGAGACTGCTGCAATGTTTTAAAAAGTAGCCTCATTCACGCCTGTAATCCCAGCACTTTGGGAAGCTGAGGCAGGCGGATCACGAGGTCAGGAGATCGAGACAATCCTGGCTAACACACGGTGAAACCCCGTCTCTACTAAAAAATATAAAAAATTAGCCAGGCGTGGTGGCAGGTGCCTGTAGTCCCAGCTACTCGGGAGGCTGAGGCAGGAGAGTCGCTGGAACCTGAGAGGCGGAGCTTGCAGTGAGCCGAGATCGCGCCACTGCACTCCAGCCTGGGCAACACAGCGAGACTCCGTCTCAAAAAAAAAAAAAAAAAAAGTAGCCTCAGTATCTCATTTTACCTTACACTAAGGCAATCTGGATTCACAGCAGTTGCATCCAATAACTTTAAAAAAAATTAGTTTTACAATTGCAGGATGCCTTTTAATTTATCTAATTAGGAGCTGGCAAAAGGTAAGATGATTGGCTGGATTCAGAATGGAATCTGTTGGCTTCTGGGACCTCCTCATCCTCCTGCATAGCAAGGACTCAAGGAGGGACTATTGCCGGAGTTTATATCTTCCTCCCAGAGTAGAAAATACTTTAAAATGTATCACATAAAGCCTGGGCATTGTTAGGTTTTCATTCCAAATTTTAAAACAGTTACTTTGAAATTGTTGACACTGGCCCACTTTGGTACAAATGGTAACACTGTAAACCCGAATTCTCCAAATGAGCTTTTCCACTTAGTAAAATAAGATAGAAGTAGAACCAACTGAAGAACTTGCAAAAAAATTGAGTGATCCCATGGCCGGGCGTGGTGGCTCACGCCTGGAATCCCAGCACTTTGGGAGGCCGAGGTGGGCAGATCATGAGGTCAGGAGATGGAGATCATCCTGGCTAACACGGTGAAACCCCGTCTCTACTAAAAAAATACAAAAAATTAGCTGGGCGCAGTGGCACGCGCTTGTAGTCCCAGCTACTCGGGAGGCTGAGGCAGGAGAATGGCGTGAACCCGGGAGGCAGAGCTTGCAGTGAGCCGAGATAGCGCCACTGCACTCCAGCCTCGGCGACTGAGTGAGACTCCGTCTCAAAAAAAAAAAAAAAAAAAAAAGAATGGATTGATCCCAATTCAGGGCACCTGGGCAGTGCCCAGTGCCCACTTGGGAAGCCCTGTTTGTATGCTGCTCCATACCTACCTTTGTCTGGGAGCAGGCTCCAGCCGGGCATGGCAGGAGTGGAACATTGTACTTGCTGGTACAATTTGACGTGAGCAGACATGTGCAGCCAGAATGGAACAAAACAAAACAAAGCCAGGGAGATTGGGGTAATTGCCTCCTAATCAATGACACATTTACAAAGAATTCAGATCTTTACACGTACTTGGCAGGTGAGCATGTCATTCAGAGGTATGTTCAGAAATGTGTTCCTCCAGCCGCCATAGTTAGTGCTTTGATATGGCCAAAATATTAACAGTTGGTGCACAGCACGTGTTCTTAGGTTTGTTTTCCATTTATTTATTTATTTATTTATTTATTTATTTATTTATTTATTTTTGAGACAGGGTCCTGCTCTGTTGCCCAGGCTGGAGTGCAGTGGTGCAATCTTGGTTCACTGCAGCCTCAATCTCCTGGGCTCAAGTGATCCTCCCACCTCAGCCTCCTGAGTACCTGGGACTACAGGCCTGCACCACCACGTCTGTCTAATTTTTTTTTTTTTTTTTTTTTTTTTTGAGACCAGGATCTCATGATGTTGCCCAGACTGGTCTCCAACTCTTGGACTCAAGTGATGCTCCCGCCTTGGCCTCCCAAAGTACTGGGATTTTAGGCGTGAGCCACCACGCCCAGGCTTTTCTTTTAGACACGATTAAAAATTTAAAAAAGTGAATATACCCTGAAGCACTTTTACAAAATCAGGGGTCCTTGAACACACTGAACAATGACCTGTGCCAGGCCCCATGCTGAATATTGCAGAGCGAACTCACAAATCCTCACAGATTCTCTAAGCTAACAATCACTAGGTTTTGTGATTATCCCCGTTTTACAGTAGGGAAAACCAAGGGCTGGAGTAGTGAAGTCACTTGCCAGGGCCGCAGAGCTCCTTGCCGCTCGGCTGCCTTACTGCCTTGTTTCCCCTGGCTTCTCTTTGTGCCTGCAATGCAGCCAAGTGGAACCCTCCTCTCTTCCTGGACAGGAGGAGTTCTTGCCTCCTGATCTTTGCTCTCTGTAATCTTCCACTCATTTTGGCTCAGGTAAACAGCACTGTTTTCAATACCACTGCACCCTCTTCTGTTCTAAACTCTATGTCCTTGCCAGATCTTTCCAGGAACATCAGCAGGACCCAGGTCCACCCCGAGCCACCTTCCCTGCCTGGCACGTTCTAAATATTGGAATTATTGAGTGAGTGAATGTCTGTAACTGATTTTGATTTTTTTTCTTGAAAGACATGTATCACTGTACAATCCATAAATCACTGTACTTATCACACTGAAAATACACGTATCACTGTATTTTCAGCAATACAACTATATCTGGATGTTTTAAATTTTTTGAGAATATGATATTCTCTGTGCAAGTATGTTTTAGCCCAGACTGTCTGTTTATCCAGGCTGCTTAGTGGGAAATGGTTAATAAAGGACTAAACTAAAGCCGGTCAGTCTCAGTCCCAGGCACTCTGTGGCAATGGTCACATTTTGGGGGAAGGAAGGAGCAGCTGACAAGGCATGACCACATGTCCACCGTTCAGACACAGCATTCACAGCCGTGTGCCCGGAACAGCTCTCCATGCTTTGACTCCTTACCACAGCCCTGTTGCTCTTCCTAATCCCCATATCACGGAGGGGACACAGAGGTGCAGAGAGCTGCAGTGACTGGCCCAAGGCCCCTTGGCTGAAAAGGGGTGGAGGCAGGATTGGGCTCCAGGCCTGTTCAAATATGACTGAAGGAGGAGGCTGGATGGAATGTTGTGAAATGTTTGTGGGGAACAAAGTTGGGGTGCTCACATGTGGCAACGGGGAGCTATCTTTGGAAAAATACCCTGATAAGCTGCCAGGACAGAAGGTATAAGGCCCAAAGAGTTCAGGCAATGATGTCAAGCTGCTAGGTGCAAGACAAGGAAAGGAATTTTGTGTTTGTCCTGAGAAGGAGGAGGAGAGAAAAGAAGAGGGGGAGAGTGCAGAAAACCAAAGGCATGTGAAGTGGCCAGAGTGTGGCATGGGTCACGTGACCAGGTGGTGACTCCTGGGGCCAGGCAGCCAAAAAGGCTCACGAGGCATCCTGTCTTGTTGCTGGGCAGTGCCAGGCTTGATGCCTCTCTCCAGCTTCCAGTCTTCAGGAACCCCTGCTAGACTCAGCAGTGCTTGGAGTGCAGGGGGATTCGTGCAACTGGATAAGGGGATGATGGTGAGACCAGTGAGCATGCGGTGTGTGGAAGAGCAGGAGGCCTGATGACAGACGCTTGTTCAGAAACCTTGGGAGAGGCTGCGTACAGTGGCTCGTGCGTGTAATCCCAGCACTTTGGGAGGATGAGGCAGGAGGATTGCTTGAGCCCAGGAGTTCAAGACGAGCCTGGGCAACATGGCGAGATTCTGTCTCTACAAAGATTTTAAAAAATAATTAACTGGGCATGGTGGTGCGCACCAGTGGTCGCAGCTACTTGGGAGGCTGAGGCAGGAGGATGGCTTGAGCCTAGGAGGTCAAGGCTGCAGTGAGCCATCATTGTGCCACTGCATTCCAGCCTGGGCATCAGAGTGAGACCCTGTCTCAAACAAACCAAAACAAAAACCCCCAAAAATTTGGGAGAGGCTCTGTATTTCTTTTTTTTTTTGAGGCGGAGTCTCACTCTGTTGCCCGGGCTGGAGTGCAGTGGCGCGATATCAGCTCACTGCAAGCTCCGCCTCCCGGGTTCACGCCATTCTCCTGCCTCAGCCTCCCGAGTAGCTGGGACCACAGGCGACCGCCACCACGCCTGGCTAATTTTTTGTATTTTTAGTAGAGACAGGGTTTCACCATGTTAGCCAGGATGGTCTTGATCTCCTGACCTCGTGATCCGCCCGTCTCGGCCTCCCAAAGTGCTAGGATTACAGGCGTGAGCCACAGCGCCCGACAAGGCTCTATATTTTTATAGGGCATGGAATTGCGATGTAAGCGGAACTTACCCAGATATGAAAGTGCTGAGAGCTGATGGCTGAGTTCTATCTATACAAATGGTCCACAGGTATTGTGGGTGGCAAAGAGGTCCCTGTTGGCTCAGTCCTGGAGAATGAGGAGAGACTTCTTGGCAGTGGTTTGTCCTGGCACTGTGTGTTGGTTTTTTTTTTTTTTTTTTGAGATGGAGTCTCGCACTGTCGCCAGGGCTGGAGTACAGTGGCGTGATCTTGGCTCACTGCAACCTCCGCCTCCCAGGTTCAAGTGATTCTCCTGCCTCAGACTCCCAAGTAGCTGGGATTACAGGTGCATGCCACCACACCCAGCTAATTTTTTGTATTTTTAGCAGAGACAGGCTTTCACTGTGTTGGCCAGGCTGGTCTCAAACTCCTGACCTTGTGATCTGCCCGCCTCGGCCTCCCAGAGTACTGGGATTCCAGGCGTGAGCCACCGTGCCTAGCCGGTTCTTTTGTTTCTTTCTCAATTATTGTCATAAGGACAATGCCACAGAGCAGTCTAGAAAGTAAACAACCACTAGATTTCTTTGTGGACTCTTTTCTCATACCTATCTATATGTAGCAGCAATTCTACAGTTTCTACCATTTTGTATCTAGCTTTTTCTTTTATTATTATTTTCTTTTATTTTACTTTTTAGAGAACTGGGTCTTGCTATGTGGCCCAGGTTGGCCTCAAACTCCTGGGCTGAAGCGATTCTCCTGCCTCGGCGTCCCAAGAAGCTGGGATTCCAGGTGCATGTCACCATGCCTGGCTCTATCTGGCTTTTTCTTTTAACGTTTTAGTTTAAGCATTTTCCCATAGTGCTACACAGTCATCATTATTATTCTCAAGGGTTGGGCTGACCTGGGTTTCTAATCCTGGCTCTGCCATTTACTCTCTTTACTCCACATCACCCCCAGCAAGTTACCTGGCTCACCCCTCACCTGGGGTTCCTCTCACCATCCTCTCCACCTGGATGACATGAAGCAGTGCTTGGACAGCGCGTAGGACAGTGCTCAGGAAGTGCTCTCCATTTTCCTTCAAGAGTATTTCCCTCTGCAGAACGGGGCTAATACCCTATCATGCAAGGTGATTGTGAGAATTGGAAAGAATGCGTGTGCATTGCCTGGTGCCTTGCCATCCAAATATATTTTATTAGAGAGAGCAGCAACATACGCCCCCCCAACCCCCCGTTTAAACTAAGCGGGTCCACGTGGAATGACGCTTTTGGCGCAAGTCGGAGGAGCTCCTAACGACATTAGCTTCTTTGAGTCCCTTGGGAGAGGAAACTTTCTGAAAGACTGTAGGATTACCTTCCCTGAACTTCCGGTCAGGTGCGGTGCTGCCCTGCCGCGCCCTCTTACCCCTGGATGCCGACGAAACCGCAAAACTCCAGCCCCGGGAAGCGCGTCTCAAGGACCACCACCAGCGAGCGGCTTTGGGAGAGTAATCTGCGCCACCCTCGCAGCCCATTAAATAGGCACTCCCCGTTTGATTGACAGGAGAAGTCACCAATGCGCGTCCTGGGGCTTTCCCTCGTCCTCACGCGGGGTGAGCCGCCTCTCTACTCATCTGGCCCAATCGGGGGCGCCGGGGAGGCTGTGGGGCGGGGCTCGGTGTCCGGTAGCCAATGGACAGAGCCCAGCGGGAGCGGCGGGGGCGGTGCGGTCGCGGCTGGCGGCAGAAGCGGCCGCAGGGGTCTGGGCAGGGCTGGGCAGTGCTGCCGGAGCAAAAGCGGTAGCGGGAGCCCGGCCGGAGCTGGGTCTGGAGACGCCGTGGCAGCCTGAACGGAGTGTGCGACGGATTGGGAGGTGAGTGGCCGCCGAGGTCAGGGGTCGCCGCGACGGTTGGGGCGCCGCGGGCGGGACGCGGGGGCGCTGGTCCGCGGCCGGGCCCGCGCCCCGTCAGGGCCGCCGCGCCGAGCTCCGCGCCCTGAGGGAAGCGGGTCGGGCCGCGCGGAACTTCCTGTCTCTGTGGGAGGGGGCGAGTGCTCGGGGCCCCGGGGGGCGCCTGGAGAAGACATCTTGGGGAGGACGAGGGCGAGTGGGGTCGGCTCGGGGAAGGGGCGGGGGCCCATGGGGGCGGCGCTGTGGGAGCGGGGCAGTTTTCCGGGGTCCGGGGCCTGCTGGAGAGGGAAGTGCAGGAGCAGGGCCGTCGGGGGTTAAGAGCTGCTAATGAGTGGGGGAGGTGTAGACAGCTGCAGAAGGGGGAGCTGGGGCGACTTTTGGAGGGACGCGATTTAGGAGAAAGCTGGGAATCCGAGACGTGCAGAGGTTAGGCGAGGGTGCCGGAGCAACGCTGGAGGGAAGGCGTGGCTGGGACGCGCCGGTGAGAGGGCAGGGCTTAGTCCTGGGGTGGCCTGGGGGGCGACGCAGGACACACGCGGGTGCGCTGATTTCGGGCGCTTTGATGAGCGGCCTCCATTTCCTTCCTTCCCACCCTCCGTGTCCCGGGGGGGGGGGGGTGGTGTGTGTGTGTCTGTGTGTGTGTGTGTGTGTGTGTGTGTGTGTAGGGCGGGGGGAGCAAAGCCCTTACCGCAGCACGTCCTAGGGCTGGGGCCAAGCAGGAGAGGCCGGGGAGGTTTGCCCTTGTGACCCTCCTCAGAGTTTCCCCAGACTCACTGAATCAGAAATCCGAACTCCTTACTCCTCTAGGGCTTTCAAGCCTGGCCAGGCATCCTGAGAGGTCCGCAATTGGAGAGGTAGTGATTGCTGCTGCTGTTGAATTTCATTGATTCATTGGGTTTCGGCTCCATCAGAGAAGGTCGATTTTCTTTTCAGAAGGAGTTGGTTGGTCAGGGGAGCAAGCTGTGCTATTGCTTTGGGGCCCACACGGCTGCAGCCTTTGACGTATAACAGGACCTGGGGATGCCACTCTTGGCTTGGGTGCCTGAGGGAAGGTGGCCTTTGGCTGGGTGTGTGCACCATTCCTGGATCCTGTCTTCTCTTTTTCCCTCCGCCTGTCCGGTGTTTTTGTGGTTAAGGGGGTAGGCTGCTCAGAGTCTCCAGGGCTACTTGGTACACTGTTTACCAAATACTGCCTGGCTGTCTTGATGAAAATCAGGAAACCAGCTCAAAGAGTTTGAACCTCAGCTGCAGATGGTGAGCTCACACCTTCTTCCTTCCCTCCTTTTCGGTGCCTTCCTCTGCGGTTATTCCCGTGTGCTGAAGTTCTGTTTTAACCCTCCTGGGATTGCCAGGTTGGAGCCCAGGGCAAGGGAACCGACCAGGCAGGCAGTGTTGAATGCCAGCCCTCCTGTTCTTGCCCAAGATGTTGTCGTTCCACTTGATTCATGAGCCTGCCTGCATGCAGCCTCCTCATGGAGACATTGAAGCTGTGCCAGTGCAACTTGGATCTCTCTTGATTCACCTGGAAAACTTTCACTTGTGTGGACTTAAACTTAATTCTAGAGTTTGGTAGCCTCTTTGGTGAGGTTATGCTGGTTGAGATATGAGGCCACTACATCAAAAACATTGGTGTGTTTTTCTTTTGACAATAGACTTAAAGCTTTAAAGAAAGTGGCCATTAGGCTGGTGATATTTATTACTTGGGAAAGTAACATAACACAGAGAAGTAGATGGGTGATTAGGTCTGCACTCTTTATCCACTTTTTGGGAGAAGAATAACAACTCATTTGAATGGAAATGGTATCCTTAGCTCGTGCTGCTTTGGGACTTGGAACTTTATCACTTTTAATCTCAAATGTATATGAAGTTGTGATGTGATATTTAAATAATCTAGGCTGGGCGGGGTGGCTCACGCCTGGGATCCCAGCACTTGGGAAGGCCGAGGCGGGCAGATCACCTGAGGTCAGAACTTAGAGACCAGCCTGGCTAACATGGTGAAACCCCGTCTCTACTAAAGATACAAAAATTAAGGCCGGGCGTGGTGGCTCACGCCTGTAATCTCCAGCACTTTGGGAGGCAGAGGCGGGCGGATCACCAGAGGTCGGGAGTTCGAGACCAGCTTGACCAACATGGAGAAACCCCATGTCTACTAAAAATACAAAATTAGCTGGGTGTGGTGGTGCTCATACCTGTAATCCCAGCTACTTGGGAGGCTGAGGAAGGAGAATTGCTTGAACCCAGGAGGCGGAGGTTGCGGTGAGCCAAGATCCGGCCGTTGCACTCCAGCCTAGGCAACAAGAGCAAAACTCCTGTTTCAAAAAAAAAAAAAAATTAGTCTGGCGTAGTGGTGCACACGTGTAATCTCAGCCTCAGCTACTTGGGAGGCTGTGGCATGATAATTGCTTGAACCTGGGAGATGGAAGTTGCAGTGCACTGAGATCACACCACTGCACTCTAGCCTGGGTGACAGAGTGAGACTCTGTTTAAAAATAAATAAATCTAAAAGTATGCATATATTTAAAAAAAATTCTGGATTTCCACCAACATAGCATTCTGCAGGGAGATAACATGAACTTTTCCCTAATCCTGGATACCCATCCACATCTCTGATGGCCAGGCATTTCTGGAGTGGGAGCAGAGGGGCATTTGTCCTTGCTTTTTTTTTTTTTTTTTTTTTGAGAGAGAGTCTCTGCCCAGGTTCAAATGATTCCTCTGCCTCAGCCTCCTCAGTAGTTGGGATTACAGGCGCCTGCCACCTTGCCTGGCTAGTTTTTGTATGTTTGTATGTATGTATGTATGTATGTATGTATGTATGTATGTATGTATGTATTTATTTATTTTGAGACAGAGTCTCGCTCTGTCGCCCGGGCTGGAGGCAGTGGTGCGATCTCAGCTCACTGTAACCTCTGCCTCCCAGGTTCAAGTGATTCCCCTGCCTCAGCCTCCTGAGTAACTGGGACTACAGGCATCCACCACCACGCCTGGCTAATTTTTGTATTTATAGTAGAGACGGGATTTCACCGTGTTGGCCAGTATGGTCTCGATTTCCTGACCTTGTGATCCACCTGCCTTGGCCTCCCAAAGTGCTGGGATTACAGGCACCTGCCACCTTGCCTGGCTAGTTTTTGTATTTTTAATAGAGATGGGGTTTTACCATGTTGGCCAGGCTGATCTGGAACTCCTGACCTCAGGTGATCTGCCCACCTCAGCTTCCCAAAGTGCTGGGATTACAGGCGCCTGCCACCTTGCCTGGTTAGTTTTTGTATTTTTAATAGAGATGGGGTTTCACAGTGTTGGCCAGGCTGATCTGGAACTCCTGACCTCCAGTGATCTGCCCGCCTCGGCCTCGCAGATGTCCTTGCCTTTTGTTTCTTCTCTATACCTTGAAAGTCTGTGCTGTGTTAAGGGCGTCATGCTCAGGCTTACTGATTCTGAAGGGGTTATCAGTGGATGATTCCGGATGTTGTGGAATATCAAACAGATCGAAAAGTTTCTTTAATAATAGTGATGGCACCTTGTGTTTAGAGTTCGCAGTGGCATTTACCAGATGCTCTCTGGCCACCTTCATGTGAACCTCCCAGCTGACTCGGGCCTGCTTTATCTGCCATCAGATTGTAATGGCAGCTTTGTGGAGGCCGCCCTGTAGATTATGCGATTAATGACCACATTCATGTGAGCAATAGTGCTGGCTTAGTTTTTTTCCAGTTAGGTTGTTTGGAATGGTAGCTGCATACCTGAGGGCAGTGCAGCAATGCCTTAGTTACGAAGGCAGTTTGCATTCCACAGGTAGAGTCTTTCCTTATGGCCAGGGCACTGATCCCTCACATACCAGAAAGTATCATTCGTCCCTGCCCCAGACAGACTCCAGATGCGTCCCAGTGGTGGTTCTTGGGATAGTTTTGTAGGAATTTCTGCAGAATTTTAGTGTTCAGATGAGTATGCTCTGTCTGTGGACTGGAGACAGGCTTCAAAGAATTCTCAAATTATTCTGCACAATACATCATTTTTTGGTATCTCTGCAGTTCCAAAGGTAACTACTTGAGGGACAGTGGCCACCAAAGAGCACAAGTTTTGACATTTTGATGAAAAGCACACATAAAACAAATAAAAACCACCTTTCCTTAAGTTACCTATTGAATTGTGCTTATTCCCATAAATGCATGTTCATCTGTTTGCTTAATAAAACTTAAAGCACCATAGAGTCTTTCTTGTTTCCTAGAATAAGGTCTTTTTTCTTTTCCTTTCTTGTCTTTTTTTGTTGTTGTTGTTGTTGAGACGGAGTCTCGCTTTGTTGCCCAGGCTGGAAGTGCCCTGTGGTGTGATCTTGGCTCACTGCAGGCTGCGCCTCCCGAGTTCATGCCATTCTCCTGCCTCAGCCTCCCAAGTAGCTGGGACTACAGGCGCCCGCCGCCACACTTGGCTAATGTTTTGTATTTTTAGTAGAGACGGGGTTTCACTATGTTAGCCAGGATGGTCTTGATCTCCTGACCTTCGTGATCTGCCCGCCTCTGCCTCCCAAAGTGCTGGGATTACAGGCGTGAGCCACCGTGCCTGGCCGGTCTTTTTTATTTTCAATTAAAAAAAAATATATATATATATGTATTTTTAAACAGAGATGGGATTCCGCCATGTTTGCCAGGCTGGTCTCAAACCCCTGGCCTCAAGTGATCCTCCCATCTCGGGTTCCCAAAGTGCTAGGATTACAGGTGTGAGCTACCACACCTGGCCTATTTTCAATCCTAAAAAAATCATTTGCGTGTTTCTTGATTTTAGGCACTGAACTAGACGGAGATGAGAATATAGAAATAATAAAATGGGGCTGGGCGCTGTGGCTCACACCTGTAATCCCAGCACTATGGGAAGTAAAGGAGCAGATCACTTCAGGTCAGGAGTTCGAGACCAGCCTGGCCAACATGGTGAAACCCCATCTCTGCTGAAAATACAAAAATTAGTCGGGTATGGTGGCGTGCGCCTATAATCTCAGCTACTCGGGAGGCTGAGGCAGGAGAATCACTAGAACCCGGGAGGCAGAGGCTGCAGTGAGCCGAGATTGTGCCACTGCACTCCAGCCTTGGGTGACAGAGCAAGACTCTGTCTCAAAAAAAAAAAAAAAAAAAAATAGAAAAAATAAAATGATGTCTCAACTATCAAAGACCTCGCAAGAAGCCTTAAAAATGATAAATAAGGCTAGAGATTTTGCTGTACCTTTGGAAAGTGCATGTGTGGTGGTTTATAGTACATATTCTGTGGCCAGATAAAATTTATATGATTATTTTTCCTCCCAAGAATATGAGATGACAGAGGGGGAGGAGCGTGGATGGAGACTAGGAGCCTTGGGCTCTTGTCCAGCCTTTCCCTGACCAACCCTGAGGTCTGGGACAATCAGCACAGAACTCCAGGTCTCAGTTTTCATATTTGTAAAATGAAGGACTTAGAGGACCTTCACCTTTTGCAAATCTGATAGCAACTGTGACCCCTTCCCACGAAGGGGGACAGCTTCATAGGCGTGGACCCAGATTAAGAACTGGATTATTCCATCTCTAAGCTCCCTCTCACCTGTGATATTCTGTAATCCTATTTTCCTGGTCATCTTTGAGCTAATAATAATGATGACTTGTATTTATAGAAGATGCACATTCCAAAGCACTTTCACCTCTCATTCTTTTGTCCTCAAAACATTTCTGAGTGGTACAGGTGGCAATAGATATTCCTTCCTGTGATGAAGAAAGTGGGCCAGGCTTGGTCAGCACGTTGATGGAGCAAACAGCCAGAGGCCGTCCTGGGACCAGAACTGGGGCTCCTGGTTGCCATCCTGGGGCTTTTCCATTAGGTTTTGCTTCCTTGGTGGTTGTCATTATGAGTTATGTTTGGCAGTTCAAATATCCCAGAATGTGTCACTCGTAGAGGAAACTATTTGTTCATCTGCCGGAAAGGACTGTTTTTCTCTCTGAATTTGGATCACTAAACACCTTTTCTGTATGTGAAAAGGCTACTTATTTGTTTTTGTTATTTTTTCTTGCCACATTTTTCATAGGGACAGTTTGTAGGGCTTGAGTGTTTTGAGCAGACTTATTTAATGCTTATTGATGAAAGAGTACATTAAAATGACTACTTCTCAGTTGCTTAGCACTTGAGAAAGTTGTGAAATAAATGTTAAGTAAAAATTCCAAATGTCTCACTTGTCCTATCCAAGTATGTCCTCACAGATGAGATGCTTTCTGCAGTCTAGGAGGCCCCTCCCTGGGCCCAGAGCCGCTGGGTGGGTTTGAAAGTTGGGTGTGGATTGTGCCAGTGGCCAGGACTGTCCAACAGTGGCTGCTTGTGGCCTTCTGGCTAGATTCCTAACATTTTATGGACTAATTTTTTTGGTTTATTGAAAGAGTACACATTCTGAGCTATATAAAGAGCTCATATATGTAAAAGAACACTGAACTTAGGCCGGGCGTGGTGGCTAACGCCTGTAATTCCAGCACTTTGGGAAGCTGAGGTGGGCAGATCACAAGGTCAGGAGTTTGAGACCAGCCTGGCCAATATGGTGAAACCCCATCTCTACTAAAAATATAAAAACTAGCTGGTCATGGTGGTGCGTGCCTGTAATCCCAGCTACTGGGGAGGCTGAGGCAGGCGAATGGCTTGAACCCAGGAGGCGGAGGTTGCAGTGAGCCGAGATTGTGCCACTGCACTCCAGCCTGGGCGACAGAGTGAGACTCTGTCTCAAAAAAAAAAGAAGACCACTGAATTTTAGAGCCTCACAGATGTTAGGTGGCTTATTTCTGATGAAAATAATCATAATAAAGATGTTTTTTATTTTTATTTTTTAAAAGAATACTTCTGATGTATTTCTGAAAGCTGTTTTGAATACTCAGACATGGAAGCTGATAGTACTGCACACAGCAGGCATCACTCAATGTGGAGTGTGTGTGGAGAATCCACCTGTCTTCCTGTTATGTCATGTGTGATGTGACTATTGATAGAGTTGCAGCCAGCTGGGGCACTCCATTAAGCTGCCCGTGGAAGTACCTGCTTTTTATTTTCATTTCACTCCCTGGACTGAGAGTGTTTGGAGGATATCTCAGTGGCTCATGTGGAGGGAGCATCTGTGGGTGGAAGGCAACAGGCAGGGTGAGTCAGAGGTAGTGGTCCTGGCCACTGCATGCCTGGTGCCCCTGGCTCTGCCTGCAGCTCTGGAATCCTGAGATAAAGATGATGGCTGCTCTGTAAAGGCAGCTCAGTATAGGCAGCAGGCCTGGAAACTTCTCTTTTCATTGTGGCGGTACCAGATAGTAGTGTGTACAAAGTACTGCACGACAGAGGAGGGCGGGTCTGACTGTCCTCAGGACACTACAGAGAGCTGACCTTCAGGGAAGTGACTTGGGAGGGATTGTGCCAGAGCCACAGGTGCTCTCCAGGTGGGGCTGACGTGAAGGACCATTCTGGGCAGAGCTACAGAGCTCTGAAGAACAAGGAGTGGCTGGGAGAGAGGGGTCACGCCTGTAATCCCAACACTTTGGGAAGCTGAGGTGGGCGGATCACTTGAGGCCAGGAGTTTGAGACCAGCCTGGCCAACATAGCAAAACCCTGTCTCTACTAAAAGTACAAAAATTAGCTGGGCGTGGTGGTTTGTGACTGTGAACCCAGGTACTCGGGAGGCTGAGGCAGGAGAATCGCTTGAACCTGGGGGCAGAGATTGCAGTGAGCCAGGATAGTGCTACTTCATTCCAGCCTGGGTGACAGAGCGAGACTGTCTCAAAAAAAAAAAAAAAAAGAACAAGAGGTGTGTGTGAGAGGGGCTGCTAGGGGCAGGGAAGGCTCCAGGTTATGACCTGCCTTATATTCTCCTGGAGGACAGTTCACTGGGGAGCAGTTTCTGGGTATTTAAAATACCGGGATGAAGATCTTCAGAGAAGCAAGATGTCAGTTGAGAAGTCAGGGATGCAGATGGGGGAGGGGTGATTCAGGTGACTCAATTTCACAAAGGTCACCTCTGTCTCTGGGAGTCTCAAGGATTGCCATCTGTGTTCCTAGGAAGCAGTGGCTCCACTCTAATGAGAAGGGCTTTTCGAGTGGGAATGGCCTCAGCCTTGACTCATTCTCTTAACCTGCATTTACGTGTTTGGTTGAGAATGCAGTAGCTGTGTGGGTTCTGCTTCTCTTTCTTTTTTCTTTTTTGAGACGGAATTTTGCTCTTGTCGCCCAGGCTGGAGTACAATGGTGCGATTTCGGCTCACTGCACCCTCCACCTCCCAGGTTCCAGTGAGTCTCCTGCCTCAGCCTCCCAAGTAGCTGGGATTATAGGCATGCGCCATCATGCCGGGCTAATTTTTGTATTTTTGGTAGAGATGGGGTTTTACCATGTTGGCCAGGCTGGTCTCAAACTCCTGACCTCAAACGGCCCGCCTGCCTCTGCCTCCCAAAGTGCTGGGATTTCAGGCATGAGCCACCGTGCCTGGCTGTTTCTCTTTCCATATGGTTTATGCTTACAGATCCTTGAGGTTAATATGTCACTTTCACTGTTAGTTCCTACAGAAGAAAGGTAATTTTGCAATAAGGTTTTGGAGGTTAGGAACATGGTTTTGGAGTCATACAGCCCTTGGGTGTGGGTTCGAGCTCCATCACTAGGTGACTGTGCGGCTTTTGGCCAAATGTTTCAATGTCTCCAAAACTTGAGTGTCTTAGTCAGTTGGGGCTGCTATAACAAAGATGCGGTGGCTTGTAAACAACAGAAATTTCCTTCTTACAGTTCTGTAGGCTGCAAGTCTGAGATCAGGGTACCAGCATGGTTGGGTTCTGAGGAGGGTCCTTTTTCATGTTGCGGATTGCTGACTTCTTATAGCTTCACATGACAGAAAGAAGGCGAGAGAGCTCTCAGGTACTTTTTATAAAGGCATGAGTGGCTGAGTGCAGTGGCTTATGCCTGTAATCTCAACACTTTTGGAGGCTGAGGCAGGAGGATCACTTGATGCCAGGAGTTCATGGCCAGCCTGGGTAACATAGTGAGACCCTATCTCAACAAAAACTAAAAAAAAAAAATTGTAAGGACACTAGTCCCATTCATGAGGGCCCTGCCTAATTAGCTTCCAAAGGCCCTACTTCCTAATGCCATCAAACTGAGGGGTAGAATTTCAACATATGAATTTTGAGGGGATCCATACATGCAGTCCTTTGCACCAGGATACTGAGAGCCCTTCCTCATAGGATTTTGGCGGGGCAGCATGAGGTGATGGACCCCAGGAGCCCAGCATGTGTGCCTGGTCACAGTGCTCATTCAGTCACTCTCCTATCAGTCTACGTAAGTGAATTTGCCAGCAAACTATACCTTTAAAGTGCCCAAAGTGATTTTATCCAGTTCTATTTAAAAATCCTTCCAGAACTTTTTGGACCTTTCCTTGGTGACTCGGGGTCACGGGTGTAGTCGCAGGTCATTGGTGTGGGTGAGGCCTCCTGCCCTGGCCCTGCATGGACTCCCCTCATATCCTGGCACTTACAGGGCCTGTCTTTCTCCCCACCACCTTTTGTAAGCTGCTGTTGGCACCTGGCCCTTTTGTTGGGGTAAGGGCCTGATGATGGTCATATCCTCCCTGGGTTTTGAGGGCAGCCTTGCCATGCAGAGAGGCCTTGCTCTCTTCTGGGTTGGTAATTCTCTGCCTGAGTTTAATGTGATGGATTCTAGAAAGCCTGACCCTGGGGTGAAGGGATGTTGCTTGACTACACGTAGTGACTCAGGATTGGAAGGGAGTACTGGTAATGATAGCTTATCCCTAGGTGATGGGAAATAGGACTTAGAAAGCAAATGATAAAGGTGTGAGCACTGCTCACCTGTGTGAAATTGTATTAAGATAACACGCAGCAGTGATAGTTAAGGCTTTAGAATTATAGGAAGTTTCTCCTTGTTTTCCACACAGTACCATTGCCCTTTTACTTTTAGATTAATGTTTAAGTAATAACTTTGTAATTAAAATAAGTATAAATAAAAAGAGCTTGGTTGTCTAGGCATTTGCATTTTACCAAGAAGCTTTCCATAGCCCTCATTTTGTTTTCAGGACAGCCTTGTTGATTTGTTTCCCTTTTCATTGTTTAGAGGAGAAAGAGAGTCAGAGCTAAAGGGGTGAGTGGTTTTGCCTGAGGCCACCTGCCAGGACCCCATATGGGCCTCTGAGCCCAAGCCCAGAGCGCCCAGGGAGGCCTGTGACGGGGCCTCTGCCTGGACCTGCAGGGTGGTCTTTAGATAGGATCAACTGTGTATTCTGAAGTTTCCTATTGAATGAAATGAAATCTTCTTAATGTAAAGTGATACCCAAACCGTAGTTTGTGAGCATTTTCATGTTTTAAACTGCATTTGTCTTTCATTATATTAAATTATGTTGTCGCCAACCGAGCGTGCCAAGATCATGAATTGTGGTCTTCAGAGGAACCACAGAGCAGGCAGTGCTCCCTGTACAGACGTCCAAGCCCGCTATTAGTGGGTTCTGTAGCTGTCTGATTGGCTGGAGCTGGCTGCCTGCTCGCCACTTAGCTCGCACGTGGTGATGCTTTAATTAAGCAATTGCGACCTTTGCTCCTGCAAATGTGTCATCAGATAAGGAGACTGGGCATGTGCCACCAAGGAGGATGTGCGTGGGGGGTGCAGAGTCAGTGGTGAGGGGCTGTCTGCACAGGCCCCCATGTTCTGAAGTTTCTGAGGGACCATTCAAGAAGCTTTACATTCCTGCCCATTTAATTCTTGCAACCAGATAGTGTTCTCTCCACTTGATCCATCAGTAAACCTAAGCTCAGAGAGATTCAGTGGCCTTCAGAGGGTCACCATCAGAGCTGGTGCTCTGCCTACCGAAGCCCACACTCATTTCACCTCCTCTGGCTGGCTGGAATAAGTAAGTTGTGAATCACTCTCAGATGTGAACATCTTTAAAAGATAATTAATCTTTCTCCCCCACCTCTGAGAAACATAGACATGAGGGAGATTATGTGTGTCCTTTGCTTAAGACGGCATCTATGTCTGTAACTAACTTGGTTTCAATAATCTGAAAGTTTACAACCATTTACACAGCAGGGAGATAAGGGCACAAAAGGGAGAGCTGCTGGGGTGCGGTCAAGGCCGTGGGTGACTCGCTGGTACACCCACCCCATGATGCATCCCACGTGGGACAGGAGGAAGATTCCAGAGGCCCTGGCTTAGGAGTGCCTCATCTTCGGCAGATGCATTTTAAAAGGCATCTTATGCTGTTAAAGAGCAGGTAGACAAGGGAGAAGAAATTGTGTTTCTGTAGAGGACTGCACTTTGTAAAATTGCGAAAGGTCTTCACATTTTGTCAACGTTGTGATATCACATAAGAGCATTTGCTCAGGTATATTAGAGCAGATATTTGTTTTGTTTTGTTTTATTTTGAGACAGAGTCTTGCTCTGTCGCCCAGGCTGGAGTGCAGTGGCGCGATCTCGGCTCACTGCAAGCTCCGCCTCCTGGGTTCACACCATTCTCCTGCCTCAGCCTCCCAAGTAGCTGGGACTACAGGTGCCCGCCACCACGCCCAGCTAATTTTTTGTATTTTTAGTAGAGACGGGGTTTCACCGTGTTAGCCAGGATGGTCTCTATCTCCTGACGTGATCCGCCTGCCTTGGCCTCCCGAAGTGCTGGGATTACAGGCGTGAGCCACCGCGCCCAGCCGATATTTGTTTTTATGCTTGGGATAATCATCACTTTTGTGTCAAATGACTTCTTTTTTGCTTTCTTTAAATCTTTTAAAAATTGAAGGTTCAACATAGAAAACAATGTTCTGAGTAAAAAACTCTTTGTAGTTTACCTTCCACGCACAAAGTGGTTTTTGTGTATCTTGATCAAGTAACCTATTCCCTGCCAACTTTGTACCAAGCTTCAGAAGAGGCAAGAGAGGTACGTTGTCTCTGTCCTGCCTCAAGGCAACACTTCGAGGTTGTTAGTTTGAATGTGAGGAAGCTGTAGGTAGTGAGATCAGGTGCCTAGTTCAAGGCCATCCAGTTTGTAGATGGGAGAGATCTGGAGCTTGAACTGACCTCGCTGTTTCCTTTTCAATAACTGACATTGTTATAATTGTATTATTCAGATTCACTTAAATATTTTCTCAAGTATTTTCCATGTTTTACCTTCATCTTCAAAAAGATTATTAATGGTTATATTATCCTGTTGACGTAATGAGATTAAAACATTCCCTAGTGCTGGACATTTTAGGTTATTTCCACTTTTTTGCTAATGTAGATGAATTTGCAGTTTATAATTTCATCCTTTTTCATCTGTGTAATTAGTTCCTGGGGATAAATTCCCGAGAATAGAAATCTTGTATTAAAGGGTATGAACACCTTAAGAGTGTTTTGAAAGCCTGTCTTGCTGCTTGTAAGTGTATTTTTCTGATTTTTTGGGTGAAAAAATGGGGATTCTTTCTCTTTAAAGTGCCTGCCTTGGCCTTTAGAACTTCCAAGTATCTGTGAGATAAGAAAGTTCTGTGAGGGTTTCTTAAATGAGTCACATTTCCTTCCTAAGTTTCTGGATATCATTTTACTTGAATTGGTTGCCATACTTTGATGAGCAAGGAACGCTGTTTTAGAAAATCCTTACTACTTGATGATTAATCCTTGGAGCTAATGTTCCACGTTCCCAAGGTTGTGAGTGCTTATGGCCACATTCCTGCATCAGCTCAGCCATCGCGGTAGGTATCTCACAGACCTTCTCTAGCTTTCTTTTCCTCACTTAAGGGATGCATATTGGAAAGACTCTGCAGGGTTCTTTCTGCCAGGCAGCCTGGGGGTCGTGTGGTCCTTTAGAGTTCATCTCTAGCTTCTAGATGCTGCTCTCATGGGGGTTCCTGGCTCTGTTCATCTCCAGAGACAAGCATCTCAAAGGGAACCTGGGAAGTTTATAGCACTGGTGCTTGCTTGCCTTGTTTGCTTGTTTGTTTTTCTGTTCTGGTCTGCTGTGGAACTTGTCACCATGTCCCCTCCCCATGGACTGACTTTCCTACCCTCCACTGTCCCTTAGGTATTCACTCTCAGACTGAGTGGTGTCCTGTTTTCCTGGTGGCTCATTTGCCAGGGTCTGCAAAGGACAAGGTGCTTAGCAGGGACAGAGAGGGGCTCCAGGTGGGGAGCAGTGGTCAGGCCAGCTGACCTTAGTGCTTACCCCTGGGTCCCCTCCCTAGAATTCCTGCGATGCCTCCACCATGTCTACCCTCTCCCCACAGGGGCTGTTTCCCTTTTAGTTCTCTTGCCTTACTGTGGGCAAAAGCTTACTTTTCTTGGTTCCTCTTATCCCAGCTAAGAAAAGCTGATGTTCACAACAAAATGAAGAGACTTGACTACCCAGGAAGGTAGACATAAGAGGAAACAGCCACAAACAGCACAGGCATACAAGTGTCTTGCTTCCCAAGCACAGGCAGGTTTTTGTGCCCACACTTCAGGGCTCGTCTGACTGCACTGGCTCTGCCAGGCGCTGCCCAGCTTCCTGCTTCCCCTCCCAGTCCTGCTTCTTCTGTCAGTAAAACAAAATTTTAGAGTGATGCTTTGCTTGATGCTTTGGGGGCTGCATTTTTATCACAAGTGTGGAAATTGTACTTTGCTCTGGTTTCTACAGATGCCTAAACATGTCTAGGTTGCTGTTGCCTTGGCAACTGGCTGAGCTGTTGGTTGTGTGTGTGGTGAAGGTTCTGGCAGGGGCTTCATGGAAGCCTCTGGTCATCCTTAGAGCTTTTCAGCTAAGCTGGCGGTTACTCCCAAGCCCAGAACCATATGCTCTTAGCTCCCCTTTGTCGTTTGGAGCTTCCCATTTTATTTCCCTGAGAAATCCCTGCTCAGCTGCCCTAGACTTGGGTGGGTGGTATGGCATGGCATGGCATGCACTGATAGGGCTGATTTATTTCGAGACTGGATTTTTGGTAACACAAGACGTGATTCCATAGCAGCCCTTGGCCTAAGTTTTATTTGAGGTCGGACGGGGCCCAAGGGCTGCTTGTGCTCTCCCTTCAAGTGCCTTCTGCTTTTTAGGCCTGGGGTGCTTGTTGGGGCCCAGAGCTGGGCCTTGCCTGAGAGTCACGCAAAAGCAGGGCCTTCCAGTACTCCAGAGGGGTACTCCTGACCACCTGTAAGCCATGGGAAGAAAGTCAATGTGATTGGATCACGGCAGTGCCACACAGTATGTCTCCTTTTATGAAGACTGAGTGAAAGGATATAATCAATTCCAGTTTTATCCTTTGTTATTTTCTTTAATGCTTCTTGTATTTCCTTTTGGATTTATTTCTTTTCTTCTTAGTCTTGCAAATGTGAGTCTGAAGTTGCTGATGTGGGGGTTGGGGCTGACTCATCACCTCCCCTTATAGCTCAGACAAGTCACCTTCCTTAAAGTTTTTTGGGTGTACGCTCATTTCCAGAATTGCTATTTTGGGCCCATGCTTTTCTCTCTGCTGCCTCTACTAGGAACTTGCAGGTTCACGAAATTTAGAAATAGTTTAACATAACATGAGCTCTTACTAGTAAGTAAAGAGGTGAGTAGAGAGAGAAACCTCCTCCAATCCTCCAAACCCTCCAAAAGCCTCATGTTAGCAGTGTGATTGGTGGAGGTGGAGACAAACTCAGTCCATTGGGAACTCGTGGGGTTACCAGGTGGGAGAGGGGAGTTCTCTCCTTGGGGTAGAGTTGGCAAATTACCAGTCCCCACAAAGGCTGCAAAGCCCTGCTACCCACTCCCTGTGCATCCTGCTGTCCAGGATGGCTGGCTTTTGGGGTCCTGACCTGGAACCCGGGTTGCTTTTCCCCATAGGAGGGCCTCTGTCTGGAGCAGAGGTTCAGGGAGAAGCCTCTGGCATGTTTTGGTCTTGGGCCGGCCCCGTCCATTGGGGCTACAAGTGCCTGCAGTGAGCTGTTGTTAGTAAGGAGCTCTGCAACCAGATTGCCTGGGCTTGAATCCCAGCTCTGAGATTGGTTGTGATACCTACCTCACCTTTGAAATGGGGATCATGATAGGATTGTTGTGCAGATGGGATGCATGAATGTGTGCCCTGCACTTGTGATGGCATTGCCCTTAGAGAACTCCATTGTAGCACAGCCATCGGTGCCTCTGAGCCTGCCAACCATCTTGCCTTGGGACTCTTTGATTCCCACTTTACAGTTGAGGAAATAGGCTCAGAGAAGCTTAATATATCTTCAGATCTGGGTCTGTCTCAGGGTTCTCTCTTCAAAGCACTGGTGGTCCCCCACAGTGGCCCTGTCTCCCCAGCAAGTTAGGGAGTGACTGCCAGGGGACTGCTCCATCAGTCCTGTGCCCACCAGGCATAGTCTGTAGACAGCATTTTTTTTTTTGAGATGGAGTTTCATTCTTGTTGCCCAGGCTGGAGTGCAATGGCATGATCTTGTCTCACGGCAACCTCCGCGTCCCGGGTTCAAGCGATTCTCTTCTTCAGCCTCCCAAGTAGCTGGGATTACAGGCATGTACCACCACGCTGGGCTAATTTTGTGTTTTTAGTAGAGACAGGGTTTCTCCATCTTGGTCAGGCTGGTCTTGAATTCCCAACCTCAGGTGATCCACTGGCCTTGGCCTCCCAAAGTGCTGGGATTAGAGGCATGAGCCACCACGCCTGGCCTGTAGACAGATTTTTTAATGCCTCCGTACACACACATACACACACACATTAGACATTTATATGTTACTGAAATGGGAGAGTTCCCTGGACCCCTTCGAGGTACTTGGGACAGGGGTGTGGCTGGTTTGCTTAAACCACTTACAGGAGGGGGAGCATGCAGGTGAGCAAGTACAGGGGCCGAGGCGAGCACTTTTGGGCTCTGGCCCCACAGCAGTGTCTAGGGTTGTTACAATGCTCTTTTAGCCCTCCTGTCTGAGGACGGCTTAAGTGTTAAACGGCTTAAGAGTCAGTGTGACAGCCTTTTTGGGTTCAGCATCCCGAATTATCTGGCGTCCAGGAAGAATCAGGTCACATGGACTTGAAGGATGGTGAATGCGGGATTTTATTGAGTGATGGAGGTGGCTCTCAGCAGGATGGGGAGCTGGAGATGGGATGGAGTGGGAAGGTGATCTTTTCCTGGAGTTTGGCCATTCTGCAGCCGATCTCCTCTTCAACTGCCCCCAGCTCAACTCCTCTCGACTTCCTCTCTTCTCTCCTCTGCCACTCTTCTGCTCCTGGATTCTGGGGTTTGGGGTTTTATATGGGCACAGGATGATGGGGGACATGGTGGGCTGAAAGGCAACATTTGGGTGCGAAAACAGGAATGCTTGTTCTCATTTAGGGCCTTGGGTCCAGGCTTGAGGGTGGGGCTCTCACCAGGGACCCTGCCCTTCTGCCTCGTGTTTGTATCATTACTATATATAAATGATGCTGTGATTATGATTAACAAAATACCAGTTTACTTTAAAACTTGAATTTACAGTAGCCTTTTGTCATCTGGAGTTTCTAAATCATTGAATGTGAAAAATACTATTATTTAGGGATCTAGCAACCTTATTGATCTTTAAAAGGCTTAAGTTCAGAAAAAGTTTATTGTTGCCCTTTTCTTGCTCTGTGTTTTGGTGTCTGCCCTTCTGTCTGTCTGGCATCTGTGCGAGTCATGCGTCAGGGCATGTTGGGGAGATGGAGGCCAGTGTGGCTGGGTTGAGTTATAAACTGGAAGCAAGGTTGGGAGCCCAGAATCCAAACCAGGTTCAGACTGGGAGAATATCTGAAATCCCTGCAGCAGCAAAGAAGGTTCCTATATTCACGGTCCCTGAAGGAATTTTGCTGGGTCCCCAGGTTCTCTGGGAGCATTGATGTGTCTCACTCTCATGGTACCAAAGACTTTCTGTTTTTATTCATCAACTTCCTGTATTTCCTTCTGCTCCCTCCTTAACCTGGGGTTGGCTCTAGTTTCAAAGTTAATTCTCAAATCCAAACCTCAGACTTAAAGGCTGGTAACTGCCCTTGGATATGTTTGGGGCTGGCTCCTGAGAAACCTCTTTTCCAGGAAAGCTCTGGCCTGTTAGATTTTGCTCTGTAATTTTACTGCCTTGCTCACCTAACGGTGGTCACTGGTGTTCTGAGACACGTGGGTGGAACTCAGCAATGTTTCTTCACTTGTATTTTTGTTTGTTTGTTTTTTGAGACAGAGTCTTGCCCTGTCGCCCAGGCTGGGGTGCAGTGGTGTGATCTCAGCTCACTGCATCCTCCACCTCACGGGTTCAGATGATTCTCCTGCCTCACTCTGCCTCCCGAGTGAAGTAATAGCTGGGACCACAGGCATGCGCCACCATGCCTGGCTAATTTTTGTTGACCTGTATTTGGATCTTATATTTACATGAGAATTTCATGCAAATAGATTCTTTCCCCCTAGAAATGGACTCAGACATTTTTGCATGCAATTCAATGTATTCATAAATCCCCATTCATTTTTATTTATTTATTTATTATTTATTGTTTTTTTTTTTGAGACGGAGTCTCGCTGTCGCCCAGGCTGGAGTGCAGTGGCGCCATCTCAGCTCACTGCAACCTCTGCCTCCCGGGTTCAAGCGATTCTCCTGCCTCAGCCTCCCAGGTAGCTGGGACTACAGGCGCCTGCCACCACGCCTGGCTAATTTTTTCTATTTTTAGTAGAGACAGGGTTTTACCATGTTAGCCAGGATGGTCTCAATCTCCTGACCTTGTGATCTGCCCGCCTCTGCCTCCCAAAGTCCTGGGATAACAGGCGTGAGCCACTGTGCCTGGCCAAATCCCCATTTATGTATTCAGCAAATTTTTGAACGCCTGCCATGTGCTAGGCACGGTTCTAGGCACTGGAGTTACAACAGGAACAACGTAGTCCATGATCTTACATTCTGGTCAGAGGAGGCAGAGCGTGATTAAACACCCCCAGCCTGGTGTGGAGGGAAGGCCAGCCTCAGTGGGCGGGAGGGTCCAAGCCTCATCCCCTCCTGCCAGGGCTCTGCTTGTTGCCAAACCTCCCAGCCCCCTTCTAGCCTTCACTTCCCTGAACTGGTTTCTGACTTCACAATCGTTATCAGAATTATTTTTAAAAAATTTAATGTTTATTGAGGCTCATTTTGTGCCAGGTGTCCTATTTTTCCTTGCGTGATTACACTTATTCTCATGACAACTTTGTTTTGCAAGTGAGAAAGCTGGGCCTAGGCCTCATACCTAGGAAATGTGATGTGTGGTTTTGATCAGCATGCAGCTTGAGGCTGTAGAACTCAGTAAGCCAGGCCTGAGGACACCATCAGAAATACCAACAAAAAATTCAGTGTGTCCATTTTGGCCTGGACCGTCTCTATTCTCTGCTTTTTTTCCCCCTGATTGAGACAGGGCCTCACTCTGTCACCCAGGCTGGAGTGTAGTGGTGTGATTGTGGCCCACTGCAGCCTCCAACTCCAGGGCTTAATGATCCTCTCACCTCACCCTCCCAAATTACAAGTGTGTACCATCATACCTGGCCAATTTTTTTTTTTTTTTTTTTTTGCGGCAGAGTCTTGCTCTGTCACCCAGGCTGGAGTGCAGTGGCTCGATCTTGGCTCACTGCAACCTTTGCTGCCTGGGTTCAGGCGATTCTCCTGCCTCAGCCTTCCCAGTAGCTGGGATTACGGGCGTGTGCCACCATGCCCAGCTAATTTTTGTATTTTTAGTAGTGATGGGGTTTCAGCATCTTGGCCAGGCTGGTCTTGAATTCCTGACCTTGTGATCCACCCATCTTGGCCTCCCAAAGTGCTAGGATTACAGGCGTGAGCCACCGCGTCCAGTGTCATACCTGGCTAATTTTATTATTTTTTTTTTGAGACGGAGTCTCGCTCTGTCGCCCAGCCTGGAGTGCAGTGGTGCAATCTCGGCTCATTGCAAGCTCCGCTTCCCAGGTTCAAGCCATTCTCCTACCTCAGCCTCCCAAGTAGCTGGGACTACAGGCGCCCACCACCACGCCCAGCTAATTTTTTGTATTTTTAGTAGAAATGAGGTTTCACCGTGTTAGCCAGGATGGTCTTGATCTCCTGACCTTGTGATCCGCCCACTTCGGCCTCCCAAAGTGCTGGGATTACAGACGTGAGCCACCACGCCCAGCCAATACCTGGCTAATTTTTAAATTTTTCTGGAGACTGGGGAAGGGGGCAGGTCTCACTGTGTTGCCCAGGCTGGTCTTGAACTCCTGGCTTCAAGTGATCCTCCTGTCCCGGCTTCCCAGAGCGCTGGGATTACAGGTGTGGGTCACTGTGCCTGGCCACTGTTTCTTTTAACAATCAAATTGCCTTTCTCAAGGAGGAAAACATGGGTGGAATGTGCTTTAAGGCCTCTGTCTGGTGGACATTATAGGCACTTGAAGTTACCAAATCTGTATATTTACTGTTGGCAAAATTGCATGATCCCATCCTTATTTCCAAATAATTGCCGCGTGAATGACATTGGAAATGCACATTTAGTTCTTGACTGAGTAGTTGTATACACACTCTGGTTTTTCCACACCAGACACTTGCTCTCTTGCTGTGACTTTTAAGGTCCTGCCCAATGGACAGAGTAACTTCCTGAAAAGTTGCTTTAAAAACCTTGTCTCCTCAGTGGACGGAGGGTGCAATGAAACAACATTTGTCATCCTGACTCAGTCCCAACCAAGCAGAACCTTTATTGTGACTGGAGGTTTGCAAGCTGCCGTCCTCCTGGCACCAAAAGCAGCCTGTTCTTTAAATATTTGCATTGAATAACTTTGTAGCTCTGCTTCCTTCTAAGGCTTGCCACACTTCATGTCAGAAGCAGAGCTCCTCCTCTGGAGTTATTGTGAAACATGACTGAATGCCAGGGTGCAGTTTCTCTGCAGTCAGCTCACTTTATAGAGGAAGAACTCGGCTGCTTCAGCTCAATGTGAGTTAAACGTTGCAGTGTCCAGTCTTGCTTCCTGGCAGTTGGGGCCCGGAGCAGCCCCGAGGCGGGGAGGGGGGACATTGTCCCCTTTGACTATGTGATTGTTGGAAGCAGGGTCCTGAGAGGGAGTCCAGGAGGCAGCCTAAATGGAATTTCCAGTCTAAACGGGCAAGGCACAGTTGCGGGAGTCCTGGTGTAAAGTCCAGTGAGACAGAGACTGGGGCTTGGGGTGGGATGGGGATTGCTGACAAGAGAGAAGGATCTCTGGGCCAGGGAAGAGGCAGCTGCATTCGCTGGCTGCGAGGCTGTGGCTCTAGGTGTGGATATGCTAGGGTGCTCCCCGCAGCCCCCAGACCTTTCATATGTCAGCATTCCCGTAGGTGGGGCATGTGGGACCCCTGCCCGGGGCCCTTTTTCCAGTGTGACTGTCCCTATAGGGTGAGGAATCTGAGGTATCAAGAAGTGGTATCTCCCTAAAACTTGTGCCTCTCCCTTTAGGCCATGCACAGGGACAGAGACCCTGGAATTCCCTGCCCCAGTAACCCCCAGACCCCTTACATGGCCTGCATGGGCCGCCTCCCTGGCGTGTCCTGCTGAGGGTAGGCTGTGCACTGTGTGCACGTGCCTCCAGCCAAAGGTGGCTGAATGGTGGCCATGGGCAGGGTATGTGTGGACAGAGCTTGGGTGTGCAGGCTGGGGTGTCCCCATAAGCACGCCCGAGGGTCTTTGTGGCGCAGGACACGGCTCTGGATTCATGTGTGTGCCTGGTTTCTTGAATGGTAAAGTTCATGCTTATTTTCTGGGTGTGTTTGGGGTTGTCCCTCCCTATCTGACACATGGGGCTTGGGACCATGCCTGGAGCCCCAGTTGCATGGGGAGGTGGGGTTAAGAGCAGGCCTGTCCCCCTGCTCAGCCCTTCTTACCACCAAACCAGCCACACTTGAGCAGGAGCGCACTGCACTGTCATTTTACCCAAAGTTTCCCTCTAGGGCTTTGCTGATGACATCTCTTGGCTTTTGTTAGCATTCTGGCGCAATATCAGAAGGATTCCAGTCTACATCGTGGTCTTCTTGAGAGCTCATATTTGATTTCGGCTTTAGCTCACTGGACTTTAGCCTGGAGGAATCCCACTGAAGAGTTTTTAATGTTGACTTATGGAACTTGTCCCAGCAGCAAACCACAGATACTGTGGCTTGGGGGTGAGCAGCTCTTGTGGAAACAAGGCACTTCCCTTCTTCAGCTGCATAGGAGTGCTTCAGGAACCTTTTGGGCCACATTCTTCTTGTGATTTCTTGACTTGTGGGAGGGCAGGGAAGTGATGTCTGGGTCCCACAGCGCACATGGCTGTCCCTGGTGCCGCCCTTCCAGGAGGAACTGCCAGGTCGGATGTGGAGATGAACCCGGAGAGTGTCCTTCGGCTCTGGTCGGCCTTCAGGGGCATTCCTGCCAGTCTCAGAAGATGACAGTCTGCAATCGTGTTATCATCAACGTGGAAAAAATAAGGGCAATGCAGTTTTCATGTGTGTAAGGTTAGCAGCTGCCCTTTCTTGGGAAGGGCTCTTTCTGTATAAAATTTTGACCATTGTATCTTTTACATTTTAAAATGTCCTATCTTTCCATGTTGATGAAAAGAGCTGGTAGTTTCTAAAGGATATTCTTACTTGGCAAAATAAGAAGTAAGCAGTCTTATGTTATTCTGCCTTCAAATTTGAAACAGTTTTATTGAGTTATAATGAACAGGCGATAAGTTTTGGCATATGAATACACTGTTAAGCCATCATTGCAAAGAAGATAGTGAGAAGTCCACCCTCTGAGGGTTCCTCTTGCCACTTGGGGTCCCTCTGCCCCCACTTCTTCCAGGCCACCACTGCTCTACTCTTTGCCACTGTAGAATCATTTGCATTTTCTAAAATTTTATGTAAATGGAATCATACAGTATGTATTCTATGTATTCTTCTTCTTCCTTTTTTTTTTTTGAGATGGAGTCTTGTTCTGTTGCTAGGCTGGAGTGCAGTGGTGCAATCTCGACTCACTGCAACCTCCGCCTCCCGGGTTGAAGTGATTCTCCTGCTTCCCAGCTCCCAGCTCCCGAGTAGCTGGGACTATAAGTGCATGCTGCCATGCCCGGCCAATTTTTTTGTATTTTTAGTAGAGACGGGGCTTCACTGTGTTGCCCAGGCTGGTCTCAAACTCCTGAGCTCGGGCAATCTGCCCGCCTCAGCCTCCCAGAGTGCTAGGATTACAGGTGTGAGCCACCACTTCCGGCCAGTATATATTCTTTTTACAGTATGTGTTATTTTTAGTCTGGCTTCTTTCACTCAGTAAAATTACTTTGAGATTGTTGTAGCATTTATCAGTTAGTTTCATTTTTTAAAAAATCCAATGCATGGGCATGCTACAATTTGTTCATTCACCTATTGACAGACGTTTGGGCTGTTTCCACTTGGTGTAATCACAAATGAAGATGCTATGTCGTGAAAAGATGTTACAGAAAAATAAGGTGCTATTAACATTTGTGTGCCAGTCTCTGTGGGGACATCTGCTTTCTTTTTATCAAAAATTTAATGGAGACAGAGTCTCCCTATGTTGCCAAGACTGATCTTGAACTCCTGGGCTCAAATGATCCTCCTGCCTCAGTCTTCTAAAGTGTTGGGATTACAGGTGTGAACCACTGCACTTGGCCAACATCTGCTTCCACTTCCCTGGGGTAAATACCTAGAGTGGAATGGCTAGGTGCTTTGGTGGTTTAGGTGGTTAGGCTAGGTTTGGTGGCTAGGGTACGTTTAACATGTCCAGACACTGCCAAACTTTTCCAAAGTGCTTTGCGCGCATCACCAGCACTGGGTTCTAGTTCCCCCACATCCTCACCAACACTTGGTACATGTAGTCTTTTTAATTTTTGCCATTCTGGTAGGTTTAATTTGCATTTCCCTAGTGATTATCTCTTTAAATCACTTGCCTGTTGAAAAAGCTGAGTTGTTTTATTAACTTAGTTTTGAAATTTTTAAAATATATTTTGGATACAATTCCTTGATCAATTACATAATTTGAAAATATTGACTCCCTGTCTGAGGCTGTCTTTTCATTCTTTTAACAGTATCTTTTGAAGAACAGAAGTTTTAAACATTTGCTGAAGTCAATTTGTTCTTTTACGGCTTGTGCTTTTTTGGTTGGTGTCACAGCTAAAATCTTTGCCTAATCCCAGGTCACAAATGTTTTCTCATGTCTCGTCTAGAAATGTTATAGTTTTATGTTTTACATTTAGGCCTGTGATCCATTTTGAACTTTTAAAATGTGTTGCGGTGTGTGAATTGAAGGTTTTTTTTTTTTTTTTTTGTCTGTGGATAGCCAGTTGTTTCAGTACCATTTGTTGAAAAGTCCCCAAAATTTTGGGGGAAAATTTCTAATTGGTGAAACCCAGAGGTCTGGGAATTGTGGTTCTGAGCCCTTGGATCTCTTCATGACTGTTTACTGTTCTCAGCTTCGTATGGCATGGCTTTCTCTTTATCGCACCTGGGAGTTCCCAGCTCCTGACAGCAGGAGCTCTATCATTGGATAGGGCTGGGAAAGGGACTGGGCGATGCCCGCTGGATTCCCGCACAGTCTCTCTCCTTCTTCTCTGGGCCATACAGAGGCTTCTGGTTGGTGGGTTCTGGGCAGTGTCTCATTTCCAGAGGTGACTAGAGGCTTGCCAGGACAGAGAGGTGGAGGGAGAAGAAGCCTTCTGTGCCTGGATGGGTGGGGTGGGGCTCAGGCTGAGAAAGGTGGGAGGGGCTGTTCCCCATTCTGCGAGGGCTGACAGCCTTGAGACCTGCAGCCAGCTGAGACCCAGGGAACTGGGCTCTGCTCTGAGCCACTGCTTGTCCTTGACCAGCTTTATGACTGGGGTGGATGGGGGTGGGAGGGGTTAACACAAGTTCATTCTTTTCCCTTCAGTCACAAAGTGGCTCTGAGCAGTCTCCAAGTCTATACCATTGTACAGCAGCTTCCTAGGAGGTGGTAAAGTCTCCATCTGCTTTTTGATCTGGGGGCAGTGTGTTCTGACTCATAAACTGCTGGTACTACTAGTCCTAGCACTAGGAGTTCCACCAGCACCTAAAAGTGATGGAGCTTTCTTCTGCTGTAAGCACTTTGTGTATAGAACCCGTTGAGTCCTCACAACAGCGTTGTGAGGTGGCTGCTGTCCATTTTACAGATGAGGAAACTGAGGCACAGAGAAGGTGACCATCTGGAAGAAGTCTTTGGGCTGTGCTTTTTGTTATTGAACATTGAAGGACAGATATGGTTTAGCATTTTTCATTAGCTCTTGAGCCAAATAGAGTGGTTTCCATGGCCCTCTTCCACATCTTCATGTTCTTATTGGCAACGGGGAGGGGTCGGACTGTCTGAGATTAAAATTCTTGAGTGGTTCTCTGTTGTTATCACAATAAAATCCAGACTTGTGGTCTGACCCCTGCTTACCCGTTGAGTCTCATCTCTTGCCACACTCCTGAACTTCTTGCATTTCTCCCATGCAAATCTTGTCTACTGCAAATGCCATTCTTCCCGTCTTTGCCTGCTGAACTCATCCTTCAAAACTTGGCTCTAATTTCACCTTCCCCTCCCTCCAGGTGTTTTGCCCCTGGGCCTGCAGAGTGGATGGTCCACCCCCGTCCCCATACTCCTCATGTATGGTATGACCGACCTGTTTGTCTTCTGTGGGGCTAGGAGCTGGGTAGGCGGAGGGCAGGGGACTGCATTTTGTATTGTAGTGTGCAGTTCTTAGCTCTGAAATGGCACATCATAGGCAAGCAGGCTCTGTGGGATGAACAATGCAGGCATGAGTGACATGAGGATCTGCAGTCCTAAGACTGATTCATTCTTTGGGAGGAGTATCCCTTCTTACCCAAAGCCAGTTGGTTTGTGGCCGTCTGTGATTGCAAGTGCCCAGGGCTGCCCTCATGTGGAAAGTCACGTTGACTGACTGCAGAAATTAGCTGTGTTTAAAAATCATTCTTTTTAAAAAAATCATTCATTTTTTAAACCTGTTTAAATGCTTGAACTGGCTTACATCTTACATATATACACACACATATATATACACACATATGTGTGTGTATATATATATATATACATATATATACATATGTGTGTATATATATGTGTGTGTATATATGTATATATAAATATATCTTCTTTTTTTAAACCTGTTTAAATGCTTGAACTGGCTTACATCTTACCTATATATACACACATATATATACATATATGTGTGTGTGTGTGTATATATATATATATATATTTTTTTTTCCCCCTCCAAGAGAATGAGTTTTCTTTTCTTTTTTTTTTCTTTCTTGTTTTGTTTTTTTGAGACAGAGTCTCACTGTGTCGCCCAGGCTGGAATGCGGTGGCGCGATCTCAGCTCACTGCTGCAATCTCTGCCTCCCAGGTTCAAATGATTCTCCTACCTCAGCCTCCCAAGTAGCTGGGACTACAGGCACCCACCACCATGCCCAGCTAATTTTTTTTGTATTTTTAGTAGAGACGGGGTTTCACTGTGTTGGCCAGGCTGGTCTTGAACTCGTGACCTCGTGATCCACCCGCCTCGGCCTCCCAAGGTGCTGGGATTACAGGTGTGAACCACCACACCTGGCCTTTTTTTTTTTTGAGGGGGATGGAGTTTCACTCTTATTGCCCAGGCTGGAGTGCAATCGTGTGATCTCGGCTCACTGCAACCTCCACCTCCCAGGTTCAAGCGATTCTCCTGCCTCAGCCTCCTTAGTAGCTGGGATTACAGGCATCCACCACCACACCCAGCTAATTTTTTGTATTTTTAGTAGAGATGGGGTTTCATCATGTTGGCCAGGCTGGTCTTGACCTCCTGACCTCAGGTGATCCACCCACCTCGCCTCCCAAAGTGCTGGGTTAATAGGCGTGAGCCACTGCGCCCGGCCGAGAATTGAGTTTTCTATTGTATTAAGAAACGAACTAGACCAGGTGCAGTGGCTCATACCTGTAATCCCAGCACTTTGGGAGGTCAAGGCAGGAGGATTTCGTGAGCCTAGGAGTTTGAGACCAGCCTGGGCAACATAGTGAGACCCTGTGTCTACAGAAAATTTAAAACTAGCCAGGTGTCATGGTATGTGCCTGTGGTCCCAGCTATTCAGGAGGCTGAGGTGGGAGAGTTGCTTGAGCCTAGGAAGTCAAGGCTGCAGTGAGCCATGATTGCGCCACTGCACTCCAGTCTGGATGACAGACTCACTCCCAAAAACAAAAAAAAAAATTTCTTTGACCACCTTTCAGATCATGGATTTAAGTTTCTATATTTTTTCCCAAATGCATGTGATGTCATTGTAAATTTTATGGCAAGCTAAAAAAATAATTTGAGTTTTTGAAAATGTTTCTTTGGAATGTGTGGGCTGGGGCCAACATGAATTAGATTGGATCAAGTTTGGTATCCCTTCTTGAAAGAGAAGGAAGTTTGGAGAGCAATGTTAACTGAACTGCATTTGGTACAGAGAGCTATTTAGAAATGTTTTGCTACATTTCACTGAAATCTTCATACCTGTGGCTACATTATTTTCTTCCCGAGCTGCTGTAGTTAGGAGCAGTTATACTTTTGGCCAGTGGACCCTAAGCCTGGACTTCTACAGGTTGCTGAATTTGAACCAGATTTTCAGTTCATTGCATAATGTATTTTTTTCTTTAATTACTAGGACGCAGGATTAACTAATCTTGGGAAGTAGAAGGTTGAGTTGTACCTTGATGAAGATGAGTTCAAGCTCTATTTGGTTGTGGTCCTCTCCTGCTCTGGCCATGACGTGCCCCCCACCCCTCACTCACACATCCCACAGCTGTCTGTGTCCTCGTGGGCTTTGTAACTGTGAGGGTCCTAGCAGTGAATGTGAATGAAAAGTGTTCAGAGACTATCTTCTCCTTGTCTTTGGTGCCTGGGACAAACCTACATTTTCTAAATGGTTTTGCTTTTGTGTTCTCTGGAACAGGCATTTATGTATTTATTTATTTTGTTTTTGAGCCACAGTCTCGTTATGTTGCCCAGGCTGGGGTGCAGTGGTGCGATCTCGGCTCACAGCAACCTCCACCTCCCGAGTTCAAGTGATTCACCTCAGCCTCCCAAGTAGCTGGGACTACAGGGATGTGCCATCACACCTGGCTAATTTTTGTATCTTTAGTAGAGACGGGGTTTCACCATGTTGGCCAGGCTGGTCTTGAACTCCTGACCTCAAGTGATCTGCCCGCCTCAGCCTCCCAAAGTGCTGGGATTACAGACATAAACCACTACGTCCAGCCTGGAACAGGCATTTTAAAATGTGTTCTGGAGGTTTTATGGCTCATGCCTGTAATCCGAGCACTTTGGGAGGCGGAGGTGGGTAGATGATGAGGTCAGGAGATTGAGACCATCCTGGCTAACACAGTGATTAAACCCTGTCTCTACTAAAAATACAAAAAATTAGCCGGGTGTGGTGGTGCGCACCTGTAGTCCCAGCTACTTGGGACGCTGAGGCAGGAGAATCGCTTGAACCCGGGAGGCGGAGGTTGCAGTGAGCCGAGATTGCACCACTGCACTCCAGCCTGGGTGACAGAGTGAGACTCCTGTCTCAAAAAAAAAAAAAAAAAAGAATGAATGTGCCCGTCTTCTGAACATGGTGCCATGGGTGTGTGTGTGTGTGTGTGTGTGTGTGTGTGTGTGTGTGTGTGTTGCTCCTGGACTCAGGGTGGGGTGTCTCAAACCACATGCTGGGTGGCCAGTGAGGTCCCTCGGGCAGAGCCACCTGCGTGTAGGGGTGTCATCTTATCTAGGGGCTGGAGATGAAATTTTTATCTGTGGGAAGCTAAGCAGCCCATATAATAACAGTGATGATCAGTGTTGGGGTACCCAAGGTTAGTGCTGTTATCACTTTTTTACACATAAATGAAATGGAGGCTCAGAGAGATAGTTAAAATATTTGTTCAGGGACACATGGGTGGTAAGTGACAGAGTCAGGGTTTGAACCCAGGTCAGTCTTGGTGTTTTGTGTATAGATTCAGACACACCCCCCAGCAAGTCATCAAAAATGTCTTCTCATTGACTACACATCAAGGGTGGGTGGAGTGGACTCTACAGGCTGTCTGAGGGGTGTTAGTTAGGGAAGGCGTCAGTGGGAATGGAGTATCTATGTATGTGTGCGTGTAGGTATGTGTGATTTACATCCAATAAACTTTACTCAAGAAGGGGATCTTAGGGGCTTTATTATATAGGCAGTGGCTATCAAAGGCTTTTAAGCAGAAGAGAAAGGTGAGACCACATCTAGGTTTCGGGAAGGTTTTTTTAGAATGGGTAGAAAAGGATAGAGATTAGATCTAGAGAGACAAGTGTTGATGCAGTAGCTGCTGCCCCTTCTTAGGGTCTTTGCACGTGGGGTTCCCACTTCCTGGAATGTTCTTTGTCTTCAGGTCATAGCACAAAAGCCCCCTCTCAGTGGTCACTGATGTTGCTCTCTGCCCTGAAGTAGCCCTCTGCTGTGTCTGAAGTCATTGTGTTCCCATGTGGATTTTAGTGTGTATCTTCACCCCCCATTAGAGTGTCACTGTCATGCATGTGCACTCAGCAGCGTGCAGGGCCCCAAAAGGCCTCCGTGAACTGTGGAGGAATGAGCCCCTGAAGTGGCGGGTGGTGAGATCGAGCCTGTCTGCTGGTTGCCATGCTGGGAAGGGGTTGTGGAGGGAGAGGGGAACCAAGGTCATTTCTTTTAGGCGTTTGATTTCGTTTGGCCGGATGAATGCTGCCCTTGATTGATACTCACGAGTGTTTTCTTTGGGGGCCGCTGCGCTTTTCCAAACAGCCAGGGTGCTTACCAGACTCGCTGACCACACTGCAGCCCAGCGTCGTGGCTGACGCAGTGGCACGGTTTTGCTTAGCTTGAATTGCTTTTCCTTTTCTGTTGGTCAAGTTCTCTTTTGTTAGTGATCATTTACCTCTTTTAAATCTCCTAGCATAGTTCCTGGTCTTCCTTTTCTTGTTTTTCCCTTGCCTAATGCTTACTGTTTCTGTGTTAATTCTGGGGAAAGGGAAATCACCTTGAGGGTGCTTGGCTAAAACTACAGAGCAAGGGGATCGTTGTTTGGAAAGTCAAGCGTGAGCCTCCTGACCTGGGGCATTGGCCCAATCAAGAAGACCTCGATGTTTCTTTGTGTTGGGGGTGTGGGGTGAAGCCAAGTGGCCGGTGGCTCTATAGTGGCCCTGTAATGGACATCAGACCTGCAGTCAGCAAGGGGTGGGCAGGGTGGGCATGGGAGGGTGGAGAATCACTTCAGTTGGAGATGAGACTGTGGAGAACCTGGGTTTTGCTCAGTGATTCCTGCATGGGGAGGGGTTAGGCGTCTGGGAGACTTATCAGATTTCCAGGACATTTTCAGACCTTAGCCCTCCCTCTGAATATAATGTGGTGAAGAGGCAGACAGAAGGTTAAAAACCAGCTGGAGCTGGATGACATGTGAATGTGTCTGTGTGTGTGTCTGTTGGAGGGGCTGTTCTTTGTCCTGTTATCTTTATGTTTTGCAAATGTTTCAAAACCAGGTGGGTCCTTCTCAGGGGTTGGCCGAGCGAGGGCTGGAGGCAGTGTCTTCAGTTGCACCTAGGTGCTGTAAAGGTGACACTCCTGGACCTAGACCTGGGCCTGCATGTGGAGAGAAGTGAGGCCAGTGGGGGGCCACAACGGAGCCTTGGAGTGTGCCCATCTGCTGCCCTTGTGGGCAGAACGTGGAGCCCATCAGGAATGGCTTGTGGGAGACAGCCAGTCTCTGGGGTGAGCACCCCATCCAGAGAGGTGCACAGCTGATGGAGTCTCGCTCTGTCGCCAAAGCTGGAGTGCTGGAGTGCGGTGATGAGATCTCGGCTCACTGCAACCTCTGCCTCCTGGGTTTAAGCAGTTCTTCTGCCTCAGCCCCCAAGTAGCTGGGATTACAGGCATGTGCCGCCACTCCTGGCTGAGTTTTGTATTTTTAGCAGAGATGGGGTTTCGCATGTTGGCCAGGCTGGTCTTGAACCCCTGACCTCAAGTGATCCTCTCACCTTGGCCTCCCAAAGTGCTGAGATTACAGGCGTGAGCCACCACACCCAGCCCATACACACTTACTGATTTCATTTTTTATAGAAAGCAGCCAGCTTTCCTGACCTTTGGTTGCCAAACAGAACAAGCAAATCCACATATATCCATCTCTAGGGTTTAGTTTAGAATAAGAAAAACTAGGGGTGGGGCCTACTTTTGTTTTCCAACCTCTCCCCAGCTGCTTTTTTCAGGTAAGTAGTTGCCTCTTTTGGGGTCTCATTGTTACTAAGCTGGGTGTTGATGTGCTGAGAAGGAAGACCTGTGCTCTTAGTCTTGGGGATGTTTTCTGCCCTCCTTGTGTTAAGATAATCTTGTAAGTGTCAAAGGCCACAGCTCTGCAGCCTTTTGGCACAGGTGAGGTAAGAGAAATTTCATTTTCCTTTCCTTCTGGTTTACCCTGCTCCTTATTCCCAGATGCCCTGAAGCACCGATTAAAGGGAGTAGTTTTTGCACCAGGAACCTTTGCAGCAGGTGTTGTCAACCCGCTGGCCTGGGTCAGGGCAGTGCAGATCACAGTCCTGCTTTTCTCCTGGCCATGTGGGTTTTCACCTCATCTCCAGATCCAGTCTGGGGAGATGCAAGATGGGACCAGTGTTTTACTAGGTTCACATATCAACATCAGGGAAGCTTCAGGGAGGCCGAGGGCCTAGAGCATTTCTTCCGGGTGGGAAATTGAGAATTCTGAATTCTGTACTCATTATTAACTTTTCCTGGTCTTTAAACAAATTATATAGTTGTTTCTTTTCATTGAGGGCAGGAAGAATTTTATTTAAAAAGTGCTAAGTGCTAGGTAGTGGGTGGTAGCTCACACCTGTAATCCCAGCACTGTGGGAGGCTGGGACAGGCAGATTACTTGAGTTTGGGAGTTTGAGACCAGCCTGAGCAACATGGCGAAACTCCGTCTCTACAAAAAAACATAAAAATTAGCCAGATGTGGTGGTGCACACCTATGATCCCAGCTGCTCAGGAGGCTGAAGTGGGAGGATTGCTTGAGCCCAGGAGGTTGAGGCTGCAGTGAGCCAAGATTTCATCATTGCACTCCAGCCTTGGTGACAGAGCCAGACCCTGTCTCAAAAAAAAAAAAAAAAAAAAAAAAGTGCTAAGTGCTGTGCCCATAGCCTGTGCGTAGCTTCTTCAGCCCAGGTTTACACTAGTTTATTTCCTGACCTGACATGACATCTGATCAGTGGTCATTAAGTATCTGTCTCATGAGATGGAGACTGACCACCAGTCAGTTAACTGAAGAACAAAGACAAAGATTCTTAAAAAACAATACATAGTTTAGGGATGTAAAAAAAATGATAGGCATGATGGTGTGCTCCTATAGTCCCAGCTACTCAGGAGGCTGAGGTGGGAGGATGGCTTAAGCCCAGGAGTTCAAGACCAGCCTGGGCAACATAGCAAGACCCTATCTCTTAAAAACAAAAAATTGATATATTCTCATATGTCAATCTTTTATTGTCCTTTTCTTTTACTTTCAGTTTACTAATTAGAACTGCTGGTTATTTTTTTTGCATATGCCACACCAATAATTTATTGCCTTCAATATCTGTTTTTTTTTTTTTTTTTTTGAGATGGAGTCTCACTCTGTTGTCCAGGCTGGAGTGCAGTGGCACAATCTCGGCTCACTGCAACCTCCGCCTTCTGGGTTCAAGTGATCCTCCTGCCTCAGCCTCCCAAGTAGCTGGGATTAGAAGTGTGTGCCACCACACCCAGCCAGTTTCTTTTTTTTTTTTTTTTTTTTGAGATGGAGTCTCGCTCTGTTGCCTGGGCTGGAGTGCAGTGGCACATTGTCGACTCACTGCAGCCTCCACCTCCTGGATTTGAGCAGTTCTCTTGCCTCAGCCTCCTGAGTAGCTGAGACTACAGGTGTGCGTCACCACAGCCGGCTAATTTTTGTATTTTCAGTAGAGACGGGGTTTTACCATGTTGGCCAGGCTGGTCTCGAACTCGTGACTTCAGGTAATCCACCCGCCTCAGCTTCCCAAAGTGCTGGAATTACAGTTGTAAGCCACTGTGCCCGGCCTAATTTTTGTATTTTTAGTAGAGATGGGGTTTCACCATGTTGGCCACGCTGGTCTTGAACTCGTGACCTCAAGTGATCTGCCTGCCTAAGTCTCCCAAGTGCTGGGATTACAGGTGTGAGCCACTGCTCCTAGCCTTGTTGTTGTTTTTTTTTTTTTTTTTTTTTATTGATCATTCTTTGGTGTTTCTCGCAGAGGGGGATTTGGCAGGGTCATAGGACAATAGTGGAGGGAAGGTCAGCAGATAAACAAGTGAACAAAGGTCTCTGGTTTTCCTAGGCAGAGGACCCTGCAGCCTTCCGCAGTGTTTGTGTCCCTGGGTACTTAAGATTAGGGAGTGGTGATGACTCTTAACGAGCATGCTGCCTTCAAGCATCTGTTTAACAAAGCACATCTTGCACCGCCCTTAATCCATTTAACCCTGAGTGACACAGCACATGTTTCAGAGAGCACAGGGTTGGGGATAAGGTCACAGATCAACAGATCCCAAGGCAGAAGAATTTTTCTTAGTACAGAACAAAATGAAAAGTCTCCCATGTCTACTTCTATCCACACAGACCCGGCAACCATCCGATTTCTCAATTTTTTCCCCACCCTTCCCGCCTTTCTATTCCACAAAACCGCCATTGTCATCATGGCCCATCCCCAATGAGCCGCTGGGCACACCTCCCAGACGGGGTCGTGGCCGGGCAGAGGGGCTCCTCACTTCCCAGTAGGGGCGGCCGGGCAGAAGCGCCCCTCACCTCCCGGATGGGGCGGCTGGCCGGGCGGGGGGCTGACCCCCCCACCACCCTCCCGGACGGGGCGGCTGGCCAGGCAGAGGGGCTCCTCACTTCCCAGTAGGGGCGGCCGGGCAGAGGCGCCCCTCACCTCCTGGATAGGGCGGCTGGCCGGGCGGGGGGCTGTCCCCCCACCTCCCTCCCGGACGGGGCGGCTGGCCGGGCAGAGGGGTCCTCACTTCCCAGTAGGGGCGGCCGGGCAGAGGCGCCCCTCACCTCCCGGACGGGGCGGCCGGCCGGAAGGGGGGCTGACCCCCCCACCTCCCTCCCGGACGGGGCGGCTGGCCGGGCAGAGGGGCTCCTCACTTCCCAGTAGGGGCGGCCGGGCAGAGGCGCCCCTCACCTCCCGGACGGGGCGGCTGGCCAGGCGGGGGGCTGATCCCCCCACCTCCCTCCCGGACGGGGCGGCTGGCCGGGCGGGGGGCTGACCCCCCACCTCCCTCCCGGACTGGGCGGCTGGCCGGGCGGGGGGCTGACCCACCCACCTCCCTCCTGGACGGGGCGACTGGCCGGGCAGAGGGGCTCCTCACTTCCCAGTAGGGGCGGCCGGGCAGAGGAGCCCCTCACCTCCCGGACGGGGCGGCTGGCCGGGCGGGGGGCTGACCCCCCCACCTCCCTCCCGGACGGGGCGGCTGGCCGGGCAGAGGGGTCCTCACTTCCCAGTAGGGGCAGCCGGGCAGAGGCGCCCCTCACCTCCCGGACGGGGCGGCCGGCCGGGCGGGGGGCTGACCCCCCCACCTCCCTCCCGGACGGGGCGGCTGGCCGACCCCCCCCGCCGCCTCCCTCCCGGACGGGGCGGCTGGCCGGGCAGAGGGGCTCCTCACTTCCCAGTAGGGGCGGCCGGGCAGAGGCGCCCCTCACCTCCCGGACGGGGCGGCTGGTCGGGCGGGGGGCTGACCCCCCCCACCTCCCTCCCGGACGGGGTGGCTGCCGGGCGGAGACGCTCCTCACTTCCCAGACGGGGTGGTTGCCGGACGGAGGGGCTCCTCACTTCTCAGACGGGGCGGTTGCCAGGCAGAGGGTTTCCTCACTTCTCAGACGGAGCGGCCGGGCAGAGACGCTCCTCACCTCCCAGACAGGGTTGCGGCCCAGCAGAGGCGCTCCTCACATCCCAGACAGGGCGGTGGGGCAGAGGTGCTCCCCACATCTCAGACGATGGGCGGCCGGGCAGAGACGTTCCTCACTTCCTAGATGGGATGGCGGCGGGGAAGAGGCGCTCCTCGCTTCCTAGATGGGATGGCGGCCGGGCAGAGACGCTCCTCACTTTCCAGACTGGGCAGCCAGGCAGAGGGGCTCCTCATATCCCAGACGATGGGTGGCCAAGCAGAGACGCTCCTCACTTCCCAGACGGGGTGGCGGCCGGGCAGAGGCTGCAATCTCGGCTCTTTGGGAGGCCAAGGCAGGCGGCTGGGAGGTGGTTGTAGCGAGCCGAGATCACGCCACTGCACTCCAGCCTGGGCACCATTGAGCACTGAGTGAACGAGACTCCATCTGCAATCCCGGCACCTCGGGAGGCCGAGGCTGGCGGATCACTCGCGGTTAGGAGCTGGAGACCAGCCCGGCCAACACAGCGAAACCCCGTCTCCACCAAAAAAAAACGAAAACCAGTCAGGCGTGGCGGCGCGCGCCTGCAATCGCAGGCACTCGGCAGGCTGAGGCAGGAGAATCAGGCAGGGAGGTTGCAGTGAGCCGAGATGGCAGCAGTACCGTCCAGCTTTGGCTCGGCATCAGAGGGAGACCGTGGAGGGAGAGGGAGAGGGGGAGGGGGAGGGGGAGAGGGAGAGGGAGAGGGTTGTTTGTTTTTTTGAGGGAGGGTCTCTCTCTGTCGCCCAGGCTGGAGTGTCGTGGTGTGATCATGCAGCCTTGACCTCCTAATGACCATGACAAGCTAGTGTTTTTGATTTTTAGTAGAGACAAGGTCCTGCCATGTTGTTCAGGCTGTTCTTGAACTCTTGGGCTCAAGCAGTCCTCATGCCTTGGCCTCTCAAAGTGCTGGGATTATAGGCATGAGCTACTGTGTGTGGCCATTAATTAATTTAATTAATTTTCTTAATGACAATTGAGAACTTAGAAGCAACATGAATGTGGAATTATAGATTTTACAAATTTTCACCCAATACTCTATACTTGTTTTGCCATACCTATAATTTAGTTAGCAGATTGTTTCTTTCTTTCTTTTTTTTTTAATTAACAACTTGTTTTAATAGAAACTTGTTTTAATAGTTTTAATGGAAACAATGATGCGCTTATTTCATAGGTTTATATAGTTAAGCATGTATGTGTATTTATACTATATGTGTATTGTATGTATGTGCGTATGTGTAATAAATGTGTGTATGTAAATTTACAATGACAAGTACAGTTGGCATAAGCAGGGGTTTGCAGACAAACGTGTTTCAGCACACTGGGCAACATATCAGTCTGTAGCATGTGGTCAGGATGCAAGGGGGATCCGTTAATCCATTAATAACTTAGGGATTTTGTCCTCAGGAATCTCCCAGCCTAGAGGAGGCAATGTCTGTGTTTAAATAACTATAACCCAAGTTAGAAAGCGGCAGGTGCCTTAAGACAGAGCATATACTCCCAGGAGGAAGGAGCCAGAGAATTCATAGAGAAGGAGGTATCTGACCTGGGCCAATTACTTCTTTCTTTGTTTTTTGACTGTTTTTATATTTAGTTAAATATCTGTATATTTCTTTTTTCTTTTCTTTCCTTTTTTTTTTTTTTTTTTTTTGAGAGGGAGTCTTGCTTTGTTGCCTAGGCTGGAGTGCAGTGGCATGATCTCGGCTCACTGCAACCTCCACCTCCCATGTTCAAGTGATTCCCATGCCTCAGCCTTTGGAGTAGCTGGGATTACAGACGCCTGCTACCACGCTTGGCTAATTTTTGTATTTTTAGTAGAGATGGGGTTTCACCATGTTGACCAGGCTGGTCTCAAACTCCCGATCTTAGGTGATCCACCTGCCTCTGCCTCCCAAAGTGCTGAGATTGCAGGCATGAGCCACCGCACCTGGCCAAATATCTCTATATTTCTGTAAATCTATAAATAAAAACACAAACAGATGAACCATCATTGGGCCTTGGGCAGTGGTATGGACATTTGAATTGTTTTTGAAGTTTCTATGTCTCAGCCAGTACAGGTGCTGGCTGTTTCTCCTAGGCAATGGAGCTTTGTAGTACCCCTGTTGTCTGTGCTATACTGCAGGGGGATTGGTCAACAGGATGCATTCCTTTCTGTCACAGTTCATTATACTGGTCAGAGTTCTGAGGTCACCAGCTAACCTGAGCATAATCAGTTCCTTGGAAGACATTGGGTGGAGTGACCTCATAGACTCATAGGAAACCTGAAAAGAAGCCAGGGGAGAAACAATTGTTTTGAAGGAGTAGGGAGATTTCCCAAAGCCCAGCTGGAATGCTGTTGCCAGGAGGAGGAACCAGTTAAGGGGCAGGGACCAGCCTTTTTGGAAATGCTTTGTAGAATGCCCTAGGGAAGAGGAAATACATAAACCAAGGGCCAGGATGCAAACATACTTTTGAATATGTCTCAGATCTGAGTCCACCTGAACGTCTGCAGGCCAAAAAGCATAGCACATCATTCATAGGAACTCCAGAAATGTTGCCCGACTGCCTCCCACAACTTACCGTCAGTGCGGGCATGGAAACCTTCCTGCTTTCTGCTCTGTGTGGGTGGGTGAATGTGAGTGAGGAGAAACACTGTCATCTGGGAGTGAAGAGCCCAGCTTTGCAGTCATTCAGCAGGATGAGGGTGGACTTTTGGCTCTGCCACCAACGCAGTGTGGGCCCTGTGCTCTTCTTGTGTTGCGTGTAAACGAAGACTGATATTTTCTGTTAGATTTCTCAGCGTTATAGGTTATTGGATTTGTTACTGTGTGCTCATGCCAAGAGAAACAGAAGATGTATAAACAGCTAGGTGGTAATCAACTGTTGACTGCTTGTTGTAGCAGAGCCTTCCACAACTTTCTCCTGACCCTCACAAATGCATGTTTTAAAAAAAGAGAGGGACCTATTGTAGGCATTATTCAGCAACTTGTTATTTTCACTTCTCTTGAGCTTACACACCCCTGAATTTAAGCTCTTTTGATAACAAATAATTGAAAAAAGTGCATGGCAGGTTGTAGGTGCTCATTGTGGGATGAATGAATGAATGAGCCAGTGAGTGAGTGTTGTACTCTGGATCTCTCTCCAGGTCAGTAGTTTTTAGTAGTTATGTCACACTGAATTGCTCTAGTCTTTTTCAGACTTGTACTAGCAATGTATGAGTACCCCTGTATTAGTTCGTTCTCACATTGCTATAAAGAACCACCTGAGACTGGGTGATTTATGAAGAAAAGAGGTTTAATTGACTCAGTTTCACAGGCTTAGCAGGAAGCATGGCTAGGAGGCCTCAGGAAACTACAATCATGGTGGAAGGGGAAGCAAGCGTGTCTTACCATGGCAGAGCAGGAGAGAGACAGAGAGCGTGAGGGGGGAAGTGCCACATGCTTCAGATCTCCGAGAACACACTTACTGTCATGAGAATAGCAAGGGGGAAATTCGCCTCCATGATCTAATCACCTCCCATCAGGTCCCTCCCCTGCCACACAGGGATTACAATTTGCCGTGAGATTTGGGTGAGGACACAGAGCCTAACCATATCAACCCCTTTTACTGGGCATTTCCACCAGTGCTAGATGTTGTATTGTTTTTGCTAATCTCATGGCTGAAAATGGTATTATAGTCTTAATTATTTTTAACTAAAAACTGTTTTTCACCATTCTGTTTCTATGGAGCACTTTTATTTTAATTTGTGTTTTCCTGAGTACTGGTGAGGTTGAGCACCATTTCACCTTTTTTCTTTATTTTTTCTTCTGTGAATTCCATACCTATATCCTTTCTCCGTTTTTCCGTCTACTGGATTGTTTTGAATTTTTAGGAACTCTTTGTATATTAGGGCTATAAATTATTTGTTGTGTGCATTGCAAATGTGTCCCCAGCTATTGTTTCTATAGTTTGTTTTTACATTGTTTAGGTGTGTTTTGCCATAAAATTTTAAGATTTTTTGCAAATTTCTATTTCTATTTCTTTGTAAAAATGTTTGTTTCTTCTTCCATCCATGGTCTAAATGAAATTACAGATCAGTCTCATATGAATGTAATATGTGTCTATTAATGCATATATATGTTTATATATTTGCAACATTTTAAAGTAGGTTTCTAAATCAAATAATAATTTGAATACAGTAGTGTATTAAAAGATTAATTTTTCATGACCAAACAAGGTTTACTCTAGCAATGCAAGGATAGCATAACATGAGGTATTGTGTCGGCTGGAGAAACTTCTAGCTCAGGGATTAGAGCATGGTTTGCCCCAGTCCTGCCATTTACTAATTCTCTGACGTTAGCCAAATTAGTTAATCTCCCTGAGCTTCAGTCTCCTCATCTATAAAATTGGCAGGACAATTACAATACTGCTGTATAGGGTTGATGGAAGGACGAAATGGGGTATCTGTGAAATGATTAGACCTGGGTTTGGTGCATAATAAGTGCTCAGTTAATGTTATACATCACAATTCACTGTATCACATTAAAAAGAAAACCCATGTGGTTATGTTAGCATATTTAAAAGGCATGTAATACAATTCTGCCGCTAATCTTAATGAAAATCTAAAACAGTCATAGAATCTACATAAATACAGAAATAGGTGCCAACACCCAGCAGCAAGCCTGTTAAGTGGCCATTCTGTGACACTCCAGGCATGACAGGGAGGCCTGCATTTAGCACTGTTGCCTCAAATCGATGATCCTGTGGACTTGTCAGGCTTTTGGGGAGAGGAGCCAGTCTGTCGCCTGGGCTGGCCAGTGTTGCCTCTGCTCTGTCTGGAGCAAGTGTGCATTAAGGCCTGCGCTTGCCAGTGGCCTTTCACCAGGGTGTAGCTTCTGGCCTTGCTCTATAGGAACCAGGAATTCCTGGGGTTGGGCTGGGAAGAGGATCGTTAAAGTGATAAGCCTGGAGGCATTTTGAGAACTACCTGTGACATTTAGAGTGAGGAGGGTCAGCAGTGGGTGGGTTAGCCTGGCAGGTGCCAAGGTTCTGTACTCCCTCTAGGTGAAGAATTAGCACAGGCATAGTTTCTAGCCCCCTTTTCCTCTCCTACATGCAAAATAAGATGATGAATGTTCTCCAAATGACAGAGGAGGGGAAGGCCTCAATGCTGTGAACTCTGTAGGGTTTCAGCTCAGATTGGACCTTCCAGACTGGCCTGGAAAGCCATGGGGGCCAGGGTGTCTCAGCATTGGCCCGCTTTTGGCCTGGTATTTGTTGAACATCTATCAGTGGGTCTTTTTCTTGTGTCTGTCTTACAGCATTTCTCTCATCTACCCCTAGTTTAGAAATGTTTTCTTAGATAACTTAAAATTCATGTAAAATAAGAGGTGATGGATATATAAGTTTTGGAACATACTAATAAATGCCTGGGAGCCAACCTCCTAGCTGGAGAACTAAACCACTGTGCACCACAGGGAAACTCCTAGTGGGTGCTCCCTGCCAGGGGGTAAAGGCATTCTAGAATAGTTCATCATTCCTGCACCTTTTTTTTTTTTTTAAAGAATATTGACAAGGCTCTGGTTAGAAAAAGGGAAAAAAAAAAGAATACTTATACACATGTATCTGTAAATAATATATTCTATTTTTGTTTATGAATTTTATAAAAAGAGACTCATAAGTAATCTGCAAATTTCATTTTTCATTCATTTTTACAGCTGGATAATTTTTCATTGTGTGCATGCTATATATATATATATTTGTATATATTTTTTATTTTTGTAGAGACAGGGTCTTGCCCGAACTCCTGAGCTCGAGCAATTCTCCTGCCTCAGCCTCCCAAAGTGCTGGGATTATAGGCATGAGCCACCATGCCCAGCCCCCTTTCTACCTTTTAATAGATATATTTTAGTTTTATTTGTCTTATGAGTAAACCACAAGAATGGGGACTTTCTCTAATGGATTTCTGTATCCTGTGAAAGTACTAAAACTTGTGGTGAATATGGTGGGAGCGTCCTCCATGCTAATAACTGAGTATTGGCATTGGATTTAAGGGAGTCAGTAGGTTAAACTGATACAGATTGGACCTTAGAGAGGGTGATGTGAGTGTCAGAACAAGACCAAAATGCCACCCTTGTTACAATGTAGTAGAAGTGGTGGACTAGAGCTCATCTGCAGTGCAGGCAGGTGGGCTTGCTGACTCTCCCTGACCCACATTCTAGGCCCTGGCACAGTCTACTCAAAGGTCAGCTGGGTCTGCAGAGGAGATATCCTTGCTCCAGCTGGCTGCCTTGCATCAATCTGGGGTGGAGAGGAAAGGAAAAGAGGACTAATTCCCAAAGCTTATGTTGTTGTTGTTGTTCCTTCTCCTCGTCCTCCTCCTCCTCTTCTTCTTCTTCTTTCTCTTTTCTTCCTCTCCTCCTCCTCCTCCTCCTTCTTCTCTTTTCTTTTCTTTTTTTTTTTTTTTTTGAGACAAGATCTCACTGTGTTGCCCAGGCTGGAGTGCAGTGGCACAATCTCAACTCACTGCAACCTCCACCTCCCAGGTTTAAGCAGTTACGGTGCCTCAGCCACCCGAGTAGCTGGGATTACAGGCACACACCACCATGCCCAGCTAATTTTTGTATTTTTAATAGAGGCAGGGTTTCACCATGTTGGCCATGGCTGGTGCTTATGATCTTTTAATGGATGGCCTCTACCCAGACAAGAAGCCTGTATGTGGTACTTCTGCCCCTACTCACCAGGAAGAGCACTCTCCTCTACTGTTCTCCAGTGGGGAGGAGTTAGGCGTGGCTTAGACCAGGAGCATTGAGGGAATGGAAATCATTGGCAAAGGGGAGCTGGCATCCTTCCCTACTGTTTAGAAGTAGATCATATCTAATTAACAGGTGAATGCTCTGGGTATGGCACCTGCTATTTGGTGCTCATGGGAAAGGGCCTTGGGTAGACGGTTCAGGCGCCAGGCCCTTGGTGGAACTGGCTTTTGTTTTTCATTGTACCTAGTCATGGTACACTGGATGGCGGATAACCGGAAGCAGAGTCGACATAGGGATACGGAGGGAAGGAGACTTACATAGATTTCAGGACAACAGTGAGCTGCCAGGCACCAGGCCAGGTGCTTTATCTCATGTAATCCACTTGGTAACATGTGAGGTGGGAGATGCTGGTCCTTTTTATACAGGTGAGGAAACAGAGGCTCTGAGGTAAATTGAATTGCGATTCCACAGCTCGTGGGCTGTGAGCTGGCATTTGTATCAGGCTACAAGTTAAGGCTACGCTTCTGTTCTTGGTACTTGGCATCCACACCTGAGCTATGTGTCCCCAAGGATGAGGCTGCCATTTCTCTCGTGGGCTTTTCTCTTTTCCTCTTTTAGCATATGCTGTGCCCCTAGACCCTAAGCCCTGTGCTAGGTGCCAAGGAAACAAGGGCAATGAGGGATGATGGAGACGGGAGTGGAGGATGGGCCCAGGCCTAAGACTGGAGTGTAGCAGGCCTGTTTCTGTGTCAGTTACAGGGGAGAGCAGCCAACCCAGTCTGGGTTTATGGGGCAGGGGGCCATGCGTGGCACAAGTGTGGGGCTTGCCACACCTGGGCGGAGACAGGCAGGCATGTTGGCTGGAGAGCTTGCTTGCGAGCTTTGCAGCTATCAAATGTGTAAATTCCAAAGTGTATATGTAGAGTTTCTGATTGAATGAAACATTTGAAAAATGAATGGGGAAAGCATCTGGAGTCTTTTTCTCAATGAGAAGTTAAAGGAGGAAGCTTCAGTGGAGCCTTGTTGACAAAAAACAGTGTGGTACAGATTCCCAGTTGCATAATTCAGAGCACTGGGGAAGTTTTGACCTGTGTTTTGCTCGTCAATTCCTGAGCAAGTGGAAATAATGAAGTTGCTCAGGAGGGATTGCCTTGTGGGCGAGACCTGTGACAGAGTCTGTCATTTTGAACCTTCTGTTCTGGAAATACTTTTTACAGTGTCTTCTGCCTTTTTTCTTTTTAAAGATTGTTTTAAAAACACCACTTCTCGCTTTCTCTCCTTATCTTTCAGTAATTTGTTGCAGGGCATTTTGGATAGGAATATTTCACTGATATTCTTGTTTGAGCTGACGGTCATGTCCCAGATGTGTTTGCTGCAGTATGTGGGCAGATATATGACTGCCCTGTCAAAGTTCTTACTTCCGTATTGACCCCAGCCATAAAAGTCATGATAAATCTGGTTCACAATGAACAATCCTCACATGCTGTTCGTAATTAGAAAATCCAGGTGTGTGCTTTTATTTCTAGAATTTTGTCCTGTCTGAAATGTAGGAAGATGCTGTTATAAAGAAGCACATTCAAAGCCATTTAAAAGCACGGTTGAGCTGGGTGCAGTGGCATGCATCTGTAATCCAGGTACACAGGAGGCTGAGGCGGGAACATGGCTTCAGCCCAGGAGTTGAAGTCCAGCCTGGGCAACATAAGAAAAAAAAAAGTAAAAGCATGGCTGACTTTTCTTAGAGTGAGGCAGTAGACTGTGTGCTTCCTGGCGTGGTGTCCAGGTCGGAAAGCCCAGAGGTGGAATTCTCCTTTGGCCACTTTGGGCCCATCCTGGTGCAGAGCTACAACTTCAGGTTTCCTAGTGCACAGTTCTGATCATATCTTTTTTTCCTAGATGTATAAGGAACTATTTTTCTAAAATGGTGGTGGTTTAAAATATATATATATATATTTAGTATTTATTGATGATTCTTGGGTGTTTCTCGGAGAGGGGGATTTGGCAGGGTCATAGGACAATAGTGGAGGGAAGGTCAGCAGATAAACATGTGAACAAGGGTCTCTGGTTTTCCTAGGCAGAGGACCCTGCGGCCTTCCGCAATGTTTATGTCCCTGGGTACTGGAGCTTAGGGAGTGGTGATGACTCTTAAAGAGCATGCTGCCTTCAAGCATCTGTTTAACAAAGCACATCGTGCACCGCCCTTAATCCATTTAACCCTGAGTGGACACAGCACATGTTTCAGAGAGCACGGGATTGGGGGCAAGGCCATAGATCAACAGCGTCCCAAGGCAGAAGAATCTTTCCTAGCACAGAACAAAATGGAGTCTCCTATGTCTACTTCTTTCCACACAGACACAGTAACAATCCGACTTCTCTTTCTTTTCCCCACATTTCCCCCCCCCATTGGACAAAACCGCCATTGTCATCATGGCCCGTTCTCAATGAGCTGCTGGGTACACCTCCCAGACGGGGTGGCGGCCGGGCAGAGGGGCTCCTCACCTCCCAGACGGGGCGGCCGGGCAGAGGCACCCCCCACCTTCCAGACGGGGCGGCGGCCGGGTGGAGGCTGCCCCCCACCTCCCGAACGGGGCTGCTGGCTGGGCGGGGGCTGCCCCCCACCTCCCTCCCGGACGGGGCTGCTGGCCGGGCGGGGGCTGCCCCCCACCTCCCTCCCGGATGGGGCGGCTGGCCGGGCGGGGGCTACCCCCCACCTCCCGGACGGGGCGGCTGCCGGACAGAGATGCTCCTCACTTCCCAGACAGGGCGGCTGCCCGGCGGAGGGGCTCCTCACTTCTCAGACGATGGGCGGCCGGGCAGAGACGCTCCTCACTTCCCAGACATGGTGGCGGTTGGGCAGAGACACTCCTCACTTCCCAGACTGGGTGGCCGGGCAGAGGGGCTCCTCACATCCCAGACGATGGGCTGCCAGGCAGAGACGCTCCTCACTTCCCAGATGGGGTGGCGGCCGGGCAGAGGCTGCACTCTTGGCACTTTGGGAGGCCAAGGCAGGCGGCTGGGAGGTGGGGGTTGTAGCGAGCCGAGATCACGCCACTGCACTCCAGCCTGGGCAACATAGAGCACTGAGTGAGCGAGACTCCGTCTGCAGTCCTGGCACCTCGGGAGGCTGAGGCGGGCAGATCACTTGCGGTCGGGAGCTGGAGACCAGCCCGGCCAACACGGCGAAACCCCGTCTCCACCAAAAAATACAAAAACCAGTCAGGCGTGGCGGCGCGCGCCTGCAATCCCAGGCGCTTGGCAGGCTGAGGCAGGAGAATCAGGCAGGGAGGCTGCAGTGAGCCGAGATGGCGGCAGTACAGTCCAGCTTTGGCTCGGCATCAGAGGGAGACCGTGGAGGGAGAGGGAGAGGGAGAATATTTTTATCATGGTGGTTTGTAATGCCACCTCCTTTCATTGTTTTTAGCTTAGCGTTAGCCTGCAGACCCTCAGAAACTGCTGAGTGGTGAGAGGTGGTGCAGGGGTAGGCTGTAGCAGAGAGGGCTGTGGAGAGGCTGGGGGCAGGGCAGGGTGGTGCAGGGAGCCTGGGTCGCTGTCTGACCGCACAGCTGTGGGTGGCGTGGGGAGGCGCTGCAGGCCAGCCTCCCATCTCATGGTCAGCACTGCTTGTTACCACAAGCACTCCATATCTGGTGGTGCACTGCCATGGAGCACCTCGGGTGACATCAGCTTACACGGGGCCCTGCCTTCCTTTCCAGGTGCTTGCTTACTTAAAGATTTTAACAAATCATTTGATTTCTTTAGGCTTCATCTTCCTTGGCTAAATTTTAAAAAGAAGACCACATTGTCCCTGACTCCTTTTTGCAAAGGACGTAATGAATGTTCGTTAAACTTTTGTATTATTATTTCTATAATAAACTTTTTATTTTACAAGAATTCTATATGTGCAGAAAAGTTGCAAAACTAATAGAGTTCCTGTCTACCTTTTGCCTGACTTTCTCTAATGTTAACATTTTATGTAACCATAGCTTATTTTTTGAAATTAAGAAATTAACATTGATGCAGTATTACTGAATAAACTATGGACTTTCTTTGGATTTCACCAGTTTTCCCACTGATGTTTTCTTGCAGTTCTAGGATCCCATCCAGGTCCTTGATGATTTTTCCTAGTATTAGATTGGTGGATGAATTTGGGGAGAGTCCCACAGAGGTGAAGTGCCCTTTTCATTACATCATCTCAGGAGGCACCTGATACTGCCATGACTCACCACCGTGATGTTAACCTTGCGGGTTTACTTTAGTCGTTCTCCTTTTTAAATGTGATTCAGGTGGCACTGGTTCCCCAAAAGATTGCTGATCCCTTCAGGCCAGGACCCTGCTCTGCTTGCTTTGTGCCTCTTCCCAGCGTGAGGACTTGGGCTGTGGTGCCAGTGTCGAAGGGGGCATGCCAGGTCAGGTGGAGATGCATTTGGGTTCTGTGATTTTGTGAGCATTCTACAGTTTTCACATCACAGGTGAAACAGGATTGGCCATGTGTTGATACTTGTTGAAACGGGGGGTCATTCTAGTTTCTTTTCTTTTTTTTTTCTTTTTCTTTTTTTTTTTAAGGGCCAGCATCTCACCCTGTCACTCAGGCTAGAGTGCAGTGGTGGGATCATGATTCATTGCAGCCTCACCCTCCTGAGTAGCTGGGACCACAGCTGTGCACTATCAAGCCCAGCTTAAAAATTTTTCGTAGAGATGGGTTCTTTCCATGTTGCCCAGGCTGGTCTCGAACACGTGGACTCGAGCGATCATCATGCCTCGGCCTCTCAGAGTGCTGGAATTACAGGCATGAACCACTGTGCCTGACCTAGTTTCTACTTTCTACGTAGAAACTACGTAGGAGAAGGGAAAACTATTTCCAATCTACAGCGATAATCAATCCCATATTGCTTGGATAATGCCGGTGTTACAATGGTCATCGTTGCCAGAGTTATTGAGGTGGGAGGATTACTCATCTTAAATGTATTTGGTTCTTCCCCAAGGCCTCCATAAGAAGAAAAACTTGCATCTAAACCAGTGTTAAGTGGTACTGCTAATAACAGGGTAATAATAATATTCCTTAACATCTTTCAGGGAGAAAAATCACTGGTGTGCCATCAGAAAAGAATTCCAATTGAAATGAGGTTACAGATTAGTTGGAATACATTTATAGAATACAAAGAAAGTTTACCATGTAATGTCATGATCATTTGTTGAAAAGAAATTTGTAAAATGAGATACACTTTTAAGTTTATAGTTGGTATTCTATTTATAATTATCTCCATATTTCAAACTGAGAATGGAAGCTTTTAGAAGTTAGTGACCATGTCTTTTAAGTTGTATTTATGTAACACTTGCCTAGAGGCTTTAGATGTATACTTACTACGTGGCTGTATTAGTCAGAGCCAATAGGGTGGATGGATGGATGGATGGATGGATGGAGATAGATAGATAAGAAGCAGTTTATTAGGGGAATTGGCTCACATGGTTGTAGAGTCTGAGAAATTCTATGACAGGCTGCCTGCAAGCTGGAGACTCTGGGATGCCGGTAGTGGGGCTCAGTCCACATTTGAGGGCCCCAGAACTAGAGAAGCCAGTCATGTAGCTCTCAGTCCAGTGCTGAAGGCCTAAGAACCCAGGGGCCGCTGGTATAAGTCCAGGAGTCCAAAGGCTGGCAAGCTTGGGGTTCCGTGGCCCAAGGCAGGAGGTGAGTGCATCCCAGCTCCAGGACATTGATAGACACATTTGCCCTTTTCCTGTTTTTGTTCTTTTTAGGCCCCCGGCAGATTGGATGGTGCCTGCCCTTATTGATGGTGGCTCTTCCCCACCTCATCCACTCACACTAATGTGCTAGTCTCTTCTGGAAACAGCCCCATGGACACACCCCAAAATCAGGCTTTACTAGGTTTCTAGGTTTTCCTAGGTGTTCCAGTCAAGTTGACACCTAAAACTCTAAAACTAACCATGACACATGCCAAGTATTGAAAATCTCGAATAAGGGTTCAAATGCTACCTATTTCTTTTCCCATCTTGCCCATTTTCTTTTTCCCCAGCACTGATCCAAAATATAGAAGGAGAAGGGAGAAGATAATGGTAGCGTCCTGGAATGCTTGGCACCACGATTTCATTTTCTTACATATTTATACCCTTCCTGGTTTCACTAAGGGTTTGAGTTGGTTATTAGGGACTATGAAAAAAAAGGTGGCAGACTTGAACTCTTCCTTTGCCTTCCCCAAAACAACAACAGTGAAACAGATGTTTAGTTCTGGGAGGAGCCGTTGCAATCACCCACAGCTGTCTTGCAGTGTCACGCTGTTTGTGGAGGTCCAGGACACACTCGGCCGTCAGAGGGAGCCAGGGTTGCAGCTTCCCGCGCTACCATTGCTGTGCAACTGTGGGCAAGCCACTTCCCCAAACCTGTAGTTTTCTCATCTGAAAACTGGCGCAGTACTCCCACCTTGCAAGGTTATCATGAGTGTATATCCTGAGTATATCATTGTATATAAAGATCTGAGGAGCGTGTATAAAATGTCATAAAATATGCACTCAGTAAAGTACCTAATTTGATCATCCATTTGCAGGATTTCTTTTTATTTTTGAGATGGAGTCTCGCTCTGCGGCCCAGGCTGGAGTGCAGTGGCGTGATCTCGGCTCACTGCAAACTCTGCCTCCCGGGTTCATGCCATTCTCCTGCCTCAGCCTCCCAAGTAGCTGGGACTACAGGCGCCCACCCCCACGCCCGGCTAATTTTTTGTATTTTTAGTAGAGATGGGGTTTCACCATGTTAGCCAGGATGGTCTTGATCTCCTGACCTCGTGATCCGCCCGCCTCGGCCTCCCAAAGTGCTGGGATTACAGGCGTGAGCCACCGCGCCCGGCCCATTTGCAGGGTTTCTAAACACCAACTCACAATGCCAGTTTCACTATCATGCTAGACGATGAAACACCAACAGTATAATTATTCTGTTACAAAGTTAAAGATCTTTAGTTTAAGGCTTTTCATTGATTCTGGGGTTGTATTACCTGTCTTTTGGTGTTAAAATGTCTGAAATGAAATAATGGGAGTGATAGGTCTTTTTCTTTTTTAAATGTCCTTAGGGGGCAAAATAAAGTTGGCGGCCTTGTGTTGGCTGCCTTTCCTGCCCTCAGGAAAAAGCCCTGATCAGTAACATTGGGATCTTCTATCTGGTCCCTGCTCTCCTTTGAGGGAGGAGGAAGCCCCAGCCAAAGAGGGGAGGCCACAGCCAGAGGTGCAGCAGGACACGGCCCTTGTTTACGTGATTCAGCTCAGAGTCCAGCCTTCCTGGGCATCTTCTCACATCTCTTCCTGGCCCCCTGTCCCAGCCCCACCTTCCACATTCCCTGCCTAGTTTCTGTTACGGAGCACCTGTCACCCTGCATGGTCCTCTGGGTACTCGTCCGTCTACCCTACCAGACTTGAAGCTGCTTACGGACAAGTTCGTTTAAGTTAATTATTTAGTTTGTAACTTCCAGAGCCTGGACAGTGCTGAAAAATATTTGTCAGATGGCTGAATTAAACTATAAATAAATGAGGGGAAAAAAATCACACCGATAAAACATTAACATAACATGCCCCTGACTTTATTCCTGAAAATACCCACAGACTCACCAGGAACCTTGCTCACATTCCTTTTGAATTTCAGATCTTTCTTGGATCATCTTCCATTTTTAATGTGTTGCCCAGAGAAGGCTCAAGCTGTTGCCAGGACCATGAGGCTGCGTGACATCTTAACTGAGATGTGCTAGAAATCTAGATGTTGCTTCTTCTGTGGCATTTGGGGATTCTATAAAATGCATAAGAAAAAAATTAACATGTTCCCTCTATCACATTGGTGCTTTCAAGTTTTTCCTCAATTGGGCTGTCTCCATTAATTAGTCTCACTTCACTGTTAAAAAAATCTTTGGACAAGTGCCAGAGAAGCAAAGAAGCTTATGTAAAGGGTTTTAACATTTTCTCCTTTGCCAAAGATAGAACTGATACTTAGCTTTGCTTTGTCCTGGGACCTTCTTCTTTGATAGAGAATGTTAGACATTTGGCTTGGTTTATTCCTTTTTATGTACACGTGTTGGATGAGTAAAGACAAGTGGCTTTTTTTTTTTTTTAGATGCAGTCTCACTCTGTCGCCAGGCCGGAGTGCAGGGGCACGATCTCATTGCAACCTCCGCCTCCCAGGTTCAAGCAATTCTCCTGCCTCAGCCTCCCAAGTAGCTGGGACTACAGGTGCACACCACCACACCCTGCTAATTTTTGTATTTTTCAAAGAGACGGGGTTTCACCATTTTGGCCAAGATGGTCTCGATCTCTTGACCTCGTGATCCGCCTGCCTCAGCCTCCCAAAGTGCTGGGATTACAGGCGTGAGCCACCGCGCCCAGCCCAAGATGGCTCTATTTACATCTTGGTTCATGAAACATATGAAAGGCTAACAAGTAGGATTTGCAAATAGCCACTACCCTGTTCTCAGCCAAAAGAAAAATATGAAAAAGATTGACCTATCACATTTTCACATAATTTATTTATGATTATTTATTTATTTATGATTATTTATTTATTTATGATTATAGTAGGTTTCTAGAATTTAAGATTTACTTATTTGAAGAGAGAAACTAATGCCTTAAATTATCATATTAAATTTTACTGGTTTACTGTCTAGCAGCCATTGAAACCTATTGCTGACACCTGCCACTTCCAGGTCACTGAACTGTCATTGTCATGCCTTTCATCGCGGTGCTAGTGGGAAGAACCCAAGCTAGCCTGGTTAGAAAGTGGACCATTTGGATCCTCTACCAAAGTCATTGGTAGAGGATCAGTTATTCCAAGAATTGAGGCCCAAGAAATACACTTGGGCTAAAATGACACAGAACTTACTTTAATCTTTTGAATCTGAGGCACTTTGTGGTTCTTGGTTAATGTCAGTCACCACTGTATTGCAGATGCAGACGCTGGGTAGGAAGGAAGCTCTGTTACTAGACTTCTGCTGGGGGCTTTTCTTCCTTTTCTCCTGTTTTCTCACCTTCTTTTCCCCTCCTTCTCCCGCCTTCTTCCTCTTTATTGAGGTATTAGTTTACATACAATTGAATGCATCCTTTTAGGAGCTTTGACAAGTGGAAACACCTGTATGACTCAGTCAAGACAGAATATTTCCATTGCTCCAAAATTTCCTTGTGTCCCTTTGAAGTCAGTCCCCCACCCTGCCCCCTGGCCCTGGCAAACATTAATCTGTCACTGTAGATTGGTTTTGCTTGGTTTCGAATTTCATCCACATAGACACACACAGTGGGTGCTATTTTGCATCTGGCTGCTTTGCTCAGCATGATGTTTTTGTGATTGATCCATGTCACATCTGTCAGTAGCTCATTCCTTTTTATTGCCGAGTGGTTTTCAGCTGTGCGCCGATGCCACACACAGTTGGGTTTTGATGTCCTCTATAGAGATGTGTGACAAACCTAGGTGCTACAGGAGTGTGTGCATGCCCTCCCCATCTTTCAGCAGCATATGAGGAAGGCAGAGGGAACTAGCAAATAAATGAACCAGATTTGGGGGAATCTTCTTTTTATCCAAGCCATGGGTCTTGCTAGTCCTTGACTAGTTTGGCTTCTCAGAACAACACTATTCTAGTTACCCCTGGCTTGGGCCAGCCTGTAGGATCTCGGTGTTTGCCTTTCTGGAGATGGGGAGTTACAAATTCCTAATGGAAAAGGCTTGTGGTCAGAGCAGCTCCTTTTGGTCTTTTGTCTAACTTTGTCGTCCCTGCTGCCGATGGATCACCTGGCTCTGTGTTTGGGGCATGCAAAGTTCAGGGACCCAGGTACATAGGAACTGTAGAGCCTGCCCTGTGCCAGGCTGCCAGGTACCCCACCTCCTATGCCAGCCACCTGCCACTCAGGTCTCCTGCCTTGCCCTTGCCCTGTCCTGGCTCAGCTGTTAGTTTTAGCCTGCTAGGGAAAGACTGAGGCGAGCGCAGAACTGCAATCTGTGGTATTCTATTAACAACCCAATTATTGTGTGCCCATGATCACTTTAAGAATCACCTTTTTTTTTTTTTTTTCCAGACGGAGTCTCGCTCTGTCGCCCAGGCTGGAGTGTAATGGCACGATCTTGGCTCACTGCAACCTCCACCTCCTGGGTTCAAGCAATTCTCCTGCCTCAGCCTCTCGAGTAGCTGAGATTACAGGCATGTGCCACCATGCCCAGCTAATTTTTGTACTTTTAGTGGAGACAGGGTTTCACTATGTTGGCCAGGCTGGTCTCCAACTCCTGACCTCAAGTGATCTGCGCACCTTGGCCCCACAAAGTACTGGGATTACAGGCATGGGCCACCGTGCCCAGCCAAGAATCACCTTGTAAAACACAATGACTGCCGCGGGCTGGGGAAAGGGTTGGGAATAGAGGGATGATAGCTAAAGGGTACAGGGTTTCTCTTTGAGGTAATGAAAATGTCCTACCCTTGACGGTGGTGATGGTTGCACACACCTGTGAATATACTAAATAACATTGAATTGTGCCCTTTAAATGGGTGAACTGTGTGACGTGAATTATATCTCAATAAAGCTGTTTTTTTTTTAAGGCAGTATAGTATTAGAGCGATGACAGACCAGTAGAGAAGTGGTGAAAAAAAAATTGTAGAAATTTTATTGTTTCCAAATGACACGACCTTTTGCCAAATATCTTGATTTTCATAGCAGGTCCCGTTCCATGGGAGGCACGGGTGTGGTAGAGAGAGGAGGGACTTTGTATCAAGTGGACCTGACTGAATCCCATTCTGCCCTTATTAGCTGGGTGACCTTGGGCAGATTGCTTATGTTCTGTGGTGGTTTCCTTCCCTGTAAAACAGGGCTAGGAGTACCTATCTTATAGTGTTTCAAATGAGCGTGGTAAACGTGGTACAAGCAGTCATTTTTACCATGCGACAATCATATAACAAAAGGCCTCAGATAGAAGCAGCAGCCTTGCTGGATCCTGTCCTGTCTTTGAGTCCTGCTAGGCTGATGAACTGGCCTGCTGGAGCTGCACTGACCGCTGGGCGAAAGAATCCCCCTGGGAAGTGCTGCCCTGCGTGTTGTTTGCCGCCTCTGCAGGGGGCCTGAGCTGATGGGTGGCGCTGCTGGTCTTTAGTTAACTTGGTGGACTCTCTGTTTCTGAATTTTCTTCCGCCTTAATCCACATGGTTTGAGTAGGCTGGTTGCACACTCTTGGAGAACCAGCACGAGATGTCCCTCATTTTATTTATTTGCACTTCTGCTCAGCCTGTACATTGTGGGCCGGGGCAGGGACCTTGGCTGCTTTGACTGTGGGACCCTAAGCACTGTGCCTGGCATTAATGTTTGTTGAATGAATGTCCAATGGTTTCCAGTCTTTGATGACAGAAGCCAGATCAGAACTGGAATTCCAGCTTAGGCTCTGCATGCCAGAGGCCAGCAGGTGAGCTTCCCTGAGCGGTTTCTGTCCCAGCATCACCTAAAGAGTGGTCGGGCAGCTGTATCACTGCCAGGGACAGGAGAGCTGCCTGAGTCAGTCTTGTCTTCTGCCATAGTCCACGTTTCCTGCCTGGAATCCACTAGTGAGATGTGGCTGACATGGGCAGGGAGAGGGTGTCTTTAGCCACACTGGAGATCTGGTCTGATGACTTCCTAGTCCCACTACTATTCAGTTCAAAGTCAGTTTTCTTTTTCTGCGCCGCCCCCCCCCCCCGCCCACACCTTGCTCTTGTGACTGGGTACTTGGGGCAGGACTCACAATGCCTCCACCCACCCCAGGCATCCAGGCTGCACTTTGCCTGAGGGCATGTGAGGGTGGCCCTGTGACTTGGACTGTGAATGGCTGCTGGGCTGGCCTTCCCTTGCCCTGTGCTGGATGTGGCCCTCACCCCCTACCCCAGACCTCACCCTCCACCCCCCACCCCCAGTTCTGCCTTGGGCCTCTTCTCCTTTTCCAAGTTCAGCTTTTTATTAAGCAGAAACTATCCAAGACCCAGTTCTGACCGTTGAGGGAAGTCAAGTTGGAGGGGCAGTGTTGTGTAGCCTGGCTTACAGGCTGGCTCTCCTTGCGCCAGCTGTGGGACACTTAGCAAGTTGCATAACCTCTCATCTGGGAAATGAAGATAACAATGCTTACCCCCAAAGAGCTATTTTCATGATTAGCCAGAAATAAAGTAAGTGCTGTGTAAATGTTTATTGAGCAGCCTGTGTTTGTTGGATTTAAAAGAAGAGAGTGAGTCTTTTAAACAAAAAGCCCTCCCATAACCAGCAGCCCTAAGTGGGGCTCTGGGACAAAAAAAAAAAAAGTTTTCTGGTATCCTGGCTTGGGGGAGGGAACAGGTAGACAATTTTTGTATTTTTTAGTACAGACGGGGTTTCACCATGTTGGCCAGGCTGGTCTCAAACTTGCTTCCCCAGAACTCAGGCGCTGCTTCTGTCTTAGTGGAGTGAGTGCTTGCCAGCTGTGGCGGGCGTGGCACTCTGGTGTTCATCTTCTGTGATGGTGCCGTGGATTTAACTAAGCCAACCACAGGATATAGTGAAATATGTGTTGACTTCTCTGCTTTTTTGGTGACGGGCTGTGTGGGGAGGGGTGGTAAATAATTTCTCAAGTAGTGTAAATTATTATCATATGTCAAGTAATAGAGTCTCATGTTATGTGGTCTTTGCTTTTATTGGTATTTTTCCATTAAGGAATTTCTTTTTCTCTTTTTTTTGAGACAGGATCTCGCTCTGTCACCCAGGCTAGAGTGCAGTGACGTGATCTCAGCTCACTGCAACCTCTGCTCCCTGGGGTCAAGCGATTCTCGTGCCTCAGCCTCCTGAGTAGCTGGGATTACAGGCATGTGCCACTACACCTGGCCAATTTTTGTATTTTTTAGTAGAGATGAGGTTTCACCATATTGGCTAGGCTGGTCTCAAACTCCTGGCTTCAAGCAATCCATTTGCCTCAGCCTACCAAAGTGCTGGGACTACAAGTGTGAGCCACCGGCCCAGCCTAAGGAATTTCTAAACACAAGATTTTTTTTTTTTTTTTTTTTTAATTGATCATTCTTGGGTGTTTCTCACAGAGGGGGATTTGGCAGGGTCATAGGACAATAGTGGAGGGAAGGTCAACAGATAAACAAGTGAACAAAGGTCTCTGGTTTTCCTAGGCAGAGGACCCTGCGGCCTTCCGCAGTGTTTGTCTAAACACAAGATTTTCAAAAGAGATTTTTAACCTACTTCGTTTTGTGTTATAAGGTAAGACTAGATGGCTGTTTTTAACTGAACATTTTTGAATGAATATGAGTAGCAAGAACACTGGTAAATAGTGTATATCCACTTAGCACAGTTTCCCCTTGCAGTATGTTCTTTTGCCAATTACGTATTTTCCCATCCCTACATACACCCGCTTGGGCCATGTTGAAAGGAGGAACCGCCCTGAACTGGCCCTGCCCTGGCCATTACCACTTAGATCCTGGCTTGCCAAGGGGAATGGGGGAGTGTGCATGTGTATCTTCTAGGAGGGCACCTAGCAGAAATTGATCCCTTGAAATATTTGTTTCCTGTCTGTTTTTGCAGGTTGGTTTCCATATCTACTCTTTCCTGTAGTGTCTGTATTTTTTGTTACTGTATGAGATTTTAAAAAGTGTTATTGAATAATATGCATACCTAAAGTGCACAGATCTCAAGTGTACATATCAGTGAATTTTCACAAGCCCAGCACACCCATAGCCAGTTTAAGAGCCACAGCACAGCTCCAAAACCCTCCTGGCACCCCTTCCTGCCTGCCTCCTCTTTCTCTTCCCTGTCCCGGCTTCGAAGGGTGTAGATTAGTTACGCCTTTTCTTGTGCTGGATCCAAAGGGAATCGTACAGCATGTATTCTTGTAGGCACAAGCATTTTAAAATCTTTCTCTCCTCACCTAAAGCTTTATTGTTTTTTTCTTCACTTTAAATTCTTTGTAAAAATTGAAGAAGCGAGGTGTTTTTATTTCCATGTAATCACAGTTGCGTATTTGAGTGTCCTAGTTCTTAGGAGACAGTCGTGCTGCTGAGAGACCATGGGGTCACCTGCCTGTCTCCAGGGGACTCTGTGTCCCCAGTCCTGTCTCCTGCATGAGGCTTCCTGTTCATCTGCTGACAGGCATTGCCTTGTTGTGTGTAGTCACAGAAGGAAGTTGACTTCCACATGTAGGGACAGTGTAAGATTATCCTGTGCAAGCAAGTCCCTGTCCCACTGACTGCTGTGACGCCCCTCAGATGCAGAGAGAGCATGCTGTCTTTTTTCTCTTGTAAGCAGGAGGATCCCAAATACAAGAAGATATTAGAAGACTCATGTATGGTGTAAGTTAGTTTGTATATAATTTGATTTTTTGTGTGTTGGGGAGGGGGTAGTATGAATTTTGTTCTCAGACCTCTTCTCCCTGATTTTCCGTGGAAATACTGAAATTTCTCTTTGGCCACTTTCTGAAAAGAGAGCTCTTCTGTGATGGCCACAGCAGGCAGGAGCGTGCAGTCTGGGAACCTGGGACTGTACAGCGAATGCAGCAGTGTATGGGAATGACCTTATCTCGGCAGCCAACAGGAAATGATGAAATGTGCTGGGAGAATTCAGCTGAGAGACAGAGGTCAGACATGCCAGCAGGGTTGGAAAGAGGCAGGTACGGAAGCTGAGCTGCAGAGTTAGCCGGCATCTGACAGAAAAATGTGAGTGTGCTGTGGAAGGCTTGCATTTCCTTTAAGGTAGACCTCTTTGAAAGTAGAATTTTCACGGAATTGTTTTCTTTCTCACTGAGTGACTGATTTAACAGAACTCTCACCTTCTATGCAAGCGCACCTAGTTTTAGAGCTCCGTGACGGCAATGTTCAATTAGTTCATTATTAACTGAGCAATGCAGAATGCTTTATCCAGGGTGCTTGGAGAAGATGTCAGAGTAAGTGTTTGATTTTCTTGGAGAATAGATTTCGGCTTAAACAAATGAAGGATTGTGTTTTGTAATTTTTGACTCTGGTTTTAGAACATACGTGCGTGTTTCCTTTCAAAATAGATGCAATAACTTTGCACCTTTGCTTTGGCATGTTTTAGAGTAGCTGACATACTTTAGCTGTATTTTTTTCTTACCGAGTAGCTAAATGAGTTACTTGAGTTAGCTGTTAATAGAGGGCTTTTCCCCCTACTTTAAGGCGTTAATGTTTATTACATGCTGCCATTTTCTTTCTTTACAGCCAAATCTAATCTACAAACACATAAGTGGGACTTGAGAGAGAAAGCAAATTATCTTTTCCAGGAGACTGTAATTGCTGTTTCATGACTGTTTACTGCAGAGTCTCTGATCACCTGCCACCGCTCCAGGACCCCTCCCGACCACCTTCCCATCCTCCCCCTCAGTTCTTCTCATTTCTCATCCCAGCTGGACCCTGTGCCCTCGTCCCCCTCTGAGGGCTGTCACTAGACACTGTTTATATTTTTGTCGGGTAACAAAATGTAAAAGTCTTATTGTTTTAATAACTGAGCAGCCTTATGTACGTATTCAATTGTTTCTTAGAAGTCATATTCTGGAATTTTTGAAAAACAGTGGCTCCCCTTTATTGCTGTGGTGCTGTAATTCTAATTAGATTTTTAAAATCCTGATACTTAAGTGACCCATCACTCAGTGAATTATACTTACTGGATTACTGATTGCCATTAAAAAGGCAGCATCCTCTCTCCGTCCTCCAGAAAATACTGTGCTGGTGCAGCCTGTGCCTCACAGAAAAACATGCTTTCTTGTTAGGATGTTACCTACTGTGAAGTGTGTGTTTCAAATACTTTTAAGATTGCATAGGAAAGGTTTCTAGAAACCCCCAAGGTATATAGTATGTCTGTCCGACCTTAATCGGGCCCATCAGTTTTGTCTTTGCTCTTGTAGCTCTGAATATCTCTTTCTTCAGATCCCTTCCTTCTTGTCAGTAAAACATCCTACTGAATTCTGCATGAATTTTAAATGCTGTATTTATGAAAACAGCAAAGAGGTTTCATAACTTCAAACCAAAGCATTTTTACAGGTATGAGATTTATGCCAATAAGTAAAAATACGCCTTCCTTTTTTCTTTTTAAACAGTGTTAGTCCTTTGAGACCCGTTTGCCCACCCACACAATTCTGTTATTCATTTGGTGGCATAATGCAGAAGGTGGGAACGCAATATTTAGAGCTGTAATGGCTCTTGGACTTAATATTCCAGGATCCTCACTTTACCAAAGGAATTGGGATCCAGAGGTGACGACTTGTCCAAGGTCACTCGTCTCGTTGGTAGCCGAGTGAGTCTGAAACCCTGGTCATGAGACTCATTACTCTTTCCATTACAGTAATCTGCTTTCTTCGCATTATTATCTTAAGATGAATATCACTTAGCTAAGAGTGTTTTTTTTTTCTACTGATGAGTCCGTTCATATTTGTTTCACTTTCAAACACTCAGCTTTTATTCAATAACTTTTTTGCTGTAAGTACCATTTGCATAGATGTATAGTGAATTACCTCAAGTACAAAGAGCATTGACATTTCTTAAAAATCAACAATTCTCTATATTATAAAGTTTTGCTTGCCTCTCCCCTAGCTCAGGGGAGAGACAGTCAATTGTTACTGATAGAAGCGGGCCTCACGATGGGATTGCTTGCCAGATGAGAATGCCAAACTTAATACAATCACAACTAATACAAGAAACAGACAAGCACTCAATTCTTCTTTGAAACAGGATTCTTCAGGGTGTGAAAGGGAAACCCCAAACCTTTAGCATTTCTGCCTTTCAGCCCCTATAAGGGAATACTGACTCTGTCTTGAGCTGAACTGAAGAGGTATTGGAATATGAAAGACTTTAAAATAATACAACATAATATAAATAAAGGAGAAAACGATTTAATTTATAAAAATGGAATTTACTCACAATTTTCCAGAATCATTAAAAATGGTCTCTGCTAAAAATTCAGTTTGAATCCTCTGAAATTCAGGTGTGGGAGTTAGTTATAAACAGGTATGCTGAGAACAGTGGGTGACTGTTCCTAGACCTCGGTGTGGCCATCACTGTCTGTCCAAAGTCACCTTAAAATACCTTGGGGAGGTTCACAGGATAGCGCTTATTTGTATTTTCTAAAGTATTTAGAATATATGCCTTGAAGAATTTCTGAAACAAAAGCACTTCAGGAAAACTGGCACTTTCATAAATATGTTAATTGTATTTGAAGTTGAATTTAATAACTTTACAACTATTTTAATTTATGAAACTGAAGAATGAAGTGGAATACATAAGCAATATTTTTATGCAGTGTGTCAGAACTGTCTTCCCTCCTGGTGTTCTAGTGGGCACTTTCTGTCAGTCTCCTTAAAGAGGTGCTGCTTTCATTTGGTGAGCCAGGCGACATTATCCTAGAGAAGAAGTGGGGCTGCAGGCTCAGGAGCCGCAGTGGCTTAGTTCGCTTCTCCCATAATTTAGTTACCTTTGTTCCCCAATTAGCATTTTATACTTACTATTATATTTTCACTATATATTAAGTATAGAATATTCCAATCGGCTTCCTTTTCTTAGTGTATAATTGACCTTCTTATCTTCTGCAGTCTATAAGTAACATTTGATATGCTTCCCTCCCTGGCCTCTAGCTTCTGCCCACATTAGTATAAATGTTGCTGTGCTTGTGAGATTTAAAGATGAGAAAGAGATACCAGACTGTTGCAGTGCTGGCATTGCTCCAAACTGAGAAGGGGTTAAACGGCAGCCCCCTGGGGCTGCTGTTGGCTTAGAAATCTCAGAGTTTGTGTTGTTGGTGTTTGGGCCTTTTTCATGTCCACCTCTGTCCAGGGCAGCTCTCCAGACCAGATTCTAGAAGTGGCCTCAGAACCTTCTCTAAGACTATGAAGAAACATCCCCCAGTATCCTAGGCCCTTAGAGTTTGGTAAAGAGGAGCATGTATGTGTGTGTCAGTATGGTGAGATAGTAATTAGACAAGGGTTATTGATTTGAATGAATGAATGAATGAATGACATTGTTTGCTTTTCCATAGTGATTACTTTTGAAGGCACTATAGTCACATTTCACTAGGTGGTCTAAATGCATTTGCATGTCACAGTTCTGCCTTGACACCAAGTAACAGGTTGTGTCTACCTGACGTCTCCTCCAGCCCTGGGGCTCTGGCCTAAGTTTTTTCTTATTAGACTCTGTCATATATGAATCATAAGACATAAATCTTTATGTGGGCTCATGGTACATATTTTATTTTGAGAAACTTAAAGAATCTAATAGGAAGTTAGAATTAATTTGAAATGTGTGCCAGTGGTCATCACAATAGTATGGCATTTAGATTATCTTTTTGTTAATGTGAAGGGTGCTATGAATTTCATACTCAGTCATGTTTCCCATCAGGATTTGTTCTACAGTGGAGTCCTTGAAGGAGAACAAGGAAGAATGATTTTGCTGGAAAATGCTTACTTGACGAAATGTTGATGTAATTAACAGGACAAAATGTTGAACTTCCCAATTTGGAACTCTCTCTTTGACTCTTAAATTCCTAACATAGATTGGTAGTGCTAGTTTAACAAAATAAATGAAGCACATGACAGTTTTGGGGATAATGAAATGACTTCTCTATCTTCTCTGCTATGAACTGACACATGAAGAAAAAATAGCACAGGGCGTAGTAGACTGATCACCAGTATCTATTGATTTGGAAGACAGAAACATTTGTTACTACTTTCCCATCTATAGGGACGGTCACCTCAGGTTCACTTAGTCAGATCCTACCATTACTGTGCAGGAAGAATGTTAGAAAGCAAGACTGTAAAGCCATGAAGGAAAGTGGCAAGACCACTTTTGGTGGATAAATCTTTCATACTTCACATTGAACTCGAAGACATTAAATTGAATCTTAGGTGTACCCAGTGAACTTCTGAGGTTGAAGAGTTTGCATTTGGGATGGTGGAAGTTGTCATGATGATGAAAAGTCATGATGTGAGGCTATGTAAACTGTACTTGTCCCAGCACCTGACAGCCTTTTTTTTTTTCCCCCTGATGCTATCTCCAGGTATGACAGCTTTTATTGGTAGACATGCAGGCACCTGAGTGAGCTCTGGGCTTATTTCCAGCCATCCGTTAGATCACTGCCTGGAGGGACAGTTCACCTGGATGCTGGCTGGCTGGATCAGTTGATTTGTTTTTTCGTTCGTTCGTTCGTTTGTTTGTTCATTCATTCATTCATTCATTCAGTTTACCTTCTTGGTCTCTTGTCCACGCAGTTCACATCAGGCACTGTGCTAGACTCTAGGGATCCATAGACGGTTAGGATTGAGTTCTGGTCTCTGAGGACCTCACAGTCCAGTAAGGTAAAGAGACTTCTAAGCAGCAGGGTGGTGAGTCTTAAAGAGCTATTGGGACCTTATTCTGCCATGAAGAATGGAGGAGATTGGGGGGAAACTCCAGTTTGATGATGAGTTTTAGAGGGAGTGGTTTGTCAGGTACCCAAGAGAAGCAGCGGGAGCAATATATGCAAAGGCAAGGAGGTCAGAATCTGCCAGACTTAGGAGCTTGTTGTGGCTGGAGTGCCGTTTATATGTGGACATGCTTCAGGAACATCATATTTATCAGATCCAAACCAGTTTGTTCTTAATTCTATTTTTCTCTTTGTGGCATTATCACCTACCATGCCTCCGAAATTTGAGACTTTGAATCCCTGCCCCCATCCCCCATTCCCTGGCATCATCCATCACTATGTCCTGTCTGTTTTTCCTCTTGGATATATTCCTCTTTCCTGGTCTTCTAACCATTTCCCTTTCTCCAGACTTGAACCTCCAGAACTGCGATGTCCAGTGTGGTAGCCACTAACCACGTGACTGTTTACATTAAAATTGACTAAAATTAAAAAGTCATTGAGACCAGTCTGGACAACATAGTGAGTCCTCTGTCTCTATAAAAAATAAAAAATTAGCCAGGTGCAGTGGCACATACTTGTAGTCCAAGCTTCAGAAGGCTCAAGTGGGAGGATCGCTTACACCCAGGAGGTTGAGGCTGCAATGAGCTGTGATAGTGCCACTGCACTCAGCCTGAATGACAGAGGGACACCCTGTCTCAAAAAAAAAAGTCAGTTTCTCACTTGGACTAACTACTTTTTAAGTGTTAATAGCTGGTGGCTGCCATACTGGACAGCCCAAGACTAGAGGCTCAATGGGCTGTTCTCCACTCTCTGTCCAAGGGAACCTTCCTTTATGTGCTTTTTGCTTTCAAGATAGGGTCTTGCCCAGTCGCCTAGGCTGGAGTGCAGTGGCATGATCTCGGCTCACTGCAACCTCCGCCTCCCAGGTTCAAGTGATTCTCTTGCCTCAGCCTCCCAAGTAGCTGGGACTATAGGCACATGTCACCATGCCTGGCTAATTTTTTGAGTTTTTTGGTAGAGACAGGGTTTCACTATGTTGGCTAGGCTGGTTTCGAACTCCTGACCTCAAGTGATCTGCCTGCCTCAGCCTCCCAAAGTGCTAGGATTACAGGCATGAGCCACCGCACCCAGCCTCATGCCTTTTAACCTTTGTACTTGCTGTTCTTATTCTCTCCAGAATACCATTCTTGCTCTAAGCATTCCTCTCTTCCCTGGCTTTCCTTAGGTGAATTTCGTCTCTTTTTTCCTCCAGTGTCCTTGTAATCACACAATCACGCTTGCCTCTGAGAGGGCACATATATGTTTATCGTGTGTCGAGACATCATAGTATAGTGGTTAAGCCTTGGGGACAGATTGTCTTAATTTCAAAACTAGCCGGTTACTTGCCAGGTGGCTTTGAACACATTACTTAACCTCTCGGAGTTTTAGTTTCTTCAGCTATAAAATGAAGACAATGGTTTTTTCCTCGTGTTAAATGAAACCCTTAGCACTGCATTTAAATATATAGCTCTCAAATTGTAGCTGAGAGCTCTCATTCTAGATAAATTCCCTTCCTCTGTTCATCAGCCATGCTAAAACCATTTAATGGTTTGTTAATGCTAATAATGCTGTTACGTTTCTTCTTTTCTGATTGTTACACCTTTTAGTTATTTTTCTTATTGCAGTGGCTAGGCCCTTCAATGCAATTTGCATAGACATGTAATTTTTTATTCCTGTAATTTCTATTGGCTGTAGTTCTTCTGGTGAGATTTTTATTCTCTCTTTTGTTTTGATTGCATTTCATCATGCCCATTTTCCATTGCATTTTTTTTTCACTCTTAGTTTAGAAATTAAATTCTCAGCCTGCTCCTTTAGTGGTTATCCTAGATATTTTTGTGTACTTAACAAAATCTTAAGTGATATCTTTACCCTTCTCTTGAACAATGGAAGGATAGAAAACATTTTAACTCCATATGCCCTCTCAACTTGTCCAGTTTTTTTTTTCTGATTTTTTTAAATCCTGCAAATTTGCCATTGTCTTTTATACAGCTAATGCTATTTAGATTTATCCAATATATTTATCTGCATATTTGCTTACCATTCCTTCTTGTGCTTCAGGGCTTTCCATCTGAAATAATTTCCTTCTTTTAAAAGTATATCCTTTAAGGGCTGGGCATGGTGGTTCACGCCTGTAATCCCAACACTGTGGGAGGCCGAGGCCAGTGGATCACTTGAGGTCAGGAGTTCAAGACCAGCCTGTCCAATATGGAGAAACCCCGTCTCTACTAAAAAACACACAAAAATTAGCTGGGCCTGGTGGCACACACCTGTAATCCCAGCTACTCGGGAGGCTGAGGCAGGAGAATTGCTTGAACCTGGGAGGCAGAGATTGTAGTGAGCCGAGATCGCTCCACTGCACTCCAGCCGGGGCGACAGAGCGAGACTCCATCTCAAAAAAAAAAAAATAAATAAATAGGCCGGGTGTGGTGGCTCAACGTCTATAATCCCAGCACTTTGGGAGGCCAAGGTGGGCGGATCACGAGGTCAGGAGACTGAGACCATCCTGGCCAATGTGAAAACCCGTCTCTACTAAAAATACAAAACAAATTAGCCAGGCGTGGTGGTGCGCGCCTAAAGTCCCAGCTAATCAGGAGGCTGAGGCAGGAGAATCGCTTGAACCAAGGAGGCAGAGGCTGCTGCAGTGAGCCAAGATCATGCCACTGCACTCCAGCCTGGGTGACAGAATGAGACTCTGTCTCAAAAAAAAGATAAACTTAAAAATAAAAAATAAATAAATAAAATAAAATAATAAATAAATAAATAAATTTCTTCAACAGGAGAGTCATTAAGATACCTGGTTTGCTGTGCTGCTGAAAACAGAATTATGCTCTGTCATTCCTTGACTCATTCATTCTAGTTGTGTTTATTATGTGCCTGTTACGTATCAGTGGTAGGAACACGGGCAAACAAGGCAAAATCCTGGTGCATAAGGAACCTACATTCTCGTGAGTGGAGAGAGAAAAGATAATTTGGCAGGTGAGGTTGAGTGTTAAGAAAATAAAACAGAGTTAGGGCTGGAGTATCAGGGCTGGGGGAAGGCTTTCTTAAGAAGAGGGTAATGTTTGAGCAAATATCTGATGCTGGGAGGCAGCAGATCCTACAGATGTGGGAGGCAGGTATTCCCGGCAGAGGGGAGGCAGGTGCAAAGGTAAGCCGAGTCTGGTGCATCTGGAGAACCACATGGAGGTCACTGTAGCCAGAGTCCAGGGTGTGGGGATTGGAAGGAGCGAGACTGGCGCTGGAAGCAGGGGCTAGAATCACATGGGACCTTGTAATCAGGGTGGGGAGTATCAATAACTGTGACAGTTGACAATAGCTGTTGGCAAGATTTGAGTTTAGTAGATTGAACCAGGGTAACTGAGACAGAGGTGGTGTGAAGCGGCCACATTCTGGCTCTGTTTTGAGGTAGAGGTGATGTTATGTGGACATGAGAGGAGGAGAGGAGTCAGGGATGACACTGGGGCATTTGTCCTGAGCAGCTGTGTCCTGGAGGAGCCCAACCGGGGGATGCAGGAGCAAGAGGTGGGTTTTGGCCAGTGTGTCGGAGAGGCCCGTGAGCCTCCCAGGGGGAGATGCTGAGCCAGCAGCTCGGGCCATGCCGGATCTGGAGCTCAGGGAGAGGCTGAGTGAGGAGGCATCAGCACGTGGATGGAATTTTAGGTCACAGGAGGGAGAGGGTCACCCAGGAAACTAGTGTGCACAGAGAAGAGGAGGCTGAGCCCTGGGCACCACGGGTGTGCACAGGGTGATAAGGGCACCAATTGGGTGCTTTGCAGGACTGTCCGGAATTACTTGTCTAGAGAGAATGCAGTTAATACTGCAGGCCGGTTATCGTGACTAGAAGATAAGGCTCGTGGATTCCTTTACCAGAAAAGCTTGGATTTCATGCTTACCTAAAGGGAAGGTGCCCACGTGCTGCCTTATCTTCCTTTTGAATTTTCAAAAGCAACTCAATCAGTGTATTCTTATGGCAGAACAATTAAGTGATACAGATATGCAAAAGCCCAGACTTTCATGTTCCACCACCCAGAGATGTTCATTCAAGACTCAGGACAACCTTCCCTGACCACCATATGTCCAGGTAGACCCTGTCACTCTCTGTCCCCCACTTGGCTTCATGCTTTCCCCCAGCCCTTAATGCTGTCTGCCGCTACATTACCTACTGGTGTGGCTTTGAAATCCCCTGACCCCTACTGGAATATATACAGGGGCCTTGTCACTTCTACCCATCCCGGGACCCCACAGGCCCAGCGAGGTGCCTGGCATACGGTAAGTAAGGCTGCATTACATTTCATTGAATGGAAGAATTCACATTTTTGGTACATAGCCATCTGGACTTTTTTTCTAGGTAATTACCCACTCTTAAACATATATTTTTAGATAAAGCCCAAGTGTTCAGCTTTTTAGACGTAAGAATGCTACTTATGGCGTTGAATGTTACTGTAAGCTAACTTTGCACTAGTTGGCTGGGGCTGCTGTTTTCAGTCAGTTTCAGCAATGGTGGCTGCACAGGCCTTCAGAGCCCTTCCTGAGCCTGTGCCTGGACAGCAGCGTGAATCGTCAGTCCACCTCATGCTGTCTCCTAGGAGGCTGTGCAGCTGCAGGCCTTCTTTCCTCAACCAAAATGCTGTGCCTGCCCACCTGCCCACTCCCTTCCCTCCCTCCCTCTCAGCCTAATCTGGTATGACTTTGTCTTATCTTTCCTAGTATTTAGACAATTTGTTCCTTTGTATCTTGGAGGATTGTTCCAGGACCCTCCAAAGGATACCAAAATCCATGGATGCTCGTCTCTGATATAAAATAGTGTTGTATTTGCATATAACTTATGTATACTCTTCAGTATTCTTTAAATCATCTCTAGATTACTTATAATACCTAATAGAATATAAATACAATGTAAATAGTTATACCGTATTGTTTAGGGAATAATGACAAGCAAAAAAAGTCTGTACATGTTTAGTACAGATGCAGCTACCCACTTCTTTCCCCCGTATATTTTCGATTCCTGACTGGTTGAATCCACAGATGTGGAACCCTTGGGTATGAAGGGCTGAGTGTGCTGTGAGCTCCTGGACCGCAGGGCCTGCATGGTGTTATTCACTTGTTTTCATTTCCATCCCCTAGCTCTTAGCAAGGTTTCTGGCACTCAGAAAGTAAATGTTTTTAGAATATTGGGAGAGATAGATGTAAAATAATTTGTAAAATCAATTTCCTTGGCTTGATATTTACTCAGTTTATTAGAATAAATTAAACATTTTATTGAAAATATTTAAGAATTTGGGACACAGGCTATGTCTTGAGACAGCCAAACTGACAAATTTTTATGAAGGACAGGTTCTTTCTGCCTGTGTGTGTGTGTGTGAGAGAGTGTGTGTGAGTGTGTGTGTGTGAGTGTATGTGTGTGTGTAGTGGGGGTATTGGGTATTGTAATGAAGTCAAGAGAGTAACCAAGACATTTTCTTCAGGGCTTCTCAGATAATATTATTGTATATTGTAATTCGGCATTTTATCATAAATAAGAATTGTCATTAATTTTTCCCCTTTATAAGTGGTCACTGGAAATGTTTATTAGGCAGCTAGCATCACAAAATGTGTGTGTGTGTGCGTGCGCGCGCGTGTGTGTATGAGGCTTAACGTTGAAGGTCTTTGTTTTGTGTTTCTAGAGTTCTCAGTGGCACAGCTGAGAATGGGTGTGTAAGTCCTGCTTGCCAAAGCCATATCCTCCCTGTGTGGGGTGGGAGTTGCCAGAGAGGCCAGGAGGAGTCATACTAGGAGCAAGAAGGCTGGGAAGGCTGGAGACTGACATTTTCAGGCACTCACATACAATGTGTCATTTAAATTCCTACTCTGTGTAGGTCAGCCACCTTTATTCCCATTTTGCTGGTAAGAAGGTAGCTTAGAAGTTAAAATGTGCACCTATTATTTAAGAAATGTTTTGTCCTTATAGAGACAGGATCCCACCTTGTTGCTCAGGCTGGTTTGTAACTCCTGGGCTCAAGCAATCCTTCCACCTCCACCTCCCAAAGTGCTGGGATTACAGGCGTGAGCCACTATGCCTGACCCACTCCCCTTGTTTAAGGGAAACTTTTGCTATTAATTTTATGCTTGATTTAAGCCTATTAGTTTCAGATTGTTGCCTGACAATTGAGTTCCCTGTTTGTTTTTCCAAATTACTGGCTAGTTCATTTTATGTGAACTTTTTTTAGAAATAAAAGCACTGTCAAGTTAGAATTCATTTATCAGTTTGTCACACGAAACTGGCTCCATATTCTTCTCTACAGTAGAGTGCTTTGGCTCTAGCTGATACCTTTGAATGAAATAGAATATTTTCTTGAGAAAGCGGCACCATAGTTGAGTGCATAGATGCCCAGAAAATATTTGAAAACCAAATCCTCTCATGGTTTGTACTTAAAATTTTTTTTTAGAGATGGGATCTCACTGTGTTGCCCAGGCTGGAGTACAGTGGCTACTCACAGGCACTATCATAGCTCACTGCAGCCTCAAACTCTTGGGCTCAAGTGATCTTCCTGCCTCAGCTTCCCAAGTATCTGGGACTATAGATAGTCATGTGCCACCACACCCAGCTCGTGTGGCTTTTTAAACTTCAAAGGCACATATTTATAGTACTGGTTGAGAAGGTATTTAGGTAGTTCACTTCTAGATAGCGCTTCTGATGGGTGTGACCTCTTCTTGTCCATGCTTACCTAGCATTCTTATGGTGGGCTTTTATCAGGACATTCTACTTTTTATTGCTGGTAGGTAAATGGAGCAGAAGTCACTCTTGTGGTGGAGTAACTAGTGACTTGAGCTGGTGTCTGATCTTCAGCGCCCTGCCATTTGTCAGTCCCCTCTCCCCTCCTTCACAGCCACAGCAGCTTCCCAGGGTTTGCCCTCCAGGACCAGCGGGACCCTGCACTGGGCTGGTTTCTAACTCCCCTTTGTCACACAGGTTCCTCTACCTGGGATGCCTTTCCTTGCTGCTCCTGCTGAAGAATTCCCACTGAAACATCAGCCCTGGGCACCCTTTCTGGACCCTCTATGTGTCCCCGTAGCATGTTGTGCAGAACTGTTTCCTAGCTCTTGGCCGCTGTGTTGGAGGAGGTTGTTCAAGTGTCCATCGACCCTGTGAGAATGGAGTGCCCCAGTGTGGGGGCACCTGGCTTACGGGCTCAGGAGCTGGGCTGCCGTGGAGCCTGGCCCCAGTCACCTTCTCCCTGGCCAATGCTTGTGGAAGGTCCCCATACTCCAGGCACTGTGCCAGGTCCCAGCCGGATGCCATTTGATCCGTGCAACCTGTCAGGCAGATTGGATTCTATTTTACCCATGAGCAGTGTCAGGCGCAGAGCTCTTAGGTATTTTGCCTGAGGCAGCTGGATCATTAAGAGGTCCCCCCCCCCACCCCCAGGGGTCTTGTGAAGACTCATAGATGCAGATTTCAGAGACCTTCTAGATTTGTGCATCCAGGCTAGCGTGTTCTTTGGTGTTGTCCCCTCTTGCTGTCTCTCATATTCAGCTTGTTCAGACCAGGGCTTCAGCTCCTCTTGAGGATTCCACTCATCAGACTGTTGGGTAGGGAAGAGCCTCTGAAACGGCTGCCTCCAAGCATGGGAAGAGGCCGCTCCTCTTTTGTGGACAAAGGGCCACAGAGGCCCTTTGTGTGACAGGAAGTCCTGCTTCTAGAAGGGGCTGCCTGAAAGTGGAGGGGTTGAAAGAAGCTGAAGCGTTGACCTGGGGCCACTCTGACTCATGCATGTTGTCAATAATACTCTTTGTCTGTCTTGGGAACCTGGCACAGCAGACCTCGAAGGTGGCCTGGAGCATTCCTCTTCTCCCTCCTTCCTGCTCACTCTGCCGCCTGTGAATGCCCCTATTTTCTGACCTGAACAAAGGGCAGCCTCCTGACCCATTCTATATTTTTTCCTTCTATTTATGCCAGGAGAATCTTTCTGTCTCATCTGGGCCTGTGTGAGTTTTCTTTTTTAGGGTTTAAGTGCGTCTCTTGAGTTGGAAAACTTGCAGCTTAAGGGAGAGCTGTCCCACTGGGCAGGTGCCTCTGACGGAGAGGAGGCGTCGTCGGGAAGTATGTGGCCGTGGCTGCTCTGGCATGATCCTGAAGACTGGCACGAAGGGGAATGGAGCCGCACAGAGAATTTCAGGCATCAGAGGGGAAGCGCAGGTACCCGGACCCACGGCCCAGCTCCCTGCAACATGGTCCACATGTCTCCTGTATTTGTGGCCATCTGTCAGTTGTTAAATACTGTGGTTAGGATGTGAGGACACCAGAAGCGAGGGAAGTGGTGGCAGAGATGAGCTGACGCGTCCTCATGTGCTCTGAAGTCCTGATCCCCAGCTGGACGAGAGAGGATCATGTGTGTGCGCATGCCTGTGTGAAGGGATCCTAAGATTATGTTGGAATAACACTGCATCAGTCCTGGGCAGGCAGCTTTGTGTGTTGTGTAACTGGGGCTTCTTGCTGTGGGGACATGGTGGCAAATCAGTGAGCACTTGTTCTTTTTGTTTTTTGAGACAGAGTTTTGCTCTTTCCCCCAGGCTGGAGTGCAGTGGTGCGATCTCACTGCAACCTCCATCACCTGGGTTCAAGTGATTCTTGTGCCTCAGCCTCCCAAGTAGTGGGTGAGCCCGTGGTACATTGCTGCTCTCGCCAGGCTCAGAGGCCAATGTGTGCCTCCTTCCTGGATGCAGTGGCAGTCAGTGAGTGCTTCCACTCCTGCCCCCAGGGACAAATCCTTTGGCTTTATTAGCTTTGTCCTTACTTCCCCCTTAGACTGTGGCAGGTTTGGGGTACCCATACTTCTGGAGACCCTACCCTGGATTATATTAGGTATGTTATGCTCACATGCAGTTTAAACACTTCTTTATGTTATAAAAGTAATTGGAAGGATTCTTATTATTTTGCTTTTGAAACTATTTGGCTATGAGAAGTTGATTTCTCCTCCACCTCCTCTAATTCATTTGTGCATTTGTTCAGAGGGAACAGTGTGTGTGAAGGGGTGGAGCTGATAGGAGTGTGGTGCTTGTGTTGGTAGACACAGGTGATTAACGGTGGCCAGAGCGTGTATAGTGTGGCCAGGAGTGTGGTGTGAGTGGTGAGGCTGGAGGAGCAGTAGTTACAGCCTGGAGGCCCTGCTGGCTTCGGGAGGAAGTAGGGGGAGGAGTTTGAGTAGAGGCAAAACCTGATCTTTCCAGAAGACATTCCAACCACCATGGTAGAGTCACAGTAATGTCATGGAGAATGAAGGGAGTCGGGGACTAAACAAGTGGCTGCAGGTTAGTTAGGACGTTGTTAAGGATTAGGCAGGAGGCAATGGTGGCCTTAGCGAAGGTAGCTATCATCATGGGGACAGAGCCAAGTGGGAGGATTCAAGAGATATTGAAGAGCTGATGTAGTCCGGTCTTGGAAGCTGATTGAATGTGGTAGTGGTGAGGGGGGTTGGGTGTGGGAAGAAGAGGAGTTTCTGGCTTGAGAAGCTGGGTGAATGAATGGTGGGACCATTTCTGACGTAGAAAACCCAGGAACAGGAGTGGGCTCATAGGGAAGGGGATAGTTTGCAAGGACTGTGTGATGGCCAAGTGGAGGCATCCAGTAGGCAGAGATGCGGGTCTGGGCCAGACAGCAGATCAGGGGGCTTGAGGTTAAAGGTGGTTTGGTGTGTGGGCACAGAAGACGTAAGAGAGAGGGCCTGGGACAGAACCTGGGGAGCGCCAGCAGCCAGGAAACAGGCAGAGGAGGTTGAGAGAAGGCACACTGCAGCCACTACAGAAATGAGCTGGTGAGTGTCAGCTCCCTCCCCAAAGACTCCTCTTGCCCTCGTCCCCCACTGATTTTGCTTCTGTCAGCTTGGTAATTGCCGGTGCGTACATCTAGTCACTGTGCAGACTCATTTGAGCATCTACCTCATGCTAAGCACTGGGGATACGGAGATGACACAGCCCTTGCCTCTTTTTTTTTTTTTTTGAGACGAGTCTTGCCCTGTCGTCCAGGCTAGAGTACAGTGGTATGATCTTGGCTCACCGCAACCTCTGCCTCCCAGGTTCAAGTGATTCTCCTGCCTCAGCCTCCTGAGTAGCTGAAACTACAGGGGCGTACCACCACACCTGGCTAATTTTTGTATTTTTAGTAGACATAGGGTTTCACTGTGTTGGCCCGGCTGGTCTTGAACTCCTGACCTCAGGTGATCCACCCATCTTGGCCTCCCAAAGTGCTGAGATTATAGGCGTGAGCCACCGCGCCCAGCTACAGTCCTCACCTTATAAGTTGATGTGTAGTGGATGCGCTGTGCCACTCTGCCTTTTTTGCTTATACCCAATTTCGGATGGAAAATAGCTCACCTGCTAGTTCTCTGTAACGGATGTGTTGTGTCCTTTCTGTCAACTCGTCATTGTTTTCTTAGCTTTGAGCAGCTGACTCGTTTCCAATTTTTGCTGTTATAAATATTGCAGTGATGAACATTTTGTCCAAGCTATTTTTTCTTTGAGTTTATTTGCTTGGGGCATGTTCCCCAGAGTGGGACTTAAGGGTCAGAGGTTGGTAACTGTTATCTGCCTTGTTCTGTATTTTCAGATTTTTCCATGAAGCCTATTAGCAATGTTAGAGTACATTTCTGTTTTCCTGTAGCCCCACCAAAACTGGCATTGTCATATTAATTTTCCTTATTTTACAAGTTATTTCCATATTTTAAAGGAAGTTGTGCTTTTTTTTCCTGCATGGGAATTTGTTGTATTATATTTAGCTAGGTTACATTGCAGTAACAAGCAAACCCCAAGTCTCAGAGACTTAGCCTAACACAAATGTCTTTCTCGCTTGATCTGTGTGTCCCTTGTAGGATGGCTGGGGGTGCGGTTCCACAGAGTCCCTCAGGCCAGGCTGATTAAGGAGACAGCACTCTCTGAGAGCTGCCACTCGAGGCCTGCTCAGTGGACAACACAGTAGACAGGAGAGGCTGGGGGCTTTGTGTGGACTTTTCACTACTGATGTGGCCAGGACTACCAACACAGTCTGGCTTAGCAGGTAGAACTTAGTGAGCATTCCTGTCTCTGCCCAGCCATCTCCTCTTCTGTTTGTTCCTCTCCAGCAACTTCTTTGTCCAGTGGAATTGGATCCTCTGTCTTCATATCAGCTCTTAATGTATTTTAGGTAATAAGATTTTTATCAATTGTGTCTTTTTCTTTCTTTGCTTTCTATATTGTATTGTGCAAAAGTTTAACGTAAGTTTTGGACACATTCATGTTTTCCTCTGATACCTTATTATCACAAATTTCTTTTCTCAAAGCCAGAGAATAAGCTGCTTTTCTTTGAGTTGCTTAAAATGGATTTTATTTGGCTCCTTATGACACTTGAAATTCATCAAAATATATAATGTCAGGTGGTTTTAATCTAAGTTAATTAGGTCCTTGGTGATGCCTGTTCTGCAACATTAAAACAAAACAAAAGAAAGAAAAAACACCCAACCCCAAGCAACACCTCTTCATGACAGAAACACTCAGCAAACCAGGAACAGAAGGGAACTTGACTGGATAAAGGGTATTAATCAAAACTTCCAGGGCTGGCAGTGAAAGACTAAAAGCTTTCTTCCTACAATCCAGAAGAATAGGACCTTGATGTCTGTTCTCACTCCTTCTGCTCAATATTGTACTGGAGAGTCTAACCAGGAACTTCGAAGTTAGACAAGAAAACAAAAGGCATACAGATTGGAAAGGAAAAGGTAAAACACTCTCTGTTCAAAGATGGCATGATCTTATATAAAGAAAATCATAAGGAATCACCAAAAAAACTCTTAGAATTAATATACAGGTTCAGCAAGGTTGTAGGATATAAGATCAATATACAAAAATAACGATATTTCTATAATCTAGCAAGGAATAATTCAAAAAATGGAATTAAGAAAACAGTTTCATTTATTATAGTATATAAAGAATAAAATAGGAGTAAATTTATGAAGAGAAGTGTAAGACTTATATTCTGAAAATTACAAAACATTGTTGAAATAAATTTAAAAGGACCTGAATAAATGGAAAGAGATCCTACATCCATGGACTGGAAGACTTCACATAGTTCAGATGGCAGTACTCCTCAAATTGAGCTACAGAGTCACAGCAGTCCCTTTCAAAATCCCAAAGCAACAAGCCAATTCTAAAATCCCTGTGGAAATGCAAGGGACCAAGAATAGTCAGAACAGTTTTGAAAAGTCAGAGAACAAAGTTGGAGGGCTCACACTTCCCAATTTACAAAAATGTATAAATCTACAGTATTCAAGAAACAGTGTGGTGCGGGCATAAGGATAGACATGGAAAAATGAGATAGAGTCAAGAAAACAAAACTAAACCCCTACATTTATGGTCAGTTGACTTTGGACAAGGATGCTAAGCCAGTTCAATGGGGGAAAGAAAAATCTTTTCAACAAGTGACGCTGGGACAACTGGATATCTGCTTGCAGAAGCATGAATTTGGATCTCTGCCTCATGCCACATATAAAACTTAACTCCAGATGGATCAGAGACCTAAATGTAAGAGCTAAATCTGTAAAGCTTTTTTAATTAAAAAAACGTTTAAAAAAATTAGTCATAATAAGTGATGTAAAACTCTTAAAACATAGCATAAGTCTTTGTCACCTTGGATTAGGCAGTGTTTTCCTAGATATGACACCAAAACAATCAACAAAAGAAAAAAGTGGGTAAATTGAACTTCATAAAAATTAAGAACTTTTGTGCTTCAGAGGATGTTATCAAGAAAGTAAAAAGACAACTCAGAATGGAAGAAAATAGTTTCAAATCATATATCTGATAAAGATACCTTGAATACATAAAGAACTCTTGGGTGGGTGCATTGGCTCACATCTGTAATCCCATTACTTTGGAGGATCACTTGAGGCCAAGAGTTTGAGACCAGCCTGAGCAACATGAGACCCTGTCTCTACCAAAAAAATTGAAAGAATTAAAAAAAAAAAAAAAAAAGAACTCTTAAAATTCAATAATAAAGGCCGGACACAGTGGCTCACTCCTGTAATCCCAGCACTTTGGGAGGCAGAGGCGGGCAGATCACCTGAGGTCAAGAGTTCGAGACCAGCCTGGCCAACATGGTGAAACCCTGTCTCTACTAAAAATACAAAAATTAGCTGGGCGTGTTGGCCCATGCCTGTAATCCCAGCTACTCAGGAGGCTGAGGCAGGAGAATCGCTTGAACCCAGGAGTCAGAGGTTGCAGTGAGCCGAGAATGCGCCACTGCACTCCAGCCTGGGTGACAGAGTGACAGAGTGAGACTCTGTCTCAAACAAAACAAAACAAAACAAAAACCCCAAACTCAGCAATAAGAAGACACACCAGTTTAAAAAATGAGCAAAGGATCTAAACCGACGTTTCTTCAAAGATAGTATACAAATGGCCAATAAGCACATGAAAAGATACCCAATATCACTAGTCATTAGGGAAACACGAATCAAAATCACAATGAGATATCACTTCCCACCCACTAAGATGGTTACAATAAAAAAGACAACATGTGTTGGTGAGGATATGGGAAATTGGAACTGTCACACACTGCTGGTGGGAATGTCAAATGATGCACCTGCTTTGGAAAGCACTCTGGCTGAATGTTGGAAACTCCTGACTTTGGAAGTTTCTCATTATGACCCAGCAGTTCTACTCCTAGGTATCTACTCAAAAGAAATGAAAACATCTGTCCATACAAAGGCTTGTACACAAATGGTAATAGCAGCACTATTAATAGCGGAAAAGTGGCAAACAACCCAAATGTCCAGTCACTTGGTAATGGGCAAACAAATTGTGGTATATTCATACAGTGGAATATTACTTAGCAACAAAAAGGAGTGAAATACACATGCTGCAACGTGGACGAACCTTGAACCTTGAAGACATTCTGGAAAAAGTGAAGGAAGCCAATCACCAGAGCCACATGTTATGATCCCATTTATCTGAAATGTCCAGCATAGGCAAATCCATAGAGACAGAAAGTAGATTAGTGATTGCCAGGATTGGGAGTAGAGGAGGTGGGGGATGACTGGGGAAGGGTGTGGGGTTTCTTTTTGGGGTGATGAAAATGTTCTAAAATGATTGTCATGATGTGGCACAACTCTGTGAACACACTAAAAATCATTGTGTACATTTTAGATGGGTGAACTGTGTGAATTATTATCTTAATAAAACTGTTAGAAAAATAGCAAGAATCTCAAGTACTTCACCCATCATCCCTCCCACAGCCTCTCCTGGCTAAATAATCCCATCCCTTTGGCTATTCTTGACAGACACATTTGGGTCTTTTCCATTTGTATACCCAGAATTTTATTCTTTTTGAGCCTCCTAAATTGTGACTTCCGGGATTAAACACAAAGTCCCAAGGTAGGGGAGGAGGTGGTGGCGGTGGCAGGGGCTTCACCAGCTTGAAGAGAAGCAGCTGGGTATAGGGAAACCCAGGACCTGGGGTGGCCCCTCTCCAGCATGCTAGTGAGGGCTCTGTGCCCTGTCCCAGGGCGGGGCTCATATTCTGGTGGCACTGCTTCTGGTGTAACTGGCTGACCTTGGAGACTGGGCTTCTTTCCCCCTCCCTTTCCATGAATGTAAAAGGAGGAGTGGATTGAGGAGGAAGTTTGAGAGCTACCTGGTGTAATCCGTATTCCTGTTGACAGGAACAGTGTTACTCATTCAGCAAACACATGCTGACCCCCTGCTTTGCACAGCGTCTGAGATTCAGAGATGAAGACAGTATAAGGTCACGATCTAATGACTCACTCTGCACTACATTTCTTTCCTTCTATTGTATAAAATAGAAAAATCTATTTTTGGTGTAAAATGACATCCTAATTACTGAGTAGTTAAGGAGTTTGAGTTTTTAAGCCCGTGCATGCTTTCCACTTGGTTTTACTGTTTGTTCTGTAAGGCGCTGTGTAGGAATAGTACTAGGTAACATCTGTGGAGCTGATAGCAAGCATTGTCCCGCTCCTGCCTACAGCCTTCGGAGGAGCTTCCCTGCAGCAGGCTGCTGGATGCAGGGGGCCGGGGGAATAATTCCATTTTAGAAACCCAGTAATTGTGTCTGGTGCTAGGTAGAATTTTCCTTCATTCAGTAGTTTATTGAAGGCCGGGTAGACGCCGATTGCCACTAACATGCAGTCTCTAGAAGTCAGGGACTTTATCTTGCACGCTGCCATCTCCTGTTCCTGGAACATCGCAGGTGCTCAAGATGTGTTAATTAGCGAAGAAGCAAATGACTAGAGGATGCAGTGATAATGACCTTTCGTTCACCCTGAGAACTAGGCTGGCCAGGGAGTGTCTCTCCCTCTTGTAGGTAAGGAAACAGGCTGGCAGGAAGTGACTGCATAGAGTTAGGCAGACTGTAAAAGCCAGAGCGGGCACAAGAATCCAGGTCTCCTGACTCCATCCTTCCATTGTGTGTTCTAGTCCCACCCAACTTTGAAAGCAAAAGTTGTTATATATTTCTGTTAAAAACGTTGCCCTGTGGGAGTGCTTCCCATTCCCTCTGTGGGGTTGGCTCCACTGGAATGGGGAGGGGAGGAGCTGTGGAGTTGCATCGTTCTGGTTCAGTTAGGCCTGCTCTAACTGCGTCACTTCCAATCATTCTTCTTTCAAATCTTTAGACTCTTGTACATCTTCTTACACTACTGTTTGAATTCTCATGTTAATATCAAATTTGAAAAAGTGTCATTTTTGTCCTTTTTAAAGTAAGTTTTTCTGTTTTAAACCTCTGGAACATCAACTGAGTATTTAGGTTGGGGAAGTGTTCAGCCTCCATCTCCACATTCCCAGGGTGCTTGCCAACCAGAGGCTAAAAAAATATTGCTGTAAAAATCAGTCCAAGGCAAGTCTGGATCTGTCAGCTGATGTGTTCCCATTGCATAAGATAAACGAGTTTTGGGGACACATCTAATTACACGCTGTTAGCTCCAGCTCTTCATTAAGTTGCATAGGTGAGCTAAGAGCTGATGGGCTGCGCTGGGACGGGTGACCTTGGGGCCTGTCCTACCTTTGCTGCTGATTCTGATAGCCCAGGTGGTTGTCAGCTGGAGCAAGCGGTCTGAATGCCACCAGGATGGCTGGTCATCAGCTTGTTTCCTTTGACCTATAAAGATGTTGGGGAAAACATGGTTATTTTAAGGGTTACTATATGAATCTGCATATAGGATTTTTAAAAAATACAAATTTGTCACAGACAGCATTTTTACCTTCTCCACCTCGGGATCCAGCACAAACAGCACCTCCTCTCTTCCCTTCCCTTGTCGTCTTCTCTTGTTACTTGAGCACTTGCTTTGGGTTAGATAAAAAGGGTGAAGCCCTTCCCTCGTGGAGCTCCAGGTGGAGTGGGAGAAAGGCTCTTCACCAGCCAGGCACGGGTAGCACACACCGGAATGCCACTGTGCCAGGCTGTCGAGAGGGAGATGGTGCAACCTAAATGGTCCTGCGGAACATGCAGTTGGCCTGTGCAGAGGCATTCTTCATGTTTGGACAGCCTCTGCTTGCTGTGGTCCTTGGCACACAGCACACACCTGGTGAGCTCTTCCCATAGAAAAAGATTCCCTACCTGCTTCTGAGCCACTGCTGCTGTGACTGACCTTCCTTTCCTCTAAGGTCATGGGAAAGGGAGAAGGTCAGGCTTCTTTCTGACGCCTCCTGTGTGTTCCAGAGGGGAGGATTCCTTATGCAGTTTCTGCATCAGGGGCTTCCCTTTCTTCTTCAGGCCAATTTTAAGAATAAGATTAATTGGCATATCTTTCTGTGGGATCTTCAGAACCGTGTGTGTTTTCATCCTCGGGTTTTAGGAATTCACTGCCTAGCATTCTCTATTCATACCTTCTGCTGCTTCGCGAGCCCAGGAAACAACTTGGAAACTGGATCTCCAGTGGAGAGAGTGATTGATTTCAAAAGACCTTCCCCAAACTTACCTCAAGTGATTGCTTGGTTTGTTTCAAAAAGATTTTAAATTTTGCTCGACTTAAATGGCAGTCGTTTTTAGGGCTGTCATCTAGAATCTAGTATTTAACATGATGATTTTGTTTTACTCTGTACAACTGTGGGTAGAGGGCAGGGAGCAAGTTAGCTGGGAAAAATCAACCAGGCAGGCGCAGGTGAGACTTCTACCGCTGTCATTCCAGAGTTCTCCAGTGGGAGATTGAAGCCTTCTGGAGATGGGGGTCCAGACTGCTCGAGCCAGGAGAAGGGTCCCCCTGCGGGGCTCCATGTCTGTGTGACTGGTCTTCAGATCGTGTGACCCCCTAGGGATGCTGGACTTTGCTGTTCTCGGAGCTGCATGGGTGCCATGGAAAGGGCTGGGAGCCAGTGTCCCTGCTCCTCACCCACAGTGGGGCCTTGGTTGAGTCTGAGGGAGAGCCGAGTTAGGGGAAGTGCAGGATTTGTGGCCAGGCAAGGGGTGTGGTAAGTGAAAGCACCTCGTATGCTGACTCACATGCCTGACTGCTTGCACAGGGCTCCTTGAGAATGAGGCCGTGTGGAGATTCAGTGTGTGGTAGTCACTGCACACAACCTTGGTGATCGAGCCGGGACATCTAGGCAGGGGCTCAGAGGTGGACTTTGGTGGTGGGGCTAGAAGTTGAACAAAGAGGTCATTTTGTTTTGTCTTCGGTGCCCGTTTAAGCTCATGCATCGTTATTTCTACTGCCGCCTGCCTGGGCTCACCCACAGCCATCTCACCAGGAACTGCTGCCACACCTGTCTTTCTGTGCCTCAGACATGCCAGGTGGGCCTCTCTTGCCTTTTGCTGGGGCTGCCTGTGCTCTGGGGGCCCATATGGCTTACTTCTTCCCATGTTGTCTCAGGTGTCACCTTCTTTGGGGACCTTCTCTGGTCACTCTGTTTAGAAGCAGTCTCCTTTCTGTCTCCTCCCTATCTCATCCTCGCTTATTTCTCTGCATAGCACCTGCTGGGTCAGTCACCTGTGCCAGAACACAGACCCATGAGGGCAGGAGTTTTGGTCTGTTCTCTCCGCTGTTAGATTCCCAGCATTCAGAACACCGTGTGGCTGCACAGGCACCCAATATACAGGTGTTGAAAGAATGGAAAGTAGGCATTGGTGGGTAGATTACTAATGCATTCGCAATGGGTGTAAATAGGTATTTGCTAATTTAATTTACTGCCCCTGCCCCCCCCCCTTTTTTTGAGGCAGAGTCTTGCTGTGTTGCCCAGGCTGGAGTGCTATGGCATGATCTCGGCTCACTGCAACCTCCGTCTCGCGGGTTCAGGTGATTCTCTTGCCTCAGCCTCCTGAGTAGCTGGAATTGCAGATGTGTGCTGCCACACCTGGCTAATTTTTGTATTTTTAGTGGAGATGGGGTTTCACCATGTTGGCCAGGCTGGTCTTGAACCCCTCATCTTAGGTGATCCACCCAGTTGGACCTTCCAAAGTGCTGGGATTACAGGCATGAGCCACCATGCCCAGCCATAACCCCATCTTTATTTCTGCTTTGATATATGTAAAAGTCTTTTTTCTTTTTTTGCTTTGATACAAAATGCATACTACATATTTTCACTTAAACCAGTCCATCCTTTGCCTTTGCCTATGCTTCATGTCCCCTTAGAATGTTTGAGTCTTCATAGGACTTAAAGATCATCTGCTCCATGAACAAGGGAACTGAAGGTCAGAGGGGAGGAGTCTTGTGCTAAGTCCGGGGTCATTCTGCTCCATCTCCTTCCACTGATACTGGAGCCAGGGAAGGGAACCAACATGGATTGTTTGCCAGATGAGAGACAGGTATTTCCCCGCATGATCTAAGTGAATCCTCAGAAGTCACAGGGTGTGCATTGTCATCCCTGTTTCATGAGTGGAATTCTGTAGGATTTTTTTTTTTTTTTTTGAGACGGAGTCTCGCTCTGCCGCCCAGGCTGGAGTGCAGTGGCGCAATCTTGGCTCACTGCAAGCTCCGCCTCCCGGGTTCACGCCATTCTCCTGCCTCTGCCTCCTGAGTAGCTGGGACTACAGGCACCCGCCACCATGTTCGGCTAATTTTTTGTATTTTTTTTAGTAGAGACGGGGTTTCACCGTGTTAGCCAGGATGGTCTCGATCTCCTGACCTTGTGATTCACCCACCTCGGCCTCCCAAAGTGCTGGGATTACAGGCGTGAGCCACCGTGCCCTGCTGGAATTCTGTAGTTTTCAACAGGAAGAATGAAGTGATAGAATGTACCTGGGTAACGTGGCCAGTAAGACTTGATGGCTAGGTCATCTCTCAGGGGTGCCATGGAGCCCCTGGGATGCCTGGGACTCTCTGAGCTCTCCAGGTCTCATGCTGTCTGAGGGTGCTGCTTGTGGGGCCACCTGTGTTCCCTCGGGACCAGTGTGTTTCAGTGTCTGGCCCGTGAACCTGTTCTCAAGTTGCCCTTGTCTCTGTGGAAACACTTTTTCCTCGAAGCCAGTATTTGGGATTTTGGTAACAAGCCAAATTGAAATCTCAGTGATTATAGGACTTGATGAATAATTTGTGTTGCAAAAGATTGAAAAATCATCCCTCACGAAGTCCATTTTAAGTGTTGCCTAAGTACAGTTACTTCATTGAAACTGCTCACCAGCTGGTGGCAAAGCTTATGTGGAAACAAGTTTTTTGGTGCTCTGACCCTAGACAAGACCATGAGTCTGGAGCCATGTCCACAGTAGGTCTCCGCACATGTGGAAGAGGGGCAGTCTGTGCAGGAGAGCCTTCTTCCCCCCACCCCGCCCCATGGGAAAAGGAGAGAAATGGTGAGTTAGGTCAGGGGAAAGGGAAACAGGGAGGAGGCAGGTCCTCGATAATCAGGAATATGGCGCAGACACTGCTGGACTCTGAGGTTTCCTAAAAAATTCATGCCCTGGGCTGGGCACGGTGGCTCACGCCTATAATCCCAGCACTTTGGGAGGCCGAGACGGGCAGATCATGAGGTCAGGAGATCGAGACCATCCTGGCTAAAACAGTGAAACCCCGACTCTACTGAAAATAAAAAAAAAAAAAAAAAATTAGCCGGGCGCGGTGGCGGGCACCTGTAGTCCTAGCTACTCAGGAGGCTGAGGCAGGAGAATGGCGTGAACCTGGGAGGTGGAGCTTGCAGTGAGCCGAGATTGCGCCACTGCACTCCAGCCTGGGCGATAAAGCGAAACTCTGTCTCAAAAAAAAAGAAAAAGAAAAAGGAAGAAAGAAAAGAAAAGAAAGAGAAAAGAAAGAAAAGAAATCCATGCCCTGGCTCCATTTTTTCTTTCAGTGACCCTCACTGAGGAGCTGTGGGTACCGTGATAGGCACTAGGGAAGGCAGGTGACTCGAGTATGGTCTGATCTACCAGGGTTAACAACTTGGTTGGGGAAAGAGGAATGGGGGCCAAATAATGGCACCATAGAGGAACTATAACGGGACAGTGGTGGGCAAAGGGTCACTAGAACGGTGGGGGGCTTCTTGGAGGAGATGACACTCAAACTGGGCCTTGCAAGGTAGGTGGGAGTTGACCAGCAAGGCGGCAGTCTCAGGTGGCAGTGTGCTGCACGTGTGGCTATCAGGGCCAGCCCATGAGGGGCAAGGCTGCTGGGCAGGCTGGGAAGCCAGAGTGGGGAGGCCCCAGGAGGTGTTCTGTGTGCAGCTGCCACATTGAAAGGTGTGCAAGTGTAGTTGGAGGATGTGCAGCTGAGGCAGGGCCCAAAGGAGGGGGAGTACACAGAAGCCAAGAAGGGAAAAGAAGGGAAAAGGCGATCTGCACACACACAGTGCCTTGAAGGTCTTGCGTTTCCCGTAGAAATTGTGCTGTAGCTCTTTACCAGATTGACTGGTATTTGGGCACACAGTTGAGCATACTCTGGGCCTCGGTTATATGTTTTGAATTTAGTATGGTTTTTATTCAAAGCCTCAGTGCTCTCTGCACGTTTCCATACTCCCATCTCAACTCTAAAACATATAAGTTGTTATTCAGATCAACTTGCTGGTAAAATTAGAGAAAATTTCAAAGCTCCTTTTTACTCTCTTTGTCTCACATTTCTCCAATGGGGAAAAAGCCTGGAAGACAAGTGTGTTAAAGAACTGGCTGTTCTTGTAAGTATTTGAGGAGAACAGTGTGAGTCATTGTAGCTTTTCACTGGTATTTGAGTATCCGGTTTATTTTTAAACAGTTCTGTGAACTGGAGTTTCTTCCATAGTTTCTGTTACCATGGCGCCATAATATTTCCTCGTCTGCTTGTTCATACTTTCACACACTTCAGCATCACATTTACAATTCCTTACAATCAGAATATCTTATTCATAACTTCCAAGAATGTTTCTCCAGCTGCAATAGCATTTTTCTCCAAATGGGAAAAGTCCGTTGTTCTGCCACTTGCAGATGCTGGGAAGAAAGAGGGTCTGGTTCTGTGAAGGACGGTGCAGGGTGCGGGGGCTGTGAGGGCCCCGTTGGGGTTTGAGTGGGTGGACCTATGTCATCTGTGTGGAGCCACTTCCCCTTTAGGCGCCACGGTTGAGAGTATAGGACGGACAGGCTGCTGCTTTTGCTTGGGAGGAGTTGGTGTTATACATTTTGGTCTAGACATCTAACAGACCACCCTTGGTTCTTTGGTCCCCTCAAACATGAACATGGGTGTGTTCTGTTGCTCTTATTTATTTTGTCATTTATTTTTGGACTTGAATTGAGGCTTCCACTTTGGGCAGGTCTCTTGTTTTGAGAATCTGCAGTCCAGAGAAAAACAATGCTGGGCTTGGCAGTCACTGGTGAAGTCGGCTTTGCCCGCCCTCCAGGCATGCAGGATTATTCAGAGAGGTACCTTTCTACATCTCATTGCTTTGAGAAATATATATTTCTTAAAGAGTTGTTCAGGATTTAAGGAAAGTTGGGGAGGTATATGGAACCATAGAGATAGTTTGTTTCCAATTTCTTAAAGTCTTAGACCTCAACTTTTCAGGGATAACAAGGTTTTCCTCTGACACATAAAGATAATAATAGACTAGGTTCTGAATATGTGCTTTGGACTTAATTATGGGAACTTGGCTTTGCCAGGTGTTTTCAAATTCTACTGTAAATATAAATGCTGATTCAATGATACAGCAACTCTTGATACTTGAGAATTTAAAGTGCTGCGTAACTGATTGGACATTTCGTCTCCTAACACAGTTGGTTCCTCTGATTCAGAGAGGACCCCTTTTTGAAGATCAAAAGCAAAATAAAAGTGTGGAAAGTGTGGACTTCTAGTGGCATGTGGACAGGGGGGTGTCCTGGGGGCTGCCCAGGAGGCTCCAGGTGGGAAGTGCTTCTGACTTAGTGGCTCTACAAGCTGGCCATTGTGGAAGAATTGGCTTTTTCCTTTTTTTTTTTTTTAGAATTGACTTTGTAAGAATCATCAAAAAATTGTTTTGCTCTCAGCTCAATAAACATTTGTAGTTAATAATCCGAGTAACTAATCTTTTTTCTCTCCTGTGTAATCCAAGATATGTCAGTATATGGTCTTCGTGAGTAAAATTGATACCAATAGTACATTATCCTAAAGGTCTTATTTGATATCCTTTTATCAAGTCAACACTTTACTGTCCCACCATTTCACTTGTAAAGATCCCCAAGTGTGTCGCTGTCAGTTTCAACAAATGTTAGAAAGGACCTGTTGTCATATGTGAGATACGCTTCTGGAATTCACTGTCTAGAGGGGAAAGCAGACTGTACACAGGTAAAAACTGAGGTAGTGGTATGTGCTTTGAGGAAATATAAAAAGAGTTAGAAGGTAACAGGCTAGAGTTGGTGGTGGTGGGAGGTGTGGCTAGATTCTCTAAGGGATGCCCCAAATGGTGTGAGGGGGAGCCGGCCATACGCTTGTCTCAGGGAAGAACATTCCTGGCAGAGGGAACAGCATGTGCAAAGGCTCTGAGGCAGGGATGAGCTTATTATGTTGAAGAAACAGAGAGAAGATCCTGTGCTGGGACAGAGAAGGGCCAGCAGGTAAGGGAGAGTAGTTGGGGAATGGGTGGAAGGGCAGGCAGGGGCCGGGTCATGACGGGATTTGCAGTACAGCGGAGGAGTTAGGGTTGAAGTGATGTGATGGTTTAGAGAAGGGAAGTGACATGATTTGAGTATTTACAAATATTGCCCTGAAGAGGCTAGAAACTGGAAGTGAGGATAGGTTTTCTGTTCTCTTTAACGTTGAGTTTCCATGGGAAAACATTAAACGTTTTCATTTTAGCTTTGAAAATTTAGGGTTATTAATACCACCTGTGTTCCTTACAATTGGGGGTTTTGTGACATTTTCTGGGCTGTTTTGGAAGAGAGGGATTGTGTAAGTGAATATACCCTGGTTGTTAACCATAATAATAACAACGTGATCTCTGCATGGCTCTGTTAAATTAAAAAATGTAACTATTAATAGTGTGTGAAATAGTTCTCAGCCTAGCCAGCAGCTGGAAGATTACACATTATGAGAAACTCATCAAGTTTAAACCACATGGGGATTTCTGTGTAGAAATATACCAGTTCCTCCTTCCTTCCTCGCTGTTCCTGTTTCAGGGCAGCCATCGGCTTTGTGGAGCCCTCTGAACCCTGGCTGGTTCCATTGACGCTGACTGTGTTCCTCCACTACCTTCCCATCACCTAAGGTCTCTTCTGTCTCGGACACCTCCTGCCTCTCCCACTCTGCACCTGCCCCATTCCCATCCAAGGTTCACCTTGGTGTCGCTGGCTTGGAAGCCATTTCCTCACTTCCCTGGGTGGAAAGCAGCTACTTCAGTCCTCCAACAATCCCAAGGAGTGGTAGGCAGTGTTAGTTTTGTTTTCTGGATGAGGAAACTAAGGTTCAGGAAGGTTAAGTAACGTGCCCCTGGTTACCCAGCTGGTTTGCAGCAAGGCTGGGATTCATTCATTGCTGCTTCTCACATATCATTGCCTCGTGTAAGCCAGGTGCTGTGCCCAGCCGTGGGATACAACTGTGAACAAGGCAGGTGTGAGTTAGGTGTCTGCCTCCCTCAACACCTTGAGCTGTTTGAGCAGGCAGGCGTCTGGAATAGGCATGCAGTGAACACTGAGCGAATGAATGAGTGAATGAAAGAATTCCTGTCAACATTCTACTCTTGTTGGACTCGGGTTGGCATGCTGCCTCCCTTAGCATCCAGCCTGTCACTCTTCAGAGTCACGCACACGTGACTCACCTCTGCCTTTCCTTGGTGTCTTTTGTTGCCTGTGTCTCATGCAGGAGGCAGCACAGCCTGGTGGCTCAGGGAGGCTCTGGAGCACCTGGTCTGGGTTTGAATCCAAGCTCTGCCCCTTACTAGTTGTGTGACTTGGGCACGTTATTTAAACACTCTTATGCCTCTGTTTCTTCATCTATAAATTTACTTTTGAACTTGAACTGTCAAAAACTTTCATTTTTTAATTCTTAAACTTTCCCACTGACCCAAACCAGATTGAGAAATTGGATAACCAAAACCATGGAGGTATTTTTGCTTTTTATGAGCGTGCCTTTTGTTATTTCAAAATGACCTACTTTCATACTTCCAAATGCATTTTAGAAACATTTTGATTAATTTAAAAGACAATCATTTTCAAAATTAGTTTATTGAATAACTTTTTCCCTTGTTTATGTGGTGTGAACGTGGGTATCCATGTACTTCTTGGGTCAGGATTGAGTGGGTGCCTCATCTGTGCTAGGCTCTGCGTGAGACACGAGGACAGGAGGGTCCAGAGAAGGTCTGAGAGCTGAGACAAAGGTGCTGAGTGTGTCCAGGGCCCAAACCCAGAGGTCCTGGTGCTGCTGCATGTTGTGGCTGTGGAATTGGGGCAGAGAGCACAGGTAGCAGGAAAGTGTGTGAGTTAGGCTGCATGTCACAGAGACCCTCAAAATAATAGTGGCTTAAAGAGAAGTTTATTCCTCTCATCTGCAGAGTCCAGAGGTGGCATGGCTGGTGGGCACACCACACTGTCAGAGACCTAGACTTCCTCTGTCTCGTTTTGTGCATGGCTCTGTTCCCAAGTCACCTCATGGTTCGCGATGAGAAAAGCATGGCATTCATATTTAACACGGCGAACTTTGTGCTAGGATTGGGACACAAAAATAAACTCCATGTGGTTCCTGCCCTCAAGGATCTTAGGTCTCTTGGGAGAGACAGATGCCTGGATGACCGCCCTCCATCTGAGGTTGATTGGAAGGAGCCCTGTGTGAGAGGAACACAGGCAGGCAGGCCAGGCAGCAGAGCTGACATTTGGGAATAAAGGAAGTCTTTATGAAAGAGGTGGCATCTGATCTTGATCTTAAAGAATAATTAGTATCTTGACACTCATCTGGGAGGCTGTTTGAGGGAGAAGGATACTGTGAAGGGAGGTACGAAGACCTGAAAGGGCAGGGCTCTGTTTGGAGCCCCGGGTGGCGGGTCACTCTCCTGCCTTGTCCGAGTTGAAGTAGACCATCATTCTGGAGCAGACGTCACACAATTGGAAAGATGTCCCCAGCTGTGTGATTAGTATGACATCCATTCTAAAAGGTGAACAAAAGAACCTGGAAAGAAACCAGACAGGATCGTTTTGGAGTTCTGAGATACTCATTCTTTTGCCTGTACTTTGGAAGCAGGATCAAGCCATTCGTAGGCACGCCACTCCCACTGAACATTTCACAATCCACTGAGCCCAGTGCTGTCACTGTGTTTCAGTTCTCAGAAGCTATTGACAGCATCTTCAATGAGAAGTCCTGGGACCCAGAGTCAGAGCACTTTTTACTGGTTTTGCAAGATACAAATATTAATTGCTGTTGACTTTCCCTTTAAATTTTAGCCTCTGTATGTGGGCAGGACTTGTAGCATAGATGAGACCTTGTGTTACCAACATTGTAAGTAATTTATGTGATGTGGACGTGCTTGGGAAGCATGGACTTTCTTTATGCTGACTGTGGCTTGTTTCACAGTGAGACCCTGATAATGAGCTCAAGCCCGGACATTGGGGTCCTGGTGAGTATAGTTGCACAGGGCGGCCGTCAGGCCTGGATCTGATGAAGTAGGGAGGATCTTTGCAGCCATGCTCACTGCACATACACACTCTTATAATTACTCGGCTTTAATTCACGTTTATTCTTCCATAATCTCCTGCTTATAGGAGGCTGTCTTAAAACATTTTAAACTCAGAGAACTCTAAGAGCTTGTTGAATCCCACTCTCTTCTTTTCATGTGAAAGTAGTTGGATGCTGAGAAGATAAGGGACTTGCCCAATGTCCCATTGCTGTTTAATGGCAAATTTGGGATGAGGCTTCTAAATTTTGGCACTGAGAGCTCTTTGTAAGTGTAAAAAATGACTTCAGAATTATCAAAAATGAAATTATGTTCAGTGTAGCTTTATTGATTTTGTTTGTTTAGAGGTATATGTATTTGTGTGTATTTTTCCTTAAATTTGGTGTTCCAGGTAGGGTATACCCAGTGATTCCCTTCACCAGCCTGATTACCTACAAGTGCCTCCACCACTATTTTGGGGTGTACTTCATTGTCTTCAGACATTAACACCATCTACTGAGTTTAATGAGCATCAGTCCATCAGGCCCAGTGAAACACTCTGACAACTTACATATTAAAGGAGTTTCACATCTAAAATTTCACAAATGAGGCTTATGTATTTGAAGTTTCTTAAAAATAAAAACAAAACCAACCTGATTTCTGTACTCTGATGCATGAAATTAGAAGCTATGTGAGGCTCACCTGCCTCCACAGCAACTGAAGTCTTGTTTTATGTGAACACCTTCTTTTCTTTCCTCCTTCTGTCCATTTCTGATGCATGTGTAAGATGGCAGGTGATATTTCATCGCCTACAGCACTCTCAGATTCAGCACGTGAAGAGACAGTGAATCACTTTAAGGACTTCAGAGGCAGCGACATTTTTTAGCCAAGGTGTTTCTTTGGGCCATTTTCCTCCTATGCCTCTCCGGGTGTGTTCCCGTCCTTTCTCAAGGGTTTATGGTTTGCCCCTTAAGTGTAGATTGAGGATGTCAGATTGAAATCTTGCTCTTTAAACTGTATCCAGAGGTTCTTCAACTCTCTTTGGAATGTGTGAGCCAGAGAGCCTCAGGGAAACAGTGGGACAGAAGTGGAAGCTGCATGTGCCATGACATCCCCAACCTGGGCTCCGCCTGAGGACTACCTGGAAACCCAAACATCTGGACATGAGGGCTCGGCTCAGTGGAGTATGGGACCATGACATGACGTTTTACAGCCATTAAAAATGACTGAGGCCGGGCACGGTGGCTCACGCCTGTAATTGTAGCACTTTGGGAGGCTGAGGCAGGCGGATCACCTGAGGTCTGGAATTCGAGACCAGCCTGACCAACATGGCGAAACCCCATCTCTACTAAAAATACAAAATTAGCCAGACGTGGTGGTGCATGCTTCTAATCCCAGCTACTCGGGAGGCTGAGGCAGGAGAATCGCTTGAACCTGGGAGGCAGAGGTTGCAGTGAGCCAAGATCACGCCATTGCACTCCAACTTGGGCAAGAAGAGCAAAACTCAGTCTCAAAAATAACTAACTAAATAACTAAATAACTAAATAAATAAATAAATAAAAGACTGGGGCCAGGCGTGGTGGCTCACGCCTGTAATCCCAGCACTTTGGGAGGCCAAGATGGGTGGATCACTTGAGGCCAGAAGTTTGAGACCAGCCTGGCCAACATGGCGAAACCCTGTCTCTACTAAAAATATTTTTAAAAATTAGCTGGGCATGGTGGCGGGCACCTGTCGTCCCAGCTACTCGGGAAGCTGAGACATGAAAGTTGCTTGAACTCGGGGGCAGAGGTTGCAGTTAGCTAAGATCGTGCCACTGTGCTCCAGTCTGGGCAACAGAGCGAGACTCTGTCTCAAAAAAAAAAAAAGTAACTGGAAGATACCCAGACAACAGGGAGAAATGCTGCTTATGCAGCTGAGGAAAGCAGAACACAGGATGGCTTGTTGGCTGCAAGGACAGTGAAGTCAGTCCATAGATGATGGGAGAAGCAAGGGCTAAATGAGGAGAGCGGAGGCTGGTGGGACAGAACTGGCCATGAGGAGCCCCTGTTGGCCTTGACAGCTCTGTGCTAGCCAACATTTGGACTTAAAATCATCATGGGCTTGGCAGTGTGGGGAGGCTGGAAAGAGGAGAGCCAGAGGTTCTCCTGAACAGGAATCGTGAGCTTCAGAGCTGCCGAGGAGCCCAGCCAGGTGTGGTAAGCAGAAGAACTGCACTGAGGTTGCTCTGTTGTTTGTTTTTCCTTAACCTCCTCCAAGCATTTTTTTTTTTTTAAGAGATAGGGTCTCTCTATGTTGCCGAGGCAGGAGTGCAGTGGCTATTCACAGGCGTGATCATAGCTCACTGCAGCCTTGAACTCCTAGGCTCAAGCAGTCCTCCCACCTCAGCCTCCTGAGGAGCTGGGACCACAGGTGCACTCAGCTCCAGAATGATTTTTTTTTTTTTCCTGTGGGAAGAAGAGGGCTTGGTCTGTCATGTTGAGTGAAACAAGATGTGTTTTCCCCCCTCTCTTTTTCTCTTTTCTTCTTAACAGAGATATTGGAGAGTCTGTGCTGTGTTTCTTTGAAGTGATTCTGTGTCCTCGTGGAGTTCCTAAGATTCCCCTTCCTCCCACTGTTTTTCTTCAGTTTGCAGTGGATAGTTCTGTGCCATGAGGTGGTTTGAAATCCTCTGGTTTTCGGTGATGGTTTCTATAGCAACAATGAGTTGTGTCTGCCTGGAGATGCTGGCTGTTTTTTTAATCTCTGGAAGCACCTTTGAGTGTGTTCTGCCCCACCCTGCCCAGGCCGATGGGTGCTTCTGGAGGGCCTAGGACCTGCTGAGCTCTAGGCCTCAGTGTGATTCCCTTGAGGGAGGGGCCAGCCTTTAAGCCCAAGCATCTTGCAATGCGCAAGCTGTTTCCCGTTGTTGAATCAAATGTACTACACCATGTTCCAGAGAGATATAAGTCACTTTATTTGCTGATCTCTTATCTCTTCCTTTGAGGAATGTTCACTTTTCCAGATGAAATCACTGGAAACAAAATGAGTTGTGCCAGGTAGTTGAGCTCTTAAAAAACATCCCAGCTTTGCTAATGGTGCAAAGCACTATCTTAATGTGGGCCTTACTTCCTGAGCGCCCACTGGCTTATAGGGGGTGACCTGGGTGGTAGAGACAAGCAAGAGACCCCATTCTTCCAGGAGACTGACTGGACATACATGAATAGCCCGAGCTGAGCCAAGGCTGGTGACATAGAGGGCCCAGGGACCCATGGGCCGCAGCTGGGTTGTCAGGCAGCAGGAGGGCCTCCCGTGAGGCCGGTGGTAGACAGGCAGGGTAGAACCACACAGCCCCCAACCGTGGTTGCTAAACCCATGTGTGGTTTAGATTAACATGTGCAGTAGTGTTTACGAAAGAATTCTAACCATTAGAGTTATAGCACCTTCACATAAATGCTCTCATTATTTTCCATCTTTGAATCCTCAGTCTCCATAAATCAAAATTACCCAGGCTCTTCAACTTTTCTTGTCCTGAATTCATCCAGCAATTTACAAAGCAACTGCTTTGTGTTTGACACTGGATGCTGGGGCTGTAGCAGTGATCACAGCTGACATTTGTCCCTGCCCTCCTAGAGCTGATACTTTTTTTTTTTTTTTTTAAAGACGGAGTCTTGCTCTGTCGCCCAGGCTGGAGTGCTATGGCGTGATCTTGGCTCACTGCAACCTCTGCCTGCCAGGTTCAAGTGATTCTCCTGCCTCAGCTTCCCAAGTAGCTGGAACTACAGGCATGCGCCACCACACACAGCTAATTTTTGTATTTTTAGTAGAAATGGGGTTTCACCATGTTGGCCAGGCTGGTCTTAAACTCCTGACCTCAAGTGATCCGCCAGCCTCGGCCGCCCAAAGTGCTGGGATTACAGACGTGAGCCACCGCCCCGGCCCTAGAGCTGACTTTCTAGAGGGTCAGACAGACAAGAAATAAAACATTTAAGTAAATTATGTAGCTCGTTAGGAGGTGGTAAGTGCTTGGGAGAGAAAAATAAAGCAGGGAGGGGGTCTGAGGGGGCTGGGGCAGGGTTAGAAAAGTTCTCACTGGGGCCGGACGCAGTGGCTCACGCCTGTGATCCCAGCACTTTGGGCCGATCACGAGGTCAGGAGATCGAGATCATCCTGGCTAACACAGGTGAAACCCCGTCTCTACCAAAAATATAAAAAATTAGCTGGGCGTAGTGGCAGGCACCTGTAGTCCCAGCTACTTGGGAGGCTGAGGCAGGAGAATGGCGTGTACCCGGGAGGCAGAGCTTGCAGTGATCTGAGATCGTGCCACTGCGCTTCAGCCTGGGCGACAGAGCTAGACACTGTGTCGAAAAAAAAAAAAAAGAAAAAAAACCTCACTGGGGTGGGGGCTGATACAGGCCTGTGGGGCAGGAGGGAGACCATTTCAGGGAGGAGACGAGCACATTCACTGTGCCTGGCAGTGCCCAGACCAGCGGAGGAGCCAAGTGGAGCTTGGTGTAGGGTGGACAGCAGTGGTGGCGGGTTGGAGAGCAGGGTCTGAGGACAAAGTAGCTCGGTGGAGGTGAGCAGATGCGGGCTGGGAGGACCTGGGCTTTTACTCTGCATGGGGGGCTTAAGAGCAGCAATGTGGTCTGCCTTGCATTTTGAGAGGGTCACACTGTTCAGAGTGGACTGAAGTCAGATTGTTAAATATATCATGCATTGAGAAAGCATGCAGCAGTGCATACAGCTACAGTTGTATGTACAAGTATGAAATTAATATGTTCTAATTTTTAAAAACAGTAGCACAGATACAAAACACTGAGTTACTGTGGGAAGCTGGGAGCTCTGTTAGAGGGAAGAAGACTGCAGCCACACAAAGGAGAGGTGATAGTGGCACTGACAGTGGAGAGATGCAGGGGGTCTGGTCATGTCCTTGGCTTTTTGGAGGCAAGGCCGGTCCAGGAGGTGCTCATGGACCTCCCCCGCTCCCTAAAGCTGGGGCCTGGGGGTCTTGTGGGAACCTCCCTTCCTTCTAGTATGGGGCCATTCATGAAACAAAGTCGGGTATTCTCCAGGATTTTTTTTTTTTTTTTTTAAAGAGACCAGGTCTCGCTTTGTCACCCAGATTGAAGTGCAGTGGCACAATCGTAACTCACTGCTGCCTCAAATTCCTGGGCTCAAGCAGTTCCCCTGCCTCAGCCCCCTGAGTAGCTGGGAGTACAGGCGTGCACTACCACACCTGGCTAATTTTATTTTTTAATTTATTTTAGAGATGGGATCTCACCATCTTGCCTAGGCTGGTCTTGAATTCCTGGCTTCAAGCAGACCTCCCGCCTCAGCTTCTCAAAGTGCTAGGATTACAGGCATGAACCACCATGCCCAGTCAGGATAAATTTTTAGAGGAAATAGTTGAGGCCGGGCGCAGTGGCTCACGCCTGTAATGCCAGCACTTTGGGAGGCCGAGGCGGGCGGATCACGAGGTCAGGAGATCGAGACCATCCTGGCTGACACGGTGAAACCCCGTCTCTACTAAAAATACAAAAAATTAGCCAGGCATGGTGGCGGGCGCCTGTAGTCCCAGCTACTCGGGAGGCTGAGGCAGGAGAATGGCGTGAACCCGGGAGGCGGAGCTTACAGTGAGCCGAGATCACGCCACTGCACTCCAGCCTGGGCAACAGAGTGAAACTCTGTCTCAAAAAAATAAAAAAAAGAAGAAGAAGGAGAAATAGTTGAAGATGAAGTAGCTTAGTGGAGGTGAGCAGATGCGGGCCTGCGGGCCAGGAGGACCTGGGCTTTTACTCTGCACAAGGGACTTAAGACCAGCAATGTGGTCTGCCTTGCATTTTGAGAGGGTCACCGTGTTGAGAATAGACTGAAGTCGGATTGTTAAATATATCATGCATTGAGAAGACATGCAACAGTGCATACAGCTACAGTTCTGCGGCCAATTATGAAATGAATATGTTCTCATTTTTAAAACCAGTAGCATGGGTACAAAACTCTGAGTTACCATGCAGCTTATCTATGATGCCAGATTAGTCCTTTCTAAAGTGCACCCTGCCCCACAGAAGCATGTGAGCTTCCGCTTTGTTGGGTGCTGGGACAGCCACAACACTCACTCCCTCTGCCTCTGCCGGAAAGACCCCTCCCCTGTCCTTCTCATGCCCACTGCCCATCTTCCTGCAGTCCTCAGAGAGCTCGCATTCTATCTCAGTAAGCCCGCCCCACCCCCAGGTCTTTTAGAGTGCCCTACTTCTCTGTGTCCTGGTGCTTTTCACACCATATAGCTGTTTTTACTTTGCTGTGTGCCAATCTGCCCTAGTAGGATGTCAGCCCCAGGAGGGCAGGGACCCAGTCTGCCTTGTCCACTGCCCCTCCCCCAGCTTAGAAGAGTGCCTGGCACATGGTAGATGTTCACATGGTAAATATGTCCCTTATCAAAGGGCCCTCTCACCTTGGGCCCAAACATTGGCTTAGAATAAATCGTTATTTCCCAACCACTGAAGAATCTCCCCCCAGATAGTGAAGAGGAAACGAGCTGCAGGTCAGCCTGTGCTCAGTGCAAGGCCTGTGGAGCGGCCAGAACCCAGCCAGCCAGGTGTGCTCGGGCCGTGGCAGCGAGGATGTCCACCTCTGCCTACCTCTGCAGTTAGAGGATTAGAGCGGGGTATCGGGGGCTTTCTCCCGAGGCCAGCTTTCAGGAGAGATGAGCAACATGGTCTTTTTACTCAGAATGTTCTTGCTTTATGAAAATAGCCTTTTGGCCTAAAAAATGACCTGTTCTTTTGTCTGGTTGTGGAATAAATTAAGGGTGTTAAGGGGGAGCTGGATGTCCTTGTGAATACATCATTTGTTTACCTGATATCTGTTATCAAGCCCAAAGGGGAGGAAGGAGGTTATGCCAGCTTCCAGCCTGTGCCACGGTCACCTTAGCAACCTCTGTTAACCTCTGAGACTCTGCACACCATCTAAGGAATGGCTCTGACTCACTGTACTTACATACATTGCTGGCAGAAGTCACTGGAATCTGAGATCTGGAACTGTTTTCAATACCTCAGTCATTCCCGGATTCCCAGATTCCTGAGAAGTGCCCCTTAGAACAAAAGGGTTGGGTGGCTCACACCTGTAATCCCAGCACTTTGGGAGGCTGAGGCAGGTGGATCACCTGAGTTCAGGAGTTCGAGACCAGCCTGGCCAACATGGCGAAACCCCGTCTCTACTAAAAATACAAAAATTAGCCTGGCATGGTGGTGAGCGCCTGTAATCCCAGCTACTCGGGAGGCTGAGGCAGGAGAATCGCCTGAACCCGGGAGACGGAGGTTGCAGTGAGCTGAGATCGCGCCACTGCACTCCAGCCTGGGCAATGACAAAGCAAGATTCTGTCTAAAAAAAAAAAAAAGCTTCTAAATGAAGTTTCCAAAAGTTAGAAAAGCTATTTTCTGGCTCCTGATTGCTCCCTTTTCATAGCAGCCTGTTTGTGTTTTATGGGTACATAACCCTTGAGTCTCTCCAAGAATTCTCATCAGATTTCATTAGAATTTCTCTCTTGTTCCCTCAAGTATTTGTTTTCCCCTGATTTCAGTTTGAACTTTATGAAAGGGTAGGGCTGATGGCATAGGAAGCTGAGCTGGTTCCCTCTTGGCCCTTCCCCTAAATGGGAGAGTGGCCACATCTCTGTAAGAGTCTGGGCAATGCCCCAGGTGGGTTTCCCTGAAAGTCATCTGTACTTGATGGCTTGGCTCCAAATGCAGCTTTTTTTTTTTTTTTCTTTTTTCTTTTTTGAGACGGAGTCTCACACTGTCGCCCAGGGTGGGCGACAGTGACACAATCTCGGCTCACTGCAGCCTCCACCTCCTGGGTTCAAATGATTCTCCTGGCTCAGCCTCCCGAGCAGCTAGAACTACAGGCGTGTGCCACCACGCCTGGCTAACTTTTTGTATTTTTAGTAGAGACAGGGTTTCACCGTGTTAGCCAAGATGGTCTCTATCTCCTGACCTCATGATCTGCCCTTCTCGGCCTCCCAAAGTGCTGGGATTACAGGCGTGAGCCACTGCACCTGGCCCAAATACATTTTTAAAAATGACCCTGGAGCAGGCACAGTGGATCACTTGAGCCCAAGAGTTCAAGACCAGCTTGGGCAATACGACGAAACCCCGTCTCTACTGGAAAATACAAAAATTAGCTGGGCGCATGCCTGTGGTTCTAGCTACTGGGGAGGCCGAGGTGGGAGGATCACTTGAGCTGAGGAGGTTGAGGCTGCAGTGAGCTGTGATCACACCACTGCACTTCAGCCTGGGCGGCAGACCGAGACCCTGTCTCAAAAAAAAAAAAAAAAAAAAAAAAAAAGTGTGATAATTCATGATAATTGACCCTCACCCCTGCCACTCACAACTTTGCATTTCTCAACCCTGAGCTTGGCGTTCCTACCCTGCCAAGGCCTGTCTCCAGCACTGGCGTTTTTAGGTGGTTTTCTTCTCCTGGTGCACACCTGGCTGCTCTCTTCCAGCACGTCCTCCACCATGGGCGGTGCGGCCTTGTTTCTGCGTTGTTACAGCTTCCACCTCTTAATTCAGCAGGCCTTTGGGAGGAAGGAGAAGGAGGTATGTTTGCCTCCCTTGAATTTGTTTCTTTCCAAAAAGTGACACTAAAATAGCCATGCTGTAATGTCATTATTTTGGAAAAGAAATAAATTCAGAGGAACTACATGGGAAACATATTTTCTTACATGTTTTTGCCATTGTGATGGGAAAGAATCCAGAATAACTCAGCACACACCACCCCATTCTAAAAGTTTATTTCAAAATCACTTGTTGGAATTCGGATGGCATGCTTCTGATTCATCTTGCATGGCACCCAGGGTAGCCCGTGAGAGTGAGTTCAGGTCTGGAGTGTGTGCAGGAACAGTCTCCCTCACGTGTAGCCCTTGTTCAGAGTTCACAGAACTCATTCAGCATTGAATTCCGGTATTGGAGCTCAGTTTCTTTTTTTCTTTTTTAGATTCTTTCTTATTTTTAATTTTTAAAGTTCTTTTAGAGACCAGGTCTCACTCTGTCACCCAGCCTGGAGTGCAGCAGTATGATCGTAGCTCACTGCAGCCTCCAGCTCCTGGGCTCAAGTGATCCTCCCACCTCAGCTTCTTGAGTAGCTGGGACTACAGGTGTGTACCACCACCCCTGGCTAATTTTTCTTTTTTTTTTTTTTAGAGATGGTGGTCTCACTGTGTTGCCCAGGGTGGCCTCAAGTGATCCACCTGCTTTGGCCTTTCAAAGTGTTGAGATTTCCAGGCGTGAACCACCGTGCCTGGCTGAGCTCAGTTTCTTTTTCTTTTTCTTTCTTTCTTTCTTTTTTTTTTTTTTTTTTTTTTTTTGAGACAGGTTCTTGCTCTGTCACCCAGGCTGGAGTACAGTGGTGCAATCTCGGCTCACTACAACCTCCACTTCCCGGGTTCAAGTGATTCTCCTGCCTCAGCCTCCTGAGTAGCTGAGATTACAGGCGCATGCTACCACACCCAGCTAATTTTTGTATTTTTAGTAGAGACACAGTTTCACCATGTTGGCCAGGCTGGTCTTAAACTCCTGACCTCATGATCTGCCTGCCTCAGCCTCCCGAAGTGCTGGAATTACAGGCGTGAGCCACCACGCCCAGCCTGAGTTCAGTTTCTTTAGGAAGAAATAATCAGTCAACCACTGGGTGCCAGACAGTCTGAAATGTGCAAAAGAAGTGCCAGATGAGTCCCTGTCCTTGGAAAGACCAGGGATGACTCATTTGTCTGTCACTTTGCACTTTCTCAAAATTCTTTCACAGCTGTCGCCCCGAGCCTCTTAATACCCTGGGAGGTAATGAGAGCCCATGTTGTACTGCCTTACAGACAAGGACAGTGGCTCTCAGAGGGGACAAATAGCTGAATTACAGAGGTGGAGCTGAGACTCATTTTCGACTCAATATCACACTCTCTTCCCAGGAACTTTACCTTCCAGATGAGAAGCCCCCAATTAATTATTAAATACACATTTTACATATTTTTTGCATTAATAAATTGATTTCCAAAGGCTCCAGCACTGTTTGGCATTAAAGAGCAGCTTGTCCCATACGTGTGCACAGGTATGGTAAAGGTCGTTGTAGTCGGCTCAACCTGGAAGAATGAATGAAGCAGAGCCAGGAAACATGCCCTACCTGACCTCGTTTTGAAGAAACAATCGCTCTCAGAAGCCTCTCAGTCTCCTCAGCTTATGTGTTTCTTCAGCTGAGAGGGTGCTGCAAGCAGATTCATTTTTATGGTTAAGGACATGTGTGTGTCAAAAAAAAATTATAGTAGTACTTCCTGACAGGCCCAGCGCCTTTGGGGATGTGGTAGAGATCAGGGTCAATGTGGAAGCCCTGAGGCTCCAGCCTCCCTGGCAGGTGGTGGGACTCTGGAGAATCCTCCTGCCCTTTCTTCTTTTCGCTGCCAGAGATTGCCGGATTCTGGAAATGCCTGGTAGCTGGGCATGTGGTGTCTTGTTGGAGTTGGGCAGCGTGGAGTCTGATGGTCTGGGTTGAGTCTCAGCCTAGCACTTAAGAGCTATGGGTCTGTGACCAGTGATTTGAATTATCTGTATCTTGGTTGCCTTTTCATCAAATGGAAACAATAATACATCTTTTATAGGATTTTTGAGGTACAAAAATAATATATCTGAAGTTCACCTCACCCATCTGTTGGTGCTGAGAGGTACTGAGTAGCTGGTAGCTGCTTGGATGGTGGTTTATCCCACTTCTAGAAAATTTGTAGCTTGGGCTCCCAGGTGGAGCAGTCTTGCTTGGTTTGATGCAAACATGGCAGACTCCAGGCAATATAGCTGTCTTTGGGGGATATAATTCAGTCATCAAATAGCTTTTGAACACTGCATGGTGCCATGAGGCAGCTCTTCTAGCTCCTTGGACTCCCTATGAGGTTGAGCATGGCTATTCTAGGGTGTGGCCTGTCTGCAGTGGCCCTGGTGTGCAGCTGGTTCCTACTCAGGATGGGGTCATGCCCACCATAGCAACTGTTACCTGCAAAGGACATTTTTACTTTACAAAGCATTTTCACATCCTTCTCAGTTGACCCTCACCACGATTCTGCCAGGCAAGTGGGGATAATATTGGTGCAGTAAACATTATATTTAAATACAGTTGCCCTGGGACTGAGTGTTCCCGTGCAACAAATGGCACCATTAAGGCATAAAAAGATAGAGCATAGCCAGGCAGTGGCACACACTCTGTAGTCCTAGCTACTTGGGAGGCTGAGGCAGGAGGATCCCTTGAGCCCAGGAGTTAAAGGCCAGCCGGGGCAACATAGTGAGATCCCATCTCTAAAAAGAAAAAGAAAAAGAAAAGAGTACCAATCAGTGAGGGAAATGCAGATTAAACCACCATGGCTTACTAACATCTTCTGAAAGGCCAAGATCGACAGACTGTGCCTGGAAATAGGACTATAGCAGTAGTTCATCACGGCACACCGCAGAGCAGTGCGTGTTCACTTTTTTTTTTGTTTGGTTGGTTTTTTTGAGATAGGGTCTTGCTCTGTTGCCCAGGCAGGAGTGCAGTGGCACAATAATAGCTCACTGCAGCCTTGACCTACTGGGCTCAAGCAATCCTCTCGCCTCAGCCTCCTGAGTAGCTGGGACCACAGGTGCGTGCCACCATGCTTGGCTAATTTTTTTTAATTTCTACTTTTTGTAGAGATGGGATCTCACTATGTTGCCCAGGCTGGTCTTGAGCTCCTGGGCTTAGGCATTCCTTCTGCCTTGTCCTCTCAAAGTGCTGGGATTACAGGTGTGAGCCACCGTGTCTGACCGATATTTAGTTTTTCATGTTATATGTTCTAGAAGATTTGAACTCAGCACTGAGGTGGTTAAGATCAGTGGTTAAGAGCATGACTGCTGTCAGCCTGCCTTTATTAAGGTCTCAACTCCGCTGCTTGGGCAAGCTCCAACCCTTTGTATGCCCCAGGTTCCTTGCTTTGACAATGCCCATGGCGAAACCGCTACCCCATAGAGTTGTTAGGACTAAATGGAGTGCACGCGTGTAGTGCATGGGGCGCAGTGTCTGGCACATGAGGAGTCGCCATAGGGGTGGGTATGACTGGCTTCTTTGCTGTTGAAGAAGGGAGGGCTGGTGGCAAGGTCACAGTGGCAGGTGGCAGCGTCACCAAAAGTGCTTATCCCAGTAGCAACAATGACAGGAAAACAAAAATCAAACCCAGCCCCAGTCACCAACATTTCCGAGTACCTTCGGGTGGCTTGCTGTGGTGATTCTAAGAACAATGGCTATCACTTTTAGGGTGTCAGATGTATGCCAGGTGACTTCGTCACTGCTGGGCCTTCTCCATGCCTGCGAGGAAATCACCTTATTGGGTTGAGAGGCTGCCTCTTGAGAGCTGCTGGTGTGTCCCTGCACATGGATGCCGTTTGAAGTCATGGGAGTTCCAGAGATCAGTGCTGGGAGGGATGGGAGGAGCCATAGAGCGGACTGCAAGGTGTGCAAGCAGTTGGGGGAGGAAAGGGAGGCTTGTCAGGGTGAGAGCGGGGAGCCAGGAGAGTCCCATACGCTGAGGCTGGTGCGGCGTGCCGTGGGAGGGGTGAGGTGGTTGGACAGGGCCCCTGCTGCTCATATCCCGGAGCAGGGGCAGGAGAGAGGGGACTTGGGAGTTGTCATTGAGAACTCAGCTCGGTGCCTGCCCTCAAGGCCCCCCTTCCCCACCCCCCATCCCCACCCCCACCCCAGGTTGTTGCTCTGTGAACATCAGAAATGAGTTCCCAGATTGGCCATGGTTGTACAATCAGTTGGGTTTTCTTTGTGGTGCAGATTCTTGTCCCCCAGGTCCTCCCCTTTACCTGCATTCCTTGTGACTGTGGAGCTGAAGGAAGTAGCAAGGACACTTTGAAGCCCAGGGTGCCGGCCAAGAACAATGCTCCCATTGAGGTAGGCCGTGCCACGGCCTGTGACCTGGGGGTACTGAGACCTTCATCTCATTTAACCTTCACTGAAACCTGGTAAAGCACAGCTCAGGAACTGGGGTTCAGAGAAATTACATGGCTTTCTGCGGTCACCCAGCTGGCCAGTGGTAGAGCTCGGATTTCCCGCCTTCCACCATCCCAGGCCTTCCCCACAGGCACCTCGTCTGCATTACGTCACTGACTCTTTGGGCAGGAGACTTTCATTTCTTCCCCTCACAGTCTCTGTCTTTTTGGGTTTTCTATATCTTGCCTCAGTGTCGCCTTAGGGCTTCGGATATCTTTGCTAGATTCTGACTGCACAGTTCAGTGAGACCTTGTATAAGATGTGCTTAGAGGGTTCAGATGAAAGTAGTTGATTGTGAATTATTCCAGCTCAAGAACTGAAGTGGTGGTGCAGAGCTTCCTAAAGTAATTTCTGTTGGGTCTGAAATGCCTTGTGCATTTTATAAAAAGATTTGTCTTCCTAATTCTGTTTTACTTAAATTAATAAAGATGTATATAATCTCGGAGAATGTCTAAGTTGGAAGGTGACAGATTTGTGGCAGGGAGGAGCTGGCTGAGCATTAAGATGAACTCTTAAGTAATGCACATGGGGATAGTTGAGCTGATGTTATTACAGATTGAGCTGTGGCCACAGGGGATACCCGTGGGGTACGCTTGTCCCTCATTGCACCTGAAGGCATTCTACAGGATGTCACTGTTGCTGAGTGCAGTGCTATGATGAGATCCTGGTCCCAGACAGAAGGAAAGTGAATAAGTATGGGCCTTTCCCAGCTCTGCCACCATGTAACCGGAGAATGTCCCTTCCCCTTGCTGGTTGCTCCTTGTTCCTTTTGGTCAGCTAAGAGCATATGTCCTGTCTGATGCCCTTGGCAGACCCAGAATCTTGGTTATATTACCTCTCTCCTCAGTGATTCAGGCTCTTACTCCTAAAGGCTGCCCACTGTGCTGAGCCTCTCCTTGGCTCCTGGCACTTAGTGGGCTCTTAAATCTTAGGCCCGGTGTGGTGGCTCATCCATGTAATCTCAGCAATTTGGGAGGCCAAGGCAGGAGGAACGCTTGAGCCCAGGAGTTTGAGACCAGTCTGGGCAACAGTGAGACCCCAGTTTCCACACATAAATTTTTTTTTTAATTAGCTGGGCCTGGCAGCACGTGCCTGTAGTCCCAGCTACTCAGGAGGCTGAGGCGAGAGGATTGCTTGAGCCCATGAGTTCGAGGCTGCAGTGAGCTGTGTGATCATGCCACTGCACTCCAGCTTGGATGACAGACAAGACGCTTTGTCAGTCAGTCAACCACCAGTCAGTCAATCAATCAGTCTTGTGCAGAACTGTGTCAAGACCACAGCTGCATCCAGACAGAATCTGAATTCCTCTGCCCAAGTGGCTCAGGTGTCAAGCTGCCTCTCAGTCCGGAGCAGGGGCCTGCTCTTCCCTGCAGCTGCTCCCATGGCTGGCCAGGCAGCCCAGCTGGTGGCTTGATTGGGCCACTTTGAGACTCACCTGAGCCCAAAGCCCTGCTATTCCCTGAGAAGCCTAGAGCAGAGACCAGCTGCTCTGGGTAGAAAACTTTCTCCTGCTGAAACATGGGGTGAGGCGACTCCAGGAGGGCCCTGGCTAGCAGCATAGGATTCCATAGAAAAAAGGCTCACACCTGTAATCCCAGCACTTCGGGAGGGCAAGGTGGGTGGATCACTTGAGGTCAGGAGTTTGAAACCAGCCTGGCCAACATGGTGGAAACCCCATCTCTACTAAAAAATACAAAAATTAGCCGAGCGTGGTGGCACATGCCTGTAATCCCAGCTACTGGGGAGGCTGAGGCACTAGAGTTGCTTGAACCTGGGAAGCAGAGGTTTTAGTGAGCTGAGATTGCACTACTGCACTCCAGCCCGGGCAACAGAGCCAGATTCCACCTAAAAAAAAAAATTACTGTGAGAGGTGGCATCAGGGCCCAGGCCAGGTGGCCTGTCCAGCCTCTGTGAATCCTAGTGGTTCAGATGACACGCTGCCCCTATGATTATGGAGCAGAGCCCTAACCAGTGTGGGAGAACCCCTCACTGGAGTTCTCTCCATGAGAGCCTGGTTAGGAGCGTGCATGCATCTTAGTCCTGCAACAGTCTCCTCACAGCGGCAATGTCTTTGGAGGACTTGGCTTTGAAGTACCGTTATCTGTTGTGGACTTTGTCTCTGTTGCTGCACAGCAGTGTGTTTACCTTTAGGAGCTCTGCAATCCACCAGATTAAGCCCTTTTAATTAGCAATCCAATTTTAGGTTGTAGGAAGCCTGATTTACTTAACTTTGAGATTGTTTTTGGAAAACATCTTGGTGTAATGGAGAGAATATTACCTTAGCAAGCAGGCAGAGCTGGTGTCAAATACTAGTCTCCACCAGCCATTACTTGGACAACCGTGGGCAAATTACTGAACATCAATTGTCTTGACTTTAAAATAGAGACAGAAGTAATGATAGTAATCATAATTACTATGCAATAATAATAGTGGCAACAATAATTCATTATTTACTATGTTCGTAGCACTTACTAAGGGTGTATAACAGTACTTAGTAAGTTCGTAGCACTTACTAAGGGCCAAGTATTGTTCTAAGCTCTTGTATATATTTGACTTGCAGCAATTCTGTGTTGTAGGTTCCATTAGTGTCTCTCTTTTTTTTTTTTTTTTTTTTTTTTGGAGACGGAGTTTCGCTCTTGTTGCCCAGGCTGGAGTGCAATGGCACGATCTTGGCTGACCGCAACCTCCACCTCCCAGGTTCAAGCGATTCTCCTGCCTCAGCCTCCTGAGTAGCTGGGATTATAGGCACATGCCACCACGCTTGGCTAATTTTGTATTTTTAGTAGAGACGGGGTTTCTCCGTCTTGGTCAGGCTGGTCTTGAACTCCTGACCTCAGGTGATCCGCCCGCCTTGGCCTCCCAAAGTGCTGGGATTACAGGCATGAGCCACTGTGCCCGGCCTATTGTCTCTTTTTTCCAGATAAGGCAAGCGAGGCACAGAGAGGGTAGGTAACTTGCCCACTGTTGCCCACCTCATAAGTAATGGGTCTGGGATTTAAGCCTAGGTAGTCTGACTCTGGAGTCTGTGTTTCTTGCTCCAATTCCAGGCTGTGTCACAGAGAATCATGAAGATTCATGTGATTACATATGAAACAGGACCTAGAACAAAGTCTTGTGCCTTGTTGGTGCTCAAAACAAGTTGGCCATTCTGTCTCACCCCTTCCTGTTGCTAAGCTAAGGCTTTAGACTGTTGACTGTGGCAGTGAGGAAGGTCTTGGATCTCTGGCTGTGTGATCTGAACACAGGGTAAGGTAAAGAAAGGTGGGGTCACCTTTTTACCAAAAAGTCAGACAGTTTCATCTCGGCTGCGGACAGGTCATCACACTAGCAAGGTGTGGTTTGTGCTTATGGGAGTCCTTCAGTTTCTTCCCTCCAACAGGGGAAATAATTGCCGCCTTTACCCTTGCCTGGATTGTAGATTGCTGAGTCTGTTATTCAGAAGTGATCCATTTAGCTTTCCAGCTGAGCCACACACAGACAGTGTCAGAACAAACTGGTCTGAATTTGTGGCTTCAGTGGCGGAGTCAGTAAAGGTGGAGTTGAGTGGGGACAGTGCTCACACAAGTGGAATGTGGTAGCCACTCTGGAGAGGGGAGTAGGGTGTCAAAGGTGGGATTACCTCCACTCACGTTTTATCCCGGGTCCTAGCCCTACCAGTTAGGTAGAGTAGGTCGGGATGGGCAAGCCCAGAGATCCAAGGACTCTGCCTTTTATGCACATGCACCCCTCGCCCCCATCACCCACCATGCACACACACAGACATACACATATGTGCCCAGAGTTGATTAGAGTCTACTGGCTTTCTGCCACCTAAAGGAAATATTATAGACCGCCCTGTACTGAAGGCAGTGATTAGAAACGGGAAGTTGTGAAATAGAGATGACTTGTTTCTTTACCTTGGGAATTTAAAAACCACTATGTTATATGTTTTTCATTTATAGGTTTGTCTACAGATTTTGAGCGTTCGAAGTTGACCCCTGACTAAGTATACTTTGCTGCTCCCTCAGCCTTTGAAAAAATGTCTGTCACATATGATGATTCCGTTGGAGTAGAAGTGTCCAGCGACAGCTTCTGGGAGGTAATGCACCTGCTTTCTTCCAGTGAATGAAGTGGCCAGGCCAATAGTGTCTGGCAGGCCCTTTGGTTTTTTTGGTGGAGGTTGGGAACTGAGGTGAACATACCCCCAAACCAGCCATGCATTTGTAGTCAGACCTAGATAGCAGCAGAAAAGGTTTGGACACTTGTTTTTAGGCAGTTCAGGTATGCCTTAGCCATCATCGAAGGCAGTGAACTTACCTTGCTAGGAAAGGCTGATACTTAAAGAGGTTAGGGGTGTTTATGAAAGGTCTTGGGGATCACCTTCCTTTTTATGTTTGCCATGGTGTGAGTGGGAGAGACAGACACTAATTGCTCAGCTTATCCTACGAGGCACTTTACTGTTGAGTTTTATGTAGAAACAAGGAGGGCTGTGATTTGACATCATGCTGGACAACACAGGCAAGTGGCCAGAGGGCCAAATGCCTTCAAACTTGCTGGAGCATCTGCCGCCAGTCTGTACCCATGAGTGGCCCTCTTCCTGATTGGATTATTTTTGTTTTTTTGTGGAGGCGGAGGGTGTTGTTCCTGAGTCCCACTTACTTTTCCTTCCTGCTAGTTAATGGAAAGTCCATCTTTTTTTTTTTTTTTTTTTTAACAGTTGAGGTCTCGAGAGCGCAGGCTGGAGTTCAGTGGCACCATCATGGCTCACTGAAGCCTTGATCTCCTGGGCTCAAGCCATCCTCCCACCTCAGCCTACTGAGTAGCTGAGACTATAGGAAGTCAATTTTTGGTCTAATTTTGTCCCTGTGGCAAAACCCCTGGAGCTTTCTTGGCCTTCATGGAAAGAGGCTTTGCATGGCCGGGCGCAGTGGCTCATGTCTGTAACCCCAGCACTTTGGGAGGCCGAGGCGGGTGGATCTTGAGGTCAGGAGTTCAAGACCAGCCTGGCCAACATGGTGAAACCCCATCTCTACTAAAAATACAAAAAATTAGCTGGGCGTGGTGGTGGGCACCTGTAACCCCAGCTATTTGGGAGGCTGAGGCAGGAGAATGGCATGAACCCGGGAGGCGGAGCTTGCAGTGAGCCGAGACAGCGCCACTGCACTCCAGCCTGGGTGACAGAGCAAGACTCCGTCTCAAAAAAAAAAAAATTATGTGTTAACTGAGTACCTGTAGTGTGCTAGGCAAGGGATGTGACAGACTGAGTTCCTGCCCTCCAGAAGCTGGCTTCTGCCACAGCAGAAATAAATGTGGAAAGGCACAGAGCATGCAGGTCCTCTCTGCTGCCACCCCTCGGCTGGTGGCATCCTTCTGGAGGGGTGAGGGGGGCACCCAGCTCAAATTTCAGCAGCCGGAGAGGCACATCTGCCTGAGAAATATTTCACTTAAGACAGCAAGAGTGACAGGAGCAGTGACAGCCAAACAGGTCGCCAGCCACATCTCACAGCATGGCAGGAGGTTGGCCGTGAAACTAGATGAAGCAGGACCAGCAGTTACACGACGTGGTTTGGAGGTGCCCCTGGAATAGTGCTAGAATTCAGGACTGCCTTTGCCCCCGCTTGCAGGTACAGGTTCACAGTAATCAGGTCCCGCTGGCTGGCCCCCCCAGAGAGGCTGTGGCCTCATTAGTGCAGGAGCGCTTATGGAGCTGGCAGCAGCTGTGAGAGCCTTCCTGTGAGCTCTCCAGCCTTTAGAAGTGCAGGCCCTTGTTCTCAACACTGAACCAAAACTATAGATAGAAACCTTTCCAGTTATGGGGAGCCTCTTTTTTGTAACTGTAGTGACATTGCTGGCTGGCACCAATCATTCCCTGCCTTGAGCTTGGTGGTGGTGCAGACAGGACAAGCACACTCAAAAGGCCCTTCCTTGTGAGGGATAGGCCAGGAGAGGCAATGGGGACAGGTGAAGACATTGCTTTGGAGCCAGGAGGTCTGGGTTTGACTGCTGACCTGATCACTTACTTCTGTGTATGGCTTTGGGCAAGTTACTGATTTTTCTTTGCCTTCATTTCCCAATCTATAAGATGGGGGTAATAACGGTACCCATATCCTAGTATTGTGAGGGTTAAAAGAATGAATAAACGTTAAGTGTTTTAGGGCATCAGGGCAAGGCTGGTGGGGGCCCTTCCCTCTGACACGGGAGCTGAGGGAGTCGGTGTGCACAGTCAATGTCTGTTCCTGCGGTGCCCTTGGCGACATTGTCTTCATTACCCACTTGGTGGCAGAAACTGCTGGGAAAATTATGTAGCTAAATATAGTGCTATTACAGAATTCTTCAGCTGCTTGTTAAAAAACATTCAGGTGAACGTTGCCAGTGTATATTGTCAGCATATATTAAATCAACTAGCTTTAACAAGTCCAGTAATTAAGCTCTTATGCTCCCTGTTAAATTCTCAACTGCAATAATGTCAGTAGACAAGAACATCTCCTTTTGCCTGAAAATGCTCAGGCGGGCTCTGCTCAGCTTGTGATGCTGTCCCTGAAATTACTCTCCAGCTGGTATCAACTCCGCAGTGCTGTGGTCGTCCGCCTTCTCCATGACGGATGTTCGTTGAGTGGCGGAGTGACTGCTCAGTGATGGCCTGCTGGGATCTGAGAGACTCAGGTGCACACTGCCAACTGCACATCTTCCCAGGCAGGTAGCAAGTTCCTCTTTCCCATGGAAGGACACTTTTCCAAAGAAAGCCTTGTGGTCTTGAGGTGGAAAAGTTTTTTGTGTTTAATTTTACTCCTTCCCACCAAAAGATACTAACTGGAATATGTCATTCCAGAGCCATCTTCTGTGTGGCCCTGTCCTCCAGGAGCCTTTGGCTGTGACATTTGGAGGAATAAGGTAGACACTAGGCAGGTCATCATGCCAGGTGCCGTAGGATTTGCTAGGTTTGCCCAGGGGGAAGGGCAGGAAAGGCAGCATGGGGTAGTGGACGTTGCTGCACTTGGATGCTTGCTGGACGAATGAAGGAACCCATACTGACCTGTGGGAGGAGAGGTTACCCACAGGGACATGATACTGAATAGAGCTATTTAATGCATATTCGGAAGGAGTACCTCCTGCATTCCCCCAACCCTGTAGATATAGGGGAAAAATAAAAAGAGGAAGAGGGGAGAGGGGATCCAGTTCCCACAAAGAAGATGCTTATGGAGTATGAGAGCAGGAGGGACCACCCCCAGCTCTGCCTCTCAGTAACATGGTCTGCTGGGCAGAGTCAGCAGAGGAGGCCTGTGGCTGAGTAGGGTTGGGCCAAGAATTGGGAACAAGTAGAAGGGATGGCATTCCAGGTTGGAACCAAGTCTGGAGCCTGAATGAGTGTGGTCTTACAGAGTGCTGAGGACCTTGACCTTTTTGGAGCTAAGGGCCAGTTTTGGAGCAAAATGGGAAGTCGTGTGGGATTACAGTGGCGGGGGCCAAGTGGAGGCAGTTCCCCAGGTGGGTCGCTCCCTCAGCAAGTCAGAGCCTGGTCTGGCCCGCCCACAGGCTTCACGGCAGGGCATGGGGCAGCTTGGCTACTTCTGGCAAGTTTTCCTGACTTGTTGCAGGAGCCCAGGGGCCCTCCTCCTGCCTTTCCACTTCTGGGCACTGCTTCCAGGCCTTCTCTTTGGTTCTGGGAGCTGGTGTCCAAAGGGCCTGGGCTGTGAGCCTTGGGGCTTTTCACGTGTCACCAGTGCTTCCTGGCCTCCCTTACCTTCATTCAGTAGGCTCTGGGAACAGGATGGCAGGTCTGTCCCTAGCAGGGCTGAGAGCCGCTGCCTGCATCTCTGAAGGCTCCTTGGGGGCCAGGCTAGGAGGGCAGACGCCACTTATTTTAGGAACTGGAGCCTGAGTCTGCCTCAACAAAAGCTCCCCGGAGGCGGGATTTCTGCACAGCTGTCAGCTGTCTGTGCATTTAGAGCTCAGATCTTCTGGATGAACCCAGGCTGAGTCTGACCTCTGTGCACTATCTTGTGGGTACAAAGAGCCCCTGAGAAGAGTATTTGGGGAGATGAAGAGAACATAAGTATCTTGTGTCAAATATTCTGGGAATGTTAGCCCTGAAGAGTTGGCACGTGACTCTCAACATTTACCGTTCCCTGCCAGGAAGGCGCTCCCTGTAGGTTGTTGCAACTTGCTCTGAGTCGGGCTGGTTTCTCTCAGACTCTAGCACTGCAGGACAGCTCATCACGTGAGAACACCTTCATATTCATCATCCATGTGGAGTGATACTTTCCCCATCCTTCCATACCAATTCTATAGGACACATATTTAGAAGCTGCCATGACCCGGGCCCTGGGCTAAGTCCTGGGCACCCCATATGAGAGCCCAGCCTCGGGCCTCCTAGAGCCAGCGTTGTATGGAGAGCAGTTAGGAGGCGGCAGAGCAGTGCCCTGAGCGCAAGCACGAAGCGAGCGAATGTCAATACCACCTCATGCTCAGCAGCAGTGACTGGCTCTGTCTGCTGCCCAGCCGCCTCCACGCACGCCGACCCCAACGGACTTTTCCGTGTGATGGCCTGCCTGTGTCAGCCTTGCAGGAGCACTGTGCCCACATCCATGGGCTCCTCGGGACAGGGTGCGCATCAGCTTAATTATCACCCCACCGTGCTCACATATGGCTCCTAGAAGGTTAGTGGCCCACATTAGTTTCACTAAAGTTTCTAAAAATTACCATTAATTATTTCTTTTCACTGAACTAGTATCTGCTGAACCATGAGCAAGGATTAAGGCATCAACTCCTCAGTCTCCACCCCACTGCCAGATAGCCCATCTAGAAAAGCAGATTGGATGGCTCCCTGCCCTGCTGGGAAGCTTCAGTTTTCTGCATCACCTTCAAAATAGAAGCATACTCTTTAGCATGGCCAAGACACGAGCATGTGTTGACAGCCAGCTGGACTCCCTGGCTCTTCCTGAGAAGCTCTGCCCTGGGCTCCAGCCAAGCTGAGCCACCCCAGGCTCCCATCCACAAAGATCTGTGACCCTGCCTGGTGTGGCTTGGAGGATTCTTTCCTCCATCCAGACTTCCATCTCCTTCCTAGGGAGCTGCTCTGGGAAAGGAAGAGCCTTCCCTGACTGCTCCGGGCGGGCTTGGGCAGTCTTCCTCTGTGCTCTCCAGCATTTCCTAGGCTGTAACATGGCATTGCTCATTTCCTACTTCCAGGATGGTTGTAAGAATTACAGAGAACACCCACAAAGAGGCTAAAATTGTGTGTGGTACTTTTTTTCTCTTTTGGCAAAAACTCTTTTTCCTACCCCGATGTTACACACAAAATGTAGACATGGTGTATATTGCGTAATCTTCGTTTAAGGTTCTTATGCTTATTTTGGGGAGAGTTGTGTTTCTGATGGTATTTGGCTGTTCTGGGATTTCTGAACAGGCTGCTGCAGCCTGCTCTTCAGAGCACTGTATACCTACCTTTTTCAGGAATGAGTTATATTCATGTGAATTCCTTCTAAGCCAGTGAGAAAATAGTTTTCCTAAGATCCTGCCCTTCTTTGGTGGGTGACCCTCCCCCTGAGCTATAGTGGACATTTCCATTGTGGTTCAGATAGACTTTGTCGTCCTATGGGGCAGATCAGGGCCCTCGACGTGTGGGCTGCCTTTGTCTTGGCCATGTTTGGCTGACCCTGAATCTCGTGACTCTTCAGAATTACGTGTTTTTAAATGGGTGGTTTTCACAGTTTAGAATACACAACCTAAGCAATGCTTGGACGCTTATGAAAACAGACGTCAACATTGGACAGACTTTGACGTTGAGATTAGAGCAGAAAGCAGCCTTTGCTGCCCAATCTCTACCCAGTAATGGAGGTTTTTCTCATGATGTGATGGGTTTTAACCAAGCTGTCCTTTGTCCCCCTTGGTCAGTCAGTCAGGCTCATGCCTGGCCTGAGCTTGGGGCTGGGACACAGAGGTGAGTGTGACAGGGACAGTCCCTTGTCCTCTTGGAGCTCACAGGCCAGCAGCAGCACAAGACAGTTCCACAAGTGACTGCCATTTCCCTTGGACAGTTTTCAGCACTGCTGCCATCCCTGTCCATGGCCACTGTCCCCTAGCTTGGCAGGTGTTGCTTGGCTGGTGTTGCCAGGGCCTGGTGCCATGCACAGCACATGGGAGGGACTTACATACTTGAAGGAGTGGGTGGCGGTGGGTGGTCAGGTAGATATGACTGAAGGTCTCACAGGAGCCTCTCCTGCTGTGTTCCAGCAGCTGCAGAATTGGCCTGGTTCCCACAGGCGGCTTCCTGCTTTTAGGGCAAACAGGGCAGGGACCAGCCCTGGCCAGCACCAATCCCTTTTACCCATCCACCCACCAGGAGCACTGCAGGGAGCCAGCCGGGCAGTTTATTTTGGCTGGCTGCTGCAGGCCGTCGAATCTGTCATTTTTGTTTTCAGCTCTTTCATGCCCTTTGGTGTATGACATCTACAACATTGTCTTCGGCCTGCGTGCTCAGCCATTCCCGATACTGGGAAAAATCAAATTCCACTTTCAGTGGAGGAAAAGAAAGCAGAATTTGGGGTGCACCGTCGCAGGTCAGGCTCAGCCAGCAGTGATGGCCTGCTGCTGTTCTGTGATGGGCTGCCCAGGCCAGGGACAGCACTTGCTGGTAGTTGGGCACTGGGCCAGCGGCACCAATGAGCCTGTTGACACCCAGAGTTTATTTTGTCTGAGGTCACAGGACACCTGCATGGCAAGGCCAAGTCTAAATGACTCCCGAGCCCGAGTGGTCTCTGAGCGTCCTCTCTACACTTACCGTTTCTGCAGCCACACGCGGGAGCATCGCACACGCGGAGACAGGAAAAGGTGGATGAATGAGGTCACCTTTCCTTCTGTTGTGCAGACAGACCTGTCTTCCCCCCGTGTGAATGCCATCATTCTGAATGCAGAGAAAGAGTTCTTTGGTTTTTGCGTTGAGGGAATTTAGCACTTCGGGGTTTTGTGCTGTCAAGAAGCTTGTCTTCTGAAGATAAAATTTTTTAAATTTTTTTTGTGCATTTCTGTAGATGAAGATAAAATTTTATTTTCTTATTTGATCTCAGTGATGTCAGAATAACTTTTTAAAACTGTTTAAGAGACACATTTTTCCTTTCTATTCAGTAACAAATCTCCTTTCATTTTAGAGCCGGTGGGGTCCGTAGTGCTCATTAGACTGTGGTGGGCTTAGCTCCATGGAGACATTTGTGGATAAACGATTGTTTGAGCTGGGCACAGTGCAGGGGGGCGGAGCTGGGGTGCCCAGGCACAGAGATGGGGAGAGGAGCCCACATTCCACTAGTGGGGACTGGTAGGGTAACAGGAGTCATAAAGTAAACCAGGATTCGGGTGCAGGGGGCTAGGGCCAGGGTGGAGGTAGACTGGAGTGCAGTATGGGGGGGCTGTGGAAGCACCAAACTGGGAAGAGGAGGGAACGGAAGGAGGTGGGGAGGCTTCCTGGAAGAATTGATCCTCCAGCTTTTCCCAGCTGGCGTTTCCCCACTAGATCATCGGCTTTGGACCTTAGGGGTCGAGCCAGTTTTGGATGTCTCTCACACTCCCTGTCAGTCAGGGGGTGCCTTGGGAATTCTGCCAAAAGCCTCAGGTCTTCAGCGAGCTTAGGGACCGGGCAGGTGATCTCGCCATGGCAGCTCTTCCAGCAAGGTGATGCCTGCATCAGTGGGGGCGCCTCCCTGAGGAGTGAGGGAGAGCAAAAACGGCAGCCACATACCAAATTCCTGCCACTTGCTGGGTGCTCGGCTGAAGGCAAGTGAGCAGTGCATGTCTTCCCAGAGACCCAGGGCTCCAGGATGGGAGATGGCACACAGGGCGGCATATGCTGTGCATGTGAACGCCATGTAGGGTGTCGCGGGGCCTTCTCGACATCTGTGTAACACGCACCAAGGGAGCAGAGCATGGGGAGCCTGGCCGACGGCCTTGAGGAAGAGTTAGTTCAACACAGCTTTGCGTAAACACATCCTTTCTTTCTATGTTGTCTATCTTATGTGTTCTGCCTTTGGAGTTAGGATCTGAAAATTGCAATTTCTGGGTTTCTGTGTCATCTATTTTTTATTTTGTCATTTTGAACATTTCAGTTAAAGATTCGTAACTCAGTGTGTCTTTATGATTGTTGAAATCTGGGATTCATGCTTTTAAATGATCAAACGGCAAGGGGTGCTTTCAGGGTAGTGAGCTCCATTTTCTTCACCTTCGTACTTGAGGATACAGGTTTCAGGAACAGAGGATACGGCCAGTCAGTGTTGGGAGCAAGAACTGAAAACCCCAAGTTGAGACAGAATTGAGGCCCCGAGGAAAGGACAGGACTAGTGCTGGGTCAGAATCGAGTCTGGATTGTAGATCAGACTCAAGGCGATTCTGAATCTCTAACCCTCTTGGGCCCTGCAAGGTAAATAGCATCACCTCATTTGCAGATGGCGAGCCCCAGTGAGGTTAGGTGTTAGTCTGAGCTTGTGGTTCAAGGCAGCACCGAAGTGTGGAACTCCCAGGGCCTACATTCCAGGGCTGAGACAAGTTGGGAGCCCAGTGGTGGATGAGCTGGTGGGAAGTTTGGGGACCAGGACGAGTGGAATCCCATAGAAATGAGGATGTGGAAATTGCAGTTTGGCACCTGAAAGCAAGGCACGGACTAGATGGTTTTTCAAGGACCCCTGTTACTCTTTGGTGTTTTCAAACACACATCACAGATTTCACAACCCTAATATCAACAGTCATCCCCGTTTGGAAAGGAAGATTCAGCATAGGGGTTAGGATAGGTTGGAAGAAAGTTGCCTGAAGCTGTCACCATGGGGACATCTGGCAGGTGTGTACAGGATACAACATCTGCCAGGCACACGCACACCCTCCCCAGGGAAGGTGGGTGAGAGGTAGTGACTCTGCAGGGCACAGTCCTGAGGAGAAGGGACTCAGTCCTGGAGCCCCCTCTAGCTGCCTGGGACGTGGGTTGGCTTAGGGATAAACTAACTCAGGCCCTGGATTTCCCTGAAAGCTTTGTAGCTGCAGTGAAGGCCCGGTGAGGCCCTGCAGCTGGCTGTGCTTATGTGACTCTCTCAGGAATGCGGCAGAAGCGCCGGGAGTTGCTCTTCTGCCGGCCATGAAGTTACTGGCTGATGACGTGCTAAGAGTTGATTCCTTTTAGCTACCATGGAGAGAGCTCGTGTGACTCGCAGGATTGAGAACTGATAAATAGGCCGGGCGCGGTGGCTCACACCTGTATTCCCAACACTTTGGGAGGCTGAGGTGGGTGGATCACTTGAGGTCAGGAGTTCAAGACCAGCCTGGCCAACATGGCGAAGCCCTGTCTCTACTAAAAATACAAAAATTAGCCAGGCGTGGTGGTGCATGTCTGTAATCCCAGCTACTTGGGAGGCTGAGGCAGGAGAATCGCTTGAACCCAGGAGGCAGAGGTTGTGGTGAGCCGAGATCATGCCACTGCTGAGATGCACCACTGTCCAGCCTGGAAGACAGAGCGAGACTCCATCTCAAAAAAAAAAGAACTGACAGATAAAGGATCATGAGTTGTTTGGTTGACCATGCCTCTGAGATCTCAGCGACTTCTCAGTCCCTTCCTTTCCAGGGGGAATGGAAATCCCAGCTCCCAGCACTGTTTGGGCTCTGAGAAGATAGGGTGTCCTCTTTCTGCCTGGCATGGATGATGGAGACATATAGAGGCATAGTAGTTGCCCTCAGAACCCACTATTTTGATGCATTTTGGCATGTGACAGCACATGTCCACCAGGGGGAGGGGTAATCTGTGGGGGAAGCGTCCTGGGGCAGCAGAGCCCCCAGCTCACTCTCCGTGGGCCTCATGGCATTTTCCTCAGCTGTGAGAAAGCGGCCTTGCCTCAGAGCTGTCTTCAGCTACCGCCTCAAACATCGCTTCCTCCAGGCAGCCCTGACCACCCAGAGTGTTCCTTCTCACAATGTGTCACTGTCTCATTGCATTATTTTTCTGGCCATAAGTTCCATGAGGGACAGTCGCATGGCAGTTTGTTCACCACTATATCCCTAGGGCCTCGTGGCCCTTCACACACAGTGGATGTTCCTTAAATACCTCTCAGTGGCAAGAGAGTGTTGCCAGACGCTCAGAAATGGAGTGATGAATGCTTCAGTGGGGAGCCAGCCAGCTGGTGGCATCAGCAGACTGGAAACTGCTCCCTCTGCACCACGGAGAGGAAGGGCCAGGGGCGAGCCAGCTGGTCCGAGCTGAACCACGGAAGGAAGACGCCCTGGTGGTGCCCCTGCAGGCAAAGCCCATGGAACCAGAGTCGAATGTCTGACCCAGAGCTGGTCAGGTATGCCAGGAAGCACCAACATCGTCTTCAACCAGACACCCTGGAATCCTGAAGGCTCACCTCACCCCCCACCCTGACCCCCAGACAGGGTGAAGAAATGGCTTAGCAAGAAGTTAGGCCTTGTCAGGCGATCGCCGTGGCAGGCGGAGAGCACAGCTGGCTGGGAAGAAACCTACCGTGCAGTGTAAACCCCTCCTATCCTGGGCCATTTGGTCCTCACAGGAATAGCTCTGACTCTACCTGACAACTGAAAGGGCAGAAATATACGGAGAGGGACTTGTACAAAGTTACACATTTTGGGGCAGGGCCAGATCTGTGCTGCTCCCCTCATGAGAGCAGGTGAAGGGAAGGAGGTCTTGTTAGGGCTGGGAAATCCGATGGATTTGAACAAGTTATCGAAAGCATTTTGCCCGTCTCGTTGCCAACTGCAGACTTGGAATTAAGGAATCCCTAAAGAGTTGCCTCATCCTTGTCTGCCAGGCTGACAGAGGAGATGCTAGAGCTTCTTGGCATATTTGGTCAGCTTTGGATAAAACATTTGACTCTGGTTCCATGGGCTTGCCTGGCGAGGGGTACGCCAGGAGCTCTTCTGTAGGTCAGCTTGGGATAGCTGGCTCACCCTTGACCCTTCCTCTCCAGGGTGCAGAGGGAGCGGTTGTGGTGCTTGGGCCTTCAGGGCCACAGATTAAAGGGGAAGATCATCCTGAGGTTAAAATCAGGGTCATCCTTGGCAACCGGTCCTAGAAGTTTACAGGCTTGGGGTTCCTGGGAACTTTGTTGGCATATGGTGGGGACAGGAGCAGGGCCTGTGTGCTGCATGGAGTCTGGAATTCTGTTTGTGACTTGCTGGCGCCCACAGGGCTGGCTGGAAGCACACGCATCATCTCATGTTGACTTGGTAAGTCTCAGTTTACACCAGCTCTGATCCCGGCCTGAGGGATGTTTGGGCAGGTGGCCTCTCTTTCTGTTGCATGACCATGAGTGACTGCATCTCTTCAAACTTCAGTTTCCTTTTCTCTAAAATAGGGACACTAGGTCGGGTGCGGTGGCTCATGCCTGTAATCCCAGCACTTTGGGAGTCCAAGTTGGGAGGATTGCTTGAGCCTAGGAGTTTGAAATCAGCCCTGGCAACATAGTAAGAACCTGTCTCTACAAAAAATATAAAAAATTAGCCAGGTGTAGTGGTACATACCTGTGGTCCCAGCTACTCGGAGGCTGAGGCAGGAGGATCACTTCGGACGGGAAGGTTGCGCCTCTGTGATTGTGCCACTGCACTCCAGCCTGGGCAATACAGTGAGACCCTTCTCGCAAATAAAATAATAAAATTTAATTTAATTTTTAAAAATAGACATTAATAGTATCCCCTGGCTAGCATTCTCACAAGATTAAGTGGGGTGGCATGTAAAACTGTCAGTACCCTGCCTGGCCAAGTATGGGATGCTCTATTATGACGCCGTCGCTAGTGAAAATCACTCAGTGTGTGGCACCTTTTGGCGGGAGGCTTACAGTCTAGCTAGGGAAGTGAGGCTAATGTGCTCGAGGCAATTTTGAGACGAGCTGTGACCCGAAGGGCATGGGGACGGTGTTCACAAGGGCCATCATGGCCCCCAGCTGGACCAGATGGCAGGAGTCCTCAGATGAGTCTCCCCTGTCTGTGGGTGCAGGTGGTGTAGACTGGGTTGGTGCTCCACGCTGGTGCTCCAGCAAGGACGGGCTGCATCAGGGAAGCCTGCGTGGGGAAAAGGAGCCAAGACTTCACAGAGAGCTGAGATGGGGGCAGGTAGGAGGGGGACTCGCTCATCAATAACCGTTCCTGTCTCTATTTCTCCACCTGCAGTTGATACCTAGGCCCCCTCCCCATTTCTAATGTTACAGCTTTTGTTAGCATCTGCTCTCATAAACTTCGCACCCCTACTTCATGTGCACGTATTCTTAATTGATGTAAATGGCATCATGCCCCACATCATTCTGTTTCTGTTCTGGGTCAGTGTGTCGGCGTAGTCGCGCACATCCTTCCTCCCGCTGCACTGCTGGGCCCCGTGCTTACCTGTGCATTCCCCAGGGAGAGGCCCCCTACCTGTCCTGGGACCAAAGGGAACACTTCTATGGGAATCTAAGCCCAGAATGAAGCTGCTGGGTCATCGTAGGGCACTTGCATGCTTTATGATTTAATGACTGCCTAGTTGTGCACAGAGGCCTGCCCAGTCTGTTTCCACCAGTATATCCAGTAAAGGGTGCTGTACACCCACCTCTGCCCACACTTGGCCTTTCCCACTCTCTGGTGGTTGCCAGTCCACAGGCGTAGAGCTGCCTTGCTGTTCTCAGGCACATCCCTCTGGGCACCCACATACAGAGGTGTCTCTGTGTGCTCTGCCTGCTGTCATCCCAGCTACTCGGGAGGCCGAGGCAGGAAAATCGCTTAAACCCGGGAGGCAGAGGTTGCAAGTGAGCCGAGATGGCACCACTGCGCTTCAGCTTGGGCAACAGAGCTAGACTCCGTCTCAAAAAAAAAGAAAAAGAAAAATTTTGTTTAAGGAGCCATGCCGTAAGTCACAAAGGTATTCGCGTTCATTTTCTTCTGGTCATGTTATGGTTTTACCTCACATTTGTATGGGGTGCCTGCTGTGCGGTAGACCCTGTGGAAAGCAATGGAGAAAGAGTGGTGGATTAGGAAGACACAGGTCCACACCCTCTTAGGGCCCAGAGTCTGAAGGTATTAGGGGTTGGGAGCACCACAGAGCTTGGCATGGTCCTGTGTCTGCACAGCAGACCTTCTCCAGCGTCCTTGTGAAAGGCACCTCTGGACTGTTTACAACAGATGCATGCAGGATGGAGGAGGAGCTGACGTGGCCTCTTTGGATAGTCCCCCCAGCACGCCTGTGACAATAAGCTGCTGGGTTTCAGGTAGAGCCCCTTTCTCTGCTCCTGATTGCACGGATGTTTCTGCACAGGGATGGTTGAGATTCCAGCTGCCACCTCATCCTAGCTGACTTTAAAACTGAGGCTTGGCTGACATTGGGTTCTCAGAGGAACGATTAGAAGCCTGGCTCACTGAGAGGGAGTGAGTGCAGCCTGGAGGAGGGCAGGCGGCAGGGCGAGTCCTGGGCTCGGGGAAGGGCATGGGGAAGGGAGTGGATTCCCTGGAGGCAGAGCTTGATTGTGAGGGATGTGGCCCCCAAGGTCCATCCCTGGGAGGCAGGAGAGCGGCCTCCGGAGGACCCTAGAAAGGAGGTTCTCAGCCGGGCACAGTGGCTCACGCCTGTAATCCCAGCACTTTGGGAGGCTGAGGTGGGCAGATCACCTGAGTTCGGGAGTTTGAGACCAGCCTGACCAACATGCAGAAAACCCGTCTCTACTAAAAATACAAAATTAGCTGGGCGTGGTGGCGCATGTCTGTAATCCCAGCTACTCGTGAGGCTGAGGCAAGAGAATCGCTTGAACCAAGGAGGCAGAGGTTGTGGTGAGCCGAGATCGCACCATTGCACTCCAGCCTGGACAACAAGAGCGAAACTGTCTCAAAAAAAAAAAAAGAAAAGGAAGGAGGTTCTCTTTCCCAAGGTGGGCACAGCCTGGAGAAGGCAGGGGTGCTGTATGCAGAGAAACCTGTCTGGGAGCCAGGGATTCCCACGACCTTTGTCCCCGCATCCTCCACCTGGAGGATGGGCAGCTCCCTTTTTTGGCTCGCATGCCCTGGGTTCCACTGAGCAGCCCCATTCTCTGGAGGCTGCTCTCAATTCTTCCTTCCAGGATGTCCCCACCCCCGCCAGCCTTCTGAGCCCCACCAGTCCCCAAGCCTGACACCCTTCAGGATGCAGGCCTAGCCTTCCCAGTTTCTCAGCATCTGCCCTCCCTCATTGCCATTTGCTCCCTGTGTTCTGTGTTCCATTCCCAGCTGACTTCTCTCAGGGCCCCAGGGTTGCCATGTGGACACACCTTCCTTTTGCCAGTGCTGTTCCCTGTGCCTGGAATTATTTTCCTGGCCTCACCTTTAATCTGGCCAGCCTCCTACCTGTCCTTGAAGATGCCCTTTGGATATTGCGTTCAGGATACCTCTCACCCCCTCCTCCTAGTGCCCCAGTTCCAGTGCCCTGTGCCCAAGCACTGAGTCCCTCAGTAGGTACATGCTTGGCCCTCCGTCTGCCAGGCAGTCCCTCAGGGGAGTGAAGGGATGTCCAGGCACATGTATGCTGAGCATTTGTCTTTGGTAGCTTAGTTTCTGAGTGGAGTGAGCCTGAATTTAGAGGAAGTTAGGAACATAGCTTCATACCTGGTTCAAAAATGAGGATTTTGTGAATGAAGCAATTAATATGTTTGGAAGAAAGCATGCTTATATTCAGTTTCTACCTAAAGTTTTCTGCCATTTGGCTATCCCAAAACAACCTAATGTTTTGAAGAAGTAGAAGAGAGGTTTTTAATTACAAAACTGATAGAGCAGAAATAGTTAACTATATATGTGCTGATTTTAATGTATGATCGATTTGTCAAATATTTGAAAATTAATTTTCTTGCATTGTAAAAACTAGTCATTATTATACGTTTGATTTTTTAAAAAATATATTAAAAAGGGAACAGGCCAGGCGCTGTGGCTTATACATGTAATCCCAACACTTTGGGAGGCCAAGGTGGGAGGATCGCTTGAGCCCAGGAATTCAAGACCAGCCTAGGCAACACGGCAAAACCCTGTCTCTGCAAAAAATACAAAAATTAGCCAGGTGTGGTGGTGCGTACCTGTAGTTCCAGCTACTCTGGAGGCTGAGGTGGGAGGATCACTTGAGCCTGGGAGGTTAAGGCCACAGTGAGCCATGATTGTGGCACTGCACTCTAGCCTGGGCAACAAAGCAAGACCCTGTCTCAAAAAGAAAAAAAAGGAACAAACTTTACTCAAGAAGGCATACAGATGGCAAATAGTCATAAGAAAAGATTTTCAGTATTATTAGACTTTAGAAAGATGCAAATTAAAATCACAATGCAATATTGCTACACTAAGTAGAATGGCTAAAAATAACAAAACAGAACAAAACACCCTGGCAATACTAAGTGCTGGGAGCATGCAGGACAGGGAAGTCTCATACGTTGCTGATGGCAGTGCACAGCTGTCCAGTCACTTTGGGTAGCAGTTCGGCAGTTTTGTTAAACGTACAGTTAACATTTCCATTCCTAGGTATTCACCGAAGAGTCATGGAAGCTTATGTCCCCACAAAAGACCAATAGATGAACGTTATAGCTTCTTTATTCATAATTCCCCCAAACTGAAAATGACCCAAGCAACCTTCAGCAGGAAGAATATGGATAAACCAAAGAGTGGTATAACTACCCAATCGAATACTACTTAGCAGTAAGAAAGAGTGAACTTCTGATAGTGGTATACCTACACAGTCGAATACTACTTAGCAGTAAGAAAGAGTGAACTTCTGATAGTGGCATAACTACACAATCGAATACTACTTAGCAGTAAGAAAGAGTGACCTTCTGACGTAGATAGCAACATGGATCAGTCTCAGAAACATTATGGTGGGTGACAGAAGCCAGTCTCAAAAGCCAGGCTGCATACTGTGTATTCCATATATCCTTGCCATCCTGGAAAAGGGGCAAAAATCATGTCTGTGGTTGCTGGGGGCTGTATGGGGAGGGGATGGGCTGCAAGGGGGCACAAAGGCACTTCATGAGAGATGGAAGTGTCCTGTTCCTTGCTGTGGAGGTGGTAGACAGTGGTATATGTTTGTCCACATTCAGATCTAAGTGTACCCTGTAGTGGGCAGTTTTGCCTGTGTGTAGATTCCATCTCGACCTAGAGAAGCAGCCAGCAGTAGCTCTGCTCCTGGGACGACTGCAGTGCTTTGCCCAGGGAAGTGGAAAGGCCACATTGCTCTGTCCCTGGTGGTTTATGGCGATAGAGACTTCCAGTGATGGCCTTCACCGGCCACCACACAACCGTTTCATTAAAGGGACAGCAGGGCCGATGTTGCTGGGGTGCCTCGGTCCCAACTGTTTGGCATACTGCCCTTCTCCCGTTGGCTCTGTGCTCAGCCAACTTGCCTCTTGTCCCCAGCAGTGGTCACAGGACCAGCACAGGCTCCTCTGCAGCCTCTAGGACCAACTGGGAGCTTATTTGGAAACCTGAAATGTGTACTTACGGAAACACTCTTCCTGTATTCATCACGGATTTCCACATTTCAAGAGTTGTCATGTAAATGTGTATTTGCAGCTCCTGTGTGTGCCGATGGGTGGTACCAACATGTGACTTGTTAAGAAATATCCTTTTCTTTTCCCTAAACCTTTAACCAGTGGTTCTGAAAATCACAGAGATAAGCAGGTTTCAAGAGAGCCAAAATACATGATTTGATGGTGATTACCAATTTGAATACTGTTGGTAATAGGCAGATGAAAACCAGCTCTGGGTTGTGGCTTCATGTCGACTGTCAAGGCTAAGTTAGGGCCGTGTTACCTCAGCTCCTCCTACCACCAGCTCAACGATACTGAGTTGCTTGTTGGGTATTTTTTTCATCCTGCTGTAAATTTCAAAATGACAGTAAGGCCTCATTTTAAGGGAAGCAACCACATAATGTCACTTCCAGTGAGCTGTGAAAATGCTCACTTCCGACTTCCTCACAGGAGCTGCTCTAGTTTGGAGTGGATGCTCAGGTTCAGCTCATGTTTTGACGAGCTGCCGAGCTGCCAGCCTTGCTGGGGGAGGTCTTTGGAGGGAATGAGTAGAGCCGGAAGTCTCATCTGCCTCTGGAGAAGGCTGCCCAGGCTAACCACCTTCCAGGGGTCTTTGCTTTTCACCAGGATTCTGGTTCTCACAGGAGTGGAGTCATCTCAGCCCATGTAGCTCAGCCTCAGGGACAGCCCTTCCTCCAGGTGCTGCAGCCCCCTTCCCTCCCCTTGCCCATCTCTGTGCAGGGCCAGGCAAAGAGATTTTAGAAAAGGTAAAACTGACAAGGGGTTGACTAAGATTTTTGAAGGCATTGGGAGAAAAAGGCTGAAAAGAGATCGTTTTTCTGTCATATTTCCTCTGGGTGCTCAAGTTATCAGCGACTGTAGCCTTTCAAGCCAGCAGCTAAAAGAATGAAACATATCGAACATTTTCGTTTTCACCCCAAATTAGCCATTAACATTTCCTCAGTTACTCTTTTATTACTTATAACTTTGATGAACTAGTTTTTCTTTTCATATACGAAAAAAGGCAGTCAAAACTCAGCTTAGCCCTGACAAAGCTTTGCCATCAAGACAGTCCTACTTGGAACCCTTTGAAAAACTGCCTTTGGGCTGGGCGCGGTGCCTCACGCCTGTAATCCCAGCACTTTGGGAGGCTGATGTGGGTGGATCACAAGGTCAGGAGATTGAGACCATCCTGGCCAACATGGTGAAACCCTGTCTCCACTAAAAATACAAAAACTAGCTGGGTGTGATGGCATGCGTGCCTGTAGTCCCAGCTACTGAGGAGGCTGAGGCAGAAGAATCACTTGAACCTGGGATGCGGAGGTTGCAGTGAGCCGAGATCGTGCCACTGCACTCCAGCCTGACGACAGCGAGACTGTGTCTCAAAAAAAAAAACAATTGCCTTCAGCTCCAGCCTAGCCACTGTGGCTGCAGGATCTTGACAAACCACGTAACTTCTCTAAGCCTTTGTTTCCTCATCTGTAAAATGGGGACACTTATTCCTACTAGGTAGGGGAGACAGTATTTGGAGGTGTAAAACACCTAGCAGGTCGCCTGGCACATGGTAGGTGCTCAGGAAGTGGAAAAGTTTTTACAGCTATGATTGGGAAGTAATAACCCAGCACATGATGGATGACATCAAAGCAGAAGGCTTTGGTTAGATGTCACCTACTCCAGGAAGCCAGCCCCAGCCCCTCAGTCTGCGTGAGGTGCCCGTTTAGGCATCCTCAGCCCCACCCCTTCCTGAGCCAGTCAGCCTCCCTTCCTGACCCACAGCCCAGTTTCTACTTGGTACCCAACCTAAAGAACATTGAGAAGCCCCCGTTCACTGATGTGTATGATCTTATTAATAATAAAAATAGAGAGGCTCATTATCTAACTACACGGAGTGCCTTTCAAACTCTTGGAGAGGGGTGTGGTAAACATGACCCCAGGGGCGCATCAGGGCCTGGTTGGCATGGAGGCCATTTGTGCCACAGCCAAGGACAGGCTGCCCCAAGCCCCCTGCCTCCCAGCTGGTTCTCTCTCCTAGGTCGGGAACTACAAGCGGACTGTGAAGCGGATCGACGATGGCCACCGCCTGTGCAGCGACCTCATGAACTGCCTGCATGAGCGGGCGCGCATCGAGAAGGCGTATGCGCAGCAGCTCACTGAGTGGGCCCGGCGCTGGAGGCAGCTCGTGGAGAAAGGTATGGGGCCCCGGCACAGGTCCTGTGGCCTGGAGGCAGCTACACCCCAGCCGGGGGCTCTGGGCACGTTGTGACCCTCTCTATGCCAGTTTTCTGTCTTTTAAGATTGGGGCAAGAGTGCATTTCCCAGTTCCAGAGCGGGGTGTGATTTTTATGGGGAGCATTAGCGCCCATCACCAGAAGGCACAGGCTCCATGAGCTTTTGTCCACTTTCCTTGGGGACACAGGACTATAGCCCTTGTCATCCATAGGACACACTTGCACTTGCCGAGTTAACTCAGAACTCGGGTAAGTTCCTATCACGTGGAAGGCCTTGCCGCTTGGCACCTTAGTTTCTAACACTGAGAGCTGTTTATTTTTAAACTTGGCCATGTAGCAGGTCAGATAAGACTAGCTGGCAACACCTGGCAGTCTTTCTGAGTTTACATTTTAAGGGAATAATTACAGGTGTTGTATGGCAGAGGTTTCACCCCCTTCTGTCCCCACCGAAAAGCTCAGAAGATTCTGTAGCTTTATTAGTGCCACTGTTGTGTGGACAGGGGCCATGCTTAGAACACACTTCCCAGCAGGGAAGGGGAACTTGACTGATTACAGCCTTTCCGGCACAGAAGCAGAGCAGTGTGGGTTTCTCAAGGTGTGTTTTGGGGCAGGCTTTCCTGTGCTGACCAGCTGTCCTCAGCCCCAGCTGTCCTCAGCCAATCAGGGGAGCCAGGTCCCAAGCAAGCCAGGTCTAGTCCAGCTGCCTGTCCTTTCCCGTGATGCTGACATGGGTTGTTTGTGTGGGCTTAGCACAGTCCTTAGGGCAGGGTATGTGCCCAGGCTGTGGAGCAGGCACGTGGCAGAGGAGGGGCCTAGGATAGGTCAGCTCCCTTGGTCGGTGGCAGTGTCGTCATTTCGTTTCCACCTGCTGCAGCCCCTCTCCCAGGATCAAGCTGTCAGTCAGAGCTTGAGGTTTACAGAGCACCCTTACCACCCTCACCTTGTGGGTCTGGCTGTAACGTTGTGGACAGGACAGGAATGTGCTCATTTTGTAGACACGAAGGCACAGAGAGGTCCAACTTCCGGGGCTGTTCTCTGTTGTCTCCAAGCCCCAGAGTCACGTGTCCCCCTCTGGGTTCTCACAGCCTGCCCTCCCCTCAGCCCACCTCTGTCATGACTCAGCGCACTTGGTCACTGTCCCTGTGACCACCTTGAAGACCAGCCATGGATCTTCTCGATTTCTGCCCCGGCTCCGTTGTGGCTCTCCCTCCCTCCAGCCTCACGCCACCCCACCCTACCCCCTGAATAGAAATGCCAGCCTGGATTAGGGCTTCCTTCCTGAGCCTCGGGGACTGAGAACAGTGAGTAGGGAGAGGCGACTCAGCCCCTCCTGCCATACTGGTCCAGAGCAGGCTCCTGCTTCCTCCTCTCCTTCCTCCTGCAGGATGGGCTTCCATTCTGCTGAGGGGACAGTCCTCATTCCACAGTGTTCTCAAGCTTGTGCTCAGAGCCAGGCTCTTTCTGGGAGTGAATGAACACAGTCCTGCAGAGGAAGGCAGTGCAGGGCTAGCCAGGGGCCAAGCAGGGCTGATAGGAGCCATGCCAGGAGAAGCGTTGGCATGGTGTGGGTGGGTGCCCAACACCTGGGAGAAGCATCTGCTCACTTCAGAAGGTCCCCCCTTCTCTGGCCACCTTTAAGTAAATTAAGACTTCTAAGATGTGGAAATTTGAGTTTTTATAGAGTTCAGTGGCTTTAAATAAAGGAAAGGCATGGCCGGGCGCGGTGGCTCACGCCTGTAATCCCTGCACTTTGGGAGGCCGAGGCGAATGGATCACCTGAGGTCAGGAGTTCGAGATCAGCCAGCCTGGCCAACATGGTGAAACCCCGTCTCTACTAAAAATACAAAAATTTAGCCAGGCGTGGTGGCGGGCACCTGTAATCCCAGCTACTCGGGAGGCTGAGGCAGGAGAATCTCTTGAACCTGGGAGACAGAGTTTGCAGTGAGCCAAGATCACGTCTCTGCACTCCAGCCGGGACAATAAGAGCGAAACTCCATCCCAAAAATAAAAATAAAGGAAAGGCATGTAATCCCCCAATTTTCCTAACACGAGGGGCAGAGCAAATTCAGCTTTGGGAACTGAAAAAGGCACAGAGTCCCTGAGAGAAAAATATCTGAAACCCTGAAAGGAAACCCTCTGTGGTCTAAATGGCCACATTGAACAGCCGAGGTGTGAGCAGAGCAGACCCCACCATGGCCGGCGCTGAGTGACCCGCAGCTTCTCTCCCCTGCACAGGGCCCCAGTACGGGACCGTGGAGAAGGCCTGGATGGCCTTCATGTCCGAGGCAGAGAGGGTGAGCGAGCTGCACCTCGAGGTGAAGGCCTCACTGATGAACGATGACTTCGAGAAGATCAAGAACTGGCAGAAGGAAGCCTTTCACAAGCAGATGATGGGCGGCTTCAAGGAGACCAAGGAAGCTGAGGACGGCTTTCGGAAGGCACAGAAGCCCTGGGCCAAGAAGCTGAAAGAGGTACATCTGTCCTGCAGGCTTCCCTGCCCGGCCTTGCTCTGCCTGGCACCCCACTAGCAGCACCACCTCCTGCACCTAGGACTTCCTGCCACTGGCTGTAGGCACAGGAGGCCAGACCTGGTAGAGATGAAGCCACTCCTCAGGCTAGAAGCCCATGGTAGTTGACATTTACCCAGGTTGAAGATGCTGAATGCTCTATGTGCATTCTTTAAATTTTTTATTTTTATTTTTTGAGACAAAGTCTCACTCTCTCTCCCAGGCTGGAGTGCAGTGGTGCAATCTCAGCTCACTGCAACCTGTGCCTCCTGGGTTCAAGCAATTCTGCCTCAGCCCTCCGAGTAGCTGGGACTACCGGCACATGCCACCACACCCTGCTAATTTTTGTATTTTTAGTAGAGACGGGGTTTCACCATGTTGGCCAGGCTGGTCTCGAACTCTTGACCTCAGGTGATCCACCCACCTTGGCCTCCCAAAGTGCTGGAATTACAGGGCATTCTTTAAATTTGATCCTACCAACACATTTTACAGATTTGGTAACTGAGGATCAGAACCATACATTGGTGGTAGAGCTCAAAGCCCAAGCTCTTAACCACTAACAGTACTTCTCCCAACCCTGGGGAAGTGTCTGCTGGAGACTTAAAAGTCCTTGCCGGGCGCGGTGGCTCACGCCTGTAATCCCAGCACTTTGGGAGGCTGAGGCAGGCGGATCACGAGGTCAGGAGATTGAGACCATCCTGGCCAACATGATGAAACCCCATCTCTACTAAAAGTACAAAAATTAGCAGGGCGTGGTGGCGGGCACCTGTAGTTCCAGCTACTCAGGAGGCTGAGGGAGGAGAATCACTTGAACCCAGGAGGTGGAAGTTGCAGTGAGCTGAGATCACGCCACTGCACTCCAGCCTGGTGACAGAGGGAGACTCTGTCTCAAAAAAAAAAAAAAAAGTCCCTTTGGCTGCTCTGCGTGTGCAGTAGCCTTTCTTTATTCCTTTACTTTCTCAATAAACTTGCTTTCACTTTATTTTTTTTTCAAGTCCCTTTGACGATAGAAAGAACTAGTTTACATTTTTCTTTCTCTTGCATAGGTTTTTATCCCAAAATTTCAAACATTGATACCTGTTTTTCTAAAAGTAGCAACCAAAGCCATTGAGTTTTGTCGAGCCTTGGCTAGTTGGAGGCTGTCATCTGTCCACCCCAGCCCTCAGCTTGTGTGCCCCGCCCCTGCCTGCAGCCTCGCCCCCCATTCCTAGCTGGAATGGAGTAGACGGTAGATGTGCCACCCCCAACACCCAGATGTTCTCTGGCCTTGCGCTGCCTTCCTCCGCCTCAGAATCATCCAGAACATGCCTCTGTCCTTCCGGATGGTTTTCTCTGTGTCTCCTTTTCTCTGTGTCTTAGCTTTTGTCACATCTCCTTTCTCTTCTGTTTTGTCCCTGGCCCCATTCATAATGAAACTGTCTGTGTCTCATGAGGCCTTTGCTAATAAACTCCTCCTTCCCTCTAGAATGAAATTTGTGGCTTTGGCTCAAATAAGGAAGGATCTGTTAAGAGTGTGTGTGTGTGTGTGTGTGTGTGTAAAAACCATTAAAACCAGAGGAAATGTGGCTGATGGCCCTGCCCCCTAGTATGGTCCTCTCTCTCATGCTGGGTTCCTCCTTGGAACTTTCTTTGTATTTGCCGATCCTGCGGCCTGGCATGGTCTTCCTGGGATGCCCATAACCCCTCCATGTGCGTGTTCCATGTGCGTGCTCCATGTGCGTGTTCCATGTCATCTCAGTGGCTTTCTCCACCCACCCCATGCTCCGTCTCAGTTGTCCTCCCCTACACTTAATGCCCTCTAATTGACTCTGGCATGTAACTTTTCCTATACTGTATCTGCCTCCTGCAACTCAAATGAAAGCTTCACAAAGACCTTGTGTTTCTTGCTGTGTTCCTGGTGCCTCGAACCATGCACAGGACAAGCAAGTACTCCATGAATATGTGTTGAGTGCGTTCCTGTTGTGACTGGTTGCTATGATAGTATACATACAATTTTGTACCTGCCTTTTTCTCCCCTCTTGGTAGCACAAGCATTCCCATGGTCTGTGTGACTTCTAGTGAGGATCCTGAACTCCCAGTGACATGGCATTCAGGAACTCATTCTCCCTGTAGGTAGAAGCAGCAAAGAAAGCCCACCATGCAGCGTGCAAAGAGGAGAAGCTGGCTATCTCACGAGAAGCCAACAGCAAGGCAGACCCATCCCTCAACCCTGAACAGCTCAAGAAATTGCAAGACAAAATAGAAAAGTGCAAGCAAGATGTTCTTAAGGTAAACTGTACACTTGTTTTTACACGTCGAGTGTCACCGTGTCAGTTGTTGACGTGTCTGGCATATAGCCTTCTGTAACTGCTTGGGTGAATGGGTGGATAGAGGGATAAATAACCAATAAAACACACCCCTGTCCTCAAGAAGGCCACAGGTGAGTGCCCTAGCACCTCGCCTCACCATAGCCACTGTACCTGCTCAGTCAAGGGACAGAGCCAGGCTCTGGGCAAGCCAGGGGTAAGAGACAGCTCTTGGTGCTCAGAGACACAAGGACAGCTGGGATTGCTGCAGGGAGCTGCTTGTGCCAACATGGGCGTCGCCAGTGGTGGGTGTGAATGGGTGTGGCTGGTGGCAGGTGTGAATGGTTGTGGCCAGTGGTGGGTGTGAATGGGTGTGGTGTGAGCTGGTATGGAGGGTTATGAGGACCAAATCACCAGTGGCCTGGACAGCCAGGCTGAGTAAGGAGCTTAGGATGCTGCTGACCAGGAGCCACTCAGGAAGGCCTGAGCCTGGGTGGGATCAGGGAGGAGGTGAGGAGGGTGAGATGGTTTAGAAGGATTGCTCTGCTTGTGTAGGGAGAGGGGCTGGGGGCAGAGACCTGGGGGAGGGACTGCAGGCTGGGAGCGCTTGTCTGGGGGAGCCAGGTGGGAGGGAGGATGGAGGGGCCCTGCAGTCTCCACAGTGACAGGCCCCGAAAGTGAGGCAGAGGCTGTGGAGCCAGGGGTGGCAGAAGGGTGGTCTTTGGCCAAGGAGAGACCGTGACCAGGCACTGTGGCATCATGGGTGCCCTTCCATTTCTGTTGTGAAGCGGAGATTTTCTGCCCCATGGGTTAATGAGAAATCATTGTGTAAACTATTACATGCTCCGCAGGTGTAGATAAGTGATTCTGCCTGGAAGGTCCTGGAGTCACAGGACTTAAAACCAGACAGCGTCATCGTCTTGTGATTTAAAAGTTCACAGGAAGGGAGGGGCTCAGCCCTCGGCCCCACCTCCCCTCCTTTGGTCAGCCATGAGGGGTGAGGGCTGGGGGGTGTGATTGCCGAGGGCCTGCCCTGCCTCGGTGTTTGGAGAGGAGATTCCCAACCAGGATTTGCAGAGAGAGACGGAATGAGGTAGAGAGAGGCTGCACTCCAGGAAGAGGACATGGGCAGAGGGGAGGCAAGAGGCCTAAGCTGGTTTCACTACCCACCAGCCTTTCCTGGCCCCTGTCAGTTAGGTGGTGGCATCCCTGTTTTGTGAATGAGGAAACCAAGATCAGAGAGGTTAAGTCACGTGCCATCCAGCAGGTGAGAGCAGGAACTTCTGACCTCAAGCCCATACATATGCCCTTTCTCCACTGTTCCTCACTGCTATGCCGTCGGTGTAGCAAGGGGAACACGTCATCTACACGAGAGTTCGTCACTCAGACCAAGTGTCAGAATCCTCTGGGAAACCCCTCTCACTCCCATTGCTGGAGCCAGGAATCTGGGCTTTTGAAGCAGCCCAGGTGCCTCCACGGTGGGATCAGGTGAGGAGCCTGGAACCAACTACTGAGTGGGAGGCACCTGGGCTCAAGAAGCACAAGGTCCGGGAGAACTCTCGGGCCTTTGCCAGAATCCCAGGGAATCAGGTGCCCAAAAAGGTGCCTAGAGGAAAGATGGGGCTTCTCCATGTTGGGCGGGGGCGTGCCTGTGTGAGAGAAAGGGAGACAGAGATGGAGAGGAAGAGGCCTTTCATGTTTGACAGCCACCCAGAACATCAACTCAGGCTTTTGCAGAACAGGCCCAGGGCTCGAGGTTGGACATAAGCGCCTGGCAGGATGACTGGGACAGTTTGTAGTGGGTTCCCTCCTGGGACCCTCCCTGCCTCTTTGGTCTGGCCAGTGACTGCAGGATATGAGAGGTCCTTGTGTGCCTAGAGCTCTGGAGAGGAGGCCAGTCCCTCCCCACCACCCTTCTTGACGCAGTTTCCAAAATCCAGCACACAGCCTGGGAAACATAGTGAGACCTCATCTCTACAAAAAATTTAAAAACTTAGTTGGGTGTGGTAGCACGTGCCTGTAGTCCCAGCTACTTTGGAGGCTGAGGCGGGAGGATTGCTTGAGCCCAGGAGTTCAAGGCTGCTGCAAGCTGTGGTCACACCACTGCACTCCAGCCTGGGTGACAGAGTGAGACCTCATCTCTAAAGTAGGTAAGTAGGTAGGTACATACATACCTACCTACCTACCTACCTACCTACCTACCTACCTACATACATACCATTGCTGACTGGTTGCACATGTACTTTCATGTTTCTTATCAGCCATCAACTACATCTTGTAGCATCCATCATAAAAGAACTTTTTGCATTTAGTGCTAAAATATTACAATCCACCTAAGGGTGAAGGCCGCCTCTTGTTTTACTCCATGGGTGTTCGCTGAGAACTTTCTATGCCCTGCAAGGGGATTTCCAGAACAGTGATGACCCTGCTGAGTACCTGGCCTGTGCTGGGGGCAGGACTTGGGGCTAGCAGGGTCGGCACAGGCTGAGGGCAGGGGCAGCCCAGAGGTGGAGCATCTTGTTGCCACTGAGTACCCTGAGAGCTCCCGGGAGGCTATTGTGTCTTGAAGGCTCCTGAGATGGGGCTGCTCTGTGTCACTTCAGCAGTATCCTCCAGATGCTGGGCGCTGAACCCACAGCTATGTGTCTTGGGCTTCTGAGCTAGGCTCCCATGCAGGGCTGCCAGGTAGTGGGCACGGGCAGTGTGGATGGCTGTGGGGAATAGGGGAATAGCCACAGCGCTGTGGAGCTCTTTCTCTGCTGGGCATGCCCCAGCCCTGGCAGGGGTGGCCTTTTCCTGGCACAGAGGACCCAAGCCCAGCCATCTTAGGAGGCTGAGAAGCAGAGCAAGGACCCGGATACCAGGAGAGGAGAAAGGGGCAGGAGTCAGGGCCCTAGAGGGCGGGGTGGAACCTGGTCTCACGAGGCTGGGGAAGGCTTCAAGAAGAGGAGTTGCTTTGGAGCCTGAAGCAGAGTCTCCCAGGGCTCTGAGCCACGTGAGTCAGAGGAGAGCATCTGGGAGGGGAGCCGCATGGGCAGGGTAGACTCAGTCCCAGCTGGGGGCAGAGAGGGTGCCCGATAGGCCTGCAGTGTCTCGGGAAGCGCTCCATCCTTCCTCAGAAGGCCCTGCACATGTTGTTAGGGACAGCAAAGCTTAGACCTGAGTGGAGCCCGTGACTACCCCCATAGTAGAAAGAATTGCAATAAATAGGTGGCCCCAGCCCTGCTATCTCTCACCCACCCCAGGGGGACAACACGACCATGATCCCACCAACTAACAAAACCACCTGGCCACCAAACTGGTGGCCCTGCATGCTGAGATGAGGGGGTGCGGGGAAGTGTGTACCAGTGTGAGGTCATTGACCTCGAGGCACATCCCCACCAGATGAATGTGCCCACTTTAGCCATGTCTTAGGAATTTCACACGTTTTCTAGCTGCCCCTGGATATTCTTGAGATAGGCCACACCTGCTTTTTAACATTTCCTGCCTTGTAAAACCCCTTCTTGGGACAATCTGGGAGGGAGCAGCTGTGTGAGGGGGATGGAGTGGGCTGAAAGACAAGAGAAGGAGGACTTTTTTTGAATGCCTTCTTCCTGCACCCCATCATGTACATATCAGAACACTGTGAAGGAGAGATGTCCTCATCTGATAAAGGACAGTGAGGCTCCAAGAGAGCTGCAGGATTCAGCCCCAGCCCCACCTTTGCTGTGGGCCAGATCTGAGGCTTGAGGGTAGCCAGGCACAGCCCTTCCCCACAGGGAGAAGAGGACATGGGCGTGTGGCACGCTCAAGACCATACACACTGAGTTCTGGGGAGACTGCCCTTTGCCGGCATCTACCTGTCTGGGCCTTGCTCCAGCTGAGAGACAGGGCAGATGGCAGGAGTGTGATTCACCTTGCAGGAGTGGAGGAACTGGGACTTGAACTTGAAGTCTGTCAGAATCCAGAGCTCCTGTTTTTTCTTTGCATTTGGAATCTGGGAAGGCCTGAGACACTCCAGGGGCAGGGTGAGCCAAGGGCTAAATGGAAATGAACCTCTGTCTTGTGCCTGGATTTTCCTTTAGACCAAAGAGAAGTATGAGAAGTCCCTGAAGGAACTCGACCAGGGCACACCCCAGTACATGGAGAACATGGAGCAGGTGTTTGAGCAGTGCCAGCAGTTCGAGGAGAAACGCCTTCGCTTCTTCCGGGAGGTTCTGCTGGAGGTTCAGAAGCACCTAGACCTGTCCAATGTGGCTGGGTAAGTTTCCTTTGAGCTAAAACACACACGTCATTGAAGTCAACGGAAAGTGCTTTTGAAGCAAACTCAGATGCTGCTCCCAGGTTTGGGATGGCGCGTTCATCAGGAGGTCTCCTCACCGCCCTCAGGGCCTCCTGCTTCTTTGTAATCTGGATGGCAGGGAGGGCCCCTCTGCTGAGTGTTTCTGCAGCTGCAGGCATGGCCGGCTGGACCTCTGGAAGGCCTGGTTGACCCGGCCAATTGCTGGCCCAAGCAGATAAGGCCGGGCCCACTCTGCCAACTCCATGTACAGGTCTGGGTGGGAATGGAGATTGCCCATTCTGGGGCCACAGCTAGGACCAAGGCAGCTGGCATATCTTTTCTTTTCTTTTTTTTTTTTTGAGACGGAGTCTTGCTTTGTCCCCAGGCTGGAGTGCAGTGGCGTGATCTCAGTTCACTGCAACCTCCTCCACCTTCTGGTTTCAAGCAGTTCTCCTGCCTCAGCCTCCCGAGTAGCTGGGATTACAGGCATGCGCCACCACACCCAGCTAATTTCTGTATTTTTAGTAGAGATGGGGTTTCACCATGTTGTCCAGGATGGTCTCGATCTCTTGACCTTGTGATCCGCCCACCTCGGCCTTCCAAAGTGCTGGGATTACAGGCGTGAGCCACCGCACCTGGCCGCAGCTGGCATATGTAAGATCCACTGGAGGTGAATCTGGCATTTCTGGGCTGGTCGTGCCTGGGACAGTCTTTCTTTGAGGCCCTTTGTGATCAGGTGACTGCTTAGTGGCTCTCAGCCCCCAGGACAGCACATACCCTCTGAGACTTGGTTCTGAATTGTGATATGGAAGCTGTGCTGTTTCTTCTGTGCTTTCCTCATCTTTGGTTCTGTGATGCCTTCACCAGGGCAGAGGTCCCAGCTAAGTCAAGGACGTGGATTACTGTCATCCATCTAGCAGAACCGTGTAGGGATGCGTCACGGGTCAAGGCTTGCTGTTAATAGGAGACACATTCCGTTTGTCTCCCTCTGTGTAACAATCATCAAAAGCAACAGTTACTGCACCGCTGCTGCTCTGCCACCATTCCATTTTTATGATAGTCTTGTAAAGTGGGTGGCACTGACCCCATCTTATTGATGAGGAAGCTGAGGCTGGGTGAGATTAAATGACTTGCCCGAGGCTGCTCTGCTGGCAGGAGCAGGGTGAGGCTGGCCTGTGTCAGGCTCTTCTGCATGTGGAGTGACTCCCATCGTGTGGATGCTTGTCTGTCTCTGTGTCTGGATTTCCCCCTTTTAATACAGGCACCAGTCATATGGATTAGGGCCCCTGCTAGTGACCTCATTTTAGCTTGATTACCTCTATAAAGACCTTATTTCCAAATAAGGCCACATTCCGAGGCACTGGGGTTTGGACTCCAGCATGTCTCCTATGAAGGACACAATTCAACCCTTGATGGAGGGGATCATGCCCACTCAACGGAGGAGGAAACCGAGGCCCAGAGAAAGTACATGACTCACCAGCCATAAAGATTATAAGTGAAAATATCAGGTCCAGCAGTGATCCATACTCTTCCCTGGCAGGGCAGCTTCCTAGGAAGGTGAGCCGATGATGGCTGCCAGGCGGAAGGCAGCCCCCACCCCGTCTTGGTGGTGGGTGTGTTCAGCACCGGGTCATCTTCACGCTCTGCATTGGCAAGTCTGGGTATAAAGCTTTTCTGGACAGAGATGAGGAAGGAGGGGTACTTTCTAACACCCTCCAGTTTTCTCTTCCTCAACTCTGGGCCTGGTGAAATGGGACCACACAGAGTGGTGGCCCACACAGCCCACCTGCTGGTGCCTTTTGCATATGTGACACAGAGCAGGGCTTAGTCATTGCCACCTGCTTGGCTGGTTTGATTTAAAGCTCATTTGTCAGGAGCCATCTGTGCACGTGGCGGCCCGTGACCTTCCACCTGAGCCAAGGGAGGAGTGTTCTGGCTCTGTCTGTGAAACCAACTCACAGAGGGCAGAGACCACGGGACCTGCTGTGGCTGGCACTGGGCTGGGACAAAGGGTAGCTGGCCCCTGCCTTCTAAAAGAGCCACGTTTCTCTCTGATTTAGCTACAAAGCCATTTACCATGACCTGGAGCAGAGCATCAGAGCAGCTGATGCAGTGGAGGACCTGAGGTGGTTCCGAGCCAATCACGGGCCGGGCATGGCCATGAACTGGCCGCAGTTTGAGGTAAGAGGAGGGTGTGCCCATGAGCTCATCAGCCTGGAAGAGGACCTGGGCCCACAGAGTTGCTAGATGATGTCTTTCTCATTCTAGACTCTATGTTAGTGTTTGCCCTGTTTATCAGGCAGCCTTTAGGCATAGCTATAGTACAGACCAAGTTCTGGCATAGAGTCCTGGGGGGCTGCAGGCATTACCGAAGGCCTTCTGAACCTCTCCTGAAGTCGCGGTTATGTCCTCTCTAGTTGGGAATGTTTGACTGTCACTTTTTGGCCACTGGCATTCCCTTCCTTCCTAGTCAGTCTCAGGAGCCGTAGGCACACAGGACCTCAGGTCCCTGACCCACCCTGTGGGATGGCCAGGAAGGGAGCAGCCACAGTGCTCCCCTCACGGTGGGCCAGGGGAGGGGAGGTGGTCTCAGTGGGCAGCCCTCCCTACCCTTCCAACAAAGGACTTTTCCCTACTCCAGGCAGTAAATTCAGTGAATCCTGATTCAAAATGAATGTTCTTCTTTTCCCATCATGTGGGTCTAAGCTTTCATTATCTTTACATTCGAAATGCAAGGGCCTGGGGATCTCAGGACTCACCTAGCCCTTGGATTGGTCACTAGGCCCCACCTGGCACCCTGAAGGCAGTGGGCAAAGGTCCTGGTGCCCCTGAGGCTTAAGCACGTGGCGTCAGCTGCCCCAGCAGGGATGCTGAGGGCGACTACCTCTGCTGTGGGCGTGGGCCTCGTGGCTTCCCCGACTCAGCAGCGGCCAGAGCCCGGGCTGCATTCAGATTCTGCTCACCTCTGACCACCTGTGGGAAGCTGAGCAAACTATTCGCCCTTTTTGTGACTCAGTTTTCCCACGTGTGGAATGGGAATGACAAGAGCACCCATCTCCTGTCGGGGGCTGTTAGGGAACATGGTGACTTTGTCCACGCAGGGCTATTGACCCAGGCCCACCACTCAGAAACCTCCTGGGCGCCTCATAGCCTGCAGTTTTGTCAGTCCTTACTCCTGCACTTCTTTTATGGCCCTTAACAGGAAGGTTTTTCCAAATGACAGTGTGGGCCCTGCTGCCGAGCACTCCCCTGCGCCAGCCCCAGGACTTGCTCCCAGTAGGAGGCAGTAGAGCAGCTGTGCCCCTTCCACAGAGGCACTGAGAGAGCATGGAGGGCCAGAGCCGTCCTGACTGGAAGCGGCCCTAGAGGGGACAGCACAAAGCCCAGCCTCTCCTCTGGAGCCACACACCAGGAAGTCTTGGCTGACGTGTTTTGTGCACAGCTGGGGTTTCAGACACAGCGAGGATTTGCTGCTCCCGGAGTGGCACAGGAAACCACCTGTGAAATTCGCCTGGGTCCCTTAGAGGTGCCCATTATACCCAAAGAGGGGCACAGTGGGGAGGACTATTTGACAGTCTGTCTCCTGGAGGGTGTCCCAGCCAGAGCCTAGGGGGTCCTTCTCTCTGTGGGTCCATGGGCTGGGAACCAGCCCCTGTGCATTCATTCTGCGCACATTTGCAGCTGTTACGGGACCATGCCTTTCTCTAATGCAATTCTTTGTTTTTATTTTTCATGCCACAAGGATGAAGTAAGTGTCTGCGTTCGGCTACCTCATAGAGTGCCATACGCCATGCAGGGTGTCTGTGGCCCGCATGGGTGGGTGTGCTGCCCCCGCTAGGCTCCTAGCAGTTCAGCTGAGGCTGCGCTGCTGTCAGGGGTATTGAGAGCCGGCCCTTCCCATCAGTGCCGGCTTGGTGTTGATCCCATTGGCCTTTGGAAGCCACCCAATCAGGATGAATTTATATTCAGAGGTCACTGTGGAGAACTCTGAGGTTCCAATTGAGTTCTCAGTCAATCTATTTTGGTCAGAAAATAATTAATAGATGAAAAGGTGACCCAGATTTGGGGTCGGGCCCAAGTCTGCCACCCACACTGCGTGGGCAAATCACATTGCCTTTCTGGGCCTCAGTTTCCTAATCTGACAAATGGACAGGTTAGACAGGATGCTTCTGAGTTGGCTTCCAACCCAAAAGTTCTGTAAGTACGTGTGAGCAGAGCCGTGGACTCAGCCACACCAAGTTTTAATCAGAGTTGTCTGGTAACTGGTGGAGATGGGGGGAAGGAGAGCTCATTAAACACCTGCGGGCATGCACAGACTCTTCTAGAAAATCAAGACACAGTCTCCATTCATGGTTTTGCCCTAGTCCATTTTCAGTGCGGTTGGTGAAGCCAGTTCGCCACCCGAGAACTCGTGAGGCTTCCAGGAGGAGCGTACTCTGCTTTGCTTCGTTAGCCCCAGCATGTGCTCAGATCACAGAGGAAAAGTCCCAGGGCAGCAAAACACTGGGGAGGGCCCTGCGCTTTGGAGACTGAGAGTCTGCTTGCCTGCCCCTTCTGTCAGCGGGTAGCCACCTAGCCCTGGTTTTATTTGCAGTGGCTTTATTTGCACCTGGTTTTATTTGCACCTGCCTTTCCACATGGCAGGCTTGCTCAGGTCTCCGAAGCCAACTGTCTTGACCCTGTGGCCCAGGGACAATTTAGGGCATCGACGCAAAGGATCTTCAGCACTTCAGGACAGGTGCCTCAGAGGCTGGCTCCTGTCTACTTTGGGAGGCTCAGCAGACATCTGGGGAGGCCACAGGGGCCCATGCTGGCCTGAGGGGGCTGGGACTGAGAACCTTGGTGGGTGGGGTCAGGAACAGGAGGCCCCGGACCTTGCCCTGGTCCTCGCCACCCCCGCTGGTCCTCTGGGAGGTGGGCAGCATGGCCTGGGGGTGGTTGTAGAGGTGCAAGCCTCCAGATCCCCTGATGAGCCCCTGCTTTGAACAGTGAGGAGGGGCTCAGGTCGTTTGGGTTCATAAGTGGGGCATGGGGAGCCTGAGGTCTTCTGGGAAACCAGGGAGAGCTGGGGCCCTGAGTCTACACATCAGATGCACAGAGCCAACTGCAGGCTCGCTGGGCAGGAACTGAGGACAGACGTGGCTTCCAGCAAGTAGTGAACCTTTGGTTTCTCTCCCTCGGCACCTGTTGCCTAGGAGTGGTCCGCAGACCTGAATCGAACCCTCAGCCGGAGAGAGAAGAAGAAGGCCACTGACGGCGTCACCCTGACGGGCATCAACCAGACAGGCGACCAGTCTCTGCCGAGTAAGCCCAGCAGGTGAGTGGGCGCCACCTCCATCCAAAAGAGGCCGTTCCATGGTGGGGGCCCTGGGCAATCTGCATGGTCCAGGGCAGCCCCGGCCTGGACACCTGGGAGGTTCCTGGGCTCCTGAGCTCTGTGGGCCGTGGCCCAGCCTGGACACCTGGGAGGTTCCTGGGCTCCTGAGCTCTGTGGGCCGTGGCCCAGGGGCATCTCCAGGGAAGGTCGTCTTCCTGCCTGGTGCCAGAGCTGCTGACAGATCCAGAGAGGGAGGCTTGGCCCTGAGCTTCAGACCTGAGTGGGGAGGAGCTGATGACAGGGCTGGCATTCATGTCCCCAGGGATAGCACCGCCCTGCCCGGACACTGGTGGAGGTGCCACCCTGGTTCCCTCAGGCAGCTGAGGTCCTGCCGAGGTTCATGCTCACTCTGTATTGTGTGCAGGCGCCAGTCGAGGGAGGGACAGGAGAGGACTGCCAGGCATCTCCTTTCCAAATTACCTCTTCACTAGGAGCATTGGTTATTTCTGACTTAGTCATTGGCTGAAAATGAGAGATATAAGGGTGGCACTGTGGTCATTAGAACCTTCTGGAAAGTGTGTGCTAGAGGAGGTCTTCCTATAGGACCTGCCCACAGGCCTCCATGTGACACTCAGTAATAGTCATTTCATACGGGGGCTTCCTAAGAAGGCTTAGCCCAGGTTCCCTTGGCCTTCCTGCAGCCCCAGGCACTGAAGCCCCCACCCAGGCTCCCCAGCAGGTGTGGCTGTCGTCATTCCGCTGCTTTGCACGCTGTCTGGGCAGGTGGGCTCGGCAGTAAGTGCCTGTCCCAGGGATCAGGCCAGCACCTGTATGCTTGGGGGTGGGAATGGGAAAGAAGAAACACTGCCTCAGAGGAGACCCTGGGGGCCCTGGGCTGGCCAGGGTTGCTGCACAATCCAGCCGCCCCCACCAGTGCCGTCTCACAACAGTCTGCTAGAGAAAGGTGCCAAGGAGGGAGGAGGGCCGGTGAGCTCAGACATGTGGCCTGGATATTGGCCTCCAGCAGGCCTAGGTCAAGTACCACTTGCCAGGCTGAAGTGGATGAGGCAGTTACTGGCCACTCAGGATCACCCTGGTGGCATTGGAGGCATGTCCTCGCCTCCCTTCCTTGGTTCTGGGGTGGTGGGTGCTCAGGCTGAGCAGTCCATCCAGTGCTTTGGGGGCCTGTGCCCTGAGGCCCTGGTCTTGGAAGTAGAAGGTGCTGCTGGCCAGGGTAGCCCGGTCCTAGGATCAGTTACTTGGTGGGGTGCCAGGGCCCTTGGTGCCTGTCTGATTGGATTGCTTGATGGTCTGCCTGTGGTCTTCGTAGTGTGTAACTCAGCTCCCGGCTCCCAGCCCTCAGGCAGAGCTTGGCCCAGATCTCTCTGGTTCCCACACTGGGCCTGGCAAACAGTAGGCAGTTGCACGACTGGATTTTCCCTCTGGAGCACCAAAGGAATCTTCTTTCTATCTAGAAAAGACGGTGCCGCAGGCCCTGGCCCTGATTTTGGAGGCTTCAGCTCCACAGAGCAGAAGAGCGAGCCCTGAACCCCTTAGTAGTCAGGAGGAGGCCGTGTGGGCTGAAGAGCTCAGAGCCCTCTCCCACTCATCCATGGGAGCCGGCCCCTCCCACACTGTCACTCTCAGAGGAGACCCTGAGGGGCTTTTTGACCCCCCCAGCTCACATTGGTGGGAGTCAGGACAGAGGAGAAGCCCTGAACCTGGAAACGACTTTTGCTCCAGCTGTGGCTTGTCACCCGCCCCTGGGCCACCCCAGGGCCCCTGTTCTGGACGGACTGTCTCCAGGTGCAAGGAAGGAAAAGGGAAACCAAGTCCTCTCCTAGGCTCCTGGACCGTGTTTCACAGCTGAAGTATTGCCCGCATTCTGCCATAGTAACCTTTCTGTTGAAACACCACGGTCCCCTCCGGTCACAGGAGGAGCTGATTTGTCTCTTGAGATCCTGCAGCTAGGAGTTGCCAGGACCCTCACGGGCCCCTGCAGAGCTGGGATCCCCTGAAAGCTCTCTCTCTCCATAGCACCCTTAATGTCCCGAGCAACCCCGCCCAGTCTGCGCAGTCACAGTCCAGCTACAACCCCTTCGAGGATGAGGACGACACGGGCAGCACCGTCAGTGAGAAGGACGACACTAAGGCCAAAAAGTTGGTGAACAAATGCTTCCTCTGCTCCCACCGCGCTCACTCTGTCTCTCTTCCTCTCTCTCTGTCCAGGGGTCTCACCCCTCGGCACTCGGCAATGCACGGAGCTCTGCAGGAAGTGGGCACCTGGCGTGCCGCACCCTGGCCCACTACCTGCTCTCTGGCACAGGCTCTCTGGCACCCCCATTCCTCGGGGAGGGCACAGCTAACAATCTTAAGTTGCTTTTTCTCTGTCCTCTGTTAACCCTTCAAGGCCCTAGCAGCACCATGACAGGAAAACAGACAACGCGCAGTCTGTGCTGGGGACTAGAGAGTGAGGCCCCAGGTTGGCCTCTGCTGTGGGCATCTCCAGCCGCCTGCCCCTGGAAAGCCTGTTGATGGCTCAGGATGAGTGTGGATGGCATGAACTCACACTAGCACTGGCTCCACCTGTGCTCCTTCGGAAGGAGCCCTCAGCCCTGAGCCCCAAGGCTCCAGTGCCCTCCCCTTGCGGGGCGGGGGCCTCACACCCTCTGCCGCCCTGTGCTGAGGGCCCTGTGGCCTCCCCTTTCTTGCAGTGTGAGCAGCTACGAGAAGACCCAGAGCTATCCCACCGACTGGTCAGACGATGAGTCTAACAACCCCTTCTCCTCCACGGATGCCAATGGGGACTCGAATCCATTCGACGACGACGCCACCTCGGGGACGGAAGTGCGAGTCCGGGCCCTGTATGACTATGAGGGGCAGGAGCATGATGAGCTGAGCTTCAAGGCTGGTAGGTGGGCTCCCCCAGCATCCAGGGGAGGAGGGCTTCCAACCTGCAGGCTGTGGGCGGTCTTTTTTGTTTTTTAAGTCTGGAAAAGTTCTTGCTAGTTTCACTTGTGAGTCACTGCAGGCCCTTCCCCAGTGCCCTGGCTTCATTGTCAAAAGCAGCCAATTGGCTGGATGTGGTGGCTCATGCCTATAGTCCCAGAGCTTTGGGAGGCCGAGGTGGAAGGATCGCTTGAGCCCAGGAGTATGAGACCAACCTGGGCAAAATGGCAAAACCTGTCTCTACAAAAAATACAAAAAATTAGGCCAGGCATGGTGGCTCACGCCTGTAATCCCAGCACCTTTGGGAGGCCAAGGCAGGCAGATCACTTGAGGTCAGGAGTTCGAGCCCAGCCTAACCAACATGGTGAAACCCTGTCTCTACTAAAAATACAAAAATGAGCCAGGCGTGTGGCGGGGCATCTATAATCACAGTTACTCAGGAGGCTGCGGCAGGAGAATCACTTGAACCTGGGAGGTGGAGGTTGCAGTGAGCCAAGGTCACACCACTGTACCCCAGGCTGGGTGACAGAGCAAGACTTTGTGTCAAAAAAAAAAAATTAGCTGGGCTAATTTTAGTGGCACATGCCTGTAGTCCCAGCTCTCTGGGAGGCTGAGGTGGGAGGATCACCTGAGCCCAGTAGATTGAGGTTGCAATGAATCATGATTGTACCACTATACTCCAACCTGGACAACAGAGCGAGACCCTGTCGCAAACAAACAAACAAATAAATAACCTGGGCAACAGAGCGAGATCCTGTCTCAAATAAATAAACAAACAAAAGTAGCAGATTAGCTGGGCGTGGTGTTGCATACCTATAGTCCCAGCTGCTTGGGAGGCTGAGGCAGAGGATCACTTAAACCCAAGAGGATACAGTGAGCCATGTTCATACCACGTACTCTAGCCTAGAAGAGAGAGCAAGACCCCATCTCTTAAAAAAAAAAAAAAGTAGGCTGGGCATGGTGGCTCACGCCTGTAATCCCAGCACTTTGGGAGGCCGAGGCACACAGATCACGAGGTCAGGAGATTGAGACCATCCTGGCTAAGAGTGTGAAACCCCGTCTCTACTAAAAATACAAAAAATTAGCCGGGCGTGGTGGCAGCCGCCTGTAGTCCCAGCTACTCGGGAGGCTGACGCAGGAAAATTGCTTGAACCCGGGAGGCGGAGCTTGCAGTGAGCCGAGATTGCGCCACTGCACTCCAGCCTGGGCGACAGAGCAAAACTCTTTTTCAAAAAAAAAAAAAAAAGCGGATGCCCAATGCCAAGACTCAGAAATAGTGAGGTGCTGCCAAGCCAGTGCCTGGACTCCTCACCTTGCTGGGCCAAGGCTGTGAATTGCAGGGCACTGGCTAGTCACACAGAAGGGCATCTGGAGAAGCTGTTGGCCAGGACCACCAGGTTCCCCCATATGTAGTCTGGGAGCTGCTAGCCCCGCAGGGCCATGAGAGAAGCCTTTCTCTAGGGGTCCCCAACTGCCAGAGAAGCCCTCAGGAGAGCCACAGCTTTGCCCAGACCCCAGAGTAGCACTTGGCATGCCCCTGGGCCAGGTGGGGCCTTGTCTCAGGCAGCAACTTGTGTGTGTGCACACCTACCTGCCCACACCTACCATGCACACACCAACCCACACACATATCTGTGTTGCTAGGAGCAGAAACCATAGTTTTATAAAACAGCCTGGATCCTGATTACATGTGCTCTGCCTGTGAAGACTTTCTGTGCAATGTCTTTTTCTTCTTTGAATGGTCTTCAATGATAATCTTTTTTTTTTTTTTTTTTAATAGAGACACGGTCTCACTCTGTTAGCCAAGCTGGGTTACAGTGGTGCGATCATAGCTCACAGCAGCTGCAGCCTTGATCTCCTGGGCTCAAGCAGTCCTCCCACCTCAGCCTCCTACGTAGCTGGGACCACAGATGTGTGCTACCACCCCACCCACTATAGGAATCTTTTTTAATGCATTTGCAGTTTACCAAAATGGCTTTTCACATCTTCAATTTGAAAAGTGTTATCTTGTCCGGGCACGATGGCTCACACCTGTAATCCCAGCACTTTGCGAGGCCAAGGCCGAAGGATCACTTGAGGTCAGGAGTTTGAGACCAGCCTGGCCAACATGGTGAAACCCTGCCTCTATTAAAAAATAAAAAAATTATTCAGGCATGGTGGCACACACCTGTAATCCCAGCTACTGGGGAGGCCAAGAGAATCACTTGAACCTGGGAGGTGGAGGTTGCAGTGAGCTGAGATCATACCACTGCACTCCAGCCTGGGTGATGGAGTGACACTCTGTCTCAAAAAAAAAAAAAGGAAAGAAAATTGCTATCTTAGCACCTAAGGAAGCTGGAGTGGCCTAGGGCCAAAGTGGACCCACAGCAACCCAGATTCTTCCCTCTCTTGCCCTCTTTGTGAAGCTCCCCCAGAAGCAGCATCTACCACTCCAAGAGGGAAGCTGGGCCAGAACTCAACCCACACAGGCTGAAGTGTGCCCTTGCCCCTAGGCTACACTTGTGGGAAAGGCTGCCTTACCACCACCACCCCAACCCCTGACTCAGCAGGGAAGCCAGGGCCTGGGGGCTGTGCCCAATGGCCTAGCTTCTAACCAGTCTTCAGCCTCCTCCCCTCAGCACCCAGAGTGCCAGCCTGCTGTCCCCAGACACTCTTCCCCTGGGCTGGTTATCAGCTGCCTCTGCCCAGTTTGAGAAGTTGGGTTTTTTTGTTTTTTTGGATTTTTTTTTAATGTGCCTTTAAGCCATCTTCATCCAGTTTCTGATATCTTTGGTTGGGGTTGTTACCCCCGACTTTGTTGGTTTATTTGTTTATAATTTCTAACTCCTTTTCAATCCTGCCTATTGGGTTTGACAGTAATTTTGTAGATTTAAAATGTTTCTTCCAGATCCAAGTAAATTGTCAAAAGCAAACTGATTGAAATGAACCTTCTAATCACCAGTTCACATTTGCACAATGTGAAAGCTTTCCTGTCCGTTCTATTTTCTGTGTTATCCTGCTTTTTAACAATGCAAAATTAGCTCCCAGCCAGTGTGGCTTGACTTACGTCTCTTGCGGTGTTCTGGCTGTTTGCCACATGGTAGTGTGGGGTTACAGGCCTCATCCTAGCCTCGGTAGCCTGGATCCAGGCCTGTGAGAGCACAGCAACCAATGAAGGCAGGACAAAAGAAACGCCAGGGGCCCGAGGCACGAAGCGGTGGAAAGAGATGGTGGTTCATCGTGGCTGCTGCCCTGTGGCCCCTGCATCTGCTCCTGATGCCTCTGGGTTAGATCTGCAGGCGCACTGGTCTGGCAGAAGCGGCACGACAGTGGGAGGCTGAGCCAGTGCTTACGCATGTCCCACCCTCCCAGGGTTCTTTAGTGTCTTAACACTTAATCTTCACAGTACCCCCAGTCCACAGATGAGGGCCACAGGCCCAGGGAGTGGACGCAGTTGGTCCAGGTCTCCCAGCCAGTGAGTGATGGCTGTGGGATTTGAGCCCAGGCAGTCCGGGGAGCACTGGAAGCCCCAGGTATTAGCTCCGCAGGCATGTTGACCAGCATTGCTGCCATACAAAATCCAAAGCATCAGGGAAATGCTAAACCAGGGGGAAAACTGCATCTAATTCTGAAAAATGGACCAAAAAATGCCAAAGAGAGTTACAAAACTTCAAACTTAGCAATAAAGGCAAAACAGCACTGGGACTATTTCTTTCCCACCAATTGCTTGCTCCTGACGAGGTCCGAGCCAGCAGGCCCAACTGGCCTTCCCTGCAGTGAGTTACCAACCAGAAGCACACAGGCCCCTGCCCACCCCTGGGCTCTGAGCTGCTCTGCTTCCCTAACCTGGCAAATGCCAGACCTGGGGCCCTACCCTAGTGCCACCTCCCCCTCACCACCCTAGTCTGCCTCCTTGAGACCAGGATCCATCAGTTCCTCTCATCTCTGTATCTCCTCTTCTACCCAAGGCCTGGCCAGAAGTAGGAGGTCCTTCAGGTTGGAACAACCAAAGATAAATGGAACCACGTTAATACATTAGAGCCACAGGGAGATTCCAGAACAGCGCCAGGGGCTCCTTCTCAGGGTCTCAGGAAGGGTTGACACATGGCACCGTGCACAAGTCATCAGCCAGGTGCTGGGGATAAAATGACAGGTATGACTGTCAGACATGGTCCCTTCCCCTCGCAGCCTGGAAGTTGCAGAGGAGAGGGATTAGCAAAGGCAGAGAGACCCCAGAGACAGCTGCTGGGAGCAAGGCGGCCGGGGCCCTGGGGAGGGGACAGAAGAGGCCCAACGTGAGGGAGGGGCACAACCGAGGGACGATTCCTGCCACCTGGCCAGGGTGGTGAGGAAGGCACAGCCCTATGGAGCTGGATGCCGCAGTCTCAGTGGGAGCCACTGTGGCAGCTGAGAGCAGCTTGTTCCAAATTACTGTGTGAGACTGTCATCTCTAGGTCTGTCAGAGGCCCATGACCAAAGAGGCAACTTAAAATGCATGCATTTAGTAGAGAAATGACCAGGCCCTCGGCCTGCCCGCCACAGAATGCCTGGCCCTCCACCCTCTGTGGGCTCAAAGCTCGTGAATGCGGCTCTGTAGCCCACCGTCGGTGTCATACCTCTCATGGAGACGGCTCCCTCTTTGTCTTGCAGGGGATGAGCTGACCAAGATGGAGGACGAGGATGAGCAGGGCTGGTGCAAGGGACGCTTGGACAACGGGCAAGTTGGCCTATACCCGGCAAATTATGTGGAGGCGATCCAGTGATGAGTCGGGGACAGGCCAGCGGGGGGACGGAGGCGGCGGGCCCAGGAGCCTCAGCCAGCCACGTGGGCATCCACTCCTTTTCCTGCAAGAGATGATGGTTCCATTGCTCTTGGCTTCATGGTGTTCCTGGAAGGCAGATGAGCTGGTCATTTCGCCTGGGACTCGGCACCTTTCCGAGTGCAGCTGGAGGGATCTGAGCGCAGGAAGACGCAGAACAACAGAAATAGCCGCCCCTCCCCGCCCACTGTGCCTGTTGGCCTATCATAGATCTCTATGTTCTTGACTTTGTCTCTCCTTTCCGAGTCAATGGTGGGTTACACTGATCTTGTTCCACTGATTACTCTCTCTGACGAGTCCATCACCTGCAACTTAAATGAACAAGCTTACATCCCATTTTGAGTGAAGATTTTGAGGTTTTTAATTTAAAGGCTGTGTACAGTTATACTTTTTTATACACCTGTTCATTTCTACTTAAATTATGGCACAGATTGATGCGCACCAGTCTTGAGGAAACGATCTCCCTATTCCCTTACCCTGTTACTCAGCCACGCCGTGTGTAGGCTTAGCCTCAGGTGGCAGATGTTTGAGGAAAGGAATTATGCCAGGAAGGTGGGACCGGGTTATGGTCGGGTTTCTATTGGGAATGCTCTTTGTGCTTTTGGGCATCTGAATGGAAGCTTTACATAGAACCTTAGGTAGAACTCCCCCAAATCGCCATATTTAAAAATTATTTTCACTCTATTCTTGCTTAAAACTGTACTCTTTTGCAAATTAACAATTTTATCACTGATTCAGAGTTAAAAAGAAGACTAACTTTTCAAGCAAATGCATCTGTAAAGATGCTTTAGATTAGACTGTCATGTCTCAGTGTCTATCTGTATATATTATTTGATATTCAGAGAATCTAAAGCACTCGTCTACTGTTTTAATGAGATTTAACAGCTTTTAACAGTGAGTTTCGTTTGTAAACTGCTTGAAGTCTGTGGCATTCAGGCACACGTCTGGCTGGCCGGCTGGGTCTCCTCCCGGGCTCAGTGGGCCTGGGGCCTCTCTGACGTGGTGCCTGCTGGAGGGAGGCTCGTCGTCACCAGCTGACTGCTGGTCCGGCTTCTGACCGGCCTTTGTCCTGGCTCCGTAGCAGAACACTGTAAAAGTGCCCGCGTCTTTGCAGTAGTTGCAGATTTCAGTCGTCGTGTTACTTGTGCACAAACAGAAGCTGGGTCTTACCCGCAGCACGAGTGTCTCGGGCTGCCCGGAGTCGCCCGGGAGCAGGTGCTGCAGCCAGAGTTACGCGGGGGCCACGCGGGCCGGCGGGGGTGGGGGGAACGTGGGGGAACCTGTGTTTCACGTGACTCAGCAGTGCCCGCCGCCGTCACCAGCTATGCATTCACTCCGTTTCCAGTGAGCAGATGTCTTGCTTGGAAAGTGGACCTGTGTCTGTGTCTGTCCTGAGAACTTACCAGCAGAAATCCTCATTTCTGTGCTACGGATTTACCAAAAATTGTCAAGTCTTTTTCAGTTTAACAGTTCCTTTACATGTGTAGTATTTGAGGAAAAAAATCAATAAACAGTTGATCTCGTGCATATGGAAGTCCCTTCGCCATCATCTGTCTTCATGCCCACTTCACTTGGCGGGGGTGGCCTCCCTGGGGCTTACTAGCTTTGGAGCTGGGCAAGATCCAGGGCACAGGACCCCTGCCCAAAAGGCCACGGCCCACTGCCCCTGCCAAACTGGAGGTTGGGGATTTGAGGCACCTGAGCCCCTTGGGGTTCCCTTCTCCCCGAGACCTGCTGCTGTTTGACCTGGGCTTCCACATGGTGCGGGCATCGGCTGGCGCCTCTCTATTGCCCCAGCCCAAACAGCAGGACAAGACTGACATCACCCATAACTCTCCTATGAGCACATTTTCCTGAGCACCTACTGTGTGCTCTCCACTTTTTACTTACATTATCTGCGTCTCCAAACATCTCCACAGGGTATGGGCAAGTCTCCCCATTTCCATTCTACCGAGGAGGAAACAGAGGCTCCAAGAGCCAGCCAGGGTTTCTTGAGGAGTCTCAGCCAGCCCAAAGCACTGAGCGAAATCCCTGAGGAACCACCCCCTCCCTCGCTGGAGAAACTGAGGAGGGAGGAGGCTTGGACTGGCTTGAAGACAGGAGAGAAGCAAGACGTGAGGGCGGCTGTGGCCACGCTCACCGAGCCCTGGGAAGGCTGCCCAGAAAAGCACGCCAGCTGGGCATGGGGCCTCACAGAGCACCTGGGAGGAGCAAGGCAGGCAGCTGCCCCTGCAGTGTGGCTTTGTCCCAGCTCAGCAAGGGTATGGGACAGATCCTTGTCACGCAGCCTCCTTGTCTGAGGGGTGGCGGGTCCCCTGCTCCCAGCTTCTGAGGAGTTGGAGCCCTACAGCGCAGGGCGGACACCCGGCTCGGCCCACAGCCCCAGGCTGCAGAGAAACAGGCAGAACGGGGTTGGGAGGGAAGGTGGGGGGTCAGAAGCAGGCTCCTGGTGCCAGTGGCCTCAGTCACTGCCCAAACACCATGGCAAGACCACGGTCCCCGCTGAGCTGGATGAAGCAACCTCCACTCTGAGGCTGGATCACACGGCCCCCCCCGTGAGAGATCTGGCAGGGCCTCTAACTGCCCATCTTCCCTCTCCTGCCCTGCCCTCAGGGGCCAGCTTGGAAACTTCAGCTTGTCTCTAGGCCTCAGTTTCCCCAAGTAGAAGTGATACTTTTCCAGTTGGAGAGTTAGAGCAAGAAGAAAAGGTGGCCTGGGCAACATAGTGAGACCTTGTCTCTACAAAAAGTTTAAAAATTGGTCGAGTGTGGTGGTGCATGCATCTAGTCCCAACTACTTGGGAGACTGAGGCAGGAGGATTGCTTGAGCCCAGGAATTTGAGGCTGCAGTGAGCCATGATTGCACCACTGCACTCCAGCCTGGACGACAGAGCTCTCGAGACAGTCTCAAAAAAAGAAAAAGGCCGGGCACGGTCGCTCACACCTGTAATCCCAGCACTTTGGGAGGCCGAGGCGGGTGGATCACGAGGTCAGGAGATCGAGACAATCCTGGCTAACACGATGAAACCCCGTCTCTACTAAAAATACAAAAAATTAGCTGGGCGTGGTGCCTGGCACCTGTAGTCCCAGCTACTCAGGAGGCTGAGGCAGGAGAATGGCATGAACCCGGGAGGTGGAGCTTGCAGTGAGCCGAGATCGCGCCACTGCACTCCAGCCTGGGTGACAGAGCAAGACTCCATCTCAAAAAAAAAAAAAAAAAGAAAAACGCCACAGGCACTCAGGAGCTGGTCATTGTCACGATTATGAGTGACACCATAGGCAGGGGCCCAGGGTTCTCTGCTGTCCATGGCTGCCCTTCGCTCCTCCCACAGCCACCACCCTGGATCAGTGCTGCCACCAACTGTCCACACCTCTTCGGGTCCCCAAGGCCCCTGAGTTGACACTAGGGGGAGTGTTAGCCCCAGAGCCCTCTCCTGGGCCAAAGCTACCTGGAGCTCAGGACAGGGGTATTTCATCATCTCTCTCCATCCTTCCCACAACCCAGAAATGTCGGGAGGGTGAGCAAGTGCTGCCAAGTGACCGGAGTAGGGATCTGGCTTTGCTGCAGCCTGAGCTAAAACTGGGCCTTCGGAGGTCCCTGCAGATGGAGAACAGGGCTGACCTCTGCTCTGGGCTCTGATGCCAGATCCTGGTCCACTCAGAAGCATGTAGTGAAGGCCCGACTGGGCAGCCTGGGCTGTGTCAAGGCCTCAGGCACTGGATAGGCCTGGAGGGAACCCGCTCACAAGCCATCGGGATAGGGATGGGGGAGGTTGGGAAGGACTTGTGTGGACCACCTGACCAACCCCCTCATAGTTCATGGGGAAACAGGACAAGTGAGAGGAAGCAGTGACTTCGCCGTGGGCACAGACCATGTGGTTTGGGAAGCTGAGCAAGGCCTGACCCCTGAGTGGCCCAACCTGGTGAGGGATCAGCTGGCTCTCCTTATGTATCCATTGTGCAGTCATTCATTCACCATGCATCTATTGAGCACATACTGTGTGTGAGACTCAGCGGTGCCAGGACAAACATGAAGAGAAGCCAATCTTGCCCTTGGGAAACTCTGGTAGGCTCAGAGAAGGACCTGTGTTATTCTGACACCATGATGGGACAGCCAGAGACAAAGGGCCAGAGTTGTCTTCTGAGAATGTGTGTGCTGGGTTTCAGAAGTCTCAGGCCTCCCAACCCAGGCTCCAAGGCCTCAGAGATCAGAGCACTGCTCAGTCCTTGAGCCGTTCCCCAACTTCCTGTAGGAAGTGTCCCTGAGTCCCCACCTGGGCAGGAGGCTGGACCACAGACAAACGGAAAATGCCTGAGCTTCATTTGCTGAAAAGTAGGGATGACTGGCGGGCACAGTGGCTCATGCCTGTAATCCCAGCAGTTTGGGAGGCTGAGGCGGGTGGATCACCTGAGATCAGGAGTTCGAGACCAGCCTGGCCAACATGGTAAAACCCTGTTTCTACTAAAAATACAAAAAATTAGCCGGGCATGGTGGTGGGCACCTGTAATCACAGCTACTTGGGAGGCTGAGGCAGGAGAATCGTGTGAACCCGGGAGGCGGGGGTTACAGTAAGTCAAGATTGCACCACTGCACTCCAGTCTGGGAAATAAGAGCAAAACTCTGTCTCAAAACAATGACAACAAAAAAACAGGGGTGATGAAGTGAGGATAACTTAAGGGGTGCTCAGAAGCCAAAGACCCTGCCAGGTGGGCACCCCAGCCTGTGGGTGCCCTGTAAGCTTTCCTTCCCCCACCCCTTTTCACAGTCCAAGGTCTCCCCAGAGTGGTGGCTGTCCGCTCTGCTCCCCTCCCTTGTCCACCCTTCCTGAAGCCTCCTCTGAGGCAGGGAAGGTCTGCGCCCCTCCCCAGCCCTTCCACAGACACCTGTGGAAGACAAAGGCCACTCTCTGGGCCTCGGTTTTCCGAATAAATGGGCTGCATCTCTGTGGCCCCTGTGGTGGCAGCAAGCAGAGGGGCCCTCAGGCCAGGACGGAGTCAGCTCCAGGTGCCAGCCAGTGAAAAGAACCAGGGTCAGGATGGAGGTGGCTCCACCACACCTGGGAGGATGTGCCCAAACTGAGCTAAATCTGGCCTCGCCTGCAGTTGAGGTACGAGGCTCATTTCTGGCCAGGCATGACCACCACCAGGCACAGGGTCGGAGGAACCACAGTGCTCATCCTCCCTCTAGCCTGGGTATGTGGCACTAAACCAAAAAGAAAAAAGAAAACGCAACAAATCTGGGACTATCCTATGAAACCCAGATTATATTGTTCTAGGCATCTACAAATCCTTTGTGGAAAGGGCTAGGAAAGGAAGGAAGGAAGAAAGAAATGAACTAAATAAGTGATGTCACTCTTAGGGGAAAGGATACCAGCACCAACGGCCAGTGGACCAAAACTCAGACGCCAGAGGAATACTAGGTGCTAGACCTCCCGAAGGTTGCAGAAACCCAGAGCGCCTTAGGGTTAGGGTTAGGGTTAGGGTTAGGGTACGAGGACCTAAAAGACCCTGAGCTCAACAGCATTCGGATCACCAAGGCAGCCGCCTCAGGGCATGTGAACTACATACAGTCACTGGCCGCTTCTGGGCAAAGACAGCCAGGTGGCCCTGCCACTTTATGGTATTTTCCAATAGGAATCTTAATTATTTTTTCCTGATTGTAAAAGGAACAAAGGCTCAGATGAAAATTTGGAAATTTAGTAAAGGTATTCAGAAAAACATTAGTTATCTGTGATCCTGACTTCCAGAGGTTACATTGCTAACATTGGGGTGTATTTTTTTCTGGTATTTTTCCTAACATATATGCACATGTGCCATTTTCTTTTTTTCTTTTCTTTTCTTGAGGTGGAATTTCACTCTCGTTGCCCAAGGCTGGAGTGCAATGGCACAATCTCGGCTCCCTGTGCCCCCCACCTCTCAGGTTCAACAATTCTCCTGCCTCAGCCTCCCGAGTAGCTGGGATTACAGGTGTGAGCCACCACGCCCAGCCACATGTGCTGTTTTCTTGTCGTCATCATCATCATCAATGTGTGTATGTGTCTTACAAAATTGGGATCGTACTGTAAATATAGTTTCGTTCTCCTGCCATTTGATCATGAGCATTTTCTCATGTCCCTAAATATACTTCAATTAAAAATAAACACCAGACATAGTGGCTCATACGTGTAATGCCAGCACTTTGGGAGGCCGAGGTGGGAGGATCACTTGAGCCCAGGAGTTCTAATCCAGCTTGGGTAACACAGGGACACCCTGTCTCTACCAAAAATAAAAAAAAAATTAGCCAGGCATGGTAGCACACACCTGTAGTTCCAGCTACTCAGGAGGCTGAGGTGGGAGGATCACTATAGCCTGAGAGGTCAAGGCTGCCGTGAGCCATGATTGCACCACTGCACTCCCGCCTGGGAAACAGAGCAAGACCCTGTCTCAAAAAAAGAAGTGAAAGAAGTAGAGGAGGTGGAAGGAGCAACAGGAAAGGCTGGCACACTCAAGTGTAACTTTTATTGAAAAAAATCTGGCTGGGCATGGTGGGTCATACCTGTAATCCCAGCACTTTGGGAGGCCGAGGTGGGAGGATGAGGTCAGGAGTTGGAGACCAGCCTAGCCAACATGGTGAAACCCCGTCTCTACTAAAAATACAAAAATTAGCCAGGCATGGTGGCACACACCTGTAATCCCAGCTACTTGGGAGGCTGAGGCAGGAGAATTGCTTGAACCTGGGAGGTAGAGGTTGCAGTGAGCTGAGATCGTGCTACCACACTCCAGCCTGGGTGACAGAGCAAGACTCCATCTCAGAAAAAAAAAAGAAAAAAATCCACATGTAAGTGGACCCATGTAGTTCAAGCTCAAGTTGTTCATGCGTGAAGTGTACTGTTTAGTGGCCGAATGATACTCATGCTGTAAGTCCCATGTTGCTGAGCATTTGCTTTGTTTCCCATTTTTCTCAGTTCTTAAGGTATAATTTATGTATATACTTTTTTTGTTGTTGTTGAGATGGAGTCTCCCTCTGTTGCCCAGGCTGGAGTACAGTGATGCCATCTTGGCTCACTGCAACCTCTGCCTCCTGGGTTCAAGCGATTCTCCTGCCTCAGCCTCTTGAGTAGCTGGGACTACAGGCACCCACCACCATGCCCAGCTAATTTTTGTATTTTTAGTAGAGGGGGGTTTCACCATGTTGGTCAGACTGGTCTCGAACTCCTGACCTCATGATCCACCCACCTCAGCCTCCCAAAATGCTGGGATTACAAGCGTGAGCCACTGCGCCAGGCCAAAAACACTCCTTTTAGTGTACAGTTCTTGAAGTTTTGATGAATGTATACAGTTATGTAATGTACTAGTCCATTCTCATGCTGCCACAAAGAACTTGCTCAAGACTGGGTAATTTATAAAGGAAAAAGGTTTAATTGACTCACACATCTGCATGGCTGGGGAAGCCTCAGGAAACTTATAATCATAGCAGAAGGGGCAGCAAACACATCCTTCTTCACATGGCAGCAGGAAAGAGACATGCTGAGCAAAGGGGGGAAAACCCCTTATAAAACCATAAGAACTCATGAGAATTTACTCACTATCATGAGAACAGCATGGGGGTAACTGCCCCCATGATTCAGTTACCTCCCACCAGGTTCCTTTCCTGACACATGAGGATTATGGGAACTACAATTCAAGATGAGATTTGAGTGGGACACAGCCAAACCGTATCACATAACCATCACCACAATCAAGATATAGAACTCTTCCGTCACCTCCCCAACACGTGGATTTTTGTTGTCAACCCCTCCTTACACCCCCAGTCCCTAGAAACCACTTAGATGTTTTCTGTTTCTACCTTTTCCAGAATGCCATAAGAATGGAACCGTGCAATATGTAGCCTTGTCTTTTTTCACTTCCCATGACTCATCTGACATTCATCTGTGTGGTTTCATATGTCAGTATTTTGTTTCTTCTTCTTCCTTCTTCTTTCTTCTTCTTCTTTTTTTTTTTTTTTTTTTTTTGAAACGGAGTCTCGCTCTGTTGCCCAGGCTGGAGTGCAGTGGCGTGATCTTGGCTCACTGCAAGCTCCGCCTCCCGGGTTCATGCCATTCTCCTGCCTCAGCCTCCCGAGTAGCTGGGACTACAGGCGCCCGCCACCACACCCAGCTAATTTTTTGAATTTTTAGTACAGACGGGGTTTCACCGTGTTAGCCAGGATGGTCTCGATCTCCTGACCTCGTGATCCGCCCGCCTCGGCCTCCCAAAGTGCTGGGATTACAGGCGTGAGCCACCACGCCCGGCTTTTTTTTTTTTTTTTTTTGAGACAGGGTCTCCCTCTGTCACCCAGGGTGGAGTGCAGTGGTGCAATCTCTCCTCACTGCAACCTCTGCCTCCCGGGTTCATGCGATTCTCATGCCTCAGCTACGTGAGTAGCTGAAATTACAGCCACACGCCACCACCCCCGGCTAATTTTTGTATTTTTAGTAGAGACGGGGTTCTCCCATGATGGCCAGGCTGGTCTCAAACTCCTGGCTTCAAGTGATTTGCCCACTTTGGTCTCCCAAAGTGCTGGGATTCCAGGTGCAAGCCACTATGCCTGGCCTTCTTTTTTTTTATTTATTTTTATTTTTTTACTGACAGTGTCTCGTTCTGTCACCCAGGCTGGAGTGCAGTGATGCAATCATAGCTCACTGCAGCCTTGAACTCCTGAGCTCAAGTGATCCTCCTGCTTCAGCCTCCTGATTAGCTGGGACTACAGGCACGTGCCATCATGCCCCGCTAATTTTTCAATTTTTTGTAGAAGTGGGATCTTGCTATGTGGCCCAGGGTGGTCTCAAACTCCTGGCCAAAAGCCATCCTTCTGCCTCAGCCTCCCAAAGTGCTGAGATTACAGGCATGAGCCACCACACCTGGCCCCAGTAAGTTCATTTCAAATGTATCTGGCCTATACAGAAAGAATATGTCAAAGAGATAGCATTCACTTGTTTTCGCTTGGCACTAAGCAAAGTCCACAGGTGTTGTCTTCCAGGGGCAAGGGACAGGATCTGTGCGTATTCTCACTTGTGATTCATCATATGACTATGTAGCCATGTCTGGTTTCTCTTTAGGGTGGGATTTGGCTTTCAGCAAGCTCCTATTAAACAGTAAATGAACTAAATAAACACAATGCTGCTTCATTTGGCCATAGCTATGCCAGGATCTCTTCATGAAAGACGAACAGCAAAGAGAATTAGAATGCAAATACTCTACAAGACGGACAATACTGGGCTGGGTGGTGGCTCACCCCTGTAATCCCAGCACAGTGGGAGGCCGAGGCAGGCGGATCACTTGAGGTCAGGAGTTCGAGACCAGCCTGGGCAACATGGTGAAACCCCATCTCTACTAAAAATAGGAAAATCAGCTGGGTGTGGTGGCGGGTGCCTGTTAATCCCAGCTACTTGGGAGGCTGAGGCAGGAGCATTGCTTGAACCTGGGAAGCAGAGGTTGCAGTGAGTCAAGATCATACCACTGCACTGGGTGACAGAGCCAGACTCCGCCTCGAGAAAAAAAAAAAATGTGTAGCCCAGGATGCTCAAAGGGTGGGGCCTTCTCAACATTCCCACCATCCTCATGGCAAACCCCTGGATTGTAGAGGGATTCTGCTTCTCTTTCCCCTCCTTTTTTGCATTTGAATTTGGATTACTGGGTTTTATTTCTACCCCTCCCCTGGCAGCAACAGATCTTTGCCCATTCCCTGAGACAGAGAGAATTTACTGCTTTTGCTTTTTTTCTTTCTCTTTTCTTTCTTTTTTTTTTTTTTTTTTTTGTGACGAGTCTCCCTCTGTCGCTCAGGCTGGAGTGCACTGGCTTGATCCTGGCTCACTGCAGCCTTCCCCTCCCAGGTTCAAGCAATTCTCGTGCCTCAGTCCCCAAGTAGCTGGGACTACGGGTGTGCGCCACCACGCCGAGCTAATTTTGTATTTTTAGTAGAGACAGAGTTTCACCATGTTGGCCAGGCTGGTCTCAAATTCCTGACCTCAGATGATCTGCCCGCCTTGGCCTCCCAAAGTGCTGGGATTACAGCCATGAGCCACTGTGCCCAGCCTGCTTTTTTAGAAGAGAAGAGTCCAGAGGAAGCAGGTGGGGTCTGTGCCTGTTCCTGAGCAGCTGGATGCCCACCCCACAGAGAGGTCTCTCTCCGGGCTCTTTGCCAGTCCCCATCTTCCTTGTGAAGTACGGTTTCTGATGGAGGTTTATTAAAAAGGGCTTATGAATGAATGTGAACTCCCTTTGTATCTGAGGCCCCCAGCTAGTCCAAACTCACATGCCAACCTACACTTGGCCTTTAAGACTTCATTAAAATTATAGCCGATTTCCTGTTGCCAACTAGTTTGGCAGTAACCTCTTTCTCCTGCGCTCTGCCAAAGGTGAAGGGGTTCTTGTGTTCTGTCTTTGGAGAGGCTTCTGTTGTCTCTCTTTGGCGCTGAGGTTACTTGGTTGCCTTGCAACCTCAGCTTTCTGATGGGCTCAACAGAAGTTACAATTTGGTAGATTATCCAGCTTTTCTCATTATGATATTGGGAGGGAGAGCCTTTGTAGCTTTCTACATTCTAAGCCCATTCCACAAATCTTTATTGAATGCATACTATGTGCCAGGCATTATTCTAGGTGCTGGGGATAAAGTAGTAGAAAAAACAGGCTGAGCACAGTGGCTCACACCTGTAATCCCAGCACACTGGGAGGCCAAGGCGGGCGGATCACTTGAAGGAGTTTGACACCAGCCTGGCCAGCATGGTAAAACCCCATCTCTACTAAAAATACAAAAATTAGCCAGGCGTGGCGGCAGCTGCCTACAAACAGCTACTCGGGAGGCTGAGGCAGGATAATTGCTTGAATCCACGAGGCAGAGGTTGCAGTGAGCTGAGGTTGCGCCACTGCACTCCAGCCTGGGTGACAAAGCGAGACTCTGTCTCCAAAAAAAAAAAAAAAAAAGTAGAAAAATAGATCTGATTTCAAGAGATTTATATTCAATTGAGGAGAGGCAGATACAGATAGATAGAATATTATATATCATAATATTAGATGCCAATAAGTTCTATGAAAAACACTTAAGCAACTGACAGATAAGACAACCATAGTGTATTGGCCGGGTGCTGTGGCTCACGCCTGTAATCCCAGCTCTTTGGGAGGCTGAGGTGGGCAGACCACCTGAGGTCAGGAGTTCGAGACCAGCCTGGACAACATGGTGAAACTCCGTCTCTACTAAAAATATAAAAATTAGCCACGTGTGGTGGCATGCGCCTGTAATCCCAGCTACTCGGGAGGATGAGGCAGGAGAGTCGCTTGAACCTTGGGAGGCAGAGGTTGCAGTGAGCCGAGATCACGCCATGGCACTCCACCTGGATGACAAGAGTGAAACTCCATCTCAAAAAAAAAAAAAAAAAAAAAAATTAGCCAGGCATGGTTGCGGGCGCCTATAATCCCAGCTACTCAGGAGGCTGAGGCAGGAGACTCGGCTGAACCTGGGAGGCAGAGGTTGCAGTGCGTCAGGATCACACCACTGCACTCCGGCGAGACTCCTCAAAAGAAAAAGGAGAAAAAACATTTGATTTCAAGAAATATATATATATATATATATATATATATATATATATATTTTTTTTTTTTTTTTTTGAGACAGAGTCCCGCTCTGTCGCCTAGGCTGGAGTGCAGTGGTGTGATCTCGGCTCACTGCAACCTCTGCTTCCCAGATTCAAGCGATTCTCCTGCCTCAGCCTCTGAGTAGTTGGGATTACAGGTGCCCACCACCATGCCTGGCTAATTTTTGTATTTTTAGTAGAGATGGGGTTTCACCATGTTGGTCAGGCTGGTCTCGAACTCCTGACCTCATGATCCACCCACCTCAGCTTCCCAAAGTGCTGGGATTACAGGTGTGAGGCACCGCCCCCGGCCAGAAATATATATTTTTGTATTCAATTAGAGCCAGATAACATATAGATAGAATATTATATGTTATAGTATTAGATGCTAAGTTCTATGAAGAACACTTAAGCAACCATAGTGTATAAATGGTACCTCCTACCCCTTCCTCCCCTATTCGTGTAGATACTGTCTATAATTTACTGCTTTTGTTTCCCTCTCCTCAATCTCTATGGTGGAGAATGGGCTAGACTGCACTACTCTGATAATATAACTTAGTAAGATTTCAGCTCCAAGTAGTAAATGGGACCATCATTCCCATTCCCATCAGGAAGGATAAAACTGCTCATAAACATGCCCGGTATTCTGCATAAGGCCAAACTAGTACCCGGTGGACACAAAGCACAGGTGTTATACTTCGACTCAATACAGGAAGAACTTTTAAACCATCAGAGCTACCTGCAAAAGTAATGTACTTTTCTGGAAGATAATCAATTTCCCTTTCTTGGAAAAGTTGCAGCTTTGGGTTTATAAGTTACATTGTCTGCAAGCTCCCAACTGCCACCGAGGGTCTCCAAGCAGATAGGTGGAGTGTACATTTCCTGACTTCTAACAGTAGAAAGCCTCCACCAAAGGCTCTTCAGGATATCCCTAGGAAGCTGCTCACCTGTGCTACTCAGCACTGATTCTTTAATTTCTTTGTACAGATGAATAAACCATGGTTTATTTTATTTTACTTTTTGAGACAGGGTCTTGGTCTGTCGCCCATGCTGGAGTGCAGTGGTGCGATCTTGGCTCACTGCAGCCTCGACCTCCTGGACTAAAGCGATCCTCCCACCTCAGCCTCCCAAGTAGCTAGGACTACAGGCCCATGCCAGCATGCCCGGCTAATTTTTGCATTTTTTTATAGAGACGGGGTTTCACCATATTATCCAGTCTGGTCTTGAACTCCTGAGCTCAAGTGATCCTCCCGCCTCAGCCTCCCAAAGTGCTGGGATCACAGGCATGAGCCCCTGAGACTGCAAATAAACCATGCTTTAGAGAAGGTAAGTGTCTTGACCAAGGCCACAGAGCTAGGAAGCAGCTGGCTGAACTGGGATTGAGGCCAAGGTAGTGCCTTTGATGCCAAAACCTGCTGTCCTTCCTCACTATCACCCAACCTCTTTCCAGTGGCTCCACACCCATTGTGGTGACAGAGGCACCTTCTGCTGAGTGTAAACTCTTCTGGCTGGAATTGTTTCCCAGAGGGTAGGGTGCAGCCCCGAGGGCCGGGGTTAAAAGTCAAGCTTCTCATCTGGACTCATCAGTTCTGACTGAGCACTTCTGCCTCAACCCGCACTGCCATCTCTCCATGAACGTGACACAAAAGCCCTTGGTTTCAGAAAGCCAGTTTCCGGGCAAAGAAAGCTTTCCACCCAGGGCCTGGCGTGAGCTGAGGGCAAGAATTAAAAAGAGTCGGGCGCGGCGGCTCACGTCTGTAATCCCAGCAATTTGGAAGGCCGAAGTGGGTGGATCACCTGAAGTCAGGAGTTCGAGACCAGCCTGGGCAACATGGTGAAACCCTGGTCTCTACTAAAAATACAAAAATTAGCCGGGCGTGGTGATGTACGCCTGTAATCCCACCTACTCGGGAGGCTGAGGCAGGAGAATCGCTTGAACCAGGGAGGTTGCAAGGAGCCGCAATCGCGCCATTACACTCCAGCCTGGGGGACAGAGCGAGGCTCCGTCTCAAAAAAAAAAAAAAAAAAAGGGAAGGCCACCAGCTAAGGTCCGGCGTCAAGGCACGGGCCCTCCGTCCGTCTCGTGCCGAAGGAGGGCGCGTGCGCCCCTTCCCCTGCCTCTGACCTTTCCATGGAAGCAGCCCGTTAGGCGAAATGGCGATCGACCAGGCGAAACGTTGGTGGATCCTATGGCAGCGCGCGTGGCAGGCAGCCACACCCGGGCCCGGCTTCGCCCAGCGCTAAGGGCGTGGAGCCGCGCCGCAAATGGCGCGCGAGCCTCCTGCGCACGCGCGTGCAGCGCCTGGGGTCGGGCCAGCGGCGCGGCTGAAGCGAGGGCGGGGAGGGAAAGCGAGCGGCGCCTGCGCCCCGGCGGTGGACGGGCCCGGTCGTGGGCGGGGATTGGGGCGGAGCCTGACCGTTACGCGCAGCCCCGCCCCCGCGGCCTCGTCGCTCCTGCTGAGGCGGTAGCCGCTTTTCGTCGACTCTTACCGGTTGGCTGGGCCAGCTGCGCCGCGGCTCACAGCTGACGATGGGGGACCCCAGCAAGCAGGACATCTTGACCATCTTCAAGCGCCTCCGCTCGGTGCCCACTAACAAGGTAGCGGCCGCGGGCGAGTGCGGGCCTGCCTGGCATCCCTGCGGGAACCGGCGGGAGGCCCCGCGGGCGCCAGTGCCCGTGGCTTGGGAGGCGGGGCCGGCGCGGCCTGTGACACGTCGCACTGTGGGGCCGCGGCAGCCTGGCCGGGCCGGGGCGGGCGGGGCCGGGCAGCTGAGAGGCCCGGGCGGGAGGCCGCAGCGCGGGGGTCCTCACGCGAGCCGGGGAGCGTTCCCGGGGGCGGCGGCGCGGGCACACCCCCCGGCGAGCTCTTGGGGCGGGGGGCGAGCACCGGCGGCTCTGAGCGGAGGCGGGGGCGGGGGCATCCTCGGGGGCGCTGCGAGGAGGGAGCTCCCGGCTCGGAAACCCCGGCTGCTGGCGCCGGATGCGGGGAAAGCGCGGCTCCCCCAGCGCCACCCTGGAGCTCGACCCCGCCTGTTGGAGCCGGCTTGGCTCCTCGGGCCTTGCGGTGCCTGCCTCAGTTTCTCTTCTGATAAAGTTGCCGAGTAGTCTACGCTTTGGCTTCCAGCTTTTGTCGCTTTGGCCAGGGAGGCTCACCACAGCCTCCTCCCTCTCCTCGGTTCTCTTTGGAGATGGAGGTTTCCTTTTTTTTTTTGTCTCCAGAGGCTGTTCTCTCCCTGGAACTTTTACAGCTTTGCGCAGCTGGCTGGAGGCGTTGGGGTGACGCAGGGGGCTAAGGTGACACGTCGGGTCGGAGAGGGACTTGGAGAGTGCAAAGGGCTGTCGCGTCAGCGTGGGCTCTCCCCGCCCCTCCTGTGACACGAGTGTTGTCTGGTTCCCACTGTCACTTCCCGAAGGGAACAGCTGTTATTGAACCTCGATATGCTGGCATAGAAAGTTCCCGAGTGTTACAAAATAGGTGTTTCTGTTGGTTTTAAGTCTTGATGGTACAGGGGAGCCCATATTTTTTCCAGCCTAGGTGAGGAAGGAAACAGTTTATTGGAGGTGATGTCTGATGGATGTGGGAAAGTTAAGAGAAAGGCTCCAGGAATTCTCCAGTGCCCGTTTCTTTACTGTTCTCTTGATTTTCACATTTTTATTTATTTATTTTTTTAGAGACAGGGTCTCACCCCGTCACCCAGGCTGAAGTGTAGTGCCTTGATCCTAGCTCACTGCAGCCTTGACCTACCCAGCCCAAGCCATCCTTCCTTCCCAGCCTCCTGATGAGGCTGACACCACAGGGCTGTACCACCACGCCCAGCTAATTGTTATTATTAATTAATTAATTAATTAATTTTTGTAGAGACAGGGTCTTGCTATGTTGCCCGTGCTGGTGTCAAATTCCTGGGCTCAAGCAGTCCTCCTGCCTCCTCCTGCCTTGGCCTCCCAGAGTGCTAGGATTACAGGCATGAGCCACCATGCTGGCCTTAATGTTCTTTTTTTTTTTTTTAACGTTTTAATTTTAATTTTTTTGAGACAGAGCCTTGCTCTGTCGCCCAGGCTGGAGTGCAGTGGTGCGATCTCAGCTCACTGCAACCTCTGCCTCCTGGGTTTGAGCAATTCTGCCTCAGCCTCCTGAGTCGCCAGGATTACAGGCATCCACCACTACACTCAAGTAATTTTTATATTTTTAGTAGAGACGAGGTTTCACCATGTCAGTCACTCTGGTCTCAAACTCCTGGCCTCAAGTGATCCACCCGCCTCGGCCTCCTGAAGTGCTGGGATTACAGGCGTGAGCCACCGCGCCCAGCCTTGATTTTTAAATTTAGATTGATGTGTTTATAAAGAGTGGGTCCTGTGTAACTTAGTCAAGATTAGGATCTGCGGTTAGCAATGTGTAAACTATATTTTTTTGTCACCTTTATCTCAGAAACATCAACATGTATTCTCTTTGATTTAATTCAAAGATAATTTTAAATTAGAAATCAATGTCTTTATATCAAGAGGCTTTTGAGAGACAGGCTTGTATTGTCCAAACTGCTACTTTCTAGGTATGTCACCCTTGGACAGGTTACTTGACCACTTTGTCCCTTTTTTCCTCCTCTGAAAATGGGGCATGAACTAGACCTGACTCAGAGGGTTATTGTGAAGATTAAATGGAATAATCCAAGAAAAACACTTAGAGTAGGAACTGCATATAATAGTCTTCAATAAATGGCAGCTGTTTTTATGATGAAGAACACACCTGTGAAAAATTTATATTCTGTAATAAGATTAATAAAAGCAATGAGCAAAAATGTTTTCTGGTAATGTTTAACAGTAATGTGCTATATTTCTTGGTTGAGACCTTTTATTTGATCATTGGTTTGAAACCCTTACCTAAACGAAGATAACAATAGCATTTTAAAATTGGGGTCATAAAAGACAGCTCTAAGATACATGAGCCAGGAAAGGTAATCAAAGAAAAACAAGTCGGCTTACTTTTAGAACATGGTATCCAATTTCTTCGTCTCATGTATGATGATTTACTCTAGATCAAAGGTCATGAGGGTCAATTCTCTTTTTTCTTTTTCTTTCTTTTTTTTTTTCTTTTGAGACAGTCTAGCTCTGTTGTCCAGTCTGGAGTGCAGTGGTGCGATCTTGGCACACTGCGACCTCCTCCTCCCAGGTTCAAGCGATTCTCTTGCATCAGCCTCCTGAGTAGCTGGGACTACAGGCGTGTGCCATCACGCATGGCTAATTTTTGTATTTTTAGTAGTAATGGAGTTTCACCATATTGGCCAGGCTGGTCTCAAACTCCTGACCTAAAGTGATCCGCCTGTCTCAGCCTCCCAAAGTGCTGTGATTACAGGCGTGAGCCACCGCACCTGGCCAAGGGTGAATTTTCTTGTTTGTGGAAATCCTTCTTTGTTGCTATACCATTCCTTACTTTTATATAGATTGGGTTATTCATTCAACAAGTATTCATTAAGCACCTATGCTATGCTGGGCACTGTGTAGAGCATGAAAGGTATGTACACTGATGGTATGTTCCTGTCCTCAGGGAACTTATAGTCTAGTGGACAGATGAAGGGCAGATGCAGGACGGCAGGTGGTATGTTTTCTGCTCTGAAGCACAGTGTGGTGGAGCGGGAAGAGTGGCTCTGGGAACAGACTGCATGGGATCCAGTCCCCATTGTGGGCATTTCCACTAAGGAATTACTAAGCAGTGGCCACTTCTTATCTGTCATACTTAATTCAGTAATTCCTTAGTTTTCTTTAAAATGGAGATCAAGATTTACCGCCACCATCCCACGCCCGGAAGGGCTCCTCATGCTCTCTGCAGCATGGTGCTTCTGTCGCTTACAGAACAACTTGCCTTTGATGATTTTCAAGAGAGTTGTGCTGTGAGGTGGCAAAAGTATCCAGGCAGCAGGATGCCAGTGCCTCAAGGAAAAAATGGTCCTTTTCGGCAATGTGTTCGGTACTGGGGGCTTGGCCCTTGTGTATTACCGCATACAAAAGACTTTTTCCAGGGCTTTGTATTACCAGTTGGCATTGGAGCAGGTGCATAGCCATCCCAAGGCACAGGGAGCTCTGGGCCCTCTTCTCAACATTCACTGTCTCAAACTCACCAAGCACAACTTTGTGGACATTGCTGATGCCAAGTTGAAGATTCCTAGCTCTGGATCCAAGTCAGAGGGCCATCTCCATGTCAGCTCATCCAGAAGTGCCCCTTTCAGAGGTGGCACCTTGATGAGGTCTTCCTAGAGCCCAAGGATGGCCAGCAGATTCCCTTGTTCAAGCTCAGTGGGGAGAATGGTGAAGAAGTGAAAAAGGAGTAGAAACGATCCAAAAGACCCAGCTTTCTTCTAGTCTGGCCTTCCCTTATCTCCACCATGTGCCCACCAGGGGTGATGGCCCATCTGAGTGACAGACACTCCCGTAAGCTAATTTTCCAGCCACCAGTGGAATGATTGTATGTGCTGGCATATGGTAATTTTGGTATAATTCTAACTTGGGCACAACGAATGCTATTGTCATTTTTAAACTGAATCAGAAAGAAACTCTTATTATAAGATAATTTATGTGAAAGTTCTTTGTTTAAGAAAGCACATGATAAAAGGAATCAGAATTAAGAAAACATTCATTGATTTAAAAAACAAATAAATAGGCCGGGCGCGGTGGCTCACGCCTGTAACCCCAGTACCTTGGGAGGCTGAGGCGGGTGGATCACCTGAGGTCAGGAGTTCAAGACCAGCCTGGCCAACATGATGAAGCCCCGTCTCTACAAAAATACAAAAATTAGCTGGGCATGATGGCGAGTGCCTGTAATCTCAGCTGTTCGGGAGGCTGAGGCAGGAGAATCGCTTGAATCCAGGAAGCAGAGGTTGCAGTGAACCAAGGTCACGCCACTGCACTCCAGCCTGGGCAACAGAGAGCGACTCCATCTCACACGCACACACAAATAAAATAAAATTAAATAAATAAAATGGAGATCAAGACTAGCTACATAATTTGTGAAATGTACAAAATGAAAATGCAGGGCCCTTGTTTGAACAGTATTAAGAATTTCGGCCAGACACAGTGGCTCACACCTGTAATCCTAGCACTTTGGGAGGCCAAGGTGGGTGGATCATCTGAGCTCAGGAGTTCGAGACCAGCCTGGGCAACATGGTGAAACCCCATCTCTACTAAAAATACAAAAAATTAGCCAGGCGTGGTGCCATGTGCCTGTAATCCCAACTACTCGGGAGGCTGAGACAGGAGAGTTGCTTGAACCCAGGAGGCGGAGGTTGCAGTGAACCAAGATCACGCCATTGCACTCAAGAGTGGGCGACAGAGCGAGACCCTATCTCAAAAAAAAAGAATTTCAAGATGAGGCTAGGCGCGGTGGCGCCTGTAATCCCAGCACTTTGGGAGGCCGAGGCAGATGAATAGCTTGAGCTCAGGAGTTTGACACCAGCCTGGGCAACATGGTGAAACCTCATCTCTACCAAAAAAAAAAATTAAAATTAGCCATGCATGGTGGCTCATGCCTGTGGTCCCAGCTGCTCGGGAGGCTGAGGTGGGAGGATTGCTTGAGCTCGGGAGGCAGAGGTTGAAGTGAGTCGAGATCATATCATATACTCCAGCATGAGACCCTATCTCAAAAAAAAAAAAAAAGAATTTCAAGATGAGACAGCAGAGCATTAAGCCAATCACACACTCTTTTATTCTAAGTGTGGGGCCCTCTGCGACTGCATAGATCACACACATGCCCAGGAAGCTGGCCCTGATGGGGATGATCATAGTACCTTCTACTAGTACCCTACTAATGAAAGCGTTGTTAGGAAGATGAAATTGGCTAAAGTGCCAACAATAGTGCCTGAATTAAACACTCAATATTAGCTGTTATTATTATTTGTATACTAATTATTCTCATCATTAAACAAAACAAATTGTCAGTCAAAAGCTATTTCTTGCTCATCACCATAAGAACTGATGTTCTGCTTTAAAAGCCACATCTTGACTTTGGTTTGGGATTGCATATCAAATCAAAGCGCAGTCCCTGCTTCCAAAGCATAGCCTCCTGGTATAGCAGGAGGATCAAGGCAGCATTTATGGGAGCCAGACCTGTATTTCTCACCACTTCTGACCTCCACACGTCCCAGTCTCCACTTGTTAGCTCCTCTACCCCTATAAACTGCTCCACCATGTGCATTCGCATTTAGTGAGCACCTGTGTTGTGCCAGGCATGGTGCCAAGCTCAGGTGAATAAGGTAGACATGGCCCCCCCCTCATGGGGCTACATTTTAGCAATCCCTTAGCTTAGGTGATGGGTCCGGAGGATGCCAAAGCTGCCTGCCTCATTAGGAACCTCACTGCTCTCTTCTTGTAGCCAGTCTGGTGACCACCTCAGAAGTGATTCTCAAACTTGGCCTGCTCTGGGCTGTGTACCCAAAATCTCTGCCATCACCTCTACCAAAAACCCTTTGCATCCTGTCCTTGCTTACTAGGAAACAATCTTGTAACTAATTGTCTTGCCCACTGGACTGCTAGACTGTGGGCTCCATGTGGGCAGACTTCCTGAACCACGCTGGTATGTCCACTTGGTATGTGCCAGGTACACTTGATGGTAAGTGCACAGCAACTGGTAGTTGAGTAACTAGGTGAGAAATTACACACAGCCTGACGGGGAAGAACAGCACCTTTTGGCAGAGTCTGTCGTTTTGTTTGATGCCCCACAGAAGAGGGTTCTCCTAATGGCCATCACCACAGGGCGTTTGAATTTGCGCGTCTGTCTTCCCCACTTCTCAGTGAGCTCTTTAAAGACTAGCACCAATAAGCGTTCAGCTAGTGTTTGTGCTGCTACTTTTTCATACCTCATCACCTGTCACATGTCTGACATACAGCAGGTGATCAGTAAACACCAAAGTAAATCTCCTGGCCTCTTTTTGTGTCAGTTGTCACTCCACCCCGATTATTCAGTGTGCGATCAGTGTGAGCATATTGTGGTGAGGGGCTTTAGAAAACCCACTCGTGTTTCCTCTCTTGTATTGCCCTTGTATTGCCCTGAAAAGACCAGAAGCCAGATCTTGCTTGATAATGATAGGTTGGACAACCTTCACATAAGTGATTCTGCCTATAAAGTATATCTTTTTTTTTTTTTTTTTTTTTTTTTTGATAGCAGGGTCTCACTGTTGCTGAGGCTGGAGTGCAGTGGAGTGGTCTCCGCTCATTGCATCCTCCGCCTCCCAGGCTCAAGCGATCCTCTCACCTCAAACTCCTGAGTAGCTGAGACTACAGGCACGTTCCACCACGCCGGCTAATTTTTTTAATTTTTTGGTAGAGATAGGGTTTCGCCATGTTGCCCAGGCTGGTCTCAAACTCTTGAGCTCAAGCGATCTACCTGCCTTGGCCTCCCAAAGTGCTAGGATTACAGGTGTGAGCCACTGCACCCAGCCTATATATCTAATATGTATTTTTTTTTCCTGCAAAAAGATTAAAAACACCTCTATTAGAGGAATTTTTTCCCTATTCGGAGTTTAATGAGTTATAAATACTACTTTCCACAACAAGCACTGTGTATTTTATGGGCCCAGCACACTTCCGACGCGTGACTCTGCTAGTTAGCACTGTGTATTTTAAAGTACTTTTATGCTCCTGTTGGGCTTCAGTGTCAGTGTTGAAGGGGCTAGTAATTTTTGAGCTGGCAATACGTTTTTAAAGTTATTCTTTTGAGTAACAAATATTTACTGAATGCTTACCATGGGTAAGCCTATTTTTCAGGCTGTGTGTGAGATTTAAAAGTACACAACTATTCAGCAAACACTTATTGTGCGTTTACCATGTGCAGGTTCTGTGCTAGTGGACAGGAAAGTAAGGTGACAGGAGCCGGACGTGGTGGCTCACACCTGTAATCCTAGCATTTTGGGAGGCCGAGAGGGCCCAAATTGCTTGAGCCCAGGCGTTCAAGACCAGCTTAGGCAACATAGCAAGACCCCCATCTCTACAAAAGAAAAAAAAAAATCTGGGCACGGTGGCATACACTTGTCCTAACTGCTTAGGAGGCTGAGGGGGGTGGATGGCTCGAGCTCAAGAGTTCGAGACTGCAGTGAGCTAGGACCGTGCCACTGCACTCCAACCTAGGTGACAGAGCCAGACCTTGTCTCTTTAAAAAAAAAAAAAAAAAAGCCATAAAGCAGCGAGCTAGGACCGTGCCACTGCACTCCAGCCTAGGTGAGAGCCAGACCTTGTCTCCTTAAAAAAAAAAGAAAAAAAGCCATAAAGATTAGCAAAAGGGAAAGATTCTACCCCTGTAAGAGCTCTCAGTGCCCTCAGTGGGCAGGGAACGTAGTCCTCGGTTATGAACCTGCATCTAAGAGTTATCAAAGTGACCTGGACAGAGTGAGGCAGTGGAGGTAGAGAAGGGCACAGCATTTCATAAAGGAATATCTCTCTGTATTAGTCATCTATTGCTGTGTATCAGATCACCCCCAACTTGGCATCATAAAACAACAGATAGTTCTGAGGGTCAGGAATTTGGGGGTGACTTAGCTGGCTGCTTCTGACCCAGGGTCTTTCATGAGGCTGCAGTCAAGCTGTTGGCCCAGGGCTGAGGTCATCTGGGAGCTTACTCACATGGTGGTTGGCAGGCCTCCTCTCCTCGCTGGCAGTTGGACTGGGGGCCTCAACTCCTCAGCACTTCACCCTCTCCACAGGGCAACCTGAGTGTCCTCAAGACATGGCACCTGGCTTCCCCTAGAGCTAGTGATCCAAGGTGGGGAGGGAGAGAGGGGGAGAGAGAAAAAGAGAGTGGGGGAGACAGGAAAAGGCCATAGTGTCATTTGTAACCCAATCTCAAAAATGACATGGTCATTTCTGCCATATACACATAGACACACAGATCACCTTGGTAAAGTGAGGGTGGTGGAGATTACACGGGATGCAAATACCAGGAGGTGGGTTTCACTGGGGCCATCTTGGAGTCTGGCTGCCACAACCTCTTCCTCTGGCTGGGGAGAGAAGCAATATGCTCAACAGCCTGCCATCTGGTATAGCCACTGCCAGGAAGGATGGTAGGGCTGGAGTGTTTCTAGGCAGGGCTGCTTCCCTCACTAGCATTCCTTTACATGACTGGTAGGATCCCTGCTGATGCTTCAAGGATAAGGCATGTTTGAGATGGTACACAAACCTAAATTCTCTTCACTATGTATAGTGTGCATTGTTAAAATATATACATGATAGCCCGGGCGCGGTGGCTCACGCCTGTAATCCCAGCACTTTGGGAGTCCAAGGCGGGTGGATCACGAGGTCAGGAGATCGAGACTATCCTGGCTAACACGGTGAAACCCCATCTCTACTAAATATACAAAAAATTAGCCGGGTGCGGTGGCGGGCGCCTGTAGTCCCAGCTACTCAGGAGGCTGAGGCAGGAGAATGGCATGAACCTGGGAGGCGGAGCTTGCAGTGAGACGAAATCGTGCCGCTGCACTCCAGCCTGGGCGACAGAGCGAGACTCCGTCTCAAAAATAAATAGATAAATATATATATAACATAATCTGTAATATACTGTATAAATCATGTAGTAAACTGGGCACAGTGGCTCGTGCCTGTAATCCCAACACTATGGGAGGCCGAGGCTGCCAGATCACCTGAGGTCAGGAATTCGAGACCAGCCTGTCCAACATGGTAAAACCCCATCTCTACTAAAAGTACTAAATTAGTTGGGTATAGTGGTGTGAGCCTGTAGTCCCAGCTACTCCGGAGGCTGAGGCAGGAGAATCAATGGAACCTGGAAAGCAGAGGTTACAGTGAGCCGAGATTGCACCATTGCACTCCAGCCTGGGTGACAGAGCGAAACTCTGTCTCAGAATAAAAAAATACATAATATAGTAATTAACTATACTAATTTATAATTAATATAATTATATATAATAATAAAAGAGCATGAAATTTGAGGCTTTTAAAAAAACCTAGGTGAGATATTTTCTAATAATACAATCCCAAAGTTTACATTGTAAAGGTTAAACAGTTTTCAAGCTAAGTCATTTACTGTATCTTACAGGATAATTTATTTGGCTAACATAAATTAGTAACTGAATTTAACATTTTTTTTCAGGTGTGTTTTGATTGTGGTGCCAAAAATCCCAGCTGGGCAAGCATAACCTATGGAGTGTTCCTTTGCATTGATTGCTCAGGGTCCCACCGGTCACTTGGTGTTCACTTGAGTTTTATTCGGTAAGTGAATCTTCTCTCATTGGGGTGAGATTGATTACATTGTTACATGGGTGTTTTTTTCCCTTTTTTCTTTTCTTTTTTTGAGACAGTGTCTTGCCTTGTCGCCTGTCACCTTGGCTGCAGGAGTGCCATCATAGCTCACTGGGCTCAAGTGAACTCAGCCTCTACAAAAAATAAAAAATGTTGTGGTGTGATGATGTATAACTCTAGTCCTAGTTACTCAGGAGGCTGAAGTGGGAGGATCACTTAAGCCCAGGAGTCAAGGCTGCAGTGAACTATGATCTTGCCGCTGCATTCCAGCCTGGGCGACAGAGTAAGACCCTGTCTCTTAAAAAAAAAAAAAAGAAAGAAAGAAATGTGATTTTCAGTGTTGCCATACAGTATTAAAAGGTGAGGCCTTTAAGAATTGATTGAGCCCTCATTGGTATGGGTTAATGGGTTATCATGTAAGCGGCTTTATAGGAAAAGGAGGAGAGACCTGAGCTAGCACGCTCAGCGTTCTCACTAGGCGATGCTGCCTCTGGACTCTACAGAGTCCAACCAGTAAGAAGGTTCTTACCAGATGTAGCCCCTTGACCTTGGTCTTCTCAGCCTCCTTAACTGTAAGAAATCAACTTCTTTTCTTTATAAATTACCCAGTTTCAGGAATTCTGTTACAAGCAATGAAAAACCGATTTATGTCAATCATCTTCTAATAATTCGGCAGTACAAAGTACAGACTCATGGGAGAAGGGGAATCAGGTGCTGTGGGTCTGTCCTATGTCCTCCAAAGTGGAGAGTTTATGTCAATGATGAGACACTCTCCTTGTATCAGGGCTTCACTTCCACCGTAATCTTATAGCTCTGGCTTCCAAGGACACTAATATCACAAAGCCTGAGTGAATGATTTTTAGTGGCAGTTTCAAATGTTTATAACATGAAGGTCTTTTTTCTCCTTTTATCTGAAGACTTGGGCTGCATTGGCCCCTCTGGTGAGTAAACCGTCTTCTACTTCTGATACTCTATGGCAATAGCCCATATGGGGCCTTTTGCATCAGAAGAAGACACCACCTTTGGACTGACAGTCTGATGGGATAACCCCACAGTCCAGTGGGAGGCAGGACTATTTGTGAAGTGAAATAAATTGAAATAATAAAAGAAATAATGGAAAGATCCCCAGGGCTTGGAAGCTAAGCAAGGCCTGCCTGTCACCTGCCACAGGCCCTTGCCAGGACAACTTGTGCAGAGCACCCTCAAACAGCCATGGCTTAGTCATTGCTGCCTCCCCCAGACAATTTCCAGAGATTTCCCTACTCCATCTTTTCTAGGGAAGGAACCAGCTAGGCTGCCCATCTGGAATTGTGGCAAGCAATCTTATATTATGACTTAAGGAATATCGAAATATTGATAGAACGTGATTATTAAAAAGGAGCATTTGTTTCTATAAGATAAAATCTATTATGATTCTTTGTCTTTTTTTTTTTTTTTTTTTTTTTGAGATGGAGTTTTGCTCTTGTCGCCCAAGCTGGAGTGCAATGGCGCGATCTCAGCTCACTGCAACCTCCACCTCCTGGGTTCAAGCGATTCTCCTGCCTCAGCCTCCCAAGTAGCTGGGATTACAAGTGCGCGCCACCACACTCAGCTAATTTTTGTATATTTAGTAGAGATGGGCTTTCACCTTGTTGGCCAGGATGGTCTTGATCTCCTGACCTTGTGATCCACCCCCCTCGTCCTCCCAAAGTGTTGGGATTACGGGCGTGAGCCACTGTGCCTGGCCTTGCCTTCTGTTTTCTTCTAAGAGTTTTATAGTTTTAGGTCTTACCTTTAAGTCTTTGATTCATTTTGAATTAATTTTTGTTCACAATGTCAGGTAAGAGTTCAACTTCATTCTTTTGTATGCGGATACCTAGTTTTTCCATCACCATTTGTTGAAAAGACTGTCTTTTCCCCATTGAATCAAACTTGGGGTTTTTTTTTGTTGTTGTTGTTTTGGGTTTTTTTTTTTTTTTGAGATGGAGTCTTGCTTTGTCACCCAGGCTGGGGTGCAGTGGCACGATCTTGGCTCACCTCAACTTCCGCCTCCCAGATTCAAATGATTCTCCTGCCCTCAGTCTCCTAAGTAGCTGGGATTACAGGCATGTGCCACCACGTCCATCTAAGTTTTGTACTTTTAGTAGAGACAGAGTTTCGCCGTGTTGGCCAGGTTGGTCTTGAACTCCTGACCTCAGGTGATCTGCCCGCCTCGGCCTCCCAAAGTGCTGGGATTACCCCGGCTAAAGCTTGTTTTTAATGTACTTTGTTTTCCAGATTGATCATTACCAGTTAACTTATGGTAACCTACTCTGCCCAGAGCAGATGAAGACTAGACTCAAGGCAATACCTAGTTACTTCTCTTCCTTCTGTCTTTACTGTGTTCTTTCCCTCTTTCTTTCTGCTAAGTCTCGCCCATTATAACCTCTCCTTCTTCCTCATCGCTAAAGAATACTTCCAGTTTAAGCCATTCCAGGAAATCGGGTGGTTTTATGATGTGTTCCTCCGTGAGGGAAGGAGTGACCTAGAGCCTGAGGGGCAGTACAGCAGGATCTGTTTGGGCCATTGCAGGTTTAATCACTGACCTTTTAAAAGTCAGATAAATAGAACTGTATGAGTCACAATGCTTGTAAATGATTCAAAAACAGCAATTAAAATTCATGATACAACCTTAGGGCAGGAGTCTAGGATTTGGGCAAGAAAAAGTCAAGGATGAGAAAGTACTCAGTATTGTTTTTGTTGTTATTTTTAAGGCAGAGAAGAGCTATTCTTTAAACATTTTTATTCCTTAAAAAAAACTGAGGGGCCGGACATAGTGGTTCACACCTGTAATCCCAGCACTTTGGGAGGCCAAGGTGGAAACATCACTTGAGCTTGGGAGTTTTTTGGGTTTTTTATTTTTTTTTTTTTTTTTTCCTTTGAGACAGAGTCTCACTCTATCCCCTCGGCTGGAGTGCAATGGCATGATCTCAGCTCACTGCAACCTCCGCCTCCCGGGTTCAAGCAATTCTCCTGCTTCAGCCTCCGAAGTAGCTGGGATTACAGGTGTGTGCCACCACACCCAGCTAATTTTTGTATTTTTACTAGAGACGGGGTTTCACCATGTTGGCCAGGCTGGTCTTGAACTCCTGACCTCATGTGATCCACCCACCTCAGCTTCCCAAAGTGCTGGGTTTACAGGCATGAGCCACAGCACCTAGCCGAGCATGGGAGTTTGAGGCTGCAGTGAGCTATGATCTCACCACTTCACTTCAGTCTGGGTGACAGAACAAAGACCCTGACTCAAAAAACAACAACAACCACCACCAAAAAAAGAAACAAAAAAAACCACTAGCTAATTGGGAAAAAATCCAAGCAGCCCCAAAATATATAAAGTCTCTCCTCTAGAATACTTTTCCCCTCTTCTTCCCCTCCCACTGCCAGACACACACACATGCACTGCTTCCTGTGTGGCATGGGTGGTGTGCATATTTAACTGGAGTTTTTTTTCTTTAACTAGAATTTCAAGTCAACAAATTTACAGAGGAAAAATAATTTATAAGTTATGGCTTTTGCCAAGCAAAGGGGGGAAGGCAGATTAAGAGTATATGGAGAGGGCAAACTGCATTGGTTGCTGACTGCTCCCAGAGTGGACCAGATTGAACTGACCTCTGCCCCTTTTCACCTCCATTGCTGGGATCTCCATGTTTCAGGCTGCTCCTCCCCTCTAGCTCTGTTTTTTCTCAAGTTTGCCGTTACGTATTTCATGAGCTTATTAAAGGTGAATGGGATCCCTGCATCGATCTTGTTGGCCTGGGGTTAGGGACAGGCTTAAATACAACGTAAATAAGAAGATAGACTGCAAAGTTATGCATGAGAGATGGAAACTAAGTCCTGTGCCCACTTCTGGTTGGAAAATAAGGCAAAGTTTAAAAGAGGTAACATTTGCAATGAACTTGGAAGGTTTGGTGAGGTTTTGATAATGGAGACAAGGCCGGGCATGGTGGCTTGCGCCTGTAATCCCAGCACTTGGGAGGCCGGGGTGGGAGGATAGCTTGAGCCCAGGAGTTTAAGACCAACCTGGGCAACATAGTGAGACCTCATCTCTACGACAACAAAAAAAGATAATGGAGACAAGGGAGGGAAAATTGAGGTCAGCACTCGGACCTTCAGATATAAAAGCAGGAAAAAGCGAAATGCTTTGTAGCGACTTTTTGTATGCATAGGAAAATAAAGAGAAGTAAGGGTGAAAGGAGAGGATCTGTGTCATATTGTGGAGCGCTTTAGCTGCCACACTGGGAGCTAAAAGTTCACTCCTGAGGCCCTGGAGGGGTGAGGCATGTGGGGAGGCTGACTCAGCCTGGGCAGAGCAGGAGACAGCATCAGGAAGAGGTGAGGACCGAGGCTGAGGATGCAGGAGCGGGGATGTGGTTGGGGGGTCGGGGGGAGGCAAATCTGAGCTGTCCTTTCCTGGCCTTGGGTGTGTTCCTTACCTCTGAATGTCTTGCTTTCCTTCTCTTGAAAGTGAGGGTGAGAATACTAGGACCTGCCGTACAGGGTGTTGGCAGGAGCGAGCAAGAGAGCCCCATACAGCCTGGCACATAGTGAGCCCTAGAACATGTTGATGATGACCAGGGCAGAATCTGGGCTCCTGCTCGGTGGACACTGGGGAGAACCTTTTTATGATGTTGGCGTAGAAAGGCAACGCTTTTTATGACCTTATAGAGGTAATCAAACAAGTTATAAACAAAGGGCGGCTGGGAAATTACTGAGATTGTCTATAAGTAAAACTCTAGATTAATAATGGTATGCACTTTGGGAGGCTGAGATGAGGGGATTGCTTGAGGCCAGGAGTTCGAGACTAGCCTGGCGAACATGGCAAAACCCCGTCTCTACTAAAATTACGAAAATTAGCCAGGTGTGGTTCCGCACGCCTCTAATCCCAGCTACCTCTGGAGGCTGGGGCACAAGAATTGCTTGAATCCAGAAGGCAGAGATTACCATGAGCTGAGATCGCCTCACTGCACTCTAGCCTGGGCAACAGAACGAGGCTGTGTCTCAAAAAAAAAAAGGTATGGTTCACTGGGCATGGTGGCTCACACCTGTAATCCCAACACTGAGAGGCTGAGGTGGGAGGATTGCCTGAGCCCAGGAGTTCTAGACCATCTTGGGCAACATAACAAGACCCTATCTCTATTTAAAAAAAAAAAAAAAAAAAAAAGGCCAGGCACGGTGGCTCATGCCTGTAATCACAGTACTTTGGGAGGCCAAGGTGGGTGGATCACCTAAGGTCGGGAGTTTGAGACCAACCTGACCAACATGAAGAAACCCTGTCTCTGCTAAAAATACAAAAATTAGCCGGGCGTAGTGACACCTGCCTGTTATCCCAGCTACCCAGGAGGCTGAGGCAGGAGAATCACTTGAACCCAGGAGGCAGAGGTTGCGGTGAGTCAAGATCGCACCATTGCACTCCAGCCGGGGCAACTCCGTCTCAAAAAAAAAAAAAAAAAAAAAGCCCGGCATGGTAGCTACCATCTACTTGGGAGGTTGAGACAGGAGGATTGCTTGAGCAATCCTGGTTGAGGCTGCAATGAGCTGTGATCACACCACTCCATTCCTGGGTGATGGAGTGAGACCCTGTCTCAAAAAAAAAAAAAAAAGAAATTAGTAAATATAAGGGCAGCACAAAGGAAAGTTTTGGTGGACCTAAAGCTTCTTTTCTTTTCTTTCTTCCTTGCCCATTTTGTAAAAGGTATTCTGCCTATACTCATTCTAAAATATCCACATTCCTTTACAGTTAGTGTAGGGCAAGCTATTACTGAATAACAACCTCTGCTTTTTGCTCATTTCTGTGGATTCAGTATAAAGATTCTAACATTGTTGCTTTACCGTCGACCCCTTGGGGAATGTGCATTGTTGAGGCTATACTCACTGCCTTTACTTGTTTCAGATTTGATCTTACAGTGGAGAGAAGTTAGGCATAAGGTGTGGAAGGGGCAGGAAGTGCTTGTAGCTTTCACTTCAGGAGCATGAAATCTTGTGTTTTTTCCTCTCTCTGCTGGTCGTGATGTTGGGTAGGTCTCTTCTACCTTGTGATAAGAGAATGAGCATCCTCCAAGCTTCTGGTAGCGATCAAACTGGACAAGTAGATCACCGACCTGAAAACATCCAAACAGTGCATCTGTTTCAAGTAGAGACACATTACCAAATTTCAAATCATATCCAACCAAGGATGGGAGGCAAAGAGTTGGTGTCGTTCCAGCAGCCCGCTGACACTTGTCATGTCCCTGTGCCCTGCATTCCAGGAAGGACGAGAGGAGCCAGGGGTTGCTCACGCCAACCATCATCCACTCTGGAGTCCTAGCATCCCAAAAGTGTGGGTCCTTGTTGACACAAACTTAGAATTCTTTAGGATCCTAAAGCCTAAGGAAACCTTGTTCTCAAAAGCTCACTGATTTTGCTCCTGGGGATAAAAAATATTAACAGTTAGTAATATTCTTTCCATTTAGATCTACAGAGTTGGATTCCAACTGGTCATGGTTTCAGTTGCGATGCATGCAAGTCGGAGGAAACGCTAGTGCAGTAAGTTCATCTCAAACTCGTCATTTTCCTTCTTGTTTAAATATTTGTTATGCTATAATAGTAAAGAAGCTCAGGCTAGGTGCAGTGGCTCATGCCTGTAATCTCAGCCATTTGGGAGGCTGAAATTACAGGCGTTTGGGAGGATCACTGGAGCCCAGGAGTTCAAGACCACCCTGGGCAACATGGCAAGACCCTCTGTTTATAAAAAACAAACAAGTCAGGTGTGGTGTCTCACGCCTGTAATCCCAACACTTTGGGAGGCTGAGGCGGGCGGATCACTTGAGGTCAAGAGTTCGAGACCAGCCTGGCCAACATGGTGGAACCCCATCTCTACTAAAAAAAAAATAATAATAACAAAAATTAGCTGGGTATGGTGGTGCACACCTGTAATCCCAGCTACTCGGGAGGCTGAGGCGGGAGAGTTGCATGAACCTGGGAGGCAGAGGTTGCAGTGAGCCGAGATCACACCACTGCACTCCAGCCTGGGTGACAGAGCGAGACTCCATCCCAAAAAAACAAACAAACAAACAAAAAGAGTTCAATACTTGAAAGTTTGGGAGGCCCTATGAGAAGAAGCAGAGAGCCTGATGGGTTTTGGAGTTGGACAGACCCAGTTGACTTGTTTATTCAAAAATCTGTTAAACACCTAATAAACAGGAAGCGTTGGCTAGCTGCTGGGGATATAGTGACAGACAAGACAAACAAGATCCCCAGCTGGGCACGGTGGCTCATGCTTGTAATCCTAGAACTTTGGGAGGCTGAGGCAGGCAGATCGCCTTGAGCCCATGAATGTAAGACTGACCTGGACAACATGACAAAACTCCGTTTCTGCAAAAAATGCAAAAATTAGCAAATCATGGTGGTGCATACCTGTAGTCCCAGCTACTCGGGAGGCTGAGGTGGGAGGATCTCTTGAGCCTGGGAGGTAGAGGTTGCAGTGAGCTGAGATCGCACCATTGTGCTCCAGCCTGGTTGATAGAGTGAGATCAGTGATAGATAGAGTGAGTTGATAGATTATCAAAATAATAAATTAAAATAACCAATATCCCCTCTTATAGGGGATATTTTATTATAAATAAAAATAATCAAGATCCCCTCTTATAGACAGGGGCAGTCAGAGAGTAATCAAAGAAATATGTTCACAGGAAAATAACAGGCAGTGATAAGTGCTTTAAGAAAATTAAAACAGGAAGTGAGGGTACAGAGAAACTGGAGGCTTCTTTATGATAATAGTTTTTTAATAACTGGGGTGACTTTTGTGGTTAGGATGGAATGCTTGTATTTAAATTAATATTTAACTTCTTAAATCTACAAATTAAAAAACCCATTCTTTTTTTTTTTTTTTTGAGACAGAGTTTGGCTCTGTTGCCCAGGCTGGAGTGCAGTGGCGCCATCTCAGCTCACTGCAACCTCCACCTCCCGGGTTCAAGAGATTCTCCTGCCTCAGCCTCCTGAGTAGCTGGGACTACAGGTGCACGTCACCATGCCTGGATTTTTTGGTATTTTTAGTAGAGACGAGGTTTCACCATGTTGGCCGAGCTGGTCTCAAACTCCTGACCTCAAGTGATCTGCCTGCCTTGGCCTCTCAAAGTGCTGGAATTACAGGCATGAGCCACAGCACCCGACCAAAAAACCCATTCTTCATGTCTTTAAATATAGCAAATATTGTGTGTTAATTTCTAAACACAAACATAAATACTGTGTGTTAAGTTCTGTGAAAAAATAACCTTAAAATATTCAATTAATTTATAATTTTAAAGAACTGATTTCCTTAACCCCATTTACAAACCTAAGTAAGGATTTTCTTTTTTTTTTTTTTTCTTTTTTTTTTTTTGAGACGGAATCTTGCTCTGTCACCCAGGCTGGAGTGCAGTGGCCCAATCTCAGCTCTCTGCAACCTCTGCCTCCCAGGTTCATGCCATTCTTCTGCCTCAGCCTCCCGAGTAGCTGGGACTACAGGCGCCCGCCACCACACCCAGCTAATTTTTTGTATTTTTAGTAGAGACGGGGTTTCACCATGTTAGCTAGGATGGTCTCGATCACCTGACCTTGTGATCCGCCCGCCTCAGCCTCCCAGAGTGCTGGGATTACAGGCATGAGCCACCGCGCCCGGCCTAATTAAGGATTTTCAAACATTTTAAACTTTATTTACAAATTCAGTATATTTGATTATCTCAAACACTGAACTGGCAGCCTTACAAATCTAGCCAGCCAAATCTTGCACAGCACTGGTAACCTATTTATCAGGCCAAAATGGTGTAGATGGAGTAAATGGAATTCCTTTAGGCGTTTCTTATATGCTAAAGTATAAGAAATCAAATTTGTATGCATTTCAAATAAAAATTATGGCCAGGCATGGTGGCTCGTGCCTGGAATCCCAACACTTCGGGAGGCTGAGGCGAGAGGATCACTTGAGTCCAGGAGTGTAAGACCAGCCTGGGCAACATAGTGAGACCTCATCGTACAAAAGACTTAAAAATTAGCAAGGCATAGTGGAACCTGCCTATAGCCTCAGCTACTCAGGAGGCTGAGGTGGGAGGATCACTTGAGCCCAGGAGTTCAAGGCTGCACTGAGCTGTGATCATGCCATTACACTCCAGCCTGGGTGACAGAGCAAGACCCTGTCTCAGAAAAAAAAAAAAGAAAAAAAAAATATATATATATATATGTGTGTGTGTATATATATATCAATTAAATAGTTAAAGTCAGAGGTCTAAAATAGCAGTTTCCAAAATGCTAGTTTCTCAATCTTTTTTCTTCGTTGTCCCTAAGCATAAAAATCAATTAATTAGATAATTTTCCATTTAAATTGGATCCAATGTTTCCCTAATGAGATAAATTAAATACTAAGGAATACAATTTTGTCAGGTAGAGGTGACCTTTGGAAGGCCATAAACCATTGTAATAACTAAGATTTTTTTTTCACTTTTCAAGAAACAATTTTTGCCCCTCTTAATTAAAAATATATGCCTGGCCAGGCATGGTTGCTCCTACCTGTAATCCCAGAACTTTGGGAGGCCGAGGCAGGAGGACCACTTGAGCCCATGAGTTCAAGACCAGCCTGGACAACAAAGTCTACAAAAAAAAAATTTTAAATTAGCCAGGCATAGTGGTGCATGCCTGTAGTCCTAGCCACTTGGGAGTCTGAGGCAGAAGAATCACTTGAATCCAGGGGGTTGGCGCTACAGTGAGCAGTGTTCACCGTGCCACTGCACTCCAGCCTGGGTAATCAAGCAAGACCGTCTCAAAAAAAAAAAAAAAAAAAAAAGAAGTATGCCTTAGATGTTTCAAGGCTTTTTTTTGGTTTTTTTTTTTTTTTTTTTGAGATAGAGTCTCACTCCTATTGCCTAGGCTGGAGTGCAGTGGCAAAATCATAGCTCACTGCAGCCTCAACTTCCTGGGCTCAGGTGATTCTCTCACTCAGCCTCCCAAGTAGCTGGGACTACAGGCAAGTACCACCACGCACAACAAGTTTTTTACATTTTTAGTAGAGACAGGGTTTTGCCATGTTGCCAGGCTGGTCTCGAACTCCTAGGCTCAAGTGATCTGCCTACCTCTGCCACCCAAAATGCTGGGATTGCAGGCATGAGCCACCGGGCCCAGCCAGTGTTTCTTATTAATTTTTTATTGATTTTCTGTTTTTTTGTAGAGGCGTGGTCTCACTTTGGTTCCCAGGTTGGTCTCGAATTCCTGGCCTCAAGCAATCCTCCTGCTTTGGCTTCCCAAAGTGCTAGGATTACAGGCATGAGCCACTGTGCCCAGCCTCAAGCATCTTTTTAGAAACCTTTGCCCATTATCATGATGTTCACAAACTTGTTCCTAAACTTAGCACTGTTGGTTTGACTTACCTGTTCTTATTTCTAAGCCTTCCCAAGGTTGCAGAGTCACCCTCCAAACTCCAGAAAGGAGCTTTCTCATCTCAAGCCATCAGGGGTTGGGGGACATGGGGAGGGAAGGCTCAGATGAGTGGTCATTCGGTTTAGCCAGTGGAGCTGTGAGTTCTGTGCTTGGAACCATCCTTTTTGTATTTGAATCCTAACTCTGTCCCTTGCTACCCATGTGACTTGGGGCATGTTGTTGAACCTCTCTGTGCTTCATTTTCCCCATCTGTAAAGTGTAGACAGCAGTAGTGACTGTCTGATAGTGTTGCTATGAGGGTTGAATGAGATGATGCCCATGAAGCACTCACAACAGGATCCGGAACATGTGGGTGACCAATATCATTATCAGTTAAATTAGGTTCATCAAAGGATCACTCGTATAGGTTTTTAGAAGACCTGTTTTAATTAAGATATGAATTCTATAATTCATGTCTATACATGGATCCTCATGAAGTGGGTAAAAGCAGTTTCTTTTAATTGTTTAAATACTTGTTTTATCATCTTACCTATATTGTAGTATCTGTTAATGATAAAATAGTGCTAAACAAGGTAAACATTAATGTAGCTCCTCACTAATTTGTCAAAAATTCTGATTTACTGGAATCCATTTTGAGATTGATTGTGGACGAAGTGTAGTGGTTCACACTTCTAATCCCAGCACTTTGGGAAGCCACGGTGAGAGGATTGCTTGAATCCAGGAGTTGGAGGCTGCAGTGAGCCATGATCATGCCACACTACCCTCCAGCCTAGGTGACAGAGTCAGACCATCTCAAAAAACAAAGAAAAGGGCCAGGAGCGGTGGCTCACGCCTGTAATCCAGCACTTTGTGAGGCCAAGGCAAGTGGATTCCTTGAGCTCAGGAGTTCAAGACTAGCAACATAACAAGACCCCATCTCTACAAAAAATACAAAAATTAGCCAGGCGTGGTGGCACACACCTGTAGTCCCAGCTATTTGGGAGGCTGAGGTGGTGGGATCACTTGAGCCCAGGAGGTGGAGTTTGCAGTGAACCGAGATGGAGCCACTGCATTGCAGCCTGGGTAATAGAGCAAGACTCTCTCAAAAAAAAAAAAAAAAAAAAAAGAAAGAAATGGATTGCTCGTGAATTAAAAGTAGTCCTGAGTAGAAAGCTTTTCCCCAAATAAAGTTCACAATGACAGAGATGGTTTAATGGACAAATGAGGACTAGTTATTTCATTTTGTAATGCAAGTCTCATAGCTAGTTTTTGTTGTTGTTGTTGTTTTGAGATGGAGTCTTGCTCTGTTGCCCAGGCTGGAGTGCAGTGACACGATCTCAGCTCACTGCAAGCTCCGCCTCCCAGGTTCGCCATTCTCCTGCCTCAGCCTCCCAAGTAGCTGGGATTACAGGCGCCCGCCACCACGCCTGGCTAATTTTTTGTATTTTTAGTAAAGGCAAGGTTTCACCGTGTTAGCCAGGATGGTACTGATCTCCCGACCTCGTGATCTGCCTGCCTCGGCCTCCCAGAGTGCTGGGATTACAGGCATGAGCCACTGCGCCTGGCCATACGTAGTTTTACGAAAATATTAATGTGCATGCTTTTCTCTGTAGTCTTCCTTTTTTCATCAACATGGGTGTTCCACCAATGACACCAATGCCAAGTACAACAGTCGTGCTGCTCAGCTCTATAGGGAGAAAATCAAATCGCTCGCCTCTCAAGCAACACGGAAGCATGGCACTGATGTAAGTCACTGGAGGCTGGATTGTTTCCTTTAGATACATGTTCACTTCATAGAAAAAGTGATTTTTATCCTGAATAGTAAAACTTTTCTACCTGAGTTGTCTTACAAGGAATTAGTGTACAGTAGATTCTTACTATTGAAGTAGTTATGTTCTGTAAATTCATCATGAGTACTGGATTAGTGAATACTAAAACATTGCTCCTAGGAGAAATACAGGATTAGGTTCCTATAAGCTCTGGTCTCATTTTCATCAACTGATCAATACATAACCTTATTTAACATGTGTTTCTATTTAAAGACACCTTTTTAAATATATATTGATGGCTCATGAATATTGAACTCACAGCCAAGGACTATAACTCAGCCCTGAATGAAGCTTATTTAATGCCTGAATTTTCTCCATGAGGCACATCACAGCCTTCATGTGCTTCAGAACATTAGATAGCCCTTCAGTACTGCACTTGAGAGGCATCTTAAAAAATGACATCCTCAATAAAAAGCATGGGAATATGAAGAACATAGCACAAAATAAACTGCAGAAAGGACATTTGTTATGAGAACTGAAACAAGAAGGCAGAGTAGTGTGTCTTGTTCTACCTCAGCTGAGAATGTGCTTCTTGGGCAACTCATTTTTTGCTGCACTATTCTCCAAATGACTGAAAACACCACGAGGACTAATTTTGGGTTAAACGTAAATTTTAGCAAGTAGGTAGATTCATAAATATGGAATCCATGAATAACAAGGATTGATTATCATTTGGAACCTGCATTTAGATATGAAGTCTTTGATCTTTCCTTTTCAGAAATGGTTTATGTGTTTGAGGTCCTTGACTTCCTCAAGGTTTGGAAGCAAAATTTACTGGATGATAGATTACTAAAGTGCACGCAGAGGTCCTCTGTAGGGATGTTACTGATTTTATAAGAATGGAAAGCACCAATCTTTAGGAAACAGGTCTCTAAGGGAAGTGAAAGGTATCAAATAAAATCCTTTACAGGCCGGATGAAATGCTCAGCCCTGTGTTGTTTTTTTGTTCTAGCTGTGGCTTGATAGTTGTGTGGTTCCACCTTTGTCCCCTCCACCAAAGGAGGAAGATTTTTTTGCCTCTCACGTTTCTCCTGAGGTATGTATTATGCTTCACATCATTTTAAAGTGTGCTTACTCTGACAGTTAACAAAAGGTGCATATTTAAAATGTTAGGATGTAGGCTAAGCTCTTGTAACAAGAAGTGCTGAAACATAACTACTGAAGAGAGAAATGACATTATCAACAATTCCAAGGTTAGGATATCTGCTATTGACTGATGGACTTACTTTGCTGTTCTCAACATGTGGCTTCCATCTCAGGGTCTAAAGCAGCTGCTCCAGTTTAAGACTCTCCCAGATTAAGAGAAAAAGACAAGCATCCTTGAGAGCTAATGCCCTATTCTTCTATTTATTTATTTTTGGGGGGACTGAATCTGGCTCTGTTTCCCAGGCTGGAGTGCAGTGGCACGATCTCAGCTCATTACAACCTCTGCCCCCTGGGTTCAAGTGATTCTCCAGCCTCAGCCTCCCGAGTAGCTGGGACTACAGGTGCGCACCAACACACCCAGCTAATATTTTTTTTGAGATGGAGTTTCGCTCTTGTCACCTAGGGTGGAGTGCAATGGTGTGATCTTGGCTCACTGCAATCTCCGCCTCCTGGGTTCAAGCGATTCTCTTGCCTCAGCCTCCCGAGTAGCTGGGACAACAGGTGCACGCCACCACACCTGGCTAATTTTTGTATTTGTAGTAGAGACGAGGTTTCACCATATTGGCTAGGCTGGTCTCGAACTCCTGACCTCAGGTGATACCCCCGCCTTGGCCACCCAAAGTTCTGGGATTATAGGTGTGAGCCACCATACCCCACCACAGATGCCCTATTCTTTTACAGAAAAAGTCTGGAGGGAGCTCCCATCCCTTCTACTTATGTCCTATGAGCTGGAATTTAGTTGCATGTCTTATCTAGCTGCTAGGGAGAACTGAGAATTTATTACTAGTAGTGTGCCACAGTTCAGTTCAGAGCTCTGAAACTGACTAAAAATGAAAACATTTTTAATAGGGGTTTCATTCTCAGTGCCCCAGTTTTGCTGTTTATGTAGTATTATCTCAAAGCTATTGGATGAGTTAATGCAGGTAAAAGTACTTAGTACCTGGCACAAAGTAAGCCTTCAGTAAGTGCTCTAAATATCACTATCTTCATCTTTGTGACCTGATAGCAACAGTGACAGCAATCCATAGTACTTCTGTGGCCTCTCCTCAGATCACTTAGATCTAGGGAAAGTAAAGCCTAAAAGGCGACAATATTTACTATTTGGCCCTTTCTTTTCTTTCTTCCTTTCTTTTTTTTTTTTTTTAAAGACGGAGTTTTCCCTCTTGTTTCCCAGGCTGTAGCGCAATGGCGCGATCTCGGCTCACTGCAACATCCACCTCCCGGGTTCAAGCGATTCTCCTGCCTCAGCCTCCCAACTAGCTGGGATTATAGGCATGTGCCACCACACCTGGCTAATTTTGTATTTTTAGTGGAGACGGGGTTTCGCCATGTTGGTCAGGCTTGTCTCAAACTCCTGACCTCAGGTGATCCACCTGCTTCGGCCTCCTAAAGTGCTGGGATTATAGGCATGAGCCACCACACCGGGCCTACTATTTAGCCCTTTAAGGTAACGTGTGCCTACCTCTGTCTTGGACCATCATATGTTCTGCCAGCTACTCTAGCTCCTCCCAGTCCCACTGGGTAAGGAGCACGATTTGTTGAACTCTTGCTCAATCTATTCTTTAATTTTCTTTTTTTCTTTCGTTTTTTTTTTTTTTGAGATGGAGTCTTACTCTTCTGTCACCCACGTTGGAGTGCACTGGCACAATCTTGGCTCACTGCAGCCTCTGCCTCCCAGGTTCAGGTGATTCTCCTGCCTCAGCCTCCCAAGTAGTTGGGATTACAGGCCCACACCACCACGCCTGGCTAATTTTTTTTGTAATTTTAGTAGAGACAGGGTTTCACCATATTGGCCAGTCTGGTCTCGAACTCCTGACCTCAGGTGATCTGCCTGCCGCAGCCTCCCAAAATGCTGGGATTACAGATGTGAGCCACTGTGCCCAGCTTATTCCTTAATTTTCAATTTAAAACTATGTAAAGTTGTACACAGGTTGTTAAAGCTTGTTTTTTGGGTTTTTTTTTTTTTTTTGCTATTATAATTTGCACATACTTATTAGCATTGTCACAGTCAATAGTTACCAAAAATGGTTATCAAGAAAGAGGAGAACAGGCCAGGCATGTTGGCTCATGCCTGTAATCTCAGCAGTTTGGGAGGCCGAGGTGGGAGGATAGCTTGAGCCCAGGCGTTTGAGACGAGCCTGGGCAGCATAGTGAGACTCCTTCTCTACAAAAAATTTAAACTTTAGCTGGGCGTGGTGGCACATGCCTGCAATCTCAGCTACTCAGGAGGCTGAGGTGGAAGCACTGCTTGAGCCTGGGAGGTCAAGGCTCCAGTGAGCTGTGATTGTGCTTCTGCACTCTAGCCTGGGCAACAGAGCAAGACCCTGTTTCTAAAAAAAAAAGAAAGCAAGAAAAAAGTAGATATGCCTTCCTTTCCATTAACAGGGACTCAGAATGTGGCTGTTTAAATTGTTAGGTTTTTCCCGTGCTTTGATGTGTTTTTTATGGCTGTTTTCTTGCTTTGTCTGCTAATGACTTTTCTCGCCTTGTTTCAGGTGAGTGACACAGCGTGGGCATCAGCAATAGCAGAACCATCTTCTTTAACATCAAGGCCTGTGGAAACCACTTTGGAAAATAATGAAGGTGGAGTCCTTAGAACTGTCATGTAATACTATTCTATGGTTCAGTGGCATGCTATGAAACTATTAAAAATTAAGATGGGCCAGGCACAGTGGCTCATGCCTGTAATCCCAGCACTTTGCGAGGCTGAGGCGGGGGGATCGCCTGAGCCCAGCAGTCAGAGACCAGCGTGGGCAACATAGTCCCCATCTCTATCAAAAAAAAAAAAAACTGAAACCTAAAAATATTAAAATGTAGACCCTTCTGTCTTTTTTTTTTTTTTTTTGAGACTAAGTCTTGCTCTGTAGCCGAGGCTGGAGTGCGATGGTGTGATCTCGGCTCACTGCAACCTCCGCCTCCTGGGTTCAAGCAATTCTCCTGCCTCAGCCTCCCTAGAAGCTGGGATTACAGACATGCACCGCACATCTGGCTAATTTTTGCAACATGATTTCACCATGTTGGCCATGCTGATCTCGAACTCCTGACCTCAGGTGATCCACCCGCCTTGGCCTCCCAAAGTGCTGGGATTACAGGCGTGAGCCACCACACCTGGCCGACCCTTCTGTCTTAACAGGAAGAAATATTCATAATAGACTATAAAGTGGGGGAAAAATATTACTGAACATGGAATATAATAATCATTTTTGTAAAAAAAGAAAAACATACCAAAAACGTTCTGGAAAGCACATAGCAAATTGTTAAATAGAGAGTGAAATTACTGAGGATTTTTAGTTCTCACTTGATATAGTGTTGAAGTGTCTGAACTTTTATAATGAGTATGGGTTACTTTTATCATCAAAAACAAAATTTCAATTTAAAAACTTATAAAAATAGTTGATACATAATGATTCACATTTGGTGACTTTCTTACAGGATTACATTTATTGTAAATATATCAGTTGCTTACATATTAAAAATCACTTGTGACATGAGTAGTCAGCTCTTTCTGTTTTAAAGTTGTGCATCCTTTGTTAGGCCAGAATGTTAGTGTAAATTAACAACAAAAATGTAACTTTGGACAACTAAGCAGTGAGTTCATGGGTTATGATACCTTAAGAAGTGCTGGCTTATATAAACTGAGCCTTGAACTACTCTAAGGAACATAGCGTAACAGGAAAGATGAAGCAGTCACCAACCGCGGGTTGGGTGATGGTATTGAGAAAATTTCTGGCAAGGATTTTGCTGGAGGGTAGGAGAGTAAGTGGTATTTATCAAGAAAGTAGTCCTAGGAGAGAGAGGCACTCAGCTGTGTCCCAGAGTGGAGTCATGTTGTAATGAAAAGGAGTCGCATAGCCAGGCAGGTTGTGCACGCCTGTGATCCCAGCTACTAGGGAGACTGAGGCAGGCAGATCTCTTAAGCCTATGAGTTTGAGACTGCAGTGAGCTATGATTGCACCACTGCACTCTCCAGCGTGGGTGACAGAGACCCGGACTCTAAAAAAAATAAGAAGAAAAAGAAAAGGAGTCGCTTCCTTTGTATTGAGTTATAGGTATAAGGGTGGGAATGTCTGAGATTTCCATCAAACAGTAGAATGCTGATTTTTCATTTTGCTGGTATAGGCGTAGACATATCAGTGAATCAGGATAAGAACATTGCATATCCTAGGTAACAATGGGTTATTTGATGAATGGAATTTGGACAAGTGTCTGGCATTTTAGAAACAAATAATAAAACAAAGTAGAATTTCTTCTTTACTCTTTACACAAGGCTAAATTCAGGTAGTTCAAAGATTTACATGAAAATATGATTATCCTAGAAGAAAACATGGGTAAAGCCTTTTTTATTATCCTGAATTGAGGAAGCCCTTCTAGGCATATTCAAATCTCATAAAAGGAAAAGGTTAATAAATCTGATGACATAAAAATAGAACATTTCTGTTTTGAAAAAATACTTTAAAGTGAAGACAAATGATAAACTTATATTTGCAATTCATATGTAGACAAAAACGGCTTGTTTCCTTACTATGCAAAGAACTCTGATGTGGTTGTTTTGTGGATGATTTGCACCCTGTGATTTTTTTTTTCCACATTCTTTTTTTAGGCATATGACCGTAGATGCCTGCAAAGAAGACATTTATACACCTCTAACTGGAGTTTAGTTTTTTGATTTCTTAGCCTTACACTATACTGCAGCCACATTTGCCCTTGGGTGTTTTTCTGCCTGTGTTTGCTTTTTGTTTTGCTTGGAGTGTGGCTCTGCCTTGATTGGCATGGGTTGCCTCTTTGTTGGGGTTCAGCTTTAAGACCAGCCAACGAGCACTCCCAGTCACAACTGCATTTGTACATTTTTTCTTCCTCATAGCATAGCAAACACCAGTTCTGGAAATTACTGCGTTTCTTAGTTTGCATGTCCACTGTGTGTCCCCTCTGCTGAGCTGTGAGCTCTTCCAGAGAGAGATTGTTTTTTAAGATGAGAAATCTACCTGAGCCATTGATTGATTTACCGTTATCAATCAGAGAGAAGAGAAGAAAGAATTCCCACAATCTCCTAACAAACAGGAACAGTGCGTTATATATCTTTTGTGAAAGTACAGATGATAATTTAACTATTTTCACTATTATAATTTATTAGCATAAAAGGGCTTTGAGGCCAGGCACAGTGGCTCACGCCTATAATCCCAACACTTTGGATGGCTGAGGCGGGTGGATCACTAGAGGCCAGGGGTTCAAGGCCAGCCTGGCCAACATTGCAGGACCCTATCTCTACTAAAAATACAAAAATTAGCCAGGCATGGTGGTGCATGCCTGTAATCCCAGCTGCTCAGAAGGCTGAGGCAGGAGAATCCCTTGAACCTGGGAGGCGGAGGTTGCAGTGAGCCGAGTTCGCACCACTACACTCCGCCTGGGCAACAGAACAGGACTCTGTCTCAGAAAAAAAAAAAAAAAAAAAAGGCCGGGGGCTTTGAGATTGAGGGTTAGCCACAGGAGATATGTGTAACCTCTGAAGTCCGGATGTCACAGTTTGTTTTAACAGAAACCCCAGTAACTAACACAGAACAAGAATTTTTTTTTTTTTGAGACAGAGTTTCACTCTTGTTGCCCAGGCTGGAGTGCAATGGTGTGATCTCAGGTCACCACAACCTCTGCATCCCGGGTTCAAGCGATTCTCCTGTCTCAGCCTCCCAAGTAGCTGGGATTACAGGCATGTGCCACCACTCCTGGCTAATTTTTATATTTTTAGTAGAGACGGGTTTCACCATGTTGGCCAGGCTGGTCTTGAACTCTTGACCTCATGATGCGTCCCCCTTGGCCTCCCAAAGTGCCGGGATTACAGGTGTGAGCTACCGCGCCTGGCCCTCATCTTTGTATTTTTTAGTAGATACAGGGTTTCACCATGTTGGCCAGGCTGATCTTGAACTCTTGACCTCATGATGCGTCCCCCTTGGCCTCCCGAAGTGCTGGGATTACAGGCGTGAGCCACCACACCTGGCCCTCATCTTTGTATTTTTTAGTAGATATGGGGTTTCACCATGTTGGTCAGGCTGGTCTCAAACTCCTGACCTCAAGTGATCTGCCCGCCTCGACCTCCCAAAGTGCTGGGATTACAGGCATAAGCCACCACAAGCCCAGCCTACACTTTATCTATTTTTAAAGTAATAAATAAAATAAAATTAAAATAACAAAGTATGGTTGGGCGCGGTAGCTCACGCCTGTAATACCAACACTTTGGGAGGCCAAGGTGGGAGGTCTCGAACTCCTGAGCTCACGCAGTGTGCCCAACTTGGCCTCCGAAAGTTCTGGGATTACAGGTGTGAGCCACTGTGCCAGGCTTTTAATGAAGGCTTCATAGAGTTGCTAACCAGGATCACTTTTTAGGTAAAATAGAATAAACAAGGCAGATTTCTTGGCAACTGAAAATTTAGATTTCTATCACTGATGTAATTGGTATTAGAATTTCCACATATTAGGCCGGGTTCAGTGGCTCACGCCTGTAATCCTGGCACTTCGGGAGGCCAAGGCGGGTGGACCACCTGAGGTCAGGAATTTGAGACCAGCCTGACCAACATGGAGAAACCCCATCTCTACTAAAAATACAAAATTAGCCGGGCATGGTGGCGCATGCCTGTAATCCCAGCTACTCGGGTGGCCGAGGCAGGATAATGGCTTGAACCCGGGAGGCGAAGGTTGCAGTGAGCCGAGATCGTGCCATTGCACTCCAGCTTGGGTAAGAAGAGTGAAATTCTGTCTCCAAAAGAAAAAAAAACAAAACAAAACAAGGATTTCCACATATTAACATACATTGGGTATGTATAGTCCACAGAGGTAGTAAGTATCTTTTGACAGGTCACATTAAATCACCAGATCATAAGGTAGAATTTTGAATCGTATTAGTTGAAGAGACCACTAACATTTTTATTTGATAAAGCCATTGGATTAAAAATAAACTTCTACTTTAATGGACTTTTAAGTCAAAATTCTTATAACGTTAAAATAGAATATACAGCTAAAAAGGTAGGTGATCATTGACAAAATTGGATAAGATGTAGCACTGAGCAAGTTGAATTATTATATATTCAAAAGCAAGTTAGCTGAGTATATTTTCTGCGCTAATATCAATGTTTTGAATTTTCAGGTGGACAAGAGCAAGGACCAAGTGTGGAAGGTCTTAATGTACCAACAAAGGCTACTTTAGGTAATATGCTTAAAATCCTACATTCTGATTTAAAGTGTATGACTCATTAAGAAAAAAATAAATCCTCTTGCATTTGGCCTGGGCATCTCACCTGACGGAGTAATATAATCATGACCGAATCTGTTAATAAGATTTTATTAAACAAAAGATACTATATATATATGTTTTTTATTCATCTCTCAAGCTTCCAACAAAGATGCTACATTTTAACCAGCTTGATAATATAAAATGCAGCATTGTGGCTGGGGGCAGTGGCTCACACCTGTAATCCTAACGCTTTATGAAGCCGAGGTGGTCAGATCGCTTGAGCCCAGGAGTTCGAGACCAGCTTGGGCAACACAGCGAAACCTTAGCTCTACAAAACAACAACAACAACAACAACAACAACAAAAATTACCTGAGTGTGGTGGCACACATCTGTAGTCCCAGCTACTTGGGAGACTGAGGCAGGAGGATCACTTGAGCCTGGGAGGTTGAGGCTGCAGTGAGCCATGATCACACCACTGCACTCTGCCCTGGGTGACAGAGTGATACCTTGTCTCAAAAAAAAAAAAAAGCAGCAATGTGCACATTTAGCCAATATGGCTGCTGATGGTTTTGATTCGTGGGTTTATGTTGGGCTGGCTCACCTTACGGAAATAAGCAGTGGTCAGAACATCTACACCATTCCTTTTTACTCAAGAACTCATTTTCTTCTCTTTCTGATTTTATTATAGGTGAACTTAATCTTAAATTTTTCATTATCAAGGAATTATAATTTGTAATTGTTATATATTCCATTGCATTAGTTGGAAAGCAGCTGCTTTGGTGAAAAATAACTAAACTGTTAGAAATGCTCCTGACATTTTCATCATGTTTTAGACTCGTCAGAGTTTGGGAGCAGGTTATGTGACTACTACAATACAAATCTGAAAGAAAGTAATGAAAAGGAAAACTCCCACAAGCATCTTTTTCACACTTGAAATGTAATGACGTTATTCTCTACTCACGGCTAAAGATTGTTATCTTTTGCTGTTTCTGGCTTTATGCTATCTTTTCCTATCAAAGCACATTCTTATCTTTATATGAAAAAATTAAGACTTTAATTTTGCTGGGTTTCTTAGACATAATTCTAAAGACAATATATAACCTATAAGTAAAATGTACTCAGAAAATGATTTTTAAGAAACTTTCTCTAAAAGTATTTTTGTGCAATTTAGAAAGTATTGTTATTAAAATAAGAGAATGCTTTATGTTTCTTTTTTTTTTTTTTTTGGAGACAGAGTCTCACTCTGTCACCCAGGCTGGAGTACACTGGCACGATCTCAGCTCACTGCAACCTCTGCCTCCCGGTGCCTCCTGGGTTCAAGCGATTCTCGTGCCTCAGCCTCCCAAGTAGCTGGGATTACAGGTGTGTGCCACCATGCCCAGCAAACTTTTTGTATTTTTAGTGGAGACGGGGTTTCACCATATTGTCCAGGCTGTTCTCAAACTCCTGACCTCAGGTGATCTGCCCGCCTTGGCCTCCCAAAGTGCTGGGATTACAGGCATGAGCCACCATGCCTGGCCGAGGATGCTTTATATTTATTTTGGCTAATATGATAAAATCTATATATAAGCCAAGGTGAAAAAGCACGTCACTGGCTGCTTTAGTTGTATACATAATGCCTAGCTAACTTTATTTTTATTATTGTTATTACTTTTTTGAGCTAGAGTCTCGCTTTATTGCCCATGCTGGAGTGCAGTGGGTGCAATCACAGTTCACTGCAGCCTGGCCCAAGAGATTCTCCTACCTCAGCCTCCCAAGTAGCTGGGACCACAGGCGCACGCCATCACACTGGACTAATGTTTTTTGTTTGTTTGTTTGTGGAGATGGAGTCTCCCTATGTTGTCCAGGCTGCGAACTTTATATTTTCAAATAAGTTTTATGCAGCCGTAAAAAAGAACAGTCATGTCCTTTGCAGCAACATGGCTGGAGGCCATTATCGTAAACAAACTAATGCAGAAACAAAACCAAATATCACATGTTTTCACTTATAAGTGGGGGCTAAATCTTGGGTTCATACGAACATAAAGATGGGAAGAGTAGACACTGAGGACTCCAAAAGGAGGGAGGGAGAGAGGGGAACAAGAGCTGAAACACTTCCTGTTGGATACTGTGCTCACTGTCTGGGTGATGGGATCAAGAGAAGCCCAAACCTCAGCACCACGCAATATACCCTTGTAACAAAACTGCACGTGTACTCCCTGAATCTAAAATAAAAATGGAAAATTATAATGATTTTTAAAGTTTTTGGGCTGGGCATGATAGTTCATACCTGTAATCCCAGCACTTTAGAAAGCCAAGGCAGGAGGATCACTTGAGGCCAGGAGTTCAAGACCAGACTGGGCAACATAGTGAGCTCCCCTGATGTCTACAAAAAAAAAAAAAAGAAAGAAAACCAGGCATGGTGGCATATGCCTGTAGTCCCAGCTACTAGGGAGGCTGAGACGAGAGGATCACTTGAATACAGGAGTTCAATGCTGCAGTGAGCTCTGATCACACTACTACACTCCAGCCTAGGTAATGGAGTGAGACCATCTCTAAAAAATTGTTAGATTTTTAAGTGTTTTAAAGTTTTTGAAGAGTAGCACTTGATAAAAGAGTTGTGGCATGGTGGCTCATACTCATAATTTCAGCACTTTGAGAGGCTGAGGCAGGAGCATCACTTGAGCCCAGGAGTCCAAGACCAGTCTGGGCAACATAGCAAGACACCCATCTCTAAAAAAAAAAAAAAAAAAAAAAAAAAATAGCCAGATGTGGTGGTGCGCACCTGTGATCCCAACTACTCAGGAGGCTGAAGTGGAAGGCTCCCTTGATCTGGGAGGTAATGCCACTGCACTCAGCTAAGGTGACAGAGCGAGACCCTGTCTCAAAAAAAAAAAAAAAGTTGTTGTAATATATTTTTTAAATGCTCCTGAAGAAAGTACTGAGAGGGGCAAGCTCAGGCTCTATTTCTCTTCAGTGTGCTGTTAAAAAAAAAAATACATTTTCTCTGAGTTTGGAGACTGCGTGGAAATACTGAGGACACCATTTTGACAAAGTTCTGTTAATCCAAAATATGCTTATCAACTTGAGTCTTCTGGATGAGAAACTAAAGTGGAAAATGTTATCATCTCTTAAATAATAAAGTGCAGTATCTTAGAATTTTAAAAGACACACTAAAAAAGAAAAATTATTTCTATTGGTCTTACTTTTTAATTTTTATTTTTTGGCAGAGGTATCCTCTATCATAAAAAAGAAACCAAATCAAGCTAAAAAAGGCGTGAGTATTATGTACTTTATATATAAAAATCTGGTAGTTAAGCTTTAAAACTAAAAAGCCGCTTCGTCATTTTAGTTTTATTCTTTTGAACCATCTTGTAATAAATGTAGCTTTGATATAAGGAGTCTATGTTTTGTTCAAAGAGATTAATGTCAAAGAGATTAATGTTATACTTATTGAATTTTTTCTAGAATGATTATTTAACATTTTTTCTGTCTATGACAAAATTCTGAAAAAAATTAACAAAGGTCCCCTGGGAATTTGTCTCCTGCTTGTGTAGATCAATAAGCAATGACATCTTGTGAGGCTTAGAGGGTGGTTGTCTGGTGAGTTTTCAGATACAGCGAAGCATTGCGGAGCACCAGCTCTGGAGGCAGGTGCAGGGTTTGAATCCTGGCCTTGCCATGTATTGGCTGTGTGACCTTGGCCACATTCCTTAACTTATATGAGCTTTACTTTCCTCAGCCCTCTGTATCCAGGGGTTCTGCATCCATGGATTCAACCAATTGCAGATCAAAATTATTTGGGGGGGAAAAAAAAACAATAGGCCAGGCGTAGTGACTCACGCCTGTAATCCCAGCACTTTGGGAGGCCGAGGCAGGTGGATCACTTGAGCCCCGGAGTTCAAGACCAGCCTGGGCAAAATGGTGAAATCCCATCTCTTCAAAAAATACAAAAAGTAGCCGGATTTGGTGGCCCGTGCCTGTAGTCCCAGCTACTCGGGATACTAAGGTGGGAGGATCGCTTTACCCCAGGAGGCAGAGGTTGCAGTGAGCTGAGATTGTGCCACTGTACTCCAGCTTGGTCAACAGCATGAGAGCCTGTCTCAAAAAAAGTAAAAAAAAATAAAAAGTAAGAATACAACAGTAAAAACAATACAAATAAAAACACAGAATTAGTAACTATTTTCATAGCATTTACATTATTTAGGCATAATAAGTAATCTAGAGATGATTGAAAGTATACTGGAGGCTACACGTGGGTTAAATGCAGATACTACGCCCTTTTACGTAAGGGACTTGATCATCGCAGATTTTGTTATCCACAGGGTCGTGAAACCAATTCCCCCATGCTGAGGGACTCCTGGAATAATACTAACTTCACAGAGTTCTGAGGACTAAGCCACAGAACAAATGTAGAGTGCTTGTCACAGTGCCTGGCAGGTCCTAACCCTTAGGAAATGTTAGCTGTAGTCACAGAAGCTTTCAAACAGCTCGTGTAGACTATAGTCTTATATATGTTCTAGCTTGGGGCCAAAAAAGGAAGTTTGGGAGCTCAGAAACTGGCAAACACATGCTTTAATGAAATTGAAAAACAAGCTCAAGCTGCGGATAAAATGAAGGAGCAGGAAGACCTGGCCAAGGTGGTATCTAAAGAAGAATCAATGTAAGTTTAATTTCATTATATTAATACATTTTCAGGGAATAAAACTATTAACTCAAGATTTTGCTTTCCAAATGCCATGTATTTTTGTGTGGGGGGGGAAGGGAGGGTACTGCAAAATTCAGTTTTATGAAAACTGATATTGCATTGGCATGTGGATTGGAAGGGAAAGAGACGATGGGGGCAGCAACACTCTGCTGAGGCTGTAAGGGCAAGACTGGAGTGACATCAGTGAGAAGGGAAAGACAGAGATGCATGGAGGTGTTTACACATGAAACATGCTTCACATTATTAGAGTTGGGGAAATGCAAATCAAGGCCACAATAAGATACCACTGTGTACTCTCTAGGGAAGCTATAATAAAAAAATCAGTAACAGGTGTTGGCTAGGATGTGGAGAAATTTGAACCCTTGTACATTGCTGATGGCAATGTGAAATGGTGCCACTGTTGTGAAAAACAGTTTGGCAGTCCTTCAGAAAGTTAAATGTAAAGTTTCCATGTGACCCAGCAAATCTACTCCTAAGTATATACTCAAGAGAAATTAAAACTTACATCTGTGCAACCACACACAAACTCGTGCATGAATGTTCATAGTGGCGTTAATCCTAATAGCCAAAAAGTAGAAATAAGCTAAATGTCTACCAACTGATAAATGAGAAAGAAAATGTGGTATGTCCATACAATGGACTATTACTCAGCCACAAAAAGGAATGTAGTCCTGATATTGGCCACAACATGGATAAACCTTGAAAAGTTTATGCTAAGAAAGAAGCCAGTCATAAAAGATCACATGATATGATTCTGTCTATATGCAATGTCCAGAATAGGCAAATCCGTAGAGACAGAAAGCAACTTACTGGTTGCCAGGGCCTGGGGTGAGGAGAGAATGGAGAGTGGCTGCTAATGGTCCAGGCCTGCTTTTTGGACTGCTGAAAGTGTTCTGGAGTTAGTGGTGATGATGGCACAGCTTTGTGAATGTGCTGAAACCACTGAATCATGCACTTTAACAGGGTGAGTTTTACGGTATGTGAATTATATCTGCATAATGAAAAAAGTATTTATAATCTGAAGCCCTGTTGGACTCTGTGACTAAATTCTAAATACATGATGGAAGACTATGGCTCTGGTCGTGTCTCCAGAGGTTCTGAGCCTGGATCTTGGAGAGGGAGAAGGAAGAGTTTCAGAGAATGAAGAAGGTGGAATGATCGTGTGTGTCGGGGGCCTGCCTGAAGTGGAGGAGTTGGAACGATAATGTGGAGCACCTTAAAGTCAGGCTGTGGTTGTCCACTTACCCAAGAGAAACAGCTCCTTCAGCAGTGCTGTCATGAAGGGGCGTCTCGGGAGAATGAGTTCGGTAGTGATACCCAGGCCAGGAAGAGGGGAGGAGACTGGAAGCCAGGAGGCCAGTGAAGAGATCGGTTTTCCGTAGACTTTTGTAAGGCTCTTGAGAGGTTTTCATTTGTGTTGAAATCAGAAGAGAAAGATGGCCTTCTGGAAACCGTGACTGTACCAAAGATCAGGAGAGAAGGGCGGAGGGTGCATGCTACACAGAAAGGAAAAGTAACCTGGATCCCTATTTTTTATGTGTGTGTTTTTTAATGGTGTTTTCTCTTACTTTCATGTGTATTTTATCTGTTTTAGCTTGAGTTACTATAGACTGTATGATGAAGAAAATAACACCTATTTTATGAGGTGGTTTTAAGGATTAGTTTAATAGCTTAAATGCTCATTGAAGTGCATCAAACAGTACCTGGCACATAGTAGGTGCTCAGTAAATGCAACTACTTTTCGTACTGTCTTACTGTTCATACTGACGGTTCGCTAAGATGGAGTTTATAAGGTAAACCCAAATAATTTGAAGTTGATAGTTGTTTCTCCTTGTCATTTAATTCACAGAACATAGGGGGCAGCACTGAACTGTATTTAGGTCGAATATGGTTTGAAATGCTTTGTGTACAAAAATTTACGTTGACTTGTCACAGACTTTAATTTCTCTTACTAAGCTAAGTTTTTGACCCTGGCAAAGGGAAAGGTTAGATTTGAGTGTTTCGATGGCTTCTCTTGGTATTTGGGAGTAGGCTCTGTCCAGATTACTCATGCTTGAGGTTTTCCCAGAGCGTGTGTAAAATCGGGCCCTGATCAGCTTCCTTCCTGCAAGTAAGCTGGATGGAGAAGCTGCAGGTAAGCTGGATGGAGTGAAGTCTGGTTGTTACTTCTAATATTAACATGCTAATCTTCCTGAAAACAGGAAGCAACAACCAGACTTCACTTGTATCTTTCATTAGGAGTGTTTAATACATCACAAAAACAAAGATGCAGATCGGAAGATTTATGAATTTGATTTGAGAAGCCAGTTTGGCAACTTTCATGGCCTTGTTCAGAACAACCACACCACTGTGCCTTAATGACCACCACTGCCACTCAAACCCGTAGAAAGTACAGGTGTTTTATCCTTAATACATGAGTGTTATGTTGCAAGTTAGTTTGTTTAATGGCTGTAAATAAAGTTATTTCGGCTCAGTAAACTGTCAGAACAGTGTTGTTCTTGTACTGTCAGAGTGTGAAACTAAACAGCCCATGCAGCATCCTGGTCTCCTTCTAGCAGTTTCCCAGCCCGTCCTCAGAGGCTCTCTGTGTGCCCACTTGGTAGGAAGGAAGGAAGAGGCAGAGCTGCCTTGAGCTGCTCCGCTTGTTTGATCTGTGTCCTGCAGTCCTCCCTTGAGCCAGTACCCGTAAGCACTCCTGAAGTTCTGAGAAACGCGGTGTTCTGACTTCTTAACTGTTGGTGCTTCCAGAGAGATGTTCTCGTAAGCATCAAAGTGCATGCTTTTAGTGAGTGACCCAGTCCATGTCAGATTACCTAGGAAGGAAAACTTTTCCATCTCTTATCTTTCTAATAGAACCTTTTCATCCCCATGCATCTTCTCCAGAAGAATCTGTTGCTGTAATTATATGTATTCATGATTTTAAACAGAGCTATTGTTTTCCTCCAAAAGAAAAAGTAGTATTTATTTGTTAAGGAATAAAATAGCCATAACCTGTTCTGTAGGAAGAGTAAGGAAAACAAACTGCCATGTGAAAACCAAAGAAATCTTGCTTGACTCATTAAAGAAAAGAAACAGCAAAAGCAAGATTACTTTTTCCTAATAAGAAATTCTGCACCGGGCGCGGTGGCTCATGCCTGTAATCCCAGGACTCTTTGAGGCAGAGGCAGGCAGATCGCCTGAGGTCAGGAGTTCGAGACCAGCCTGGCCAACATGGTGAAACCTCGTCTCTACTAAAAATAGAAAAATTAGCTGGATATGGTGGCAGGTGCCTGTAATCCCAGCTACTCGGGAGGCTGAGGCAGGAGAATTGCTTGAACCTCGTGGGTGGAGGTTGCAGTGAGCCAAGATTGCACCACTGCACTCCAGCCTGGGCGACAGAGCAAGACTCCATTTCAAAAAACAGAAAGAAATTCTGTTGTCTTTCCCTATTACTATGCAGAAATTTATTTATATTACTAGGAATTTATACAATGCCTCTTTTGCCAGGAATTCATGGTATTTTACATGTTTTTATAAAGTGGATGATAACTTAGAAATCCTTGTAAGTTAGATAGATCATTTTTCAGGGCCCTGAAATGTTGTGCTGTCTCACTAAAATATGATGCAAACTGCTATTCTTGCTATATAGGCATAGTTTTCTTTATGAAAAATTAAGTCATTATTGCATTTTTAGAAATCTGAGAGCAAGGACAATGTTTTGTACACCTTTTTACCCCTTTGGTGTCCTGCTTGTAGCAGATATTTGATTTTAAATAGAAGAGTGGTATTTGACTGACTAGTAGTGCTAAAGAGTCTATTAGCTGATGAGTCACTATCCCATTTTAAATGCTCTCAGAAGCCTGATTGCATAGAGATGTATCTACAAGAAATTATTTTGTAAATGGAAGGATCCTTTTACAATTAAGTAATAGCCCCTTAGTTGATCTATTTGTAAAGTCAAATTTATATATTTATTTATTTATCTTAAATCAAGATAGACTAGTGAGACTAACCTCATGCTTTGTTATGTAATGTGGAAGTGTAATAAAATATTAATCCAAGTAAGAAATCTTGCTTTTCACTATCCCATATGGAAGTGATTTGGGTATACATTATGTTATTATACAATAATAGGTAACATGAACTAAACTTGAACAGTGGTATAGGTTGAGCAGCAATGAGAAAGTGGCTGTAAGCTCATTCAAATTTTCTTAAACGTCTGTTCAAAAAAGGCAGGTAGAAAAAACACCAACTTGCCTTCATAATTGTTAATTATGGAAAGAATCATGAAGCTAAAAGTATAAATTACATGTTTAATTTTGCTTGCTATTTTAATATAAGAACAAAGGATTAAAGCTAAATTAAGGAGTATTTGGTTTTTCTGGCAGTGTTTCATCATTACGATTAGCCTATAAGGATCTTGAAATTCAAATGAAGAAAGACGAAAAGATGAACATTAGTGGCAAAAAAAATGTTGACTCAGACAGACTCGGCATGGGATTTGGAAATTGCAGAAGGTATGTGAGACTGCTTTCTTGGAGTTAGAATTTAAAACAGTGTGTCAATCATCAGTGGATTTTTCTTGGACTGTGTTAGTTTCAACTTTAGAGATTTTTTTTTGTTATTCATTAACTTCTCTAATTATTTTTGCTTTGCTCTGGTATTCAGTATAACATGAAAAATTTCAAATTTGGCTCTTTAAAAGAAGGAAAAAGGTCTGGCTCTTTACATGAAGCACCTACCAGAGAGGAAACCATGGACATAACCAATATTTGTGACTGCATTTGGTGTAGACACAGTCCTCACAAAATTTTAACATTTTTGAAAGCTTGCACCAGAAAAAAAAATTGTTTTATTGCTTATGTTTTTAACCCCTCGAATACATTTGTCTTTGTTCAAAACATAAATTAAAGCTTTGTTTATTTTGGTGAAACAAAAGTTTGTGAACTTACTGATATATATATTTTTCTGTTTTCTCAAGTGTTATTTCACATTCAGTGACTTCAGATATGCAGACCATAGAGCAGGAATCACCCATTATGGCAAAACCAAGAAAAAAGTATAATGATGACAGTGACGATTCATATTTTACTTCCAGCTCAAGGTACTGTATTACAAATCATCGTTGAAGTGTCATTTTGAAAAGCAGTGACTAGTATGGATTTATTAGTTTATTTGCATTAGGAGAAATTACAAATCAATTTACTTCACTGTTTTTAAAAGCTCTGGCTGGAGCCAGAGCTGTTCTTTGGAGTAAAAATTAGAGAAACGTTTGTAAAAGAACAACGTTGGCTAATATTAAAATGTTTGGCAATAAAATCAGCAACTGTGAGTTAAAATTAGAGGTAGGAGAGATGTGCTTATTTAAATTATGAAATTGGAGAAAACTGCAAAATCCTGAAGGTATGTGTTGTTTAGTCCAGCAGTGGGAATATTTCACAGCTCTTTCTCAGGGCTTCAGCAGATTTCTGTGCTTCAGAATGCCAGCTTCAGAAAACTCCAGTTGGTACAATAGTGCATTAAATAAACTCTATGGGTGTGTGTATTTATTAATGAGGAAGATGATTGTACTTTGAGGGGACCCCAGAGTAAAGCCTAGGTTTCTCTCCTTCAGCACTCACTATCTTATTGAGACAAAATGCATAACTCTAGTGTGAAGCTGACTGTGGAGAGCAGTGCACGGTCAAGTGGCCTGCCAGAGCAAAGAGAACAAGTTTAAACTTGAGTCAGTTCACTTCGTAAGGACCTGCTCGGCCCAGTGAGAGGTCTGCTAAAAAGGCACAAAATGAACCTGTGATTTCACTGGAGAGGGCACAGCTCAGGAACAGAGGGGTAAGAATATGGGCCCAGGGGCCAGATGGCATGGATTTGAATCCTGGCTTTCACTTACTTGTCACCTAGGCCAAGTTATTTAACTTCTTTGTGCTATAGCTTCCTCATCTGTAAATTAGGGACCCTAGTAATACCTACCCAATAGGGTTGTGTGAGGATCGAATGAGATACTGCGAATGCTATAGCACGTTTAGAATGGTGCTTGGCTCTTACTATGTTTAGCTGCTATATGATAATATAGAAACTCAGTTTAAGAGATGTGATTCAGTCTAAATGTTTTTTGTTTGTTTGTTTGTTTATGAGATAGAGTCTCACTCTGTCACCCAGGCTGGAGTACAGTAGCATGATCTCGGCTCACTGCAACCTCCACCTCCCAGGTTCAAGCAATTCTTATGCCTCAGCCTCCTGAGTAGCTGGGACTACAGGCGTGTGCCACCATACCCGGCTAATTTTTTGTATTTTTAATAGAGATGGAGTTTCGCCATGTTGGCCAGGCTGGTCTCAAACCCCTGACTTCAAGTGATCTGCTGGCCTCAGCCTCCCAAAGTGCTGAGATTACAGGCATGAGCCTCCACGCCCAGCCTAAATGTTTGATTACTATTGTTAGGTAGTTAAACTAACCACATTGAGGACCACCTTTGGGTTAGCAGTTCATGAAAACTGAAGGTGTTCCTGTCGGAAATGGGCGGTGCTTACTGGAAGGCTCCATCACTTATGTCTCTGAGGGCATTAGAGTTGTCTGGCAATTTATAGGTTTGAAGCGTTTTCATATGTATAAAAGATATATATGTGTGTGTGTATATATACACACCCACACACATGCACTTCATATATAGAACAGATATAAATATATTACCTAGGATCTAATTGTGAAATTGTATATTTTCCTATCAATGTTTATAGACAAGGAATTGTATAAAGAATACTATCCTTAAAAATGTCTCTAAGTATAGCTCTAAATTATTTCAAGTCCAGGGATTTTACCAAAAAAAAAAAAAAAAGTAGTAGTTTAGTGGTGTTCCATGGTGGTATTTTCAGAGACTTGGGTGGTTTTATATTTTTGCCTATCCTTTGCAGCCTGTATAATGCACCAAGTTTCACTTTACTCAGAAGTGATACCCAAATCATGCCTTTTAAAGGTATGTAAATAGATTTTACACAGAGTAAAATTAAATGTGTAATTTGATTTGGAAACTACATACGTGTCAGATCATTTCAGATGTGAATATTAAATGGTGGACTAAGTCTGGGTCAGAGGAAACTCTTGGCAGTACGGGTCTGTATTAGCCTGTGTGGCTTCTCACAACATCTTTGATTATTTCACTGCTTATTAGCAACTTCTGCAGATGATAGTGTAGGAAGGTAAAGAAAGTTTAGGCTGGGCATGGTGGCTCACACTTATAATCCCAGCACTTTGGGAAGCCAAGGCAGGAGGATCACTCGAGCCCAGGAATTCAGGACCAGACTGGGAAATATAGTGAGACCTCATCTTTACAAAAAATTTCAAAAATATTAGCCTAGCATGGTGGACATGCCTGTAGTCCCAGCTGCTTGGGAGGCTGAGGTGGAGGATCACTTGAGCCTGGGAGGCAGAGGTTACAGTGAGATTAGATTGCACCACTGCACTCCAGCCTGGGCAACAGAGCAAGACCCTCTCTCAAAAAAAAGAGAAAGTTTCAGTTAAATCAGTACTGTTGCTTGGTAGCCGGGTTGGTAAGAAAGCTCTAAGTGAGGTTGCCTAATGGGAACTTCAGAGACCCTCACTGGCTCCAGGTCACTGACAGGCCCCTGTGGGGCCTTTCTGCCTTGTAAAGGCTTCAGGGATCTTTCAGACTTCCCCTTCTTCAAAGGCTTAATCAAAAGAGTTAGACCCAGAAGCCACTGTTGCTATGAAACTGTTACTTATGGTTTGAAACCTGGGAGCAGATGGCATATTTATATAGACCACACCTCCTGGACTCTTTCCAGAGAGACCTTGGTGTATTGTTTATCACGACCTGCAGATTGTCTAATAGGAACATAAATGCCTTCTCTAGTCCTCCTTGGCATGGTGACCACCACTAGTAGAATGAGGATACTATTAGGTACTTTGGCAACTGAGGTAAAATAAACATGGACTCTGAAAGCAAATATATTAGTTCGATGAAGAGCTCTTATTGCTTTCAAATTATTCATTAGCCCATTAGAACTTGAACATTATGAATTATGAAAGAGTTCTGTTTCTGTTAAAAATAAGATAAAACCTGTCCTTGTTTTTTTTTATTATTGAGTTCCATTATTTCTAGGATATAAACAGTATAATTATATATTGAGTACAAGATAATGAAACTAGAACAATTTGCTCAGCCTTATAAAGCCAGCATGGCCTTAATTAGAATAGACAACTGTCTATAGCTCTAAATCAGAGCAAATGTGATATTAGGGTGCTCTTATCAAGGGATTTTAAGGAATGTTTTCAAGATTGGGTAAAGACAGAGTGGGAGGGGAAAAATAAAAGTAAAAAAGCATTGAGAGCTATACAATCAAAACATTAGAAAGCCAATAAAGGTTTGGAGATGAGGAAGGAAAGTCTGTGTGTTTCTGAGCAGGGACTAGTGGCCGTTAGTCGTCCCACTCACCCCATCCTTCCAAAGGTCAGCTGGAGTCCTGGCTGGTGGTCTGTCGGTCCTCTTAGTGAGTTGCCAGTCCTCCTACTGAGTTGCTCCTGCTTAGCATGAGCACAGAGAGCCTCTCGTGGATGACTGGAAGACAGAGAAGCCGCCAGCCAGCCCACGCATGGACTGCTGCCTCACAGGCTCATGCTGGTCAGGGGGACCCAAGCCGATGGCTGTCTCTCTTCTTTGACTTCTGAATAGTTCAGTCACTTAAAAGTAATCTGATTCCTCTACATTTCAGGATAAGTACATTGGCTTATAAGAATGAAGAATGTTATTTCCTTAGAGTGTTGCTAAATCTACAAAATTTAGTATCACAGAGTCATGAAGAACCTGGAAGTTCCACCCCACCCTCACCCTGCACCAGTCCAGTGCTGACCCCCCTCTTCCCACTCCAGGGCAGTCCAGCCTCTACTACACCCTTCCTTCTCCTCAAGGCAGCCATTTGGTCCCAGGTCAGCTCCGTGAGAAACTCTGCCTTTCATTAATGCAGCTTCTGAGGCTTCTGCATTCAAGTCAGCCTCCCTTCCATAAGTCAGTTCCCAAGCCTCATGAGGGCAGGAGCTGAATGTGTCTTCTTGCCCTTTGTCTTCCCCTAGCAGAGTGCCTGACTCCTCGTAGGTGCTTATTAAGTAGTTTTAAAATTCCTCACTGAATTGATCTTAGTTCTTTCATGGTGCCTTAAAATAAGTCCCTCAAACATGTGAATATCACCTTGCAGGCCAGCACACATCCCACATCTTTTGAACCTTCCTCCGATGTAACTTCCGGTTCCTTCAGTGTCCTGATCTCTCTTCTCTGAAAGGGGATCGGTCATCTCTCTTCCTCCAGGCAGAGCCTGGGTGCAGTACAGATCCACTCATCCGCCATAGGGAGAGCCTGGTCGGTTTCTAGCTGAAATCCAGATACACTTTGAACACCACGTTTTCCTTCCTAAGGAGTAGATGCTAGTGTCATGAGATTTGTTCTTAATGACCTTCTTGCCAGAGAAGGCAGAAGCCACATTTAGAAATTCTACTTTCTGTCTATTAAGGATGTAATATCATACCATCTGCTCCAACAGCAGTTTATCCTCTGTCCCTTTTTTGTTTCGTTTTGTTTTCTGCCAAGAAAGAGTAAATGTGTTCTTAGCATTTCCCCCACCCAGATCTTAGCTCACCGAGGTCCCTGGCCTCTTTGCTCTTATGGGTTCTTGCTTCCCTCTTATATTGGCCTTTGGTTACTGGCCCCTCTGACCTCCTATGATCTGCATCTTCTGTGCAACTCCTTATAGCACGGAGCTTGGTGCTCATCTTATTTCCAGTGTGCTTCCTGTCCTTACTCTCTGGAGAAAACCTGGATGATGTCTGTTAAGGCCTCTGCATTCTCTTCTGTCACCCTTCCTTTCCTAAGACCTCCCTGGGATCTGCCTCTCTCCTCTGAACTTCTTGGACTGCCTTAATGAGGTGTGTATATCTGGCCAGACTGCTTTTCCATCCTAAGCTATCGTGAATTCTGGCATGGCACAGTCCCTTTTTTTTTTTTTTTTTTTTTTTGAGACAGTATCCCACTCTGTCACCCAGGCTGGAGTGTAGTGGCATGATCATGGCTCACTGCAGTCTCGGCCTCCCAGGCTTAGGTGAGCCTCCCAAGTAGCTGGGACTATAGGCGTGCCACCATGCCCCATTAATTTTTTCTTTTAATCCCCGGAGATGGTCAGGAAACGGTTATTTTATTTGTTTATTTATTTTTTATTTTGCATTTTTTGTAGAGATGGGGCTTTGCCATGTTGCCCAGGCTGGTCTGGAACTCCCAGGCTCAAGCAATCCACCTGCCTTGGCCTCCCAAAGTGCTGGGATTACAGGTGTGAGCCACCGTGCCTGGCTGGTTGATGGTCACTTTTTCTCAAGGTTTTGGCACATCCACCTCGCCTGTCAGTCTCTCCTGTTCCAGGCAGACCTTGCTGCTCTTGGTCAAAGATTTTTCTCTAATCACACAGGACCAAAAGCCAACACTGAGTGCTGCTCTCTGAGCAATGCCCTGCTCAGTGACAATTGGCTAATTAAAGTGTAAACTGATCTGAAGGCCAGGCTCTCCTGGGATGCTTGCAAATCAGATCAAGTTTACTGCAGGCTCCAGGCTGAAAGACTATCCCCAGAATGGTCCAGTGATCATGATCCATAGCTTTGTATCCAACTCCAGGAGGAGGTTAATGAGCATCATTTACATCATTTTCATTGAATGTGCTTAACACGGAAGGGATTGCCAACAAGAAGCTCCTTGTATGGAGTCAGTTCTCTAGGCCCAGCAGTGTTATTTGTGATTGCCTAACCAGGCGGAATGAGACCTAAAGACAGTGAAATGTGTAACCTGTGGTAGATAACATTTAAAGATGCCCTGTGTTGTCTGGATAGGCCAAGTTATACTAAGGTTATAAACATCCCCCAGATCTCAAGGGCTGAACACAATGACAATTGATTTCTTTTTCACATAAAGTCAGCTAAGGGTTCAGGTGGTTCTCTAGAGTACCTGTCCTCCATGTGTCATCTTGATTGTCCAGACTGATGGAGGTTTCACCTACCTGAGACTGTAGCACCTGGAACACAATCTCTTCCATGTAGCTTGGGAAGAGAGGACTGGGCAAGGTTGAACACAGGTACTTGAAAGGCCTTGGAAATGACACACCTCGTGTCTGCTCCTGTCTCATTGGCTAGACCTAGTTATGTGACTGCCATTAACTTCAAGGAGGCATCCCCCACATCTGTGGAAGTGAGAGAGCCCAGGACGAGTGTCAACAAGGACCTCCAAAGTCACTGTTGTACTCTTGCTCCTACAGTTACTTTGACGAGCCAGTGGAGTTAAGGAGCAGTTCTTTCTCTAGCTGGGATGACAGTTCAGATTCCTATTGGAAAAAAGAGACCAGCAAAGATACTGAAACAGTTCTGAAAACCACAGGCTATTCAGACAGGTATGAATGCAAAACTGTGGGGTTGTAGTAGTGAATCCATGCATTTCTGGGAAAAAATTGCTGATAACATGATGACATGAAAACCCTTGTAAGGGGCTGGGCACGGCGGCTCATTCCCATAATCCCAGCACTTTAAGAGGCCGAGGTCAAAGGATCACTTGAGCCCAGGAGTACAAGGCTGCAGTGAGCTATGATCACGCCAGTGTACTCTAGCCTGGTCAACAGAGTAAGTCCCCCTCAAAAAGGAAAACCTTTTGAAACCTTTTGTAAGACTAGTAAATGATTTTGTTCTACTATTTCAGGAATATTGTTTTGATTTTGTTTTTTTGTTTTGTTTTGTTTTATTTTTGAGACAGAGTCTCACTCTGTTGCCCAGGCTGGAGTGCAGTGGTGCAATCTCAGCTTACTGCAGCCTCCGTCTCCCAGGTTCAAGCGATTCTCCTGCCTCAGCCTCCCGAGTAGCTGAGACTACCGGTGCACACCATCATGCCAGGCTAATTTTTGTACTTTTAGTAGAGACGGTTGCCTCACCAGCCAGGCTGGTCTCAAACTCCTGACCTCAAATGATCCGCCTGCCTCGGCCTCCCAAACTGCTGGGATTACAGGTGTGAGCCACCGTGCCCAGCCTGTTTTGATTTTAAATTACTGATTCTAAATAGGAAGTGCACATCAGAATCCTCTGTGGACCTTGAAAGAAATGTGTGTGTGGAGTCCTCTTCCCTGAAGATTCTGATCCATGGGTCAGGGGTGGCCTAGGTCAGGAAGGTTTCACCTTTTTCCCCAATTTTTTTTTTTTTTTTTTTTTTTTTAAGATGGAGTCTTGCTCTGTCACCCAGGCTGGAGTGCAGTGGTGCAATCTCAGCTCACTGCAAGCTCCGCCTCCTGGGTTCACACCATTCTCCTGCCTCAGCCTCCCGAGTAGCTGGGACTACAGGCGCCCGCCACCACGCCTGGCTAATTCTTTTGTATTTTTAATAGAGACGGGGTTTCACCATGTTAGCAAGGATGGTCTCGATCTCCTGACCTCATGATCCACCCGTCTTGGCCTCCCACAGTGCTGGGATTACAGGCGTGAGCCACCGCACCCGGCCTTTTTTCCCCCAATTTTAAGGTATTATTTACATATAGTAAAATTCATCTTTTTAAACTTACAGTTCTGACAAGCACATACATTCATGTAATTACCACCAAAACCAAGAAACAGAACAGTTCCCATCACCCCCAAATTTTCCCCATGCCCTTTGTAGTCCCCCCTCCCCTGCCCCTGGCCCCTGGTCACCCCAGGTCTGTTTTCTGGCCTTACAATTTTGCCTTTCCCAGATATCATATAAATGGAGTCATGTAGCAATTGGCCTTCCTACTCTGGTTTAACTTGTCTTAGTACACTTGGGGAAGACTCATTCATTCTTGTATTCATTCCTCTTACTTGCCAAGTTTATCCATTCACCTGCTGAAGGGCTGTCTCCAGTTTTTGGTGATTATGAATGAATTTATTTTCCAACCAGAGGACTTCTGAGAGTGCAAGGGGGTACTACTAATATGTTGGGACAACAGGTGTGACTTGAAATTGTCCCAGGTAACTGGGACATTTTATAACCTATACAATGTAGAGAGAGCAGTGTCCTATGGACATTCCAAACAATGTATTCAGTGTTTACCCAGTTGATCTGAAATGTGATATAACATATTTGAACTGAAATGTGAAATAACAGACCCCGTTTTAAACAGAAATTCCTTCAAATTTTGTATCGTTTGGGTATTTATTCTTTTTTTTTTAATTAGAATTTTCAGGCTTTTAAAAACAGCCTAAAATCCTTTTACAAAATTTACTGCTGTTGGCATTTTAAAAAATAAAATGAGTATGAAACACATTTGCTTCACCTCAAATTAGTTTAACCTAATTTGGCTGTTTTTAATTGCAGACCTACTGCTCGCCGCAAGCCAGATTATGAGCCAGTTGAAAATACAGATGAGGCCCAGAAGAAGTTTGGCAATGTCAAGGCCATTTCATCAGATATGTATTTTGGAAGACAATCCCAGGCTGATGTAAGGGTCCAGAGAGTTTCTTTGGGTGCCCCATAATGCAGGAAGGAAGTGTGGGTGTGGGCATTGTCGGGGAGGAGATCCTGAGTGAGCTGGGCTCAGGCTGCCAGATGCCCTCTGGCCTGAAAGTGCTGGAGTCAGGACTTGAACCCAGGTCTGTATAACTGATCATGTGCTTGCTACCTCAGCAAGAGGAATGTTTACAAGACAAGGACTTATCTCACAGTTGTCTTATTCCTCTCTTGGTGTTTTGAATAGCCATTATCCAGTATCTTTTGAATATATTTCAATTGTTGGTGCAGCTGTAATTTACTTAATAACTTTTAAACATAGTGAAATGAAGCACATAGATATGTTTCTTTTTTTTTTTTTGAGACGGAGCCTCCTTCTGTCACCCAGGCTGGAGTGCAGTGGCATGATTTCAGCTTACTGCAACCTCCGCCTCCCAAGTTTAAGCGATTTTCCTGCCTCAGCCTCCCAAGTAGCTGGGAATACGGCCGTGCACCACTACACCTGGCTAATTTTTGTATTTTTAGTAGAGATGAGGTTTCACCATATTGGCTAGGCTGGTCTTGAACTCCTGACCTCAGGTGATCTGGCTGCCTCGGCCTCCCAAAGTGCTGGTATTACAGGCGTGAGCCACCACGCCCAGCCAGATATGTTTCTGAGGAGTGCATATATTTATTTTCAGGTTGTTGGCTTTTCTCAGAAATGTTAATGAACTTGGCCAGGCACTGTGGCTCACACCTATAATCCTAGCACTTTGGGAGGCTGAGGCAGGTGGATCACTTGAGGCCAGGAGTTCGAGACCAGCCTGGCCAACATGATGAAACTCCGTCTCTACAAAAAATACAAAAATTAGCTCGGTATGGTGGTACGCGCTTCTAGTCCAGCTACTTGGGAGGCTGAGGCAGAGAATCGCTCGAACCCAGAAGCAGAGTGAGACTCTGTCTCAAAAAAAAAAAAAAGAAAGAAATGTTAATGAACTCATCATAGTGAAGTCTTGCTAAGCTGTAAGACTCAAGTGGAAGTGGGGAGGTTTACGTCTTTCCTCTCATCCTGAATTGCTAGTGTGCCTCTGACTATTTGGATGATGGTTTCCTAAAATGTGCTGAATGTATTTTGCAGAAATTTAAACTTCTGCAAGTGTAACATTTCGCCATCATTTCGAAAGTAGAATTGCCCCTTGCTGTTCCCACAGTCCATAAAATCTGCCTTGCTTCAAAGTTGACATTCAAGTTCAGTTTTAAAATAGTGTCATGGGGCTTGGAAAAGAGACTCTTAGAGTGGCCTTTGCTGACAGCTGGCTAGAAGCAGCACCAGGAGAGAGATGCCGCTCTCCCTCCCTCACTCCGACGGCCTCCGCACTGGCCATCGTGGCTGAGGTGTTGTATGTTGATCAGTCTGCCTGTGACCTGCCTCCCATGCAGAACATGAGCTTTGTGCTGTCCCGCAGGACCTGGCCTTGGCAGTGGCATTCAGTAACTGTTGGAAAGAAAGAGCCTGGGGGTCAAACACTTTCAAATGACAGCTCTTCAGTGATTCTTTTTGCAAAACTGCCCACAATCTTTGGAGCCTAACATTTCCTTTTCCTTGTCTTCTCTAGTATGAGACCAGGGCCCGCCTAGAGAGGCTGTCGGCAAGTTCCTCCATAAGCTCGGCTGATCTGTTCGAGGAGCCGAGGAAGCAGCCAGCAGGTAGGGGGCACTGAACAAGAGCTGGTCTCTGTCATGTCTACGGTATGAACACATTTCATCTGGATAGGACTGTTTCCTTTTCCAAGATATTTTAGCAACCATTATTCGATGCTCTGATCTCTGCTATAAGTCAGGTAGAGCAGAAGTTACTATTCCAGGCTTCACACGTAAGGAGACCAAGTCATGAAATTAAAGCAACATCCCATCATTGCCTGGCAAGTCATCCTTCTGAACACTGTCATAGAGGAGTGTTTTCTAGCTGAGTGCGGCTGTGCTATGAAATACCATGTGCTATCTTAGCCTTAGAGGTGGACAGCGCCGGGCTCCCGTGTGATCCTCACCACCCTCTAGCTGTGAGCCCTTGAGGATGTCATGGTGTCTTTAGCCTCAGTCTCCTCCTCTGTAACGGGGGTGGATAAAACCACCTCACAAGGTTGTCATGCGGCTTAAATGAGCAATGTGAAGTGCCACCAAGTGTCTGGCACACAGCAGGCCCCAGGGGTGGGCAGAGGCAGATAGAAACATGTGGCTCTAACAGCATCTGTCTTCTGGGGAAGACAGAACACAGCTTTGGGAGTGAGCAGGTGGAGAGGAATTGCCTGTCTCCCATATCCCTCTTCAGGGTTCAGACCCCAGCGAGGAGGTGTCTGGTCCTCCCAGGGCTGGGATGGCCTAGGATGGGGCGGCCTGTGAGCCCAGTGGTGGGCCTCAGAGCGCCGGCCCCTCTGCTTCGACTTCCCCTCCCCCTGACTGAGGGATGCCTTGTGAGAGTACCCTACAAAGGCCTCTGCCAGGCCACAGTGGGGAGGAGGGGCCCTGTGGTTAACGTGAAAGGGGCAGCGTCCTCTGAGGTCATTTCAGGAAGCCATTTATCAGCAGGAGAGCCAAGGGGAGGGATGACTCTCAGGAGCCAGGCATTCCAAGCCTGGCACCCTCAGCATCCCTAGGCCTAGAGGAGCTGGCTGTGGCTCTAAGTGACCAACCTAGGCTATCACTTGGCCTTACAGCCACAGAGAACAGCTGTTTTCAGAGTCCAAAGAGAAACAGCTCGAGAGAGGTCTGAGTGTCGGACATTCTGGGTTGTGGTTTGGGGATGTTATAGAGACACACTGTGGCCCTCGGGGTGCAGTGGGCACTGCCAAGTTGCTGTGCTGCAGTGGAGGGAGAGTCCTAGCCAGGTGGCAGCAAGTGAGACAAGGGTTGTGTTGGCAGAGCAGCTGGCAGAGAGCCAGGCAGCCCAAGGAGCCAGAGGCCAGGGCCAGAGTGGACAAGCCCCGGCACATCCGCTGCCAGTGAGAGTGTGAGGGTGCCTGGGGGTGCGCAGCCAGGGCCACGGCTCCCCTGAGCCACTCTTTGGTCAGGAGCACACCCTGTGCCTCACCCCAGACTTGAGCAGAGGGGCCTCGTTTCCCTTGGGCAGTCAGTTACTTGCTGACTGGGCATTTCCTGGCAGTGAGTCTTGGTGGGGGCAGGTGAGGCTCATTGGCTTGTTCCATCTCCAAACTTTCAGTGTCCTGGCCTGTTGTCAGGGCAACTTCCTTTTGTGACCACCCCTGGCAGAGAGGCACTCCGGCCACCTTTGGAGACCTCCAGCAGCCCCACAGGTCAGTGCTGGGTCGCCTTGTAGGGGCCCTGGCACAGCCAGCAGCCGGTCCAGAGACCTGCATTGTTCAGTCCCCTGACTCCCTGCAATGGATGCCTTTGTAATTTAAATCAATAGAAGTTTTACTCTGAAGCACTGTTTGTTTTTTTAAAAAAATATTTGGAGATCAAATGAGAGCAGCCTTTCCAGTTACTGAACAAAAATAGTGGCAGCCTGTGTTTACCTTCCTGTTCCCTTTCAGAGAACAAAGATCCATTAAATTTTTTTGACCCTGTGTGGATGCCAAACCAACCCTGGTTCCTGGCACCTCGTGGTCATTGTAAGGTGCACCCTGGGGTGAGAGGCCACCCAGAAACTCACTCCCCTGCCCCCGCCGGGGTCTAACTGTGTTGCCCAGGCTGGTCTCAAACTCCGGGCCTTGAGCAAACCTCCCTCCTCAGCCTCCCAAGAAGCTGGAATTACAGGCACCAGCAACTTTTATTAAATATTTACTTTTTATTATTCAGAGCATATTTCAACAAAGAGCTTTGTGTGTTCTGCCTCCATAAAGCTTGTTTTATTTTATAAATTTTTTTTTCTTTTATTTTGTCTTTAATACTTTCCTATTGAAGTAAAAGCTTGTTTTAAGAAAACAAGTTCTTAAAACTTGTTCTGGGCAAGGCACGGTGACTCACACCTGTAATCCCAACACTTTGGGAGGCCGAGGTAGGCGGATCACCTGAGGTCGAGAGTTCAAGAGCAGCCTGGCTAACATGGTGAAACCCCATCCCTTCTAAAAATACAAAAATTAGGCCAGTCACAGTGGCTCACGCCTGTAATCCCAGTACTTTGGGAGGCCGAGGCGGGTGGATCACGAGGTCAAGAGATCGAGACCAGCCTGGCCAACATGGTGAAGCCCCATCTCTACTAAAAATACAAAAACTAGCTTGGCGTGGTGGCATGTGCCTGTAGTCCCAGCTACTCCGGAGGCTGAGGCAGGAGTATCGCTTGAACCTGGGAGGTGGGAGTTGCAGTGTGCCGAGATCACACCGCTGCACTCCAGCCTGGAGACAGAGCGAGACTCCATCTCAAAAAAAAAAAAAAAAAAAAAAAATTAGCTGGGTGTGGTGGTGGGCGCCTGTAATCCCAACCACTCAGGCGGCTGAGGCACAAGAATTGCTTGAACCTGGGACGGGGATGTTGCAGTGGCCGAGATCGCACCATTACACTCCAGCCTGGGCAATAGAATGAGATTCTGTTTCAAAAAAAAGAAAAGGAAAAAAGAAACTATTCTGCTTGGTGGCTCACCCCTATAATCCAGCACTTTGGGAGGCTGAGGAAGACGTATCGCTTGAGCTCAGGAGTTCCAGACCAGCCTGGGCAACATGGCAAAACCGTGTCTCTACAAAAAATACAAAAATTAGCCAGGCATGGTGGTGCACACCTGTAGTCCCAGCTACTCTGGAGGCTAAGGTGGGAGGATGACCTGAGCCCAGGAGGCAGAGGTTACAGTGATCTGAGATCGTGCCACTGCACTCCAGCCTGGGTGATAGAGCCAGGCCTTGTATCAAAAAAAAAAAAAAAAAAAAAGAGGAAGGAGGGAGGGAAGGAAGGAAGGAAGGAAACAATCAGTTCTGTGTTCCTTATCTTAATTTCCAAATGTGAAACGCTTCTGGTGAGGTAAGCTGCTTTCTGGGGGTGTTTCTAGCCCAGGAGACCTGCGGCCGTTCTTACGGGCACTCTCTTTCACTGTAGCTGAAGGATTGAGTGGGAAGCGCATGTAAGTGCCTGCAGCCAACCTGACCTGGCACAGCAACAGTCCCTGTGGTCACACCCATGGGACAGGGTCATTAGAGCTGGGGGACTGCCATCAGCTGGGCACTGCCTCAGGCAGGCGTGAGGCACTCAGACACCAGATGACAGAGTGGAGGCAGCTGTGTGAGAGCCAGGATACAACAAAAAGCTTAAAACCCAGCTGCCCCCTCAGCATGTTTCCTCCCAGAAAGCCAATTCTGATTGTTTGAATGAGAGCACGTCTGCATGGGAGTGCAGACACCTGCACCCCTTCCTTGTGTGCATCGTGGGGTCAAGTGGTAGGTTGTTTGTGAGGTCCCTTAACCACTGTCTCCTTTTCTCTTTGCTCCAGCCCAGGGTCTAGGAGTGTGACCTCGAAAGCACTGCCCTCAGTCTGCATCAGGCAGTCTGGTTTGGTTATTGCCATGTGTGCTTGTCAGACAGTATAGCTGTGCAGTGGCCCCAGGAGTTCCAGACCAGCCTGGACAACATAGTGGGACCCCCATCTCTACAAAAAATTTAAAAAATAAAAAAATTAGCTAGGTGCGATGGCTAATGCCTATAGTTCCAATTACTCGGAGGCTAAGGCAGGAGGATCACTTGAACCCAAAAGATTGAGGCTGCAGTCAGCTGTGATCACACCACTGTACTCCAGCCCGGGCAACAGAGGGAGTCCCTGTCTCAAACAAACAATGCCCAAACTTGTTCTTATAATCTTGGAAATACTTTTTCTCTTCATTTGTCTGCATGAAGCAGAGAAATTAATACGTGGTATTCTATTAAAAATTCTTATTTTGGGCCAGGTGTGGTGGCTCACGCCTGTAATCCCAGCACTTTGGGAGGCCGAGGCGGGCAGATCACGGGTCAGGAGATCGAGACCATCCTGGCTAACATGGTGAAACCACATCTCTACTAAAAATACAAAAAATTAGCCAGGCATGGTGGTGGGCGCCTGTAGTCCCAGCAACTCGGGAGGCTGAGGCAGGAGAATGGCGTGAACCTGGGAGGTGGAGCTTGCAGTGAGCCGAGATCGCACCACTGCACTCCAGCCTGGGCAACAGAGCAAGACTCCATCTCAAAAAAAAAAAAAAAATTCTTATTTTGGGCCAGGCGCGGTGGCTCTCGCCTGTAATCCCAGCACTTTGGGAGGCTGAGGCGGGTGGATCACAAGGTCAGGAGATTGAGACCATCCTGGCTAACACGGTGAAACCCCATCTCTACTAAAAAATACAAAAAAAAAAAAATTATCTGGGCGTGGTGGCGGGCACCTGTAGTCCCAGCTACTCCAGAGGCTGAGGCAGGAGAATGGCGTGAACCTGGGAGGCGGAGCTTGCAGTGAGCTAAGATCGCGCCACTACACTCCAGTCTGGGTGACACAGCGAGACTCTGTCTCAAAAAAAAAAAAAAATTGTTATTTTGAGGAGCCTGGGAGTTGTCCTGGAAACTTCCACCTCCCACGTCACACCATAGACCCATATGATCAGAATCTCTCCTGGGTGACTCCAGACCTGAAACGTGGCCACAACCCGCTGCTTGGTCCTCCTGCCTCCAGTCTTGGCTGCTGCTCACCCCTCTCCTCACTCTTCCCACAGGGATCTTTCAGAACACAGTCATCTGTGCTGAAAATCCTGCCCTCAGCTTGAAGCACAGCTCCCCACCCAATGCCCACCTCCAGGACCATGGTTCCCACTGGCCTTTCCAGCCTCATTTCTCGTGATTCACTGTTGTGGCTCACTCCAGCTGTGTTGAGCCTGTGGAGCCCCCAGCCCAGAATGCTCTTCTTCCCCATTCCCCCAGACAGCCCCGCAACCCGTATTTACCCTGGGGGCCTGGTTAGGCCCCCTTGCACCACTCTTGTGCCTTACACTGAGGGCAAGACCATGCGAAGACCGTCTCCCCCAGTGGACTGTCAGTTCTCATTTCTGTGCCCTTGGCGCCTGACAGCCTGGCAGAGGAAGCCCTCTGCAGGTGTTTGAGGATGAATGGGTGGAGGGGTGATGAATGACCCCAAGGAGCTTGCTGAGTCTGAGCACCTGCCCACCGGCCAACATAGGCTGGAACACGCCTCCCCCTACCTCCCATGTCCCATGGCCAGTGCCAGGCTGCAGGGGCGATGTGTTCCGCCTCCAGCACAAGCCTTAAGAGCTGTGCGCATGTTGCCATGTTTCTTTCCCTGTCATAGTAGGCAAGGAAGCTGGAATTAAGAGGTGGCCCCATGGGCTTGGACCGCAAGTGACTGTGATGCACAGAACCCCCTGCCCACCTGCACTGGGCACAGCAAACATCAGTTGTGGGTGGTTGTTAGCTCAGAGTCACCTGGCCTGTCCTGACCCATCCAGGGCATTTGCCCCAACCACAGACCACTGTGTAGCTCAGTGTCCCCTCTGTCTCAGAGAGGGGAGCAGCTGTCTTCTTCCTGGCTGCCCAAGCAGAAACCTGGGAAACATCCTTAATCCGCCTGCCTCTCAGCCTGCCTAGGCCAGTCAGTCAGTGTGCCTCTTGACACCTGCCTCCTGAGGACGCTCAGCCCGTTCCCTCCTGATCCCCACTGCCGCCTCCTCATGCTCAGGCACCGCCCCATGCACCTGGACCCCTGCAGCCACCTCCCAGCTGTCTACCTGAGTTTGCTCTGTGTCCCCTCCAGATGACACAGGTCACACTTTAGTGATGTTATCAGTTAATTGTCTGCTTTCCCCAGTAGGTGGTGAGCTGTGGAAAAGCAGGTCTGTAGCTGTGTCCTCAGTACACACTGTGGGTGTTCTGGGAAAAGATAGGGAGGAGAGATTCCCTGGGTCAAGGACGCTCTTCCTGAGCAGGTGGCTGGAACTGTCATTTCCTGGAGCTCATTGTGTAACCTGAGCACACTAGGGCTGTCTTTGACCATGGCCACCCGGCCCCTCCAGCCTGCCCAGGCAGCCCTCAGAGGAGACACAGCACCCCAGTCCCATCACTGTGTTGGAATTACACTCTGTCATTGGTGAAGGCCTACAAGATTTTAGACAGTCAGCTGGAGGTGGAGATGGGAGGACCTGCATCTGTGGTGGGCATGGGAACAGTGCTGGGGGCAAATGCAGTGTCTCTTCCAAGGGACACGTTGCAGGGTAACTTGTCAGTTCTGTTTTATTCTCAGAGAGGGACTTGACCAAGGCTTTCTGTTTTTGTTTTTGAGATGGGGTCTCGCTCTGTCACCCAGGCTGGAGTGGGGTGGCACAGTCTTGGCTCACTGCAACCTCCACCTCCCAGGTTCAAGTGATTCTCCTGCCTCAGCCTCCCAAGTAGCTAGGGTTACAGGTGTGTGCCACCATGCCCAGCTAATTTTTTGTATTTTTAGTAGAGATGGGGTTTCACCATGTTGGCCAGGCTGGTCTTGAACTCCTGACCTCAAGTGATCCTCCCACCTCAGCCTCCCAGAGTGCTGGGATTACAGGCGTGAGCCACTGCGTCTGGTGGGTTTCTGTTTTGTAAGGAGCAGGTGGTGTCATGTGGGGCTTAGGGAGTAGCTGGGCGTGGCTACTCCTGAGGACCTGCAGGGTTTGTGTTGAGCTCACTGAGCCCCTCCAGCGTCTTATTACAATTGTGACACAGAAGTTTATGAACCCCTGATTGTCAGCTCTAGGAGTGTGGTCAGACCTCCTTGATGTGTGATAACCCTGATGAACTTCACCCAGATTGGTAGCAATTATGGTGATGTTTACATCAGGGCAACCAAAACTTAAGCAACTAACACTTAACAAAACTAACAACTAACAAAACTTAGGGCCACTAACACCGGCCCTAGCAAAGAGGGTGGAAGTGTGAACTTCTGTACCTGGGAAGACTGGCAGTGGAGCTTGGCTTCTAAGTCACAGTCAGACAGCATCAGTGATGCATCTATTTGGCTCACCTCCTTGGGGGAGGTAACAAGCTTCCTCCATACCCCAAGCGAGTGGGAGGGGCAGTCGTAGTCACAGATGGCTGCTGCTTTGCTTTGTCCCTGCCAATAACCCCAGAGCAAGCAAATGGCTCTTCTCATTTGAGGATACATGAATCCCTGGGAAGGCTCTGATTGGTCAGGCCTGGGTCATGTGCCCATGCCTGTGGACAGGGTAGAAGGGAGAGGTGGTTCCTGGAGGAAGGGAGGAGTACTGTTACCAAAAGAGGGAGGAGGTGATGAGAAACAGGCCATCCGTGTTGGCCCATCTGCCTTTTGCTGGGTACTTACCTGCCAGGGCTATGTTAAGCACCTTGAGGAAATGGGCCCAGAGAGAGCAAGGAACTTCTCTAGAGGCACACAGCCTAGAAGTGACAGTGCCAGGATTTGAACTCATAGTGGTGTTAAGTCCCCCATACTACATTTTCTGTCGTGTGGATTCTCTCATGTGGATCATGGCAGGGCTGCCACTTCAGCCCGAGTCTCCATCCCACTGTTGGGCCCCTTGTGAGGCAGCAGGAGGGGAGAGATCCGGGTTCTCTGGAGCCGTTGAGCACTCTGGGTACTGGGTTTGCCGCAGCTGTGGCCAGGGCAGTGATGAGACAGTGTCTGCTGTGTGTGTGCAGGGAACTACAGCCTGTCCAGTGTGCTGCCCAACGCCCCCGACATGGCGCAGTTCAAGCAGGGAGTGAGATCGGTTGCTGGAAAACTCTCCGTCTTTGCTAATGGAGTCGTGACTTCAATTCAGGTCAGTGGAATGGGGCAGTGCTCACTGGCTATGACGGTAGGTTCAGCAGTTTGAAAATGAGACCTGCTTCAATCTTCAACTGCTGGAAAATTCAATTATATATTATTGGATCGATATGTTTGCTACACTATAACCCAGAACATTATGAAAACCAGAAATTATAATTTTATATTTAATATTTTCTAACGGATGACTCTAGGGGAATTGTTAGAGGAATTGTCATGACCATTGTCCAGTTTTTTTCCTAGATTGGAACAGAGAAGTATTAAGAAGAAAACTGAAATTATCTGTAATGCCACATCACAGGGATAACCTCTGTTAATATTTTGGTATATTTTTAGCTCTAGATTTCTAAGGATATTTTTCTATACGTAGATTAAAAAGATATACATATCTATCTTTTTAAAGTTAAAAAGGGATTATATTGTATAGAGGGTTTTATATCTTGCTTTTTCTCTGTGATGCTGGGAGCATTTCCTTGTAATGAAAAGTTTTCCTAAAACCACATTCTATTGAGTGAAAACATAAGCCAAGGATGGCGCATACTTGCGCATGAGAGTCGAGGCCATCTGTGACGATATGAGTGGCTCGTTTCTTTGCACCTTCTTGTTTACGTCAGGCTATTGAAGAAGGATTGTATTAATGTAAAACGCTGCTAAAGGAAGTAGGACTGAAACCGTGTGGACTCTGGTGCCTCCAAAGGAGATTCCTGGTCCCCAGGCAGATGCTGCTCTAGCTGCAGTTCAAGGAGGGCGTGGAGGTGCACCCATTCCGGAGAGTTCCCTCAGCCCCAGGACTCTGGATGTAGCCGTTTTCATGCTGTGAATAGCACAGTCTTCCCTTTCATGTGGCACTGAAGTTAAAATGCATAGAGCTCTTTCATGTCCCTTAGGTCAGCTAAGCCCACATCAGTGTCCAAATAGGTAACATCCCTATTTTATAGATGGTCATCCCCATTTTAGAGATGGCTCCCTTTTATATCCCCATTTTACAGGTGAAGGAATTGAGGCACAGAAGGTTAGGTCACTTCTGCAAGATGACCAGCTGAACCAAAATTTCAGGGCTTCAAACACCAAATGTGTTCCTTTGTCTTCCGTTTCCCACTTGCTTCCCAGAGGGCTCAGCAAGTTGCCTCTGGCCCACTGAGCATCCTCCCGCCCACTTTGCTCCCTGCCTCCTGATCCCAGGACTGTGGCCGTGGATGCCAGAGGCAGGATGTGAATCCTGTTGGGTTCTGAAGCCCACACCTACCCTCAGCCTTGAAGCTGCAGCAATGGCTGCTTCCAGATGAGCACACCCTCGGGGTGCAGCGTCCATGTCACATGCCTGACATGGGCTGCAGTGTCAATTTGGGTGATGCTGAATATTCAGGGCGTGGGAGTCAGGGATCGCTGCTGAATGGTCGTGAACTTCCATTTTGGTTCTCTCTTCAGGATCGCTACGGTTCTTAATACTGAAGTCATGATGTGTATTTCCTGGAGAAATTCCTCTTTAAATGAACAAGTAACCACATCTCAGGCGGCAGTGAAGTCCAGATAGTTTTGCAGATTGTTTTGCTACTTTTTCATATGGTATATGTTTCTGATTTTTAATATTTCTTTTGAGAAATTCTGAGTTCTGATGTAGGAGCTTTCCTGTGATTTCTGTTTCACGTTCCTTCCTGTCACACCCTCCTTTGGCGTCTCTGTGTATATCCTTGCTTTATTTTCTTGGAACCTTTGATTTCAACACTGAGGGCCTGGAGACCTCGGCTCCTCCTGCTCCTGAACCAGGAGGCTTCATGTGGGGGAGGAGGAGAGGTCTCCATGTGACACATGGGCTCAGGGCTGCCAGAATCAGCGGATGCTGGATGGGCCTGCAGAAACAACACTCACCACACACACTTCCTTCAAAAGACCAAAAGTGACTGGTGTCTCGTGTGACAGATTGCTTCATTTATGTTTCTACATAGTAAGGTGACTGCCAAATAATATTTGAAGTCATCTGTCTCTTTGTAAATTATTTTATATGACCTATAAATTTAAAAATGTTTTTCAGTGAGTGCTTTTAACAAACTTAAGCTTCTGCCCTGCCAAGGGAATTAATGTTATCTTGTGAAAGGTGTTGCTGTTTGAATTGATGAGAAATGGAAGATGAGAACTCCCTAAGAGTTCTCATAATAAATCATCTCATCACAAATCAATACGGTATACAGAGTTAAAGTGGAATGAGGTAAGAAGATACAGCTACAGAAAATAGTTGCGTGTATGGGAGAACAGTCATTGTAATTGGGTAGTTTTGTTAATAAATATTTTTAAATCTTGCTTTTCAGAAATTACCGAATGTGTATAAACAAATAAAGAAAAATAATTTAGCTGTGTTTTAGACAGCATTAGAATATATTGTTCAGCACAGTAAAATATATTTGAAATTTGATAAGCCAAAAATGTGGTTTTGAATGAATATTTTGTGAATCTTTCTTAAAAGCTCAAATTTGTAGACTTCTAAATAGAATAAACACTTGCAGCAGATGGCATTGCCTACATTTTTCCCTGAAAGCTTTCGTAATAAGTCATCGTAAGTCGAGGTTTTTGGTGTGACATTGATGAACGTTTGAATTGTGGTGACTGTAGGTGGACGTGGATTTAGCGTGCGTGCGGGGCCTGCTGTGCAGTTGTGATGAATTTGGGATGTTGTTTGTAGCACAGGAGCAAGGCGGGGTGTCCCGGTTGAAAATGGGGATGTTGGGCCAGGTGAGGCGGCTCACACCTGTAATCCTAGCACCTTAGGAGGCTGGGGCGGGAGGATTGCCTGAGCCCAGGAGTTTGAAACCAGGCTGGACAACACAGCAAGACCCCGCCTCTACCAAAAAAGAAAAAATTCAGCCGGGTGCAGTGGCATGTGCCTGTAATTCCAGCTACTCAGGAAGCTGCAGCAGGAGGATCCCTTGAGCCCAGGAGGTCAAGGCTGCAATGAGCTACGACCTGGACACTGCACTGCAGCCTGGATGACAGAGCAAGACCCTGTCTCAAAAGAAAAAAAAAAAAGAGGAAGGGAGGGGATTGACTCCCCACTCCCAGAGCCTTAGCTGAAGGTGCCTGTCATGTGCCTTCCATGCCCCTCCCCACTGCCCCTCCCCTTCCCCTCGGTCTCCCCCCTGCCCCTCAGTCTCCCCCCAGCCCCTCTCCACTGCCCCTCGGTTTCCCCCCTGCCCCTCAGGCTCCTCATCCCCCTTCCCCCCGCCCCTCAGTCTCCCCACCTGCCTCTCGATCTCCCCTACCCCGTCTCTTAGTCCTCCCCTTTTCCCCTCAGTCCTCCCATCTTTGACACTCAGTGTCCTCAGGGTCTCAGAATCAGGAATCTGAGATAGATAGAGACATTTGAGCATTCCTTAAAATGCTATTAAGATGGCAAAATGGAAACTGGAGAACTCGGCAGATACCTTCCAGAGAGCTAGGAAACCCATTTCATCTACTACCGGTGTCTTTAAATAGAGGTGAAGACTGACAGATACGTTGGAAGCACCAGACATTTTGGGAGTCGTCTTTCAGCAAATTGGCTTCACAGGCGGACCACTGAAGAGTGTATGCAGAGGCTGGTCCCTGTGGGGGCCGGAGCAGACGGGTTATTGTCGCAGGTAGGAAGTCCCAGGTGTACCATCCAAGCTGGCAGGACTTGAGCTGGCTTGCCCTTAACCGCACTGTCCTTGCCACACCAGCCCTCCCCTCCTGCTTGTCACAGATGGCATCCTCCCTTCCAGGCCTCTGCGCAAGAACAAGGAGAGGAGAAAGGGCTGACTCCCAGCGAGGGACTTGTGCCTTTTTCTCCCCAGCCAGAACTGCGTCCCAGGCCCCCCTAGTTGCAAGGGAGTGGCAACGGGGTGTGTTTTCAGCAGGTCCCATTGCTGCCTTGAACAAAATCAGAATCTGTTGGTGAGGAAAGAGGGGGACGGGAGTGGGACTGGCAGCTTGGGGGAGGGACAACTTACTTCAGGACTACTAGGGGAACAGAGAACCGGAGGGGAGCAGAGAAGGCAGAGCCACCAGCAGAGGGGGTCCTGCGGCTGGGCCTGGACAGGCAGTATGGAAGTGAGTGTCCGAGGTGAGGAGTGTGGCCGTGCAGAGGCCCCGGGGTGGGCGGTGGCAGAGGGAGCAAAGGACAGGAGCAGTGGCGAGACTGGTGCCAGGGGCAGGGAGCGGGGCCTGCCCCTTGATGCATTTTCTCGTCCAGGCTTTTCCTGAGCCTGCTAGGAAGGGTGTGGACGGTAGGACAGCCTTGACGCCATGGTTGGGTTTGCAGGCCAGCAGCAGCTGGCACTTGCTGAGCTCTGAGGATGTGTGGGGCACAGGCTGAGCCTGCACGTGTGAGAGCACACGGAGTCCTCACACCAGCGCTTAGAGGCAGGCAGGATTGTCGTTCCCACTTCACAGAGGAGGACACTGAGGTTCAGAGAGGGAAAATGAGCCACCCAAGGCCCCTCAGTCAGGAAGCAGAGGGTCTGGGCACCCAACCCACTAAACTGCCACACTCTGCCACCCTCCAGGGGCAGTCAGAGGGGAGGCTACATTGGAGAGGAAGGGGGTGAGGGCCAGGAGGACAGCGAGGAGGTGGTGGTGGAGGCCTGCCTTTCTCCTGACACAGGCAGTGAGGCACTGTTCTGGGAGGGTTCTGGCAGAAAGGGTGTCTTTGGGTCTCGGGTGGTGGGCATCTGGGTGCCAGGCCCAAATGGATCCCCATGGCCCCTAGGTGTGCAGAGGCAGAGTGTGTACTGCTCGGAGTGGCAGGCAGAGCTGCTGGACGAGGAGCACTGTGACACCCTGGCCCAGGGATGGCGGCCAGAGGGGGTGGTGAGGAGTCCCGCCCTGCCGGGTGAACCCACCCTGACCACACCCCCACCAACTCCCCACGCCTAGGTGTCCTGCGTCTGCCACAGGCCCCTACATCTGGGTTCCCTGAGGCCCAGGGGAGGAGCAGAGGGAGCCGGACTTTCACTCTCTTCCTAAGGCTGAAGCCCCAGCCCCGGGTTGCCGCTCACCCCAGCCTGGGACAGCCGGGACACCTGTGCTCCTCCTCTTTGGGTCCCTGGATGTGGAAATAGGCCTCTGGTCACCCTCAGTTTCCCTGAGGGGAGGGTTGTGGGAGTGGAGGGGCTGAGCCGTGTAACCAGGCTTTGGGGGCGGGACACCGACCTGGGCTAGGAGCTCTGGAGAATCGTCCGCTGGCCTCAGTCCCGGCTCTGCCCAAACCCTGAGGGTCTGGGAGCCCCTCCTGGCCCTCCCTGCTGGTCAGCCTGCCGATGCCACCCATCTGACACCACGCTGATGCCACCTGTGTGCCCTCGCATGGTGGTGGGCAGGGGCCTGGGGGCCTCTCCCGCTGGGCAGTGCTCTGCATCCCAGTGTGGGGCTGGATGAGCAGAGACCCCTGGAGCCGCCCGCCTGTGAACACCATCCCCAGTCCCCTGCTGGAACCCCTTGCAACCACCATGTGCCCCGTCTGTCCACCTGGGCTGCGGGGAACTGGTCTCGGGATGGGAAGGGGCCTGCCTCCAGCTCCCCCCTTGGTCTTGGGCTGCAGGGAGGTAGACGGCCTTCCGGGAGCCCTTATTGCCTGGTACCACAGGTGGGAGGGAGCCTGGGGGATTCCAGGGTCCAGACCCTGACTCCAGAGCCTCAGGGATCAGGAAGCCCCTGGCAAGCTGTGGCCACAGCCATGGCCTTGAGCTGGGCACGGCCAAAGAGGGCTGGCTGGGGTCTCTGCCACTCTGACATCGGGCAGTGGACAGGTTACCCAGCCTTGCCCCAGCGTCCCCTGGCAGCCTGCCTCCCAGCCTGAGCCCCTCCCCTGGCTTCCCTGCAGTGCTCAGTGACATGCAGGGAGGGCACTCAGCACCGAAGTGTCCTCTGCACCGATGACACCAGTGTCCCTGTGACAAGGCCCAGCAGCCAGCCAGCACAGTCACCTGCTCTCTACCACCCTGTTGGCGAATCCTGGACACACTGGGCCCTGAAGGCTCAGGCAGCGGCTCCTCAGCCACGAGCTCTTCAGCGAGGCTGACTTCATCTCACGCCTCCTGGCCCCAAGCCCTTCACCTGCGCCAGCCAGCATGGCAATGCCATTGAGGAGGAGGCCCCAGAGCTGGGCCCACTGGGGCGCGTGTTTGTAGATGACTTCCACTACGACTACAATTTCATTCATCTCCACGAGGATCTGTGCTATGGGCCCTTAGAGGGGCCTGACCTAGACCTGGCAGGGACAGGGGATCGGACGCCCCCACTGCACAGCCGTCCTGCTGCACCTTCCACCGGCAGCCCCATGCCTGCCACAGGGCCTCCTGCAGCCAAGGAGGAGGGGGTACTGAGACCCTGGCCCACTAGCCCTTGGCCCAGCCAGGCCAGCCACTCCCCACCCCCACCTTCAGAGCAGACTCCTGGGAACACTCTGGTCAATTTCCTGCGTGAGGAAGACACCCCCATAGAGGCTCCAGACCTTGAGCTCTCCAGCCCGCCCTGGCCCAGGGTTTCTATTGATGGCACGCAGACGCCTGCCACCCCTGGGAGCCAAAATGACTTCCTAGTCGACTAGGACAGCCAGAACCAGCTGCCCCCTCCATGGTGGGACAGGACCAATGAGGTTTCCAAGGACAATGAGGAACCCGTGGGTCACGGAGCACCCTACCTGCCCCAGAGACTCAGCCCCACGCTGCCCCCTTTGTTCCCTGTCGACAGCACCCACTCCTGTCCTGGTCCTGACATGGTGGAGCTGTGGACAGGAAGGACTGTAGCCTGGGAGCCAGCTCAGGATGGCGGCCTGGGGCCTGTGGACAGTTAGCTGTGGCCCACTGTGGGGGCGGCTCCTCCCCCTCCTCCCGTAGGCACTCTGCCGGAGATTAAGGGCAGGGACAGCCTCCTGGAGCCAGAGACTCCCACCTTCCCAACCCCAGGACCAGGCTCATGGGACCTGCAGACTGTGGCAGTGCCGGGGACCTTCCTCCCCACAACCCTGATTGGCTGCAGGCACACACCCTGGGTGACTGCCCTGAGCCCGAGACCCAAGGGCCAGCCTGAGCCCCTCAGCCCTGAGGTGCCCCTGAGCTCTGGGCTTCTGTCCACGCTAGCTTGGGGCAGCCCCAACAGCAGCAGCAGAGTTCCTGAGGCCCAGCCCCCGGCCCCCAGCCTGGCTGAGACGGGGCCCCCGCGGACCTGCTGGCTGCCAGGAACACCAGCTGGCGAGCGGGAAGCTGGAGCAAGGCAAGTGATGTGGGCTGTTGGGTGGGCGGCGAGTTTGCACGGGACCTTGGTGACTGTTTCCTCATCTGAAAATGAGCAGAGTGGGACACGGGCGCTGTCTGTCCTGTTTCCCTTGGGGCGGGGGTTCCTAGGATTAGGGGAAACTGACAGCTGTGGTAGGTGGAGGCTCCATGAGGTGAGAGGAGCATTGCTCCAGCTCAGCCTGGCCAACATGGCAAAACTCTCTCTACAAAAATTAGCCAGGCGTGGTGGTGGGCGCCTGTAGTCCCACTTACCCAAGAGGCTGAGGGAGGAGAATCGCTTGAACCCAGGAGGCGGAGGTTGCAGTGAGCCGAGATCGTGCCACTGCACTCCAGCCTGGGTGACAGAGCAAGACTCTGTCTCAAAAATAAAAATAAAATAAAATATACCTACTAAGCATCTACCCGTGCCAAGCACTATTCTAGGCACAGGATATAGTGAAAAATGAGATAGACAAACTGAGAAAAAAGAAATAGGATCATTCATTCTTCACTCCCCAATATTATAGAACTAGTTCAGGCCTATTAATGAAATAACTGAGGGCTACGAAAATGTAGCGTGCATAGACTAACGCAGGCACGTGACGAGCATTTACTGAAACACACACTTTGGCGTTCCACCACCAGGCTCTGCCGGCAGCACTTGGTAATGAACACGGCTGCTGCACAGGCTCAAAAGAAGCAAGAGTCAGGGCTGGGTTAGGGCACGTTCAGCCAGCTGTCGTCGCAACAGCTGGAGAGACACTACTTCTGGGCAACTTTCTGGAGAAACCTCAACCTGCTTCCTGAAAGGGCAAGCCAGGCTGAACACCTTCAGTAGAGAGTCATTTGTGGAATAATCCATGACCATCTATTCGCGCTATAGGAAAAGCAGTCTCTTGACAGAGGAGAACCTAGGACAGGGAAATTTTGCCAGGGACAGGGACTCTGAGTTCTGAGGACTTCCCAGTCGCGGGGATGACTTGCAGCTGTGGGTGAATCATGATGGCCACTGATGTTTATTGAATGTGCACTGAGCCTCCTGGCCACCACACCACACAGATTAACTCTAGAATTACCAAAACCTACCAGGTAGGTACCTTTTGTTTTTTGATTGGTTGGGTTTTTTTTTGTTTTTTTTTTTTTTTTTTTTTTGAGATGGAGTCTCGCTGTGTTGCCCAGGCTGGAGTGCAGTGGCCCGATCTCAGCTCATTGCAAGCTCCACCTCCCAGGTTCATGCCATTCTCCTGCCTCAGCCTCCCGAGTAGCTGGGACTACAGGCACCCACCACCATGCCCGGCTAATGTTTTGTATTTTTGGTAGAGACAGGGTTTCACCGTGTTAGCCAGGATGGTATCGATCTACTGACCTTGTGATCCGCCTGCCTCGGCCTCCCAAAGTGCTGGGATTACAGGCATGAGCCACCGTGCCCGGCCCGGGTAGGTACCTTTTCTCCCTTCTATTTTTATAGATGGAGAAACAGACACAGTGAAGTCATAGGGCCAACAAGTAGAGGAGCTGGGATTCTTTTTATTTTCTTTGAGACAGAGTCTCGCTCTTATCACCCAGGCTGGAATGCAATGGGGTGATCTCGGCTCACTGCAACCTCCGCCTCCTGGGATCAAGCGATTTTCCTGTCTCAGCCTCCTGAGTAGTTGGGATTACAGGTGCATGCCACCACACCTGGCAAATTTTTTGTATTTTAGTAGAGATGGTTGGCCAGGCTGGTCTTGAACTCCTGAGCTCAGGCAATCCGCCCACCTCAGCCTCCCAAAGTGCTGGGATTACAGGCATGAGCCACTGTGCCTGTAATCAGGCCTCAGATTTTTTTTTGAGAGAGAGTCTCGCTGTCACCCAGGCTGGAGTGCAGTGGCACAATCTTGCCTCACTGCAACCTCCACCTCCCAGGTTCAAGTGATTCTCCTGCCTTGGCCTCCTGAATATCTGGGATTACAGGCGCGCACTGCCACGCCAGGCTAATTTTTGTATTTTTAGTAGAGACAGGGTTTCACCATCTTGGCCAGAATGGTCTCGATCTCCTGACCTTGTGATCCACCCATCTCGGCTTCCCAAAGTGCTGGGATTACAGGCGTGAGTCACTGCACCTGGCCTGGCCTCAGATTTTTATTTTAAGTGCACAAAATAAAACACAGCAATGTATATAAATCTTGTAGAGTTTATGAAAATATTTCTGATATTACATGATATGCTTTACTGGCACGTTAAATAAGATCCAGAGTTGGGTCTAATTACTATAATTTTGAGGTAATAATGAGCAAAAGTGATATCTCAAGATGTCTGCAACAGCTGCAATGTAACATGAAAATATCTGATTTCTATTGGTAACAAGGTAACAGGTGCTGCTAACACTAATGAGGTTTGTTCCCAGCAACATTCACCATGGAAGGAAATGCTGAATTTCAATTAAAGTGTAGGGAAAATCAAGATGTAATCTCCCTCCTCCTTGTCTCTTTTTCTTTGTTTGTTTTTGTTTTTGAGGCATGGTCTTGCTCTTGCCCAGGCTGGAGTGCAGTGGAGCAATCATGGCCCACTGCGGCCTCAGCCTCCTGGGCTAAAGCGATCCTCCTGCCTCAGCCTCCTAAGTAGTTGGAACCACAGGTGTGTACCGCTACACCGGGCTAATTTATCTTCTTTTATTTTTTATTTTTTTTGAGACAGAGTTTTGCTCTTTTTGCCCAGGCTGGAGTGCAATGGCGTGATCTCAGCTCATTGCAACCTCCGCCTCCCAGGTTCAAGCAATTCTCCTACCTCAGCCTCCCAAATAGCTGGGATTACAGGTGCCCGCCACCATGCCCGGCTAATTTTTCTATTTTTAGTAGAGATGGGGTTTCACCATGTTGGCCAGGCTCATCTCAAACTCCTGACACTGTGATCCACCTGCCTCAACCTCCCAAAGTGCTGGGATTACAGGTGTGAGCCACCGTGCCAGGTTTTATCTTTTTTATAGAAATGAGGTCTTGCCTCCCTCCTGGTACTGACATACCTGCTAGCGTGTGACTGAAGGCAGTGTCCTTGGCCCCAGCAGAAGGAACGTAGCCAGCCGGCAGCTCACGCACCTTGGCCTGTTGCTCCTAGGAGCTGCCTATGCTATTCAGCCAAGGGGACCACGGTGCCTGCTGGCCCGGCTGAGCTCTGCCCAGCGAGCCCGCCAACTTCCCCGGCCACTGACTCTTGCTCTTCTGCTTTTCCCAGCAGGAAGACAGACCCCAGCCTCACCTGCAGCCACCCCACCCCGACCAGCTAAGGCTCCCCACTTAGACTTACAAGTCTATGGCCACTGGCATCCGGCTGCCTGCCCTCCCTGCCTCCCCCAGGGTCCCTTCAGAGGGTCTTGGGCTTTCTGACCCCTTTTAGCTTCACCCTCCCGGTTCAAGCAGTGTTTTCTCTATGAGACCTGGTGGCTGTTGCGTGGGGCTCTCCACGGCAAGGGGTAGCCCTGAGCCAGTGGGTTGGAAGACAGGGTGACCAGAGAAGAGGGAAGCCCGAGGGGGCTGAGATCGGTCTGAACTGTGGGTGCACTGCCTGGGTGCCGTGGGAAAGGCCAGCGTGTGTGGGGTCGGGAGGGCCGCCACAGCCCCCAGGTGCTACCTGTGAAGCTCCGAATCCTCCATCATCCTCCCCTTTCTCTTCCAGCCCCTCCTTTCCAGGAACCTTGCCACACCCCCACCTGTACCTGCACCTGCACGTGCACCCTTCCCTCTCCCTCCCGTCCCGGGCCCTCCCACCATGTGCTGCACTTGCCTTACCAGCTCTCCTCACTTTTCTCTCTCCCGTTTTCTCTCCGCTTTCTCTCCAGCTGCCAGCTGATAGATCGAGTCAGGCAAGAGAGCCCCAAGCCCTTCGACCTCTAAACAGATCCCTCCTCTTCTCGGTGACCTCCCTTTCCCAGCCTGCCTGGACGGTTGTTCTGTGACTTAACAGTGGCTCCCCCAGCCCCAAAGCCAGCCCCCTTCATCTGTGACTTAGTCTGCTGTCGTGGTGAGCTGACACATCCAGGTGTGACCACTGGTGAAAACTTGTGCCTCTGTTGTACACCCTGCCCTGTTCTATAAATATCTATCAATACTCATATATAGACACACCTACACATGGCCGACCGCCTCGCCTCTAGCGCTGGGCATCAGTCACCATGCTGTCCTTGTGGAGTCTTGTGGTCCAACTACAAGAGAACGCTGTCCCTTGACATCCCCCCTCCAAAATGCGCCGCCTCCAGTGAGCCTCCCTGCCGTGCCCAGCCTTTGGACAGCCAGCTCCTGCCACCCCTCCTGCCCCCTGCCAAGTATTGGAGTGCTGTGCAGGCAGCCGTGTGGCCTGACGGTCTCTACCAGTCCTGCTGTCCCTCGGCTGGGAATCAAACTCATTTCTTGATAACAGGGAATGTCTCCTGCTGGTTGTGTTCTCCGCGGAGCTCAGGGGAGGGAAAGGGCCACGCCATTACTAGGGTGCTGTTGGGAACGGTGAAAAGGAACACCTTTCACCTTGAAAAGGTGTTTCCAAGGGACACTTTTCCTGGAAAGCTCCTGGAGCTTAGCTGGCTCTCATCCTGTGAAGCCGGCTCTGGCCATGATGGGGCAGGGCCACAAACTCAGCCTGGAGAGAGCCTGCGGGGCAGCCGGCACTCCGGAGGCACAGACCAGTGAGGGAGGCAGGGGGACTGAACGGAAGACGCCTGGGCTGGATGGAAGTCAGTGCCCTTGGGTACTGCTACAGGTGTCCCAGGTATTGGTCTCCCTGCAGACTCTGAGTCTCTTGGCTCTTCAGTTCCACCTGCAGAAGATCCTGGGCGTAAAGGCAGGTGGTGGCTGGCTTCCAGATTCTGGGCCCATAAATAAGGTAGCGAGGGCTCTGTGGGACTCTTTCACCTCTCCAGGCCCCTGGCCCCTTGCTCTAGGCCTCAGTGACGGCCTCCCTTGCCTAGAGCTCCATGCCTCCTTCCCCAGCCTCAGATCTCACAGCCTTCTTCCCACCATTTGAACTGTAGGCCACAGACTGGTGGAAACGCAGAGGGAGCCAAGCACCATCTGCTAAGTGTGCGACATGCCTAATGTTTCCACGTATTATCCCACTTAATCCTCAGCACCTCTGCGAGGAAGATGCTAACTTCCTTTTTAACTAATGAAACCGAGACTTAGAGATGCAAAGTAGTTGAATGGTGACCAGTGGAGCCAAGGCCGGTATCCACTTTGAATCTAAGGAGCCTCTTATACCACTGTCTCTTTCCCTATAACTGGACAGCTCCATGCCTCTATTCAGTATGATGATGTCCAGACCCGGGGCTACCCGCCTCTAAAAGTCAGAGGGCAGGAAGCAAGAAACAGTCACAGGACTGCCCTGGAGGGCGCTGGGGTCACTGTCCCCCACGCTGGAGCTGCCTCTGACCTCATACCTCCCCTCCCCAGGGGCTGGTACCCACCTCCTAGCCCTTTTTGTATGGGGCAGGGTTACCGTCTCCTTCAGCCCAGCTTCTCCTGCAGCTCCTTCTTGCCATGCAGCTCCGACTGCAACGGACTGGCTATCTCCATGTTCTCCTTGTTCCGGACAGAGAGAAGCAATCAGTGGCCACCCACTGCAGCTGGAGACCCCAGAACTTGGTGTCTGCCTTTTGTCTCCCATGGCCCCAGGAAGGGTGGAGGCAGGTTAGAGAAAAACCATCCCCCCTCCCCAACAGCCATCCGAGCAGGGCTCTGGCTCACAGGTGCCTTCAGAAGTACCATTTCACGTTGAGGGCTACAACGCCCATTTCACAGGTGGGGAAACAAAGACCCAGAGGGCTAGGGAGAAGGGGAGGCTCCCCAGGTGGGGCTGAGCACCAGCTCCTTGAAGCCGCTCTGCAGCTCGGCCAGCTGCTCCTCCAGCTCGTGGTTCTAGGAGAGCGCACAGCTGACGGTGGTGAGCTCGGTCTGCATGGCCTCCAGGGTTTGCACGCGCGCCTTCACCTGCTCCCCCCAGAGCTCGGCCTTATGCCCAGCTCCTGCAGCCTCTCCTCTTCCTGCGTCTTCTCCTGCTCCCACAGCCTCTCATCCTGAGGTGCATGCAGAGAGAAGGAGGTGGAAGAGGACTGTGAGGACAGGTAGAGCAATCATTAGGGCTGGGGGTTGTGTGGGCTGTCTCAGCTGGCAGAGGGGCATCCAGCCTGCTCTATGGGAGGAGGCATTAGGGTTGGGAGCTGTGTGGGCTCCCTCAGCTGGCAGAGGGGCACCCAGCCCCCGCTGTGGGATGGAGGTTGGAGGGCTGGGCTGCAGGGACACTGGGCTATGGCTCCGGAACTCTCACCTCCAGATCCTTCAGGTTAGCAGACGATGCAGGCCCTCCCCTTTGACAGATGTTGTTGACTACGAGAGAGGAGATTGCACCTGAGATGTTCTGTCCCCCAGTGTCTAAGCCCTCTGACTTCCTTTCTTCCCCATCAACTGGCAACATTTACTTTTCTGCCTAACTTGGACCCTTCGTCCCGTAACCCCTTTGTGCCAACGTCTCTCATGGTTCTTACCTCCCCACCATCCCTCCCTCCCGAGCAACTCTCATCCGGTTCTTCTGCGGCAGCATAAAATGATGCAGCCAGTCACGGGGTCCACCTCCTCCCTGTGAACAGCTTCCAGGGAGAAGGCTCAGGGAAGAGGTGACTTCCTCAACACTGCCCAGCAAATCGGCTGGTCCCAGGATCTCCCCTCTCTCTCGTGAATCCCTGCCTCAGTTTCTATCATACTTTCCTTCCCCCCGCACCCCCCTCAATTCCTGAGGTACCTCACAAACAAGACTATTGAGTTGTTGGGAGAGTTGTCGCAGGCTCTCCGTCGATGAGAAAGTCCTGGAGGTGGAGACACAGGGGTGAGGGATGCAGGTGGCTCGATGGGAAAGGAGGTCATGAGCAGTGGCTTCCCTGACTCCCTTGGCCTAGAGACTGCTGCCCCGATGGGAGACACTTGGTTTCATCCATGAGATTGAGGCCAGTGTCAGCATCATGATTCTGTGTGGGAAGAAACATATGAGGTGGTCATTCAATTTCTGGTAAGAATCACCCAGGACGGGGTGAGCCAAGCTCCCAAGCTCATTCCAACAATCTTCCGTCTCCCCAGACCACAAGGAAAAGCCCAGTGTGAGCCTTCCACCAGCCCGGTCCCAGGAAGGGCACTTGGCACTAGGGAACAAGCTACCTGTGAAAGGAGAGGAGAATCCATAGTAAGTACAGGAGGGCAGTGGGCAGATGGGGGGGAGGCTCCCACCTGAGGTGCCGCCATGCTACTGAGACTGGCACCAGGGGAATGGACACTGCCAGGTAACATGGTGTCATCAGATGGCTGCAGAGAAGCAGCATGGTCTTTGGGCGTCTGTCATATGACAGAGCAGGGGGTTAGGGGGCCATGCAGGAGAGAAGGTTCCTCAGTGCCATGGACGCAAGCAATTCCCCTGCCTCAGCCTCCCGAGTAGCTGAGATTACAGGCGCCCGCCACCATGCCCGGCTAATTTTTGTATTTTTAGTAGAGACGGGGTTTTGCCATATTATCCAGGCTGGTCTTGAACTCCTGACCTTAGGTGATCTGCTCGCCGTGGCCTCCCAAAGTGCTGGGATTACAGGAGTGAGCCACTGCACCCGGCCTGAGTATGAGTCTTAGAAAAGGAATCAGATATGGCAGGCAGGATATTCTAGACAAGGCAAATACGGCACTAGAAAAGCTATAGAGAAGCAAGTCAGTCATGGCATGAGTCCACACCCACGTTTAACAGGACCAGATCACTGTTACTAAGCTAAGGGTGGGAAAAAGCAACAGAGGAAAAGCTGCAAACACAAGCCAAAGCTGTTCCTAGTTGACATCTGAAGCCCAACGAATGTGATCAAAACAAAGCACTTCGGTTTTGTTTGGGTTTGCTGCCACTAGGACACGGTATAAAGTCAGATATTCACATTCATACCATTTTCTGCATTCTTCAGTATCTGTCAGTGTGTTTAAGTCTTTTTTTTTTTTTTTTTTTTTTTTTTTTTTTTTTTGAGACAGCGTCTTGCTCTGTCACCCAGACTGGAGTGCAGTGGCACGATCTCGGCTCACTGTAAGCTCTGCCTCACGGGTTCACGCCATTCTGCCTCAGCCTACCGAGTAGCTGGGACTACAGGCACCCGCCACCACACCCGGCTAATTTTTTTGTATTTTTAGTAGAGACGAGGTTTCACCGTGTTAGCCAGGATGGTCTTGATCCTCTGACCTCGTGATCCGCCCACCTCGGCCTCCCAAAGGGCTAGGATTACAGGTGTGAGCCACCACGCCCAGGCTGTTTTTGTTTTTTGAGACACAGTCTCACTCTGTCACCCAGACTGGAGTGCAGTGGCGTGATCTTGGCTCACTGCAACTTCTGCCTCCTGGGTTCAAGAGATTCTTGTGCCTCAGCCTCTCAAGTAACTGGAACTACAGGTGTGAGCCACCACAACTGGCTAATTTTTGTATTTTTAGTAGAGACAGGGCTTTGCCATGTTGGTCAGGCTAGTCTTGAATTCCTGACCTCAGATGATCCACCCACCTCAGCCTCCCACCTCGCCCAGCCATGTTTAAGTGCTTTGAATACACAACTTTTTAAAAAGTCAAGACACACTATGAGAAACTTTTTCCGAAGAAAATGATCCAAAAAGCAGAGTGAGAGTCAATGCATGGTGATAGGCAGTATAGAAGTGGTTTTCTAGGCCAGGCGCAGTGGCTCACGCCTGTAATCCCAACACTTTGGGAGGCCGAGGCGGGTGGATCACCTGAGGTCAGGAGATCAAGACCATCCTGGCTAACACAGTGAAACCCCGTCTCTACTAAAAATACAAAAAATTAGCCAGGCGTGTTGGTGGGTGCCTGTAGTCCCAGCTACTCGGGAGGCTGAGGCAGGAGAATGGCGTGAACCCGGGAAGCGGAGCTTGCAGTGAGCCGAGATCGCGCCACTGCACTCCAGCCTGGGTGACAGAGCAAGACTGCGTCTCAAAAAAAAAAAAAAAAAAGTGGTTTTCTATTCCCTCCTTCCGCACCAGGGAAAAAGAATATTAATGTGTTTTCACAACAATCTATATGGAGGAGAAGAATTTAAATTCCTGTCAAGGATGAATTTGAAATAATCTTTTCATGGACTCTCATTTTTTATTTTCTGGGTTTTTTTTTTTTTTTTTTTTTGTGAGACTCACTCTGTTACCCAGGCTGGAGTGGATAGGAGTCACGTCACACTTCTCTAGCTGTAAGGACTCTAGGAGAGCAAGTATCTGCTCTTCTTGGCTTCCTTAGTCGGGGGCAGAACCTGTTTTTTTTTTTTTTTTTGCCAAAAGTCATGCAATGGGCCGGGTGCGCTGGTTCACGCCTGTAATCCCAGCACTTTGGGAGGCTGAGTTAGGTGGATCACCTGAGGTCGGGAGTTCGAGACCAGCCTGACCAACATGGTGAAACCCCATCTCCTCTAAAAATACAAAAATTAGCCAGGCGTGGTGGCGGGTGCCTGTAATCCCAGCTACTCAGGAGGCTGAGGCAGGAAAATTGCTTGAACCCAGGAGATGGAGGTTGCAGTGAGCCAAGATCACACCATTGCACTCCAGCCTGGGCAACAGTGAAACTCAGTCTCAAAAAAAAAAAAGTGGGGGGGCATGCAATGGAGCTTTCCCCAATGTATTCGTCACTTGTTGAACTGCTATAAAGAAATACCTGAGACTGGGTAATTTATAAGGAAAAGAGCTTTAATTGGCTCATGGTTCTGCAGGCTGTACACAAAGCATAGTGGCTTCTGCTTCTGGGGAGGCCTCAAGGAGCTTCAAAGCAGAAGGCAGAAGGCAAGTGGGAGCATGAGTCTTCCATGGCAAGCGCAGGACTGAGAGAGAGAGACAGGAGGTGTTATCCACTTTTAAACAGCCAGATCTCGTGAGATCTCACTATCCAGTACCAAGAGAGATGGTACTAATCCATTCACGAGAACTCTGCCCCATGATCCAATGGCCTTCCCCCGAGCCCTACCTGGAACACTGGGGATTACAACAGATCATGAGACTTGGGTGGGGATTCAGATCCAATCCATATCACCCAGACAAAATGTTTACTTGTATCATTAACTATTAGGCAGCCATGCATGTGCAGAACCTCACAGAGGTCATGACTGGTCTGAAAGGATGTTTAAGAAATGGCCAGAGCCGGGCGCAGTGGCTCACGCCTGTAATCCCAGCACTTTGGGAGGCCGAGGTGGGCGGATCACGAGGTCGGGAGATCGAGACCATCCTGGCTAACATGGTGAAACCCCATCTCTACTAAAAATACAAAAAAATTAGCCGGGCATGGTGGCGGGCATCTGTAGTCCCAGCTACTCCGGGAGGCTGAGGCAGGAGAGAGAGGCGTGAACCCGGGAGGCGGAGCTTGCAGTGAGCCGAGATCGTACCACTGCACTCCAGCCTGGGCGACAGAGCGAGACTCTGTCACAAAAAAAATAAAAAATAAGAAATGGCCAGTATATCGGTCAGGATACGATACATTATGCTGCAGGAACAAATGACTCCAACATCTCAGCAGCTTACGGAGATAAAGGTTTACTTCTCATTCAGGTCCACTGTAGATGGCCAATATTTTCACGTTGGGACCCAAGCTGATGAAACAGCCTCTAGAACATGACTGATCTCATAGCAGGGAAAAAGAAAAACAAACCAAAAACCCCACAGCAAGTCACATTCTGGCTCTTGAAGCTTCTGCTTGGAAGTGACAAACATAACTTCTGCCCATATACTATTGGCTAAAACAAATTATGTCTCCAAACCTGATTTCTGTGGAGCAGGAAGTGTGATATTACCCCAGGGATGGGCAATTAATATTTTTGAAACAGAATAGGAATATTTTGAATAGAATGCTTCAGTAGGCCAGGTGTGGTGGCTCACGCATGTAATCCCAGCACTTTGGGAGGCTGAGGCAGGTGGATCACCTGAGGTCGGGAGTTCGAGACCAGCCTCACCAACGTGAAGAAACCGTGTCTACTAAAAATACAAAATTAGCCAGGCTTAGTAGCGCATGCCTGTAATCCCAGCTACTTGGGAGGCTGAGGCAGGAGAATCGCTTGAACCCAGGAGGCAGAGGTTGCAGTGAGCCAAGATTGCGCCACTGCACTCCAGCCTGGGCAACAGAGCTAGACTTTGTCTCAAAAAATAAATTAAAAAAATAAATATAATAATAAAAAAGAGAAAAGTTAAATAGCACAGATATTATGTGAAATAATTAAAAATTAGACTTATTAAAATGTGTATTCTTCAGAAAAAGACCCTTAACACAGTATCAGAGATAGATATTGCTAAGGAACTGAATAATGTAAGTGGCTAGGGAAGACAGCAACGCTCAGAGATGTGTCCCCTGGGGCAACATGGTTCCACAGCAGATATGGCTGTTGGGATCCAGATTACAGCATTCTTGTGAGGCTCTAATCCCTAGTGCCCAGCCCCTTCCTCCAGCCATCCTTGAGAAGTAAAAACAGGAAGGCAGCAATGTAACAGAAGACAATACATGCGATAAAGTACTTGAAAGCCAGTAAGCGCCATCTAGTGGCAAGGGGATGATTTTTTCCCATTTTGTATGTACTGTCAAATTCAAACTGCATAGGACAATTTGCATTCCTATCAGCAGGGTGTGAGAGTTGCCAATGTTTTTGTTTTTGTGTGTTTTTTTGTTTTGTTTTGATTTTTGAGATGCAATTTCACTCTTGTCGCCCAGGCTAGAGTGCAGTGGCGTGATCTCGGCTCACTGCAACCTCCGCCTCCCAGGTTCAAGCGATTCTCCTGCCTCAGCCTCCCAAGTAGCTGGGATTACAGGCACCCACCACCATGCCCAGCTAATTTTTGTATTTTTAGTAGAGATGGGGTTTCACCACATTGGCCAGGCTGGTTTCAAACTCCTGACCTCAGGTGATCCTCCTGCCTCGGCCTCCCAAAGTGCTGGGATTACAGGTGTGAGCGACCGTGCCTGGCAGTTTACAGTATTCTACCTTGTCACTAAGCTTGCTAAGTTCAGACTCACTAAGTTTTCTCATTTTAATGAATACAGAATAGTATTTCTGATAAACTGATAGTAAGATTTAGAGGCTTATTGCTGGGCATGGTGGCTCACGCTTGTAATCCCAGCACTTTGGGAGGCCAAGGCGGGCGGATCAGATGAGGTCGGGAGTTCGAGGTCAGCCTGACCAACATGGAGAAACCCGTCTCTACTAAAAATACAAAATTAGCTGGGTGTTGTGGCGCATGCCTGTAATCCCAGCTACTTGGGAGGCTGAGGCAGGAGAATCGCTTGAACCCGGGAAACAGGTTGCGGTGAGCTGAAATCACGCCATTGCACTCCAGCATGAGCAACAAGAGCAAAATTCTGTCTCAAAAAAAAAAAAGAGAGATTTAGAGGCTTGCTTCTGATTCCATTTTTAAAATGTATTTATTTAGGCCAGGTGCAGTGGCTCACGCCTGTAATCCCAGCACTTTAGGAGGCTGAGGCAGGCGGATCACCTGAGGTCCGGAGTTCGAGACCAGCCTGACCAACATGGTAAAACCTTGTCTCTACTAAAAATACAAAAATTGCCAGGCGCGGTGGCTCACGCCTGTAATCCCAGCACTTTGGGAGGCCGAGACGGGCGGATCACAAGGTCAGGAGATCGAGACCATCCTGGCTAACACGGTGAAACCCCGTCTCTACTAAAAATACAAAAAAATTAGCCAGGCGTGGTGGCGGGCGCCTGTAGTCCCAGCTACTCGGGAGGCTGAGGCAGGAGAATGGCGTGAACCCAGGAGGCGCAGCTTGCAGTGAGCGGAGATCGTGCCACTGCACTCCAGCCTGGGCGACAGAGCAAGACTGTCTCAAAAAAAAAAAAAAATACAAAAAATACAAAAATTAGCCGAGCGTGGTGGCAGGCGCCTGTAATCCCAGATACTTGGGAGACTGAGGCAGGAGACTGAGGCAGGAGAATTGCTTGAACCCAGCAGGCAGAGGTTGTGGCGAGCTGAGATCGCGCCATTGCACTCCAGCCTGGGCAAAAAGAGCGAAAAGTCCATCTCAAAAAAAAAAAAATTATTTATTTAGGTAAGGATATATATGTATACTGTATTTTTTTTTTATACGAGTCTTGCTCTGTTGCCCAGGCTGGAATCCAATGGCATGATCTCAGCTCACTGCCGACTCTGCTTCCCAGATTCAAGTGATTCTCCTGCCGCAGCTTCCTGAGTAGCTGGGACTACAGGCGTGTACCACCACCCCCAGCTAATTTTCTATATTTTTAGTACAGGCGGGGTTTTACCATGCTGGCCAGGCTGGTCTCGAACCCCTGACCACAGGTGATCCGCCCGCCTCGGCCTCCCAAAGTGCTGGGATTACAGGTATGAGCCACTGCTTCCAGCCACTTTATATATGTATACTCTATTCTCTATGTACTTCCGATGGTACCACATCAAGAGGCACATAATGTCTTGTTATCAATCAAATGTTGTTCAAATGTGGTTGGCCTGATTCATCAATAGATACAGTAATAAGGTTTCTTATCTATCTTTCACCCAATGGTTTTAGAAACCACTGATGATTGGCTGGGCGCTGTGGCTCACGCCTGTAATCCCAGCACTTAAGAGGCCGAGGGGAGCAGATCACGAGGTCAGGAGTTCGAGACCATCCTGGACAACATGGTGAAACCCTGTCTCTACTAAAAATACAAAAAGTAGCTAGGTGTTATGGCGTGGGCCTATAGTCCCAGCTACTTGGGAGGCTGAGGCAGGAGAACTCTTTAGAACCCAGAAAGTGGAGGTTGCAGTGAGCCAAGTTTGCACCACTGCACTCCAGCCTGGCAACAGAGCGAGACTCCGTCTAAAAAAAAAAAAAAACAACAACAACACTGATGATTATTACTTAGATTCATCATTTCATAAAGGATTTGAAAAAAATAGTAATTTTCTAATTTTATTATTCCTTCTGCATTTATTTATTTATTTATTTTGAGATGGAGTTTCACTCTTGTTGCCCAGACTGGAGTGCAATGGCACGATCTCGGCTCACTGCAACCTCTGCCTCCCAGGTTCAAGCGATTCTCCTGCCTCAGCCTCCCAAGTAGCTGGGATTACAAGCATGAGCCACCACAAGCGGCTTATTTTTGTATTTTTAGTACAGACGGGGTTTCACTATGCTGGTCAGGCTGGTCTCGAACTTCTGACCTCAGGTGATCCACCTGCCTTGGCCTCCCAAAGTGCTGGGATTACAGGCATGAGCCACCATGCCCGGTCAGAAATTGCTCTTAAAGAAGACAGATTTTCTATTTTGGCTTTAGAAGAAATATGTCATTTTTATGGATAACTTAACTATTGACTAAAATATAGAATGACCCACAACTAGAGTTGAAAAGAATTTCAGAGACAAAGGATTCTGATCCCATCATATAACAAATTCAGGCTTTTGGGCTCAAAAAAGCCAAGTAGCCTCTTCCCCTCCCTGGCACCGCTGGGCCTGCAGGTCTCTGTCGAGCCGCGGACGCGGGTCTCTGTTCCGCTGGATGGGGTTTGTTAAAGTTGTTAAGAATAAGGCCTACTTTAACAGATACCAAGTGAAATTTAGAAGACGACGAGAGGGTAAAACTGATTACTATGCTCGGAAACGCTTGGTGATACAGGATAAAAATAAATACAACACACCCAAGTATAGGATGATTGTTCGTGTAACTGACAGAGATATCATTTGTCAGATTGCTTATGCCCGTATAGAGGGGGATATGATAGTCTGCGCGGCATATGCACACGAACTGCCAAAATACGGTGTGAAGGTTGGCCCGACAAATTATGCTGCTGCATATTGTACTGGCCTGCTGCTGGCCCGCAGGCTTCTTGATAGGTTTGGCATGGACAAGATCTATGACGGCCAAGTGGAGGTGACTGGCGATAAATACAATGTGGAAAGTACTGATGGTCAGCCAGGTGCCTTCACCTGCTGTATGGATGCAGGTCTTGCCAGAACTACCACTGGCAATAAAGTTTTTGGCGCCCTGAAGGGAGTTGTGGATGGAGGCTTGTCTGTCCCTCACAGCACCAAATGATTCCCTGGTTATGATTCTGAAAGCAAGGAATTTAATGCAGGAGTACACCAGAAGCACTTCATGGGCCAGAATGTTGCAGATTACATGCGCTACTTAATGGAAGAAGATGACGATGCTTACAAGAAACAGTTCTCTCAATACATAAAGAACAGCGTAACTCCAGACATGATGGAGGAGATGTATAAGAAAGCTCATGCTGCTATACGAGAGAATCCAGTCTATGAAAAGAAGCCCAAGAAAGAAGTTAAAAAGGAGAGGTGGAACCTTCCCAAAATGCCCCTTGCTCAGAAGAAGGATCAGGTAGCTCAAAAGAAGGCAAGCTTCCTCAGAGCTCAGGAGCGGGCTGCTGAGAGCTAAACCAAACAATTTTCTATGATGATTTTTCAGATACAGACAATAAACTTAGGGCCAGCAAAAAAAAAAAAAAAAAGCCAAGTAATTAACTTGAAGTCACATCATTTATGAGAAACAAGCTTGCCCTTAACTATAATTGGCATCGTAGTCAATGTATAAACCTTACGGAGAACATTATCCAGAAAACTGGGAGGTATAACATTCATCTTTTTTTTTTTTTTTTTGAGATAGAGTCTCGCACTGTCGCCTGGGCTGGAGTGCAGTGGCTCAATCTTGGCTCACTGCAACCTCCGTCTCCTGGGTTCAAGCGATTCTCCTGCCTCAACCTCCCAAGTAGCTGGGATTACAGGCACCCACCACCACACCCAGCTAATTTTTTGTATTTTTAGTAGAGACAGGGTTTCACCATGTTGGCCAGGCTGAGCTCGAACTCCTGACCTTGTGATTCGCCTGCCTCGGCCTCCCAAAGTGCTGGGATTACAGGTGTGAGCCACCGCGCCTGGCCTATAACATTAGTCTTTATAACAATTCCACTACATTTAAATGATACAGGAAGTTGAATGCATTGCATCAAAATCAAGGTACTGGGCCAGGTGTGGTGGCTCACGCCAGTAATCTCAATACTTTGGGAGGCCAAGGCAGGTGGATCACTTGAGGTCAGGAGTTCGAGACCATCCTGGCCAACATGGCAAAACCCAGTCTCTACTAAAAACACAAAAATTAGCCGGGCATGGTGGCATGTGCCTGTAGTCCCAGCTACTTGGGAGGCTGAGGCAGGAGAATTGCTTGAACTCAGGAGGCGGAGGTTGCAGTGAGCCAATATCGCACCACTGCACTCCAGCCTGGGGGACAGAGTAGACTCTGTCTCAAAAAATAATGATAAAATAAAAATAAAAATAAACAAATGGTACAGGAAGTGGAATGCATTGCAGCAAAGTCAAGGTACTGGGCCGGGCACAGGGGCTCACGCCTGTAATCCCAGCCTTTGCCTGAGTTCTTGTCCTGTGTCCAGGAAGAATGAGGTACACAGACAAGTGGAGGGTGAGCAAGACAAAGAAAAGCTCTACTGAATCTTAGGACAGCTCAGAGGAGACCCGCAGTGGGCAGCTCCTCTCTGTAAGCAGGTCATCTCCTCCAGTGTTCAGCTCTCCATAGGGAGGAGGCCCTGGAGGCCCTGGAGTGGGTGGCTCCACTCTGCAGGCAGGTCCCTGTTGACTTCCCAGCTCTCAGTAGAGAAGGTAGCTCCTCTCTGCAGCTGGTCATCCAGTCTCCAGTTGTTTCTCCATCCTCTGCCTTGCTCTGGCTGAGACTGGGGTGTTTACGGACCTCAGAGAGGAGGAAATGCATGCCAGTTGGTGCATGGGCACCCAGAAGAGGTACCACAGGTCCCCACTCTGGTCTGTGGATCTGGCAGCCCAGCCTTCAGCCTTCAGGCCCTCCCTGGTCTGAAAGTGGGGTCTTATCGGGTATCCCCGGCTTCTGCCCAGGAATCCGCCTCCCACTGCCATTCATGGCCCCTGCTCAGCCCAGCTTTACTCTGAGATCAGAGTGGGTGTTGACAGCCAACAGTAGGGAGAAGCCAGGCAGTGGGGGCAGGTACTTTTGAGCCTGTGAGGGCGGGGAGGGGGGGCCTTCCCAGGCCCCCAAGAGTGGAGGGATGCCTGAAGCTGCAGCCACCAGTTTGGGTGGCTGCAGGTGCGTCCAGAGGAGGCAGGGCTCCTGGCTATTCTGTGGAGCAGGAGGCCCGGGTCTGCAGCCACAGTTTGGGTGGCTGCAGTGGCACCCAGGAGAACAGGGCTCCTACCTGCTTGCCCCGCAAGAGCACAGGAAGGCTCAGATCTGCAGCCACAACTTGGGTGGCTGCAGAAGTTACAGACTTGCAACTCAGAAGGGGCAGGGCTCCTGCCAGCTCCATGGAACGTGTAGCCCGGGTAGCACCTCCCCGCTGCAGCAGTGGCAGGCTGTCTGGAGCAGCTACTACCATGAAATAGAGGAATGATATTAAGAAGGCAGTTTTTGAACAGAAGTATGTTTTTTCATTACAATATAAACATTTGAGAATTGTTATTTCTAAAATTTCTAGTCTGAAACTATAATATAAATTTGAAAATATTTAGATAAATTCATGGATAGTTGAACATTGATTCACTTTTTTTTTTTTTTTTTGACATGGAGTTTCGCTCTGTCACCCAGGCTGGAGTGCAATGGTGCAACCTCGGTTCACTGCAACCTCCGCCTCCTGGGTTCAAATGATTCTTCTGCCTCAGCTCCTGAGTAGCTGGGATTATAGGTATGTGCCACACGCCCTGCTAATTTTGTATTTTTAGTAGAGACGGGGTTTCTCCGTGTTGGTCAGGCTGGTCTCGAACTCCTGACCTCAGGTGATCCACCGCCTTGGCCTCCCAAAGTGCTGTGATTGCAGGCATGAGCCACCGCACCCAGCCCAATGATTGACTTTTAAAGTTGAGGTTAAGTCAATATAATTATTTCACTAACACTTTTTCACGAACTGGATTCATGGTAAATTTTAGATAGCCTAATAATCTGATCCCAAATTATTATATCCTATTGTCCTTACATTCACTCATTCAACATATATGAGTGCTTACCTGTGCCAGAAATTTAAAAATTTCTAGTCTTTTTTTAACAATCTTCCATTAGCAATTTCATATTCTAAATAGCAAGTTCAGAATTTTATGATGCCTGAATTAGAAACAAATACAGAGAGTATTAAACCTTGGATATTTGTGGAGACAAATATGTCTGATGAATGACCTTGGAGGCCCAGAAAAGAGAATGGCTAGAACTGGGGATTGCAGCAGGGTCAGCAGCCGCAATAGCCACGCCCAAGGGCTGCAGAGTGAGGCAGCGGCAGAAGCAGGTGCCTGCTGGGCTTGGGCTGCCCGCCCTCCCCAGGGTCCCCCCAACCTCCGTGCTTCCTGCCTCGTGGTGTTGTGTCTGGGCAGACTTGTCTTCACCACACCGCATCAGCAGGAGTGTGTAGTGGACACAGACGGTGTCTGCTCATGTCTGCCTGGTTCCCCGCCGCTGCCAGGCAATGCCAGCAGGAGTAGATAAGGGTGTGACAGAGGCTGGGGCCAGCCCTACAGGGGGTTGAGGGAACAGGGGACAGGCACGGCTGCCCTGGGATTCCCTCCCAGAGGAGGGGCTGCTCTCCAGACCTCGTCCTTCCACAGAGATCCGAGGTCTCTGCCTGGGTCGGGCCATCGGAGACTCTGTTGTATCAACTGTGATGTCATGTTCTCCAGATCCTTGTCGGGCCAGGCTCAGGGTCTAGGCTCAGGGACGGAGGCTGCAGGGACGGACAGCAGGGCCACATGAGGGCTTGGCGGTCCAGGAGGCCTTCTGAGGGCAGGGCCCTGGGGTTGCATTTTGGGGAGAGGCTGCCACAATAGAGCAGGAGGAGCGGGGATGGGGGTGGCAGCATGTGCAAAGGCACAGCACTGGGGGTAGGGCTGTTGTTTAGCCAGTTGGAGTACCCAGGAGATGAGATGAGAGGGGCAGGTGGGCCTCTGCTGATGGGCTGGGGGTGGAGGATCGGCTCAGCCAAGCGGGGAGCCTGGAGTTCTCCTACAATTGTAGGGCCCTGTGCCTACTCCCACCTCTGCTCCTCTTTCAGCCCCACCAAGGCCTCTCCAGGGGATCTCACAGGCTGCTCCCACTCACCCCATCCTCCTGTCCCATCTCTAGCCTTGGGTTGCCTGTGCCTGGAGAGGGGAGGAGAGGGGAGGGGAGGGGAAGAGAGATGAGGGGAGGGGAGGAGAAGAGAAGGAAGGGGAGAGGAGAGTAGAGGGGAGGGGAGGAAAAGAGAGGGGAGGGGAGGAGAAGGGAGGGGAGGGGAAGGGAGATGAGAGGAGGGGAAGGAAGGGAAGGGGAGGAGAGGGGAGTGGAGGGGAGGGGACATGAGAGGAGGGGAGAGGAAGGGAAGGGAGGGGAGGGGAGGGGAAGATGTGTAGGTCAGTCTCCGGGAGGGTAGGCTGCTGTGACAAGATCCCACAGACTGGGGCTTCAGCAACAGACTTTTATTTTCTCACAGTTCCAGAGGCTGAAGTCCAAGATGAAGGCGCCATCGCGGTTGGTTTCTGGTGAGGCCTCTTTTCCTGGCTTGTAGGTGGCCCCCCTCGCACATGGCCTTCCTCTGTGTGTGCAGAGGGGAAGGGAGAGCTCTCCGGTACCTGTTCCTCTTCCTGTGGAAGGGCCCTCCCCTGTGTCCTTCTAACACCTTATCGCCAATACAGTCACTCAGGGGATAGGAATATTGAAGATGGGGTTGGTGATGTCACAGTTCCATCTGTAGCAGTGTCCGTAGGAAATTCCCACACTGGGGCCGGGCACGGTGGCTCACACCTGTAATCCCAGCACTTTAGGAGGCTGGGGCAGGCGAATCGCTTGAGCCCAGGAGTTCAAGAACAGCCTGGGCAACATAGCGAGACCTTGTCTCTACAAAAAATGCAAACATTAGCTGGGCGTGGTGGCACATGCCTGTGGTCCCAGTTACGTGGGAGGCCGAGGTGGGAGAATCACTTGAGCCCAGGAAGGCAGAGGTTGCAGTGAGCTGTGATTGTGCCACTGCACTCCAGCCTGGGCAACAGAGCGAGACCCTGTCTCAGAAAAAGACATCAACAAACTTCCCACACTGGGAGAGCCTGCTCCAGGCTGGGGCCTGGACTCGACCGGTTGCTGTGTGGTCGTTCCGTCTTCCAGAAACCCTCCCAGCAGGTCATATTCCCATTTCACATGGAGGGTGAGTGAAAGGCAGCCCTAGGTGGCTCTCTCTAACTCCAAACGTATGAACGTGGGTTTCCCCAGCACCGTCCAACCCCAGGCCTCACTGGGACTCCTTCCCAAGCTTTCCATCTGATGCTTTTAGGGCCCAGCAGCCACAGGTGTCTCAGGGAGGATGCTGGGCCCAGTGCTGGACCCTGCCAGGCAGGCTCCCTCAGCCGTGGGGCGGGTGGCCGGTCCCATCTGGTGGGCCCATTCCCCCTGCCTGAGTGCACAGATGTGTGTGTGTGTGAGTTTAGTGTGTGTTCTTGGCCCATTCATCTTTCAGCTTTTGTGTTTTATTATGTAATCATTTTGCATGAGTGCTTAGTATATGAAAGATGTTAGTTAATATTTGTTAAACAAAACACATTTTGGATCTATCGATTAAAAAAGAAAAAGGTGATAACGACAATCCAAGGACCAGGTGGAAACCGGTGAAGGCTGGACTGAGGGCTCAGGCAGTGGTGCGGAAAAGGTACTTATTGTACTTCTGTTCTTGAGATGAAGCCAGTGAGGGCCAGGGGATGTTTCTGAACCTCTGCGCCAAGAGGAATCGGGTCAGCAAAGAGAGAGGAGTGGGAGACAGAGGTTCGTCTTACACACACAGCCTTTCCCAGGAACAAATTCTCTCTTAAAATGCAGCATTAGGAAATCACCTCAGAGCCGGGCGCAGTGGCTCACGCCTGTAACCCCAGCACTTTGGGAGGCCGAGGCAGGGGGGTCGCTTGAGCTCAGGAGTTTGAGACCAGCCTGGGCCACACAGCAAAACCCTGTCTCTAAAAATACAAAAATTAGCCAGGCATGGTGGTGGGTGCCTGTAATCTCAGCTACTCAGGAGGCTGAGGCACGAGAATCGCTTGAACCCGGGAGGTGGAGGTTGCAGTGAGCCGAGATCATACTCTAGCGTGGGTGACGGAGTGAAACTCCGTCTCAAAAAAATAAAGATAAAAATAAAAATTGCACCCCTCCCCAGCTGAGCATGGTAACTCATGTCTGTAATCCCAGCACTTTGGGAAGCCAAGGCAAGAGGATCTCTTAAGCCCAGAAGTCTAAGACCAGCCTGGGCAACATAGTAAGACCCCATCTCTACAAAAAACTGGGGAAAAAAAAATTAGCTGGGCATGAAAGTATGCACCTATAGTCCCAACTACTCGGGAGGCTGAAGCCAGAGGATCGCTTGAGCCTGGTAGGTCGAGACTGCAGTGAGCTGTGATCGTAACTCTGCACTCCAGCCTAGGCAAGAGGGCGAGACCCTGTCTCAAAAATAAATAATTGCGACCCTCCCCCACGCAGCTGCTGCTTGGCTCGGGAAGGAGCTGACTCTCCCCACTGATCCCGGAACGTCCCGCTCTGCGTGGTTACGTGGGCTCAGAGACCATTGTTTGCACTGCGTCCCGGGATGGATTTACACAGGACCACGTGCCTTCTGCTCCCTCCCACTCCCGTCCGCGTTCCCTGTTTGTGGTTCTTATCATTTTGCTCGCGTGAGTCATTGGTCTCGCCGAAAACAGGAGCACAGCGGAGGTCACGCCAGCTGCAGCCCAGCACGGACAGACGGATGGCGGCAGCCAGACATCAGGGGCTCCTCGGCTTCCCTCTGCCCGACACCTGTGCTGGTCCCGCCGGGTCGGCGGGGTCCTGCAGGGGCGCTGGGCAGAGAGGGTGCCGCCCAGCCGGGCTGAGAACCCACCTGTGCCCTGTGCCCTGTGCCCTGAGGCCTGCTCCTGGGCTGTGGGGGCCCCGTTCGCCCCCGCACCGGACATGACCTCTCCCACAAGCTCTCACTTCCTCTCCGCTGCCCTGTGGCTGTCCTCCTTGTCGCACGGTTGGCTGCCCTTGTCTACACCACGACGCCCTGCTTGGGAAGGCCCCTGTTTGTCCAGGCACCCAGGGCCGGAGCCAGGCACAAGGCATCACTGCCTGGACACCTAAGTCCAGTGGACGCTCCTGTGGGACCCGTGTCCCTCAAAGGGGCCCCTGCAGCTCCACACTCCAGCCGCCTCCCCCGTCACCTCCTCACCTCACCCCAGGCCCAGCCAGCCCCTGCGGCCCCCACCAAGCCATTCAGGCCACTCTGGAGGCCCTCACCTTCCACCCGCAGCCGGTGGGCCTGCAGACCCTCCCGATCCCGGACTCCTGAGCCTCCCAAGCCCACGGTCTCCACGTGACTCGAGCCACCCCCTCCCTGGCTGGGAGCCCTGAGGGTCCCTTCCTCCTGCCACGGGGTCTCCTGCCTCTCCACAGCGCAGACCCTCCCAGGTGAAGCCCTGAACCCTTCAGAATGGCCCAAGGGGCGCCTGTCCACCCTGCTGCCCCCCACCCTCTGCCCCTCAAGGCCTGGGGCATCCAGGCTCTATGACCTTTCCAAGGGTTTGCTGGAAGGAGCCTGGGGTTGGGAGCCGCTTGTGGAGGCGAACAGGCTCGTGGGCCATGACAGTCCCCTCGCTTCCTCCCTCACACAGAGGAGAGCAGCATCCACCGGGTCACCTGTGGGAGAGTTGGAGCCACTGGAAACGCGGGGCTCAGGGTGCCCGGCACACAGTGGGCCTGCAGGTGGGCACGGTCGGCCCCTCACAGAGTAAGCGGCTGAGGCACTGCCTGTGCTTGCGAGGTGCTCAAGTCACACCCCAGTAAACGGGGAGGGAGCTGCCTCCACCCCACCACCCACCCACCCACCCTCATCCATTCAGGTTCTCACACACACGCCCGTCACCGTCAGCCAGCGCCCCAGCCGGTCCCATGGCCCTCCCAGTTCCGTGAACGGCGCCACCTCTCAGGCCTCCATCCTGCCACTGGCCAGGTCACTCAGACTGTGGAGGGGAGGGTCTGACAGGCCCAAGCCCGACCCTGTGCCCCTCTCTGGCTGCAGCCCCGCATGCCTGAGGGTGGCTGGAGGGGGCCCAGTGCCTGCTGGGTGGGTGTCCCTTCCGGAGGCTCTGCAAGTGAGTTGCCTTCTGAGTCCGCGCAGGTGGTTGGTGGGATCTGGTTTCTGTGGCTATAGGACTGAAGTCCCTGTTCCCTGGCTGGCTGTCAGCCAGGGCCCAGCCTTAGCAAGTAGAGGCCTGTCTCTGTCCTTGCCCGTGGGCCCCCGTCTCGGAGCCGGCAGCGGCATGTCCAGTCCTCACACTTGGAAACTCTCTGGCTTCCCATTCGGCCTGGTCTCTCTTCTGCTTCCAGCCAGAGAAAGTCCTTTTCTGCTCTTACAGCTCATGGGACTGGACCAGACCCACTATCCCAGCCATGTCTAGGATAATTTCCCTCCCTATTTTAAGGTTCGTAACCTTAATTACACCTGCAAATTTCCTTTTGTCTTGTAACAACATCTTCCCAGCTACCAGGGATCAGGACTGGGACATCTTTGGGGGCCACTTCGCCTTCCACCAGACCTGGTTGGCCCCCTCAGCTGCCCTCTGTACGGCCTTGTAACATCCTTTTCCAAAGTCCAAGCAACTCAAGAGAAAAGACCCAAAGATAGTGACATCAGCAGTTCGCCCAGGAAAACCGTCCAGCTGGTCCTCTTATGTGAGTCCCACATGGATGAATCCTGCACGTGGCACAGGGTGTCTAAGCCACTGTTTGCTGCCCCTTTCTTAAATAGAAGTAGATGGCTGGGCACAGTAGCTCATGCCTATGATCCCAGCACTTTGGGAGGCTGAGGTGGGCAGATCACTTGAGGTCAGGAGTTCAAGACCAGCCTGGCCAACATGGTGAAACCCTGTCTCCACTAAAAATGTGAAAAAATTAGCTAGGCGTGGTGGTGCACCCCTGTAGTCCCAGCTATTCAGGAGGCTGAGGCAGGAGAATTGCTTGAACCTGGGAGGTGGAGGTTGCAGTGAGCCGAGATCTCACCACTGCACTCTAGCCTGGGTGACAGCAAGACTCTGTCTCAAAATAAATAAATAAATTAATTAATTAAAAAGAAGGCCATGGAGGGAAACATGTTCCCGAGATCTCTTGGAACTGTGCCGTGGGCAAAAAAAAAATAATTAAAAAAAAAAAAAAAAAAAAAAAATATATATATATATATATATATATATATATATATTTTTTTTTTTTGAGACAGAGTCTCTCTCTGTCTCCCAGGCTGGAGTGCAATGGCACGATCTCGGCTCACCGCAACCTCTGCCTCCTGGGTTCAAGCGATTCTCCTGTCTCAGCCTCCTGAGTAGCTGGAATTACAGGCGTCTACCACCACAACCGGCTAATTTTTGTATTTTTAGTAGAGACGGGGTTTCTCCATGTTGGCCAGGCTGGTCTCGAACTCCTGACCTCAGGTGATCCGCCCGCCTCGGCCTCCCAAAGTGCTGGAATTGCAGGCATGGGCTACCGCACCCCGTCCCCATTATATATATTTAAAAAAAAAAGAAGTCTTGGAGGGTGGGCATGAGCAAAACGAGGGGCAGCCACATAGAGGAAGATGGGGTCCAGGCAGCAGGAGCCAACTGATAGGAGAGAGTGGGTGCCAGATGACAGAGGCCAGGCACCAGGCCACAGGGGATGGTCAGGAGGCTCTGGGAGGAAACTGTTCCAATGTGTCTGAACACGTGGAGAGGCGGCTTACATAGCGGAAGGAGAGTGCAGAGGTGAAGTCACAGCCCCAGGAAGAAACTGGGGCACAAGTGGCCTGGGAACCAGATGCACTCCAGGGAAAATGAGGAACCCCAGCCTGCTGCACGGCTCAGCGTGAGCTGCACCCGCATAGTAACGTAGACACTGAATGTCTGTCTCACCAAAATTATGTTGGGGGTGGGGACAGTTGGGGGGTTCTATGTGTGAGAGGGAATTAAATCCTTCACTTCCAGGGTGGAGAATCAGGAGACCCTGTGCAACACTGAGAACCTGAGAAGTGTCCAGCTAAGCACAGTATAATTATTTTGGGTAGAGATGGGGTCTTGCTGTGTTGCCCACAGTGGTCTCCAACTCCTGGGCTCAACAGATCCTCCCGCCTCAGCCCCCTAAAGTACTGGGATGATAGACATGAGCCCCCATGCCCGGCCTAAGTACATTATTTTTTATTTATTTTTATTTATTTATTTATTTTTGAGATAGAGTCTTGCTCTGTCACCCAGGCTGGAGTGCAGTGGCTCGATCTCAGCCCACTGCAAACTCTGCATCCTGGGTTCAAGCTATTCTCATGCCTCAGCCTCCCAAGTTGCTGGGATTACAGGTGTGTGCCACCATGCCCAGCTAATTTTTGTATTTTTGGTAGAGAGGGGGTTTCACCACGTTGGCCAGGCTGGTCTCGAACTCCTGACCACCACGCCTGGCATTTTTTATTTATTTTTTGAGACGGAGTCTCACTCTGTTGCCCAGGCTGGAGTGCAGTGGCGCCATCTCAGCTCACTGCAACCTCTGCCTCCCTGGCTCAAGTGATACTCCCACCTCAGCCTCCCAAGTAGCTGGGATTACAAGCATTCCCCCCTGTGTCTGGCTAATTTTTGTATTTTTAGTAGAGACGGGGTTTCACCATGTTGGCCAGGCTGGTCTCGAACTCCTGACCTCAAGTGATCCACGCACCTCGGTCTCCCAAAGTGCTGGGATGACAGGTGTGAGTCACCATGTCTGGCCTCCTAAGCACATTATTTAAGCATAAAAAGGCAGACATGAAAAGACTGACCTGAAACATAAATGCTGGGAAAATAAACACAAGGGCATGGGAGCCTTGTGGACGCACAATGGGCAGAGAGGGGCGGGGACTGTTTTTATAACAGATGCATAAACCACTTGCATCCTCAAGTCACACACATGGTTGACAGAATGGGGTGGGAGGAGACCCCACACGAGTCCCACTGGGAGGGGCTGGCCTTGTAGGGGACACAGGGAAGGATCCCTGAGCTCCACCTGGGGTGTGGGTAGGGTGAGGGAGCCCCTCCCTCCAGGGGGAAGGGAGGAAATTCCACCACAGGGATGCAGGAGCCAGAGAACAGCAAGCCCACTCCTGGTACAGTGGGAACTCAGGGGTGGAGAGGAGGGACGGCAGTGGGGCCGGTGCTGCCTCTCTGCTGGCTGGGACGCCCCATGCCCAGCAGTCGGTCCCACGGATACGCCACCTTCCGCGGCACACTGCTTCAAGACTCTGGATCATTGCTTGTCTTCCTGCGGACGACAGGAAGAAAGATGAAGGCATGAGAGAGATGGCACTTTATAAAGGGTCAGAGAAGGGCCTCTCTGATGAGGCAACATTGGAGCAGAGACTCAGGACCTGAGGCACGTGGATAACGGGGCTCCCAGCTATGAAGGGGCCAGCTCGCGGCCACACAAGGATGACCTCCTTGCCCACCCAGGCTCTGCCTTGACCAATCCAGAAGCCATGCGGCCTCTGTGCGACTCCCTGCTCTTCTCCCAGGCCGGGGGCTGGGGCATGGGCTCGGGCCAGGGGCCGCTGTTTCTTGGAGTCTCCAACCAGAACTGAGCTCTTCAGGGGACCTGGATGACGCACTGTTTGGGTGGTTGTGTTTGGGGTGTGATGCGGCCACCCTGGAAAGCCCCAGCCTGTCAGCTCTGATCCGCGTCCCTGGGGTTCACCTCCCACCTCCGTGTCAGAACCTCTTCCTGCCCTTTCCTGTGGACTGGGGGGGATCTGAGTGCCTCCCTCCATGTTTCATGAACCGAAACTGAAGCTGGAGAAGATAGGGCTTATCTGGGGTCAAAAGGAGCCCAGGTCCCCAGCTTTTGTGGGGAAACTTGTTCTGGGGGCTGAGTCAGCCTGGCCAGGTTATATGGGCGTCGGGGATGAAGTGCAGGAGAGGAGTTTGGGGTCATCCCATGAGTGATCAGAGGCCCCTGGGGGCTTGGGTGGGAGCATCAGAGAGTGGGAGGTGCCAGAGCCGTTCTCTGCCTTCAGAAGGAAGATGAGTGAGAAGGTGCAAGGGGAAGAGGAGACTGAACAGAGAAAGAAATTCAAGAGGAGAGCTCTGGAGAGAGAGGCAGGTGCCGATGGAGAAGCTGGCCCATGGGGCGGTGGGTCGGTGGGTGGAACACGGTCCTCCCCACATCTGTCCACAAAACCTTCCAAAAAGTCCCATCTCTTTGCAGAGTAGGTAATAAGAGCAGCTCCCAGGCACCCCTATGTATTTACCAAGCTTTACAGAGCACCAGCCATCACTGGTCCAGTCCATCCTCACAGCTGCTCTGTGGGACAGGTACATTATTCCCTGCTTTCATAAATGGGGAAACCGAGGTACAGGGAAGTGCCTAAGGTCAAGCACTGGAAGGTGGCGGAGCTGGGAGCAGGCAGAGTGACTCGGGGCCCACTCCCACCTCCCCACCCGCCCTGTGTCTCTGGGGTGTAGGGAGTGAGTCCTGCAGCCAGGTGTGGGGGTGGGGGACGGGTTCCACACCAGTGAGGCTGGCCGGGCCCGGGTCAGAGGGTTGATGGGGTTTTTCAGCTCATGGGCAGTACCCAACTGCATCGTGGATTGAATCAGGCCCTGGGCTCTGAACCAACGCAAACTCTTCCAGTGACTGCCAATGAGGTGGCAAGGGAGCCCACGTGACCCTGAGGGCCTAGCACGCTCTTCATTGCCCAGGGAAGCCAGCCCCAGCCTGCAGGGCCACCTCCAGATGAGACACCGCTGGAGACGATGGGTGGCATTCTCAGGGCCTCTTTGTGGAGAAAAATAGGAAACTATGATTATAAAATTAGGCATAAAAGTGAATATTAAGAGTAAATAGGGCCAGGCACGGAGGCTCACGCCTGTAATCCCAGCACTTTGGGAGGCCGAGACGGGCAGATCACCCGAGGTTGGGAGTATGAGACCAGACTGGACAACATGGCGAAACCCTCTCTCTACTAAAAATACAAAAATTAGCCGGGTGCGGTGGCAGGCGCCTGTAATCCCAGCTACTCAGGAGGCAGGAGAATCACTTGAACCCAGGAGGCAGAGGTTGCAGTGAGCCAAGATCGTACCACTGCACTCTAGCCTGGGTGACAGAGTGAGACTCCATCTCAAAAAAAAAGAAAAAAAAGAGAAAAGTTAATTGGCCACGCACAGTGGCTCACAACTGTAATCCCAGCACTTTGGGAATCTGAGGTGGGAGGATCACTTGAGCCCAGGAGCTCAAGACCAGCCTGGGCCACAGTATGAGACCCTATCTCTAGTTTTAAAAAAGTAAATAAATCACAACTGCAAAAAATGTAAAAAGCCAATAAGCAGCATAAGCATAATAAGATCCAATAAATTAACATAATATTTCTCTTAGAGAACTGCCTGATGCACCCCTGAAGTACGTTGCGTTTGTGTTTTTTGAGACAGAGTCTCGGTCTGTCACCAGGCTGGAGTACAGTGGTGTCATCTCGGCTCACTGCAACCTCCGCCTCCCAGGTTCAAGCAATTCTCCTGCCTCAGCCTCCCAAGTACGTAGCCGCCACCACGCCCAGCTAATTTTTGTATTTTTAGTAGAGACGGGATTTCACCGTGTTGGCCGGGCTGGTCTCGAACTCCTGACCTCAGGCGATCCACCCACCTCGGCCTCCCAAAGTGCTGTGATTACAGGTGTGAGCCACTGTGCCCAGTCAGTATTTTGTACTTTACGTTTCTCCCCTAAATACTCTCTGATCATCTTTTGAAAAGACAACAAGTTTTGTAATATCATTTTCCACTGAGAGAATAGAACAATAATTCAGCCTTTCCACTAGCGTGGTTGACTAAAAATTATTATTGGTCCAAAGGTAGCAAGTTATCTCAATCGATTCTTCACAGTCAGTTACAGATCCAACTCCTTCCCCCGTCTTACCACTGCACTTAACTAGTCTTGAAAACACAACAAGAGAAAAATGGCTGGGCACGGTGGCTCACGCCTGTAATCCTGGCACTTTGGGAGGCCAAGGTGGGTGGATCATTTGAAGCCAAGAGTTCAAGACCAGCTTGACCAACATGGTGAAACCCTGTCTCTAATAAAAATACAAAAAAATTAGCCAGGCATGGTGGCACATGCCTGTAATCCCAGCTACTTGGGAGGCTGAGGCCGGAGAATGACTTGAACCCAGGAGGTGGAGGTTGCAGTGAGCCAAGATCACACCACGGCACTCCAACCTGGGTGACAGAGCAAGGCTCTGTCTCAAAAAATAAAAAAGAAAAAAGAAAGAAAAGAAAATTATCATTATTGTTTTTTAAACATTGCATCAGTATTTTCTTCTTCTTTTTTTTTTTTTTAAACAGAGAAAGGGTCTCGCTATGTTACCCAGCCTGGTTTCAAACTCCTGGGTTCAAGCAATCCTCCTGCCTCAGCCTCCTATAAGTGTTGGGATTACAGGTGTGAGCCACTGCGCCTGGCCATTGTATCAGTATTTTATCCCTCCCTTTCTCCCTTCCTTCCTTCCTCCCTTCCTTTTTCTCAGTCTCTCCCTGTTGCCCAGGCTGGAGTGCAATGGTGCAATCTCGGCTCACTGCAACCTCCACCTGCCAGGTTCAAGCCATTCTCCTGCCTCAGCCTCCTGAGTAGCTGGGATTATAGGTGCATGCCACAATGCCTGGCTAATTTTCATATTTTTAGCAGAGACAAGATTTTGCCGTGTTGGCCAGGCTGGTCTCGAACTCCTGACCTCAGGTGATCCTCCTGCCTCGGCCTCCCAAAGTGCTGGGATTACAGGCTTAAGGCACCTGGCCAAGATGGTGAAACCTCGTCTCTACTAAAAATACCAAAAAATTAGCCAAGCGTGGTGGCACGCACCTGTAATCCCAGCTACTCAGAGGCTGAGGCACAAGAATCGCTTGAACTTTGGAGGCGAAGGCTGCAGTGAGCCGAGATTGCACCCCTTCACTCCAGCCTGGGTGACAGAGAGAGACTCCAGGACTCCATCTCAGACAAAAAAAATAATAATAAAATAAGGAAGCCTGGGGGTCTGGCATCTATGGGGACTCAAAGTCACAAAGTCTCTGTCCCTGGGGCCCATTGCCCAGCAGCCCCTGCAAGGGCCACACGGGTGCCAGGAGAGTCACTGGGATTCACGGACTTCTCTCAGACCAGAGAAACTTCTGCACCAAGCCCCACAGCGTGACTGGGGGAGAACTGGGCCGGGCAGGAGGTGGCTGGGGGAGCAGCTGGGGGAGCAGCTGGGGGAGCAGCCTCTCCAGGAAACTGTGGAGGCCCAGCAGCCTCCCCACTCCTCAGCTTCCCTTGCTGATGATGCTAATACAAGAAAAGAAAGTGAGAGGCAGTCAGCTGTCCCTGAGGACAAAACTGCATTATCGGGGTGTGGCTGAGGTGGCCTTGGGTGGCACTGAGCAGGCTCAGGCCTAGAGGCTGGTCCCCACCCATCAACATCTCAGAGACAGCTGGACCAGTGTTTGAGGCCGCGCACCTGCATCCTTTCGGACAGAGAGGCTTTGGCCACAGCGGGCCACCCAGGAGCCACCTGGCGAGCCCTCACAGGCCCTGGCTTTCAGAAGATTCATTCAGAGGCAGAAACGGCCTCCGAGGTCTGAGGTGAGGGCACCACCCTGTTCCATTCATGATGAGGCAGGGCATTCCCTAAGAGGCCTCCTCTCATCGGAAACAAAATCCTCAGCAAAAACACCAACCTTCTCACCTTTCAGGAACCAGGAGTTTGGCCCGAACGAGGGCCCAGGCAGCCACGACGTGGGGTCCAAGACACGAGTGGGACTGACTCCAACTGCATTTGACCCCAACAGAAGTAAACACCTCAGCCCCAGGGGTGCGGGCAGTCCCCTCCGGCCACGGGCCTTCCCAAGCCAGGCTCAGCCAAAAGCTACGGCCCTAGTCATTGGGAGCAGGGCTGGGCCTCAGATCAGAGAAGGTCCCAGTGTCCCCAGGAACACTGCACAGCCCCTCTGGGTGAGGCCTCCCAAATTCCCCCAGTGTTGGGTGTCAGGGGAATAGAGACCCCCAGGTACGTACCTGTTTGCAGAAAAACAAGTGACCACTTCTGGGGGATTCTGGACTTGGTTTTGTGGGGGTTTTTTTGTTTGTTTTTTTGTTTTTTGTTTTTTGTTTAAGTCAGAGCCTCGCTCTGTTGCCCAGGCTAGAGTGCAGTGGTGCGATCTCAGCTCACTGCAACCTCCACCTCCCGGGTTCAAGCGATTCTCCTGCCTCAGCTTCCCGAGTAGCTGGGATTATAGGCGCCTGCCACCACGCCTGGCTAATTTTTGTATTTTTAGTAGAGACGGGGTTTCACCATGCTGACCAGGCACATGGATTACAGGCATGAGCCACTGCGCCCGGCCCATGGTTTTGTGATTTTGTGAAGCTAGATTCCTCCACACTGAAAGAGGAGACAATTTTAACCTGAGTTTGGAGGGGAAGAAAAAAACTTAAAACATTTTTGGCCAGGCGAGGTGGCTCACGCCTGTAATCCCAGCATTTTGGGAGGCCAAGGCCGGTGGATCACTTGAGGTCAGGAGTTCAAGACCAGCCTGGCCTACATGGTGAAACCCTGTCCCTACTAAAAATACAAAAATTAGCTAGGCATGATGGCGCGTGCCTGTAATCCCAGCTACTCAGGAGGCTACGGTAGGAGAATCACTTGAACCCAGGAGGCGGAGGTTGCAGGGAGCTGAGATCACGCCATTGCACCCCAGCCTGGGTGACAGAGTCACAAAAAAAAATTTTTTTTTGGAAAAAAAGAGGAGACATTGAACCCTGGCATGGTGGCTCACGCCAGTAATCCCAACACTTTGGGAGGCTTAGGTAGGAGGACCTCTTGAGGCCATGAGTTTGAGACCAGTGGTCCGGTGTGGATGAGGGGGTGGAGCAGGGGAGCTTAGAGTATGTAAGAAAAGAAGAAATTGGGGCCGGGCACAGTGGCTGATGTCTGTAACCCCAGCACTTTGGGAGGCCGAGGCGGGCGGATCACCTAAGGTCGGGAGTTCGAGACCAGCCTGACCAACATGGAGAAACCCCGTCTCTAATAAAAAGACAAAACTAGCCAGGCGTGGTGGCGCATGCCTGTGATCCCCGCTACTTGGGAGGCTGAGGCAGGAGAATCACTCGTACCCGGGAGGCGGAGGTTGCAGTGAGCCGAGATCGCGCCATTGCACTCCAGCCTGGGCAACAAGAGCGAAACTCCGTCTCAAAAAAAAAAAAGAAAAGAAAAGAAGGAATTGGAGAAACTGTGCTGGGTGGCGTCCAGCCTCGTGAATCTCTTACAAAACCAACATTACTCACCAAAGCTTTTGACGTGTTTTGTTTTGTCTATGGGAGTGGGAAGGAAGATGGGAGAAATGCTGAGGGCGGCCTCCAGGTGGGCAGGGGGCAGACACTGCCATGGGGGTCCTGCTAGACTCCGCGCCGCTGCGCAGGGAAACCATTGCCGAGGGTGGGCAGGGAAGCAGCCTCAGAGACCACCCGAAGCAGCACCGCTAACACCCACGGCACCCGCTCCCCGCCTCCTGCCTTCCTCCTCTTCCACTCTAGACGGCTTTCTAGCAGGGGAGCAGGGATGCTGACCCTTCCAGCTCCCTCTGCCTTAGCCGCTGAGCGCTGACTCGAGGTTAACTAAAATCCCAGGAAAGGACTCTTGATTGGCACTGGTCAGGGCCTGCCCCCTGACCAATTAAGAGTGGCCAAGCAGTGATATCACATAACAATGGTTGCTCCTGGGGGTGTCCCACAGTTGGGGAGCAGTTTGAGGAGGGGTGGGGAGGGTTCAGGACAGGCAGAATAGCAGAGGGAGGAGCGCACTGCCCAAGGGACTTTGCGTCTCTGCACCCTGCAAAGTATATTTATCCTCAACTCACAGATGAGGAGTCCACAGCCAGAGAGGGTCTGTGATAACAGCTGCTGAATGGAGGAGTCATGAGTGCCAGTGCCCGGACTCACCTCCTGCACCACTGCCTGGCCTTGGATCCTACCTTTTCTAGGTGCTCACGTATTCTTGCAAGATCTTTTATTTTATTTTTGAGATGGACTTTCGCTCTTGTCGCCCAGGCTGGAGTGTAGTGACGGGATCTTGGCTCGCTGCAACCTCCACCTCCCGGGTTCAAGTGATTCTCCTGCCTCAGCCTCCCAAGTAGCTGGGATTACAGGTGCCCACCACCACGCCCGGCTAATTTTTTCTCTTTTTAGTAGAGATGGTTTCGCCATGTTGACCAGGCTGGTCTCAAACTCCTGACCTCAGGTGATCCTCCCGCCTTGGCCTCCCAAAGTGCTGGGATTACAGGCGTGAGCCACTGCACCTGGCCTGTCCTTGCCAGATCTTAAGGCCTTGAAGACAGAAACCACGCTGGATCTTTTCTCTCATCCCCAGAGCTCGTTTCTCCAGGCTGGATCTGGGTAGTCCCTGGCTGCTACCAAGGGCTCCTCCGAGGAGTCTGCAGTGATGGAGAAGGAGCCACAAACCCATTTGTCACCTAAATTTCCCAGATGTGCAATGTCAGAGTGGTCCTGATGATTCATAGAAATCTCTCTATGTTCTTTTATTTTTTGTTTTTGTTTTTAGAGACATATCTCACTCTGTCACCCAGGCTAGAGAGCAGTGGTACGATAATGGCTCACTGCAGCCTCGAACTCCTGGGCTCAAGTAATCCTCCCAACTCAGCCTTCAGAGTAGCTGTGACTATAGACAAGCATCATCACACCCGGGTTTTTAGATTTTTTTTGTAGAGACAGGGTCTCATTATGTTGCCCAGGCTGGTCTCAATCTCCTGGCCTCAAGTGATCCTCCCACCTCCCAAAGTGTTGGAATTACAGGTGTGAGCCCGGCTTAGCCCCATGTTCTTAACAATCCTTACATCCTCAGGGGCTGAGCGTGAGCCCCAGGACTGCGCCAGCCAGCTCACCTCAGATGCGGTGTTTGCATCTGATTTGCCGGTTAAAGTCTCCATGTGTTAAATTTGCATTTCCCTTGTTATTACGATATTAGGTTTTATTCCCAATACTCAGAGCTAGAATACATGGCTCAAAGTGATTCACGGAGGCATGCAGGAGTCATGTGATCCCACCACGTGGAACGATCTTGTAAACATAAACAAGGGGCAGGGGAGCCATGCAAATGCAGAGAGGGTCCCCTGCCAGCTAATCCGCAGGTGCAACTGGAAAGAGTAAGCAGGCAGGACAGCCAGGAGCCTGACTGGACAGGCGGGACAGCAGGGACTGACTGGCTCCCACCTAACCCCAGCTCCTGGCAGTGGCTGTGATGCTGCTGTGAGTGCAGAAGAGGCCAGGAGCTCTTTTTTTTTTTTTCCTTTTGAGACAGAGTCTCGCTCTGTCGCCCAGGCTGGAGTACAATGGTGCGATCTCGGCTCACTGCAACCTCTGCCTCCTGGGTTTAAGTGATTCTCCTGCCTCAGCCTCCTGAGTAGCTGGGATTACAGGCATGTGCCACCACGCCCGGGTAATTTTTGTATTTTTAGTAGAGACGGGGTTTCACCATGTTGGTTAGGCTGGTCTCGAACTCCTGACCTCATAATCAGCCTGCGTTGGCCTCCCAAAATGCTGGGATTACAGGCGTGAGACGCTGTGCCCGGCCAGGAGCTCTTTTTCGAAGTGGGCGCTTTGTCTTCTCTAAATTCATAGGGGTTTTTTTTTTCCAGAACAAGCAAAAAATAATTATTTGCAGCAGAAAACGGATTAATTTTTACACTAAAGGCAGAGATGTCCAAATTATAGAGACACCATTCAATGTCCCCTTCCCTCTGGCAAGAAAAGAGAAACAGGTCACACTGTGCTGAGAAGGCAGGAAAACCTGCTTGTTGTGACTGAATTATGTCCCTCCAGATCCACTGGCTGAAACCCTAACTCCCAGTACCTCAGAATGGGACCGTATTTGGAGAGAGGGTAAAGGGGTATTTAAGTTCAAATAAGGTCATATGGGTGAGTATTTAAGTTTTTTAAAAAAGGCCATACTATCCTTATGAGAAGAGATTAGGCTGGGCGTGGTGGCTTACTCCTGTAGTCCCAGCACTTTGGGAGGCCAAGGCAGGCATATCACTTGAGCCCTGGAGTTCGAGACCAGCCTGGGCAACATGGCAAGACCTCATCTCTACAAAAAAATATGAAAATTAGGGCTGGGTGCTGTGGCTCACACCTGTAATACCAGCACTTTGGGAGGCCAAGGCGGGTAGATCACCTGAGGTCAAGAGTTCGAGACCAGCTTAGCCAACATGGTGAAACCCTGTCTCTACTAAAAATACAAAAATTAGCCGGGCGTGGTGGCAGGTGCCTGTAGTCCCAGCTAGTTGGGAGGCTGAGGCACGAGAATTGCTTGAACCGGGGAGGCAGAGGTTGCAGTGAGCTAAGATTGCACCACTGCACTCCAGCCTGGGCACCAGAGTGAGACTCCATCTCAAAAAAGGAAAAAAAAATTAACTGGGCACTGTGGCATGTGCCTGTGGTCCCTGCTACTAGGGGAGCTAAGGCGGGAGGGGCTTGAGCCTGGAAGGTCAACGCTGCAGTGAGTCAAGATTGCACCACTGCACTCCAGCCTGGGTGACAGAGCGAGAACCTGTCCCCCCAAGAAAAGAAGAAGAAGGGATGAGGACATAAACACACACAGAGGGAAGGCAGCACAAAGACTCGGGAATGAGAAGGTGGCCATCTCCAAGTCAAGGACAGAGGCCTCAAAAGACACCAACCCCACTGACACCCTGATCTTAGACTTCTGGCCTCTAGAGTTGTGAGAAAATAAATTTCTATTATCACAGTGGTGCACACCTGTAGTCCCAGCTACTCAGGAGACTGAGGCAGGAGGATCGCTTGAGCCCAGGAGTTTGAGGCTGTAGGGCTCTGTGATTGCATTTATGAATATCCCCACCGCCCTCCTGCCTGGCAAAACAGTAAGACTCTGTCTCTTTAAAAGATAAATAAATAAATAAATATTAAAGTAAACTGTTGTTTAATCTACCCAGTCTGTGGTATTTTGTTACGTCAGCCTAAGCTGACTCATACAGTGCCCCAGAGTTCATCTCAGATATTATGTTCAGAAAGTATGATGTTCTATTAGCAAATTTTTTTTTTTTTTGAGAGGAGTTTTGCTCTTGTTGCCCAGGCTGGAGTGCAATGGTGTGACCTTGGCTCACCACAACCTCCGCCTCCCAGGTTCAAGTAATTCTCTTGCCTCAGCCTCCCGAGTAGCTGGGATTACAGGCATGCACCACCACGCCCAGCTAATTTTTGTGTTTTATAGTAGAGACGGGGTTTCTCCGTGTTGGTCAGGCTGGTCTCGAACTCCCGACCTCAGGTGATCCACCCCGCCTCGGCCTCCCAAAGTGCTGAGATCACAGGCGTGAGCCACCGTGCCCGGCAGCAAATTTTTTTTTTTGAGACAGGTCTTGCTATGTTGCCCAGGCCGGTCTCGAACTCCTGGGCTCAAGCAATCCTCCTGCTTCAGCTTCCCAAAGTGCTGGGATTTGCCACGTGCAGTGGCTCACGCCTGTAATCACAGCACTTTGGGAGGTTGAGGCGAGTGGATCACCTGAGGTCAGGAGTTCGAGACCAGCCTGGTTAACATAGTGAAACCCCGCCTCTACTAAAAATACAAAAAAAAATTAGCTGGCCATGGTGGTGGGGCAGGCGCCTGTATTCCTATCTACTTGCAAGGCTGAGGCAGAGGGATCGCTTGAACCCGGGAGGCGGAGGTTAAGATCGCACCACTGCACTCCAGCCTGGGCAACAGCACAAGACTCTATCGCAAAAAAAGAAAAAAAAAAAAAAAGAAAGAAAGTCATCAGTCCAAAGTGCTGGGATTACAGCTATGAGCCACAGTGCCCAGCCCAATGACTAGCAATATTTTGACATTTTGACAAAGCTACCAATGTCTTGGCTCTCAGCCCCTATGCAGAGCAGGAGTGAGGGAGGAATGTTTGATGACTTTGTTCTGCTTATCACTGAGCACCCAAGCTCAGGGAAGGGCTGTGCGTGCGTGTGTGTGTGCGCGTGTGTGTGTTTATCCATGGCCCTGCAAATCAGGAGCCCAGGCTATGTGGCCCCTCCAGCATGAGTGCTGCTTCTCGATTTGACCAGGCTGAGGATCAAGTCAATGATTTTTTTTTTTTTGAGACAGAGTTTTGCTCTTGTCACCCAGGCTGGAGTGAGATCTCCAATGGTGAGATCTTGGCTCCTAGGTTCAAGTGATTCTCCTGCCTCAGCCTCCCGAGTAGCTGGGATTACAGGTGCCCACGCCTGGCTAATTTTTGCATTTTTCGTTTTTTTTAGTTTTTTGTTGTTCTTGTTGTTTGTTTTGAGACAGAGTCTTGCTCTGTCATCAGGTTGCGGTGCAGTGGCACGATCTTGGCTCACTGCAACCTCCGACTCCCCAGTTCAAGCGATTCTCCCGCCTCAGCCTCCCAAGTAGCTGGGATTACAGGCACACACCACCACACTCAGCTAATTTTTTTGTAATTTTAGTAGAGACAAGGTTTCACCATGTTGGCCAGGATGCTCTCGATCTCCTGACCGCGTGATACGCCCGCCTCGGCCTCCCAGAGTGCTGGGATTACAGGCGTGAGCCACCTCACCTGGCCAATAATGTATTTTTAGCTACATCTAAATGCTTTGCCAGAGAAAGAACCTTCTCCAAAGCCAAATGTCACCAGAGAGAGGCTTAAAACTCAGCTAGCCAGGCACACGCCCGGGTCAAGAGGGTGACGTGCTGCTGGTGCGTCGCCAGGACCACACCATGGGCAGCCTCCTGAGGAAACATCACCAGCTTCTGAGGCCAGCTTTTACCCGAACACCCAGAAGGGTCCCGTCTTAGCCCATCTGGGCAGGTGTGACAAATACCCCAGGACCAGGAGGCTTCTAAACAACAGACACTTCATTCTCAAAGTCCTAGAGGCCGGAAAGTCCAAAAGTCAAGGCACTGGCAGATTCTGTGTCCCGTTCAGAATTAGTCATTCTATTTATATATTTATTTTTAGGCCAGGCACGGTGGCTCACGCCTGTAATCCCAGCACTTTGGGAGGCCAAGGTGGGCAGATCGCTTGAGCCCGGGAGTTCAAGACCAGCCTGAGTAACATAGTAAGACCTCATCTCCACAAAAAATCAAAAAAATTAGCCAGGCATGGTGGCATGTGCCTGTAGTCCCAGCTACTTGGAAGGCTGAGGCAGGAAGATCACCTGAGCCTGGGAGGTTGAGGCTGCAGTGAGCCATGATTGCAACACTGCACTCTAGCCAGGGCAACAGAGGGAGACCCTGTCTCAAAAAAAATGTAAAGAAAGGCCAGGCGCGGTGGCTCATGCCTGCAATCCCAGCGCTTTGGGTGGCCAAGGTGGGTGGATCACTTGAGGTCAGGATTTCGAGACCAGTCTGGTCAACATGGTGAAACCTTGTCTCTACTAAAAATACAAAAAATTAGCTGGGCACGGTGCCATGTGCCTGTAATCCTAGCTGCTGGGGAGGCTGAGGCAGGAGAATCACTTGAACCCGGGAAGCAGAGGTTGCAGTGAGCTGAGATCGCACCACTGCACTCCAGTCTGTGAGACAGAATGAGATCCCGTCTTTAAAAAAAAAAAAAATGTAAAGAAAAAAAAAACCTGAAAAATCCCCTTCAGTCCAGAACCCCCGAGCCATGCGTCATGGGGCTGTGGCTGATTTTTAATCTGCTGGTCTTGTGCGTTTGCAGAGGGACTTTGCCAGAACTGGAGTAATTTGGTTAAGGCCGAAGCTCAGTGGACACAGACAGCTTGTCCTGGGTCCTGGGAGGGTGACAGGAGGAGGCTGCAGGTTCCCAGAACCACAGCCCTCACAGCTGGAGGGGGATTGGGAGAGACCCCCTCCCTGCACAGCCCCCAGTAACCAGTGTGTCACCCCAAGCCTGGGAGGGAAGGATGATTACTCTTCCTAGTTTACAGACGAGGAAACTGAGGCTCTGAACAGCCCACAGTCTCACAAAGAATGAGCAGCTGAAAGATGCTAACCAGGCCTGTTGGAGTCCACAGCCTCGTCTGCCTCTCGGGACAGGTGCTGCCACTGAACGAGGTGGCTGAGCTGATCCGGGGTGCCCTCTCCCCAATACCTCTTTCCCATGGGTCCCTCGCATGCCAGGAAGCTCCCTTTCCAGAGCCAGCCTTTGGAGTCCGGCAGAGGATCTGCCCAGGTCACTTCCTGGGGACTTGCCTTAGCTGACCCCCCCAGCTGGACAGCAGGGAGGGGGCTTGGGAAATGTCAAGGAGGAGGACCACGGGGTTGGGGGAGCCTTCACGGCGTCCACCCCTCTCCTCACTTCCCCTTCCAGCCTGGCCCTGGCCTTTCCGCCCCTCCTTCTGCTCCCCATGGGCACCCAGGCACAGATGTGGCCTGTTAGTGCTATCCGAGAGCTGTGGGGGATGCCTGTCACCTGTGTCCATGACTCAAGGGATAATTCTAAGTCCTCTCTCAGCTCCCAAAAGGCTGACCCCACCCTGCGCAGCACGGTCCTTTGTCCTGCTTTCCTGGGGGAACCACTTGTAAGTTGATTTGGGAACTCGTCCTAGCTCCAGATTGTTTTGCTTTATTTCAAATAACAGGTCAAGGCAGCTTGAACAGGGGCGTGAAAGGAAGTCAGAGGCAATCCCGGGGCAGCGGCCCTGCAGGGCGGCCCCCCACCCTGAGGTCTCCCACAGACTGGCTAGGTTTCAGGGCCATCTGAGGACACGGCTGGGACAGGCCCCCACCCCTCGTCACCTGGCCTTGCACTGTGTTTCAGCATCTGGGGTGGGGGTGTTCCATGGGCAGATACGAAGTCTCACAGTTTCCTAACAGGAAACGTGGGGCGTGGAGGCCTTCTTCGGGTCCCAGTCCACTGGGGTTAAGAAGAAGGGCTTGGGGCCAGGCACAGTAGTTCATGCTTGTAATCCCAGCACTTTGGGAGGCCAAGGCGGGCAGATCACTTGAGGTCAGGAGTTCAAGACCAGCCTGACCAACATGGTGAAACCATGTCTCTACTAAAATTACAAAAGAAATTAGCCAGGCGTGGCCAGGCGCGGTGGCTCATGCCTGTAATACCAGCACTTTGGGAGGCAGAGGCAGGCGGATCACAAGGTCAGGAGTTCAAGACCAGCACGGCCAACATGGTGAAACCCCATCTCTGTTAAAAATACAAAAATCAGCAGGGCGTAGCCGGGCACGGTGGCTCACGCCTGTAATCCCAGCACTTTGGGAAGCCGAGGCGGGTGGATCACTTGAGGTCAGGGGTTCGAGACCAGCCTGGCCAACATGGTGAAACTGACTCTACTAAAAATACAAAAATTAGCTGGGCATGGTGTCATGCGCCTGTAATCCCAGCACTTTGGGAGGCCTAGGCGGGCAGATCACCTGAGTTCAGGAGTTCGAGACCAGCCTGGCCAACATGGTGAAACCCCGTTTCTATTAAAAGATGAAAATTAGGGCTCTTGGAGGGGAATCAAACACAGGGAGTAGCTCTCCCTCTCCCTGTCCCTGTCCCTGTCCCTCTCCCTCTCCTCATGGTCTCCCTCTCCCCATGGTCTCCCTCTCCCTCTCTTTCCACGGTCTCCCTCTCATGCCGAGCCGAAGCTGGACTATACTGCTGCCATCTCGGCTCACTGCAACCTCCCTGCCTGATTCTCCTGCCTCAGCCTGCGGAGTGCCTGCAATTGCAGGCGCGCGCCACCACGCCTGACTGGTTTTCGTATTTTTTTGGTGGAGACGGGGTTTCGCTGTGTTGGCCGGGCTGGTCTCCAGCTCCTAACCGCGAGTGATCTGCCAGCCTCGGCCTCCCGAGGTGCCGGGTTTGCAGACGGAGTCTGGTTCACTCAGTGCTCAGTGGCGCCCAGGCTGGAGTACAGTGGCGTGATCTCGGCTCGCTACAACCTCCACCTCCCAGCCGCCTGCCTTGGCCTCCCAAAGTGCCGAGATTGCAGCCTCTGCCCGGCCGCCACCCCGTCTGGGAAGTGAGGAGCGTCTCTGCCTGGCCGCCCATCGTCTGGGATGTGAGGAGCCCCTCTGCCTGGCTGCCCAGTCTGGAAAGTGAGGAGCGTCTCTGCCCAGCCGCCATCCCATCTAGGAAGTGAGGAGCGCCTCTTCCCGGCCGCCGTCACATCTAGGAAGTGAGGAGCGTCTCTGCCCGGCCGCCCCGTCTGAGAAGTGAGGAGCCCCTCCGCCCGGCAGCCGCCCCGTCCGGGAGGGAGGTGGGGGGGTCAGCCCCCCGCCCGGCCAGCCGCCCCGTCTGGGAGGTGAGGGGCGCCTCTGCCCGGCCGCCCCTGCTGGGAGGTGAGGAGCCCCTCTGCCCGGCCACCACCCCGTCTGGGAGGTGTGCCCAACAGCTCATTGAGAGCGGGCCAGGATGACAATGGCGGCTTTGTGGAATGGAGCGGGGGGAAAGGTGGGGAAAAGATTGAGGAATCGGATGGTTGCCGTGTCTGTGTAGAGGGAGGTAGACATGGGAGACTTTTCATTTTGTTCTGTACTAAGAAAAATTCTTCTGCCTTGGGATCCTGTTGATCTGTGACCTTACCCCCGACCCTGTGCTCTCTGAAACATGTGCTGTGTCCACTCAGAGTTAAATGGATTAAGGGCGGTGCAAGATGTGCTTTGTTAAACAGATGCTTGAAGGCAGCATGCTCGTTAGGAGTCATCACCACTCCCTAATCTCAAGTACCCAGGGACACAAACACTGCGGAAGGCCGCAGGGTCCTCTGCCTAGGAAAACCAGAGACCTTTGTTCACTTGTTTATCTGCTGACCTTCCCTCCACTATTGTCCTTTGACCCTGCCAAATCCCCCTCTGTGAGAAACACCCAAGAATGATCAATAAAAATAAATAAATAAATAAATAAATAAATAAAAAAGAAAATTAGCTGGGCGTGGTGTTGTGCACCTATAATCTCAGCTACTCGGGAGGGTGAGGCAGGAGAATCACTTGAACCTGGGAGGCACAGGTTGCAGTGAGCCGAGTTTGTGCCACTGCACTCCAGCCTGGGTGACAGAGTGAGACTCCATAAAAAAAAAAAAAAAAAACAACTCTGTGAGGCCCACACTGTAAGGAAGCACAGAAGTAGCAAAGGCTTTGCTGAGTATTGGGAACCTACCCTGGGCAACAAGCTCAGACCTGCCTGGGAAGGAGCTGTGCCCAGCAATGATGCAATGATGAAATGATGCTTTTTTTTTTTTTGAAAGGCATGTGCCACCATGCCTGGCTAATTTTGTATTTTTAGTAGAGACGTGGTTTCACCATGTTGGCCAGGCTGGTCTCGAACTCCTAACCTCAAGTGATCCACCTGCCTCGGCCTCCCAAAATGCTGTTATTACAGGCATGAGCCACCGCGCCCAACCAGTGATGCTTATTTTTTCTGCCAGTGGTGAGGCTGCGAACACAGGGACCATGGGAGTGGGAGCAGCCAGCCTGAGGACGGACAGTAGTGCAGGGGCACCCCCACCTGGCATGGGAGGTTAAGAGCCAGCCACCAGGCCTACATGGCTGGGGAGGGTGGATCCCTAGCTGCCAGGAGAGGGTGGTGCCACTGGGGAGGCCACAGAATGTCCTCTTCGAGTCCCTGAGCCTGCATCCTGCAGGCTGCAAAGCGCAGTTGCCTGGAGTAGCTGGTGCCGACTGGGATAATAACCAAGCGCTTCTCATTGCTGTGGGGGCATCTCTCTTTCCCATCCCAACAAAGAGGCCAGGCCTTCGGCTCGCTTGTCTCTGGGAAAGCAGACAGAGCGGGCAACCAGATCACAGCCTCCCTGGCCAGCACCCACACACCCTGGAGTGGCAGAAACTGGGGCTCCCTCAGAGGATTAGGCTGGGGCAAGCAGGAGGGCAGTGGGTTAGAGGCAGGTGCAGGCGGAGGGGAGGGATTGGCAGCCTCCCCACCTAAGCCTCGGAAGGGATGAGGCCCCTCCTAGCCTCAGATGGGAGGACCCTGGGAATGTAGCTGCAGGGGAGCCCAGGATAGCCAAACCCTGGAGATAGGGGTCCCAGGGAAACTCCTTATAAAATTTATAAAATTAATCAGGGGCTCGGTGCAATGGCTCATACCTGTCATCCCAGCACTTTGGGAGGCTGAGGCAGGCAAATCACTTGAGGTTAGGAGTTTGAGACCAGCCTGGTCAACATGGCAAAACCCTGTCTCTACTAAAAACACAAAAATTAGCTGGGTGTGGTGATGGGCGCCTGTAATTGCAGCTACTCGGGAGGCTGAGGAAGGAGAATCGCTGGAACCAAGAGGCAGAGGTTGCAGTGAGCTGAGATTGCGGCACTGCACTCCAGCCTGGGCGACAAGAGCCAGATTCCATCTCAAAAAAAAAAAAAAAAAGTAATCAGGGAAGAGGAGGGAAAAACGGAAACAAGCCAAGCTTGCAAGCTACTCAGCATGAGCTCTGAGAGCAGCCTGCTCTCTGACCAGCTGCCTCACAGCCATGCAGTGCCTGTGGCGGCCTCAGAATCACACAGACCCTGTCGCAGGATGCTAACACCCCTTAACTGCTCTGTAGACAGCCACTTGTATGTCATGAAACGTTCACTTTTGCATTTGAGATATTCTTTCAGGGCCTGCATCCGGATGAAACTACTGACGCCAGCTAGTCTGAAAGATCCCACAAAGAACTGACTCACAAAAAAAAAAAAAAAAAAGCCATTTCCACATCCTGACGAATTCATCTCCCTGCCCCCACCAATCAATGACTCCAGTTTTCCAACCCCTTGACTTCTTTATAGGATCCCCGTAAAAGCCCCAGCCCGGAACTCCTCTGGAGGTGGATTTGAGGGTCCCCTCCCAGTTCCTTGCTCTGTGCTCGGCAATCATTAAACTCTTTCTTTGCTGCAAACCCTGCTGTCTCAGTGTCCTGGTCTGCTACTGAGCAACAGGCATGCAAATATGTCGGTCCTATGACACCAGCCTTAGCCAAACCCTAGGCCCAGGAGAGTCACACCCTAGAGGTCTAGACAAGAAGAGTGTCAGCAGGGACCATTTTGCATTGTAGACTACAGGCCCAGCTAATTTTTGTACTGTTAGTAGAGATGGGGTTTCATCATGTTGGCCAGGCTGGTCTCTGGTCTCGAACCCTTGACCTCAGGTGACCCGCCCGCCTTAGCCTCCCAAAGTGCTGGGGTTACAGGCCCGGAAGTTCCTTTTAATGAGTATAATAAAATCTTTACATCTTGTTTTTTGGAAAACGCTATATTTAAGCTTTGTTCTTAAAAGACTGTTTTCCTTGGTACACATTGCAAATTAATAGTTGTTTTCTCTTCACATTTTGGAAATATTATTCCACTGTCTTCCAGCTTCCATTGTCATTGAAAGCCTCCCTATTGTCCTCTAGGTTTGGTGGTTTTGTGTTTTTGTTTTGTTTTTTTAAATTGGTCAGGCGTGGTGGCTCACGCCTGTAATCCCAACACTTTGGGAGGCTGAGGCGGGCGGATTGCGAGGTCAGGAGTTCGAGACCAGCCTGGCCAACATGGTGAAACCCGTCTCTACTAAAAAATACAAAAATTAGCTAGGCATGGTGGTGTGTGCCTGTAATCCCAACTACTCAGGAGGCTGAGGCAGGAGAACTGCTGGAACCTGGGAGGCGGAGGTTGCAGTGAGACGAGATCATGCCACTGCACTCTAGCCTGGGCAACAGAGCAAGACTCCATCTCAAGACTCCAGCTGCGGTGGCTCATGCCTGTAATCCCAACACTTGGGGAGGCCAAGGCTGGCAGATTGCTTGAGTTCAGGAATTTGAGACCAGCAATGTGGTGAAACCCTGTTGTCACCGGTGGAGGTTCTTGGCATCTTGAACAAAGAATTGGACAAAATGCACAAACAAAGCAAGGAAGGAATAAAGGGATTTATTGAGAATGAATATACACTCTACGGTGTGGGAGCTGGCCTGAGCATAGGGGCTCAAGGGCCCCATTACAGAATTTTTGGGAATTTAAATACCCTCTAGAGGATTCCATTGGTTACTTAGGGTATGCCCTATGTAAATGAAGAGGATGAAGTAAAGTTATAAGGTTATTTACTTGGCCTATGCCCTGTGGAGAGGATACTTCCTGTCATAGCTGAAGTGTGAATTGGCCTTATGTGCCCTGCCTCCGGACCCTATTTTCCTGCCTCACCATCTCTACTAAAAGTACAAAAGAATTAGCCAGACATGGTGGCACGTGCCTGTAGTCCCAGCTACCGGGGAGGCTGAAGTGGGAGGATTGCTTGAACCCCGGAGGCAGAGGCTGCAGTAAGTGGAAATCATGCCACTGTACACCAGCCTGGGCGACAGAGCCTGTCTCAAAAAAAAAGTCTCCCATTCATCACGCTGCCATGATCTGCAGCTTTCCAAAAGCATACCTAGGTTTAGATTCTTTTTATTTATCCTGCTCAATGTATGTTGTGACTCTATGTTTATAGATTCCTGACTTGCACCATTTCTAGAAAATTCTCAGTCATTAGAGGTTTTTTTTGTTTGTTTTGTTTTTGAGATGGCGTCTTGCTCTGCTGCCCAGGCTGGAGTGCAATGGTGAGATCTCTGCTCACCGCAACCTCCGCCTCCCGGGTTCAAGCGATTCTCCTGCCTCAGCCTCCTGAGTAGCTGAGACTACAGGCACCTGCCACCACGCCCGGCTAATTTTTGTATTTTTAGTAGAGATGGGGTTTCACCATATTGGCCAGACTGGTCTCGAACTCCTGACCTTGTGATCCGCCCGCCTCAGCCTCCCAAAGTGCTGATATTACAGGCATGAGCCACCACCCCCAGCAGCTTTTTTTTTTCTTTTGAGAGGCAGTTTAGCTCTTGTTGCCTAGGGTTCAAGCGATTCTCCTGCCTCAACCTCCTGAGTAGCTGGGATTACAGGCATGTGCCACTACACTGGCCAATTTTGGTTTTTTATTTTTTATTTTTTGAGACTGTGTCTCCCCCTGTCGCCCAGGCTGGAGTGCAGTGGTGTGATCTCGGCCCACTGCAACATCTGCCTCCCAGCTTCCAGCGATTCTCCTGCCCCAGCCTCCCAAGTAGCTGGGATTACAGACGCCTGCTACCAGGCTGGCTAATTTTTTTATTTTTAGTAGAGATGGGGTTTCACCATGTTGGCCAGGCTGGTCTCGAACTCCTGACCTCAGACAATCTGCCCGCCTCAGCCTCCCAAAGTGCTGGTATTACAGGCGTGAGCTGTGACCATGCCCGGCCATTAGCTCTTTATTTGCTGCCTCTCCTCGCTCAACTCCTGGGACTCAAGATTAGGCTCCGTGAATGTCCCCTGGTGGGTGGTGGACAGGTCTAGACAAACCTGCCCCAAAAGTCTAAGGAAGCTAAGAGGCTGAAAAAAGAGGCTGACAAATCTGGCTTCTCAGGAAAAAACGTTTAATAGGGCCTTATGAACAGAAGCCATGTCTGTGTGTAAAGCAGCGAGACAAGAGGTGGATCGCCACACTCTCACTCCCAGACCCAGGGCTTACATAGCCTGGGAAAGGGTGAGTCAGAGGGACGAGCAGGCCACTTGAAGTATGATAACATTAAGATTGTTTGACCTTAGGGCAGGATTTATAGTAAGTGTGTGCTCTTACACAAGGAACAATAGAGAAACTGGAAATCTTTTTGTTTTTGAGTCGAAGTCTCACTTTGTCGCCCCGGCTGGAGTGCAGTGACACGATCTCGGCTCACTGCAACCTCTGCCACCGGGTTTCGAGGGATTCTCCTGCCTCAGCCTCCCGAGTAGCAGGCACAGGCCACCGCGCCCGGCTTATTTTTGTATTTTTAGTAGAGACGGGGTTTCGCCATGTTGCCCAGGCTGGTGCCCAACTCCTGACCTCAGGTGATCCACCCGCCTCAGCCTCCCAAATTAAAGGTTCTCGTATCGGTTCCAACCCCGAGAGCGCGCCAACAGACAGCACGAGGCAATGTGGGGGCAACACGCTGTTTTAATGAGCGATTACGTGCAGGTGGGCCGAGACCTAAAATGGCGTCAGCACCAAATGAGGACGGAGTGGGGGTTTTATAGTCTCCTGTAAACAGGAAGTGTCCCAGTCTGACGTGACTGCTACATGGTACCCGGACGGCCTCCCACTCGATCTTCAGCGAGTATGTGTCTTCCGGCCAGGTAGGTGTTTTCTGCCCGGCTCTCTTCCTGCTTCGGCCATGCTGCTGGCGCTTAAGTAGCCTTGCGCCTTGGGACTGGGCCTGAGAAGGGAGGCGTTACCCATCCCTTCAAGCTTTCAGGCCCCGGGGAGAATCACCAAAGTGCTGGGATTACAGGGGTGAGCCACCGCGCCCGGCCAAACTGGAAATGTTAGAGGCCTCCCAGAACTGGGATTACTCAGAAGTCAACATGGCAGATTAGCGTCCAAGATGGAGCTGCTTTGACAGCCTCGACCTCCCCAGCTCAAGTGATCCTCCCACTGGGACTACAGGCATGCACCACCGTGCCCGTCTAATTTTTTATTTTATTTTTAAATTTTATTTATTTATCTTTTTTGAGATGGAGTCTTGCTCTGTTGCCCAGGCTGGAGTGCAGTGGCGCAATCTCGGCTCACTGCAACCTCCGCCTCCCAGGTTCACGCCATTCTCCTGCCTCAGCTTCCGGAGTAGCTCGGACTACAGGTGCCCGCCGCCACGCCCGGCTAATTTTTTGTATTTTAATAGAGACGGGTTTCACCATGTTGGTCAGGATGGTCTCGATTTCCTGACCTCGTGATCCACCCGCCTTGGCCTCCCAAAGTGCTGGGATTACAGGCGTGAGTCACCGCGCCTGGCCTTTATTTTTTAATTTTTTTAGAGACAAAGTCTCACTATGTTGCTCAGGCTGGTCTCAAACTTCTGGCCTTAAGTGATCCTCCCGCCCGGCCTCCCAAAGTGCAGGGATAACAGGCGTCAGCCAGGGCTCCCAGCCTCTGTGTCTCTTTATTGCTATTAATATTTCATCCTCTTTCCTTCTCCACGTCCTCCCCGCCACTTCCTGGCTTCCCTCTCACGCTCCAGGCCTTGCCAGGGCCCCACCCGGCCTCCAGGGATGTTCCAAGGCCCAGCCTGCCAGGCTGAAGTGAGTGTTCTCTGGGTTCAGCTGAGAACAGCTGGAATCTACCCCAAAGCAAATTTCCTAGGTAACTTTAGGGCAAACAGAGGCCAAACAATGGAAAGAATAGAGGCCCCCAGAGGGAGAGACCAAAGGGGCCGCCATGGGCTGTCCCCGGGGCTGGGCCTGGGCTCTGCTCCAAATGCCTGCCCTCCTCCCCACCAGAGCCTTCCTGCCTCAGGCTCTGAAGATTCAATCACTAGGGGGACCCCAGAGGCTCTTTCTCCCCACCCCCACACACTACTGATCCCCTGGCGGGGAAGGTGAGAGGGCGCAGGTTGGGGGCAGGGCTGGAACCCCCCTAAGCCACAGACAAAACTGAAGAATGAAGTGTCTGTCCTCTGGGGGTAGGGGTTGGAACCCATGACAGAGGGTGCTCAGGCCCCCAGCCCAGTCCAAGTCCAGTCTGAATGTCCCCTGCCCCAGCCCTCACAGCTTTTCAATCTCCTGCCACCCAGGATGGCCGCTGCTGGGCCTGCAGGGTCCTCCCAGGACCCTAGGAGAGAGAGGATGCTCTGATCCACACAGCACTTCGCTACCCGGGACATGCAGAAGCCCCTACCCAGAGCGCGAGGGCCAGCAGACCCAGGGGGACCAATCCGAGTCCAGATCGGGGATTTTGCTACCTTGCACCCAGCTGATTGGCTCAAGGAGAACCAATCAGAACCCAGAGTTGGGATTTTGCAAACAAAATGCAGAAGAGAACTTTGTCTTCCCAGTCCCACGGAGAGCCAGTCTGTCAAGAACAGAGATGAGGAGTGGACAGGAAGAGAGTAGTGGGGGCATTGGAGCACTAGGCTTGGGGAGTTCCTGCTTGTCCGAATATTCGGTTTGGAATCTTGGCAATTCCACAAGCCAGTGAATCTTCTTTGTGGGTGAGTGAATGTGAAGTGGATTTCTGAAATTTGCAACTAAGAGAATCCTGATTCATTCAGTGTTCAAGGATATTTACATCTGGAAACAAAACAAACAGCAAAAACCTGGGCCCCATCACCCTGGGCTCCAAGCCGTGCGAGCTTCTCAGGAGAGTGGTCTATACCTGCTGTCTCTCCTTCCGAGGTCTGATCTCTCCATGCTGCCCACTGAAACCGCCCCCACCACTACCCCCACAAGGAGGCCAAAGACCTACGAGTCCCCGAGCCTGAGGGACACACTCAGCCATCATCTTCCTAAACCCTGCCAGGGCCTGATGCTGCCCGATACTCTCCTCTCCCTCAAGATTCTGTCCTGGCCTCTCACCCCTTCTCTTCCTCTCCTCCTCTGGGGGCCTCGCAGGCCAATCACAGCCACCTAAATCCTTGTCACTGGCCCAGCCCTCTGCCTGGAGGTTGCTCAAGGCACCTTAGTACGACATGTCAAAATCAAACTCACCATCTTTCCCTGCACGGCTGCTCCTACCCCCCGGCCTTTGTACAAGATGTTCCCTCTGCCCGGTGTGCCCTCTCCACCCTGATCCACTATAAACCAATTGCCTTTCCGGCTTCCGGACTCCCTGGCATCAGCCCACCCCCTGCAAAGCTTATTGCCCAAGCTTGAGGAGCCAGGTAGGGGGAGGGTCTGAGTTGTGACGTCCCCACTGAAGGAAATCAAAATATACCCCAAAATATGACTCCCTGCTATAATGAGCATTTGAATTAAAAACCCTTAGGCTGGGTGCCGTGGCTCACTCTTGATCTCACCACTTTGGGAGGCTGAGGCAGGTGGATCAACTGAGGTCAGGAGTTCGAGACCAGCCTGACCAAGATGGTGAAACCCCCGTCTCTACTAAAAATACAAAAATTAGCTGAGTGGCCGGGCGCGCTGGCTCACGCCTGTAATACCAGCACTTTGGGAGGCCGAGGCGGGCAGATCATGAGATCAGATCACGACCATCCTGGCTAACACGGTGAAACCCTGTCTCTACTAAAAATACAAAAAAAATTAGCCGGGGATGGTGGCGGGCGCCTGTAGTCCCAGCTACTCGGGAGGCTGAGGCAGGAGAATGGCGTGAACCGGGGAGGCGGAGCTTGCAGTGAGCGGAGATCGAGCCACTGCACTCCAGCCTGGGCGACTGAGCGAGACTGTCTCAAAAAAAAAAAAAAATTAGCTGAGGGTAGTGGCCCAGGCCTGTAATCCCAGCTACTCCGGAGGCTGAGGCAGGAGAATCACTTGAACCCCGGAGGTGGAGGTTGCAGTGAGCTGAGATCATGCCATTGCACTCCAACCTGGCAACAAAAGTGAAACTCCGTCTCAAAAAAATAAAAATAAAAATAATGGCTGGGCGCAATGGCTCACACCTGTAATCCCAGCTCTTTGGGAAGCCGAGGCAGGCGGATCACATGGTCAGGAGATCGAGACCATCCTGGCTAATACGGTGAAACCCCGTCTCTACTAAAAATGCAAAAAATTATCCGGATGAGGTAACGGGCGCCTGTAGTCACAGCTACTCGGGGGGCTGAGGCGGAAGAATGGCGTGAACCCGGGAGGCGGAGCTTGCAGTGAGCCGAGATCGCGCCACTGCACTCCAGACTGGGCGATAGAGGGAGACTCCGGAATGAATGAATGAATGAATAAATAAATAAATAAATAAATAAATAAATAAATAAATAAAAATTAACAACCCTGAGAGATCGGCAATGCAGGAAGAGCTTCCCCCCACCACCCCATCTACCTAAAGATGGGACTCACCCGCCAAGAACAGCTGTTCTTTTTGTCATGCATGTCCCTGTTAAGAGACCATCAAACAAACAGGCTTTTGTGTGAGCAACAAGGCTGTTTATTTCACATTTCACCTGGATGCAGGCGGGCTGAGTCCGAAAGGAGAGTCAGCAAAGGGTGGTGGGATTATCATTAGTTCTTACAGGTTTGGGGATAGGCGGTGGAGTTAGAAGCAACGTTTTGCGGGCAGCGGGTGGATCTCACAAAGTACATTCTCAAGGGTGGGGAGAATTACAAAGAAACTTCTTAAGGGTGGGGAAGATAATAAGAACCTTCTTAAGGGTGGGGAAGATTACAAAGAACCTTCTTAAGGGTGGGGAAGATTACAAAGAACCTTCTTAAGGGTGGGGAGATTACAAAGAACCTTCTTAAGGGTGGGGAGATTACAAAGTACATTGAACAGTTAGAGTGGGGCAGAAACAAACCACAATGGTGGAATGTCAGCAGTTAAGGCTATTTTCACTTCCTTTGTGGATCTTCAGTTGCTTCAGGCCATCTGGATGTATACCTGCAGGTCACAGTGCATATGATGGCTTAGCTTGGGCTCAGAGGCCTGACATTTTTCCCTCCCTGTTATGTCATTATCCAAAAATGCAGCCACACCTGAACAGATTCTTTATTTTTTTTTTTTGAGACCGAGTCTCGCCCTGTCACCCAGGCTGGAGTGCAGTGGCTCGATCTCAGCGTACTGCAACTTCAACCTCCCAGGTTCAAGCGATTCTCCTGCCTCAGCCTCCTGAGTAGCTGGGATTACAGGCACGTGCCACCACAGCTGGCTAATTTTTGTATTTTTAGTAGAGAAGGGGTTTCACCATGTTGGCCAGGCTGGTCTGGAGCTCCTGACCTCAGGTGATCCACCTGCCTCGGCCTCCCAAAGTGCTGGGATTACAGGCATGAACCACCTCGCCTGCCCACTGAACACATTCTTTCCAAGACAATGACTGTCTCCAGGGGTCGTTTAAATTCCAAAGAGAACGATTTAGAAATTAATCTCTGAGGCCGGGCTCGGTGCCTATAATCCCAGCACTTTGGGAGTCTGAGGTGGGCGGATCACGAGGTCAGGCGATCGAGACCATCCTGGCCAACATGGTGAAACTCCATCTCTACTAATATGCAAAAAAAAAAAAAAAAGTTAATATTGGTTCCCCATTTAATCCTTCTCCCTGGCAGTCATTTATTGCCCCACAACAGAATTCCTCTCTTCTCCCTTCCCATTTTACCAGGATCTAAGCCCCCATTCTTTCTGCAACCTCAAGGTGGTTTGGAAGTTTCTGCACCGCATTGGGAGGTTGGGTCTTCATTGTGAGTGCTCCCATGCATGCCCCCCTGATGAACCTGTGTGCCTTTTGTGCTGTGAATCAATCTGCCTCACATCAGTGATTACAGCTCTTGACCCCCCAACCCCCCTAACGCCAATCCCTTCATCTGTGGACCAGGAACAGTAGCCAGCTCACCTGCTTCAAGGGTTGAACTAAGCTCAAGTGAGGACTAGACCCTGAATGTTTCATGTGGGGAGCCTGGTCTGTTTTAAGAGACCAAAAAGGGGGTTGGAACTGTTAACAGGATTGGCTGGGCGCGGTGGCTCAAGCCTGTAGTCCCAGCACTTTGGGAGCCGAGGTGGGTGGATCACAAGGTCAGGAGATCTAGACCACCCTGGCTAACAGGGTGAAACCCCGTCTCTACTAAAAAATACAAAAAATTAGCCGGGTGTGGTGATGAGCGCCTGTAGTCCCAGCTACTGGGGAGGCTGAGGCAGGAGAATGGTGTGAACCTGGGAGGCGGAGCTTGCAGTGAGCCGAGATCGCGCCACTGCACTCCAGCCTGGGCGACAGAGGAGACTCCGTCTGAAGAAAAAAAAGAAAAAGAAACTGTTAACAGGAAAGGGGTCCCGATCCAGACACAAGAGAGGGTTCTTGGATCTCCCGGAAGAAAGAATTCAGGGCGAGTCCATAAAGTGAAAGCAAGTTTATTAAGAAAGTAAAGGAGCTGAGCACAATGGCTCATGCCTGTAATCCCTGCACTTTGGGAGACTGTGGCTGGCGGATCACTTGAGGTCAGGAGTTTGAGACCAGCCTGGCCAACATGGTGTAACCACGTCTCTAGTGAAAATACAAAAAAAGAGCCAGGCATGGTGATGCGCGCTTGTAGTCCCAGCTACTCAGGAGGCTGAGGCAGGAGAACTGCTTGAACCTGGGAGGCAGAGGTTGCAGTGAGCCGAGATCTCTCCACTGCACTCTAGCCTGGGGCAGCAGAGTGAGACTCCTCAAGAAAAAAAAAAAAAAAGTAAAGGAATAAAGAATGGCTACTCCATAGACAGAGCAGCCCCAAGGGCTGCTGGTTGCACATTTGTATGTTTTTTTTTCTTTCTTTCTTTCTTTCTTTTTTTGAGACGGAGTCTCACTGTGCTGCCCAGGCTAGAGTGCAATGGTATGATCTCAGATCACTGCAGCCTCCGCCTCCTGAGTTCAAGCGATTCTCCTGCCTCAGCTTCCCGAGTAGCTGGGACTACAGGCGCCTGCCACCACACCCGGCTAAGTTTTGTATTTTTAGTAAAGATGGGGTTTCACCATTTTGGCCAGACTGGTCTCGAACTCCTGACCACAAGTGATCCACCAGCCTCGGCCTTCCAAAGTGCTGGGATTATAGGCATGAGCCACCACGCCCAGCTGGTTATGTCTTAATTATATGCTAAACAAGGGGTTGGTTATTCATGCCTCCCCTTTTTAGACCATATAGGGTAATTTCCTGACGTTGCCGTTGCATTTGTAAACTGTTATGGATTGGTGGGAGTGTAGTCGTGAGGACTCTCATTGCCATCCTGGTTTTGGTGGGGTTTTTTTGTTTGTTTGTTTTGGTTTGGTTTTTTTGAGACAGAGTCTCGCTCTGTCACCCAGGCTGGAGTGCAGTGGTGAGATCTCGGCTCACTGCAAGCTCCGCCTCCCAGGTTCATGCCACTCTCCTGCCTCAGCCTCCCAAGTAGCTGGGACTACAGGCGCCTGCCACCACGCCCGGCTAATTTTTTGTATTTTTAGTAGAGATGGGGTTTCACCATGTTAGCCAGGATGGTCTCAATTTCCTGACCTTGTGATCCACCCGCCTCGGCCTCCCAAAGTGCTGGGATTACAGGCGTGAGCCACTGCACCCAGCAGTTTTGGTGGGTTTTGACTGGCTTCTTTACTGCAACCTGCTTAATCAGCAAGGTCTTTATGATCTGTATCTTGTGCTGAACTCCTATCTCACCCTGTGACTTAGAATCCCTTAACCATCTGGGAAGGCAGCCCAGTAAGTAGGTCTCAGCCTCATTTTACCCAGGTCCTATTAAAGATGGGAGTTGCTCTGGTTTCCATGCCTCTGACAAAACCACTTAGAGGTAGAAAGCCACATGTGAGCTGACTTTTGAAGAAGGCTCACTTCATTTGTAACCAAACACAGGTCCGGATGCCCACAGAGTCCAATTTACAAGAGTGAGAGTTCTGGCAGAAAGAAAGTGATTTTGGCCAGGCACGATGGCTCATGCCTATAATTCCAGCACTTTGGGAGGCCGAGGCAGGTGGATCACCTGAGGTCAGGGGTTCGAAACCAGCCTGGCCAACATGGCAAAACCCTGTCTCTACTAAAAATACAAAATTAGCTGGGTGTGGTGGCGCATGCCTGTAATCCCAGCTACTTGGGAGGCTGAGACAGGAGAATCGCTTGAACCTGGGAGGCGGAGGTTGCCGTGAACTGAGATCCCGCCATTGCATTCCAGCCTGGGCAACAAGAGCGAAACTCTGTCTCAAAAAAAAGGAAGAAAGTGATCTTGTTACTCAGAACTCCCAAAACTAGTAATGGGGAAGTAGCCGGACTCCCATCCAAAGCAACCACTTCAAATTTGGAGGGGGAAAGCAAGCGTTTAGAAAGGGAAAACTGGCCAGGAGTGGTGGCTCATGCCTGTAATCCCAGCACTTTGGGAGGCTGAGGTGGGCAAATCGCTTGAGCTCAGGCATTCGAGACCAGCCTGGGCAACATGGAGAGACCCTGTCTCTACAAAAATACAAAAAAATTGGCAGGGCGTGGTGGTGCACACATGTAGTCCCAGCTACTTGGAGCAGGTGAGGCGGGGGGGTCATCACTTGAGCCCAGGAGGTGGAGGTTGCAGTGAGCAGAGATCACGCCACTGCACTCCAGCCTGGGCAACACGGTGAGACCCCATCTCAAAAAATAAAGAAAAGAGAAAATTTGATAAGGAAGGTATATGCAGGAACGTGCTGAGTACAACATCTATGTGTCCTATTCCTGAGGCTATCTTGGGTCCCAGCCCACCTGGAGCATGGGCTGGCAACATCTCAAGAATGGGCGGGTTGTTAATTAGCCGTCTTGAGGTCCTCTCTGGAATTTTGCAGCTGTATCTCCAGGTTTGGTCTGCCTGTCTCAAGATCAGCCCTGGAGCTTCTAAGAAGGCTTATAATCAGATACTAACATGCAGTTAGGTAAATGTGAGGGGAGTATAGATGGCGGAAAGAGGAGAGACCCGGAGTCTGTTTCACGGCTAAGGGAAAAGGGGCTTCTGCAATTTGTTACAAGGTTACATCTTGAAACCCAAGAGAAAGATAAAGAAAATTTAAAAATGCATTTTGGTGTGGGGCACAGCGGCTCACGCACCTATAATCTCAGCTACTCAGGAGGCTGAGTCAGGAGAGTCACTTGAACCTGGGAGGTGGAGGTTGCAGTGAGCTGAGATCGCGCCACTGCCCTCCAGCCTGGCGACAGAGCGAGACTCCATCTCAAAAACAAACAAAAAAATAAAAATAAATGCATTTTGAAGTTAATTATAACTAGGCAGTTAAAAATAACTGCCTAGTTACACGTTCACTCACTCACTCATTCATTCATTAATTCATCAAACACTGAGTACCTAGTATCTTCCAGGTCCTGGGCTTGAATGGAACCCCAGCCTGCCCTCCAGGAACTCCTGGTCAGTGGGGCTGAGAGGCAAAAACAGGCCATGCCCCTGTCATATGATCAAGTCATGATGAAGGGCAGGGAATAGTGGGACAGAGCAGACAGACAGAGCCTGTGGGCTCTGAGATGGACATGGAGGCTGACCCACTGCTGTCCCTGCATCGGGAGGGGCAGAACTGGAAGGCAAACCCAAGTTTCAGCATCCTAACCCTGGCTGTCCCAGGGTTAGGACAGACTGGGACTCAGGGGCTCCCGGGGTTAGGACAGATTGGGAGTAAGGCCTTGGGTCTCCGTTCTGTGGGAGAGGTACCCCCATCAGGCAGCGGCCTGGAGGGGTGAGGACAGAGGCTGCCAGCTCTCTGCTGATCCCTCCCACCCTCTCACAGTCCACGTGGGCTGGGGGTACTTATAAGGACAGAGTCCAACAGTGCCCAGTGCCAGGCTGGCTCACCCTGCTGCACACCAGAAAGTCCTAGCTAGTGGTTCTCAAAGCGAGGTTGCCCAGTCCAGCAGCACCGGCATTAACTAGGCACTGTCAGAAATGCAAATTCTCAGCCAGATGTGGTGGCTCACGCCTGTAATCCCAGCACTTTGGGAGGCCGAGGCGAGTGGATTACTTGAGGTCAGGAGTTCAAGACCAGCCTGGCCAACATGGTGAAACCCCATCTCTACAAAAATACAAAAGATTAGCCGGCCGTGGTGGCACATGCCTGTAATCACACCTGCTCAGGAGGCTGAGGCAGGAGAATCACTTGAACCCAGGAGGCGGATGTTGCAGTGAGCCGAGATCACGCCACTGCACTCCAGCCTGGGCAACAGTGTAAGACTCCTTCTCAAAAAAAATGAAAAGAAAAAAAAAAAAAAGAAATACAGGCCAAGCACCATGGCTCACTCCTGTAATTCCAGCACTTTGAGAGGCCGAGGTGGGCAGATCACCTGAGGTCAGAAGTTCAAGACCAGCTTGGCCAACATGGTGAAACCCCGTCTGTACTAAAAACACAAAACTTAGCCAGGCATGATGGTGGGCGCCTGTAATCCCAGCTACTTGGGAGGCTGAGGCAAGAGAATCGCTTGAACCCGGGAGGCAGAGGTTGCGGTGAGCCAAGATTGCGCCATTGCACTCCAGCCTGGGCGACAGAGCAAGACTCCGTTTCAAAAAAAAAAGAAAAAAATGCAAATTCTCAGGCTCCACCCTAGACCTGAATCAGAAGCCCCAGGGATGTCACCCAGCCATCTGTGTGCTAACAAGCCCTCGTGGAAGACCCTGATGCATGCCAGAGCCTAAGCCACCATCCTAGAATTCTGAGGACCGTCTAAGAAGACAATAATGGAAGTCACATATGTGCTGGGTGCTTTGCATCATCTCAGGTAATGCTTCCAACAGTGCATGCAGCAGGGGCCCGTGTCATCCTTCCAGGCTCAAGAGAGTCACAGGCTTAGCCCCGGGCTGGATCAGCATCCAACCCCAGGTCACTGTGACCCCAAGGCCTGGGCTTCAGTTATCAGGCAGAATCTGTGCAGCAGTCAACACCCACACAGCACTTGGTGGTTGCAAAACGCCTCCTCATACCTGTTGTCATTGTTCAGTATATCTCCCAGGGGCTCCAGCAAGGCACAGTGGCTGCACGCTTTGCTGGGCTGAACAGCCAATGAGTTATAGCCAGGGCCTGCCGAGCAAACTGGAGAGAAAGGAGAGGCAAGTGGACTCAGCGCCAAGTCACACAACATCGGATGGGTCAGGCAATCTCTCCAGAGTTCAGTTTCTTCATCTGTAAAATGGGACGATAATCCCTCCCACACAGCCAGCAGAGATGGAGGTCAGATACGAAGCAGCCACCTCCACTTTCTCCCGAAATTCCACCAAAATGACACAAAAGAGATGTCTTTGTTTTATTTTATTTTATTTTATTTTATTTTATTTTATTTTATTTTTGAGAGAGAGTCTGGCTCTGTCACCCAGGCTGGAGTGCAGTGGAGCGATCTCAGCTCACTGCATCCTCCGTCTCCTGGGTTGAAGTGATTCTCCTGCCTCAGCCTCTACAGGTGCCCGCCACCACGCCCAGCTAATTTTTGTATTTTAGTAGAGATGGGGTTGCACCATGTTGGTCAGGCTGGTCTTAACTCCTGACCTCAGGTGATTCACCTGCCTCGGCCTTCCGAAGTTCTGCGATTACAGGCGTAAGCCACTACATCATTCTTTTTTTTTTTCTTTGGAGACGGAGTTTCACTCTTGTTGCCTAGGCTGGAGTGCAGTGGCATGATCTTGGCTCACTGCAACCTTCGCCTCCTGGGTTCAAGTGATTCTCCTGCCTCAGCCTCCTGAGTAACTGAGATTACAAGTGCCCACCACCATGCCCAGCTAATTTTTTATTTTTAGTAGAGATGGGGTTTCACCATGTTGGCCAGGCTGGTCTCAAACTCCTGACCTCAGGTGTTCCACCCCCCTCAGCTTCCCAAAGTGCTGGGATTATAGGTGTGAGTCACTGAGCCTGGCCTGTTATTCTTTTTTATGGCTGTATAGTATTCCATGGTGTATATGTACTACATTTTCTTTTCTTTTCTTTTTTTTAGACAGAGTCTCCCTCTGTCACCAGGCTGGAGTGCTGTGGCGTGATCTCAGCTCACTGCAATCTCCGCCTCCAGGGTTCAAGTGATTCTCCTGCCTCAGCATCCTGAGTAGCTGGGACTACAGACCCACGCCACCATGCCCAGCTAACTTATGTATTTTTAGTAGAGACAGGTTTCACTATGTTGGCCAGGATGGTCTCAATCTCTTGACCTCGTGATCTGCCCGCCTGGGACTCCTAAAGTGCTGGGATTACAGGCATGAGCCACCGCGCCCAGCCACCACATTTTCTTTATCCAGTTTTTCACTGATGGGGATTTGAGTTGGTTCCATGTCTTTTTTTTTTTTTTTTTTTTTTCCTGAGATGGAGTTTTGTTCTTGTTGCCCAGGCTGGAGTGCAATGGCGTGATCTCGGCTCACCACAACCTCCACTTCGCAGGTCCAAGAGATTCTCCTGCCTCAGCCTCCCAAGTAGCTGGGATTACAGGCATGCGCCACCACACTCAGCTAATTTTGGATTTAGTAGAGACAGGGTTTGTCAATGTTGGTCAGGCTGGTCTTGAACTCCCGACCTCAGGTGATTCGCCAGCCTCGGCCTCCCAAAGTGCTGGGATTACAGGCATGAACCACCGCGCCCAGACCCAAATGGAGGCCTGGTTCCATGTCTTTGCTATTGTAAACAGTTCTGCAATAAACATACGTGAGCTTGCGTCTTTATAGTAGATTGATTTATATTCCTTTGTGTATATACCCAGTGTATATGCCCAGCCTGATCTTTCTAAAACTGGAAAAAAAAAAAAAAAAAGTCTAGGCACGATGGCTCACGCCTGTAATCCCAGCACTTTGGGAGTCCAAGATGGGCAGATCACAAGGTCAGGAGTTCGAGACCAGTCTGGCTAACATGGTGAAACCCCGTCTCTACTAACAAAATACAAAAAAATTAGCCGGGCATGGTGGTGTGAGCCTGTAATCCCAGCTACTCAGGAGGCTGAGGCAGGAGAATTGCTTGAACCAGGGAGTCGAAGGTTGCAGTGAGCTGAGATAGCGTCACTGCACTCCAGCCTGGCAACAGAGTGAGAGTGTCTCAAAAAAAAAAAAAAAAAAAAGTCAAGCAGACCATGGCTCTGGGCACCAGCAACTCCTTTGTGGGCTGGACTAGGGCTCAGCTTTGGAAGGAGGCCAGGGTGGGATGGAGGCCAGACCACCTATGTAGGAGACCACCCAGGAAATATGAGGCAAGGAGAGAGGGGGCTGGCAAAGGGCCGAGGCTCCAGCATGGGAAGGGTGGGTTGAGAGGAGTCCTCGACCAGTCAGAGAGGCAGGAGGCCAAGGACACAGAATTCGTGACCAACTGTCAAATACACGAGCAGGTCAGAGGGACAGCCTGTGAACCACCATTGCGTTTGCTGATGGAGTTGTTGCTATTGAGAGATCTCAGGCCAGGCGTGGTGGCTCAAGCCTGTAATCCTAGTACTGTGTGAGGCTGAAGCAGGAGAATCACTTGAGGCCAGGGATTTGAGACCAGCTTGAGCAACATAGTGAAACCCCAGTTCTGAAAGAAAAAAAAAAAAAAAAAGACAGGTGTGGTGGTGCACACCCATAGTCCCAGCTACTTGGGAGGCTGAGGTGGGAGGATCACTTAGCCCAGGAGTGCAAGGCTGCAGTGAGCTGTGATCATGTCACTGTACTCCAGCCTGGGCTGGAGTGAGACCTTGTCTCAAAAAAACAAGAGTATAATTTGCTTTTACCAAGAAAATGTATCCACTTATTTGTGTCATAAAAAACAACTGCTGGGCACAGTGGTTCATGCCTGTAGTCAGTCCCATCTACTCAGGAGAATGAGGCAGGAATTCCTTGACAGCAGGAGTTTGAGAGCAGCCTGGACAACATAGTGAGATTCAGTCTCTTAAAAACAAACCAACAAAAACCTTCTGAATCATACAAGACAAAGAACAAAACAAACCAATAACCACAATAAAAACACCAATAAACCAACAACAACCATTTTTTTTTTTGAGATAGGGTCTTGCTCTGTTGCCCAGGCTGGATTGCAGTGGCATAAAATCATGAATCACTGCAGCCTTGACCTCTAGAGCTCAAGCAATCCTCCTGCCTCAGCCTCCCAAGCACCTGGGACTACAGGGGTGCGCCACCAGACCTGGCTAATTTTAAAAATTTTTTTATAGAGAGAGGTTCTCATCATGTTGCCCAGGCTGGTCTCGAACTTCTGACCTCAAGTGATCCTCCCACCTTAGCCTCCCAAAGTCTTGAGATTATAAGTTTGAGCCACTGTAACCAGCTGGGCTCTTCTATCTCAAAAGCAAAACTTCAAAATCCAATTTCTTGAGTATTCCAACCTTGATTACAAACAATTTACTAAACTCCCATACATGATCTAAACTGCAATGACAGATTTTGTATGGCTGACTTCCATAAGAATACTTTTACACTTAACACTCTTCTGAAACATCAAGGCCCGGGGATCATTTAGTGCTTCCTCACTTCGTTTTTCTTTTTTTCTTTTTTTTTTTCTTTTTTTTGAGACGGAGTCTTGCTGTGTTGCCCAAGCTGGAGTGCAGTGGCATGATCTCGGTTCACTGCAATCTCCGCCTCCCAGGTTCAAGCAATTCTCCTGCCTCAGCCTCCCAAGTAGCTGGGATTATAGGCGCCTGCCACCATGCCCAACTAATTTTTGTATTTTTAGTAGAGATGGGGTTTCACCATGTTGGTCAAGCTGGTCTCGAACTCCTGACCTGCCAGCCTTGGCCACCCAAAGTGCTGGGATTACAGGTGTGAACCACCGCGCCCAGCCAATGGTTTCTCATTTCTATCATTGCTTTTATCTTCTTAGGGATCTTTTGATTTCTCCCTAGGACTTTGGTGATGGGAGTTTATTTATTTATTTATTTATTGGATACAGGGTCTTGCTTTATCACTCAAGCTGGAATGCAATGGCTAACAGCTCACTGTAGCCTCAACCTCCTGGGCTGAAGCGATCCTGCCATCTCAACCTCCCAAGAAGCTGGGACTACAAGCACACACCACCACACCTGGCTAAAATTTTTATATTTTGTAGAGGCAGGGGTCTTGCTATGTTGCCCAGGCTGCTCTTGAACTCTTGGGCTCAAGTGATCCTCCTGCCTCAGCTTTCCAAAGTGCTAGAATTACAGGGTGAGCTACCCTGCCTGGCCAGTGATGGGATTTTGGTATCTTCCCATGTTTGGAATAATTTTCCAAGACAAGCTGAGGTCACTGCATCTGGATGTTTGACTGCTGGTCCTTGGCTGGAACATAGGACTTGACTGCCTCTGCTGGGATTGCAATGACCTATTTAGTCATTTTGGACATTCTCTGTTGAATCCTCCTTGTCCTTGCAAACTAGGGGTGGCCCCTGTCCTGAATACCTGGCAGAGCCTTGTCTGCCTGGTAGTTGTGTGCAGCTACCAGTGCCCATGAGTCTGTGCTTGCTTTCCTTGGTGCAGTTTCTGCCTCTCCAGGGCTCCAGCCCAGAGCTCTGTGTTTATTCTTTTCTGATTACACAGATAGAAAGCAAACAAATCAGGCCGGGCGTGGTGGCTCACGCCTGTAATCCCAGCACTTTGGGAGGCCGAGGCGGGCAGATCATGAGGTCAGGAGTTCAAGACTAGCCTGACAAACACCCTGAAACCCCATCTCTCCTAAAAAAAAATACAAAAAAATTAGCCGGGCGTGGTCACACGTGCCTGTAATCCCAGCTACTTGGGAGGCTGAGGCAGAAGAATCCCTTGAACCCAGGAGGCAGAGGTTGCAGTGAGCTGAGAACGCGCCACTGCACTCCAGCCTGGCAACAGAGTGAGACTCCGTCTCAAAAAAAAGAAAAAAGAAAGCAAACAGATCTCTTTACTGTTTTTTGTTTGTTTGTTTTTGTTTTTGTTTTTTTTTCGGATGGAGTTTCGCTCTTGTCGCCCAGGCTGGAGTGCAATGGCGTGATCTCGGCTCACTGCAACTTCCGCTTCCCGAGTTCAAGCGATTCTCCTGCCTCCTTGGGATTATAAACTTGAGCCTCCCGAGTAGCTGGGATTACAGGCATGCACCACCATGCCTGGTTAATTTTGTATTTTCAGTAGAGACGGGGTTTCTCCATGTTGGTCAAACTGGTCTCAAACTCCCGACCTCAGGTGATCTGCCCGCCTCAGCCTCCCAAAGTGCTAAGATTACAGGTGTGAGCCACCACGCCCGGCCTAATATGTTAACAATAATAAAAGAAACAAAATGCGTGGACTAACACACCCCCACATATTAAGCTCAGTAAAAATTCAAGTCATATGACAATCATCTTTCGTATTTATTTTTTTCCATACCTAGTCCCACAGACATCTTTCTTATATTACAACTCTTTTTTTTTTTTTTTTTTTTTTTGAGATAGAGTCTCTGTCATGCCAGGCTGGAGTGCAGTGGCATGATCTCAGCTCACTGCAACCTCCGCCTCCTGGGTTCAAACAGTTCTCCTGCCTCAGCCTCCCGAGTAGCTGAGATTACGGGTGCATGCCACCACACCGGTCTACATTTTGTATTTTTAGTAGAGATGGGTTTTCACCATGTTGGTCAGGCTGGTCTCGAACTCCTGACCTCAATTATGATCCACCCACCTCAGCCTCCCAAAGTGCCGGGATTACAGGTGTGAGCCACTGTGCCCGGCTTTTTTTTTTTTTTTTTTTTTTTGTAGAGGTAGGGTCTTACTATGCTCCCCAGGCTGGTCTTGAATTCCTGGGCTCAAACGATCCTCCTGCCTCAGCCTCCCAAAGTGTTGGGATTATAGGCGTGAGCCACTGTGCCCAGCCAGGGAATAATTTTTTATGCTCATATTATCACAGCTTGGCTGATGCTGGGGAGACTTTGGTTGTTTCCATTGCCTGTCCCATATTCCCCTAACATGTGTGAGTGTGGCCTTCCTTTCTGGCCACCCCAGGCCATTCTGGGTCATTCTAATTTTTTTTTTTTTTTTTTTTTTTTGAGACGGAGTCTCATTTTGTCACCCAGGCTGGAGTGCAGTGGCAACATCTCAGCTCACTGCAAGCTCCGCCTTCCTGGGTTCATGCCATTCTCTTGCCTCAGCCTCCTGAGTAGCTGGGACTACAGGCGCCCGCCACCACGCCCGGCTAATTTTTTGTATTTTCAGTAGAGACGGGGTTTCAGCGTGTTAGCCAGGATGGTCTCGATCTCCTGACCTTGTGATCCACCCGCCTCAGCCTCCCAAAGTGCTGGGATTACAGGCGTGAGCCACCGCGCCCGGCCTAATTTTTTTTTTTTATATGCTCCAAGGGATACTGGTTTCCTTTAGTGGATAAGGGTCTAAGAGACTTATATCTGGGTACCAAGGTGCCCATGAGACTGGGGGTGGGCAAGGAGCTATTGTGGCTTTCAGGCAACTCTTGTCAAAAACAAAGCCGGAAGCCAGGCGCGGTGGCTCACGTCTGTAGTCCTAGCATTTTGGGAGGCCAAGGTGGGTGGATTGCCTGAGCTCAGGAGTTCGAGACCAGCCTGGGCAACATGGTGAAACCCTGTCTCTACTAAAAATACAAAAAATTAGCCAGGCGTGGTGGTGCATGCCTGTAATCACAGCTACTCGGGAAGCTGAGGCAGGAGAATCGCTTGAACCCAGGAGGCGGAGGTTGCAGTGAGCCAAGATTACATCACTGCACTGCAGCCTGGGCGACAGAGCGAGACTCTGTCTCAAAAAAAAAAAAAGAAAGAAAAGAAAAGAAAAAACACAAAAAAACCAAAGCCGGAAATAACTCATACTTTTAAGGTCATAAATGGACAGTAAGTTCCTTCAGTCTGTGGTTTTGTTAACAGACATTAATAACATTGTTATTGTTAATTCTGTATTGACAAGGGCGAGCCACAGCAGTCACTGTGACACTGGCTGGCTCAGCAGGGGACAGGAAAGGGATGAAGAAGACAGGGAAGGAAGGGTCAGAAACAGCGAGTGGAGGTGATTTGTTTGAGAAATCTGGTTGACAGGAGGAGAGAGCTGGCAGTCACAGGGTGGAGGGAGGAGTGTTTGCTTTGCTTTTTGTTTTCTTGTCCTTTTCTTGGGATGGGAGAGGCTCAAGCTTGCTCATGGGTGGAGTGGAAAGTGCCAGTACCCATAAGAGTGTATCAATCAAAATTCCTGCTTGTACAAGGGAAAGTAAGAAGCTGGGTGTGTAATCCCCACACTTTGGGAGGCCAAGATGGGCGGACCACCTTAGGTCCAGGGTTGGAGACATGGCGAAACCCTGTCTCTACTAAAAATACAAAAACTAGCTGGATGTGGTGATGTGCGCCTTTAGTCCTAGCTACTAGGGAGGCAGAGGCTCGAGAATTTCTTGAACCCAGGAGGCCGAGGTTGCAGTGAGCCCAGATCGTGCTACTGCATTCCAGCCTGGGCGACAGGGAGACTCTGTCTTAAAAAAAAAAAAAAAAAAGAAAAGTGAAAGAATCCAGCTTGTCTGGTTAAACCAAACCGTGTAACAGGAAAGCCCAGGTGGGGATGGAAGCAGGGAGATCACCAGGTCAGGCCCAGCTGGACATGGCTCCAGGGATGCCCTGACTCAGTTCTGTGTGTGTAACTAGCTCCATTCATGGGGGACTGGGCTCTATTCTGAGATGGGCCCTCCCCTCATGTGGCAATGAGATATCACCGAGTCCAGAAAAAGACAACACACCTAGAAGCCATCCAGAAGAGGACACACCTCTGTCCCAGACTTCTATCATTAAGACCATGTGGGTCACATCATCTCTGGACCAGTCTCTGGCTGGGTGTTGTGAACAGTCCAGGGTCAGAAATAACCAGGCCCACGTTTGTGTCTTTCCACAATGTCAGGATTTTAGCAGATTTTTTTGTGTTTCAATCACAAAAGCCATGAGCTCCATGGGGTTCCCAAGGAGGCATTCTCATTGCTTCCCATTTACTCAGTAGTCAGAGCCACAGGCACACAGGCTCAAGCCACTCCACAAGTCAGTCAATACTGCAAACCATACACAGTAGTGTGCTTAGTCTATATATAAATGTTACAGATTAAACATTCCACAACAAAGTCACACTTAACATCAAGAGGAAAGAGAGGCTGGGTGCGGTGGCTCACGTCTGTAATCCCAGCACTTTGGGAGACTGAGGCGGGCAGACTGCCTGAGGTCAGGAGTTCGAGACCAGCCTGGCCAACATGATGAAACCCCGTCTATACTAAAAATACCAAAAAAATAAAAAAAAATAAAAGCCAGGCATGGTGACAAGTGCCCATAATCCTAGCTACTCAGGAGGCTGAGGCACTAGAATTGCTTGAGCCTGGGAGGCAGAGATTGCAGCAGTGAAGACAGAGCAAGACCCTGTCTCAAGAAGAAAAAAAGATGGAGTTACTTATGTCAAGGGAGCCACTGCTTTAAACTGGCTCACAGGCCCGCCTTGGAGCTGGGGACAGGTCAACCACACCAAACCCAGGTGGAATTCCTCAGGAAGTATTTAGTGTGCTGTTACCAGACAGTTGGCAGAGAGAAGAAAGAAAGATCCCTGTCCACCAGAAAGTTGGAGCTAGGGGCCAGACAGGGGGTGATCAATGAGAGCAGGCACACAGGGGATGAGAGGAGACGGACCCTGTGCCTTGCCTCTGCCTGTGCTGTTCCTTCTGCCAGGAGAGCCTTATGGAGTAATTGACAGAACCTCCCCTCCCGTGTAAGCAGTGGTCTAGATGTTGACATCCTGCCTTTCTTCTCTAGGGCCCAGGAAATGCCTGTTGAAATAAATTGCTGGAAAGCCACCACACCACGAACCGTGCAAATTGTCAGACTGTTCTTTCCCATGTGGATATGAAATCTGCTTTGGAGCATGGGCCCAGTGGGGCTGCAGGGAGCCCACCACCTTCCAGGACCACTACTGTCTTAGCCAGGACTAAGAGTTATGGACTGAGACCTATTAACTGAGGGCCCTTAGGCAAGGCTGTGCCTGGCTCCTTAAGCCCCAGGGTCCTCCTGGGTAAGGGGTGCCCCTGGAAAGGGCTTAGCAAGTGGTAGGAGTTCACCCCAACAGTAACTATGCCAGTGCTTTATCCTTCCCTTATTGCAGGTAGACCAAAGTGGCCACAGGCTTTCTATTCAACATTCACAACCAGATGACCAGCTCCAGTTTACTGATGGGAGAGAAACCCATTGGTTCAAAGAGTTTAAGAATTTCAGCCTAGCTGGGCGCGGTGGCTCACGCCTGTAATCCCAGCACTTTGAGAGGCCGAGGCGGGCGGATCACAAGGTCAGGAGTTCGAGATCAGTCTGGCCAACACAGCGAAACCCCGTCTCTACTAAAAATACAAAAAAAAAAAAAAAATTAGCCGGACGTGGTGGCCGGTGCCTGTAGTCCCAGCTACTTGGGAGGCTGAGGCAGGAAAATGACGTGAACCCGGGAGGCAGAGCTTGCAGTGAGCTGAGATCGCGCCACTGCACTGCACTTCAGCCTGGGCGACAAAGTGAGACGCCGTCTCAAAAAAAAAAGAAATTCAGCCTAGAAGCTGGGCGAGGTGGCTCACACCTGTAATCCCAGCACTTTGGGAGGCCAAAGCGGGAGGATCATTAGAGGTCAGGTGATCAAGACCAGCCTGACCAACGTGGTGAAACCCTGTCTCTACTAAAAATATAAAAAAATTAGCCAGGTGTGGTGGCGGGCACCTGTAATCCCAGCTACTCGTGAGGCTGAGGCAGGAGAATCACTTGAACTCAGGAGGCAGAGGTTGCAGTGAGCCGAGATTGCGCCATTGCACTCCAGCCTGGGTGACAAGAGCAAAACTCCATCTCAAAAAAAAAAAAAAAGAGCCAGGCATTGTGGTGCACACCTGTGGTCCCAGCTACCCAGGAGGCTGAGGCAGGAGGATCACTTGTGCCTGGGAGGTCAAGGCTGCAGTGAGTTGGAATCACATCACTGCACTCCATCCTGGGCAACAGAGTGAGACCCTGTCTCTAAATAATAATAATAATAATAATAAATCCCAGCCTGAGTAAGAGTGTCTCAAAAAAAGAAAGAAAAAAAAATCTGCCCACACCCACCCTGCTAAGAGAGGCAGATTCAACCCCAGGCAGATCACTCTCTTCTTTCACAAGCATCCCAGCCCTCTCCATCTCCAACCAGAAAGCCAGCCACGAGCCATGCCTTCCCTTCCTCTCAGAGCCTGTGTGCTCAACCTTAGGAGGAAAGGGACCTGCCAGGGTGCTAGGAGGGAGGGAAGAGGGGAGCACTGGGCTCAGAGGCGGAGGGGGTGCTCCGGGGGTCAGGAGAGCCCAGGGCAACATGGGCCAGGCTGTGCTTCCAGGGCAGAGTTTCACAGATGAGTGAACTGAGGCCAGGGCAGGTCAGACACATAGGCTCTTTTGTCCCCTGCTTCCTCCTTCACGCCCTGGCCTCTGAAGCTCTCCCTGCAGTCGGGACAGGTCAGGCTAGAAAATAATTTGGCCTCAAAGGCTGCTGGGGCTTTGGGGGTCAGGCAAATTTGAATTCCAACCTCTGCTTGTTTTTTCCTTTCTTACCTTTATTTTGAGATAGGATCATTTTATGTTGCCCAGGCTGGTCTTGAACTCCTGGGTTCAAATGATCCTACTGCCTCAGCCTCTGTGAGCTTAGGTTAATTTCCATCTTGGGCTCAGTATTTTTCTTTTTTCTGGGACGGGGTCTCGCTCTCACCTAGGCTGGAGTGCAGTGGCATGATCTCGGCTCACTGCAATCTCTGCCTCCCAGGTTCGAGCAATTCTGCCTCAGCCTCCTGAGTAGCAGGGATGACAGGCAGGCACCACCACATCTGGCTAATTTTTGTATTTTTAGTAGAGATGGGATTTTGCCATGTTGGCCAGGCTGGTCTTGAACACCCGAGCTTAGGTGATCCGCATGCCTCGGCCACCCAAGTGCTGGGATTACAGGCTTAAACCACTGCACCCAGCCAACAGCCTCCGTTTTTTTTTGTTTGTTTGTTTTTGAGATGAAGTCTCGCTCTGTCGCCATACTGGAGTGCAGTGGCATGATCTCAGCTCACTGCAACCTCTGCCTCCCAGGTTCGAGTGATTCTCCTGCCTCAGCCTCCCGAGGAGCTGGGACTACAGGGGCACGCCGCCACGCCCAGCTAATTTTTGTATTTTTAGTAGAGACGGGGTTTCACCATGTTGGCCAGGATGGTCTCGATCTCCTGACCTCATGATCCGCCCGCCTTGGCCTGCCAAAGTGCTGGGATTACAGGCGTGAGCCATTGCGCCTGGCCCAGCCTCCGTTTTTTTCATCTGTAAAATGGGGATAACAGGGTGACCTCAGAGGGTTGTGAGATTAACAAGCTGCAAGGAGACCGTTTCCCCAGACATAGCCAGGAAGAGCTTGTGGGTCTGGGCACAGCTCCAGCGATGGCTATTCTAAGAAAGCCATTCCCTTCTCAATTCTCTTTAATCCCTTTGCTTAAGTCCAGGGGCAAGTCTTTGCTGGGTGCTGGCCTGCCTTGAATATCTCTCTACACCTTTCGAATCTTCCTTTTTTTTCTTTTTTTGAGACGGAGTCTCACTCTGTCGCCCAGGCTGGAGTGCAGTGGCGCGATCTCGGCTCACTGCAAGCTCCGCCTCCCGGGTTCACGCCATTCTCCTGCCTCAGCCTCCTGAGTAGCTGGGACTACAGGTGCCCGCCACCACGCCTGGCTGATTTTTTTGTATTTTTAGTAGAGACGGGGTTTCACCTTGTTAGCCAGGATGGTCTCGATCTCCTGCCCTTGTGATCTGCCCGCCTCGGTCTCCCAAAGTGCTGGGATGAATCTTCCTTTTAACAAGGAGAGGGCAGGAGGAACTCAGCTCTTGGAGGGGCAACAGGACCTACCCGGGCTTTATAACATTGTTTTAGTTTTATTTTTACTGTTGCCTTCTAGTCTCTGAGATACTGGTGTTCCATTTAGGGTAGCAATACAAAGTTTCTCTGAAAAATACATTTGTGATCATGGAAAAGCCAACATAAAGCAAAAGCATTAAAAGTATTACAAGTGGGCCAGGTGCCGTGGCTCACATCTGTAATCACCACACTGTGGGAGGCTGAGGCGGGTGAATCACTTGAGGTCAGGAGTTCAAGACCAGCCTGGCCAACATGGTGAAACCCTGTCTCTACTAAAAATACAAAAATTAGCCATGGTTGTGCATGCCTGTAGTCCCAGCTACTCAGGAGGCTGAGGCAGGAGAATCACTTGAAACCAGGAGACAGAGGTTTCAGTGAGCCGAGATGGTGTCACTGCACTCCAGCCTAGGTAACAGAGTGAGTCTCTTCTCAAAAAAAAAAAAAAAAAAAAAAAAAAATGAGTATTACCAGTGGAGAAAGGGTCCGCATTCATTCTTTTTTTTTTTTTTTTTTTTTTTTTTTTTGAGACAGAGTCTGGCTCTTGTCACCCAGGCTGGAGTGCAGTGGCATGATCTAGGCTCACTGCAACCTCCACCTCCTGGGTTCAAGTGAGCATGTCCAGCTAATTTTTGTATTTTGTAGAGATGGAGTTTCACCATGTTGGCCAGGCTGGTCTTGAACTTCTGATCTCAGGTGACCTGCTTGCTTTGGCCTCCCAAAGTGCTGGGATTACAGGCGTGAGTGCTTGCCTGGCCTCTTGTTTCCGTTTTAAGATGGGAGAAGTAACAGCCTGTGATGGGAATGACCCAGGGAGAATGGAGAGAGGGCAGGGTTTCGGGATCAGTGTTGGCGTGAAGGGTCGGGATCTTCTGGAGGGGGTGGTCGTGGCCAGGAGCTGGACGGGTTCAGCCCGGTCCCAAGAGGGAAGGGACTGGGTGCTACCTCAGCGGGTGGGTGGGGGAGCTGGTGGGAATTTTCTACTGATTCCTTCATTCGAAGTGTATTTATTGGGCACCCATTGAGTGCCAGGCTCTTTCTCAGGGCTAGGATAGAGGTTCCATTTTCTCAGTGGCTTGGGCACTGGGTCATCAGCTGAGTGAGAGGATGGGCGTCAGCACTCAAGAAGTCACCCAATGGTTTCATTTTTTGCAGTCTTTGTTGTCCCAGAGGAGTAAGAACTAAAAGCACCAGGACTGTGACATGCTGGAAACATGGCATGTTCCAAAGAGAATAAAATACAGTTTTATGATACACGAATTGTGTGTGATACATTCCAATTTCTCACATTGAACAAATTACCAATAGCAATATGTGTGAAGATGGGGCGAGGTGAGAGTGAGGAGGAGGAGTAGAGAAAGGACGGGGCGGCGTTAAGGATACAGCAAATAACTGGAATTCCGCAAACACTGGGGTGATGCAGGCAATGCCCTTAGCACGGTCCCGGCAGGAGGCGGTGGGATCAGGCCGACCCGGGTCCCAGGGGTGACAGCGTCCCTTCTCCACTGCAGAATATCGAGGTACTCAACCCTCTGAACCTCAGTTTTCTCATCAGTTCAATGGGGAAAACGGGATGGTAACCCGTAATACTGGCGGCGCGGAGGCCGGGGAGCGCTCCCTACCTGTTGGCCGGCGGACTGGGGACTGTCCGCACCCGCCCCGGGGAGCAGCGAGGGCGCGCGGGCGGGGTCGCGGGGACCCCGCAAGGGCTCTGGGGACCGGGACCCGCAGGGTAGGTCGGGACGGGCGGGGCGGGGCGGCCTGACCCCGCCCCGGGCCGGAGGGGCGGTGCTGCCTCCCGCCGGGCCCCAGGCACTGCCCTCCGGCCGCCGCGCCGCCCGCCCGCCGGGGCCCCGCTGTCCGCCGCCCGCCGCCGCTGGAGCTAGAGGTACGAGGGGCCGCGCCGATGTTGCGGGGGACGGGGGCTCCAGGGGGATCCTGCGGCTCGCAGTGGGGAGGAGGCGCCTCGGGAAGGCAGGGGCAGGGGCGGAGGGGCTGGGCCGCCGCCCTAGCCCGGGCCACCTGTTCTGGAGGCGACATTTGTGCGCGCACGAACCCCGCGCGGCGGTCCCGGCCACCGCCTCCACCCCAACTGCGCCCCGAAGTGGAGCGCGGCGGCGGGACCCGGAGCCCCGGCCCTCGCGGGCAGGACGCGCCTGGCTCCGGAGCCCTCGAGGGCAGCCCCACCCGGTTGGGTCCCGGGGCTGGAGAGAGGGCGTCGGGGAGAAGCCGGGTTCGAGGCAGGCTCTGCCCGGCCACCGTGGGTGAGTCGCGCTCCTCCGTCCGGGGGAAGCCTGGGCGTCGGGCGGTGCTCGCCCCGGAGCGGATGCGACCGGGGACGGGGATGGAGAGCGGCCGGCAGGAGGGGGCTCTGCCGGGCTGGCAGCGTCGGCGCCGGCCTTAGGGAGGGTGAGGATTTGGACCTGCCCAGAAGCGGGAAGGGCCCTCCCCGTGCGGGAAACGGCCTGGGTACGAGCTGGGCACGGGGCGAGCCGGTTGGAGTCGCCCGGCCTCCGCGCTCGCCTCGGATCCGCAGGCGCCCCTCCCTCCTCTCCAGCTGGGGAAGGTTGAGGACTGAGCGGGAGCGGAACTGGGCTTGGGAGAGGATCTGCCGGGGCACCTGGTCCCAGCGCCCATCCCGTTTCACTGCCAGGGCGAGTCCCCTTCCCTCAGTTTCATCACCTGTCATCCGGAGGGACAAGTTCCCACCTGGATAGTCTCGGCTGAGCCTCTGGCCCTGAGTGGGTTAAAGCGCCATTTCCCCTGCACCCACCTTTCCCTCACGACACCCTCTCTGCGGCTTCCTCCCCTCCGCCAACGTCGAGTGATTGTTCCGCGAAGGCCCCTTGGGGTCACGTACCCTGCACTCAGCAAATAACCCCGAGCACCTGGTGGGTCTCAGGCCAGGTCTGGCCTTCCCGTTCCCGCCACCAGCTGCCCAAAGACTTCCCCTTTGTCACCTCCTCCCAAAGAATGAGGGAGCCACCCTGCCCAGGGTCCCATAGCAGAGTGCGGATGGAGCCAGGCCTCCCTCAAGATTTCCCACAGCCCTCTTCCAGCCTCAAACCTTCTCCAGGACCCGAAACCCTGCTACACTGTGTTTCCATAGCTGCAACCCCCCAAAAGAGGGTCCCCAAATCAAAGGAATACAAAGGAAAACAAAATAGAAAGGAAAAGAAAGGAAGAGGAGAGATGGAATCCTCTCTGTCATTAGTTTTCTGTTTGTTTGTTTTTTAGGGTCTCCCTCTGTCACCCAGGCTGGAATGCTGTGGCAGCTCACTGTAGTCTCAAACTGCTAGGCTCAAGCGATCCTCCCACCCCAGCTTCCCTAGTGGCTGAGACTGCAGGCACACACCACTACACCCAATGTTGTCATTAGTTTTTCTCTCAAACATTTTTCTAATGCCTTGGGTGCCTGTCGTTTCTTGTCTGCTAGGACAGCTCAGTATTAGAGGATAAACTCCAAAATGGACAGCCATCTACAAAATATGTTTTGTTTCCTTGTACTAATTGAAGCCCTCTAGCTGCTAGGTTAATGGGTCCATTAATTTCCAGTTCGTGTGATGGGCCCTGGGACCCCAGTGTGGAGCAGGATTGGCAGAATCTCCAGGTGGTTTGTGTGGAACACCAGGAGGTTGTGAACTACCACATCAGCCCCAGCTAGCAACTCCCAAGCCCACCTGGCCACGGGGCCACTGGGTTCAGACCTCCAAGGATGCAGTTCAGCTGGGGATGCAGGTCCCGGAAGGTGGTGGCAGGTGGACGGCCTCCACCACCAAGCCAGCCATCTGAGTTCTGAAGTGCACCTCCTCTCACTCTCCCCAGCTGCCTCCTTCTTTGGGGACCTGCTAGGCGTGCTCACAAACTCCTGTTGATCACCCTGCATTTTCATTGGCTCACCGCATGCTTCCCTCCAGATTGGAAGCTCCTGGAGGGAAGGACCCTTGTCCAGATCCCAGAGCCTAGTGCCAGGCCTGGCACCTAGCAGGTGCTTCCTGAATATTGTTTGAATGAATTAACCGAAAGAAGTAGGAAAAACAATTCCTGTTTGCATACTTGAAGACAACTATTGTTAACATTTGCCTTTTTTTTTGCCAGACCTTTAAAAACACGTTTTTCCAGCCGGGCGAGGTGGCTCACGCCTGTAATCCCAGCACTTTGGGAGGCTGAGGCGGGTGGATCACTTGAAGTCAGGAGTTCGAGACCAGCCTGGCCAACTTGGTGAAACCCCCCATCTCCACTAAAAATACAATAAATTAACTGGGCGTGGTGGCACGTGCCTGCAATCCCAGCTACTCAGGAGGCTGAGGCAGGAGAATCATTTGAACCTGGGAGGCAGAGAGTGCAGTGAGCCGAGATGGCGCCACTGCACTCCAGCCTGAGCAACAGAGCGAGACTCCGTCTCCAAAAATAAATAAATAAATAATAAAATAACACGTTTTTCTGTATTTGCATATCTTGTCTATATAAAATATTTTTCCATTAGTATAATTTCACGAGCATTCCTCATCGCAGACATTTTTTATATTTTTCAATGCTTGCATTTTGCTATGTCATGTTGAGTTATTGGATCTCTTGACTTTTTAAAAATATATTTGGCTCTTTTTGATAATGTTACATTGAATTTCTGCATACATTTATACATGGCCACATCTTTCCTGGGAAGGAATTAACCTGGTAATCAGTGCGTATGAACTTCTAGAATGGCTGTATCTGGACCCAGCTAGATATTTCTTCGTATTTCCTAGAAATGAAACTCCTGGGTCAGAGTACGAGAAGCCAGGTTCTTTGTGTGTTGCTTATTGATTGGTTTGAGCTCATCAGTAAGGTTTTACCCCTTGTCTGGTCTTTGTGTGCCAAGGATCTTTCCCCAGTTTATCATTTGGCTCTTATTTGTGGGTGTGTTTGTGCGTGCGTGGGTGTGTGTGTGGGTGTATGTCTGTGAGACAGAGAGATAGAGAGGAGCAGCAAGTTTTTTGTTTTACTTTATCTGTGTGTGTGCTTTCTGATGAGGGAGACTTGGCTGCATTTATGAGCTGATGGGAAAGCTAGAAGAGAGAGCTCAGCTCCCTCAGGCCCAGGAGAAGGAGGGACAGGTTGATAGGCTGAGGTCTCCGAGGACTGAGGAGGTGGGAGGATGCAGTGCTGCTCCCAAGGATCCTCCCGGGCTGGTGAGGACAGGAGGCAAGAGGGAGGGGCTTGGGGGACACTTGATGAATTGGCTTTGATCTTCCCCAGAGGGAGTTGGAAGTCAGCGGAGGGGAGGGCCCCAGTCTTTGGTGCTTCCTCCCTGGGAGGGAGCAGGTGTGAACACTCCCATTGATGACTACGCAGGGAGGAGAGAGCCTAGTTCAGGGTGAGTCCATGCAGGGCCAGGTTCAAAGCAGGCTGTCCACATACCAACCACAAGCCCTTGGGAATTGCTCTTCTCTCCGAGGCTCTGTTTCTTGTAGCTATCAGGAAGTGGCAGCTCTTTGAATAAGTGCCTTTTCCTCTCCCATCTGCCACCTTTGTCTTCCCTCTGGACATATCCTGGGGGTTCAGGAGCTTCCAGCTGTGCAGTTGGCCACAGGACTAGGGGAGCCCCCTTCCCTTCCAGACCAGTGTCCACATACCCTCCCCTGTGCCCACACACCTTCCCCTGTGCCCGCACTGTCACCCACCACAAGCCTACTCCAGCAGGAGCACCACAGCCTTCTGCGGTCACGCTGTGCAGTCAGCTGGCAGACAGGGAGCCAGGTGGACCAGCACATGAGAGCGAAACAGGAAGAGTGTCTGTCTTCACCTGTTTGAAAGTCATTGTCCCAGATATAGTTACGGGACCCAGAGAGCCCTGATCATCTGTGACCATCATTTGCTCCTTCCCCTTCAGGTGGGGGTAGGCCTCTACCCATTAAGCCAGACACTGTTACCTGACCTTACCAGACCCTCTCAGCCACCATGCTCTGTTATTCCCATTTTACAGACAAGGAGACTGAGTCTCAGAGTCAAGCACCTCCTCTTGGCCACAGTGAGATTGAGCCCCTAGCCCTGGTGCAGCCCCAGGCAAATGAGGCTGGGCCACAGGTAGACAGACCCCTTTCCCCCAGCAAAGGGTGTTTGAACCCCGCTCTGCCGCTGCCCAGCAGGCCTTGGTTTCCTCTACACTTACACTGTAGTTAATCATAAGAGGACCTGCCACACAGGATGGTGAGGGATTGAACAAGTCAAAGCAGGAAACCACTTTGACCAACGGCTGCACATGGTCAGTGCTCAGAAAATACACGCCATTGTTACTATTAAACCACACAGCTCCAGGCCTGACAGTGAGCTTTTAATAAATGTTAACTCAACACTGGAGAAGCCTTCTCACCCCGTCAGCAGTGCAAACAGAAACAACAGTGAGATCACATTTGCCACTCACCCCAGTGGTGGAGAGGATGGTCATGCACCCCACTCGCCCTCCTATGCCCTGGGAGAGCCTGTGGTGAGGCAAGTGTGCCCTGAGCCTGGAGTAGGAGTGGGAGAGAGCAGGTTAGGGCTCCATATCTGAAGATTTAAATTATATTTCTGAGGCCGGGCGCAGTGGTTCATGCCTGTAATCCCAGCACTTTGGGAGGCCGAAGCGGGCGGATCACCTGAGGTCGGGAGTTCGAGACCAGCCTGACCAACATGGAGAAACCCTATCTCTACTAAAAATACAAAATTAGCTGGGTGTGCTGGTGCATTCCTGTAATCCCACCTACTCAGGAGGCTGAGGCAGAAGAATCGCTTGAACGCAGGAGGCGGAGTTTGCAGTGAGCTGAGATTGCACCATTGCACTCCAGCCTGGGCAAAAAGAGCGAAACTCCATCTCAAAAAAAACAAAAAAAAAGATTGTATCTTTCCGGCCAGGTGTGGTGGCTCACACCTGTAATCCCAGCACTTTAGGAGGCTGAAGGGGGTGGATTGCTTGATTCCAGGAGTTACCTTTTTTTTTAAATATAATTTTTGAGATAGGTTCTTGCTCTGTTGTCTAGGCTGGAGTGCACTGGTGCAATCATGGCTCACTACAGCCTCAACCTCCTGGGCTCAAGCGATCCTCCCACCTCAGCCTCCTGAGTAGCTGGGACCACAGGCACCCTCCACCATTCCCTGCTAATTTTTTGCAAAGAAGGAGTCCACTTATGTTGCCCAGGCTGGTCTGGAGCTCCTGGGCTCAAGTGATCCTCACACCTCCACCTCCCAAAGTGCTGGGATTACAGGCATGAGCCACCTTGCCCAGCCCTGAATTACATTTCCTTTGACCCAGAGGGCTCACTTCTAGGAACCAATCCTATAGAAGTAATTAAGGACATGCTCAAAGATGTAAGTGATGGTTACCATGGTGTTGTTTATAAAAGCCAAAAAGATCAAAACATTTCCTATCTTGACCACATTTCTGGTGGTCAAGATAGGAAATGTATGAAATGAAGGCAGGAACTACCTTAAGGTGGGAGACAATGTTGCCTTGGAATTTATGGTATGAAGCTGTATTGCTCTCTTAGATCTCTAAGACGTAAGTCACACTGTAGCACTCCCAAAATCATCCCAATCAAAAGGCAAGTCCTTCAGCAGCTCTCAAGGCCCCCTGTGGCCCACCCTCCCCTTATCTTTCTGACCTCCTGTCCTGGAACCCCCCCACCCCACATACTCTGCTGTTTGCTCAGAACTCAGCCACACTCGCCCCTGGATCTTTGCAATCCCTGATCTTCCTCCTCCCTGAGTCACTTACTCCAGGGCCCCACAGTGTGTTCCCTGGCTTCCTTCAGGCCTCAGCGCAAATGTCCCCTTTTCAGAGCAGCACCCCCTAACCCAACTGTATGTAGTAGCCCCTGCCCCGCAGCCCATCTCCCTGAGTGCATTTTTCTCTTGGCACATTTTACCCCCTGATGTATTTCTTTATTTCTTTTCTTTTTCTCTTTCCTTTTCTTTCTTTTTTCCAGCCTGTAGTGCAATGGCACCATCTCGGCTCACTGCAACCTCCGCCTCCTGGGTTCAAGCGATTCTCAGCCTCCCGAGTGGCTAGGATTACAGGTGCCAGCCACCATGCCTGGCTAATTTTTGTATTTTTGGTAGAGACAGTGTTTCACCATGTTGGCTAGGTTGATCTTTTTTTTTTTTGAGACAGGACCTTGCTCTGTTGCCCAACCTGGTGTGCAGTTATGAAACCCTGGCTCAGTCTTCTGGGCGCAAACCATCCTCCTACCTCAGCCTCCCAAGTAGCTGGGACTACAGGCACATGCTAATTTTTGTATTTTTTGAAGAAACGGGGTTTCACTATGTTGCCCAGGCTGGTCCCGGACTCCTGGGCTCAAGTGATGCTCCCGCCTTGGCCTTCCAAAATTCTGGAATTACAGGAGGGAGCCACCATTCCTGCCTTTTTTTTTTTTTTTTTTTTTTTTTTTTTTTTGAGACAGAGTCTTGCTCTGTTGCCCAGGCTGGAGTGCGGTGGTATGAGCATAGCTCACTGCAGCCTCAGCCTTCTGGGCTCACGCAGTCCTCCCACCTCAGTTTCCTGAATAGCTAGGACTACCACCCCTGGCTAATTGTTTTATTTTTATTTTTTGTAGTGATGTGGTCTCCCTATGTTTCCCACGCAACTCTTGGCCTCAAGATTCTCCTGCCTCAGCCTCCCAAAGTGCTGGGATTACAGGCATGCGCCACTGTGCCTGGCCTCTGGCTAATTTTTTTATTTTTATTTTTTGTAGAGATGAGGTCTTCCTGCGTTGCCCAGGCTGGTATTGAACTCTTGGCCTCAAGATCCTCCCACCTCAGCCTCCCAAAGTGCTGGGATTACAGGTGTGAGCCACCTCGCCCAGTCAGCACCTGATGTCTGTCTGTCTGTCTGTCTGTCTTTTTTTTTTTTTTTTTTTTGACAGAGTTTCGCTCTTGTTGCCCAGGCTGGAGTGCAATGGCACGGTCTTGGCTCACTGCAACCGCCACCTCCTGGGTCCAAGCAATTCTCCTGCCTCAGCCTTACAAGTAGCTGGGATTACAGGTGCCCACCACCATGCCTGGCTAATTTTTGTATTTTTAGTTGAGGTGGGGTTTTGCCAGATTGGCCAGGCTGGTCTCGAACTCCTAACCTCAGGTGATCCACCCGCCTCGGCCTCCCAAAGTGCTGTGATTACAGGTGTGAGCCACTGTGCCCGGCCAGCACCTAATGTGTTTCTTCACTAATTTTCCCCTACTAGAATGTCAGCTCCATGAAGCCAAAGACAATCCTTCTCTTCCCTGTTGTACATATTCCCTGACCTTGGAGAGGGGCCGCCACAACATTGGCGCCCAGGCACTTGTTGGATGAACAGTCAAGGTGCGAAGGGCAGTGCTGGGGACTTGTCTGGTTTCTTTCCAGGATGACTTCTTGCACGAGGTTGAGCAGAAACTCTCACCTGTGAATTGTCACCTCCTGACTTGGTCTTCTGCACCCTTGGCCTTGACCCAAGGGGGCGGGTGGCATGGAGCCGCTCTAAGAGGTCAGTGATGTTGGCTTCTGATGGAATGGACAGAGGTGGTGCCAGGAGACCAGATTAGGAAGGCCTTTCTAGAAGGGTCCTAAGAGATTGTCTTTTCTCAGCTCTTTATTTTACAGATGAAGAAACTGAGGCTTAGAATTGAGGGGGAGGCTACAGAGCAGGGTGTAGAAGATAGACAGGCCCCTTCTCAGGCAGTATCCAGTTAGCAAAGGTGGTTAATGACAAGAACACGCAGTAGGTGATGCTGGGGGAGCGGGGGGAGAATGAGCACTCTCTTTTGCTACTATTTTTGTTGTAGTTGTTGTTTTATTGAGACGGAGTCACACTCTGTCGCCCAGGCTGGAGTGCAGTGGCTCACTGCAACCTCTGCCTCCTGGGTTCAAGCAATTCTCCTGCCTCAGCCTACCAAGTAGCTGGGATTACAGGCTTCCGCCACCACGCCCAGCCAATTTTTGTATTTTTAGTAGAGACAGGGTTTCACCCTGTTGGCCAGCCTGGTCTTGAACTTCTGGCCTCAAGTGATCCACTCACCTCGGCCTCTCAAAGTGCTGGGATTACAGGTGTGAGTCACCACACTCGGCCTTGCTACTGGTTATTTTTAATCTTTAAGACAGTAAAACAGGTGAAAGTGAAGCAATATGGAAACTTTCTTTCAAATAGAACGAACTCAGGACTCTTCTAACTCAGACCAAGATTTCTAGATGCCCTTTCCATGGGCATTGCATTTGCCAGGCAAGATTTCCCTGTGAAGAGCTTTCCCTGCGATTTGCATCTCTGGGATCTCTGCGCATAGCAAGTGACCAAGTCAGAAAACTTATCCACATCCAGGCAGCCTGGCACAACAGGATATCCCCACGTGTGCATGTGCGTGTGTCCAGAGCGAAGGTGTAAGAGCCCAGATTCAAGGTCACTCAGTGCTTTCGGAACTGAGATAAAACCCGGTGGAGGGGTTGCGGGGAATTTCACTCTGCCCCTGAGAAGCCAGCCCCACCCAGCCAGATCCAGCTTCCTGTGGGGAGCTAGAGTGACCCTGGGAGGGAAGGGTGGCCTCAGGGAAGGAAGAAAGGCGCTCTTGGGACTGGCAAGTAGTCAGGTACTTTACCATGAAGAGCTAAAGGCATGTGACTTGATTTGTACCTTCAAATAATGAGGCAGCTGTAATTTGCATCTGCGTAGAGTTTATAGTTTGCAAAGGGCATTTCCCAGGATTAGTTATCACATTTGATCCCGGCTTTGTGGGCAGGACTGGTATCATTTACTCATCCTTTCAAAAAAATACGTACTGAGACCAGTCACGGTGGCTCACGCCTGTGATCCTAGCACTTTGGAAGGCCGAGGTGGGTGGATCACTTGAGGTCAGGAGTTCGAGACCAGCCCGGCCAACATGGTAAAACTAAAAATACAAAAATTAGCCAGGCGTGGTGGCACGCATCTGTAGTCCCAGCTACCCGGGAGGCTGAGGCAGGAGAATCTCTTCAACCCAGGAAGTGGAGGTTGTAGTGAGCCAAGATCATGCCACTGCACTGCAGCCTGGGCAACAGAGCGAGACTCGGGGGTGGAAAAAAAAACAAAAAACAAAATACAGAAAATATGTATTGAGCACTTACTATGTGGTAGGATCTGTGCTGGCCCCAGGGGAGATGACTGAGTAAAAACAGCATTGGTCTCTGCCCATTTCCATGCTATCATTATATCATTGTTTATTTAATCAGCCTCTTCAAGAAAGACCTTGGGTTGTTTCTAATCTTTTGCAACTGCAAACCTGTGACCTTGTGCAAATGTCATTCATCTGTAGGATAAAGCCCCAGAGTGAGATAGATGTTGTTAAATTGCGGCTGAGCACTGTCTGCATGCCCACTGGCTGTGTATGAGCATGCCTGTTTGCTCACAGCCTTGCCAAAATAATGTGTTAAGTGTTTTGGATTTTTGCTGATCTGATATGTGAGAGATGCTATCTGAGTATGTCCATTTGCATTTCTATTACTTATAAAAAGATCCTTGCTCTAGCTTACTTGTTTAGAGGTCATATTTTGTATGTGTGTGAATTGTCTTTGGCCCATTTTGTTTTGGGGTGTTAGTCTTCTTATTGATTTCTGGGAGCTCTTTATATATTAGAAAAATTCGACTTATGTGATATGAGCTGCATTTAAGTTGTCCCAGGTTGTCACTTCTTTTTTTTTTTTTGAGACAGAGTCCTGCTGTGTCATCTACGCTGGAGTGCAGTGGTGTGATCTTGGCTCACTGCAACCTCCATCCCTCAGGTTCAAGCAATTCTCTCGCCTCAGCCTCCTGAGTAGCTAGGGTTACAGGTGTGCACCACCACACCTGGCTAATTTTTTTTGTATTTTTAGTAGAGATAGGGTTTTGCCATGTTGCCTGGGCTGGTCTCAAACTCCTGAGCTCAAGCCATTCACCAGCCTTGGCCTCCCAAAGTGCTAGGATTATAGGCGTCAGCCACAAGGCTGCATTGTTCTTATTTATTTATTTATTTATTTATTTATTTATTTATTTCGAGCTGGAGTCTTGCTCTGTTGCCCAGGCTGGAGTGAGATGGCACCATCTTGGCTTGCTGCAGCCTCCCCCTCCTGGGCTCAAACTATCCTCCCACCTCAGCCTCTCAAGTATCTGGGACCACAGGTGCATACCACCATGCTCCACTAATTTTTGTAATTTTTTGTGGAGATGAGGTTTCACCATGTTGTCCAGACTGGTCTTGAACTCCTGGGCTCAAGCAATCTGGCTGCCTCAGCCTCCTAAAGTGCTGGGATTACAGGTGTGGGCCACTGCACCCAGCCTCACATAGATGTTTAATATCTTTTGTTAAGTTTAACCCTGAGTATCGCGACTGTTGTTGTAAGCGGGGTCTTCTCTTTTCCCATACCTTCTAGTGACTTGTTATTTATATTTAAGTGTGTGTGTTTATACTACCATCTTTAGTTTTTACTTTTTCAATTATTTATCTTGACTTTTCCAGGTATACAATAATATCATATGAAAATAGCAATAGTTTTAACTATTTCTATTGCGTTTTCTTTCTTTTGTCAAATTCCTCTGATAAATACACCCAGTATAGTGATGGTGGTGGCAGCATCTGTGTCTTCCCTGAGCTTAGTATTAGTGCCCAGGTATGAAACTGTGTATTCGTACTCTCTGGAGTATGAAGCTGGTTCCTGGCTTCTGTGTTAATCTATATAATTTTGTTAAGGAAGTGTCCATTGATTCATAATTTACTAAGTGTTGGCTACTTTGTTAAATGTTTTTTGGTGTCACTGGGGATGATGATTTTTCTGCTTAGATCTATTTAATATGATGAATTATATTCATGATTTCCTAATTATGTTGAACCATCCTTGCATTCTTTGAATAAACCCCACTTGCATTCCTGAATCACCCCCATTTTTTTATTTTTTTTATTTTTTGAGACAGAGTCTCACTGTGCCACCCAGGCTGGAATGCAGTGGTGCAGTCTTGGCTCACTGCAACCTGTCCCTCGCAAGCTCAAGCGATTCTCGTATCTCAGCCTCCTAAGTAGCTGGGATTACAGTTGTGCCCCACCACACTGGGCTAATTTTTGTATTTTTAGTAGAGATGGGTTTTTGCCATGTTGGCCAGGCTGGTCTCAAACTCCTGTCCTCAAGTGATCCACCTGCCTTAGCCTCCCAAACTGCTGGGATTACAGGCACGAGCCACCGTACTTGGCCTCCATTTAATTTTAATGTGCTGCTGAATTCTATTTGCTTATATTTTATTTTGGATTTTTACAATAATATTCATAAGTGAAATTGGTCAGAAGGATATTCTGTGAAGCCGTTGTCAGGTTTTGGTTTAAGTATTTGCTTTACTTAAATTTTTTTTTTTTTTTTTGGCCTGGCACAGTGGCTCGTGCCTGTAGTTCCAGCATTTTGGGAGGCCAAGGCAGGTGGGAGCCTAGGAATTCAAGACCAGCCTGGGTAACACGGTGAAACCCCATCTCTACTAAAAATGAACCTGGTATGGTGGCATGTGCCTGTAGTCCCAGCTACTCAGGAGGCTGAGGTGGGAGGATCATGTACTTGAGCCTGGAAAGTAGAGGCTGTAAGTGAGCCATGATCGTGCCACTGCATTCCAGCCTGGGTGACAGCAGACCCTGTCTTAAAAAAAATATATATATATATATATATTTAAATTTTCCTTTCTATATGTTCCTGTTTAACAGTTTAAACATTATCTGTTATTTCTGAGTTTTCCAGGATTCCCTCCCAAAATGTTTTGCCCTGGTGCTTTTGTTTTGTAATGGTAGTCCTTTTATAATTCTGTTTCTAATGTGGAAGTTGTCCTGTGTAGATTAGCTATGTCTTCTGGGATCCATTTGATTTATTATTTTTGTCCAGAAATTATTTTATTCAGGTTTTAAATTTTATTTGCTAAGTACTATCTTATTTTTTAAAACAATTATCTGCTTATTTGGTTATTTTCCCATTTAGCGTTTCCTAGTTTGTATGGGAAGCTTTCTCCCCACCCTCCTATCTTGATTAGGTTAGTTGGTGGTTGTATATTTTATTGGCTTTTTTCCAACAAGCCAGCTTTTTACCTTATTTATTAGTTCTACCGCTTATTTCTTCCCTAATTGATTTCTTTTCCTTCCTTCCTTCCTTCCTTCCTTCCTTCCTTCCTTCCTTCCTTCTCTCTTTCCTCTTCTCAAAACAGGGTCTTGCCGTGTCATACAGGCTGAAGTGCAGTGGCACCATCATGGCTCAGTGCAGTCTTAACTTCCCAGGCTCAGGTGATCCTCCTGAGTAGCTGGCACTGCAGGTACACACCACCACACCTGGCTAAATTTTTTTATTTTTTGAGAGGGAGTTTCGCTTTTGTTGCCCAGGCTAGAATGCAATGGCGCGATCTCGGCTCACTGCAACCTCCTTCTCCTGGGTTCTCCTGCCTCAGCCTCCCAAGTAGCTGGGATTACAGGTAGGCGCCACCACACCCGGCTAATTTTGTATTTTTAGTAGAGATGGGGTTTCTCCATGTTAGTCAGGCTGGTCTTGAACTCCCAACCTCAGGTGATCTGCCTGGCTCAGCCTCCCAAAGTGCTGGGATTACAGGTAGGTGCCACCACACCCGGCTAATTTTGTATTTTTAGTAGAGATGGGGTTTCTCCATGTTAGTCAGGCTGGTCTTGAACTCCCAACCTCAGGTGATCTGCCTGGCTCAGCCTCCCAAAGTGCTGGGATTACAGGCGTGAGCCACCGCACCCAGCCTTTTTTTTTTTTTTTTGTAGTGACAGTCTCACTGTGGTGCCCAGGCTGGTCTCAAACGATCCTCCCACCCCAGCCTCCCAAAATGCTCTGAGATTACAGACAGGAGCCACCATGACCAGCCATGTTTCTGTGTTTTATTTTGTGGTTCTTTTTCTAACATTTTTAAACTGGTGCTTTATTTATTTTTATCCTTTCTGTTTTAATTGTTACATACACTGGTGGCTAAAAATATCCTGATCATTGCTGTAGCTGTATCCTGTAGATATGGATACTTGGTGTTTTGGTATTTGTTGGTGGTGGTGGTGTTATATTTTGAGAAAGAGTCTCTCACTCAGTCATTCAGGGTAGAAAATGATGATGCAGTTTCAGCTCACTGCAACCTCTGCCTCCCATTCAAGCAATTCTCGTGCCTCAGCCTCCCGAGGTAGCTGGGACTACATGCATGTGCCACCATGCCTGGCTAATTTGTTGTATTTTTAGTAGAGACTGGGTTTCACCATGTTGGCCAGGCTGGTCTCAAACTCCTGTCCTTAACTGATCCGACTGCCTCGGCCTCTCAAAGTGATGGGATTACAGGCATGAGCCACCATGCCCAGCCTGGTGTTTTTATTATTTTTATTTGCTAGGAATCCCATAGATAAAATTTTTTAAAAAATTCCCGATTTTTAAATTAATTTCTAGTCATATTGCTTCATAATCATAAATTTTTAAAATATTTTTTGGATGTTATTGACATTTTCTTTGGACTGAATATGGTCAGATTTCATGACTGTTCCATCAGCTCAGCTCTTGAAAAGAAAGCACAGTATCTATCACTAGGGTAGAGAGTTTGAAATATTATAGTACCTTACTGATTATCTTATTTGGGTCTTCTGAATTCTTATTTCTGTTCATGCTACTTAATGTTTCTTGAACTGAAAGTGGTAAATTAAAATCTCTTATTAGTGTTTTGATATATTTATCCTAGTATCTGTAATTTTTCTATTCTGAAAATTGCTACAGTATTATTTGATGCATTATGAATTATACCGTTAGCATAATAAATTGCCCTTCTTTGGCTAATTTAGTGAGGTTTGTTGTGATTTTGCATCATTTTATATTAAGATTTTTGCCCCAGCATTTTGTTTGCATTTGCTTTTATATCTTTGCTTGTTCTTTTTTTAATTTTTTTTTTTTTGAGATGGAGTCTCACTCCATCACCCAGGCTGGAGTGCAGTGGCGTAATCTTGGCTCACTGCAACCTCCGCCTCCCAGTTTCAAGTAATCCTCCTGTCTCAGCCTCCCAAGTAGCTGGGACTACAGGCACCTGCCACCATGCCCAGCTAGTTTTTGTATTTTTAGTGGAGAACGGGTTTCACCTTGTTGGTCAGGCTGGTCTCGAACTCCTGACCTCAGGTGATCCACCCGTCTTGGCCTCCCAAAGTGCTGAGATTACAGGCGTAAGCGACCGCACCCGGCTGTTCTTATATTTTTAACCATTCTAAGTTACTTCGTTTAAGGTATGTCTCTTGAATAGAGAATAGAGATAGGTTACAGGTTATGCTTGAAATCTAATCTAAAAATCTTTTTCTCCTTCAAGATTAGTGGGTGAAACTTTTTTTTTTTTTTTTTTTTTTTGGGATGGAGTCTCGCTCTGTCACCCAGGCTGGAGTGCAGTGGTGTGATCTCAGCTCACTACAAGCTCTGCCTCCCGGGTTCACACCATTCTCCTGCCTCAGCCTCCCGAGTAACTGGGACTATAGGTGCCCGCCACCACGCCTGGCTAATTTTTTGTATTTTTAGTAGAGACGGGGTTTCACCGTGTTAGCCAGGATGGTCTCGATCTCCTGACCTCGTGATCCGCCCGCCTTGGCCTCCCAAAGTGCTGAGATTACAGGCGTGAGCCACCGCACCCGGCCAACTTTTTTTTTTTTTTTTTTTTTGAGATGTAGTCTGTGTCACCCAGGCTGGAGTGCAGTGGTGCGATCTTGACTCATTGCAACCTCCACTTCCCAGGTTCAAGCGATTCTCCTGCCTCAGCCTCCCGAGTAGCTGGGATGACAGGCACACATTACCACGCCTGGCTAATTTTCGTATTTTTAGTAGATACAGGGTTTCACCATATTGGTCGGGCTGTAATTTTTGTATTTTTAATGGAGATGGGGTTTCACCTTGTTGGGCAGGCTGGTCTCCAACTCCAGACCTCAAACGATCTGCCAGCCTCGGCCTATTAAAGTGCTGGGATTACAGGTGTGAGCCACCGCACCTGGCCTGGAATTACTTTTTAAAGTGTTTTTATTTTTAAATTCATGCTGTAATTTTGGATTCGAATTTGTATTTGTCTTGTGCCAGTATTTTCTTCTTTTTCTTTTTCTTTTTCTTTTTTTTTTTTTTGAGACAGAATCTCTGTCGCCCAGGCTGGAGTGCAGTGGTACGATCTCAGCTCACCACAGCCTCTACCTCCTGGGTTCAAATGATTCTCCTGCCTTGGCCTCCCAAGTAGCTGGGACTACAGGCACGCGCCACCATGCCCAGCTAATTTTTTGTATTTTCAGTAGAGAGAGGGTTTCGCCCTTATTGGCCAGGCTGGTCTCGAACTCCCGACCTCAAGTGATCCACCCACCTCGGGCCCCCAAAGTGCTGAGATTACAGGCATGAGCCATTGCGCCCGGCTGTGGCAATATTTTCATAGTGAATTTTCTTTATATATAAGCGAGTATTTGTGCTCCTCACCCCCGTTTCCATTTTGTTTTATGCCTTTAAATTTTTTTCCATATTTGAATTAGTTGAATTTTCCTGGAGTGGCAATTAACAGGAGGTTTTGGTGGAAATTGGGAGAGAAGCCAGGACAGTTCTCTGGGTTTCTCTGGTGAAAGGCTCCCTCCTCTGTTGCCATGGTAATGGGTTGTGCTTTTTAAAGTATGGCCTTTCTCTGCATCCACTCCTCTTTCACCTCCAGAACCTAACCTGTCTCAAGAGGTCACTTGCCTCCAGCCCTGAGTACTCCCAGTTCATTCTGGCCGTAGCTCATGCCTTCTGCCATCTCCCTTTTAGAAGTGGCCTTTTCTGGGGTCTTCCACTCTTGAGCTCCCCCGCCTCCGCCGCCCCCCCCCGCCCCCCCCCATTGCCATGTCTGCTGCCCGCAGGTGCTTTGGGCCACACTCAACTGTGGTTGGGAGTTTGCGGGTTTTCCCTGCCTCTTAGTTTCTCTCATTTGTCTTTACCCATGTTGCTTTGTATAATTTGGTAGAAGAGGGAAAATTCAGAACTAAGCTGCTGCCTTATTCCTCCTGGAATGAAGTCCACCTCCCTGAGTTTTCTGTTTGTAACGTCCACCCAGACAGCAAGACCGCCTGCTTGATTCCTGGCTTCTGAGGTGTTAAAGGCCTGGGAGGAAGAATATTTTGTAACCTCTGCTCCGAAAAGAGCCCTTCTGCCCTTCTTACAAACAGCCCTTCAGCCCTTCTTTTTTTTTTAATTTTTTTTATTATTTTTTTTATTTTTTGAGTCCAGAGTCTCACTTTGTTGCCCAGGCTGGAGTGCAGTAGTGCAACCTCAGCTCACTGCAATCTCCGCCTACCAGGTTTAAGCAATTCTCCTGCCTCAGCCTCCTGAGCAGTTGGCATTACAGGCATGTGCCACCATGCCCAGTTAATTTAATTTTTGTATTTTTTAGTAGAGATGGGGTTTCACCATATTGGGCAGGCTAGTCTTGAACTCCTGACCTCATGATTTGCCCACCTTGGCCTCCCAAAGTGCTGGGATTACAAGCATGAGCCACTGCGCCTGGGCACAAACAGTCCTTCTTATACCAATTACTTCCTCCTAAAAACTGTCATTCTTACTTCTTGGGTAGAAATATTATATTTATTTGTGCCTTGAAAGATTGTGGGGCTAGGGATGGGGAACAGGACACTTGGTCCTCCAAGCAGGGTTTGGAAGCTCTGGGCATTGAGTTTTCACATCAAGGGGGGTCTGAGTTCCAAGACCAAGGAGCCCACCCCCTCCTTTGATGGACAAAGCAGTGAAGGCCCAGGGAGGGGCAGAGGTGGGTCCAAGGTCACGTTGCCAAATCTTAGCAGGTGCGGAAGCTGTCAGGCAGGGCCTGGATTTGAATTCTGTACTCGGTGCTGTTTCTTGGCTCTGTGGCCTTCTGCCCCAGATCCCTCAGAGTTCTTGGCGCCTCAGGTCTGTGCTAAGGTGTTACTTATCCCATGCAGTTAGCAGCAGGTGCCCATGTGTCCCGCCAAGGTTAGAGCATTTGGTTAGCCTGCACCCTCCCTTCCCCGCACTGTGCAGAAGGGAATCTGAGGCCCAAAAAGGAAAGTGACCTGTCTAAGGTCACACTGCAAGTCATCTTCCCGACATCACTGCTGAGTGGGCCAAGGACAGCTTCCTAGTTCTGCACTTTCAGAGTTTGCAAAACACTCCTTATTGCAGGCCGGGCACAGTGGCTCACACCTGTAATCCCAGCACTTTGGGAGGCCGAGGCCAGTAGATCACGAGGTCAGGAGTTCAAGACCAGCCTGGCCAAGATGGTGAAACCCCGTCTCTACTAAAAATACAAAAATTAGCCAGGCGCGGTGGCAGGTGCCTATAATCCCAGCTACTCGGGAGGCTGAGGCAGGACAATCACTTGAACCCGGGTGGCAGAGGTTGCAGTGAGCTGAGATCGTGCCACTGCACTCCAGTCTTGGCAATAGAGTGAGACTCTGTCTCAAAAAAAAAAAAAACAAAAACAAACAAACAACAAAAAAAAAGCCCACTACTTATTTATTTAATACATGTGGTTGAGCCCTAGGCTGGGCCTAGTCTCTGCCCCCAAGGCATTCACAGCCTGGTGGGGACAACACACACACACACACACACACACACACACACACACAGTGGGGCAGCATGCTCTCTCTCACACACACACACACACACACACACACAGCAGGGCAGCATGTGCCAGCCAAGGCTGCAGTGTGGAGGGCAGAGGTGCTGCGGCCAGCGGACCACACTGTGATGTACCCCGGCCTGAGTGCCACTGTGGCCCCTTTACTTTTCTGAAAGTTAAACAGGGGAGCAGGGACCGGGATTGGCTGGAGTAATCCCCGCATCCCTCACTGGGGGTCAGGCTGAGCTAAGACAACCTGCCAACCCCATTATTTGGGCCAGGACCGCCTGACTCCACCAGGTGCGTCCTCGGCAAGTGAAGGAACCCGGTGGGCGTTCCACCTTATCTGCACGAAGGCTCCGGACCCTTTGTCTCCCACTACGTCCCCTCCCCAAAACCACCCAGTTCCAGTGAGTCCAGGTGTCCTCTTCCTGGCAAGGGGGCTCCCATGCCAGTTGGGGGTAAAGAGTGTGTTTCAGCCGGACACGGCGGCTCACGCCTGTAATCCCAGCACTTTGGGAGGCCGAGGTGGGCGGATCACCCGAGGTCAGGAGTTCCAGAACATCCTGGCCAACATGGCGAAACCCCGTCTCTACTAAAAATACAAAAAAATTAGCCAGACATGGTGGCGCACTCCTGTAGTACTTGGGAGGCTGAGGCAAGAGAATCGCTTGAACCCGGGCGGCGGAAGTTGGCAGTGAGCCGAGATCGCACCACTGCACTCCAGCCTGGGCGACAGAGCAAGACTCCATCTGTGAAAAAAAAAAAAAAAAAAGAGTGTGTTCCTCTGGTGGGGGAGCCCCTTTTTCCGGGGGGGGACACAAGTCCTCAACAGCGGCTGCACATCTAGGTGCCTTCAGTCCTGTGAGCCCGGCCCTGGCCCTCTCTGTCTCCTGCCATTGCAGCCCCACCCCTGATATGATGTTGTGGGGTCAGGGACCAAGAAAGGCATCCCGGTGTCTGCTGAGGGGGATGAGGAGAGAGAAAGGAGAGAGAGAGAAAGAGAGAGAGAGACACCAACCTGGAGTGGCAGGAGGGAGAGAAAGAGGGGAGGGACAAGGAGTCCCAGGGAGAAAAAGCAGGAAGAAGACACTGATCAGGGGGATGAGACATTCATTGGTCGATTGAGGAGGTCATCAGAAGGTTCCGTCATTGACTTCTGGGCTATCCTTTCCTCTTGTGTGGACTACGTAGGGTGGGATCCACGTGTCATGACAGTGTCACGTGGGTCTCTGTCTCCTTCCCTTGGCTCTGCTTGCCTCAGGGCTGGCTTCATTACCAGGCAGCCTCTACCTTGACGGTTCCTGGCTCACACCTAGTGACCCCATGGGAAGCACATACCTCTGCTTGGACCTGACTAGGTTCTGTGTGCCTCAGCCGGACCACTGCGGCCAGGGGAATGTGGTACTATCATTAGCTGGACCTGAGTCAGTGCTTATGGCAACAGCCAGGGAGCAGGGCCCACAGGCAGGGGTGGCTCCCCACAGGACAGCAGGTGTTCTCAGGAGGATGAATGGGTGCAGGGTAGGTAAACCTAGATGACCCCTCTGCCTCCACTGCAGAACAGCAGTGCATGTGACTTTTCTCCTTTTTCTCCTGCTGCGGCGGGAGCATTCTTTATGGAGCTGCTATGTTAGTGATGTTCAAAGCCACATGTGACCTTAGGGTCATGGGGACTCTGGAGAAGGTAGTGGGAGAAGTTTCCTTTCTACCTCACCCTGGCCAGGGGTCCACCTCGGGCTCCTGTCTGAGTCTGGGATCCAGCTGAGCCCTGACCACACTTAATCCCCACAGCAACCTGTGTCCTGGGTGCTGGTGTTACCCCTGTCCACAGACAGGTTCAGAGAGGTGGCCTGTCTTGTGGGCACGTGGCAGGGCCAGGAAGGAAGCTCAGGTATGTTGGTGCAGGCCGTTGTCCTCCAGGCCTGGCCACATAAAGTCCTGCTCAGGAAGGAAGCCGTGAGGCAACGAGCTGGGAGACCCTGGGGGTGAAGCCCACCTTGGTCCCTGTCTGACCAGGCAAGGGTGGAGGTGGGTGGGGAGGGGACCCGATTTGGCTCCACTAGAGGCAAGTATGACCATGGGACAGGGATGGCAGGCTCTCACCATCCAGTTGGTGACAGCTGTGGGACTGGGAGCATGATAAAGAGCATGCTACGTCCTGGCTGCATGTCCCTGCTTCCTGACCTTAAACACTATCCTGAGTGGTCCTTCACTTCCAGCCCCATCAGAGACTTCTGCACACAGATACCCACCAGTTCCCCTGCCGGAGGAAAGGCCTATAATGCGATGGCCGTGGCCACATCTGTTGAGGGCCTGTTCCGTGGGCTGGGCCCTGGAGATGCATTGCCTCCCTCCATCCCTCCAAAGTGGAGTTAATCCCATTTTGTGGGCAGAGAGACTGAGGCTCCGAGGAGGAGCATGGCCTGACTGCAGTCACATGGCTGGTGACACAGTGGGAGCACCCGTGTGACCCTGGCGCTGGTGTCTTACACCTCAGGGGTCTGGGGTCACAATCACAGGTCAGCAGGGGTGGCCACACCCCAGCCTGGCCACGCACAGGGGCCAGCTCCTTATCTGGAGAGGCTTGGAAGCCACAGCAGTATCCAGTCGTGGTCACTGATGCGCCCCACCTTGGCCACTGCTGGGCCTGCTTCTCCCCACTTCCCACCTTTGAATGAGCTGCTGGCCTCCCACCACCCGACCGTGGCTTTGCTCCTGGAGTTCCAGTTCCTGGGCCCTCTTGTTGAGACCCCAAGAACATGAGAAGAGTGGAAATAGCCTCTGGCTCTCCTGGAGGGCCATTCCTCATCTCATCAGTATCTGTTGAGCTCCTGCTGTCGGCTGAACCTGTGTCAGCACCAGGAACAGAATGAGAGCGAGGAGCCCCTGCCCCTTAGGACTGACACAACGGAAAACACATACAATCATTTCCAGGGGACGAGGGCTGCGCTGGGCGCGGTGGCCCCATCTGGTCCCACCATTGAGCCCTGGAGCCCCCGTCTCCTGGGTAGATTGCCCCCTACCTCGGGAGCAGCCCATCCCCAGTGACCCACTGCGGGCCAGTGTTGGTGTAGGCCCCTGGGTTAGTCGGGGTTCTCCAAATTAACAGAACCAGTCGATGAGAAGATGAAATAAGACATCCTCTCTCAGCTCAGCAGTGAGGCAGGAGAACGGGGGCGAATTCCTCCGTCCTCAGCCTTTCCTTCTACTCAGGGTTGGGGGCCCACCCACACTGGGGGCCATCTGCTTCCTGAGTCTGCCATTCGAATGGTAATCTCATCTGGAAACACCCCCAGACACACCCAGGAGTAACGTTTAATTGGGGCACCCTGTGTCCTGGTCAAGTTGACACATGAAATTAACCATCATAGCCCCGACTGTGGTTTGGAACAAACATCTCTGATGGCCACCCCAGCTGCAGAGCTCCTATGGGACTGGCCGAGGCCCCTGTGGCAATGACAGCCTCACAGCTCAACATCTCCCTCTGTGCAGTCCTGCGTCCCTTGCCCTCACAGGAACTCAGAGCCCTCCCCTTGCCCTGCATGGGGCTCTCCAAGTCCTCAGTCAGCTCCCCGGGCCAGGCCCATGACCAAGGGCATTGAAGGAAATGTCGAGTGATGTGACCGAGAGTGACAGGAGGGTCGTGGCCACTCACACCAGGGGGCAAGAAAATTCAGGATGAGTCCGCAGTGCAAAGTGAAAGCAAGTTTACTAAGATTGTAAAGGAGCCGGGCGCAGTGTCACATGCCTGTAATCCCAGCACTTTGGGAGGCCGAGGTGGGCGGATCACTTGAGGTCAGGAGTTCAAGACTAGCTTGGCAAACTTGGTGAAACCAAATCTCTACTAAAAATACAAAAAATCAGCCGGGCATGGTGGCACATGCCTGTAATCCCAGCTACTCAGGAGGCTGAGGCAGGAGAATTGCTTGAAACCAGTAGGAAGAGGTTTTAGTGAACCGAGATCGGGCCATTACACTCCAGCCTGGGCGACAGAGCAAGACTCATAAAAAAAAAAGAAGGTAAAGGAATAAAAGAATGGCTACTGCATAGAGCAGCCCCTAGGGCTGCTGCTTACCCATTTTTATGGTTATTTCTTGATGATATGCTAAACAAGGGGTGGATTATTCATGCCTCCCCTTTTTAGACCACCCAAGGTAACTTCCTGACGTTGCGATGGCATTTGTAAACTCACGGTGCTGGTGGGAGTGTAGCAGAGAGGACGACCAGAGGTCACTCTTATGGCCATTTTGGTTTTGGTGGGTTTTGGCCGGCTTCTCTACTGCAACCTGTTTTATCAGCAAGGTCTTTATGACCTGTATTTTGTGCTGAACTCCTATCTCACCCTGTGACTTAGAATGCCTTACCCGTCTGGGAATGCAGCCCAGTAGGTGTCAGCCTCATTTTACTCAGCTCCTATTTAAGATGGTGTTGGTCTGGCTCACACGCCTCTGACACCTTTGCCTCTCGGGGCCTCTGTGTTCCCGTCAGGACATCGGAATCTCCAAGGGCATAACCCTGGTGCTCTGGGAGCCTCTCTGTCAGCACTCAGCCTGGATGGAGGGCTCAGTGCGGACTCCGTTTTGTTGGGTCATGGTTGGCCAGTGCTAGGCTGAGCTGGGCTGGACACAGGGCTGGAGGGGTAGCGCCCTTACTGTAGGGACAGGTGGGGGTGCAATTTGTGTAGGGATGAAAAGCACCAGCTTGGAGGGCCTTTTCTAGGCCCTTGGGCCTAGCCCCTGATGCTGATGCCCCTAGTTGGGGTCTGCAGAGCTGGTGCCAAGAACCTGGCTGGTAGGGGTCTGACCCAGCCTTTGGCCTTCTGTCTCCATTGCCCTGCACCTCTCGATTTTTTTTTTTTTTTTTTGAGACGGAGTCTCGCTCTATTGCCAGGCTAGAGTGCAGTGGCACGATCTCAGCTCACTGCAACCTCTGCCTCCCGAGTTCAAGCGATTCTTCTGCCTCAGCCTCCTGAGTAGCTGAGACTACAGGCGTGCACCATCATGCCAGCTAATTTTTGTATTTTCAGTAGAGATGGGGTTTCACCGTGTTGGCCAGGATGGTCTTAATCTCCTGACTTCATGATCCGCCCACCTCAGCCTCCCAAAGTGCCGGGATTACAGGCGTGAGCCACCGCGCCCGGCCATGCCCTGCACCTCTCCTCTCTCCTCACTTCCTGCCTAAGATGAGTCATGGGGAATCCTGGCGATGGGAGCCATGGAAGGGCTTAGAGCAGGGGAGTGGCCACAGTAACAGGCTAACTGGGAGTAGCTCCCTGGTGACAGGGCGGGAAGTAGTGAGCCTGGAGGCAGGGGCAGGCAGCAGGGGTGTGCCAGGCCCAGCTGACAAGGTCCAGGACATAGGCTGCAACTGCGAGGCCCGTCTCGGGGGCCAGGAGCATGCTTTGGGCCTGAGGTCACCTGGATATTGGGCTGCGGCCAACTTGGCCCCATACACAGTTTCTATTCCTGGGTCTTGGGCTCTGACACCAAATATGGCGTGGCCTGAGTCTGGCACCCCCAACTGTGGTCCGACGACATATCCTGCTCCTCCAAGTGGGCCCGGACCCCGCCCACACCATGGAGTCAGATCATGCCAGCACTCGGGGCCCCCAAGTGGGCAGAGGCTCCTGCTGCTGCTACTGGCCCTCCAACTGTCCACCCGTCCGCGTGGTTCACATGGGGTTAAAAGTACTCAGGACCAAAATAGCCCCTCTCCCTGCAGAAGAAAGACAGGGGCAGGGGGCACCATGTCTTGGTTCACACCACAGCCCTGTCCTTGCTACCCGCATCCCAGGGAGCTCACCCGGCCTCTGCCCCCCACCTTTCGCACTGGCCCACTTGGTCACACAGCGATCTACACACTCATTGGTTCACTCTTACTGGTCACTCACTCGTTCACTCATTCATTCATTTACTGATCATTCATTAATTCACTCATTGGTTAACTCATGGAATCACTGCCTATTTATTGACCACATACTAAGAGCTGGACACCGTTCTACCATTTCAGAGCTGAACAAAACACAAAACATACCTATCCTCATGGGGTTATGTTCTAGACAGACAACCAAAGCAAATAAGTAGGATGTACCGTGTGTTAGAATAAATGCAAGGATGAGGAAACGAGGGGGCTCTGAGGTGATGGGGGGAGTTGGAATTTCAGGGGGCCCAGGGAGGACCTGGTGGGAAGGGGACTTTTGAGTGGGCATCTGAGAGAAGAACCCTCCAAGCAGAAGAACAGCAGGTGCCAAGGCCCTAGCAGCCGTTTGAGGCCTGAAAAACAGGCGGCCAGGTGTGGCTGGGGCACAGGTGGCGGGGAGAGAAGCAGAACGTGAGGTCAGGGGGACACATGGGGCCCAGTGGATCAGGGCCTCATGTCATTCAGGGTCTGAGCTGAGAATGACGTGGCTGATATACTTGTAAAGCATCCTGCTGGCTGTTGAGTGAATGGGTCAGAGTGAGCCATTTTCCCATGTGCCTGCTGCGTGCTGGGAACCTAGCTGGGTGCCGGGGAGAGAAGATGCAGGTGAACCCTAGATGCTTATTCCCATGGTGCTTGCAGAGGTCTGGAGCCACCACTGTCTCCTCCATCTGACCTGCTCATCCTTGGTGCTTAACCATGTGTCACCTCCCCAAGGGAGTCACCATCTTTGTCTGTTTCCTTTTTTCTTTTTTTTTTTTTTTCCTTTTTGAAACTGAGTTTTGCTCTTGATGTCCAGGCTGGAGTGCAGTGGTGCAATCTCGGCGCACTGCAACCTCCGCCTCCTGGATTCAAGCAATTCTCCTGCCTCAGCCTCCTGAGTAGCTGGGATTACAGGCATGCGCCACCATGCCCGGCTAATTTTGTATTTTTAGTAGAGACAGGGTTTCTCCATGTTGGTCAGGCTGTTCTCGAATTCCCGACCTCAAGTGATCTGCCCACCTTGGCCTCCCAAAGTGCTGGGATTACAGGCGTGAGCTACCGCGCCTGGCTTTTTTTTTTTTTTTTTTGAGATAGAGTCTGGCTCTGTCACCCACGCTGGAGTGCAGTGGCACAACTTGGCTCACTGCAACCTCCGCCTCCCTGGTTCAAGCGATTCTCCTGCCTCAGTCACCTGAGTAGCTGGGATTACAGGCGCACACCACCGCGCCTGGCTAATTTTTGTATTTTTAGTAGAGACGAGGTTTCACCATGTTGGCCAGGCTGGTCTCGAACTCCTGATCTCAAGTGAGCCACCACGCCTGGCCTCTTTGTCTGTTTCTAAATGATGCCCCCACCAGACTGAGAACTCCTTTAGGGAAAGGCTGTGTCTGATTCTCCCCTTCTCCTGGGTACCAGTGCAGGGCCTGCCCCTATTCCCTGAGTGTCCCCTGAGAGGTGGAGCGAGTGAATGAATCAGTGAACACATGAGCCCCAGGCCTGACCTGCCTGTGTGGCCAGGGGGACGAGGCCTCTGAGAGCCAGCGACCTGTTTCACTCTCTTCTTGCCATCTTTTGCAGATGGATTTGCAGCCGCTGCAAGTGTGTGGAAGGGCCGTGTTCGTGTTGGCAAAGAAGGTCGGCTGCTGAGCCAGGGCGTGTCTCCCGGAGGCCTGTGGGCTGCCAGGATCCCCACCTCTCTGCAATGGGCTGCCCAGGCTGGTCAGTTACCAGCCAGTGACATCAGCGAGGTTCCCTGCTCTCTACCCTGGGAAGGGCCCAGCCTAAGTTACCAAGCCCCAGGCTCCCAGTACCACCCTCAGCCTATGTGGATTGCCACCCCACCTTCTGCCTGTCCTTGGGAGGGGACCGACTCTTAGCTCCCCTTAGCAATCAGGTTGCACCCAGTCCCTTGACTTTATGCCCAGGTTTCCTGGCACCTAAAGTAGAAACGATGCAACTGCCCCTCGGGCTTGCTGAGGGTCAAAGGGGGTGTGACTTTGTCATGGAGCGTAGAAGTCAGAGTCGATGGTGATCCCGCTGGCTGTTAACATCGATACAGTTCAGGTCAGCATGCACCAAGTTCCTCCAACACACCAGGTACATTGGCTAGCCACCTCTCCCAGGCAGGGCGGTGCAGTGGTGAGAGCAGGGACCCCAGCCAGGTGGCCTGGGTCCTAACCCCCTGCACTGTCATTGCTGGCTGTGGGACTCTGCACAAGGTACTGCACTTCTGTGCCTCAATTTCCTCATCTGTAGGGTGGGGGTGGTGATTGCCACCCCATAGGGTGGTTATAAGGGGCCACACATGTTCCTATGTGTGAGATGCTGAGAAAGTCACCTGGCATGGACAGGATGGACAGCCAGTATTTATCGAACTATGAATGAATGAATGTTACCCTTTAGTGGGTTCCAGCGTCCTATCCTGTCGGTGGGAAGACTGAGGCTCAGAGAGCTCCGTAACTTGCCCCAGGTCACACAGCCGGTTCAGGCAGAGTTGGGGTCTCATGCCTCCCAGGTGTTCCCACAGTCTTTTCCCCAGGAGCAGGGTCCAAGCCTGCTGCTCCTCCAACCACCTGCGAGGCACCTGGGCATGTTCCTGGCCACCAGGAAAGAGAGGTCTAATGGCAGTAGTACCAGTCAGCGTCATGTGCCTGGAGCGAGTGCCCTGTGAGTGCACCTGCTGGGCCAGCCCTTAGCAAACCAACGCCTGGGCCTGCCGGAGCCCCAGACCTCATGCTGAACATCCTCAGGGCCCCTCAGTGGCCTGTCCTTAGACGAACCCCAGGCCTGGTTTATGGAGCTGAGGCGGGCATGAGCTGGGCCTCAAATCCCAGGCTGCCAATCCTCACAGAGCCCTGTGTGTCACATGGCGAAGCCATCACTTCTGACAGTCCTTACGCAGACCAGACTCTGGCCTGGGCCTGTGATGGTTACACACCATGGGTGGCACTGGCCTGGTCCTTGGGTGAGCTCACAGGTGTGTCGCAGAGAGTGGAAGGGACCCTGCTCAGACCCCAGTCCATGGCCCACTGTGCTCCCATTTCGTAGGTGAGCAGCCAGCAGGCTGGGGTTCAAGCCTTGGCCCCTGTGGGCCCAGGAGCCCATGGGCTTGGAAGCCAGCCTTGGCTCTGGCTGATGTTCACAGGAAGCGTTTTCCTTGTGGATCGGGAATGCCAACGGCCTCCCTGATGGCGGGTGCTCATCTCTTGCAGACCAGCCGGTTCCTGCTGGAAGCTCCTGGTCTGATCTGGGGATACCATGTCCAAGCCCCCCGACCTCCTGCTGCGGCTGCTCCGGGGCGCCCCAAGGCAGCGGGTCTGCACCCTGTTCATCATCGGCTTCAAGTTCACGTTTTTCGTCTCCATCATGATCTACTGGCACGTTGTGGGAGAGCCCAAGGAGAAAGGGCAGCTCTATAACCTGCCAGCAGAGATCCCCTGCCCCACCTTGACACCCCCCACCCCACCCTCCCACGGCCCCACTCCAGGCAACATCTTCTTCCTGGAGACTTCAGACCGGACCAACCCCAACTTCCTGTTCATGTGCTCGGTGGAGTCGGCCGCCAGAACTCACCCCGAATCCCACGTGCTGGTCCTGATGAAAGGGCTTCCGGGTGGCAACGCCTCTCTGCCCCGGCACCTGGGCATCTCACTTCTGAGCTGCTTCCCGAATGTCCAGATGCTCCCGCTGGACCTGCGGGAGCTGTTCCGGGACACACCCCTGGCCGACTGGTACGCGGCCGTGCAGGGGCGCTGGGAGCCCTACCTGCTGCCCGTGCTCTCCGACGCCTCCAGGATCGCACTCATGTGGAAGTTCGGCGGCATCTACCTGGACACGGACTTCATTGTTCTCAAGAACCTGCGGAACCTGACCAACGTGCTGGGCACCCAGTCCCGCTACGTCCTCAACGGCGCGTTCCTGGCCTTCGAGCGCCGGCACGAGTTCATGGCGCTGTGCATGCGGGACTTCGTGGACCACTACAACGGCTGGATCTGGGGTCACCAGGGCCCGCAGCTGCTCACGCGGGTCTTCAAGAAGTGGTGTTCCATCCGCAGCCTGGCCGAGAGCCGCGCCTGCCGCGGCGTCACCACCCTGCCCCCTGAGGCCTTCTACCCCATCCCCTGGCAGGACTGGAAGAAGTACTTTGAGGACATCAACCCCGAGGAGCTGCCGCGGCTGCTCAGTGCCACCTATGCTGTCCACGTGTGGAACAAGAAGAGCCAGGGCACGCGGTTCGAGGCCACGTCCAGGGCACTGCTGGCCCAGCTGCATGCCCGCTACTGCCCCACGACGCACGAGGCCATGAAAATGTACTTGTGAGGGGCCCGCCAGGTCACCTCCCCAACCTGCTCCTGATGGGGCACTGGGCCGCCCTTCCCGGGGAGGCAAGATTGAGGGCCCGGGAGAGGGAGGCCCGAGCTGCCACCGGGCTTAGGCAGGCTGTTGAGGAGCTGTGGGAGCAGGCCCAGTGGGAGGCTGTGGACACCCCGAGGACAGTGTCCTGTCTCGAGGCAGGGCTGACACATGGTGCCATAGCCAGCGGAGGGCGCTCAGTGAGTGCCCCGGGCCTTCTAGACAACAGGCAGGAAGGATGAACCTCAGGGCACCCCCAGGTGGTGCGGAAAGCCAGGCAGTTGGGACAGAGGTGCCCACGAGGGCAGAGGCCGGTGCTAAGGGGATGGGGAAGAAGGGACAAGATTCCCAGAGAGGAGAGGAGGCTGTTGGTAGGAAAGTGGCAGGGCTGGGGGAGACCCAGCCCCAAGGGTCCGGGGCGGAGGATGCTTTGTTCTTTTCTGGTTTTGGTTCCTCTTTCGCGGGGGGTGGGGGAGGTCAACAGGGACTGAGTGGGGCAGAGGCCCAGAAGTGCCAGCCTGGGGAGCCGTTTGGGGGCAGCCCCTTCTGCCCACCCCATCCTTCTTCCTCTCCAGAGATGCCAGGGGGGCGTGTATGCTCTGCCCCTTCCCTCAGACAGGGGCTGGGTGGGGAGGCTCTTTAGGCTCAGGAGAAGCATTTTAAAGAAACCCCCACCCTGCCGCCCGCATTATAAACACAGGAGAATAATCAATAGAATAAAAGTGACCGACTGTCACTTCGGGCCTTGTGATTGGTGAAGTGTGTTCAGGCTCACAGCCTCCTCCGCTCCATTCTTCTGACGGGGAATCCACTGGGTGGACTGGTGGTGACTTTGCCAAGGTCTCACAACCTGCCCAGCACGGAAGGGCTCGGGACCTGGCTCATAGCCCCAGTGTCCCTGGTGATGGAGAGCCCCCGCAGTGGGGAATGGGGGGAGCCTGTTTTTCCCTCCTCCTTTTTCAAGGCTCACAAACACGGAAGGTTGGGTCCCACCAGCACAACTCCCCCCATGACAAGCCTGAATCTGTTTAACATAAATGGGACCAAATGTGGACACTGAGGAGCCCACCGCCGGAGCAGGGCTGAGCTGCCACCCATCCAGGGAGAGGTCCCAGTGAGGGAGCTGTGAGGGCCTGTGGCTGAAATCCCGGGAGGGACCTGAAGTGCCTTGTGGGCGGCTCCAGGACTGGGCCATAGGAATATCTGCTCCCCGCAGGGCGAGACCCCAGCTGGTTTGCATTGTGGAAGCTGCCTAGGCGTTCCCCACCAGGACTGGGGGTGCTGCCAGGAACACTGGGGCCCAGCAGGCTGCTTTTTGGCAGCTGAAGGGGGAGGCATTCATTGGCCTCCGTTTTCTGCCCACAGACCGTCTTGAGCAGCGTGGGAAGGAGGTGAGCTCCCTGGCTCTTAGGAGTATTCAAGAGCAGGTTATGTGTCGTTTTCTTGGGTTTCTTTCTTTCTTTTTTTGAGACAGAGTCTCGCTCTGTCACCCAAGCTGTAGTACAGTGGCCCCATCTCGGCTCACTGCAACCTCTGTCTCCCGGGTTCAAGCGATTCTGACCTCAGGTAAGCCACTGCACCTGGCCCAGGTTTTGTTTTTGATGAATACAAAGGATTGTTAAGTCAGTGATTTCTCCAGCCACAGCAGCATTTCAAATGAGCAGGTTTTACTTAAATAATACAAATCATATCCTAACTATATATGTATGTGAACAAGTGAGATGACCTTTTAGAGTCCAGCATTGTTTAGTCATTTGACCATCATACAGTGAGTGCCTACTCGGTGCCAGCATGAGGTCAGGAGTTCAAGACCAGCCTGGCCAACATGGTGAAACCCCGTCTCTACTAAAAATACAAAAATTAGCCAGGTGTGGTGGTGGGCACCTGTAATCCCAGCTACTCGGGAGGCTGAGGCAGGAGAATTGTTTGAACCTGGGAAGCAGGGGTTGTGGTGAGCCGAGATCGCACCACTGTGCTCCAGCCTGGCTGACAAAAGCGAGACTCCGTCTCAAAAAAAAAAAAAAAAAAGGCCGGGCACGGTGGCTCATGCCTGTAATCTCAGCACTTCGGGAGGCTGAGGCAGGCAGATCATAAGGTCAGGAGTTCAAGACCAGCCTGGCCAATATGGTGAAACTCCATCTCTACTAAAAATACAAAAACTAGCTGTGCATGACTTGGGGCGCCTATAGTCCCAGCTACTCGGGAGGCAGAGGCAGAATTGCTTGAACCCGGGAGGCGGAGTTTGCAGTGAGCCAAGATCGCACCACTGCGCTCCAGCCTGGGTGACAGACTGAGATTTCATCTCAAAAAAAAAAAAGGAAATTATGAAATTATGTGCATAAATGTCTGCTTAGGGCAGAGAGGTGGGTAGGAAGTGCCAGTTCCCAGGGAGGATGCTGTTGACTCCTTATCCACGGCCATTCTCCTCCCGCTTCTTTCTTGCTAAGGAAACCCCAAGTTTGTTCAACCCTCAGGTAGCTTAGGGCTGTAGAGGAAGTGGGCCCTCCCTAGGCCTGGGGGTGAATCTCTTTTGGTCTAAGCCAGTCCTAGTCATTCCAGTCCCTTCCTAGTAATTTGAGTGGAAATGGGCATATAATGCTATTCTGGCCAATGAGAGGGCAAGTCAGCTGGAAAAGAGGGCTCTGAGAAAATGTTCATAGACAAGAAAGCAACATTTCTGCATTTGGCAAAAGGGTGTAATGCTCCAAGCAATGGCAGCCATCTTGAGGCCGTGAGGGGACAAGTCTGAGATCAAATGTCACCATACTGCATCCTTGAAGACATGAAGACCTCAGCGAGCTGCTGAATTAACCAACCCTGAAAGCGCCCTATCCCGACTCCTTGTCTCGTGTGTTAGATGCTATTTACCATCCTCAAGTGTCCATTCTTCTTGTGGTCCTTAGAAAAAGAACACAGCGAGTTCTAGGCAGACATAGCACCTCCCCTTGGCAGCTGGCTGTGGCCATGTGACTAAGTCCAGGCCAATGGGATGTGAACAGGAGTGATGCGGGCAACTCATGGATGATCTTAAAGACATTTGCTTTGGGCACTCTAACCCGCTTCCCACTGGCTGGAGCATGGCAGCAGCTGGAGTGCTTTGCAGGGCACATTTTGGGGGTGGCAGAGTGGCCCCAGTGGCCTTGGAGCACTCACCTTGGGACTGTAATGTGAGACAGAAACAATCTTCTTTTTTTTTTTTTGAGACAGAGTTTGACTGTTGTTGCCCAGGCTGGAATGCAATGGCGCGATCTCGGCTCACCGCAACCTCCACCTCCCGGGATCAAGCAATTCTCCTGCCTCAGCCTCCCGAGTAGCTGGGATTACAGGTGTGCGTCACTACACCCAGCTAATTTTGTATTTTTAGTAGAGACAGAGTTTCTCCATGTTGGTCAGTCAGGCTGGTCTCAAACTCCCAACCTCAGGTGATCAGCCCGCCTCGGCCTCCCAAAGTTCTGGGATTATAGGCATGAGCCACCGTGCCTGGCCTAATTTTTGTATTTTTAGTAGAGACAGGATTTCACTGTGTTGGCCAGGCTGGTCTCGAACTCCTGACCTCAGGTGATCTGCCCACCTTGGCCTCCCAAAGTGCTGGGATTACAGGCATGAGCCACCGTGCCTGGCCTGGTCTCGTTTCTCTCCTTGGAAGTTGGTGGGGACCGGGGCTGGGTTCTGATTTTTGGCAGTGGACTAAAGCTGGGAGGAATGTCTCACGTCTCACCTCCCCTTGGTTTCCTGCTGCTGCTGCTGCTGCTGCCGCCACACCCACCCTGGAAGGGGATGCTCCTCCTCCCCCAACCCCACCGCAGCACAGATCACACCTGAGTCCAGGGCCTGAAGCCTGGTCCCACCCTGACCCCCAACCTCACAGCAGAATTCCGAGCACGCCTTGCACTGGGCTAGTCCAAGTTAGAACAAGCAGAGATTTAGGAACAAGTGAACCATGAAACCAGACTTCCAGGAACACGGGGGCTCACTCATCCCCGATCTCTGTTGGGCACTCAGAGGACATTACAATTTAATATTTAAACAAGAAGTTGAATATTGATACACCAGCAAGGGGGAATTATTTTCCTTCCCCTAGAGCTGCTGGGAAAACGACTCCCTGCTTGCCTATGCCTGGCCAGCTGGGAAGATTCTTAAATAACCGACTGGACACCGGCCCCAGGCCACGCAGTGCTCCCCCAGTAAAGGATAGGTCCACGTCTTTCTCAGTCCTGGCCAAAAACGTCTGTGAACACACCCACTAGAAACAAGCCAGGAACAAACCGCTGCTCTGAGGATCTGATTACATTTCCCCAGGGCAGGTTTCCACCAGAGCGAGCGCCCCTCCCTCCTCCTTTCCCAGAACTCCGTTGCCCAACAACTGTTCCAGCTCCTGCTCCTGAGGCGGGGGCAGCCTGAGGAAACCAGGGCCTCAGGCGACAGCCGGCTCTGTTAGGCAGGGGCAGGACAAAGTGCAAGGTCCCTCTGGAATCCCCCAAGGCAGAGGGCAGGAGCCAGACTCCTCCGGTAGCTGTGGGGGCTCGGAAGGGGACATTAGACTCTGGTCTGTGGCTGTTGGCGCAGGGAGGTGAAGAGTGGTAGCTGCCCCCCGAGGCAGGCACTGGACCCCTTCTCGGCTCCCCAGCCAGCCTCCTTCCTACCCTGTGCACAGAACAGTGAAGGTCTGGGTTCAAATCCCAGCACCGCCACCTACTTGCTGAGCTTCTTTCTCTGTGTGGAAAGTGGAGGTGTGATAACACCACTCTGTGTCGTAGAGAATGTGTTCTGTGCCAGGGGCTGGGCTGGCTCATTTGATCATTACAACCATGCTGGGAGGGGGCACCACCCATCTCTTTGCAAAAGAGGAGATGCACAACTCTGGCCAGGGGTCGGTGGCCAGGAGGCAGGAACGGAGGATCTTTGGGACCCCTGCCCTGCCCCGGGCCTTAGACCCATTGCTCCCAGCCCAGAGGTGCAAGAACACAGCACTGTGATGGGCAGAGGCTGGGGTCCTCACCTGGCCGGGTGGTGTGGTGGCAGCGGGCATCTTCTGGCCTTGCAGCCTTTCTGCTGTTACCTCTGCCCTGCCTGTGCCTGTCCTCACTGCCTCTGTGTTCTCCAGGATGCTACTCTTATTTCTGGCCAGCTGGATCCTACTCTTATTTCTGGCCAGCTGGATCCTGGCCCATTTACATAGTTGCATTAAGAGGCTGGGCTGAGGCCAGGTGTGGTGGCTCACGCCTGTAATCCCAGCACTTTGGGAGGCCGAGGCGGGCGGATCACTTGAGGTCAGGAATTCAAGACCAACCTGGCAAACATGGTGAAACTCCATCTATACTAAAAATACAAAAATCAGCTGGGCTTGGTGGCGCATATCTGTAATTCCAGCTACTTGGGAGGCTGAGGCACAAGAATCGCTTGAACCCAGGAAGTGGAGGTAGCAGTGAGCCGAGATGGTGCCATTGCACCACCACCCAGGTTGGAGTGCGGTAGTGCAATCATGGCTCTCTGCAGCCTCAAATTCCTGGGCTCAAGAGATCCTCCCCCCTCAGCCTCTGAAGTAGCTGGGACTACAGGCATGGGCCACCACGCCCGCCCAGCTAATTTTTAACTTTATTTGTAGAGTCGGGGTTTCACCATGTTGCCTGGGCTGGTCTCAAATTCCTGGCCTCAAGGGATCCACCTGCCTTGGCCTCCCAAGGTGCTAAGATTACAGGTATGAGCCACCGCGCCCGGGCTGGTTATTGTTTCTTGATCTGGTGCTGGTTAAGTGGTGTGTAATTTGGTGAAAATTCACCGATTTTAGATTTAGAGTTTGTGGACTTCAAGAACATTGACATGAACAACAAGACAGAGGCCGTGAGGGTGGAGGAGAGGGCAGTTGGAGAGGCACTTGGGCCAGGGAACAGGGCTGGATGTTGGGGATTTAGGGTGCAGCCTGGCTTCTGGCCAAGTGGCTGGAGAGATGGGAGGATGAGCAGATGAGACACGCAGCTGAGACTGAATGTGAGGGGCCCCCCAGAGATGTGGCTCCCGGGGACCCAGATTGAGAAGCTGACCTTAAGGTGATGGGAAGTGGTGCCGTAGGAAGGAGGGCTGGTTCTGGGTGAGGCAGCTGAATGAGGGGCATGGAACCTGAGCACCCATTCTAGGGGCTGCCTGCCCCCAGAGAGTGGGTTCTGGAGGAGGGCCTGGGGGAGATGGGGAGAGGACCAGAGCCAGCAGCATCCAAGGAGTGAGCAGGGTAGCATGGAGAAGTTCTGGAGCTGCTGCTGACACGTGGCCTCAGGAAAGAGAACCAAAAGCTGGGGCCCTCAGAGCCCCCTGTGTCAGCAGCGCCAGGCACCCTGGTCTGGGACAAAGGCAAGTGGCCACACCCACCTATTTATAGAAGGCAGCTGGCAGGGATCAGGGGAGCCTTACAGGGGCCCTGGGGGAGGGGGCACTGGCAGGGGATGATGAAGGCTCTGCCAGGTCTCTGCCAGCCCCGCCCATACCCTCAGAGCAGAGGCCAGGCCAGAGTTCAAGGAGATCTGGGACAGATGCAGGCCGACTGCACCCTGCAGGCACAGCTGGGCCTAGGAGCAGGGGCTTTTGTCCATCTGTGCTCTGTGGAGTGAGGGAGCTTTTTCTTCTCTGGCCTTGCTGTCCTTTCCTGTGGTATAGGAGACCCCATTTGTCTATGCCATGAGACCATGTACTCCTCCTGGAGCCCAGGGTGGGGTTCCCTCTTGGCCCCAGCCCAATCCAGGGTTGGACAGGACATGCCTGCTTACTGAGGGATGAATAAATGAGAAACTCACGTCCCCAGAGGCTGAGGGACCTGCACAAACCCCAGGCCTTCTCCTGGCCACTCACACCCCTCTGATGTTGCCCTAAAGACCTCAGGGCCTCCAGGTGCAGAGGCTCACACCTGTAGCCTCAGCACTTTGGGAGGCCAAGGTGGGTGAATCACTTAAAGCCAGGAGTTCAAGACCAGCCTGACCAACATGGCAAAACCCCATCTCTCCTAGAAATACAGAAATTAGCCAGGCATGGTGGCAGGCACCTGTAATCCCAGCTACTCAGGAGGCCGAGGCAGAAGGATTGCTTGAACCCAGGAGGCAGAAGTTGCAGTGAGCCGAGATCACGCCACTGCACACACCAGCCTGGGAAACAGTGCGAGACTCCATCTCAAAAAAAAAAAAAAAAAAAAAAAACCCTCAGTGCCCCCAACAGCAGGGGCTGCTGATAGGGTGAGTTAGGCCTCCAGACCAGGGAGTGGGGAGGGGCCAGGCTGGGCCTTGGAATTTAGAGCCTTGGGGCCCCTGGGAAATTCACCTCAAAAATTACCTTAGAAATTCAAGAGAGGGCCAGGCGCAGTGGCCCACGCCTGTAATCCCAGCATTTTGGGAGCCTGAGGCAGGTGGATCACCTGAGGTCAGGAGTTTGAAACCAGCCTGGCCAACATGGTCAGAACCCATCTCTACTAAAAATACAAAACTTAGCCGGGCGTGGCGAGTGCCTGTAATCCCAGCTACTCGGGAGGCTGAGGCAGAGACTTGCTTGAACCCAGGAGGTGGAGGTTGCAGTGAGCCGAGGTCGCACCACTGCACTCCAGCCTTGGCAACAGAGCAAGAAACCGCCTCAAAAAAAAAAAAAATTAGCTGGGTGTGGTGGCGGGCGCCTGTAATCCCAGCTACTTGGGAGGCTGAGGCAGGAGAATCGCCTAAACGTAGGAGGCCGAGGTTGCAGTGATCCGAAATCTTGACATTGCACTCCAGCCTGGGCAAAAAGAGCAAAACTCCATCTCAGAAAAAGAAAAAAAGAAACTCGAGAGAGTTAATTGAGGATGTGTAAACCACACTTGAGAGATCCCTTGGAGGGCTGCCCTGCAGTGTCATGGACAGAATGTTTTTCTAGCAGCTGATAGAACCGGCCACAAACTCCCTGTGAGATCTGAGCAAGTTACATCTTCTTGGAGCCTCAGTTTCTCCATCTGCAAAGCTGGGCAGGGAACCGGGGAGCCTTTGCCCAGTTTCTGGCCCTAGAATTCCTGATTGGATGAAGATCTTCAGGGGTCTTGGGGTAAGAGCTGGAATGTGGCCACAGGCCCTTTGTGACGCATGGGTGGGATCTGGGATTGGGGGTTTGGACCCAGCTACCTTGGAAGCTGCCTGTGTCAGGGCTTGGGAGGAATGGTCCAGGTGCAGCCCGCAGAGCCACGAGAGGGCATCCATGCCAGGAGGCCACATCCCAAAGTCCAGGGGCAGTGGAGGCCCATGTGATGTCCCTGGGTGGCAGGCATGGTCCAGGGGAAAGTGCCCACCACGTGCTACCTCACCCAGCCCTCTGACATGGGTATCATGATTGTCATTTTGCCAAAGAGGAGTGCCCAGAGAGGGCAAGTGTATTTTCAGAGTCACACAGCTGTGTCTAGGGCATCTTCAGCTCCTGCCATCCAGAACAGTGGCAGCAGCTCAATCTTGAGCCCAGAATGACTCCCACCTCCAGCCTGGCCCTATGGTCCTCTTCTGTCCTCTGTCCATAGAGCACCTCTGTCTCCCTGCAGGCTGCAAGCATCTCAAGGACAAGACCAGGTTGTAGAATAACCCCTTTCACCGGCTACAGGATTTTACCTTTCACAAAGCACTCCCTCTCCCTCTTCTGCACAGAACTCTGAAAGGCAGACATGAGCCCCGTGTGACCCAGGAGAACTCCAAGGCCCTGAGAAGTTGGAGGCCTTGCCCGAAGTTCACAGCTCCTAGGAGACAGGGCCACAGTCCAGATCTGTCTGACCCAAGCCTGGGCTTATGTTGTGCTCCACCCTCCCTCAGATAAACCAAGAAGGGCCAACTTGCTAATGGGGAAATGCAGGCAGGGCCACAAGACCACCCCTCTTTCCACACAGTCACATGCAAGCTACAGTCAGGTCCATTTTGTCAGGGAAAGTGCAGACTGTTAGAAGCCAAGAAACTTGAGTGTAATGTGGGCATCCAGGCAGAGTGAAGCCCTGGGGAGTAAGTTCCCCTAGCTCGCCCTGCTGCTGGCAACCATGCCCAGTGCCTGGCTCGGCCTCCCTGGCTGCTCTGAGAGGCCTGGCCCGGGCTCTGCAGGCGCTGGAGCCAGCGGAGGCATCTGGATCCCATAAGCTTGTCATGAGCTGGTTTGAGCAGAATGGCCTCAACAGCCCCCAGAGAGCCCCCCTCACCCCTGGCTGCACTGATGCAACTCCCATCTGTCCCCAGCCCACAGCAGCTCCCAGGGATGGAGAGTGTGAATCCTCAGGGAGGGTTGTCTAGAGGCCCTGGGCTGGACGGGGATCCCATGCTGACCGGTGGACACGGCCCCGAATCCCCCTGCACTGCACTTGCTGCTCTGTTTTGCCTGTAAGCATCTCCCCCATCAGACCGAGCTCCTCCAGGATAAGAACTGTGTCTGATTTATCTGTGAGCTGCCAGCATCGCCCTGCCTGGGACCTGGCACAAAGGAAGTGTCAGGTGACTGCTAAATGAATGAGTGAAGGAATGAATGGATGAAGCATCGTCTCCATGAATCAGCCAGGGTCCAGTTAGGAAAACAGGAACCTTATGAGTTATTTTACCATAAAGTATTTAATGTGTAGGGAGTTAGCTAAAGAGGCATTGACAAAGCCATAAAGAGAACCCTGAAGGCAGCAGAAAAGGCCATCTCCAAGAAGCAGCTACCACACCAGAGGAGGCGAGACGAAGAGGTGGGAGCTACTAGAGCCTAGAAGCTTGGAGGGGGTGCCCGGGGCTAGAAGTCACACCTCTAGGCAGGGCACAGTGGCTCACAGCTGTAATTCCAGCATTTTGGGAGGCCGAAGCAGGTGGATCACTTGGGCCCAGGAGTTCAAGATCAGCCTGGCTAACATGGTAAAACCCCGTCTTTACTTAAAAAAAAAAATACAAAAAATTAGCTGGGCATGGTGGCAGGCGCCTGCAGTCCCAGCTACTTGGGAGGCTGAGGCAGGAGAATCGCTTGAACCTGGGAGACAGAGGTTGCAGTGAGCCGAGATAGCACCACTGCACTCCAGCCTAGGTGACAGAGTGACACTCTGGCTCGAAAAAGAAGTCACACCTCTGAGGAGGAGGAGAGGCTGCCCAGCCTCAGGATCTTGGAGAAGGGAACCCCCCTGAGGCAGCACCCAGGCCTCAAAGGAGGGAGTGCCAGAGCCTCTGAGCAGCTGGTTCTCGGAGCACAGAGAGAACTTTGGAACTGTGTGCTGCTGCTGACTGAAGAGCCATCAGCAGGGTGATTTTGGCAGGACACTGAGCAAATAAGGAATAAGTCTTTCCTCTCTCCTCCAGCCTTCCAGTCTCTCTCTAGTCTCTCCTGTTGGCAGAGCACAACAGGCTGCCAGATGGCAAAGGAGACACGCAGTGTGCAGAGGCTCCCACCCAAGCAGGGGGCCGGGAGCCCAGCCCCATAGCATGGGCGGCCCCACTAACACAGGTGCACCTCCATCAACAGCAACAAGCATGTCATCCTTCTGCTTCGAGTGATGGACCTTCTCTTCCTAGAAAGATACTTTCACTCCCTTCCCCCAGAGGAGACACAAAGTCCAAAGGATCACTGTGTCCATCTCTGGGAAAGGTTAATTACTCTTCCAAGTCAACCACAACCTCACCTGTGTGTTCTGCAATCTAAAGAATACATTTTAGGCTGGGCGCGATGTGGCTCGTGCCTGTAATCTCAGCACTTTGGGAAGCCGAGGCAGGAAGATCACTTGAGCCCAGGAGTTTGAGACCAGCCTGGGCAACATGGCAAAACCCCATCTCAACAAAAAATACAAAAATTAGCCGGGCATGGTGGTGCATGCCTGTAATCCCAGCCATTCAGGTGGCTGAGGAATGAGAATTGCTTGAACCCAGAAGGCGGAGGTTGCAGTGAGCCGAGATCACTGCATTCCAGCCTGGTTGACAATTCCAGCCTGGGTGACAGAGTAAGACGCCATCTCAAAAATAAAAAGAGAGAGAGAGAGAAGGGAGGAAGGGAGGGAAAAGGAAGGGAAGGAAGGGAGGGAGGGAGGGAAAGAAAAGAAGAAAAGAAAAGAAAGAAAAAAGAGAGAAGAAGGAAAGAAGAAAGTGAAAGAAAAGAAAGAAAGAAGGAAAAGGAAGGAAGGGAGAGCCGGGCACGGTGGCTCACACCTGTAATCCCAGCACTTGGGATGCCGAGGCAGTTGTATCACGAGGTCAGGAGATCGAGACCATCCTGGCTAACACGGTGAAACCCCGTCTCTACTAAAAATACAAAAAAATTAGCTGGGAGTGGTGGCAGGTGCCTGTAGTCCCAGCTACTTGGGAGTTTGAGGCAGGAGAATGGCGTGAACCCGGGAGGCAGAGCTTGCAGTGAGCAGAGATCACGTCATTGCACTCCAGCCTGGGTGACAGAGCGAGACTCCAGAAAAAAAAAAAAAAAAAAAGGAGGGAGGGAGGGAGGAAGGAAGGAAGGAAGGAAAAGAAAGAAAGAAAGAAAGAGAAAGAAAGAGAAAAAGAAAGAAAGAAAAGCAAAGAAAATGTATAGATGTATAGGCCAGGCATGGTGGCTCATGCCTATAATCCTAGCACTTTGGGAGGCCAAGGCAGGCGGATCCCTTGAGCTCAGGAGTTCGAGACCAGCCCGGGCAACATGGCAAAACCATGTCTCAAAAAAAAAATTAAGTAGTTAAATATATATAAAATATTTATATAATACATTTTAAACTTAATCACCAACATCAATGCTGAAATAAATCCGGGGAAGGAGGAAGAGAGGAGAAGACAATAGGAAGTTAGACAGGAGGGGAGAAGAGTGAGGAGGAGGAAAGGAAGAAATGTATGTATGTATGAGTAAAATACGTATACGTTTGTGAGTGTGCGTGCATTATTTTCTTTTGCGTGTGTGTGCATGCGTTTTTGGTTCAGTGGATAAGGAGCCTAACATGGCCAGGTGGCAATCTCAGCTTCTGACTAAGTGGAACCATTGTTGTCTGCTGGTAGAAACACTCCTCTCTTGGGGACCAAGACCTTTACCCCAGCAGAGCTCCAAGTTTCAGGAACCGGAAATGACAATTCTGTGGGTGATGACTCAGTGCAGTCATGATTCCTGGCTGTGTGTTCTGTCATGGAATGTGCGGGTCTCTGAGTCACCACACACTGTATCCTACAAGACAGAGCCTCATCTTTTCAGCGTGTTTCCTCCCAACTGGGGTTGTACCTGAGCCTTCAGGAGGTCATGCCACCACCATGCTGCTGGACCAGCTGTTTCTGGGTGGAGGGGTATCTCAGAGACAATAAGGGCCTACTCTGCCCTGGAAGATCCTCCACTAGGTCATGGAGGAAGCCCACCCAGCAGTCCTCTCCTGTGCTGCTGAGCCAGGCTGGGGGCTGAAGGCAAAGGGTGGTGGAACATCACCTTTGACCCCAGCTTGGTCTAAAGTCCCCAAATGTGATCCCCTCCAGGCTAAAATATCAGGGGGCGTTCATTCTATTTGAGTCTGGGAGGAAACAACAGGGATTGATCACAGTGAAGGCTCAGTGAGAAACAAGAAATGCACACCTCCACAACCCTGCAGGGTAATATTCAAAATAAAGAGCATGACTCCCCACAACAATGTGAATGCACTGAACACTCCTGAACTGTACACTTACACATGGCCAGAAGGATCGATTTTTATCTTGTGTATATTTTACCACAATTTTTTTGTGTTTTGAGCCAGGGTCTCGCTCTGTTACCCAGGCTGGAGTGCAGTGGCTCAAAATGCCTCCCAGAGTGCTGAAATTCAGGCATGAGCCGCTGCACCCGGTCTTATTATTTTTTAATAGAGAGAGGGTCTTGCTATGTTGCTGAGGCTGGTCTCTAACTCCTGGCCTCAACCAATCCTCTGGCATCAGCCTCTCAAAGTGTAGAAATTACAGAAGCGAACCACTGCACCAGGCTTGTTTTACCATGACTAAATTAAAATAATAATAATGAGATGGGAAGTGTGAGGTAAGGTCAGTGTATTACTCCATTTTCACACTGCTATGAAGAAATACCCTAGACTGGGTAATTTATCAGATGAGATTGTGCGTATTCAGGGTGGTACAGCCATCCACGAGACTGGGTAATTTATAAAGAAAAGAGGTTTAATTGACTCACAGTTCTGCATGGCTGGAGAGGCCTCAGGAAACTTACAACCATGGCAGAAGGCACCCCTTCACAAGGCGGCAGGAGAGAGAATGAGCACTAGCAGGGGAAATGCCAGACACATAAAACCATCAGATCTCATAAGACACACTCATTATCATGAGAACAGCATGGGAGAAACCGCCCTCCATGATCCAGTTACTTCCACGTGGTCCCGCCCTTGACATGTGGGGATTATTACAATTCAAGGTGAGATTTGAGTGGGGATACAGAGCCAAACCATATCATTCTGCCTCTAGCTCCTCCCAGATCTCATCTCCTCACATTTCAAGACACAATCATGCCCTTCCAACAGTCCCCCAGAATCTAAACATACTCCAATACTAACCCAAAACTCCAAGTCCAAAGCCTCATCTGAGACAAGGCAAGTCCCTTCTGCCTATGAGCCTGTAAAATCAAAAGCAGGTTAGTTATTTCCTTCCTGACACAATGCAGGTACAGGCATTGGGTAAATTCACCCATTCAAATGGGAGAAGCTGGCCAAAATAAAGGGGCTATAGGCCCCATGGAAGTCTGAAATTCAATAGGGAAGTCACTGAACCTTTAAGTTCCAAAATGATCTTTGACTCCATGTCTTGCATCCAGGTCATGCTGATGCAAGAGGTGGGCTCCCATGGCCTTGGGCCGCTCTACCCCTGTGTCTTTGTGGCATATAGCTCCTCTTCCTGGCTGCTTTCACAGGTTAGTGTTGAGTGTTTGTGACTTTTTCAGGCACACAGTGCAAGCTGTTGGTGTATCTACTGTTTTGGGGTCTGGAGGATGGTGGCCCTCTTCTCACAGCTGCTCTATACAGTGCCCCAGTGGGGACTCCGTGTGGTGGCTCCAATCCTACATTTCCCTTCTGCACTGCCCTGGCAGAGGTTCTCCATGAGGGCTCTGCCCCTGCAACAAACTTCTGCCTGGACATCCAGGCATTTCTATACATCCTCTGAAATCTAGGCAGAGGTTCTCCAACCTCAATTCTTGACTTCTGTGTACCTGCAGGCCCAACACTTCGTGTACGCCACCAAGGCTTGGGGCTTGCACCCTCTGAAGCAATGGCCTGACCTGACCTTGGCTCCTTTTAGCCATGGCAGGAGCTGAAACAGCTGGGACACAGGGCACTATGTCCCAAGGTGGCATAGAGCAGTGGGACCCTGGGCCCAGCCCAGGAAACCATTTTTCTCTCCTAGGCCTCAGGTCCTGTGATGAGAGGGGCAGCCGTGAAGGTCTCTCACATGCCCTGGAGACATTTTCCCCATTGTCTTGGTGGTTAACATTCAGCTCTTCATTAGGCAAATTTCTGTAGGCAGCTTGAATTTCTCCCCAGAAAATGGCTTTTTCTTTTCTATCACATTGTCAGGCTGCAAATTTCCTGAACTTTTATGCTCTGCTTCCTCTTGAACACTTTGCCGCTTAGAAGCTTCTTCTGCCAGATACCCCAAATCATCTTTCTCAAGTTCAAAGTTCCACAGATCTCTAGGGCAGGGGCAAAATGCTGCCAATCCCTTTGCTAAAGCATAGCAAGAATGACCTTTACCCGAGTTCCCAACAAGTTCTTCATCTCCACCTGAGATCACTTCAGCCTGGACTTCATTGTTCATACCACAATCAGCATTTTGGGCAAAGGCATTCAACAAGTCTCTAGGAAGTTCCAAACATTCCCACATCTTCCTGTCTTTTGAGCCCTCCAAGTCTCTAGGAAGTTCGAAACTTTTCCACATTTTCCTGTCTTCTTCTGAGCCCTCCAAACCGTTCCAACCTCTGCCTGTTACCCAGTTCCAAAGTTGCTTCCGCATTTTCAGTTATGCTTATAGCAGCACCCAACTCCTGCTACCAATTTACTGGTCTGTTCTCATTCTGCTATGAAGAAATACCCAAGACACTGGGTTTTGTTTTGTTTGTTTTTTTGTTTGTTTGTTTGTTTGTTTTTGAGAGGGAGTCTCGCTCTGTCACCCAGGCTGGAATGCAGTGGTGCGATCTTGGCTCACTGCAACCTCTACCTCCAGGTTTAAACAATTCTCCTACCTCAGCCTCATGAGTACCTGGAGTTACAAGCACCTGCCACCACACCTGGCCAATTTTTGTATTTTAGTAGAGATGAGGTTTCGCCATGTTGACCAGGCTGGTCTCGAACTCCTGACTCAAGTGATCCACCCACCCTGGCCTCCCAAAGTGGTGGGCTTACAGGCATAAGCCACTGCACCTGGCCAAGACTGGTTAGTTTATAAAGAGGTTTAATTGACTCACAGTTTCACATAGCTAGGGAGGCCTCAGGAAACTTAGAATCTTAACAGAAGGCACCTCTTCACAGGGTGGCAGGAGAGAGAATGAGTGCCAGCAGGGCAAATGTCAAACGCTTATAAAACAATCAGAGCTCATGAGACTCACTCATTATCATGAAAACAGCATAGGGGAAAACTGGTCCCATAATACAATTACTGCCACCTAGTCCCACCCTTGACATGTGGGGATTATCACAATTCAAGGTGAGATCTGGGTGGGGACGCAGGGCCAAACCATATCAACTAGGGACCACTGTGACAAAATCTGTGTCTGAACTTGAAACCCATCCAACAAATATGTGTCAACACTAATTGTGCTTAAAAAACACAAATGCCAACCCTAAAGTTCCTCAGATTTCAGGAGAATGTCAGCACCTTCCTTCTTTGCCTTTAGCAATTCAATATTTTAATAGCAGTGTGAAACTTCCTCATGACAAAACCTTTTCTTTTTTTTTTCGAGACGGAGTTTCACTCTTGTTGCCCAGGCTGGAGTGCAGTGGCACGATCTCAGCTCACCCCAACCTCCACTTCCCACGTTCAAGTGATTCTCCTGCCTCAGCCTCCCGAGTAGCTGGGATTACAGGCATGTGCCACCACCCCGGCTAATTTTGTATTTTTAGTAGACAGGGTTTCTCCATGTTGGTCAGGCTGGTCTTGAACTCCTGACGTCAGGTGATTCGCCCACCTCAGCCTCCCAAAGTGCTGGGATTACAGGCGTGAGCCACTGTGCCTGGCCCCCTCCTCCATTTCTGCCCCTGCCTCGAGCCTCTCCAGGGTTTGGGCTTGAGCCCCACCCACTCCTGCCCCAGAAACCCCTCCCAACTTCAGCTCTACTTTTGTAAACTCCAGCCTCTGAGCCCCCTCATCCTGTTCCCTGTCCCAGGGAAGTCCCCCACCTGCCTAACAGGCCTCAGAGCCAAATCAACCCAAATATTTCTTCAACAGGAAACTCAACATCCCAGCCACGCTGGGAAAACAAGGCTTAAAAAAAAATGAGAGGCAATAAAAATCCCCAAATGACTCTGTTCTGTTTTGACAGAGGGGAAAAAAAAACAGGATTTCACAAACTGGATTTTTGGCATTGCAAAATGGTCATCAACTCTCCCAACTTCCCAAGAGACTGAAAGGAAAATTCCCAGAGCTTCTTACTTTTTTATTTTCCGTTAAGTGCAGTCCATCTCCTAGTTCAATTACAGAAGGTCAGAACTGAGGTCGAGGGAAAAGAGTTCACATGAAAGAAGGAAGGATAGAAAAGATCAGGCTGGGTGTGATGGTTCACGCCTGTAATCCCAACACTTCCGGAGGCCGAGGCTGGTGGATCAATTGAGTCCAAGAGTTAGAAACAAGCCTGGGCAATACAGCAAAACCCCGTCTCTACAAAAAATACAAAAAAATTAGCCAAGCACCTGTAATCCCAGCTACTCAGAAGGGTGAGGCAGGAGGATCACTTGAGCCCAGGAGTTTGAGACCAGCCTGGGCAACATAGCAAGATCTGTCTGTATTTAAAAATCTATATATATTAGCTGGCATGGTGGCATGAGCCTGTAGTCCCAGCAACACAGGAGGCTGAGGCGGGAGGATCACCTGAGCCCAGGAGATCAGGGCTGTGATGAACAATGATGAACTGCACTCCAGCATGAGCAATAGAGTGAGACTCTGTCTAAAAGAAAAGAAAGGAAAGGAAAACTCCGAATCCAGTCCAGAGCCTTGAAACTTTGGGTTTCCTCAGCCTAACCAAAACCTGTCCTATCCTATAACCACTGAATTTCAAGACTGGGAGGGGCTGGGCTCGGTGGCTCACACCTGTAATCCCAGCACTTTGGGAGGCCAAGGTGGGTGGATCACTTGAGGTCAGGAGTTCGAGACCAGCCTGGCCAACATGGTGAAACTGTCTCTCCTACAAATCCAAAAATTAGCCAGGCGTGGTTGCAGGCGCCTGTAATCCCAGCTACTCGGGAGGCTGAGACAGGAGAATTGCTTGAACCCAGGAGGCGGAGGTTGCAGTGAGCCAAGATGGCACCATTGCACTCCAGCCTGGGAGCTAGAGCAAGACTCCATCTAAAACAACAACAACAACAACAGCAACAAAAAAAAACAGAAACAAACAAACAAACAAACAAACAAACTGTGAGGGACCATAGACCATAGAGATTTACTGGTCCAGCTGGCACATCCCTAGAGAAGCACACATCTCCCACTTTAAGACAATCTGGGCCGGGCACGGTGGCTCACGCCTGTAATCCCAGCACTTTGGGAGGCCAAAGCAGGCAGATCATGAGCTGAGGAGATCCAGACCATCCTGACTAACACGGTGAAACCCCATCTCTACTAAAAAAGTTTAGCTGGGCGTGGTGGCACACGCCTGTAGTCCCAGCTACTCAGGAGGTTGAGACAGGAGAATTGCTTGAACCCAGGAGGTGGAGGTTGCAGTGAGCCAAGATCGCGCCATTGCACTCCAGCCTGGGGGAGAGAGCGAGACTGTCTCAAAAAAAAAAAAAAAAGACAATCTGTAAGTTACCACACAGTACCATACAGAATACCCAGGAGACCCACACAGGGAGGCAAACACCCTCCATTAATAATGGCCTAAAGGGCCGGGCGTGGTGGCTCACGCCTGTAATCCCCACACTTTGAGAGGTGGAGGCAGGCGGATCACGAGGTCAGGAGATTGAGACCATCCTGGCTAACACAGTGAAACCCCGTCTCTACTAAAAATACAAAAAAATTAGCCAGGCATGGTAGCGGGCACCTGTAGTCACAGCTACTTGGGAGGCTGAGGCAGGAGAATGGCATGAACCCGGGAGGCGGAGCTTGCAGTGAGCCGAGATCAGGCCACTGCACTCCAGCCTGGGCGAGAGCGAGACTCTGTCTCAAAAAAAAATAAAATAAAAAATAAAATAAAATAATGGCGTAAAGAAGGTGGAACTGTATTTCCCTCTGAGGTAAGAGACCAGAGGTGGGCAGTCAGGGCCCAAAGATTGATCTTCTCCCCCAAAGTCATCCAAACACCCCAGACTCCTGCAACCCTGCTCTGTTCCTTAACACTCAGCTCTCATCTCATGGTCCAAAGCAGCTGCTCCAGCTCCTGCTGTTGCACCCACACTGAGCCAGCTGACTTGACCCAGAGATCATTATGTCACTTCTTTCTTCTCTTATCCCATTGGCCAGCCCTTACTGCCCGTCCTTGCAAGAGGATCTGGGAAAAACAGTTGCTAGGTAGGGAGCCAGGTGCTGACCTGAAAACCCCATTGTGGTGTATGACAGTGGAGTGGGTGCTGGGGAGGAACTAGCCAGGTCTGCTAGAGAGGTTTCCTCTGGGAAAAATCCAAGTCATTGTATGCCATGATTTCCCAGAATGCACTATGCTGCAGCATGAAGAATGTCACATTTTGTTTTATTTGAACTCCCTAGCATCTTGGGCACAATTCCACTTTGTTGTTAATGCCAAATCCACTTCCCAAGGCAAAAATGTAACGGTTTTTGGACTTTGCTACTGGCTCAGAGTCAGACTGCTCAGATTTAACTCTGGGCCCTCTTCCAACAGCTGTGTGGCTGTAGGCAAGTTACCCACCTGCTTGTGCCTCAGTTTCCTCACCTGTAAAATGGGGATAACAACTGCTTCTGGCCAGGCACATTGGCTCATGCCTGTAATCCCAGCACTTTGGGAGGCCGAGGTGAGCGGATCACTTGAGCTCAGGAGTTTGAGACCAGCCTGGCCAACATGGTGAAACCCCGTCTTTACTAAAAATACAAAAATTAGCCAGGCATGATGGGGTGCGCCTGTAATCTCAGCTACTCAGGAGGCTGAGGCAGGAGAATCACTCTAACCCAGGAGGCAGAAGTCACAGTGAGCCAAGATCATGCCACTGCACTCCAGCCTGGGCAACAGAGTGAGACTCCATCTCAGAAAACAAACAAACAAACAAACAAAAAACACAATTGCTTCTACCTCATATGATTTCATGTGGGTGGCCAGGTGCGGTGGCTCACGCCTGTAATTCCAGCACTTTGGGAGGCCGAGGCGGGCAGATCATCTGAGGACAGGAATTTAAGACCAGCCTGGCCAATATGGTGAAATCCCGACTCTACTAAAAATAAAAAAAATTAGCCGGGCAAGGTGACGCACGCCTGTAATCCCAGCTACTCGGGAGGCTGAGGCAAGAGAATCGCTTGAACCCGGGAGGTGGAGGTTGCAATGAGCCAAGATTAGGCCACTACACTCCAGCCTGGGTGACAGAGCAAGACTCCGTCTCAAAAGAAAAAAAGAGATTGCGTCTGGGAGCACCCAGCACAGCACAGGCACATAGAAACAGCTCAATGAATCCTCTGTCCCCTGAGCCACCAGTCCCATCTCTGAATCTCAGCTTCTTCATTTGTGTAATCAGGGGTGTGGTAGCTGATCTCCAAAGATGGTTTCAAATAATTCTTCCCCTTTCTGCACACATACACCAGTCCTAACAAGAGGTATCTGGAGGCCAAAGCCACTCCGTCTTAGATGCTAAGCTGCCATGTTGACTTCTGATTACCCTCAGTTCCAGGACTACTTTATCTACTGTTAAAAACACGTACCTCCAGCCCTGGCAACATAGTGAGACCCCATCTCTACAAAAAAATAATAATAATAATTAAAAATTAGCTGGGCATGGTGCGTGTGCCTGTAGTCCCAAACCGTTCAGGAGACTGAGGCTGGAGGATTGCCTGAGCCCAGGAGTTTGAGTCTGCAGTGATCTATTATCCCATCATTGCCCTCCAGCCTGGGCAACAGAGCGAGGGCCTGTCTTTTTTTCCTTTGAGATGGAGTTGAGCTCTGTTGTCCAGGCTGGAGTGCAGTGGTGTGATCTTGGCTCACTGCAACCTCCACCTCCTGGGTTCAAGCGATTCTCCTGCCTCAGCCTCCTGAGTAGCTGGGATTACAGGCGCCTGCCACCACGACTGTCTAATTTTTGTATTTGTAGGAGAAACAGGGTTTTGCCATGTTGGCCAGGCTGGTCTCGAACTCCTGACCTCAGGTGATCCACCTGCCTTGGCTGCCCAAAGTGCTGGGACTACAGGTGTGAGCCACCGCACCCAGCCAACAACCTGTCTAAAAAAAAGAGTGTGCACGTAGTGTAAATCCTGCCCGTAGGTCAAAACAACATTATCCTGCCCTTAGTCAAATTACTTCAATTGTCTTACAAACTTCTTCTAAAGTATGTATACAATTTCTCTATGGTATTTAAAGCCCTGGGTCTTGGGGGTAGGGGCACAGGGATCCATCTAATCTCGTGGCCTCCTGAGACATGGCTTCTGTGTGTAAGTCTTTAGTAAATGTTTCTTTCTGAGAAAATGCATTTGTTAGCCTCTTTCTTTTCTTTTCTTTTCTTTTTTTTTTTTTTGAGACGGAGTCTTGCTATGTCACCCAGGCTGGAGTGCAGTGGCGCAATCTTGGCTCACTGCAAGCTCCGCCTCCCAGGTTCACGCCATTCTCCTGCCTCAGCCTCCCCAGCAACTGGGACTACAGGTGCACGCCGCCACGCCTGGCTAATTTTTTTGTATTTTTAGTAGAGACGGGGTTTCACTGTGTTAGCCAGGATGGTCTCGATTTCCTGACCTCGTGATCCACCAGCCTTGGCCTCCCAAAGTGCTGGGATTACAGGTGTGAGCCACCGCACCCAGTTGGCAGCCTCTTTCTTTGAGGCTTTCTTTGAATCTCTCAGCTTCCTGGGCCTTTGGGAGTAGGTTTGCACAGACCTGCTCACCACAGAACAACATGGAACTTACATCGAATTCCCTGGGTCCAGCCTGGACCTGGCACAGTGGCAGAAGTAAGGATGTGCCACTCGGGGCCTGACCATTAAGAGAACAGGAAGTTTCCACTTCCTTTCTCGGAACCCAAATACCGTGCTGCGAGGAAGCCCGACTGACATCACCTTTGCAAAGATTATGACGGCCAGATAAGTCTAGCGCAGCTGACTCCATCCTGCTTCCAGCCTCACGGGCTGGCTGGCCTTAGGCATTCCTGGGCGTAGGCCAAACTAACCCTGGGAGAAATTTAGTTTATAGTTTGTTTGTTTTCTTTTTCAACATTTATTCTAGGTTCAGGGGGTGCATGTGCAGGTTTGTTGCGTGGGTAAATCGTATGTGGCTGGGGTTTCCTACACAGATGTTTTCATCAGCCAGGTGGCAAGCACAGTACCTGACGGGTAGCTTTTCCATCCTCACCCTGCTCCCACCCTCCACCCTCAAGTAGGCCCTGGTGTCGGTTGTTCCTCTCTTTGTGCCCAGTTTAATTTTTTTGTTGTTGTTTTGTGGGTTTTTTTGGTTTTTTTTTTGTTTGTTTCTTTGCTTGTTTTTCTTTTTTTGAGATGGAATCTCACTCTGTCGCCCAGGCTGGAGTGCAGTGACGTGATCGCAACTCACTGCAAGCTCCGCTTTCCTGGGTTCACACCATTCTCCTGCCTCAGCCTCCCAAGTAGCTGGGAGTAGCTGAGACTACAGCCACCCGCCACCATGCCTGGCCCATTGTTTTGTGGGTTTTTTTAGATGGAGTCTCGCTCTGCTGCCCAAGCTGGAGTGCAGTGGTGCGATCTCGGCTCACTGCAACTCCACCTCCGGGGTTCAAGGATTCTCCTGCCTCAGCCTCCCAAGTAGCTGGAATTACAGGCATGCGCCACCACGCCCAGCTAATTTTTGTATTTTTAGTAGAGACGGGGCTTCACCATGTTGGCCAGGCTGGTCTCAAACTGCTGACCTCAAGTGATCCACCCGCCTCAGCCTCCCAAAATGCTGGGATTACAGGCGTGAGCCACTGCACCTGGCCTTTAGGTCCAGTTTATAGTTTAAAGCAAAGACAGTAATAGTCCCTCCCTAAAACTGCTTCCTTCCTTGCTTGGAAACTGAAACCACCTTTGCTAAACTAAAGAAAAGTCCATGAGATTCGGATAACAGAGGGGCCTGAATTCTGCTAAAATGTAGACCTAGTTTCCATCATCCCTTACTGCTCAGGAGTCATATGGCCAAGATTCATGACGTCCCCAATGGCTCCTATAGACAATGTCACTATTGTAGAAACGGAGATTGGTTTTTTGAGATGTTTTTCACACTTTTGCATTCTGACAACCTACTGACCCCACCTGGATCTATGACGACTCATGACTCAACCAGTCCGTGTCCCCCACCCAGGGGTGGACTCAGAGCACAAGGATTGTTCCCACCCACTTCTGAGTGCATCCCCAACCAATCAGCAGCACCCATTCCCTACTACACCCTCCTCACCCCCCTTCACTCCCACCCCCCAACTGCAAACCAAATTATCCATTAAAAGCCTAGCCTCTGAGTTCCTGGGGAGGCTGATCAGAGCAATCATAAACTCCTGTCCTTCCAGTTGGCCAGCCTTGCATTAATTAAACTTTCTCATCTTTTTTGGGGGGTGGGGTGGGGGTGGAGTCTTTCTCTGTCACCCAGGCTGGAGTGCAGTGGCACGATCTCGGCTCACTGCAACCTCCACCACCCAGTGATTCTCCTGCCTTAGCCTGCTGAGTAGCTGGGATTACAGGCACCTGCCACCATGCCCAGCTAATTTTTTTGTATTTTTAGTAGAGACGGGGTTTCACCATGTTGGTCAGGCTGGTCTTGAACTGCTGACCTCATGATCCACCCACTTTGGCCTCCCAATGTGCTGGGATTACAGGCGTGAGCCACCGCACCCGGCCAATTAAACTTTCTTTACTGCAACAATGCTGTCTCAGTGAATTGGGTTTATCTGTGCAGCGGACAAGACGAACTCCTCAGGCAATTTCACAAGCAGCTCCATGGATAGGTCCACACGGAGGGTAACAGTGGCTCCCAGCCACCCCGCAGTCTCCCAGGCAGGAGAATGAGCCATCTTGGAGGTGGGCCTTCCAGCCCAGTCAAGGTATCCCAGCTGATGCCACATGGAGCTAAGAGATGGCCCTGCTGAGCCCACAAAATTGCAATACTGTGGCCAGGTGCGGTGGCTCATGCCTGTAATCCCAGCACTTTGAGAGGCTGAGGTGGGAGGATCACTTGAGCCTAGGAGTTAGAGACTAGCCTGGGCAATACAGCAAGACACCATCTCTATTAAAAAATATATATAGGCCAGGCACGGTGGCTCATGCCTGTAATCCCAGCACTCTGGGAGGCCAAGGTGGGTGGATCACCTGAGGTTGGGAGTTCGAGACCAGTCTCCTAGCCAGGAGACCAACATGGAGAAACCCCGTCTCTACTAAAAATACAAAATTAGCCGAGAGTGGTGGCAGGCGCCTGTAATCCCAGCTACTGGGGAGGCTGAGACAGGAGAATCACTTGAACCCGGGAGGTAGAGGTTGCAGCGAGGTGAGATCATGCCACTACTCTCCAGCCTGGGCAACAAGAGCAAAACTCTGTCTCAAAAAAAAGAGAAAAAAAAAAAAGAAAAGGAAAGAAAAGAAAAGAAAAGAAAAAAATATATATATACACACACATATATAGCAATATTGTAAGCCAATGAACAACTATTGTTTTGAGCTACTGAATTTTGGGGTGGTTTGTTATGATCAATGACCGGAAGACAGTGTGACACGTAAAAGTAGGGTGGTACAGAAACAAAAAATACACCTGGCATTGGTTTGGGGACCAGAGAGTAGAAAGGACCTTGACAAAACTGTTAGTGAAAGCTTAAAGAACAGTGAGGAAATTACTTTTTTCTTTTTTTTTCTGAGATGGAGTTTCACTCTTGTCGTCCAGGCTGGAGTACAGTGGCACATCTTGACTCACTGCTCATTTGCCACCATGGCCGGCTAATTTTTTTGTATTTTTAGTAGAGACAGGGTTTCACCATTTTGGTCAGGCTAGTCCCGAACTTCTGACCTCAGGTGATCCACCTGCCTCGGCCTCCCAAATCACTGGGATTACAGGCATGAGCCACCACATCTGGCCCAATATAGAGTTTTTTTATTTTTATTTTTTTTATTTTTTGTTTTGTTTTGTTTTTGAGAGAGTGTCACTCTGTTGCCCAGGCTGGAGTGCAGTGGTGCGATCTCAGCTCACTGCAACCTCCACCTCCCGGGTTCAAGCAATTCTCCTGCCTCTGCCTCCTGAGTAGCTGAGATTACAGGCATGCACCACCATGTCCAGCTAATTTTTTTGTATTTTTAGTAGAGATGGAGTTTCACCATGTTGGTCAAGCTGGTCTCGAACTCCTGACCTCAGATGATCTGCCTGCCTCGGCCTCCCAGTGCTGGGATAACAGGCATGAGCCACAGCGCCCAGCCCAGGAAATTACTATTGGAAGCTGAAGAAAACAAGGCCCAGTTATGTAACCCAAGTGAGATATACTGGAACGCTTGTTTTAATCACCTCTCTTGACTTCATCAGTGCAGGAGGGATTCCTGACCTAGGATTATGGCAATGGCTGAACACAGGACACCCGAATCTGGACAGAAGAGATCCAGAGCAGTTTATGAGTCACATGTACTCACAGCTCAGGAGAGGAGGACACACTCTGCAGGGCCACACAGGGCTTGTGCCTGGTACCAGTGGACCACAAGAGGCTTTGTAGTATCAAGAGGGTAAGGGTGGCCGGGCGTGGTGGCTCATGCCTGTAATACGAGCACTTTGGGAGGCTGAGGTGAGTGGATCATTTGAGGTCAGGAGTTCAAGACTAGCCTGGCCAAACATGGTGAAACCCCATTTCTGGCCGGGCGTGGTGGCTCACACCTGTAATCCCAGCACTTTGGGAGGCTGAGCCGGGTGGATCACGAGGTCAGGAGATCGAGACCATCCTGGCTAACACGGTGAAACCCCGTCTCTACTAAATATACAAAAAATTAGCCGGGCGTGGTGGCGGGCACCGGTATTCCCAGCTACTTGGGAGGCTGAGGCAGGAGAATGGCGTGAACCCAGTAGGCGGAGATTGCAGTGAGCGGAGATCGCGCCACTGCATTCCGGCCTGGGCGGCAGAGTGAGACTCTGTCTCAAAAAAAAAAAAAAAAGAAACCTCATTTCTACTAAAATATAAAAATTAGCCGGGCATGGTGGTGAGTGCCTGTAATCCCAGTTACTTGAGAGGCTGAGGCAGGAGAATCACTTGAAACCTGGAAATGGAGGTTGCAGTGAGCCGAGATCGTGCCACTGCACTCCAGCCTGGGTGACACAGCGAGACTCATCTCAAAAAAAAAAAAAAAAAGTTGAGGTGTCCTCTGGTTTCGTGGTGTATGTGATTGGCTTGTTTTTATAATTCCATGGGCTGGCAGGGAACTGAAACCAGCTACTCAGGGGGAAGCAGGAATTGTACCCGGTCCACCTGATAAGGAGGATTGCTTGGCACTTGGCTAGAGTACGTTATGTTGAAATGTTGAAAATGCCAGCTATTTTCTTTCTTTTTTTTTTTGAGATGAAGTCTCACTCTTGTCCCCCAGGCTAGAGTGCGATGGCGCGATCTTGGCTCATTGCAACTTCTGCCTCCTGGGTTCAAGCGATTCTCCTGCCTCAGCCTCCTGAGTAGCTAGGATTACAGGCATCTGCCACCACCGGCTAATTTTTGTATCTTTAGTAAAGACGGGGTTTCACCATTTTGGCCAGGCTGGTCTTGAACTCCTGACCTCAGCCTCCCAAAGTGCTGGGATTACAGGCGTAAGCCACCGCGCCCGGCCAACCAGCTATTTTCTTTTAGCTGCTTATGATAAAATTCAAGATTATAATGAGTGAAAAAGGAAGGATTCAGGTCTCAGGTAGAATTACGAGGGCATATAAAGGAGCCAGGATTTGCTGGTTTCAAACATATAAACTATCATGTAATTTCTTTCTTTCTCTTTCTTTCTTTTTCTTTCTTTCTTTCCTTCTTTCTTTCTTTCTTTCCTTCCTTTTTTCCTTCTTTCCTTCTTTCCTTCTTCCTTTTTTTTTTTTCTGAGATAGGTTCCAGCTCTATCACCCAGGCTGGAGTGCAGTGGCACAATCTTGGCTCAGTGCAACCTCTGCCTCCCCGGCTCAAGCCATCCTCCCACCTCAGCCTCCTGAGTAGCTGGGACTACAGGTGCAAACTACCATGCCCGGCCAATTTTTGTATTTTTGGTAGAGATGGGGTTTCGCCCTGTTGCCCAGGCTGGTATCCAGCTCCTGGGTTCAAGCAATCCTCCCGCCTCAGCCTCCCAAAGTGCTAGGATTACGGGCGTGAGTCACTGCACCCCACCTAATTTCAGTTTTTGTTTGTTTGTTCCTTTTTTTTTTTTTTTTTGAGACCGAGTCTCGCTCTGTCGCCCAGGCTAGAGTGCAGTGGCGCGATCTCTGCTCACTGCATCCTCTGCCTCCCGGGTTCAAGCAATTCTCCTGCCTCAGCCTCCCAAGCAGCTGAGACAACAGGTGTGCACCACCATGCCTGGCTAATTTTTGTATTTTTAGTAGAGATGGGGTTTCACCATGTTGGCTAGACTGGTCTCGAACTCCTGACCTCAAGTGATCCACCTGCCTCAGTCTCCCAAAGTGCTGGGATTACAGGCGTGAGCCACTCTGCCTGGCCCTAATTTCATTTTTTAAGCAATGAGGTTAGTTTCTTTTATTATAAACTTAGCCTCGCAGTAAAAGATTTTAAAAAATATCTTGGCAGTTTTTGCGCCTAGGACAGAAACTGGCATGGTGCTTATCCACACTGACATCTGAATAAATGCGGTCTGAGACCTGTTCTTCTTCTATTTCTCAAGTTGCTGCCTGCAAACGGACAAGAATCTGTTACCTTGAAGAGAGCAAGAGCAGAGCATGTGACTCCAGCAAAAAGTAGGGCATCTGGGGAGCTGAGATGACTGAAAGCCACCAGGAAGGTACTTTCCAGGCAGTTAAATTTTTTCTTCTGGTATCCCCACTCTCCTCCATCAGCCACAGATTGCTCCCTAGAAGAGGTGATCTGTGATGCCAAGTCAGTGATGCTCAGGGCTGGGTACTATGATCTTCCTCCAGGTGTCAAGGAACTTGCAGGAAATCGTCAGGCCAATTCGGGCTGCCACGACGAAGCAAGTGAGGCTCATAAAAGTAGTCACCCAGCCAAGATTTGAACTGTGGTCTCTCTGAGGATAAACTCATGCTCTGTCAACTACATCAGGGGGTTTCAAGCTTTCTCCCAAAGGCCTTGCCCTGTGAATACCAGGAAACCCATAAAAGTCCCAGATCTCAGATGAGGATAGAAATACATGCCATCATTTGCATGTTACAATGCAAAACCTGTGGTACTCACCTGCTTCAGCAAGCAGGATGGTGTGTGGATGCCCTCAGACCACTCCAGTCTGACCTGGGTACGTCGGAGCAGCTGTGCTGGACCTCCACCCTACAGGCACTTTTGCAGTGTCATTCATTCAACCATTATTTATTGAGGGCCACCATGCTCCGGGCCCTGGCATGGTGGACTGTACGCAGGGAGGCAGCCTGGGCACAGGGAGGCAGCCTGTGTACAGGGAGGCAGCCTGGGTAGAGGGCGGCAGCCAGTGAGGCCAGACTGCCTGCATCTGCAGCACGTTCACCTGTGTGATGCTGAGTGTGTGAATTACTGGTCTGTTTTCTCTTCTGTGGGATGGCAGTAACATAGGCTTTCTCCTCCCAGGGTGGCCAGGAGAAATGGATGAGTTAAGGCACGTACACAGTGCCAGTCATATAGCAAGCAGTCTCATTTCTTTTTTCTTTTTCTTTTTTTTTTGAGACAGGGTCTGGCTCTGTCACCCAGACTGGAGTGCAGAGGTGCGATCTTGGCTCACTGCAACCTCCGCCTCCCAGGCTCAAGCCATTCTCCCACCTCAGCTTCCCACGTAGCTGGGACTACAGGCATACACCACCGTGCCCGGTTAGTTTTTGTATTTTTTTGTAGAGATGGGGTTTTACCATGTTACCCAGGCTGGTCTTGAGCTCCTGGGCTCAAGGGATCCACCTGCCTCAGCCTCCCAAAGTGCTGGGATTACAGGCGTGAGCCACTGCCCCAGCCTCTCATTTCTTTATTACTATTATTTGATAACTGATGGATGGATTTAATTACAAAATTGTAAGATACACAGGAAAGGCCATGGTTAAGCCCATTTTACAGATGAGAACAATTGAGGCTTGGGCCATTGAAAAAGGTTGCTGGGAATAGAGTAGGTAGAATTATTCCCACTTTATAGACAAGTAGACTGAAGCTCAGGGAGTTAAGTCACCAGCTCAAGGTCAGTATCAGTGTCAGAGCCCAGGCCCAGGCCCCTCCGGCCTCAGTAACAGCCCCCTCTTTGAACTCTGAACTAATGGGGCAGTGTTTCACAGAAGGCACAGGTGGCCTCAGTGACGGGAAAGGCCCAGGAGGACAGGTGGCCTGAGATGGCTGAGGTCCTGCAGCAGCGTGTACTCCTCCAGCTGAATCGGCCTGGGCCTCACCTCCTTGGTCCTCACCTGCTCAGACTCTGCAGGAAGCTCCCTGGGAAACGGTTCAACCCAGAGTTTGTGCTCAGAAAACCCATCTTCCCACCGCCACTGGGCTCAGCACCTAGGCCTGGCTCCATGGCTGACAGCGATTTATTTATTTATTTACTTATTCATTTGAGACAGAGTCTCGCTCTGTCAGCCAGGCTGGAGTGCAGTGGCACAATCTCAGCTCACTGCAACCTCCGCCTCCTGAGCTCAAGCGATTCTCCTGCCTCTTCCTCCTGAAAGCTGGGATTACAAGCATGTGCCACCAAGCCCAGCTAATTTTTGTATTTTTAGTAGAGATGGGGTTTCACCATGTTGGCCAGGCTGGTCTCGAACTCCTGACCTCAGGTAATCCGCCCACCTTGGCCTCCCAGAGTGCTGGGATTACAGGCATGAGCCACTGCGCCTGGCATTAATAGGGATTTAAACGCGTAGACCCCCAACACCCCTTCCTCACCCAGCAGCTCCCAGAGCAGCCCCTAGCTCCTGGCTGGATTAGAGGCACCTGGCACTGTGCCTGAAATCAACACCTCCTTTGGGTTTTGGGTTCTCATTAGCCAGAACTTTCTCATGAAATAAAAATGATAACCTGAGGGAAAACTGTTAAAAGTTTGTAATTATAGAAGGGGAGGAGCTCCTGTCTTTCTTTTGTTTTGTTTTGTTTTGTTTTGTTTTTTGAGACGGAGTCTCAGAGTCTCGCTCTGTCACCTGGCTGAAGTGCAGTGGCATGATCTCTGTCGACTGCAACCTCCGCCTTCAGGGTTCAAGCGATTCTCCTGCCTCAGCCTCCCAAGTAGCTGGGACTACAGGCATGCGCCACCACGCCCAGTTAATTTTTGTAGTTTTAGTAGAGCCAGGGTTTCACCATGTTGGCCAGGATGGTCTCGATCTCTTGACCTCGTGATCTGCCTGCCCCAGCCTCCCAAAGTGCTGGGATTACAGGCGTGAGCCACCGAGCCCGGCCAAAAGGACGCAGACTCTGTTTTGAAGGAGGAGGTGGAAAGGGATGGAAGAAACTTCCAGAGCGTGCCGTTTTCTTTGTGACAGGCTCTGTCCTCGGCAGGGGCAGGCGTGACCTCTCTGAGCCCATGAGCGGGAACTGTTTTTGCCCTGGACACCCTGGGATGGGCCCTGCCATGTTGCCCAGGCTGGACTTGAACTCCTGAGCATCCCCTGCCCCGCTGCCCTCTCGGCCTCCATTCGGGAGCTTCACATCCCCCTCCCCTCACCCCCACGAGTCCTGGGGGGCCAGCTGGGAGCTCTGCGGGGAGTAACCCCACGAGGGCAAGGCAGGGGAGGGCGCCGCCCAGCGCCCCGTGGGGCTTCCGCCGCCTCGAGGCAGACCCGGATCCAGAGGGCGCCTGGACAAGGTAGGGCCCCCATCCCGCCCCGGCTCCGCGTGCCCTCACAAGAATCACCCGTCTCCGACCGTCACCTCCTCCCGCTCCCGGGCCTCCCCGGCAGCCCCCACGACCGTCCACCCCGGCCCGCCCGGCCCGGGCTCCCGCTCTCTCGGCCGCTCTCCGCGGAGCCCCGCAGCCCAAGGGGCAGCACCTATCCCGGGACAGCGGCCTCTCTTCCCCACCGAGGCGTCTGCAGGGCTCCCCGTAGCGGCGCGGGGCTCGGGGACACGGACTCGAAGGAACCTGAACACCTCCAGAGCGTGGAGGTTGTGGGGGATGAGCCCCAAGAGGCGCACCCCTCCCAGGCTGCCGGGACCCAAGGTGGGCACGGGCTGGGTCCGAGGAAGGGGTAGAGGAGGCAGGATTTGGGGCTCGGCTGGAGCAGAGCAGCGGCAGAACCCCCAGCCGAAGCCGGTGGGAGTGGAGATTTCGGATGGAGCCGGCTGGACCCGCGCCCCGGGCGCCGGGAGCCTTTTCCTGGCTCGGGCGCGCCCCCTGGAGGCCGGAACCTGACATCAAGCGCACCCAAATTGCTGGGACTACAGACCTGGCGACAGTACCCAGCCCATCCTACTCAACTGCAAATGCCCCCTTTTACACTTAGGTCTATTTCTGGACGCTCAAAGATCCATTGAGATCTATTCTGCATTGGTTGGACAGAACCAGTTTTCTTCATCTACAAATAATAATACAACTCTCCTTTTTTTTTTTTTTTTTTTTTTTTTTTTTTGAGACAGAGTCTGGCTCTGTCGCCCAGGGTGGAGTGCAGTGGCGTGATCTCCGCTCACTGCAGCCTCCGCCTCCCGGGTTCAAGCAATCTGGGATTACAGGCATGCGCCACCACTCCAGGCTAATTTTTGCATTTTTAGTAGAGACAGGGATTTCACCATGTTGGCCAGGCTGGTCTCGGACTCCTGACCTCAGGTGATCCTCCCCCCTCGGCCTCCCAAAGTGCTGGGATTACAGGGGTGAGCCACCACACCCAGCCAAGTTAATTCAATTTTTAAAAATAAATAATTTTTTTTTGAAACGGAGCTTCACTCTTGTTGCCCAGGCTGGAGTGCAATGGCGCGATCTCTGCTCACTACAACCTCTGCCTCCCGGGTTCAAGCAATTCACCTGCCTCAGCCTCCTGAGTAGCTGGGATTACAGGCGTGCACCACCACATCCAGCTAATTTTGTATTTTTAGTAGAGATGGGGTTTCACTATGTTGGTCAGGCTGGTCTCGAACTCCTGACCTCAGGGGATACACCCGCCTCGGCCTCCCAAAGTGCTGGGATTACAGGCGTGTACCACCCCACCCAGCCAAAAAAATAAAATTAAAAATATGTATATAAATAATAATATATATTATTAAATATAATAAATATATATAGAAATAAATAGGCCGGGCGCGGTGGCTCATGCCTGTAATCCCAGCACTTTGGGATGCCAAGGCGGGTGGATCACATGAGGTCAGGAGTTCAAGACCAGCCTGGCCAACATGATGAAACCCCCGTCTCTACTAAAAATACAAAAATTAGCTGACCATGGTGGCGGGCACCTGTAATCCCAGCTACTCGGGAGGCAAGGCAGGTGAATCACTTGAACCCAAGAGGCAGAGGTTGCAGTGAGCCAAAATCATGCCATTGCACTCCAGACTGGGCGACAAGAGCAAGACTCCGTCTTAAAAAAGAAAAAAAGAAAAGAAAAGAAAAGAAAAAGAAAGAAATAATGGACGGGGTTGGGAGAGCTTCTGGACAGCTGAACACTTGCTGGTGCCTGGAGGGTAGTGTGCCTGGAGAGGGCATGGAGGTGCCACACACTTCCCCTTCCCTTGCCCTATGGATCTCTTCCATCTGGTTGTTCTTCTGTATCCTTCTGAATATCCTTTATTTTATTTTATTTTATTTTTTTGAGATGGGGTCTCAGTCTGTCACCCAGGCTGGAGTGCAGTGGCAGGATCTTGGATCACTGCAACCTCCACCTCCCAGGCTCAAGTGGTCCTCCCGTCTCAGCCTCTCAAGTAGCTGGGACTACAGGTACACACCACTATGCCCAGCTAATTTTTTGTATTTTCAGTAGAGATGGAGCTTTGTCATGTTGCCCAGGCTGGACTTGAACTCCTGAGCTCAAGCAATCCACCTGCCTCAGCCTCCCAGAGTGCTGGGATTACAGGCGTGAGCCATCACACCCGGCCCCTGAATATCCTTTATGATAAACCTGTAAATGTTAGTGTTTCTCTGAGTTCTGTGAGCCATGCTACCAAATTAATCAAACGTAAGTGGCGGGTCTTGGGAACTCCAACTTACAGCTGGACAGTCAGAAGTGTTACCAGCACACTGGGTTCTTGTAATCTTCCAGGATAGAAATCAAGAGAGATCACCAGACATAGCAGCAAAAAGAAAGTTTATTTTAGCTTGTGCACAAGGAAGCCAGCACTGAGAAAGGAAAAGGAACGGGCTGCTCCCCAGGGGTGTTGTGTGGGTTAGTTTTATAGCAGTGGTCCCCAGCCTTTGTGGCACCAGGGACCAGTTTTGCAGAAGACAACGTTTCCACGGATGGGGGGCTGAGGGGGTGGTTTCAGGATGATTCAAGCACATGACATTTATTTGCACTTTATTTCCATTATTATTACATTGTAATATATAATGAAATAATTATACAACTCACCATCATGTAGAATCAGTGGGAGCCCTGAGCTTGTTTTCCTGCAACTAGACGGTCCCATTTGGGGGTGATGGGAGACAGTGACAGATCATCAGGCATTAGATTCTCATAAAGAGTATGGAACCTAGATCCCTCACATGCACCGTTCACAATAGGGTTCACGATAGGATTCTCCTATGAGAATCTAATGCTGCTGCTGATCCGACAGAAGGCGAGCTCAGGCAGTAATGCAAGCGATGCGGATCGGCTGTAAATACAGATGAAGCTCTGCTTACTCGCCCCCCACTCACCTCTTGATGTGTGGTCCAGTTCCTAAAGGCCGTAAACTGGTATCAGTCCATGGCCTGGGGTTTGGGGACCCCTGTTTCATAGGGTTGTGAAAGGAGAATAGGGCCAGGCACGGTGGCTCACGCCTGTAATCCCAACACTTTGGGAGGCCAAGATGGGAGGATCACCTGAGGTCAGGAGTTCTAGACCAGCCTGGCCAACATGGTGAAACCCTGTCTCTACAAAAAATACAAAAATTAGCCAGGCATGGTGGCACACGCCTATAGTTTCAGCTATGGGGGAGGCTGAGGCAGGAGAATCACTTGAACCTGGGAGGCGGAGGTTGCAGTGAGCCAAGATTGCGCCACTGCACTCCAGCCTGGGTTATAAGAGTGAAACTCCATCTCAAAAGAAAAAAGAAAAAAAAAACAAAAACCAACACCAAGCACAGTGAGATGCTTCACACCCACGAGATGGCTATAATCAAAAGTCAGATAATAAGTGTTGGTGAGGATGCGGAGAAATTTGAACCCTCCTGTGTTGCTGGTGGGGATGTAAAATGGTGTAGCCACTTTGGAAAACATTTTGGTAGTTCCTCAATAAGGTAGACATACAATATATAGAACCCAGCAATTCCACTTCTAAGTATATATGCCCCAAAGAAATGAAAACATATGTCAGCACAAAAGGTACACAGATGTTTACAGTAGCATGATTCATAATAGCCAGAAAGTGAAAACAACTTAAATACCCATAAACAAATAAATAAAGTATATATCCACACCATGGCACCCTGTCACCCAGGCTGGAGTGCAGTGGTGTGATCCTGGCTCACTGCAACCTCTGCCTCCCAGGCTCAAGCCATCCTCCCACCTCAGCCTCCCTAGTAGCTGGGACTACAGGCATGTGTCATCACAACTGGGTAATTTTTTTTTTTTTTTTTTTTTTGAGACAGAGTCTCGCTCTGTCGCCCAGGCTGGAGTGCAGTGGTACAATCTCGGCTCACTGCAACCTCCACCTCCCGGGTTCACGCCATTTTCCTGCCTCAGCCTCCTGAGTAGCTGGGACTACAGGCACCCGCCACCATCCCCAGCTAATTTTTTGTGTTTTTAGTAGAGACGGGGTTTCACCGTGTTAGCCAGGATGGTCTCAATCTCCTGACCTTGTGATCCGCCCACCTCGGCCTCCCAAAGTGCTGGGATTACAGGCATGAGCCACCGCGCCCAGCAATTTTTGTGTCTTTTGTAGAGATGAGTTTTCGCCCTGTTGCCCAGGCTGGTCCTGGGTTCAGCTGGGCACAGTGGCTCACGCCTGTAATCCCAGCACTTTGGGAGGCCGAGGTGGGTGGATCACGGGGTCAGGAGTTCAAGACCAGCCTGGCCAACATGGTGAAACCCTGTCCTACTACAAATACAAAAATTAACCGAGTGTGGTTTTGCCAGCCTGTAATCCCAGCTACTTGGGAGTCCGAGGCAGGAGAATCGCTTGAATCTGGGAGACAGAGGTTGTAGTGAGCTGAGATCGCGCCACTACACTCCAGAGTGGGCGAACAAGTGAGACTCTGTCTCAATAAATAAATAAATAAATAAAAATAAAAATAAAGGCATTTCCGTCTTGAAGACCCTTCTTAGCCAGGCTGGCAGGAAACATGACTTCAGTTCTAGAGGCTCAGGAGTTTCAAGGGGAAGGACAAGGTGGGACTGGTTCTTGGTCACTGGTCCTCCCAAGTTTCTGCAGGGCTGCCCATCTTCACAAATCAGCTTGGGACAGCTCACATTGAGCAGCTCCCCACTGTCCTCCCATCCCCCTGGATCCTAATAGCCCATATATACCGGGAAGACCCCTGCTGTCTTTCAGCATTACCCCACCCAGGAAACAAGTGCAGCAAAAATCTTTCCCTTGTTGCACAATAACCCATAGAGGTGGGAAGTGGAGCTTGAAACAGTGTGACTACGTCAGGCCCAGGGAACAGGGGGGCAGAGGGGGGCAGTTCCCCAGAGAGGGCATCTTTCTCTAATTGCAGAAAGGTATGCTACAGGCCAGTAGGAAACCATTCATCTCTGGTTTCCCAGTCTAGCCCTGGCACGCTGTTGACCCTCAGTTAATGATACCTCGTGTGTGTGTGTGTGTGTGTGTGTGTGTGTGTGTGTGTGTGTGTGTGGTTTTATTTATTTGAGTCATAACTACATCTCCCACGTGGCATGGTTGGGAAGGCCCCTGGACTCCAGGATCTATAGACCTCCCTTAGCCTCCCCCTAATTGCCCCAGTCCTGGTGAGACGGTCTTTTTGAAAATTGTAACAGTGAAGGCCGGGTGTGGTGGCTCATGCCTGTAATCCCAGCATTTTGGGAGGCTGAGGTGGGTGGATCACCTGAGGACAGGAGTTCGAGACCAGCCTGGCCAACATGGTGAAACCCGGTTGCTACTAAAAATAGAAAAATCTTGGCCGGGCGCGGTGGCTCACGCTTGTAATCCCAGCACTTTGGGAGGCCGAGGCGGGTGGATCACAAGGTCAAGAGATCGAGACCATCCTGGCTAACATGGTGAAACCCCGTCTCTACTAAAAAATACAAAAATTAGCTGGGCGTGGTGGCGGGCGCCTGTAGTCCCAGCTACTAGGGAGGCTGAGGCAGGATAATCGCTTGAACCTGGGAGGCGGAGGTTGCAGTGAGCCGAGATCGCGCCACTGCTCTCCAGCCTGGGCAACAGAGCGAAACTCCATCTCAAAAAAAAAAAAAAAAGAAAAGAAAAAAAGAAACTTTATGAATTTGTGTTGGGCTATATCCAAAGCCGTTCTGGGCCACCTGCGACCTGCAGGCCAAGGTTTGGACAAGCTTGGTTTAAATGATCGTAGCCTTTCCCCAGAACTGAACCACCTTTGTAAAGCAGACGAAAGACCCACCAGGTTAAGAGGATGAGGAGCCTGAATTTTGCTAACGTGTAGACATAAATCATTACCAGCCATCATTCCAGAGGCCACAAGATTTGCAACTCCCCCAGTTATTTCTGCAGATAACATCCCTACTGCAGAACCTAAGACTTGGCCTTTCAAGATGTCTTCTCAGGCTTTTGCGTTTCTTGTGACCGATGACTCCGCCCAGACCCTGACACCCACAGACTAGTTCCATGGCCACACTCAGAAGTTGACTCCCTGACCAGGCAATCCTTGAAAAACCCTCGCCTCTGAATTTTCAGAGAGATTGTTTTGAGTCGTAACTATACCTCCCACGTGGCGTGGTTGGTTTGGGATGGGTTCAAGCAATTCTCCTGCCTCAGCCTCCCGAGTAGCCAGGATTACAGGCATCCACCACTATGCCCAGCTATTTTTTTTGTATTTTTAGTAGAGACAGGGTTTCACCATATTGGCCAGGCTGGTCTCGAACTCCTGACCTTGTGATCACCCGCCTCAGCTTCCCAAAGTGCTGAGATTACAGGCATGTGCCACCGTGCCTGGCCTAAACTCTCTCTTTATTGCAATGCCCTACTCTCAGTGAATTGGTTTTGCCTGTTCAGTGGGCACCAAGAATCCACTGAGGGGTTATCTGGTCAGAGGTGGGAGCCCTTCTTCCTCCACATGTTCTCAAGGAGCTCTGCCCAGGCCAGGGAACTTTCTCTGGCTCACTCCTGGCAGGCTGCAGCTTTCTGCCCCACCACGCCATTTCCCTGGGGCAGCAAACACAGGGAAAGGGAAGCGGAAAATACAGGAGAAAACAGAGAGAACATCATGATCCTATCTCTCCACACAGGCAAAGCACCTGGCACCTGTCAGAAGCTCCGTGTAGCTCATCACAGGGCGCCGCCCTTCCTCCATCGTTTGCATAAAATCACAACAGCGTGTTAGGTCCTCAGAGCTCAGATGTCACCTCCCTTGATTTCACATCAGTGAAGAGCCTGGTGTTCCTCCCCACCGTTTTCAGCTTGGTGTCTGTCTCTGGGGACTGAGCCTCATTCATCTCTGGTTTCCCAGTCTAGCCCTGGGCACACTGTTGACCCTCAGTTAATGATACCTCGTGTGTGTGTGTGTGTGTGTGTGTGTGTGTGTGTGTGTGGTTTTATTTATTTATTTATTTATTTATGAGACAGAGTCTTGTTCAGTCTCCCAGGCTGGAGTGTAGTGGTGCTTTCAGCTCACTGCAACCTTTGCCTCCCAGGTTCAAGCCATTCTCCTGCCTCAGCCTCCGGAGTAGCTGGGACTACAGATGCACGCCACCATGCTCAGCTAATTTTTAGTAGAGACAGGGTTTCAGCATGTTTACCAGGCTGGTCTTGAACTCCTGACCTCAGGTGATCCACCCACCTCGGCCTCCCAAAGTGCTGGGATTACTGCCACCACACCCGTCCCTGTTTTTGTTTTGTTTTTTGTTGTGTTTTGTTTTGTTTTGTTTGAGACAGGGTCTTGCTCTGTCGTCCAGGATGGAGTGCAGTGGCTTGATCTCAGCTCACTGCAACCTCCACCTCCCAGGTTCAAGCGATTCTCCTACCTCAGCCTCCCGAGTAGCTGGGATTACAGGCATGCACCACCATGCCTGGCTAATTTTTTGTATTTTTAGTAGAGACTGAGTTTCTCCATGTTGGTCAGGCTGGTCTCGAACTCCGGACCTCAGGTGATCCACCCGCCTCGGCCTCCCAAAGTGCTGGCATTACAGGCCTGAGCCACTGCGCCCAGCCGTGCCCGGTGTTTTTATTCACTCAATCTGGCAACTTAGTTCCTGCACCTCTGACAGGGACTTAGGGGACTGCCTGAGTAATATAGCTCCAACCCAGGCCCAAAACTCTGCCCTTGCATCTGCCTAGGAGCCTCCTTCCCAAACTCCTCCTCTTAGCCATAGAAGGGCTGGAGCTCAGAGATTCCTGAGGGAGTTGCTCCACTACCCTCCTGATTCTCTGCTCTCTCTGGGCCTCATTTTCCTCCTCTAGAAAATGACTGTTTCTCTGCCCCGTCTACCTCCCAGCCTTTCCCAAGGATCAAACTCCTCAGCAGGATGGGTCAGAGATCCTCAGCTAACATGCCCAAAGTAAAAGGGGTTTGTAGGGAGTTTCTGAATCACAGCAGGACTTTGAGGGAATAGGACAAGGGTCTTTCTTTTTTTTTTTTTCTTCCCGAAGCAGTTTGTAAACCAGTTAAACCACTCAATGATAACTGACTCAGGCCAGGATCCTGGCTAGATGCAGAAACCATTATATGAAGTTTATTGGGGATCAGGGCATTCACAGGGTATCAAAGCAAAAGGTTATCTTACATCGGGGAGGCCTGGCAGGCGCCACCAACAATGGGACAAGCTGACATCACATACCTGTACCTCCCGATCCCATCGGTCTCCAGATTAAAGGAGACTAAAGAGACTTTCCAAGTAAATGCAATGCTTGACCTGGGATTAGAGCCTGAGTCAGAAAAAAAAAAGAATAGCTAGAAAGGACTTTATGGGGTAATTGGGAATATGGACAGATAATAGCATCGGGTCAATGTTAAGTTTCCTGAATTTGATAATCACACAATGTAGGAGAGCGACCCTGTTCTTGGGAGAAGTATGGGGAAGTGTTTAGGGGTGAAGGGTCAAGTGTCTGCAACTAATTGTCACATGGTTCACCAAAACCAAATAGAGAGATAGGGAGATAGAGAGAAAAGCAGGGAGAAAGAGAAAGAGCTGAAATGATAACCACTGGTGAATGTGATTGTTGTATTTATACTATTCTTGCAACTTCTCTGTACGTTAAATATTTTTCCCGAACAAAAGTCTGAGGGAGAATAAATATAAAATATCAGAAGCAGAAGGAGCTTTAAAGACCTCGAGGTCTGCCCACCCTCTCTCAGACAAGTGCCCTGAGAAGGAAAGGTCTTGGCCTGCGGTCACTCCATGAGCCGTAGCAGAGCTGGCCAGACCCAACCTTGCTAGCTGCAAACACGAGTCCCCAGCCCAGGGTCTGAGAGCTCCCAAGAACAGCAGGCGAGCCTCTAGTCAATGTCCTTCCTGTTTCGTCTCCCTGCTCCCCGGGGCTGCCTCACAGTCAGCACCTTGCAGGAGGTGAGCAGCCCCCATGAGCTTCAGGGGAGAAACCTACCCCTCCCTTTCCAAAGAAACTGGACCCCCAACTTCCCTCAACCTGCTCTGCTGACCACACTGGGGAGACATCCCTACCTCCCTGGGTGCAGGCAGGATTAGACCTCAGGGTAAAAAGGAGGGCTCAGAGCAAAAACGATATGTTATTTTATTTTATTTTTTTATTTTATTTTTTGAGACAGAGTCTCGCCCCGTTGCCCAGGCTGGAGTGCAGTGGTGCAATCTCGGCTCACGGCAACCTCCAACTCTCGGGTTCAAGCAATTCTCCTGCCTCAGCCTCCTGAGAAGCTGGGACTACAGGCGCCCTCCACCATGCCTGGCTAATTTTTGTATTTTTAGTAGAGACGGGGTTTCACCATGTTGGACCAGGCTGGTCTCGAACTCCTCAGGTGATCTGCCTGCCTTGGCCTCCCAAAGTGCTGGGATTACAGGTGTGAGCCACCAAGCTTGGCAGAAAAAAGGACATTTTAACAGTGTCCCCTGGAAAGCAGCAAGTTCTGGGGCCTCACTTGGCTGTTGCAAGCAGATCCAAACCCCAGAAAGGAAATGTGTTGGGAGCTGAGGCCCAGATCAATAAATGGGCAAAATAAACACCCTTGGCACAGTCCTGTGCCAGGGTTGGGGGCAGCCAGAGGACAGGATTGCTGGAACTGGGGACCAAGCCAGCTGGAGGGTATGGACAATGAGGGGTCTCCAGTGACCCCATCTTTTTTTTTTTTTGAGAGAGAGAGAGAAATATGCAACTGGACAATTTGTTAGCTTTTCTTTTCTTTTTTTTTTTTTTTTGAGATGGAGTCTCTCTCAGTGGCCCAGGCTGGAATGCAGTGGTGTAATCTCAGCTCACTGCAACCTCCGCCTTCCGGGTTCACGCCATTCTCCTGCCTCAGCCTCCCGAGTAGCTGGGACTACAGGCATCCACCACTATGCCCGGCTAATTTTTTTTGTATTTTTAGTAGAGACGGGGTTTCACCGTGTTAGCCAGGATGGTCTTGATCTCCTGAACTCATGATCCACCCGCCTCGGCCTCCCAAAGTGCTGGGATTACAGGCGTGAGCCACCGTGCCCGGCTAGCTTTTCTTTTCCTTTTTTTTTTTTTTGAGTCTCAAACTCCTGACCTCAGGTGATCCATTCACCTCAGCCTCTCAAAGTGCTGGGATTACAGGCGTGAGCCACTGCGCCTGGCCTGTGTGTTTTTCTTTTCCTCTTTTTGTTAGTTTTTCAATTAAAAAAAGACACCTAACCCATGTAGTGTCATCTTTCTACAACCAGTGTTCCCATGGGGGTAAAACTATTCAGATTACTTGCACGTAAAAAATAATTTAACCTTTAGCATGAAAATATGTGGCAAAACCCAGAAAGATCCATCATGAATCCAAGATACTTTCAGCAAAAAGTTATACCAAAATAAATAAAATAAAATTGAAATAATGCTTAGCTGATCCCAAGTCAAGATTTACGTTTGTATTCTATGGCAGTAGGTCCCTCCCTCCACACTGCCCCCAGAGTTCCCTCTTTAAAACCAGTAGGTGAGCTGGGCACCGTGGCTCACGCCTGTAATCCTAGCACTTTGGGAAGCAGAGGCGAGTGGATCATGAGGTCATGAAATCGAGACCATTCTGGCCAACATGGTGAAACCCCGTCTCTACTAAAAATACAAAAACTAGTTGGACATGCTGGGCGTGGTGGCTCACGCCTATAATCCCAGCACTTTGGGAGGCCGAGGCAGGCAGATCACCTGAGGTCAGGAGTTCGAGAACAGCCTGACCAACATGGAGAAACCCTGTCTCTCCTAAAAATACAAAATTAGCTGGGTGTGGTGGCGCATGCCTGTAATCCTCGCTACTCGGGAGGCTAAGGTAGGAGAATCACTTGAACCTGAGAGGCGGAGGTTGCGGCGAGCCGAGATCGCACCATTGCACTCCAGCCTGGGCAACAAGAACGAAACTCCGTCTCAAAAAATATAATAATAATAATAATAATTAGCTGGGCATGGTGGCACGCACCTGTAGTCCCAGCCACTAGGGAAGCTGAGGCAGGAGAATCGCTTGAACCCCGGAGGTTGCAGTGAGCCGCGATTGCAGTGAGCCTGGCAACAGAGCAAGACTCCGTCTCAAAAAAGAAAAACCAACCAACCAACCAAACAAACAAAAAAAACAGTAGGTCAGGTGGGTGGGTAGGCAGACGGGCATGGTGGCTCATGCCTGTAATCCCAGTGCTCCGGGAGGCTGTGGTGGGAGGATGGCTTGAGCTGCAGTGAGCTGTGACTGCATCACTACACTCCAGCCTGGGCATCAGAGCGAGATCTCTTCTCTGGGTAAATAAACCCAGTGAGTCACTCCCTCAGCTACCTAGATCCTGCAGGGCTCCCCATTCTCCTTGACATTCCAGTTCTTTCCACCCGGGGCTCCACATTGCCTCCCCAACGTCACATCACACCCCAGCTCGGCTGTATCAGCCCCTCTAACCTTGCCCATCAGGCCTCTGTTCACCTGTCTCCACCTCCAGGCCCTGCCAGCAAGGCGCTTCTCCCTTTCTCTGCCTGGTCTGTGCCACGTTGCCTGAACACACAGCCCACCCCATCCCCTCAGAGCACCAGGAGCTCACATCTGGGTCCAAGACCCTACCAGGAGAGCAAGGCAAGAGAATGACGCTAAGGCCCAGCATGAGCCTACACAGAGAAGGTGCCCACTGTCTGTCAAATTCATCCATTCAACAAGTATTTAGGCTGCTCATCGTGGCTCACGCTTATAATCCCAGCACTTTGGGAGGCCAAGGTGGGAGGATGGCTTGAACCCAGGAGTTCCGGACCAGCCTGGGCAACATAGTGAAACCCGTCTCTACAAAAAAATGCAAAAATGGCCGGGCGCGGTAGTTCCCACCTGTAATCCCGGCACTTTGGGAAGCCGAGGCAGGTGGATCACCTGAGGTCGGAAGTTCGAGACCAGCCTCACCAACATGTTGAAACACCGTCTCTACTAAAAATACAAAATTAGGCCGGGCGCGGTGGCTCACGCCTGTAATCCCAGCACTTTGGGAGGCCGAGGCGGGCGGATCACGAGGTCAGGAGATCGAGACCATCCTCGCTAACACGGTGAAACCCCGTCCCTACTGAAAATACAAAAAATTAGCCGGGCGCGGTGGGGTGCCTGTAGTGCCAGCTACTCGGGAGGCTGAGAATGGCGTGAACCCTGGAGGCGGAGCTTGCATTGAGCCGAAATGGCGCCACTGCATTCCAGCCTGGGGGACAGGGCGAGACTCTGTCTCAAAAAAAAAAAAAAAAAAAAAAAAAAAAAGATTAGCTGGTTAGCCAGATGTGGTGGCACATGCCTGTAATTTCGGGAGGCTGAGGCAGGAGGATCTGTTGAACCCTGGAGGCGGAGTTTGCGGTGAGCCGAGATCGCGTCAATGCATACCAGCCTGGGCAACAAGAGCGAAACTGCGTCTCAAAAAAAAAAACAATTAGCCGGACGTGGTGGCATGTGCCCAGCTACTCAGGAGGTTGAGGCAGGAGGAACACTTGAGCCTGGGAGGTTGAGGCTAAAGTGAGCTGTGATCAGGCTCCTGCATTCCAGTCTGGGCAAGAGTGAGACCCTGCTTTACCAAAAAAAAAAAAAAAAAAAAAGGTATTTATTGAGCACCTACTATATGCTAGGCTCTGTGTGGCTAGGCTCTGGGGATGTACGGGACTTCAAACCAGATAGGGCCTTGCCCTCCGGGAGCGCACAGTCCACTGGGATGGGGTGGGAGTGGGGGAAACACGCAGGAGGCCTTCAGCTAAGTGGGACAAAGATCACTCCACAGTGGGACAATGGCGTGGGGAGCGGAGGCGCCGCCGGCGAGGAGGCTCCGGGCGGGCCGTGCTGAGACCGCAGCATTTAACCCGGCCCGAGGCAGCTGGGAACAGTGCTGCCCAGGGAACTACAAATTCAAAGGCCCGGGGAAGGGCCGCGCTGAGCAGCTGCAGGCACAGGCCCAGGCCAGGCCAGGCAGGACCGGCCCCTGCAGTCTCGGAGGCCGGGGGAAGATTCCGCCTCTTATTCTCGCTCCCATCCGGGGGGCGCCATCTTGCTTCCTTTATGGCGGCGAACGAGGCCCAGAGAGGCCACCGTCCCGCGCGGGGCAGCACAGCGGCGGGAGAGCTCGGAGCGCAGAGGGCCGCATCCCCAGTTCCCAGTCTCCATCCCCGGCAGAAGCAGGCGGAGCGACCCGGTCCCCGCCCCCGCGCCCGCCCCGCCCCGCGCGCCCGCCTGGCCCCTCGGCCCCGCCCCTGCTCCGGAGTGACGCGGGCCCGGGCGCGACGGTCTCGGCGGCGGCGGCGGCGGCGACAGAGCGAGCGCGGCGCGGGGCCACCATGGGGGCCCAGCTCAGCACGGTAGGCGGGGAGGGGGCGCCGGGGCCGCGGGGCGTCGCGAGGGACTGGGACCCGGCGGCGAGGGGGCGGGCTGGCCTGCGGGAGGTGACGCGGGACCCGGGCCGCACCCGGCCGCACCCACTTCGCCCGCCCAGCCCGCCGCGCCCCACCCCACCCCACAAGGGCCTGGGCGAGCTACGTGGTGACCGCTACTTACGCCCTGGCAGTCTGCAGCGGGGACCCAGCCCTCCTGCCCGGGGGGCGCGCCAGAGCCCAGCACCCGGGGGCACCTGGGCCCTGCCCTGGCCGCCGTGGGGCCTTGGCTGCTGGAGGGACCCGTGGTTGTGAGCGTGTGTGCCGCTGAGTGTGAGTGTGTGAGCGAGCGTGTGAATGGCTTGAGAGTGAATGTGTGTGTGAGTGTGACCGTGGGTGTGAAGGGCGGGCATGGAAACGTGTGATGGGGTGTGTGTGTGTGTACGGGAGTATGTGAATGGGCGATGTCACTGACTGCGACTGAACGTGTGTGTGTGTGCGATGTCACTATGTCAGAGGGTTTTGCACGTTTAGCAACAAGGAACAGAACCCGGATGACACGGGGGCATCCTCCCAATGCTCAGTGGGCCAGGCTCCCATCAAGGCCAGGCTCCCACTGACCCTGCAAGCTGTGCTGGGGACCTCACACTTTGCGGTGTCAGTGCTGTTTGCCCCATTTCACAGATGGGGAAATGCAAACTAGTCTTGGCCACCGTCCCACAACGCTGCCGCCGGAAGGAGCCTGCTCCATGGGGTTTCAAAGTCCACTCTGCTGCTGTCACTCCTGGGCTGGCCTAGAGCCACCTTCCCTTCCCCCCAGGCCACCTCCTCTCCCCAGTTTCTCAAAAGTTGACCATGGTGAGGCTGGAGGCTTGAGTCTGTGTGGACATGTGGAGGCTGCGGCTGCAGAGGGCAGCTCTCCTGTCAACTGTGACCCGCTAGGCGTGGGGAGGCTGGCACAGGAGGAATCAGCCCAGTGCTCCTCCACCTCCACCTCTACCTCTATGCCTGGCATCTGCCACTTGGAGGGCACCTGGGTCCTCCCTCCTTGGGGAGGACCTGGAGTCTCCTCCTTGGGGATCCAGGCAAAAGGCCTCTTGGCTTGGGTGGTTGCTAAGGAAAGTGTGGCCCAACCCAGAACTTCGGGATGTTCAGACCCCAGGCAACCTTGGCCAGGGTGAACCTGTGGGCATCACCCCAACCTCCATGCAACACCCGGCCCATTTTTCCCCAGAAAGCATCTGCCTCCTTTATTGTTGAAATGTCCTGCCTGTGTCTCTAAAGCTTCCCCTGGTCTCCACCCAACCCTTCCCTGCTGTTTTTGGTGGTGTTCCATACCTTCCAGCTGGTGGTTGGATTTATGGCCACGTCCCCTGCACCTGGCTGCTCCATACATTTCTTTTTTCTTTTTTCTTTTTTGAGAAGAGTCTCTCACCCAGACAGTAGTGCAGTGGCGCGATCATAGCTCACTGCAGCCTCAACCTCTTGGGCACAAGTGATCCTTCTACCTCAGTGTCCTGAGTACAGGCACGTGCCAATATGCCTGGCTAAGTTTTTTTTTTTTGAGATGGAGTCTCTCTCTGTCACCCAGGTTGGAGTGCAGTGGCATGATCTCAGCTCACTGCAACCTCCACTTCCTGGGCTCCAGCAATTCTCCTGCCTCAGCCTCCCAAGTAGCTGGGATTACAGGCACTCGCCATCACACCTGGGCTTCGCCATCTTGGCCAAGCTGGTCCCGAACTCCTGACCTCAGATGATCCACCTGCCTCAGCCTCCCAAAGTGCTGGGATTACAGGAGTGAGCCACTGTGCCTGGCCTAATTTTTTGTATTTTTAATGGAGACAATGTCTTGCTATGTTGCCCAGGCTGGCCACAAACTGAGCTCAAGTGATCCTCCCATCCCAGCTCCTCAAAGTGCTGGGATTACAGGTGTGAACGCCGTTCTTGGCCTCATTCCATATATTTCTGTTGAATGGCTGAGCAGTCCTCTGTAAGGGGCAGAGCACTGCCTGGGAGTCGGGAGACCTCCACCAACCCTCCCCCGCCCAGCCCCATCTCTCCAAGGGTGGGTGGGGATTACCCTTTGTGGGTGCTGCTGGGATCCTCGCTTGGCCCAGAATGTCTCCAGCACATTCTGAGCCAGGCCTCCTGGCTTACGGGCTCCCCACAGTCTGGAGGAGGCTGGCTGGGGGCCTGGTGCTCTAGGTGTCTTATCTAAGACATGCAGGCCCCATGGGAGGCCTCTCCCAACACTTTGTGGGATCCAGGCCAGGGGTTGGCCCTGGAGTCTGCCAGCCACACTGGGAAAACATTGGAGCTTGGTCTGCCATCCTGAACTGTGGTTCCCCTGCCTCCCAGCCCGGCTGTGAGTGCTCAGCGACCCTGACAGGCTGACAGGTACAGTCTGCCGGGCTTTCCTACTGTCCCTGGCAGCCCCATGCTTACTCTGCGGCCCAGATCCCAGCTCTGTGTCCACCTGTTCCTTCTCCTGGGTTCCCTTCCCCCACAGTTCCCAGCCAAGCCAGAGCCCCCCACTGCAGAACTTCCTCCACTCCCTCCCACTTCCTCCCGGTTAGAACAGGACCAGGAGGGAGGTGCCGCTCAGATTCTGGCAGGACCGCTGGCGGGCAGGCAGGGGACAGGTAAGCAAGTCACCCGACTGGCTTGTCTAAGCTCCAGGGCAGGGAGCTGGCACCTGGGGAGGACCGGGCCTGCCAGGTCGGGGGCCCTGGCAGCTCTCTCTGCCCACCCCTAACCTGGCCTGGGCAGAGTGGAGGCCAGGGTCCCAGTGGGGAATTCCAGGGGTGGGCAGCTGCGCAGGGCATTCTATGTGTGGGGAGCAGAGCTACGCAGCCCCTCAGCTATGGTGCATGAGCTGGGGGCTCCCTGGGACTCTGGCACCCTGTGTCCCTCTTCCCCTCTGTGTTATTAGAGGCAAGGAGAGGCGGGTGATGGGTTCCCTGGTGGGGCAGAGCATGGCTTGTGGGCATTAGGTCAGGGGCTGGGAGGCAGCTGTCTCCTGGGCCCCCAGGTGGCTGGGGTGAGGTGGTCTGTGTGTGTGAGTGTGTGTGTGAGTGTGCACGCAGCACAGGTGAGGAGGCACAGGGGTGGGACCTTGGCCTCAGCCACCTGCCTTCTGTTTACTTGGCCCACTGCTGGTGAGGGTTGGGGTGGTGCTGTGGACGAGGACGGGGCAGAGCCTGTTCCAACCCGTGTGGGTAGGAAGAGAGTGCACCCCACCGTGTGAGTCTGGCAGGGCCTCTGGCTTTCTGGAGGTGAAACCTTCGCCCCTCCACTGCTCCTGGCTGTGGTGCGCCCTCTCTGCCGGTGTCTGTCTCCCCGTCTGGCTTGAACTCGGGCGGGGCCTCCTGGCCTGTGTCCCCTGCGTTGCACATGGGACCTGCCACCTCAGTGCCCACTGGGGTTTGTGGACTAAACGACTGACCGACGGTGATGGTCTGCCTGTGGCTGCCTCCCCAGATAAGAACTTTTACCTATAAAAAGCCCACCCCTTCTCTTTAGTGGCCAGAAAGTGTCCCCGGGCTCAAGTCTGTCCCCTGAGGCTTGGTTTCCTCACCTGAAGTGGGAGGAGTCATGAACAGGCTTGAGGACTGAATGAGGTGGCGTGAGCAGAGGCTGCCCGCCTGGCTCCGGGCAGCCCCTGTTGTTGGGAGCAGACACTGGAAGGAAGGTCCTTGACTCTCATCTGCTGCCCACGGCGAGCCTGGCCTTCTGAGCAGTGCTTGACTCCCAGCTCAGCCACGGGAGCTGCGTATGTCCTCTCTGAGTGTGGAACAGGCGTGGAAACAGCCTGGAGCCGGATCCTAAGCCCACCTCTGAGGCCTGTGCTCTTGGAGGACAAGCGGGCTTTTCTGACAAACAGGACAGGCTGTGCCGCGCCCTCATCCAGGAGTCTGGGCTCTTGTCCTGGTTCTGGAAACTTCTAGGCAAAATAAAAACACTGGGAGGGTGGGAGCCTGTTGTCCCTTCACTAATTCATTCCACAAATATTTGTTGAGTGCTTTCTGTGTGGAGTGTTGGGGATACAGTGGTGACGACAGACACAGATCCTGCGGTCTGCTCCAGGGCCACTTCTGGAGACTTGTGGGGAGCCGGCAGCCTGGGGTTGGAGGCCAGCATTCGGGGACTTGCCATCGGAGCCACTAATACGCGGGTGTCTTTTTCTTGGCCCAGCGCCCACCCAGGCTCACTTCCATGGGTTTAGGTTTAGGGCAAGGGAGGGAAGTGGGAAAGCAACAGAAAATCAGAAACCAGGCTCCACCCTGGGCCTCCTTGAGCTACATTTGTCCCCTCATTGTCACACGGGGAGCCTGGTTGTTCCCACCTTGCACCACTGTGGGAGGGCCGGGGAGGAAATGGGGGAAGGTGCCTCGCAGCCCGTGAAGCCAGCTGCCCGCGGAGGGGCCTTAAGCTGGGCTGTGCACTGACGCAGCTGTGCTGGAAAAACAGAACTCCAGGGAGCACCAAGCACAACCCCAGCTCCTAATGTCATTCAAGTTCATTGCCAGGGCCCCCAACAATGGTGATTTCCTGTGAATGTAACTTCGGCCAACTTTTTCCCTAGACTCTATTCCACGTGGGCGTGGTTTCTGTGACTGAGGGAGAGGTCGATAGCAGAGGAATCCTCGGAATAGTACTTGCCCCAGGGAGTTTCCAGAAGGGACCAGGGGCTGTGAAAAGTCTACCAAGGGCCTGGTTAGCTAGGGAAGGGCTCATCAGGGAAGATTTGATGTTTGAGCTAGGCTCTGAGGAATGAATAGGAGTTTGCTGGTTGGATGCATGCAGAGCAAGGACATTTGGGGCAGAGAGGAGAGCATATGCGAACGCCTGAAGCAAGATGGGCTTGATGTTGAAAGAGCAGAGAGCTGGGAGGTGAGTCCAGAGTTGGGGCCATAGAGAGGGTGCCTTCAGGTAGGCAGTGGGGAGCTATGGTGGGTATTTGAGGAGGGGTGGAGCCGCCTGTTGGTTCGGACCCCCGGGGCTGGGGGCAGGTGCTCAGGCCTCACTGTGGGAGGCAGGATGTCAGATTTGGGCTGTGAGCTCTTTGACTGGAGCAGAAAGAGTGCCCCTGTCCTGGGAGGTGGCTCAGGAAGAGCAGCACTTTGGGCTGGACATTGAGAGTCCACTCCCGGCCCACCCTGAATGGCTATATGACCTTGGCAGGTCACTTCATCTATCTGAGGGATAGATAACAGTGTCATGTGGTGAGCGATGCTTGGAGGGCTGGCTTTGGTGTACTCCGGGCAGGTCACTCCCCTTTCCTGGCCTCAGTTTCCTCACGTGCTGGGATGATCACAGTGCCCGCAGCCTAGGGTTGAGGTGGGGAGTATTCCAGGAAACCCGCGGCCCCTACTCAGAACAGTGCCAGCTCAGGGGCGCTGACCGCTGTGTGCCTCCTTCCTCCCCACCCTCCCCATCCTCCAGGTAGGGCCCGGGGAAGTGAAGCGACTCTCCTGCCATCCTTAGCTGGGACTCAAACCCTGGTCTCTCTGACCCAAGTCCACAGCTGCCAACTGGGGCCTTAAAGGAGGCCTGGGATGAGTGAAACACCTGGGCCATGCTGATTAAATGGGTGGTGGCCAGAGACCCCAGCTGGGTGGCCCTGGGCATGGGTGAGGGGTGGGCTAGGCATCCACAGCCCTTCCTTTAGACCCATGGGTCAAATACCAAGGGCCCCATGGAGCGAGGCCTCAGCTGCACCCAGCATGGAGGCCCTGCCTGGGAGAGAGGCCTTTTGTTTTAAGCCCAACAAAGGACCTGTAACTGTAGCTGGGCAGCTTGGAGCTGCTGGGCCGTTGCAGGGTGGGGGGTGGGGGGGCGGGGGCCAGGCCTGGTGTGAGGTTGTAGCACCCTGCCCTTCCTTCACTTGGCTATTCCACTCCTCTCAGTTGGTAGTGGCCCCGTGAGGGTGGCAGGAAAAGCTCCTGTGTGTGAGCCGGGACTTCCCAGGTTATAGACCCCTACGTGACCTGGGCCCCAGCTCATCTCATCTCACATCGCTTCAAGGAGATAGGCCAGGCAGTGGCCCTCGCTTTTTACAGACAGGACACGTGGCTCCACCAGAGCGTCCTCCTCAAATTGTTGGAGAGTAGGGACTCCTGGTAGTGTTTCCAGAAGGGGAGGGGCAATGGGGCTAGGCCTTGAGAGGTTAGGAGCATCTTACCTGGCTCTGAATAGAGCAGAGGCACTTGTCTGTGTTCTGCAGGATATACTACCTCAAGGGGCCCGTAGCAGGTCCCACAAAGCAAGTAGAGAGGCCTGCACGCATGCAAGGAACTTGTTTCTCAGCTTCCTGGCACTCAAAGTGAAAAGGGAACTTGTAGGGTAATGATAAGAGAACACACATGCACATTTGCTGGGAGAACTACAATCAGGGAGGTATATGGGGAGGGTGTATAAACAAGCTCTGAAACAGCTTTCTTGAGAGCCAGTGTTTTATATGAACTTTGGCTTCTCAGCCTCTCTAGTTGAACTACCAGTATGGGCTTCACACACTTTTTATTTTGAAATAATTTCAAATTACTGGCCGGGCGAGGTGGCTCACGCCTGTAATCCCAGCACTTTGGGAGGCTGAGGCGGGCGGATCACGAGGTCAGGAGATCGAGACCATCCTGGCTAACGCAGTGAAACCCCGTCTCTACTAAAAATACCAAAAATTAACTGGGCTTGGTGGCGAACGCCTGTAGTCCCAGCTACTCGGGAGGCTGAGGCAGGAGAATGGTGTGAACCCAGGAGGCAGAGCTTGCAGTGAGCTGAGATCGTGCCACTGCACTCCAGCCTGGGCAACAGAGCGAGACTCCATCTCAAAAAAAATAATAATTTCAAAGTTACTGTAAAAGAACATTTATGGGCTGGACGCAGGGGCTTATACCTGCAATCCTAGAACTTGGAAGGCTGAGGCTGGCTGTTGGCTTGAGCTCAGAAGTTTGAGATTAGCCTGGGCAACATGGTGAAACCGCATCTCTACAAAAAATACAAAAAAATTACCAAGGCCTGGTGGTACGTGCCTGTAGCCCCAGTTACTTCGGGGACTGGGCTGGGAGGATTGCTTGGGTACAAGAGGTCAAGGCTATAGTGAGCTGAGATCACGCCACTGCATTCCAGCCTGGGTGATAGAGTGAAACCCTGTCTCAAAAAAAAAAAAAGAGCTCTTATGTACTCTTCACCCAGATGTACCTAATGTTATTATTTGCTACATTTGCTTTATTTCTCTCTATACAGTATATATCTAATGTATGTTAAATATATTAGATACTACATGTGTGCATATCCATACAGTGGACCCTTGAATGGTATGGGGGTTAGGGGCTGACCTGTATAGTTGACAGTCCACGTATAGGCTGGGTGCAGTGGCTCATGCCTGTAATCCCAGTACTGTGGGAGGCTGAGGCGGGTGGATCACTTGAGGTCAGGAGTTCGATGAGACCAGCCTGGCCAATGAGAAAAAACCCCGGCTCTACTAAAAATACAAAAATTGGCCAGGCGCTGTGGCTCATGTCTGTAATCCCAGCACTTTGGGAGGCCAAGGCAGGCAGATCACCTGAGGTCAGAAGTTCGAGACCAGCCTGGCCAACATGATGAAAACTCGTCTCTACTAATGATACAAAAATTAACTGGGTGTGGTGGTGGGCGCCTGTAATCCCACCCACTTGGGATGCTGAGGCAGGAGAATCGATTGAACCCGGGAGGTGGAGGTTGCTGTGAGTTGAGATCTCACCACTGCACTCCAGCCTGGGTGACAGAGCCAGACTCCATCTCAAAAAAACAAAACAAAACAGAAAATAAAAATTAGCCAAGTGTGGTGGCGTGCGCCTGTAATCCCAGCTACTTGGGAGGTTGAGGCAGGAGAATCGCTGGAGCCCAGAAGGCGGAGGTTGGAGTGAGACAAGATCGCGCCACTGCATTCCAGCCTGGGCCAGATCTGTCTTAAATAAAAGAAAAAAAAAAGAAAATCCATGTATAACTTCTGGTTCCCCCAAAACTTTCCTACTAATATACTATTGACTAGAAGCCTTACCAATAACATATTTGTATATTGTATGTATTATATACTATATTTTTACAGTAAAGTAAGCTAGAGAAAACTGTTATTTTAAAAATCATAAGGGGCCGGGCGTGGTGGCTCACGCCTGTAACCCCAGCACTTTGGGAGGCCGAGGCAGGAGGATCACCAGGTCAGGACTTCAAGACCAGCCTGGCCAACATGGTGAAACCCTGTCTCTACTAAAAATACAAAAATGAGCCAGGAGTGGTGACGTGCGCCTGTGATCCCAGCTACTCGGGAGGCTGAGACAGAAGAATTGCTTCAACCTGGGAGTTGGAGGTTGCAGTGAGCTGAGACCGTGCCACTGCACTCCAGCCTGGGTGACAGCAAGACTCCGTCTCAAAAAATAAATAAAGAGAAAAAAAAATCATAAGGAAGAGAAAACATATTTACTATTCATTAAGAGGAAGTGGATCATCATAAAGGTCTTCATCCTTGTTCTCACGTTGAGAAGGCTGAGGAGGAGGCAGGGGGTAGTCTTGCTGTCTCGGGTGACAGAAGAGGAAGAAGATCCTTGTATAAGTGAACCACTCAGGGTCCTGGCCGGGCACAGTGGCTCACGCCTGTAATCCCAGCACTTTGGGAGGCCGAGGTGGGTGGATCATGAGGTCAGGAGTTCAAGACCAGCCTGGCCAACATGGCGAAACATTGTCTCTACTAAAAGTACAAAAATTAGCCAGACGTGGTGGTGCTCACCTGTAATCCCAGCTACTCGGGAGGCTGAGGCAGGAAAATCACTTGAACCCGGGAGGCGGAGGTCACAGTTAGCCAAGATCACACCACTGTACTCCAGCCTGGGTGATAGAGTGAGACTCCATCTCAAATAAATAAATAAATAAATAAATAAATAAATAAATAAATAAATAAGTGAACCACGCAGGGTCCTTCCGGGGGGTGACCTTCAGCTGGCCATTCGGGATGATGGACTTTCCATCCCAGAACCATGGCTCCATTTGTCCGTAACCTTGTGGAGAAGACCCCAGCACTGGTGAATGCTGCTGTGACTTACTTGAAGCCTCGATTGGCCGCATTTTGGTACTACACCACGGTTGAGCTGGTTCCTCCCACCCCTGCTGAGATCCCTAGAGCTATTCAGAGCCTGAAAAAAATAGTCAGTAGTGCTCAGACTGGTAGCTTCAAACAGCTCACAGTTAAGGAAGCTTTGCTGAACGGTTTGGTGGCCACTGAGGTGTCGACGTGGTTTTATGTCAGAGAGATCACAGGCAAGCGTGGCATCATTGGCTAGAATGTTTGAAGACCAGTCTTAACATCTGATTATATTTGATTTATTATTTGAGTGTTGTTGGACCAGGTGTGATCAGACTGCTATCTGAATAAAATAAGATTTGTCAGAAATTCCAAAAAAAAAAAAAAGTGAATCAAGCAGTTCCAACCCATGTTCAAGGGTCAACTGTGTCTATATTTTGAACCATTTAAGAGTAAGTTGCCCCTTTGCCCCTAAATATTTCAGTGTGTATCTCCTAAGAACAAGGACATTCCTTTGCGTAACCACAGAATAATTACAGGAAAGTAACATTGGTACAACACTATTATCTAATCCACAAGCCTTATTCAATTTTTTTTTTTTGAGATGGAGTCTTGGCTCTTGTCACCCAGGCTGGAGTCCAGTGGCATGATCTCGGCTCACTGCAACCTCTGCCTCCTGGGTTCAAGTGATTCTCATGCCTCAGCATCCTGAGTAGCTGGGATTGCAGACGCCCGCTACCATACCTGGCTAATTTTTGTATTTTTGGTAGAGACGCGGTTTTTCCATGTTGTCCAGGCTGGTCTCCAACTCCTGACCTCAGGTGATTCACCTGCCTCGGCCTCCCAAAGTGCTGGGATTACAGGCGTGAGCCACCGTGCCCGGTCCCCCCCCACTTTTTTTTTTTTTGAGACAGAGTCTCGCTCTGTCACCCAGGCTGGAGTGCAGTGGCACGATCTCAGCTCACTGCTACCTCCGCCTCCCAGGTTCAGATGATTCTCCTGCTCCAGCTTCCTGAGTAGCTGGGGTAGCCTGCCACCACACCCAGCTAATTTTTGTATTTTTGGTAGAGACGGGGTTTCACCATGTTGGCCAGGCTGGTCTCGAACTTCTGACCTCAAGTAATCTGCCTGCCTTGGGCTCCCAAAGTGCTCAGATTACAAGTGTGAGCTACAGCGCCTGGCCTTTTTTTTTTTTTGAGATGGAGTTTCACTCTTGTTGCCCAAGCTGGAGTGCAATGGCACGATCTCGGCTCACTGCAACCTCCATCTCCTAGCTTCAAGCATTTCTCCTGCCTCAGTTTCCTGAGTAGCTGGGATTCCAGGCATGCGCCACCACATCCAGCTAATTTTTTGTATTTTTAGTAGAAACTGGGTTTCACGATGTTAGCCAGGCTGGTCTTGAACTCCTGACCTCAGATGATCCCCCCGCCTCAGCCTCCCAAAGTGCTGGGATTACAGGCGTGAGCCACCGCGCCCGGCCTTTTTTTTTTTTTTTTTTTTTTATGGAGTCTTGCTCTGTCTCCCAGGCTGGAGTGTGGTGGTGTGATCTTGGCTCACTGCAACCTCCTCCACAGGCAACCTTCTGCCTCAGCCTCCTGAGTAGCTGGGATTACAGGCATGCGCCACTGTGCCCGCCCAGGGATTCAGGTTTTCTAACCAACTTTTAGGGTCTTTTTTTTTTTTTTTTTCAACAGAGACAGAGTTTTGCTATGTTGCCCAGGCTGGTCGCGAACTACTGGGCTCAAGCAATCTTCTGCCTCTGCCATCTGAGTAGCTGGGACCACGGGCGTGTGACACTGCAACCAGCTAACTTTTTTTTTTTTTTTTTTTTTTTGAGATGGAGTTTCACTCTTGTTGCCCAGGCTGGAGTGCAATGGCATGATCTTGGCTCACTGCAACCTCCGCCTCCCAGGTTCAAGCGATTCTCCTGCCTCACCCTCTCAAGTAGCTGGGATTACAGGCACCTGCCACCACGCCCGGCTAATTTTTGTATTTTTAGTAGAGATGGGGTTTTACCCTGTTGGCCAGGCTGGTCTCGAACTCCTGACCTCAGGTGATCCACCCACCTTGGCCTCCCAAATTGCTGGGATTATAGGCGTGAGCCACTGCACCGGGCCTACAACCAGCTAACTTTTTATATTTTTTGTAGAGATGGAGTTTCACCCTGTTGCCCAGGCTGGTCTTGAACTCGTGGACTCAAACTGTTCACCTGCCTCCGCCTCTCAGAGTGTTGGGATTACAGGCTGGAGCCACTATGCCCAGCCCCCTTTTAGGGCCTTCAGGAGACTGAGATGTCGGGGGCAGGGGCTGGGGAGGAACAGCCCCTCAGGGCCGTGTGGCAGGGTCCACTTGGTCATGAGGTATCCCAGCGTGGTATAAGGGATGGGTGGACTCTGGGTCAGCTCCTCACCTGCCAGCTGTGTGACTGGGTGAGTCGCTTTGCCTTTCTGGGCTGTTTCCTCATCTGCGAAATGGTGGTGATGACAGTGCCTACCACACGGGGTTGCTGCGAGAGCCGTGCCCGTGTGGTACCCGACGTGGCCCTGGGATCCCAGAGGCTGTTGGCTTTGGTGATCTGAGCTGTAGGGTCTCAGCTCTGGGGGCCTTGCAGATCACCTGGTCCACTCAGGTTGAGAGGGGAAGGGACTTTCTCGGGGTCACACAGCCAGTGACCTTCCCAGTGCCTGGCTCAGTGCTTCGCTTCCCCTTACACCTGATGGCAGAACCCCAGGGCTCAGGGACACTCATGGATGTCATTTGGGGGAAGTGGCTCAGTTTACTCAGCTTCACTGGCTTGTTCTAGTGTGCTCTGTGGGAGAGCAAAGAGGAGAGCATCAATCCCAGTGGCCCCAAGGGACTGGATTTAAAGGTGCCATAGAGCCATTTGGTCAGTGTAGGCCTTTCAGATAGATTCTGAGTTGGGGTTATTATTTGTCTGTTTGTCTAAATCAAGCTAGAACTTGACATCACTTAATAAGACCAGGGAAGTTGACTGAAGGAAGCAAGAGAAGGAAGGAGCACAAATACATTATGCTCAAGATTAATTTTACTCTGAGCTTCCTAGTAGCCAAAGTGAAAAAGGATATGTGCTTAGACCCACAGCTCTTTTTGGTCCTGGCTCTTCAGAGGAAATGGAGCTTTTTCTCATGGTACTGAGCATAGAAGCCCAGGTAATGCTCAGTGACAGGTGTCATGAGGCTGGTCTTTATAGCTTCTCCTAGTGGGCACCAAAATGGATGATGAAGCTTTCTGGATGAGGGTGGTGGGGAGAGGGTGCTCCTGGCAGAGGGGGCAGCGTGAGCAGAGGCCTGGTAGTGTGGACAAGCCGGTGTGTTTGGGGAAAGGCAGGCTCCTGCACTGACCCCGCGGGTCCTGTCGTTTCAGTTGGGCCATATGGTGCTCTTCCCAGTCTGGTTCCTGTACAGTCTGCTCATGAAGCTGTTCCAGCGCTCCACGCCAGCCATCACCCTCGAGAGCCCGGACATCAAGTACCCGCTGCGGCTCATCGACCGGGAGGTGAGTGCCGGCCGCCGCCGCTGCCTCGTCAGCATCACAGCATTGCCCAGCACCTACTCTGTGCTCAGGGCATGGTCCTGCTCTGAAGTAGATACTGTTGTCCACCCATTTTACAGATGGAGAAAGCAAGGTGATGTCTCTTGCTAAGGCCACCAGGAAGTAGCAGAGGAATTTAAACCCTGGTCTCTCTGTCCACAGAGCCCCTTCTCTGAACCACACTCACTGCCTCATGCAAGGTCAGAATGGAAGGAACCCCTCAGAACTTTTAGGTTCAATCCCCCATTTATGGGGTAGGAATGCAGGGGGTGAGAGATTTGAAGATAAGGTCTCCTCCCTCCTCCCCCTCCCCCAGAGTCATTCCCCACAGCCTGGTACTACTGGACCTGGACACCTTTCACATCTGTGCAGATTCCCTGGGTGCTCTGAGCTGTGTGGGCTTCCTCTGCCCTGTTTGATTCTTACTTTCTTTCATTAGTGAGTTCATACTTTTTTTTTTTTGAGACAGAGTCTTGCCCTGTGTCCCAGGCTGGAGTGCAGTGGTGCGATCTCCGCTCACTGCAACCTCTGCCTCCCCAGGCTCAAGTGATTCTCCTACCTCAGCCCCCTGAGTAGCTGCGATTACAGGCGTGAGCCACCGCGCCCAGCCTAATTTTTGTATTTTTTGTAGAGGTGGGGTTTCGTCCTGTTGCCCAGGCTGGTCTCAAACTCCTGGGCTCTAGTGATCCCCGCACCTCCACCTCCCAAAGTGTTGGGATTACAGGCATGAGCCGTGGTGCCCGGCCTGACTCCTTTTTTTCAAAGCTCTGATTATGATTTAAAACCATCCTCTCCCTCTTTTGCCTTGCCCCCAGTAAAGGCTGCTTCCATCGGTCACTTGCCCTCTTCAGAGCCCCTCCCTTGCTCTATTTCTGGCCACCCCCAGCAGGCACAGGAGGGGTGTGGCAGGGAAAACTGAGTCACAGCAGAGAACATCATCTGCCAGGGCCCAAGTCTCCACCCTGGGCTTGTGCCTGGTGCCTCTGACTCAGGCTTCACAGGAATCTCAGGCTTCCATGGCACGGAGCTGGCCGTTTCCTGTAACTGTTGGGGCAAGTGTCTGTAATTGTCCCAGGAGCTCACAGAGAAGTTGACAACCAGAGAGAAGCAAAAAAATACAAAATGAAAAGTAAATTATTGGCCAGGCACGGTGGCTCATGCCTGTAATCCCAGCACTTTGGGAGGCCGAGGCCGGTGGATCACCTGAGGTCAGGAGTTCAAGACCAGCCTGGCCGACATGGTGAAACCCCATCTCTACTAACAATACGAAAATTAGGCCAGGCGTGGTGGCTCACACCTGTAATCTCAGCACTTTGGGAGGCCGAGGAGGGCAGATCATGAGGTCAGGAGATCGAGACCATCCTGGCTAACACGGTGAAACTCTGTCTCTACTAAAAATACAAAAAATTGGCCGGGCGTGGCTGGGCTCACACCTGTAATCCCAGCACTTTGGGAGGCTGAGACAGGCGGATCACAAGGTCAGGAGATTGAGACCATCCCGGTAACACGGTGAAACCCTATCTCTACTAAAAATACAAAAAATTAGCCAGGCGTGGTGGCAGGCACCTGTAGTCCCAGCCGCTGGCGAGGCTGAGGCAGGAGAATGACGTGAACCTGGGAGGCGGAGCTTGCAGTGAGCCGAGATTGCGCCACTGCACTCCAGCCTGGGTGACAGCAAGACTCCGTCTCAAAAAAAAAAAAAAAAAATTAGCTGGGCGTGGTGGCAGGCACCTGTAGTCCCAGCTACTCCAGAGGCTGAAGCAGGAGAATGGCGTGAACCTGGGAGGTGGAGCTTGCAGTGAGCCGAGATCGTGTCACTGCACTCCAGCCTGGGCTACAGAGCAAGACGCTGTCTCAATCAATCAATCAATCAATCAATATGAAAATTAGCCGGGCGTGGTGGCAGATGCCTGTAATCCCAGCTACTCCAGAGGCTGAAGCAGGAGAATGGCGTGAACCTGGGAGGTGGAGCTTGCAGTGAGCCGAGATCGTGCCACTGCACTCCAGCCTGGGCTACAGAGCAAGACGCTGTCTCAATCAATCAATCAATCAATCAATATGAAAATTAGCCGGGCGTGGTGGCAGATGCCTGTAATCCCAGCTACTTGAGAGGCTGAGGCAGGAGAATCGCTTGAACCTGGGAGGCAGAGGTTGCAGTGAGCCAAGATCACACCATTGCACTCCAGCCTGGGTGACAAGAGCGAAACTCTGTTTCAAAAAAATAAAAAATAAAAAGCAAAAAAAAGTAAATCACCACCTCCCAGATGAGACCACACTTAACCTTGCGATATGATTTTTTGTTTGTTTGTTTGTTTTTGAGATGGAGTTTTGCTCTCGTTGCCCAGGCTATAGTGCAATGGTGTGATCTCGGCTCACTGCAACCTCTGCCTCCCAGGTTCAAGCGGTTCTCCTGCCTCAGCTTCCCAAGTAGCTAGGATTACAGGTGCCCACCACCACGCCCTGCTAATTTTTTTTTTTTTTGTATTTTTAGTAGAGTCAGGGTTTCAACATGTTGGCCAGGCTGGTCTCGAACTCCTGACCTCAGGTGATCCACCCGACTTGGCCTCTCAAAGTGCTCGAATTACAGGCGTGAGCCACCGTGCCTGGCCCTGTGATATGTTTTATACTTATGTAAGCAGGCACACATGTTTTTTTCTTACCCAAATGAAATAATAACATTTTGAAACCTGTTTTTTAACGGTATTTTCCCTTGTTATTGTTATTGGTGGGTTGTTTTGTTTTTGTTTGTGTTTTTTTAGAACAAGGTCTCGCTCTGTCACCCAGGCTGCTTTCTGCAACCTCAAACTCCTGGGCACAAGCCTTCTGAGTAGCTGGGACCATGTGCATGCACCACTATGCCTGGCTCTGTTACTGTCGTTCCTTTTTGTTGTTGTTGAGATGGACTTTCGCTCTTGTTGCCCAGGCTGGAGTGCAATGGCACAATCTCGACTCACCGCAACCTCCACTTCCCAGGTTCAAGTGATTCTTCTGCCTCAGCCTCCCAGGTAGCTGGGATTATAGGCATGCGACACCATGCCCAGCTAATTTTGTATTTTTAGTAGAGATGGGGTTTCTCCATGTTGGTCAGGCTGGTCTCGAACTTCGACCTCAGGTGATCCGCCCGCCTCGACCTCCCAAAGTGCTGGGATTACGGGCATGAGCCACCACGTCTGACCCTACTGTTTCTTAATTCCAGAAATAATGTATGATTTATATGTGCTCACAGCAAAAACTCTGTAAGGTATGACCTCCACCCCTGCCCCATTGCCGCATCCCAGGGCCCCGTGCAGAGGGCCCAGGTCACAGCTCAGCGTGAGCCTGCCAGACCCTATGTGGGTATCACGTTCATACACGGGTGTGTGGAGGTGCGGGTGTGTGCACACTCAGTTTCTTTTTTTGATAACCTGGTTTTGTAGCCAGCCATACAACATGGATCCTTTTAGTATTTCATCATAGGGATGTTACACAAGGGAGCATGTGGCAGATGTCCTAGGATTGCAGCTTTGCCCCCTCATTGTGCCCATGGTGGCTTTGCGGGGTCCGCAGCGGGCCTGCTCTGGGTGCTCTGTGCTTTGCCCCACCCTGCTGCCCTACTAGAGGTTGGCCAGCACCATAATTGTTCATCTCTTGTCCTCATTTCTATTCTTTTTTTTGAGACAGAGTTTCACTCTTGTTGCCCAGGCTGGAGTGCAATGGTGCGATCTCAGCTCACTGCAACCTTGCCTCCCAGGTTCAAGTGATTCTCCTGCCTCAGCCTCCTGAGTAGCTGGGATTACAGGCATGCGCCACCACGCCTGGCTAACATTGTAGTTTTAGTAGAGACGGGATTTCTCCATGTTGTTCAGACTGGTCTCGAACTTCCGACCTCAGATGATTCGCCCACCTCGGCCTCCCAAAGTGCTGGGATTACAGGCATGAGCCACCACGCCTGGCCATCTCATTTCTATTCTTCCTCCAAATATTTTCTGGTACATGGGTGTCTGACCTTGACCCTTAGGACCAGTTGATAGTCCTGGAATCCACTTCCAGAAGGCCTTGGGGCTCTGTTTGCCCCTAATGCAGAAGCTTCTGGTAGAGGCAGCTTTGAGGCCTGGGCTGCCTGGGAGAGGTTGGTGGGCCCCCTGCACACCTGATCCTGAGTGGCGTTTGCACCGTCTTTCCTGCGATTTGCCTCTGCTCACACGTGTAGGGACGGGTCTCTCCTTGAGGCAGCTGCTCTGTGCTGGAACACTGCTCAGGTCGGAGAGTTCTCGTACTGAGCCGAGATGGGCATCTGTGATGTCCTGCCCTGTTGGAGAGGTCTGTTGTCCCCCTCTAAGTGATGACACCATCCACATGTGGACTTTGCCACGTTTGGATGTAAGCGCCTCTGCAGCGCCGACCTTCCGCATGGCTTCTTCACACTCCCTCTCCTGGCCATGCTGGGTACTGGGGACCCCACAGGGAGTGCACCCTCAGGACGCTGGGTTTGGTTCCAGCTCCGACTGGAACTGATTATGTGATCGTCCCTGGCCTGAGCGTAAGACCCACTTAACAAGACCTCAGGGGTTTTAGTCTCAGCTCCTTCCCTGGCCCAATCTGGCTCTTAGCCAGCCCCCCTCCTCCTCTGCCACTGTCCCAGCCACTGACCATGCCCTGGGTGCCCACCCTGTGCAGGGTGGAAGCCTGGCTTTGGGCTCTTGGAGTTCCTGGGCAGGGAAGGCTCCCACTTTCTGCCCTGTGAAGCCCACCTCAGTCCTGGCTGCCCCATTTCCCAAGGGGCTCTCAGGTGCAGTGGCTTCTGCAGCCCCTCTCTTGGGATGCAGGCCTGGGCACGTGCAGCCTTGTCTAGCTCTGCCCCAGTTTGCCCATCCAGCCCTCAAGTTCTTCCTGCCCCTTCAGGCCACTGCTTGAGCTGATGGCAGAGATGGATTCCTCCCTCCCCGTCCTGTCTGGCATCCTCCCTTTGGGACCCTGGGTTCATTCCCTGTTCTGGCCACCTTGTTTGTGGCCCCTCTAGGCCAGCAGGACAGACACACCCAGCGTGCGCCTGGCCTCAGCACCTCACACGCAGCGTGCATGTGTGTGCATCTGTGCTTGGCGTCGGCGTCACGTCTTACAAGGACAAGCAGGCACTGGGGAAGGGTGGGGACACAAAGGAGGAATGGGATGGGGGCTCCGAGGCCTGGGAGCCGCCCTGGGAGGCCTCTGCCCTGGGGACCGTTCAGCAGCTTTGGGCCTCTCTCCAGATCATCAGCCATGACACCCGGCGCTTCCGCTTTGCCCTGCCGTCACCCCAGCACATCCTGGGCCTCCCTGTCGGTGAGTCACGCCCCTGCTGGGCCCATTCGGAGCCCGGCAGGCTGCTGGGGCACTAGATCAGAGAGATGGAAGCTTTACATTTCCACCAGGGAGAGCAGGGAAGCCTTCAGGAGGAGGTGACAGCTGCCCTGGGCCTTTGAGGGCGAGTCTGTTGGAATGAGAGTGGGAAGGCCCAGAGTCCCTGGCAGTGGCACCAGCAGGAGTGAAGGCATGGAGGCAGGAAGCTGGGACGTGAGGGGAATCCCCGGGAGGGGTGGGAGGGGGCCGTGGGAGCTGACGCCAGGCCAGGCTTTGAATGCCGGGTGGGGTGCAGGGGAGTGGGTTGACAAGACCCAGGGGTCACCCGCAGGATGATCTCTGGCCCAGAGTGACCCCGTTCTGTCCTGCAGGCCAGCACATCTACCTCTCGGCTCGAATTGATGGAAACCTGGTCGTCCGGCCCTATACACCCATCTCCAGCGATGATGACAAGGGCTTCGTGGACCTGGTCATCAAGGTGAAGCCTCTGGGTCATGACTGTGGAGGGGGTGTGGGTGGGTGGCCATGGCAACAGCCCATGTGGACCCCCTGGACAGGGAAGTCTCCCGCTCCTGCCCTGTGCAGCCCAGCCTCGGTCATGGCTGCCCCACTTCCTCAGGGGCTTGCAGGGGCAGTGGCTTCTAGAGCCCCTCTCGAGTCCATGTCCCCCCGCAGCCCGGACTCCAAAGACCCAGTGCTCCCTTGTGCCTGGTTTCTGAGTAAATAGCACGTCATCTTTACCAACAAAAGCCAAAGAAGGGGGTCTTGGCAGAGAACAGGGGCCAGGGTTCAGGGCAAGTGCCTTCAAACAAGGACAGGTACCTGCAGCAGAGGCTCCAGGAAGGCCGGCTGGCGGTACAGACGCCCCTGCTGCGAGGTGTGACGGCGCAGTCCCGTCCCTGCTCTCACGCTGGGAGATCCCTGGGAGTTGGGTCCCGAGTGTGCGGGGTGAGGCAGCCACTCCACCGTGGTCAGCGGCCGGGCCTCTGTGACACGCAGGCCCTGTTCTTACCCGTTTCCCTAAGAAATGTCCCTCAGGCCTGCTAGGGAAACATGTGAGGGGCTCGTGTGGTGTTGTCTGGGAGCTGGGGTGATGGGCTTTCTGGGGTCTGCTGCGGGGTTCGAGGTGGAGGTTCACAGGAGAAGATGCAGGCGTTAGGGGCAGCAGCCCGGAACCTGAAACACACATGCCGAGTGGGAAGTAAGAGGCAGCATGACGGCCCCAGCAGGGACGTTTTTATGAAAATTAGAAATACAAGCTTTCAGCCAGGCACAGTGGCTCACACCTGTAAGCCACTTTGGGAGGCCAAGGCGGGTGGATCACCTGAGGTCAGGAGTTAGAGACCAGCCTGGCCGACATGGAGAAACCCCGTCTCTACTAAAAATACAAAAAAATTAGCTGGGCATGGTGGTGCGCACCTGTAATCCCAGCTACTTGGGAGGCTGAGGCAGGAGAATCACTTGAAGCTGGGAGGCAGAGGTTGCAGTAAGCCAAGATCATGCTACTGTACTCCAGCCTGGGCAATAGAATGAGAGCCAGTCAAAAAAAAAGAAATACAAGCTTTCCTGCAGAACAGAGGGTGAGAAGCAGCCTAGACCAGTGGGTATGTGGGGTGTTGGAGACCCTCCCCAATCAAGGCCAAAGCCCTATAGCCTCCCCAGCCCAGCACCCTCAGGTACCCCTGGAGCCCCCTTACTGGGCCGTAGCTGAGGCCCTTACCTTGCCAGGTCTGGGGGCAGGCACTGGATCTGAAGGGTGGGAAGGGCCCTGGCCCGGGCTCCTTCCTTGCTGGGGCGCCCAGGCCTGGCCTCAGGAGCCCGTCTTTGGCTGGAGGACGGACACTGGACACATAGTCATGGGGAAGCCAGTGCTCCCTGCAGGGGACAGGTACCTGCGACCGAGCTTCCAGAAGGGCCACCAGGGATGGGTGGGGTTGGCTGGTGAGAGTGGCTCCCTAGCAGGTGACAGTGAAGGTGAGATCTGGGGCTGAGTAGGCACTGACCAGGTGAAGAAGGAAGAAAAGGAGCTTCAGGTGCAAAGGCCCTGAAGTCAGCAGCAGGCTCAAGGATTGAAGTGGCTGGAGGGTTGGGGCAAGGGGTGGGAGAGGTCAGTGGGGCCAGACGGGGCCTTGGAGGCCCCAGTAAGGTTTGGGGCTTTGTCCAGAAGCACAGAGGAGGTGATGAGGGCTCAAGCATCTGTTCACGTTGAAGTCTCTCTGGCCAAATGTGGAGAAGCTATTAGGAGGATTCAAATTGAGGATGAAAAACTCACAGGTGACCAGGCCTCTCCTGGCTTGGAGACCTGGCTGGCTCCCTTGGTCCTTGATAAAGGTTAGAGTCCTGGCCTGGCACCCAGGGCCCAGGACAGTGTGCTCTGCCTGCCTGTCCGTGGCCCTCCACTCCCCTCTGCCTCCACACCCCATAGCCACCCTCTGTGCTGAAGCCACAACAGGCTCCCCTCCCTGAGGCACTGTGTACACGCTGTCCCTCCCCCAGCCACCTTCCCCTTCTCCATCCATCAGACTCCTTGGGCAGGGTGAGCCGCTCCTCCTCTGTCTCCCCATTTCTTTGTAGGTGTCGGATTGAGGCCCTTCTCTTTCCCAAGACAGTAATCCTAGAGAGTGCAGGGCAGGAAGTAGTCCCAAGAGTGAGGGAGGTTTTTAGCGACAGCACAAAACGGAAGGGACTGAGTGTCCACCAGGAGGAGTGTGGCTTAGTGGGCCTCCCAGAGCCTTGACTTTGCTGACGGGTTCAGTGTCTCCCGTTGGGAGGGGGCCCCAGAGACAGTTGGTGAAATGTGAGTGCATCCAGCCCTGGAGTTGGTCGGCCTTGTACACGAGGCTGGTGGTTTGCTTTCCCCGGATATGTCAGGTGGAGGCTGACTCCTGGGAGGACGGGGTGAAGGACGGGGTGCAGGACAGGTAGGATTTGACGGCTGGGTGGATGGGGCTCCACGGGAGAAGGCCATGTGTGGGCCTCAGAAGAAGCTGCAGAAGAGGCACTTGTCTCCCACTGTGGGCAAGAGCTCGCCCCTGAGACCTGGAGCTGGGGACTGAGGGCTGCGGGGGTGTCTTGCAGGTTTACTTCAAGGACACCCATCCCAAGTTTCCCGCTGGAGGGAAGATGTCTCAGTACCTGGAGAGCATGCAGATTGGAGACACCATTGAGTTCCGGGGCCCCAGTGGGCTGCTGGTCTACCAGGGCAAAGGTGATTCGGGTCGGAATCCCTTGGTTACACGGCAGGCTCAGAGAATTGGAGAGCTTGGGCGTGCTGGGTGCAGGGTGCAGGCCCCTGGCTCTGTGTGGATGGGTGACTCTCGTCAGGCCAGCTGTCCCTCTCTGGGAACTGAGTCTCCCTGGCTGTAGAGGGGGTAAGTTGCTGGCACAGGGGTTGCAGACAGGCCACTCCTGGGGGCCACGTCTCACCCACTGCCAGCCTCTATTTGGCTTTCTCAGCATCTGAAACAAGCAAGCAAGAGGACAGAGCTGAGCCTCCGGGTTCCCAGCCTCTCCACTGCTCCTGCACCTTCCTCATGGCTCGCGTTAGAATGGCAGCTGCCTCTACCTCGGACCTCACAGTGGGGGCAGGTTCTCCAGCCCCCTCTCCAGCCTCTCCAGCCACCACACATGGCATGTTTGATGGCCGGGCCTCACCCCTTCTCTCTCCCCAGGGAAGTTCGCCATCCGACCTGACAAAAAGTCCAACCCTATCATCAGGACAGTGAAGTCTGTGGGCATGATCGCGGGAGGGACAGGTACACGGAACCCCCCACTGAGGCGTCCGGCGGCTCATGTTAAGGGTGGGGTTGGGGTGTGGGTGAGGCGCAGGTTCTGAGTGCCTGGGAGCTACCAGAGGTCAGGGGCCCAGGCCCAGTGGTCCTGGCCCCTCCACCCCAGTACACCTGGGCGGGGCGGTGCCTGTGAACAGGCCTCGCTCAGCACGTGCGAGGCCCGGCCGGCTATTTTGCAGGCATCACCCCGATGCTGCAGGTGATCCGCGCCATCATGAAGGACCCTGATGACCACACTGTGTGCCACCTGCTCTTTGCCAACCAGGTCAGTGGGCATCCCCATGATGGGGAAACTCAGCTTACCCTGAGAGGGGACTTCGGGCCTGGTCAGGTGCTGTTCCAGGGGTCTGCACAGCTCTGCTGAGATTCTGGGGATGACCGGGATGGGGGGCCCTGAATGTTCTGTGCACTGGCGGCCTTGGCAGCAGCACGGCGGGCAGGCTTTGTGGTGCAGCGCCTGTGTCTGGCTGAGGGGGCTGCCTTGCGGGGAGCTCCCTGAGCACCCCCTCCCCTGGCTGCTTCCTCCAAAACTCAGAACTCCCTTCACCATGAGCACGGTGTGGAACCCACTGGTAGAGTGGGAAGAATGCTGGCCTGGACATGGAGGGGCCCATCTTACAAATGACCAGACATTTGCACGAAGCCCCTGAGCTACAGGGTGTCAGGGCAGGATTTGAATGTTGGTGTCTCTGGCTCCTGATTCATATCCTTGTCCACGAGCCCACTGCCTGCCTGCCCGCCCTGGCCTGCTGTGTGGTCTTGGACGAGCTACTTTCCCTCTCTGAGCTTCACTCCCTCATCTGTAGAATGAGCTGATGAAACTGGGTTGTTGCAAGGTCTTTTCAGGTTAGTGTTTTGTGACTGATGACGTAGATTTGGGGGAGAAGATGCTTGCCTGAGGTCCTTGGATGTGGGTCCTTGCCCCACCCTGCCTCCCCGCAGCTGCAGAAAACTGCCGCAAGGCCAACCAAGATGGCCTTGCCAGGCCCAGGGGAGAAAGAGCCAGAAATTCTAAGCTGGCTGGTGTGGAGGGAGAGAGGGCAGCAGTGAGACTTGGTGGTGCTGGTTCAGAGTCTGTGGAGGCCGTCAGACCGTCTGTCACCTGTACAGGCCATCTTTGCAGCTGGTAGCGAGGGCAGTGTGGTCGCCTCATCTCATACCTCCGAACACAGGCTCCGGGAGGGGCTTGACTGTGCATGTCTCGTGGGAAGTGCTGAAACCAGGATGCAAACCAGGGTTTTATTTATTTATTTATTTTGATACAAAGTCTCGCTCTTGTCCCTCAGGCTGGAGTGCAATGGCACAATCCTGGCTCACTGCAACCTCCGCCTCCCGGGTTCAAGTGATTCTCCTGCCTCAGCCTCCCGAGTAGCTGGGATTACAGGATGTGTGCCACCATGCCCGGCTAATTTTTATATTTTTAGTAGAGATGGGGTTTTACCATGTTGGCCAGGCTGGTCTCGAACTCCTGACCTCAGGTGATCCACCCGCCTCAGCCTCCCAAAGTGTTGGGATTACAGGCGTGAGCCACAGTACCCAGCCTATTTTTATTTTTAAAAAACTATTTTAGAAAACATCATTCTGTTTTACGTTTTTGCAAACCTTGGAATGTCTGGCTTCATAGGACAGCTAGATTCCTGTGTTTGTTTCTACATCCCATCTGTGTGATGTTGCCAGTCACGCAGCCTCTGGAAAGTGGCCCCATCTACTGAGAGAGGAAGAGTGAAAAATACCAGTGTCTCAGTATTATATGAAAACCATTTGGCCTCAGGGATCCTCTCCAGGGTCCCAACCCCAGGGGTCCCCATGCTACACTCCGAGAACCGTGCCAGTCGGGTCATTGCTGCTCGTTTCCTCTCCTACCTTCCTCCGTGACCTCAGTGCCTGGTTTTGAGCTGGGAGCCCCCTACCCTCGAGTAGCAGCCCCCCAAGGTTCCATCCCTCTGTTCATCTGTCAGGTGGGTCGCGGCGGTGGCCACCTCAAAGGATGGTGGTGAGGATTAAAGCATGAGACACACTTTAGCTCAGAGAGGAAGACATAACTTTTTTTAAAAAAATTGAGACGGAATTTCACTCTTATTGCCCAGGCTGGAGTGCAATGGCGTGAATCTCGGCTCACTGCAACCTCCGCCTCCCGGGTTCAAGCGATTGTCCTGCCTCAGCTACCTGAGTAGCTGCGATTACAGGTGCCCGCCACCACATCCAGCTAATTCTTTATATTTTTAGTAGAGACGGGGTTTCACCATGTTGGCCAGGCTGGTCTCGAACTCATGAGCTCAAGTGATCCACCCACCTCAGCCTCCCAAAGTGCTGAGATTACAGGCATGAGCCACCATGCCTGGCCTAAAAAGAAAGTTACACATAGTTAATAGAAAAAGAAAAGTGAAAAGATGCACACAAAAATCCTAACAGTCATTATTTCTGAAGGGTTTCAGGTACTTTTTCTTCCATATTTTCTGTATTTTTTTCCTTGAGTTCATCTAGCCCAAAGCCTGTCCCTGTCCCTGTCCTCACCCCATTAGGGCAGAAAGGGCCCTCAGCCTCCCACCCTCAGAAACTGGAAAAACTGTTCAACACCCCGTGTTCCCTGGGATGTGTTGAGGCTTATGCCCCTCACACAGCTCATCTGCTGGAGGGGAGCACCAAGGAGCTGGTGATTCCCGTATTCAGGCACCCTTGGGCTACGCGGAGGGTGGGTGCAGTTCCCCAGCCCTGGGAACAGAGGAGTCACGTCTGTGGCTGCCTCCTGGGGAGAGTCCACCCCGCCCTTGCCCAGCCTGGGAGCTCAGTAGCGATTTGTTAGTGGGCAGCCCTTTCTGGGTGGCAGCGCTCTTTGGCCCCTGGTTTCTTTGAGTTCCCTGAGGTCAGGGACACTGCACACTGACCTAAGGAGCCCCTTCTGTCCCTGTGTGACCTGCAAACGCTGGGCAGCAGCCTGTGATGTGATCAGAGGTGGAACGGGGGTGGGGGGCGGGGAGTCGGGTGGGGGATTCAGGGGGAGATCCCTGATAGCCCCTGGAGGGTCCAGGAAGCTTTCCTGGAAGGGATGACGCTGGACTGAGTTCTGTAGGGCTCTGTGACAGCCGGGTGGGGGTGGGGGAGCCGCAGGCCAGCCAGGAGGATGGGTGTGGGCAAGGCCCGAGGGGGCCAGGTTGGGTGGGGAGTGGTGTCTGTACTTCCTGGTTTCTGGAGGTACAACCTGAATGAGATCCCAGAACGCAAAAAGACTTGCCGGAGGGCTGAGGGTGCAAATCCTGAGCCTTCTCACGGGGCCATTGCTTATTGTATGTGTTACACCCGCTCCCGGGCTGACCCCCTGGAGTATCTTGGCACATTTCCCGTCTCTTCCCTTTTTGCTGTCGCGCAGCTTGGCCGCCTTTAGTTTTTTCCATTTTTCCCACTCTCGGGACATCGAGCCCATTTCCTCACAACAGCAGAAGCAGTTGACACACTGAGTTTCTAGCGAACGCCTTCGCCCCTTCAGCAGCAGCTTTGAGGGGCTCCTTAGGCTAGACAAGGAGAGAGGGGTGCCAGGGTGATCTCTGGCCGAGTCCCCTCCTGAAAGCTCCGCAAGCGTGTGGCCCGCAGGCGGGCGCGATGACGAGGCGCGTCTCTGTTGAGTGTCTCCAGGGGCAGTCTGCCACCCATCCTTCCTGACTGCCTGGCCCTGTCCCCTGCAGACCGAGAAGGACATCCTGCTGCGACCTGAGCTGGAGGAACTCAGGAACAAACATTCTGCACGCTTCAAGCTCTGGTACACGCTGGACAGAGCCCCTGAAGGTGAGTGAGGGAGGCCCCTCACTGGGTGGGTGGGAGGTGCCAGCCCACAGTTCACCTTTGCCCAGCTGTTTGTGGCGTTGAGCCTTTGGACGACATCTGGCACTCACTATGGCCCTGTGGGAGGCAGGTGGTGTGGCCCCGTCTCACAGATGAGGAACAAGGGCTCACTGAAGCCACACAGCCGGAAACCACCACAGCCCGGCCTGAAACCCAGGTCCTCGCCTCCAGAGGCAGAGTCCTTTCCCGGGCGCACTGCACTGCCCAGCTGGGCAGAGAAGGCCAGCGTCCCCTCCCTGGGCGGGGCTCACTTCGGGGCAAGTCTCGGGGCAGCGGTGGCGGCTGCTGCTTCCACATCCCAGCGTGCATACTCTCAGGTGCTGCCGAGTTACACCAAGGCCATCTTCTCTCCCATTGTCAGCCCTGGGGAGTGGGCTGGGCCGACGTTGGGGTTACCCTTGTTCCACCTGTCCAGTGGCTGAGCTGCTTGCCAAGGGAGTTGTGGGAGAGCCAAGCTGGAGGCAGCGAGTGAGGGCCGCCCCACCTCCACCACTTGCAGTGAGGTTGCCTCTGGGAGTTAAAGCGCCCTTCCCTTTTCGGCTTCAGATAGAGATGTAGGTATAAGTAATATCTCAATTTCTTCTTTGCTGTAAGAAAAGCAGAGCTCAGCCTTCCCCAGGAAACATTCTGGTGATGTTTAGCTTCAGGGCTGAGAGACTAGGGAGTGGCGGCAACTGCGGTAAATTGGAGCGCATCTGCCTGGTCCGGAGGACACAGCCCCATCCGCCGTGGGCAATCCCGCTGTGGAGTATAGCCCTGTGTGGCCAGGGCCTCTGCTTTTCAAGAGAAGCTGGGGACCTGCATTTTCTGGGAAATTTCTAAGTGTTGGAAGCACCATTTTTGAATACCCGTGTGAGCACCAGTTTGGGGTCTCATGTCCTGCCATCTGCCCCTGCTTTGCCTCCGGCACCTCCTACGGCCCCACAGTTTCCTCAGGACTAATCCATGGTGGGGGGCGCACACCCTCTGCTGATGATCCATGTCAGGGGGTGCATGCCCTCTACTGATGAGGGAGCTCTGTCCACACCACCCTCTGCTCCTCCCAGAAAGGAGCACATGGGCTCTGGGACTTGCACCACCTGGCTAGCACCTAGGAGCTGGGTCACCTGGGCCCATCCCTGAGGGAGCAGCCGCCCTTCTCAGATGACCAGCTTGGGTTCCAGGCCTCCAGGCTGAGAGACCCAGGCCTGGAGGGGGTGGTGGATGTGTGGGTTGTCACCGTGTCCGGCCTCTGGCTGGACCTGCTGTCCTGGGTCAGCCCACCCCCTCCAGGTCGGCTGCTCCACCTGGTATGCTCAGGAAGCCAACCTGACCCCGCAGCTGACCTTCCAGTGGGGGAGGCAGAGGACTAATGGGAGCAGGTTTCTTAGTAAATTATAGCGCGGTTATGGTGGCGGGGTTCCTGTGATGTGGGGGGCCAAGCAGAGCCAGGCAGCGGCTGGAGCGGAGGTCAGCCAGGGCACTGGCTCTGGGAGTCTAGCTGCTGTTTCTCTTCTACTAACGAAAGGAGCAGGCCGGGCGCGGTGGCTCACGTCTGTAATCCCAGCACTTTGGGAGGCCGAGGCAGGCAGATCATGAGGTCAAGAGATCGAGACCATCCTGGCCAACATGGTGAAACTCTGTCTCTACTAAAAATACAAAAATTAGCTGGGCGTGTGTCGCGTGCCTGTAGTCCCAGCTACTCGGAGGCTGAGGCAGGAGAATGGCTTGAACCCGGGAGGCAGAGGTTGCAATGAGCCGAGATGGTGCCACTGCACTCCAGCCTGGCGATAGAGCGAGACTCCGTCTCAAAGAAAAGAGCGTTTTATCCTGTACCCATGTGTCAGTCTAAAGGGAGGAAGTGATAGGCTGCTTTGCTCCTTTCTGACTGCAGTTTCTAATGGCATGGGCGGGGCCAGCTTGCTGCGAGGCAGGGTTTAGCCCCATCCCAATTCCAGATGAGTGATCCAGATCCCTGGTGCGTGCAGGAGCCCCTGCCCTGTGGCCAGAGCGAGGCCTGGTCCCCCAGGGAGGGGCCAGTGCTGACCCCTGGTGGCAACAGGCAGCAGCACCTGCACCACCACCACGGGACAGTTACCTGCCAATGAGAGGAATAGTTGGGTGATCTCCTAGCATTTTTCGTGTACATTTGTTGCCACTGTGACCCACAATTCAAGATTAGTTGAGGTACTGCTGTAGCATTAAATGTAAGCTGAAATTCCAGAGGTTGAGAAAGAAAGTGGTAACAGGCCAGTCTGGCTGTACCGTAGCTAAGCGAAGGATGAGGAGAGCCCCAAGGACTCCAGGCAGGGGCAGTGAGTATTTCCCCCACAGAGCCACTTTCAGGACAGGTACAGGGAAAAATACATTAAGCCATGCACGGTGGCATGCACCTGTAGTCCCAGCTATTCAAAGCTAAGGCAAGAGGATCACATGAGCCCAGGAGCTCCAGGCTGGAGGGCATTATGATCACACCTGTGAATAGCCACTGCCTGCCAGCTGGGGCAACATAGCCAATTCCTGTCTCTTAAAAACACACACACACACACACACACACACACACACACACTAAAAAGAAATCGCTGTGAAATTGAAAGGTGTCTTACATACCTGCACATTTTGTACACTAGCAGTTTATGCCCATGCAGTTTTTACAAGGTACTTTCAGATCCACTTCAGATCCATTGCCCAGCTATAAAACTATTTTCTGTGCCTCGCCTTGTTCCAGAGGGATTTTAGGAGGCTTACAAAGACTCATCTGGTGAGTCAGAGTGGCACAAATGGAAAGTGGGAGTGAAAGAAAAACAAGTGCAGGGCTATAAAATGAATGGAATCAGTACTGGGATTTGTACAAAAACGGACTATAATGTACGCTTGCTGTGAATGGGCCACACGTATCACTCCAGGCTTCCCAGCAGCCAAGGTGAAAAGGGAAATGTGGTCAGTGACTTAGCTCATGGAGTCCATGAGATAAAGAGGACCCCCTTGCTCAGCACAGTAGACTCTTCCTGGTTCCAGGGCAAGCGGGACTGCTTTGGCCCCTCCCCGTCAGGACCTTCACAGCGTGGAGTGTATGCTGTAAACTTGGGCCATCTAGGCAGGGTGTCTGTGTCAGCCAGTGCCAGCCCTCCTGGCCTGAGGCTTCAGCAGCTTTTCTCTTGGTGTTGAGGGCTGTGGGGTGGTTGTTTCTGGTTACTAAGGATAGAGACCAGCCATATCATCGTGGGCGCTCAGGGCTCGAGGGGGCAGGACACACAGCTGTGGATGAGACTCAGTTCCTCATGGGCCGACATTCTTGGGGAGTCACAGTGGGCTCATGGAGGTGGGGGCAGTTAGAGACTGTCACCCTGAGCAGCCTGGGGCAGAGCACCAGCCTGGGGACCTCTGGATCCTGGAAGGTACATCTCAGTCGTGTCCCTGCCTCATTGTGTGATCTTGAGCAACTCAACTCTGGGTCCTCTGGGCCTCAGTTGCCACATCTGTAAAATGGGATTCATATTCCCCGCCCTGTCCACCCACTGGGTTGTTCCAAGGGACACCCCGGAGGCCAAATGGAAGCAAAAGGCTTTGCAAACTGTAAAGTGCAGTCAGGGGAACCATGATGGGCTTTGTACACTGGTTTCAGGCTGCAGGGCCTGAGGCCATAGGCTTGAGTCAGGGTTGGGGGCAGGGGGTCCTGGTGACAGTTTGCTGGGATCAGCCTCTCCATTCTTCAGCATTTAAGGAATTCACCGCCTAGGGTTGGTCGGTCAGCAGGTTGGTGACCACACAGCCACACGTCAGCTTACCTGGTCTCTCACCCCACAGCCTGGGACTACGGCCAGGGCTTCGTGAATGAGGAGATGATCCGGGACCACCTTCCACCCCCAGAGGAGGAGCCGCTGGTGCTGATGTGTGGCCCCCCACCCATGATCCAGTACGCCTGCCTTCCCAACCTGGACCACGTGGGCCACCCCACGGAGCGCTGCTTCGTCTTCTGAGGGCCGGGCACGGTCACACGGCCACCCGCCCCGCGCACCCCACGCCCTGTTCACGCTCACCCAGTCACCTCCCCACATCGCACACTGGGGCCCCGGGTTCAGCCTGGCCTGCCCGTGCCCTGGTGAATCACCTGGCTGAGCAGTTCCCCTGGAGCCCCTTCGGGAGCAGGGCTGTGTCCCAGATGGGCCACGGCTGAGCCTTCAGAGTACGTCCTGCCTGGCACTTACTGGTCCTTACCAGAGACGCCCAGCCCCATCCCTGTCCTCATGACCCCTCGTCCACCCCCCACACACACTATAAGGCTGAGGGCTGCCAGCAGCCCCGTCTGCCCACCATTCCCGGCCGTGGACCATAGTCGGGATGTCAGCAGACACACATGGGCAGCCCAAAGCTGCAGGTGCCAGGGCCCACCCCAGCCTCGCCTGTCACCCCCACTCCCGCCTCAGGGCCAGGCCCAGGCCTCACCACCTGACGCTGCATGAGACATTGACACCAGAAAGCCCTCTTGGGGGCACTGCTCCCTACCCCAGGGCCCTGGCCAGCCGGGAGCTTGGCTCTCCTCTGGCTAGAGTGGGAAGAGGGGGCTGGCCATGGGGCCCTCCCAGAACCTCAGCATTTCCTTCCAGCCCATCCAAACACTGAGGCAGCCTTGGGGAACCCCGAGCTGGGGGGTTGGCAGCCCACTGCACCGCCTCAGGGTTTTGGGGTCCTGGGCTGGGGCCACCATCCCTGATGGCAGAACTCCCACAACCACATGTATTTATTCCTCTGTCCTAAACCGTCCCCTCCTTCCCTCACCCCCAGCACAGGGGGATTCTGAGCAGTGCCTCTTGTCTGAGGGACATATCAGTGACCTCGACGTTGCCTTTAGACTACAGTTGTGTTAGCCTCTTGCGTATTGGCTTTTTCAGAGTCATTTATGAGCAGAAAAAAAAAAAGTAAAACTTTGCTAATATTAACCCTTCTCTAGCTCCTCGAGGGTCTGTGACCTGCAACACAAGGGGTGGGGTCAGGAAAGGGCTGGGGAAGACCTAGCATTTTTTTTTTCTTTTTTTTTTTTTTTTGAGACGGAGTCTCCCTTTGTCACCCAGGCTGGAGTGGCATGATCTCAGCTCACTACAACCTCCACCTCTCGGGTTCAAGCGATTCTCCTGCCTCAGCCTCCCGAGTAGCTGGGACTAAAAGTGCCCACCACCACACCCAGCTAGTTTTTGTATTTTTTTTTTTTTTTTTTTGAGACGGAGTCTCGCTCTGTCGCCCAGGCTGGAGTGCAGTGGCGGGATCTCGGCTCACTGCAAGCTCCGCCTCCCGGGTTCACGCCATTCTCCTGCCTCAGCCTCCCAAGTAGCTGGGACTACAGGCGCCCGCCACTACGCCCGGCTAATTTTTTGTATTTTTAGTAGAGACGGGGTTTCACCGTTTTAGCCGGGATGGTCTCGATCTCCTGACCTCGTGATCCGCCCGCCTCGGCCTCCCAAAGTGCTGGGATTACAGGCGTGAGCCACTGCGCCCGGCTCCAGCATTTATTTCTGATGTATCTTTGTGGTAGAAAATTTGGAAAGTGCAGAGAAGTATACACAGGAAGAAAAATTCCCAACCCCCAGAGGCAAACCAGCTGAAACCACGCAACCCCAGTCACCCCAATGCACCGCGAGGCTGCTGCCTCCTGTCAGGGTCAGATGAGCCTCGAGGCTCAGGAAAGTCAGAGGATGCCATCTGCATGGTGGTAAATTACAGAGGTGATGAGGCAAGGTGGGTGTGGGGCTGTTCTTAAAACGGGGCAGCAGGAAGGCCCCAAGGAGATGGATTTGGGCTGGGACGGGAAGAGAGAGCTGGCCATGCTGGGGTGGGTGGGTGTTCAAATGGTGGAAACAGCAGACGCAAAGGCCCTGCCGTTGGAACCAGCTTGTGGAATAAACTTTCAGAAACAGATCGAAGAAGATAGGTGGCTGGAAGGGGCAGCAACGATGAGGCTGGAGAGGGAGGCGGGGCTAGGCTGGTGCTCCGGAGACTTGCTGGGTGGCCCTAGGAGCACAGTGAGGCCAGTGTGGCTGGAGGGGAGTGGGGAAGAAGAGGGGACGGGGCAGGTTCACAGGAAGGAGGGCCCAAGACCAACCTAGGGGACTAGGAGAGCCCTGTCTCCTCTCACTTCGCATTTTCCATTCTGTCTCTGGCCACCTCACTACCTACAGTGGCAGGAAAAGGAATCTCAGACCCAAAATGGCCTTCACACTGTGGCGGGGGACTGCTAGCAATGGACACGCGTTAGGTTTCATCCTCATTTCTGTCCCTGTCTGAGGCTGAAAGGCACAGGATTTGAACACAGGCCTGCCTGAGCCCACAAGAGGCTGCCTCCTGGGAAAGGGGACGTGGGAAAAGGGGATCAATTGGACCCGATTCCCACCCTCTCCAGGTCTGTTTCCCCATTCAGAAAATGGGAGAGGGCTCTAAGGCAGCGATTCTCCATACAGACTCGACACCTTTATTTATTATTTTTGGGACGGAGTCTCGCTCTGTCTCCCAGGCTGGAGTGCAGTGACATGATCTTGGCTCCCTGCAGCCTCTGCCTCCCAGGTTCAAGCGGTTCTATTGCCTCAGTCTCCGGAATACCTGGGGATTACAGGCGTGCACCACCACACCGGCTAATTTGTTTGTATTTTTAGTAGAGATGGGGTTTCACCATGTTGGTCAGACTGGTCTGAAACTCCTGACCTCAGGTGACCCACCCTCCTCGGCCTCCCAAAGTGCTGGGATCACAGGTGTGAGCCACCATGCCTGGCCAACACCTTTAAAATAACAGTTGTAACGGGCCCTTTACGCTGCAGAATTCACAGGCAGTATCACCTACCTATACGAAGAATTTTAAAAATCAACACAGCTCTAAATGAGTTGTAAAAGAACAAGAAAGGAGGCCGGGTGCTGTGTCTCATGCTTGTAATCCCAGCACTTTGGGAGGCCGAAGCAGGTGGATCACCTGAGGTCAGGAGTTCGAGACCAGCCTGGCCAACATTGTGAAACCCCCGTCTCTACTAAAAATACAAAAATTAGCCGGGCGTGGTGGCGTGCGCCTGTAATCCCAGCTACTCGGGTGGCTGAGACAGGAGAATCGCTTGAACCCGGGAGGCGGAGGCTGTGGTGAGCTGAGATTGTGCCACTGCACTCCAGCCTGGGCGACAGAGCGAGACACCGTCTCAAAAATAAAAATAAAATTGTCCTCCGCATCTGCCCTACACTGCCCAGCTGACCCCACTGGCCAGCCTGTCCTCCTCCCACCTCTTGCGCGTTCCTCCTGGCACGCCTGGAAGGGAGGAAAGGCTTAATGGTCCCGTTCTATGGGTGAGGAAAAGAGGTCTGGGAAGGAGCCCGGCGTGGTGGGGCGGGCCTGTAATCCCAGCTACTCAGGAGGCTGAGGCAGGAGGATTGCAGGATCGCTCTTACCCAGTTTCTTTCTTTCTTTCTTTTTTTTTTTTTTTTGAAACGGAGTCTTGCTCTGTCGCCTAGGCTGGAGTGCAATGGCGCGATCTCGGCTCACCGCAACCTCCGCCTCCCGAGTTCAAGCGATTCTTCTGCCTCAGGCTCCTGAGTAGGTGGGATTTCAGGCCGTGCCACCGCGCCCGGCTAATTTTTTTCTTTCTTTTTTTTTTTTTCAGTAGAGACGGGGTTTCTCCGTGTTGGCCAGGCTGGTCTCGACCTCCTGACTTCAGGTGATCCACCCGCCTCAGCCTCCCAAAGTGCTGAGATTACAGACATGAGCCACCGCTCCTGGCCTCTTACCCAGTTTCTGCACGGAGCTCCTGATGCCTGATGGCCAAGAGGACATAACCCCACCTGTTCTAAGGGCATGGAGTGTATTTTTAGAGTGATTGGACAAAATATGTGCCGAACACCTACGTCAGGTCTGGCGCATGCTGGAGGCTGGGGTTATATCAATGCAAAAGCCATTCCCTGTATTTAACACGTAAATGAATTAGTCTCTTTAACTCTCCCAACGCCCTATAAATTATTTGCTCCATTTTACATATTAAACGCTGTCACGAACTGAGCTGCTGTGTGAGGCCGGGGCCGGACTTATCTTTCTGAAGCACAGAGAAGCGGTTATACGCAGAAGTTTGGGAGAACTGGGTAAGGCCGCACACATGGAAATTGCCAGTTTCGTGGGTCCCAACGTCAATACTGTGGGCAACCTTAGACCGGCTCAAAGCGCAGCTGGGGACGGTGATGAAGTGCAGAGCGTCCACAGCCAGCGACAAGACTGCCAAGCAACTGGCAGCCTGAGTAACGGAGAAAACAACGAAAAAAACGCATTCACCACCTACCAACAAGAAACAAAAAACACGACCACCCCACAGTCAGTCTACTTTTTAGGCGTGAATAAGGTCGGGCAGATCGCAACTCCCAGGCATCCCGCAAAGTAGGCGGGTCACCTTGAGGGCGACCTTTACCCGCTCAAAAATTCGTCTCACATTAGCAGTGAGGATTCGGGCGTCACCCCGAATCGTTATTTTCCTTACTCATAAGTTTAAGGCATAAGGACGTTTTTAGTTTATTTCCTAGGTAATGAATTCTATTCTCATTAGGCGTATGATGACTATCGTAGTTGACTGTTGAGGTCATGATCCAGTTCCATTGAAGTTTGTCTCACTTGTTAATAATGTATTTTGTTGCTTTTCATTTAATTTTTTCCCTCGAGGAAAATAAATAATTCATAATGTGCCGAACTTCCGTATGCAGATGAGCAGCCAGCACCGCGAAGGCTCACGGGGAACGTCCCCGCCCCTTCCGGTTCTTGCCTGCTTTGAGCTGGCTGTCGCGAGAGTTGGTCCGCGGACGCCGGAAGTAGTTCGTCGCTCCCTAGCGGCCGAAGGGGCGGGCTCGCGGGGTCTCGACTGCTTTCGGCTTGCTCGGCGGAGCAAGATGGCGGACATCTCCCTGGACGAACTCATCAGGAAGCGCGGGGCGGCGGCGAAAGGACGGTGAGAGGCCTTTCCTTTCTTCGGGGTTTAGGGTCCTCGGCCTAGTGGAGCTCGAGGCGGGGGAGGTAGCGATCCGGGAGCGACGCGGAGGACCGGGTGCGCCCGCCCCCGACCACAGCCGCGCTCCTCATTGGCCGGCTGCCGCCGTCCCCGCCGTGGCCCCGACCGCCCGCCCACTGGCCGAGGCGCAGTCCCTCTGGCGGCCCTGGGAGGCCGACGGGGCCGCGGCGGGGACAGGGTGCCGCCTCGTGGACCTGAGGGGCTGCCCCCTGGGGCCCCCGCGTTCCGGGGTCCTGGGGTCTCGGCGGCGCAGCCTCCTTGCCTGTGTGGACTGGCATTTGGGCCCCGCTCCGTGATCTCGGCGCTGCCTGGTCTCCACCCATCTTAGAGTTGAGACAACCGAAGTTTAGTAGCGGGGAAGTGACTTGCTCCGACCGCCGAAGCTGAGGCGCAAGCCCAAATCCCCCTGCACGCGGCCCCTGTTAACACTCGCCTCTCTTTGTGCGGCGTTTTAAGTTTTCTGAGCCCTTTCATATACACGATGCCTCATTTAATCTTTTACAGTCCTGTTGTCTGCTAGCTATTCATGTTACCCACCTTTTACTGATGGGGAACTTGAGGCTGGAAGTGGTAGAGTGACTTGCCCGAGGCCACGGAGAACTGAGCGGCGGGCTGAGCGCGATTTAATTGCTGGCTGAGTTGGCCTCCTACATGGGCTTGAAAAACTGGTGTGTTGGGCAGGAGATTGGTTATTTCCTTAGGGAGAAGAAAGTGCTTGAGCTGGCTGAGGAGCCATGGAGGTGATTTGCAGTCATGTCTCCCAAACTTCCCCTAGACCCTTAAATGTTGTTAGTCATTTCAAGCCTTCGTGAGCTGAGTTCATCTGTATGAAGAAGTGAGAACTTTGCCCAATAGTTTCCCAACACACATTAAGTTTAAATGTCTTTGTAAATAGCCAGGATGTAAATATGTTAGATATTGTTTTCTCAGACATTTGTTCTCTCAGCAGATGTTTATTTTTATTTTTATGTTTTTTTTGAGACGGGGTGTTGCTCTGTCGCCCAGGCTGGAGTGCAGTGGTGCCATCTCGGCTCACTGCAACCTCCGCCTCCCCGGTTCCAGCGATTCTCCTGCCTCAGCCTCCCAAGTAGCAGGGACTACAGGTGTGCACCACCACGCCCGGCTAATTTTTGTATTTTTAGTAGAGATGGAAGTTTCACTGTGTTGGTCAGGCTGGTTTCGAACTCCTGACCTCAGGTGATCCTCCCGCCTCGGCCTCCTAAAGTGCTGGGATTACAGGCGTGAGCCACCGGCCCGGCCATTCCGCAGATGTTTATTAATACCACCCGTATGCCTGTGGTTAGGTTTTTCTCTTGATGTCTGAAATGTATCCCTCACCTCCTTCCCCATCCTGGACACTTGTATCAACTACAACTGCCACCACCACCTCATAATTCGCAGCCAGCACTTACCTGGCTTGTGGTTCGTAACGGGCACACATTAGTATTTGTTTCCTCAACTACTGACTGTGAAAGCTCTCTCAGATCTCCATCTAGTGACTGATGTGAAGCTGGTGCTGGCTCCTCTGGCCACTTCTAAGTCCATCCACGTTTTGTAGGTTCCTTTGGAAACGACAGAATGATCCACCCCAGGTTCTTCTCTCTCTGAGGTCACTCCGCCAGTTTCTGACTGCAGGTGGACTGCACTGTAGTCTATTTGATCTCTATGTTTTTGGTTTTAGTGTGTGCAGAGTTTTGTGTTGGGCAGTAGGTGGGGCTGCAGGAATGGGGGGTGGTTATGTGTGGATCCACAGGAACAGGGGCCTTGCAGCTGGATACACCTGGCACTTGCCACTGTTGGGTTCTGTTTCCCTGGCCAGGGGAGTTCTGAACTAGGCAGTTTCCTCACTTGGAATGGTGATTCCTGGTTGAGCGGGATTAAATGTGAGAAGGGTTTTTTTTGTTTGTTTTTTTGAGAGGGAGTCTCACTGTATTGCTCAGGCTGGAGTGCAGTGGCACAGCCTTGGCACACTGCAACCTCTGCCTCTTGGGTTTAAGTGATTCTCCTGTCTCAGCCTCCCAAGTAGCTGGGATTACAGGTGCCCGACACCACGACTGTCTAATTTTTGTATTTTTAGTAGAGATGGGGTTTTACCATGTTGGCCAGGCTGGTCTCGAACTCCTCACCTCAGGCCGAACCCGCTCGGCCTCCCAAAGTCCTGGGATTACAAGCATGAGACACTGCGCCGGGCCAGAAGGTATGTTTTAAAGTTTGTGCCATGTGGCAAGTGTTCAGCAAAGGCTGGTAATTATCTTGGACCTTTCCTTAAAGGCATAGAAGCACACAACGCCCCTGGAGCATAGGTGAGCACTGGGACTCTAGACGCAGACCACCAAGCTTCCAATCCCTGCTTCTCCCACTTTCCCTAGGACCGTCTGCAAGTTACTTAACCATTCCTTGCCTTTCTTTCCTTATGTATAAAACCTGAGTAATATCTACTTTATTAGGTTATTGTTAGGACTGAGTGAATTAATATACCTGAAGTGCATTGAAAAGTTCCTGACAACGGGTACTTAAGTGCTTGATAGACGTTAGCTTTCGTTATTGTCATTGAAGGCTTCTTAAAGTAAAGGAGTAACATGATTCAATTTTTAGCTTGAAAATATTTCTTTGCCATTGTATGGGGATTGGATTGGGGCAAAGAGTGCAGGCAGAGAGACTAGCATGGAAGAACCTGGAGTGCATGCTGAGTTTGAGTTAAATCTTCTGGAAACTCCGTTTTTATCTCACCTGCACAGCCAACAAAGAAAAACTAGATCCAGTGGTCCCTGTTAAGATAATGTGAAAGATCTGAACAAATTCAATGAACAGATGTCATTTCCTGCAGTAAGTTTATTTTTATTTTATTTCTTTATTTTTTTTGAGATGGAGTCTCACTCTGTTGCCCAGGCTGGAGTGCAATGGCATGATCTCAGCTCAGTGCAACCTCTGGCTTCCAGGTTCAAGCGATTCTCCTGCCTCAGCCTCCCAAGTAGCTGGGACCATAGGCATGCGCCACCACGCCTGGTTAATTTTTTTGTATTTTTAGTAGAGGTGGGGTTTCACCATGTTGGTCAGGCTGGTCTTGAATTCCTGACCTCAAACGATCCACCCGTCTCAGCCTCCCAAAGTGCCACCGTGCCTGGCCATACATGCTATTTTACATACTGCCTAGAAGAATCTGCGTACTTGGAACTTTGGTTTTAATGTTGCATGGATATTCCAGGAAGAATTTTGTTGTTTAAGAAAGCTTTTTTCCTCTTAGTAGAAATAGCCAAAGATCCAGCTTGTGGAAGTGTAAATAACCTCTTTCCCCACCACTCTGCTCACTTTGTTTCCTGTGATCCCAAGGATCACATTTGTGGAATGTGCTTGTTCTCAAAAGCAGCCATTCTGTTTTGTGTTCCTCACACCTTGTGAGTCAAGAAAAGGGTCATAGCTGGATGCAGTGGTTGCTCATGCCTGTAACTGCAGCTGTGTGGGAGGCTAAGGCAGGAGGATTGCCTGAGTTCAAGGCTGCAGTGAGCCATGCTTGCACCACTGCACCCCAGTCTGGTTGACGGAGCAAGACCTCATCTCTTTAAAAAAGAAAGAAAAAAGTCATTACCATTATTATTACCTAGGCCTCCAATTAATTATTAAAAGATTCCTTGACTAATGGGAAATGATTGAACCAGAAGAGGGTGGTTTTGAGTGATACCTTCCTCCATGGTGAGGTGCTATCTTTCCTCACCACAGCACATCTCCAGTGACTTTAGTTGTGAAAGATCCGTAGAGAGTCTCCTCAGGATAGCATTAGGTACCAGTTGCAGTGCTGGCCTGCCCCTCATGTTGGTTTTTTCCTTTATTTATTTGAGACAGGATCTTGCTCTGTCATCCAGGCTGGAGTGCAGTGGCAAGATCACAGCTCACTCCAACCTCTGCCTCCTGGGCTTAAGCAGTCTTCCTGCCTCAGCCTACCAGGTAGCTGGGACCACAGGCATATGCCATCATGCCTGGCTAATTATTTTTGTATTTTCTGTAGAGACAAGGTCTCGCCATGTTGCCCAGGCTGGTTTCGAACTCCTGGACTCAAGCAGTCCTCCTGCCTCTGCCTCACAAAGTGCTGGGGTTACAGGTGTGAGCCACTGTGCCCAGCAGTTTCTTCCTTTAGATATGAGGGCATCCCCAGTTAAGTCAGTTGACATGTCCGCTTTTGTTAGTTCGATGAGTTTAACCCTCAGCGGATAGCTTTCTGTCAGCTGCCTCCAAGCAGTTCAGTGTGGCAGCCTTGAATGTGCTGGAGGCTGGAGTTGAGCAGCTCTCTGGGCCAGACGCCTCATCTGGGGAGTCCTTGGAGCTGGAAGTGGGAGGTTGTTGGGGGACAGGGTGGATTGTAAACTTTGCAGTTCAGCCCAGGACTCTGGTCCTGGTACTGACTGCTTGTTTCCTTGTTGAAATAAGATAAAGGAAATAAAGACCTAAACACAAAAGGGAGGAAATGAGTTATTACATAACTCTAGGGAACGAATTATGTTTTAAAATGAAACATCTGCACAAGACTCTTGGGTAAGGGGATAGTATTTTATTTTATTTATTTATTTTTGAGACAGAGTTTTGCTCTTGCTGCCCAGGCTGGAGTGCAATGGCGCGATCTCAGCTCACCGAAACCTCCACCTCCTGGATTCAAACGATTCTCCTGCCTCAGCCTCCTGAGTAGCTGGGACTACAGGCATGGGCCACTACGCCCGGCTAATTTTTTGTATTTTTAGTAGAGACAGGGTTTCACCATGTTGGCCAGGCTGGTCTCAAACTCCTGACCTCAAGTGATCCGCCCATCTCAGCCTCCCAAAGTGCTTGGGATTACAGGCGTGAGCCACCTCGCCCAGCAGGGGATAGTATTTTAGTGTCTTGTTTTTCTTTGTGTCTCTTAAACACCTAATTCAGAGTTGACCCTCAGTCATAGTTAGAATTAAGCTGTTTTCTCTCTATAAAAATGACCTAAACACACACCTAAACGAACACCCCCTAACCCAGAAGCTTTTTTTGTTTGTTTTTATAAGACGGAATCTTGCTCTGTCACCCAGGCTGGAGTGCAGTGGTGCGATCTTGGCTCATGGCAACCTCTGCCTCCCATAACCCAGAGGATTTTAAACCCATGGGTTAAAATCTGCTTTATAATAATCCAGGGCCCCACTTCATGGGCCTGAATCTTTTGGACTGGACATCTGTCCAGAATGGGCTGTAGCCCTGCCCTCCCCAGACAGAGCCAGGAGGGTGAAATATTCCTATAGCCCAGACAGACCCTCCCTGGTCATCACACCTATGCCAGGTTCCCGTAGGGGGTATAGAGGAGAGAATTTGGGGTCCAGGGAACGTTTGCCTTCTCACCTGCCAGCAGCGCTCTTGCCAGGACCTCGCGGAATACCTGGTGAAGCCCTGGAAGCAGTTGCAGAGCTGTAGTTTCGGTGCGATGGAGGTGGGGCATTACGAGACTCAGTCAAAACCTTCCTCCTTCGCCCTCCCAAACATTTACTGAGGATAAAAGTGCAGGATGTGTTTTGGGAACGTCAGTAGTCACTGCAGTGGGGAGTAAGGCTGCAGCCATAAGCTGGAGCCAGAGCCGAGGCCCCCCCAGGGGTTGGGCTTTGTAAAGGAGCCCCCAGCAGTTCTAGAAGCGGGAGGGTAACATAATTGAGTCTGTGTTTTAGAGACCTACCCCTGGCAGGAGTGTTGATTTGAAAAATTTCCGATGACTAATGCCTGCCTGAAACCAGTACTGCTGCCTGCTGGGATGAATAGCTGTCTTTTCATGCAGGAAGAGCAGCTGTGATTATAAAAAGCCTGAACACTGAAGCCCCCTCAAGCTGTTCACGAAAGAAGTTGAAAGCACTGGTGGAACCAGGGAACTGAGTGCATCAGATTGAGGGAAATAGCTTACTCCCTCCCACCGTGAGGAGCTCCTACTACATCCTCAACTACCGTTAACTCCCACCCCTAAATGTGCCTTTTAGGCTGTTCAAATAGATAAAAATGCCAGCACAAAGCATCTTGGTGGTCCTTCCTGCCAGGCAGGCATTGTGGTATGCGAGTTCTCAGTGCGTGCACCACCCGCTCGCCTCGCTGCTTGTGCTCACCCTTTGGTCGCTAGAGAGTGCTCCGTATCCCTGGGCATGACCGGAGTCCTAAGATTTCTTCAGCCTGCGGACTGTTTATCCTTCCTTTATATATATGTATAAATTTTTAAGGGTTTAACAACATATTGAAACTGAAATACCAGACAATAATGATAAGGAAGATTGTTTCTTTTTGTTTTGGTGGTGGTGGTTTTTTTTTGTTTTGTTTTGTTTTGATTTTTGAGACAGGGTCTTGTTCTGTCTCCCAGGCTGGAGTCCAGTGGTGTGATCTTGGCTCACTGCAGCCTGGACCTCCTGGGCTTAGTTGATCCTCCTGCCTTGGCCTTCTGAGTAGCTGGGACTACAGATGTGCATCATCACTTGCAGCTAATTTTTTTTTGGGGGGGGGGGTAAGGTTATAGATTAACAGCATCCCAAGGCAGAAGAATTTTTCTTAGTACAGAACAAAATGAAGTCTCCCACGTCTACTTCTTTCTACACAGACACAGTAACAATCTGATCTCTCTTTTCCCCACATTTCCCCCTTTTCTATTCGACAAAACCGCCATCGTCTTCATGGCCCGTTCTCAATGAGCTGTTGGGTACACCTCCCAGACGGGGTGGCGGCCGGGCAGAGGGGCTCCTCACTTCCCAGACGGGGTGGTGGCTGGGTGGAGGCGCCCCCCACCTCCCGAACAGGGCGGCTGGCTGTGCGGGGGCTGCCCCCCACCTCCCTCCCAGACGGGGCGGCTGCCGGGCGGAGACGCTCCTCACTTCCCAGACGGGGCGGCTGCTGGGCGGAGGGGCTCCTCACTTCCCAGACGGGGTGGCCGGGCAGAGAAGCTCCTCACCTCCCAGACGGGGTGGCGGTCGGGCAGAGACACTCCTCAGTTCCCAGATGGGGTCGCGGCCGGGCAGAGGCGCTCCTCACATCCCAGACGGGGCAGCGGGGCAGAGGCTCTCCCCACATCTCAGACGATGGACGGCCGGGCCGAGACGCTCCTCACTTCCTAGATGGGATGGCGGCCGGGAAGAGGCGCTCCTCACTTCCCAGACTGGACGGCCGGGCAGAGGGGCTCCTCACATCCCAGACGATGGGCGGCCAGGCAGAGACGCTCCTCACTTCCCAGACGGGGTGGCAGCCGGGCAGAGGCTGCAATCTCGGCACTTTGGGAGGCCAAGGCAGGCGGCTGGGAGGTGGAGGTTGTAGCGAGCCGAGATCACTCCACTGCATTCCAGCCTGGGCAACGAGCACTGATTGAGCGAGACTCCGTCTGCAATCCCGGCACCTCGGGAGGCCGAGGCAGGCAGATCACTTGCGGTCGGGAGCTGGAGACCAGCCCGGCCAACACAGCGAAACCCCGTCTCCACCAAAAAATACAAAAACCAGTCAGGCATGGCGGTGCGCGCCTGCAATCCCAGGCACTCGGCAGGCTGAGGCAGGAGAATCAGGCAGGGAGGCTGCAGTGAGCCGAGATGGCGGCAGTACAGTCCAGCCTCGGCTCGGCATCAGAGGGAAACTGGGGAGAGGGGGAGGGGGAGGGAATTTTTTTTGTATCTTTTGTAGAGACAGGGTTTTGCCATGTTGCCCAGGCTGGTTTCGAACACCTGGGCTCAAGCGATCTGCCCGCCTTGGCCTCCCAAAGTGTTGGGATTACAGGCATGAGCTACTGCTCCTGGTGTTTTTTATTTTTTAGAAGTTTTTTTCTTAACTCTTCCAGCTCTGCTGTTTACTCTTGACCCATGCTTATTTAATTGATGCTTGAACCAGGTACAGTGAAGTTCAAGTCCATTCCTCACCCCTTAGTAGCTCTTGGGATAGTTAATCTCCTTGGTTCTGAGTTTCCTCATTTATAAGATGTGAACAATAACCTGATTCACGGGGTTGTAACATTTAAAGGACGTCTAAAGCTGGGCATGGTGGCTCCATACTTAGAAGGCTGAGGCAGGAGGTCAAGGCTGTAGTGAGCTATGATCACTGCACTCCATCCTGAGCAGCAGAATGAGATTCTGTCCTTTTAAATTTTTTAAAATATGTTTTTGAGACAGGGTCTTGCTCTGTTGTCCAGCCTGGAGGACAGTATCTCGATCCTGGCTCACGGCAACATTGCAGTCTGGGGCTCAGGTGGTCTTCCTGCTTCAGCCTGTGGAGTAGACTCATGCTGCCATGCCCAGATAATTTTCTGCTTTCATTTTTATAGAGATGGAGTCTCACTATATTGCCCAGGCTGGTCCTGAACTCCTGGGCTCAAGCCATCCTCCTGCCTCAGCTTTCCAAAGTGCTGAGATTACATGGTGTGAGCCACCATGCCCAGGGAGTCTCGCTATGTTGCCCGTGCTGTTCTCGATCTCCTGGGCTCAAGCCATCCTGCCATTTGGCCTCCCAAAGTGCTGAGATTACAGGCATGAGCCACTGTGCCCAGCCTTGTTTCTTAAAAAAAAAAAAAAGTCTGTGTGAAAAATTGTCAACCTGTAGTGAGTAATACTCAGAAGTTTTCATTGATCATGTCCTTTATTTTTTTTGAAACAGAGTCTTGCTCTGTCGCCCAGGCTGGAGTGCAGTGGTGTGATCTTGGCTTGCTGTAACCTCCATCTCCTGGGTTCAACTGATTCTCCTGCCTCAGCCTTCCGAGTAGCTAGGATTATAGGCGCGTGCCACCACGTCTGGCTAATTTTTGTATTTTTAGTAGGGACGGGGTTTCACCATGTTGGCCAGGCAGGTCTTGAACACCTCACCTCAAGTAATCCATCAGCCTCGGCCTCCCAAAGTGCTGGGATTACAGGTGTGAGTCACTGTGCCTGGCCTAGCTGCAAGTTTCTGAGGTCACCCCAAAGCATAGTCCCAGTTTGTCTATGGCTTTGTAGGCCATGGAACACGAAGCCTAGGGTAGCCCAGTCCTAGGGAGGGTGGATGCCATCTACCACATACAACCATTTCTTTCTAATCGTGCATGCCGACCCCCTGAACACTCCCTTCCTTTGGCCCTGCTTTCTCTAGTGCCTCCATCTCCCAGAGTCCTCACATTAAAAAAATAGGACAGGAATGGCCAAGTAAACCTTAAGCCTTATCTGATTAATTGTATAAATGACCCTTCTACCCAGAACCCACTGGAAAATCTTTAAATCTGAATTTGCCACTCCAAAGAGAAAAATGATAGCATGCATCACTGCCTGTTTTAGTCCGTTTAGGCTACTATAAGAAAATACCCTAAGCTGGGTAACTTATAAAAAACAGAAACTGCCGGGCGCAGTGGCTCACGCCTGTAATCGTAACGCTTTGGAGGCCAAGGCAGGCGGATCACGAGGTCAGGAGATCGACAGCATCCTGGCTAACACGGTGAAACCCCATCTTTACTAAAAATGCAAAAAATTAGCCGGCCGTGGTGGCGGGCGCCTGTAGTCCCAGCTACTTGGGAGGCTGGCGCAGGAGAATGGCATGAACCCGGGAGGCGGAGCTTGCGGTGAGCCAAGATTGCGCCACTGCACTCCAGCCTGGATGACAGAGCAAGACTCCATCTCAAACAAAACAAAACAAAACTGAAGAAAAGAAACTTCCTTGTCACAGAGAGTCTGGGAAGTCCAGGATCAGGATGCTGGCAGATTCCATGTCTGATGAGGGCCTGCCTGCTTCCTGGTTGTAGATGGTCTTTTTGCTGAGTCCTGACATGGTGGAAGGGGCCAAGGAGCTTTCTGGGGCTTCTTCCTTATAAAGGGCACTAATCCCATTTGTGAAGTCTCTGTCCTCATGACTTAATCACTTCCCAAAGGCCACCACCTTCTACCACCATCACATTGCAGATTAGGCTTCAACAGAGGAATTTTGGGGGGACACAGATGTTCAGTCTGTATTACCGCCTTAGGTTTGGTACTGGCATATTGGAGGCAGCAGGTGTTTTTCCATTATTTGAGGGATAACAAGATGAAGGTCCACGTTTGCTTTTATTGGTACCAGGTAGACTCACCTTTGGCTGCACTTCTGGTATTCATTAGCAGAGGAACTGACAGCCAATCTCACTCCAGCCACTGGAATGCAGCAGTGGGAGAGTGCCAGTGACTGACCCAGTATGAGAGATGCCTCCTGGGAGGTCCAGGCAGTGAAGTGGGAGGCAATACAGGAACTCGTTTATGCAGCAGAGTTTACCCTCTAACAGCAGGTCAGAGATCCTCAACATGGCTCTTCTCCAGAATCACCCATGGAGTTAAAAATGCAGATGGCCAGGCCTCGCCCCAGATTTTGGATTCAGCATCTAGGGTGGGATCTGGACAGCTCTGTATTTAAGAAGCTCCACAGGAGTTTCTGACACTCAGCCAGGGCTCGATGCTGCTTAGGAGGTGCTGGGCCCTGCAAAAGGACTGAACCCCATTCTCCTCCCCCCGCCCCACCCAGGGTAGGGAGAGAAAAAAGGAAACAAGCAGGTATAATAATAGGCACAGAGGAGAGTTGGCCTGGAGAAATCCGGGAGGGTTTCCCAAAGAGCACCCCTTGACATAGGAGTCCGCAGGCAGAGCGTCTGCCGCATGAGTGGCCGTTGAGGGTAGCTATTGTAGAGAGGCCTGAGGGTGGGAGGCGACAGAAGAAGCCCAAAGACCTTGGGGAGGATCTCCAGCGCTATACTCAGGAGGGCCTTCTGTTCACTTTCAAGCCACTGTAGGCCAACAGAGGAACCCAAGAAAGAGACCGGGGCCTGTTTATGGAGTTTCATTCATTTCCAGTTAAAAAAAATATTTTATTTTAAATTCAGGGGGTACATGTACATGTTTGTTCCATGGATTATATTGCATACTGGTGAGGATTAGGTTTCTAGTGTACCCATTACCCAAATAGCGAACCCTGTACCCGATCATTTCCAATTTCAGTGGTTTCTGTATTTGATATTTTTGCTATTGCAATTTTTTCTTTCTTTCCTACCAAGTCTTTGTGTTTTCTGTTTTCCTCTAGCTCTAAGCCAGACCCATATGTTTGCTCTCTTGGTCTTAGCCCAGTAGATGGTGTCTGCCTTCCTTAGAGACACTCTTTGTTAATCATTGAGCCTCTCCAAACCTGCTTCTCCCACTGTAAAGTGGGCATAGTAAGTACTTCTCAGGGTGCTGAGAGGGCTGAGTGAGAACATGGATGGGGATGGGCCTTGGAAACTAAAGTTACTCCTCAGATGAGTGGGATTAGATTTGGTGGATGTTTATTTTATTTGACTGGCATTGTTGGGAAGTTATTGTCCATGTTGGTGTCTCAAGACACGTGGTCTAGGAAGCAAAACACTCTTAACTAGGAATAAAACTTGCCAGCCCCTCTCTCTTAATTTTGCTTAAAATGCAAAGTTAAAAGCCATCATGAAACCAGGAAAGGAGTCATCATGTAGGCATAATCGTTTATTCAATCACAGGCAAGGAGCCGCTTTCTGATTCTCCAGGGCCTCCTCTGTCCCCAGTGTTACCACAGTTCCGCTTTCATAGACTGCTGTAGATACCCAGATCCACTTAATATTGATTGCAATTTATATTTACAGGCTTAATGCCAGACCGGGAGTTGGAGGTGTCCGATCTCGAGTTGGGATCCAGCAAGGCCTTCTCAGCCAGTCAACACGCACAGCCACCTTCCAGCAGAGATTTGATGCCCGGCAGAAGATTGGCCTCTCAGATGCCCGGCTCAAACTGGGAGTCAAGGATGCCCGGGAGAAGCTTTTGCAGAAAGATGCCCGATTTCGAATCAAAGGGAAAGTGCAGGATGCCAGAGAGATGTTGAACTCTCGCAAGCAGCAGACCACGGTGCCCCAGAAGCCCCGCCAGGTTGCTGATGCCCGGGAGAAGATCAGCTTGAAGAGGAGTTCCCCTGCTGCCTTCATAAACCCACCCATTGGGACAGTGACCCCTGCTCTGAAGCTCACCAAAACCATCCAGGTGAGTTGTGGCTTTTGTCATGAATTCCCAGAAAGCTAGTAACAAAGGTAGATTTAGAGGCAAGGTGCCAGGAGTGACTGGGCAAAAATACTATCCTCTCAAGTGTTGGCATAATACAGACTTTGCTCCTTACAGAGGCTTTAAGTACGTTATAGCCAAGGAACTATACAAGGAAGGAAAGGTATTATCTCAGTTCTAAAAAAAAAGAAAAAGGAGGCCCATAGAAATTTGGTGACTTTCCCAGGTGAGATACTGGTGGAAGAAAGAGAGAGGAAAGGACAAAAGATTTATTGAGCACATGCTATGTGGCAGGCCCTTAATATCTGTGACCTTACAGTCCTCACTCCACCCCCAGGCCCAGTGGGATTTGGCCCCTAGTCCAAGGCCCTGGCCACCCTTCACAGCTGCCACCACAGAGGGAAAGGAAACAATGTCATTTAACCTTCATAGCAGCTTTGGTAATAGGAACAGCAGCGGCCACAGCAAACATTTACTGAGCCAAGTCCATTAAGCCCTACATGTGCGTTACCGGCATGGTCTCTGGATTGATGATTCTTCTGTTACTTCCTACTGTGGAGGATAAGGCCCTCTGTAGTGCCTTTTACCAAAGACCAAAGCTGCATGCCCACCATGTATCAAGTTCAGTAACCCCCTTCTTCTAGAGAATGCATGTGGACCCTGTGGGGTGGATTCTGACCACTGAGTGTTTCCAGGTTCCACAGCAGAAAGCCATGGCACCACTTCATCCCCATCCTGCCGGAATGAGAATCAATGTTGTCAATAACCACCAGGCCAAACAGGTAGAGTGAGTGAGTGAGAGAGAGAGAGAGAATCTGTGTGTACATAGCGAACATGTAGGTGTGCACGTGTTTTGATGAGGCCTACTTGGGTGGATGGACTGAGGCTTGCTCAGTTGGTAGTTCCCAGTTGGTAGTATTGGAGGCAGGGTTACAGCGAACTTTTTGCAATTTGAGTTTAAAGAAGAAATTTTTTTTATTTTTTTATTTTTTGAGACGGAGTCTCGCTCTGTCGCTAGGCTGGAGTGCAGTGGCGTAATCTCGGCTCACTGCAACCTCTGCCTCCCGGGTTCAAGTGATTCTCCTGCCTCAGCCTCCTGAGTATCTGGGACTACAGGCGCGTACCACCACACCCAGCTAATTTTTGTATTTTTAGTAGAGATGGGGTTTCACCATGTTGGCTAGGATGGTCTCAATTTCTTGACCTTGTGATCCCCCCGCCTCAGCCTCCCAAAGTGCTGGGATTACAGGCGTGAGCCACCACACCCAGCCAAGAAGAAACTTCTTAATAGAGGAAGGGAGGCATAGGGGGCAGAGAGGCTAAAAAAAGTTTTGTTTGTTTTTTTTAATTTTTTTACGCTTTTTTTTTTTTTGTCTTTTGTTTTGTTTTTTTTTCCTTTTTCTGGAGAACGGGGTCTCGCTATATTGCCCAGGCAGGTCTCGAACTCCTGGGCTCAAGCTATCCTCCCGCCTCTTAGCCTCCCTGAGAGCTGGGATTACAGGTGTGAGCCACCGCGCCCGGCCTAATTTTTTTAAATAAAAGTTCTATGTGCTTAATATAGAAAACTTGCCAAAAAGTCCCTCAAGTTCCTATTCTCCAAAGCCAGTCACTGTTGAAATTTTGCCATAGTTCCTTACATGTACGCTTCTTTTTTTTTGATACAGGGTTTCACTCTGTCCCCCAGGCTGGAGTGCAGTGGTGCAGTCATGGCTCACTGCAGCCTTGAGTTTCTGGGCTCAAATGATCCTCCCACCTCAGCCTCCTGAGTAGCTGGGATCACAGGTGCATACCACCACATCTGGCTAATTTTTGTAGAGATGGAGTCTTGTCATGTTGCCCAGGCTGGTCTCGAACTCCTGGGTTCAATCGATCCTCCTGCCTCTGCCTCCCAAGTAGCTGGGATTACAAGCATGAGTCACCGCGCCTGGCTAATTTTGTATTTTTAGTAGAGACGGTGTTTCTCCATGTTGGTCAGGCTGATCTCGAACTCCTGACCTCAGGTAATTCGCCCACCTTGGCCTCCCAAAGTGCTGGGATTACAGGCGTGAGCCACTGTGCCCAGCCCCAGTCTGTTTTTTACTTAACTCATAGTTGTGGTTGTGGTTATATATTCTTTTTTTTTTTTTGAGACCGAGTCTCGCTCTGTCACTCAGACTGGAGTGCAGTGGCACGATCTCGGCTCACTGCAAGCTCCGCCTCCCGGGTTCACACCATTCTCCTGCCTCAGCCTCCCGAGTAGCTGGGACTACAGGCGCATGCCACCATGCCCGGCTCATTGTTTGTATTTTTCGTAGAGACGGGGTTTCACCATGTTAGCCAGGATGATCTCGATCTCCTGACCTCGTGATCCGCCCTCCTCGGCCTCCCAAAGTGCTGGGATGACAGGCTTGAGCCACTGAGCCCAGCCATGGTTATATTCTTATCCAATTTTGTATCATTCTTTTTTCACTTTGTAACTCAAGCATTTCTCTGTGACATTTCATATTTACTGTACATGTTTTAGTAACTGCAAAATCTATATAGTTGGCATTCCAGTTTTATTTAAACCATTTTCCTGTCATTTTCACTGTTAGAAATCCTTCTGCTGTGAACATCTTTGTAAATAAAGCTCTTTCTAGGGTTTGGATTTATTTCTGTAGGTCATATTAACAAGGATGGACTTTCCAAGCCAAAGGATATAAAGAAACATTTTAGGGACTCTTGGTACATACTGCCCACTGGGAAAAAGGGACTTCTGATGTATCTGGAAGTTGTAGGACTTTCACTGGGTCCTTGCTGACAGGGAGTTAGCCTGTGAAGACTTGGGCCCCAGTCTTTCCAGGCACCGTCACCCCTGTGCCCACTTCTCCTTGGTCCCTTTGTTTCTCCAGCAGCCATTTCCTTGCCATGCCTGTTCTAGATGTCTGTTGAGGGCCCAGATGCCACATTTGCTTATATTTCTTTATGTTATATTCTCAGAATTTATATGACCTGGATGAAGATGATGATGGTATAGCTTCCGTTCCTACTAAACAGATGAAGTTTGCAGCCTCAGGCGGCTTTCTCCACCACATGGTATGGCATTTCATGTTTTCTTACACTGCGTGTCTGATCAGGCAGGTGGGAGAGGTCGTGTTGAATAGAACCTGTTGTTTTTTTTGTTTTGAGACGACATCTCGCTCTTCTCCCCCAGGCTGCTGGAGTGCAATGGCGCAATCTTGGCTCACTGCAACCTCCGTCTCCTGGGTTCAAGCTATTATCCTGCCTCAGCCTCCCTAGTAGCTGGGATTACAGGCGCCTGCCGCCACGCCCAGCTAATTTTTGTATTTTTAGTAGAGATGAGGTTTCACCATGTTGGCCAGGCTGGTCTCAAACTCCTGACCTCAGGTGATCCGCACGCCTCGGCCTCCCAAGGTGCTGGGATTACAGGCGTAAGCCACTGCGCCCGGCGTGAATAGAGCCTTTCAATGCAGAAATATTTCTTTGTTTGGGCCGTAAGATTTTCAGAGCTGGAACTAGTCCATTCCCTTAGTTTTATAAACGCTGAGACACTGGGGTGCCTTCTGATTTGTTCAAGGTCCCACAGCAAGTGAAGTACAGGGCTGCAGCTCCTAGGTGCTGTGTTTGAGACACTATAGGGAAAGTGTGAGTGATCCCACAGTGGGGAGTCTGTGTTCTTTCCTTGGTGGCTGGCCATTCTGCATGCTTCGTAACCCTTTGTGGTCAGCAGCTCTGGCGCTGCTCTTGGAGTCTGGATTCCGTTGGTTAACATTAGCAGGAATACATCTCACCTGATCTGTGGGCTCTACCAGGTGCAGCCTGCATGCAGGGAAAGCTTGCTAGGCTAGAGTGTTGGTCAGACATCATGCAGAGAAGGAAAGAAAACAACATCTGGGATCATCAGGGAGGTCCATGCTGCTCAGCTCAGTGGTACAGCCAAGTGTCAGACAGGGAGGCCAGTGGGCTGCCTAGGTGGGTCCTTGTGGCAGCCACCTCTTTTGTTTTTCCTTCAGACGCTCAAAGACTCAGTTTTGGTTACTGTCCTGAGTATGTGGACCAGCCTCCTGGTTAGTAATTAAGAGAAATATGGGCCAGGTGCGGTGGCTCACGCCTGTAATCTCAACACTTTGGGAGGCAGAGGCGGGCAGATCACAAGGTCAGGAGATGGAAACCATCCTGGCTAGCACGGTGAAACCACGTCTCTACTAAAAAATACAAAAAAGTTCGGGCGTGGTGGCTCACGCCTGTAATCCCAGCACTTTCGGAGGCCGAGGTGGGTGGATCACGAAGTCAGGAGATCGAGACCATCCTGGCAAACATGGTGAAACCCCGTCTCTACTAAAAATACCAAAAAATTAGCCAGGCGTGGTGGTGTGCGCCTGTAGTCCCAGCTACTCTAGAGGCTGAGGCAGGAGAATGGCACGAACCCAGGAGGTGGAGCTTGCAGTGAGCCAAGAGGCGCCACTGCACTCCAGCCTGGGCGACAGAGCGAGACTCTGTCTCAAAAAAAAAAAAAAAAAAAATATCCGGGGTGTGGTGGCGGGCACCTGCAGTCCCAGCTACTCGGGAGGCTGAGGCAGGAGAATGGTGTGAACCTGGGAGGCAGAGCTTACAGTGAGCCGAGATTGTGCCACTGCACTCCAGCCTGGGCGACAGAGTGAGACTCTGTCTCAAAAAAAAAAGAAACATGAAGCTGGCTCGGCGTGGTGGCTCACGCCTGTAATCCCAGCACTTTGGGAGGCTGAGGTGGGCAGATTACCTGAGGTCAGGAGTTGGAGACCAGCTTGGCAACATGGTGAAATCCCGTCTCTACTAAAAATAAAAAATTAGCTGGGCATGATGGCGCGTGCCTGTAATCCCAGCTGCTCGGGAGGCTGAGGCAGGAGAATTGTTTGAACCCCGAGGTGGAGGTTGCAGTGAGCCAAGATTGCGCCACTGCACTCCAGCCTGGGTGACAGGGCGAGACTCCGTCTCAAAAAAAAAAAAAAAAAAGAGGTCGTGAAGCTGAATGATGCCAGTTTGTTTCTTTACAAAGGGACCAGGCCTTTCCAGTAATTAGACTGCTCAAGTCTGCTATCAAGGGAACTATCAGCTTGCTCAGTGAGTCTCTATCCCTATTTGATACCCTAATTGAATAAATGCCATATTTATACTCATGCGTCTTGTACCCTGTGAGATGGGTACTGTTGATTACCCTCGTTGATGGATGAGGGACAGGCATGGAGAGGTGAAATAAGCCTGTTCAACATCACCCAGCTGATGAGAAGCAGTGGATCTAGGAATGGAGCCCGAGCAGTCTCGCTCTCAGGGCCCTGTGTGGAGTCACTGTGCTGTCCCAGCTCTGGAGACGCAGAATTCCACATGAGGAATGTGGAATTCAGCATGGGGATGACGCTGCTTCACCCAGACTTGGAGGAGCGTGGTGAATTGCCCGTGCCCATGCTCTGATGTGCCTCTCTGGCCGCTGCGTTCCTCCTTTCTCCCTGCCCTGGGTCAGTGCCTGTAAACACTGCCCTAAATCAGCAGGGCCCCCGTCACTTCTGCTTTATGCACCTTTTTCCTCAGACACATTAATACAGGGGAGTTTTGTTTCCAAGGGACCACATCCAGATGGAGGGGCTGTTTTTGGTGATCTGCACTGCCAAATGCCCGAGTGTCCCTGACAGTCGGAGCTGATGAGGCCAAGGCTGTGTGTGGTTCCTCTGGATGGCCAGAAGAGGAACCAAAACACTGAATTCTGGGCCTTCTTAAGAGTGGTGATCAGCACATTGTGATAGAAGCATATCTGGGAATGAACTTGGCCTCAAGCTTTTGGCCTTTTAATTTTTTTTTTTGTAAGCAAAAGCAGCTTTATTAAGAAAACAAAGGAATAAAAGAATGGCTACTCCACAGGCAGAGCAGCTCTTTTACATTTTTTATAGAGATGAGGTCTCACTGTGTTGCCCAGGTTGGTCTTGAACTCCTGGCCTCAAGCAGTCCTCTCACCTCAGCCTCCCAAAGTGCTGGGATGGCAGATGTGATCCACTATGCCTGGCCAAGCTTTTGGCCTTCTGACCAGCCTCATATTGTAGAATTTTTAGAAAGTCTAAGTGGTGTGGGTGAGCCTGTGGCTCCTGGGTAATTTTCCAGGTCAGGGCTGTATGGAAGCTTCCTGCCAAGAGCTTCTAGCACTGTGGGGAGTGGCTTCTGTGAGTGCGCGTTCAGGCTGTGTGTTTTTCTCTCCCCCTGCCCCTTCCCTATGGGATGTCACTGGCAGCCGGCAGCCTTTTTGGCTCCAGACCTCTAATAGAATTAGAGAGCTGGGAGGCATCGAGGGTTCATGCTCTCAGCAAGTTGTCAACCTCTTGGGGCTTCTTCAGAACATTGCAGGTCTGGCTTCTCAGATTCTTTTCTGTCTCTTCGTTTAGGCTGGGCTAAGCAGTTCCAAGCTTTCCATGTCCAAGGCCCTCCCTCTCACCAAAGTGGTTCAGAATGATGCATACACAGCTCCTGCTCTCCCTTCCTCTATTCGAACAAAAGCCTTGACCAACATGTCCCGGACACTGGTGAACAAGGAAGAACCCCCCAAAGAGCTGCCAGCTGCTGAGGTGAGGTGATGGTGGTGACTGCAGCAGTTGGGGTCAGGAGGGCTGTATGCTTATATGTACCTCATTGTGTTCCCCACAACGCCTTTGTGAGGTGGGCATTGCCACCCCCATTCTACAGATGAGCAAACCAAGACCTAGGGACTCTTACCCTCAAAGACCTTGCAGGCTAGTGGGGACGGCAGACCTGCTGAGAGATTGCGGTATCTGGTGATATGTTAGACTCTCTCAGAAGAAAGCTATTAGGAGGGCTGAGGACAGATTATCTCATTCCAGTTGGGAAGTCTGGGAAAAAGGGCTCTTTTAGCTGAGTGGGTCTGGAAGCATGAGTAGCCTTCCAGGTAGAGGCTCAGGGCCTGAGAGGCTTGCGTATTTGGGAGATGGGAGAGGGTCCATGCTTTTAGCATAGAGTGATGGGGGGTGTAGTGGACACTGAAGTTCAGGGGGCCCATTTGTGGTAACTCTCCATGGAGCTTTCCTCTGGGCCTTCCTAGTCACGTGCCTGGAGGAATTTCTGTTGTGGGAATGCTTATCAGCCATCTGGCTTCTGGTAATGCTCTTGTCTGTGTGGCAGCCTGTTCTCAGCCCATTGGAAGGCACCAAGATGACTGTGAATAATCTGCACCCTCGAGTCACTGAGGAGGACATTGTTGTAAGTACTGTGACCTACCAAACATTTAAATCTCAAACTGCCTCTGTGGCAAAGGTCTCTTAAGACCCACCCTCAGGTTTGATGACTGCTAGGACTCACCAGACTCAGCATATAGTCACGCTCAGGGCTGAGACTAATGACAGCAAAAGGATGCAGAGCAAATGGCTCATGGGGTGAAGTCGGGGGGAAACGAGGCACAAGCCTCCAGAGGCCCCTCCCAGCAGAGTCGCACAGGATGCTGGGTGCAACTCGCAGCAAGTTGTGACAATACATGTGACACCAGGGAAGCTCATTAAAGACTCAGTACCCAAAGGTTTTACTGGGGGCTGGTCACTTCGGCATTCTCTGTGTAGCATGTACTAAAATTCCAGACTCCCAGAGGGAAAGCAGCTGTTGAGCAGAAACCATGTTGTTTGCACAGTCCAGGCACAGTGAACTGTGGGGTGGCAGGAGCCCTCCTGAGATCCGAGTTCTCAGATGCCAGCCAAGGGCCACCCCTGGAATCGGACCTTTCAAACAATAGCAGTCAGCCCAGCTGCTTCACTCTTCTGCACAGCTTCTAGCCAAGGCCAGGTGCCTGGCCTGAATCTCAGAGTCAGGGGATATCTATGCTATAATGGGTCCTAAATGGGATCCTTTAGTCCCACTGGGCAGTATCCAATAGTTGTGTTTTCCTGTGTCCTTTGGAGGTATTACAAGATGATTCCAAAGTGAAAGAAGTGAGATGGATTGGTGGTATCCACCTTCCTGGTCCATCCCGTCCCACCCATGGCAGTCATGGGCAAAACCTGTCAAATGTCTGTGAGCGGGGTTCTGGATGCAGCTAGGACTTCTTTTCAACATCATTTTCATTCAGGCACCCAAAAGAGCCATTAGTTTAGAAATCCAGGCATCCTTTGAACTGTCAGATCACAAAATGAATACGTTTGGAGAATCCAGCCTCTCCCTGCAGTTAAGTCCCAGACTAACAGACTGCACTGGTCACTACATTTGTTAAATCTTTTTGTTTTGTTTTGTTTTGTTTTTGAGATGGAGTCTCACTCTGTCACCCAAGCTAGAGTGTAATGGTGTGATCTCGGTTCACTGCAACCTCTGCCTCCCAGGCTCTAGCAATTCTCCTGCCTCAGCCTCCCGAGTAGCTGGGATTAGAGGCGCCTGCCACTACGCCTGGCTAATTTTTGTATTTTCAGTAGAGGCAGGGTTTCACCATGTTGGCCAGGCTGGTCTCGAACTCGTGACCTCAAATGATCCACCCACCTCGATTTGTTTTTTTTAAAGATGGAGTCTTGCTCTGTCGCCCAGGCTGGAGTGCCAGTAGTGCGATCTTGGCTCACTGCAACTTCCGCCTCCTGGGTTCAAGTGATTCTTATGCCTCAGCCTCCCTGGTAGCTGGGATTATAGGCGTGTGCCACCACACCCGGCTAATTTTTGTATTTTTCAGTAGAGACGAGGTTTCACCATGTTGGCCGTGTTGGTCTTGAACTCCTGACCTCATGATCTGCCTGTCTTGGCCTCCCAAAGTGCTGGTATTACAGGTGTGAGCCACTGTGCCCAGCTGAGGTTAAATCTTAATTGTGAAACACACGCATGCCGTGAGATGGGTCACTCGTATCTCCTTCTCCTTTAGCAGGGACAGTACTGTGAATGGTGCACGTGAGGATGGAAATTGTAGCCTATTTTGTGTAATACTTGACAAGTCATTAAGAATTAAAGCTGATTGCCGGGTGCAGTGGCTCACGCCTGTAATCCCAGCACTTTGGGAGGCCAAGGTTGGTGGATCACCTGAGGTCAGGAGTTCGAGACCAGCCTGGCCAACATGGCAAAACCCTGTCTCTACTAAAAACAGAAAAATTCGCCAGGCGTGGTGGCACGTGCCTGTAGTCCCAGCTACTCAGGAGGCTAAGGCAGGAGAATCACTTAGAACCTGGGAGGTGAAAGTTGCAGTGAGCCGAGGTCACGCCATTGCACTCCAGCCTGGGTGACAGAGTGAGACTCTCTCAAAAAAAGAAAAGAATTAAAGCTGTTAAGGAGCGTAATAACAACTGCCATTTACTGAGTACTTGCTATGTGCCAGTCACTTTAGGCAGACTCTTGGAAGATACATAATGGTGGAAAACTAAACACCAGTCATGATCAGTGCTCAGGGGAAATTGCTAGTAATAATCACCCTCGCTTCTCTTCTACCCAAATAGGCAATGTTAAAAGGACAATGGTAATAAAATTGGAATTACACCTACTATTTATAGTTGGCCCTCCATATCTGTCGGTTCTGCATCTGTGGATTTAGCCAACCACTGAATGAAAATACTCAAATTTTTAAAAATAACAGTATGATGAGAAATAATACAAATTTTAGAAATACAGTATAACTATTTATATAGCATTTACATTGTATTTGGTATTATAAGTAATCTAGAGATGATTTAAAGTATAGTGGATGATGTGCATAGGTTATGTGTAAATACTACAGCATTTTATAGCAGGGACTTGAGCATCTACAGATTTTAGTATCTGCGAGCGGTTCTGGAACCAGTCTCCTGCAGGTGCAGAGGGGCATCTTGTTTTGATATTTACCATTAAAAACAAACCATGTCAAGGACCTTTTCATAAACCTTCTTTTGGCCCTCACAGCAACCTTGTGAAGGCAGTTGCAGGTGAAGAAATGGCGTGAGTGCTAGTCAGCCTCTGTCCATCTTCACATTTTGCTCCCTCTCTGGCCTTAGTCGTCTTGTCTGTAAAATGAGGTGGAGATCGGACTCAATGATGTGTGCAAAGCACTGCCTTAAAAATTATCTCAGTTGAGCTTTCCAGTAAAGCTGGGAAGTAAGCTAGTCCTTTTTATTTTCAGAGGAGGAAACAGGCTCAGAGAAGTTAAGTAATTTGCTAGACGTCTCATAGCAGATAGAAAGCAGAGCCTGGGGGATCAAACTCAGGTCTGACTTAGAGTGACCAACTGTCCCTGTTTTGCTGGGGACTCTCCTGGTTTCATCACTCAAAGTCTCATGTCCAGGGAAACCCTTCAGTCCAGCCAAACCAGGACTCTGGGTAGAACTCCAGAATTTGTATTTGTAACAGATTCTCAGGTGACATATTAGCAGCTGTCTTTCTTTGTATACATGTATTCTAATGACAGGGCTCTTTGCGAAAATTTTCATAACTGTTTTATCCCTGTTGAGGTGGGCACTGAAGACTTTGGTGGTGGCTTGCTGGGAGATCCCAGGTGATCCAAGGCTTGTAAACCCAGCCCCTTTCCCACTGCTGACCTCATCTGGTGCTGTGTTGAAGCCTGTGGATGTCTCCAGAGCACCACCTCGCGTGGAGCCTCCCCGCAGTCTCAGGCGCAGGGCGCATTTAGCTGCAGCGGAACCACCACACCCCAGGGCCTTCAGAGTGTGTGAGCGGCAGGTGCTGAGAAATCCTTCCCCAATCCCAACCCCTCTTGTTGTGTGCAGGAGCTTTTCTGTGTGTGTGGGGCCCTCAAGCGAGCTCGACTGGTCCATCCTGGGGTAGCGGAGGTGGTGTTTGTGAAAAAGGACGATGCCATCACCGCATATAAGAAGTACAACAACCGGTGTCTGGACGGTAAGTTAGGGAGAAAGCAGTCCCCTGACCCTCCCACTCATCTCTACTTGCTGTCAGGTAGCAGGCCTTCCAGGGGAAGTCTCTGTGAGATGGGTGGAACCCATCTCTGGGGCCTCGTCTGCACCAGGAACTGCCGTGCAGTCTCTGAGTAGTCCTGAGCTGTGGGTTACACAGGGCCCTGGATTTTCACCCAGCCCTTAAGCTTTTGAGCCCAGCAAAAAGGAAAACAGCATTTCTCCATGGATGGTTCTCTTAAGGGGTCTTGCCAGGGGAGCCAAGAGGCACAGCTGTTGCCTCCCAGATGTTGATCTGTTTAGTGCTAGGGCAGAAGTTCCTCCCAGCCCTGGAGTTTTGTCTGAATGTTGACACCTGGGTGAGAGCTGCTCCTGGTGGGTAAACAACAGACTTTATTGACTTGAGGTTCATATTTTTCATCTCCAGACAGCCTGTAGAGAAGAATTCTGTCTGCCATGCTCCTTTTCCACTCATTTGTTCTTTCAGTATGTATTGAGTGCCTACTGTGGACCAAGGCCCTGTGCTAGAAGTGGAGAAGCAGAGACTAATAAAACAATACAACAATAAAAAAAATTACAAATAAAAGACCTGGAGCCTTGGCTAAATCTTGGCACCTGGGTGAACTCCCCTGGGTGAGTCAGTGGAGTTCTGATTTGCATTTCCCCATGGCTAATGATGTTGAGCACCTTTTCATGTGCTTATTGGCCATTTGTATGTCATTAAAGAAATTAATTTTGTTTTGAATTTCTGTTCTTTTTTTGTTTTTTCTTATTTTTTGTCATATGTTTGGATGTGGAAAGATACTTATTTTCCTTTTTCTTTCTTTTTTTTATTTTTATTTTTTATTATTTTTTTATTTTTTTATTTTTTTTGAGTTTCTCTCTGTTGCCCAGGCTGGGGTGCAGTGGCGTGATCTCAGCTCACTGCAACCTCCGCCTCCCCGGTTCAAGCGGCTTTCCTGCCTCAGCCTCCCAAGTAGCTGGGACTACAGGTGCACGCCACCAAGCCCAGCTAATTTTTTTGTATTTTTAGTAGAGATAGGGTTTCACCATGTTGGCCGGGCTGGTCTCAAACTCCTGACCTCAGGTGATCTGCCCACCTCGGCCTCTCAAAAGTGCTAGGATTATAGGCATGAGCCACTGTGCCCAGCTATCTTTGGAGAAATGCCTGTACAGAATCTTTGTCTGCTTTTTAAATACTGAGTTGTAGAAGTACTTTACATATTCTTAAGTCCCTTATCAGATAAGTGATTTACCAATATTTTCTCCCATTCTGTAGGTTTATTTCTGCTTTTTAATGTATTCATATGCAGTATAAGGACTTTTTGGTTAACAGCAGACCACATATATGACAGTGGGCCCATAACATTATAATACCATATTTTTACTGTATTTTTTCTACGTTTAGATGTACAAATACAGTTGCCTACTCTACTCAGTAGAGTAACATGCTGTACAGCCGGGTGTGGTGGCTGAAGCCTGTAATTCCAGCACTTTGGGAGGCTGAGGCAGGAGGATCGCTTGAGCCTAGAAACTTGAGACCAACCTGTGCAACGTGGCAAGACCCTGTCTCAAAAAATAAATTAGCTGGGCGCGTGGTGGCGTGTGCCTGTAGTCCCAGATGCTGGGGAGGCTGAGGTGGGAGGATCACTTGAGCCTGGGAAGTTGAGGCTGTAGTGAGCTGTGATCGTGCCACTGCACTCTGGAATGTATTCCCATGGTTAAATGATACATGACTGTATGTGCATTTACAGCTATATATTCTAAGCATGGCTGTAACTGCATTCCGTGTTTTGGTATATCATGCCTTCATTTTCATTCATCTTGAATTATTTTCTAATCTCCCTTGTGATTTCTCCTTTGACCCATTGGTTATTTAGGATTGTTTCAATTTCCATATATTCATGAATTTTCCAGATTTTCTTTTCTTCTATGAGTGTTTAAGGAAAATATGTATTTTCTTGTTGTTAGGTGGAATGTTCTGTACATGTCTATTATGTCTTGTTGCTTTGTAATGTTTAAGTGCGTTTCATTGTTGATCTGCTTGGTTCTATCTAGTATTGAAAGTGAAATACTGAGGTTCTGTTTTTTTTTTTTGATACGGAGTCTCCCTCTGTCACCCAGGCTGGAGTGCAGTGGCATGATCTCAGCTCACTGCAACCTCTGCCTCCCGGGTTCAAGCAATTCTCCTGCCTCAGCCTCCCAAGTAGCTGGGATTACAGGTGCCCACTGTCACGCCCAGCTAATATTTGTATTTTTCGTAGAGATGGGGTTTCACTGTGTCAGCCAGGATGGTCTTGATTTCCTGACCTCATGTTGGCCAGGCTGGTTTTGAAGTCCTGACCTCAAGTGATCCGTCCACCTGGGCTTCCCAAAGTGCTGGGATTAGAGGTGTGAGCCACTGCACCCGGCGAGATCTTTATTACTGTTGGTCTGTTCCTTTCACTTCTGTGTATTTTTATTTTATATATTTGAGGTTCTGTTGTTACTTGCATATATGTTTGATTGTTTTCTTCCTGATGAATTGACCCTTCAGTCAAATTTAAATCTCTCTTTACCTCTAGTCACTTTTTTTGTTGTTTTAAAGTATATTTCATTTTATATTACTAATAGCTAATAAGCTAATAAGTAAAAGACCAGCTTTCTTAGGGTTGCTATTTGAGTGATATATCTTTGTTCACTTTTTTTTTTTTTTTTTGAGACGGAGTCTCGCTCTGTCGCCCAGGCTGGAATGCAGTGGCATGATCTTGGCTCACTGCAACGTCTTCCTCCCAGGTTCAAGCGATTTTTGTGCCTCAGCCTCCTGAGTGGCTGAGACTACAGGTGTGCACCACCACACTCAGCTAATTTTTAGTATTTTTAGTAGAAATGGGGTTTCTGCCATGTTGGCCAGGCTGCTGTCAAACTCCTGGCTTCAAGTGATCTGCCCATCTCAGCCTTGCAAAGTGCTGGGATTACAGGCATGAGCCACCAAGCCTGGCCCACTCTTACTTTCAATCTTTTTCTCTCATCAACTGTAAAAATGTGTTTCCTAGGCTGGGCACAATGGCTCACTCCTGTAATCCGCCAGGCGGATCACCTGATTGGGAGTTCGAGACCAGCTTGACCAATATGAGGAAACCCCATCTCTACTAAAAATACAAAATTAGCCAGGTGTGGTGGTACATGCCTGTAATCCCAGTTACTCCGGAGGCTGAGGCAGGATAATCGCTTGAACCCAGGAGGCGGAGGTTGCCGTGAGCCGAGATCGCACCATTGCCCTCCAGCCTGGGCAATAAGAGCGAAACTCCATCTCAAAAAAAAAAAAAAAGAAAGAAAGAAAAATGTGTCACCTATAGAGAGTGTATAGTTAGATCTTACTGGTTTTTTTTTTATTTGAATTCAATCTGACAATCTGTCTTTGGATTGGATTATTTAATCCATTCATATTTAATATTGATAATTAGGTTTATTTCTTCCATTTTACTTTTTTTTTTTTTTTTTTGAGGTGGAGTCTCGCTCTGTTGCCCAGGCTGGAGTGCAGTGGCATGTGGTCTCTGCTCACTGCAAGCTCTACCTCCCAGGTTCACGCCATTCTCCTGCTTCAGCCTCCTGAGTAGCTGGGACTACAGGCGCCCGCCACCACACCCAGCTAATTTTTTGTATTTTTAGCAGGGACGGGGTTTCACCATGTTAGCCAGGATGGTCTCGATCTCCTGACTTCGTGATCCACCCGCCTCAGCCTCTCAAAGTGCTGGGATTACAGGCGTGAGCCACCGCGCCCGGCCCCATTTTACTTTTTTGTTCCTCTTCAGTGGCTTTTCTTTCACATTTTTTCCCCAATATTTTAATTCCTTTAATGATGTATTCACTAACTTAACTCGAGTAAGATATGGAAATGTTACTCCCACATGGCCCTGTTCCTTCTTCCTCTTTTTTGTGCTATTACCGTTACACATGTTATGCTTTGTATACAGTGGGAGTGTGGTCTTCCTAGTGCTTCATCCTTTGTAGACAGAGTAGAAGCCTGTACATAATGCTTTTGATCATCTTTTCACTGAATTTGATAGCATAAACCTTTTCCCTTACTACTTGGATGGCTTCACATTGAGTCTCGTTTCTCCCTCACTTCCCACTCATCTCTTCCTGTATGAAGCAAGGTTTGTGGCCACTTTGCCTCTTGGTGCTCCACTGCTGAGGTTTCCTCACGCCCTGGGATTTTCTTAGTGTCTGGCTTGACTGGAACCTAGCAGCCCCATCTCCATCTGTGGAGCCAGAACTGCCAGTGGTGGGTGCTTTGACCATTGATAATGGAGGTACAGCCCTTGTCCTCTTGTGTGAGGAGCCGAGGTCTCATAGCAGAGCCTTTTTCTTTCTTTGGTTTTTCAGGGCAGCCGATGAAGTGCAACCTTCACATGAATGGGAATGTTATCACCTCAGACCAGCCCATCCTGCTGTGAGTTCCAAAGGCGGGGTGCTGGGGAGAGGCAGCTCCGTCCATCTCTTTTTGTTCTAATGGGTAAACTGCCTGCATCACAGCTCCCCTTCATCCCCCCATTCCGTTTCCTCTGTTCTAATGGCAGCTGGCCGTTTCATATGCTTAAACTTGACCAAAATGGTTTGCTTTGTTATTTCCCCAGGGCTTGACCCTATAGGGACTAGCATTATGATCTCGTTCTCAGCTTTCTGATTTAGAAATATCTGAGTGGAAGTTGGAGGGGGAGGCTGCTTGGGTCTCCTAGCTGTGTGCATCATCCCGGGAACAGAGAACTCCACTGCATGATTGGCTCTGATGGAGACAGTGCCAGATGCTACCCCTTATTTTGTTCCCCAGTGAGGTTTTTTGTTTGTTTGTTTGTTTGTTTGTTTTTTGCTTTTTCAGTTATTTTGAGAGTCTCACTGTGTTGCCCAGGTTGGTTTCAAACTCCTGGGGTCAAGCAACCCTCTCCCCTCAGCCTCCTGAGGACCTGGGACTATAGGCGCACACCATCACGCCCAGCTGGATTTGGCTTTTAAGTACAGTGGGAAGCCATTGAAGGCTTTTGTTGCACACAGCTGAGTATACATGCCTGGCCCAGGACTGAGGGATGTTTTGAAGCCTGAGATGCATAAAATGTTGAGACTGTGAGGACTTCACCTTCTAGATAAGGAAGCAGATACCAGGGAGGAGGTTAGACTTGCCAGGGTGAGTGGGATAGTGTGGGGCAGGGCTGAAATAGACTTTGAGATTTAAAAAGACTAGGATTTGAACCCTGGGTAATGAATTATGTGATTTGGATAAGTTCTTAAACTGTGTTCAAGGAATAAGAAATATTTCTTAGGGTTTTGTAACCTAATAAGTTTGGGAACTACTGGGCTAAACAGAGTTACATCTGTTTCACTTTCGGGCTTCTCAGATTGTGTAATATGCTAATGGATGTTACCATCCAGAAGGAACATGCAGTGTTTCCTAAACTTAAAACCACAATTAGCCAGGTGTGGTGGCATGCACCTATAGTCCCAGTTACTTGGGGGGCCGAGGTGGGAGGATCGCTTGAGCCTGGAAGATCGAGACTAGTGAGCCATCATCATGCCACTGCACTTCAGCCTGGGTGACAGAGTGAGATTCTGTCTCAAAAAAACCCCACAAAACCCTAGAACATACAGCACTGCCTGCGTCTCCATTTTCTCATCAGTAAATAAGAAAAACACAGCCTGGGCCACATAGCAAGACCTGGTCTCTACAAAAAATTTTAAAAATGAGCCAGGCATGGTGGTACACGCCTGTAGTCCTAGCTCCTTAGGAGGCTGTGGCAGGAGAACTGCTTGAGCCTAGGAGATGGAGGCTGATGTGAGCTGTGATTGAGTTTGCTGCGAGGTGGAATGAGATGAAGGGGTATGGAAAGTGTTACACCCAGTGCCTAGCTCATGACAGATGCCCAGTAAATGGTGGGTCCCCTCCCCATCTAAGGAAAAACTGACAAGAATTTTTGACTCTTCTCTGCTCTCCACAGGCGGCTGAGTGACAGCCCATCAATGAAAAAGGAGAGCGAGCTGCCTCGCAGGGTGAACTCTGCCTCCTCCTCCAACCCCCCTGCCGAAGTGGACCCTGACACCATCCTGAAGGCACTCTTCAAGTCCTCAGGGGCCTCTGTGACCACGCAGCCCACAGAATTCAAAATCAAGCTTTGAGCAGGGGAGTGAGGCAGCCAGAAGTGGGGGCAGAGGAGGGTGGCTCTGTTTCCCCAAGGCAAAGCTTATGACCAATGGGCCATCGGACTGGAGACCCCTGATTGTGGGAAGGGTTGCCAGGGATAAAGAGCTTCCTCACTGGATGGGACCCGCCTTTCTGTGTTGTGTTCTGCCCTGTGCTCTTCTCTCTACGTTAACGTTTCCTGTAGTATGTTTCTTCATCTCATCGCCAAGGTAGGCTTGTGTTTTTCAGTGTGTGCCTCCCCGAGCCTCAGCCCCAAGCTGATTTCTTATCTGGAAATGGTACACTGAATTCTCTGGGTGGCTTTCTTGTGGCCCCATGGGATGCAGCGTGGGGGCTGTCTGAAGGACCCTGCTTTTTCCAGGGGCCGAGGGGCTGCCTTTCCTTTGTGTGTATTAAGCTTTTCAAACAATGGAGGGGATGGAGAGCCCTGGTGTCCTGACGGGAGCCAGGTCGGCCTGAGAGCTGTGCCGCTCCTCTGTCTTGTCAGTGGAGGTGCCTGGGTGGGGAGCAGGTCTCAGGCCTCTTGTCCTCTCCCCAGTGGCTCCAGGCCTCACTAGTGGCAAGGGCAGGATGAGGCTGCACCGCTGGGAAGAGTCTATCTAAGCTCTTGGCTTGGAGTCCCGTGTCGTCTCCACCCAGAGGAAGTTCTCCAGAGTTCACCTTTCCCTTTTCCTTGAGTTGTGCTGAATGCCCCACCCCAGCTCTCTTTCCCTTCTGGGTGTCTTTGCTGGGAGGGGGCTGTGTTGTGAGCCCTCCCGGTTCTCACCTCGCCTGGCACTTAACCACACCCTGGTTTTGTGTAGCCGCCAGCTCTCTTCTGGTTGGGCCTTTGAAAGGCTCAGCCTCCCATTGTGCAGTGCTTGGGTTTGGAGCTTATTTGAATGGAAGAGGTCAGTTTGTTCCTGGCTCTCCATTTCTGGCCTCAGTTGTCTACAGGACAGTGGTCAGGGATGCCTGGAGGCATATATCCAGCTGCCACCAAGGGGCACTGTTTGTTCCCACTTATGTGAGTGACCCCATCCATCCATGACCAGAGGATTATTTTCCTGCCTTGGCAGAGGAGGAGGAGTCAAGGGAGCAGGGCAGCTCTACCAGGCAAGGTGTTTCCCCAGCATAGGCGCAGACAGTTGGGACGAAACTTCAGAGCCCAGGCAGTCCCTGAATGACCAGGCCAGTGTTGTCACTGAGTGGTCCCCTGCTGGTTGGGAGTGAAGAGAATCCAGGCTGGCAGAGCTGGAGCCAGTTGGGGAGCACGGTTCTGGGAGCTCTGCAAAATCAGTAGCAAGTGCTGGAAAAGGCACATGCCGAAGATACTCAAGAGCTCCCAAGATTTGCTTGAGGCTAGCCCAGTGAAAAAAACCAGAGACTCATGTTTCCAGGGGTCAGTCTGTCAGGCAGGAAGGACCCAGGATTTGAACCCAGCTTCAGTGTGCAGGCTCTGAGGCTGCCCAGGACGGGAAAGTCCAAGGAAGGGGCCTGGTGGTGCTCCACTTGCAGTTCTTTAAAGAATGCTGCTTTTTATTCTCCTAACCCTTTCAAGTGGGTGCAGACTTCTCGTTAGCAGCTGGAAGACATTCCTCCCACACTTTTCCCTTCCTGGCCCAAGAGAGCATCCAGAAGGCAGTAGGACCTGGTTTTTCAGGTACTGGGAGCCGGGGGCTCACTGCTTGCACTGTGCTTAGGGTAGGGATGGTAAATATCCTCCCTGCATGGCTTTATCCTCCCTCTCATCCCAAAGCAGGTATCTTCTGGTTGTCACAGAGTTTCATTGAGTCCAGCTGCAGCCACGTGGCCATCTGGAGCTGGTGCTATAGGTGACCATCTGGTACATTGAGGGGACCTGTTTGCCTCCTCCACTCTATAAGCAGTCATCTTGGGAGACCGGGAGGAGAAGGTGGTGGGCTAGTCCTGTGTCCTCCTCCACTTCCCATGCCTCTATGTTACCCATCTGTGTCTCCTGTGCAGAAGGAGAGGAAGGGGCATTAAGAGATGAAGGGTGATTATGTATTACTTATCCATTTCTGAATAAACATTTGTTATTCCTACCTTTGAGTTATCTTTTTTTTTTTTTTTTTTTTTTTTTTGAGACAAAGTCTCACTCTGTTGCCAAGGCTGGAGTGCAGTGGCACTATCTCAGCTCACTGCAACCTCCGCAGCCAGACTCAAGTAATCCTCCCACCTCAGCCTCCCAATTAGCTGGGACTGCAGGCGTGCATCACCATGTCTGGCTAATTTTTGTAGAGATGAGGTTTCACCATGTTGCACAAGCTGGTCTTGAAATCCTGACCTCAGGTGGTCTGCCTGCCTCGGCCTCCCAAAGTTGGAATTAACAGGCGTGAGCCACCACGCCCAGCCAAGGGTTTTAATCTTGCAGGGATTTCAACATTTGGGGTGGAACTTAATTATTTAAAAAATAGAGACAGATTCTTGCTATGATACCCAGGATGGTCTTGAACTCCTGGGCACAAGTGATCCTCCTGCTTCAGCCTCTCAAAGTGTTGGAGTTACAGGCATGAGCCACTGCTCCCCACCAGGGATGCAAATTACTTGATACTCCTCTCCAGAAGGTGGGGTCCTGTGCCCCTCCTGAACCCAAGTGTGCTCTGTTACTACTTTGACCAGATGTGACTCTGCCATTTCTGTGCCTAGGCTTTTAAAGATGGTCACTTCTCCATTTCCTGTGCCTGGAACATTCTCTGGGAGCCTTGACACCACATTTGAAGTTGCCTATTGGGGCCAGCATGGTGGCTCACGCCTGTAATCCCAGCACTTCAGAAGGCCGAGGCAGGCAGATCGCATGAAATCAGGAGTTTGAGACCAGCCTAACCAACGTGGTAAAACCCTGTCTCTACTAAAAATTACAAAAATTAGAGGGGCGCGGTGGTGGGCGCTTGTAATCCCAGCTATTCAGGAGGCTGAGGCAGGAGAATCACTTGAACCCGGGAGGCGGAGTTTGCAGTGAGGTGAAATCACGCCACTGCACTCCAGCCTGTGCAACAGAGCGAGGCTCTGTCTCAAAAGAAAAAAAATAGTTGACTGTCGGTTTGGCATGGTGGCTCATGCCTCTTGTCCCAGCACTTTGGGATGCTGAGGCAGGAAGATTACTGGAGCTCAGGAGTTCGAGACCAGCTTGGGCAATATAGTGAAGCCCTATCTTTACAAAAAACGAAAAATTAGCTCAGCTACTCAGGAGCCTGAAATGGAGGATCATTTGTGCCCAGGAGGCAGAGGTCGCAGTGAGCTGTGATCATGCCACTATACTCCATCCTGGGCAACACAGTGAGACGGCAGAAAAAAAAAAATAGTTGACTATTGAGTCTCATATCTGATTGCCCACCTGACATCTCCCCTGAGTGGCCTAATGGGCATCTCACCACGGCCCACAGAGAACTGATCTACTCGATTTTCCCTAAGCTGGCCCCTCTCCTGCAGTCTACCCATGTCAGTCAATGGCAACACCATCCTCTTAGTTGCTCAGACTGAAAAGCTAGCAGCCATCCTGGATTTCTCTCACACTGCCTATTCAACGTGTGAATGCATGAGTGGAAAGCTGAGTTCGCACTCGTGACTGGCCGGGGTCGACTCTGACATTCACTCCCACTTTGGCGCGCTGATTTGCCTCTGAGCGGATGAAGGTTGAGCCATGGCGGGCGGGGCCGGGGAGGCGGGCTTGGAGCGAGGGGGCGGGGCAGGCGCCACAAAAACGCGCTCGCGCCGGCGCCGAACCGCAACTCCCGGCGACCCCCGCGCTCCCGGGTGGCAAGATGGTGGCGCGCAGGACGAAGCTCGCGGCGCGGGACCCGGAGGACGGTATCCCGAGCCCACCGTGCTACGCAGGTGAGGGGATCCGGAACGCGAGACCGGGGGCGGCCAGCATCGCCGGGAGGTGTTTGGGGGCTGGCGGCGGCCGGGGGTCCCCAGGAGCGGCCGCACGGTTGGGTGTGAGCCCCGGTGGCCCGTGGCCCCAGGCTCCGCAGGTCTTGAGGCTCCGGGGTCCCGAGGACCCACGCGGCGCCCTTCTGCCTGCTCACTCTCCCGGGGCGAGCCCAACTTGGTCCACGCTTCCCTTGGGTGAGCCCGCCTCTGTCCACACTCTCACCCAGGACAAACCCATTTCCGTCCACACCTGCTTGTCCAGGTGAGCTCATCCCCTTCTCATCGCCTCTGCTCCTAGTCCATCCCCCATCAGCTCTTACCTGGGCTGTTATAGGCCCTCCTACTCGGTTGCCCTCCTTCTCCTCTTGCCCCTGCTTCTGTTCTCCACCCACGTGCCAGAATGTTCTTTTAAGGACATTTAGATTCGATCATGTCTGCCGCGCCCACGATAGGCGCCACACCTACTGCATTCCCTCCAGTGGCTTTATCAGGTAGCTTCTAAAACAAAAACCAGACTTCTTAACCTGTGTGGGCCACGTGGTCTGGCTGGTGCCGACCTAAAGCTCTTTCTGTTCCTCTGAGGGAACATGCTTTTTCCCCCCTCTGGGTTTTTGCACGTGCTGTGCCGGTTTGTTGCACAGTGGCGTTCTGGCCTGAGCTTTAATGTTGCTTCCTCAAAGAGGCCATCCGTGATGGCCTATGGAAGGAAGACCTCTGCCACCCCATCACCCTGTAATGTTTCCTTCACGATTGATACAAGTTTGCTGTATGCTTACTTGTTAATTGTCTTCTCCGTTATTGCAACTGAGCTTCCTGAGTTCAGGGACCGCAGCTCTATGCCAACCGGTACTGTGACGGAGGTGTGAGAAAAATAGAAGCAGTTCCTAGCTTTATGAGGATTACAGTCATGGGTGTGCCAGCGATTAACCAAAGAATCTCATCAATATAGCCCCCAGACTGTTAAGAGAAGCTGTGAAGGCACAGGCAGTGGGATCTGAGCTGGCAGGAGGGGCGGAGGTGATGCTAAGGCTCTCCTGAGGAAGCGAGGTTTGAGCTAAACCTGAGGTGAGCGGGAGGGAAGAGGGTGACACGCCAGGTAGAGAGGCCAGCATGTGTGAGGCCCTGGTGTACCCGGGGGAACAGAGAATCCAAGGTGCTGGGGGAAGATGGTACAAGAAGAGGTCACAGTGACAGGCAGGGTCTCACGGGGCTTCCAGCCATGGTTAGGATTTTGGCGTTGACTCCAAGAGCCGCAGGGTTCGAGCTTCCCTCTCATTGCGCCCCCATCTGTAATCATTGCCCATTTATCTTCTCTCTCCCTGCACCGCCTTGGGAGGCCCTCCTGGGCAGACTCTTAGAGCCCGCACAGGCTTTGCCAAAGAGTAGGGTAAGGGGGGTTGGTGAAGGGATGGATGGATCGATGAACAGATAGGACTAGACAGGGATGTGGAGAAAGGAAGTTGTGTGAGTGTCTCGCTGGCCTCAGCTCAGGGTAGCCTGGCCATCCCTCCCCTCCCATTTCCTTTCCAGCTATTCCAATCAAGTTCTCTGAAAAGCAACAGGCTTCTCACTACCTCTATGTGAGAGCACACGGCATTCAACAAGGCACCAAGTCCACCTGGCCTCAGAAGAGGACTCTTTTTGTCTTCAATGTGCCCCCATACTGCACAGAGGTGAGCTGGTGTCTGGGAGGGGACCTGTTGGCTCAAGGTCCCATGGGACCTGGGGGCTCCCATGGCCTCCACCGAGTCCTTGGTGGTGAGATGGACATAGCTAATGGGAGCCCCAGAGGAGAGTGTCAGGAAGGCTACCGTGATCTCCAGTCAGGAAACTGGCTTTTTAAAGATGTCTTTAAAAGTATAATCCTGCCAGGCATGGTGGCTCATGCCTGTAATCCCAGCACTTTGGGAGGATGAGGCGGGCGGATCACCTGAAGGGAGGAGTTCCAGACCAGCCTGGCCAACATGGTGAAATCCCGTCTCTACTAAAAAATAAAAAATGAGCCAGGCATGATGGTGTGTGCAGGTAGTCCTGGCTACTCGGGAAGCTGAGGCATGAGAATCCCTTGAACCCGGAAGGCAGAGGTTGCAGTGAGCCGAGATTGCGACATTGCACTCCAGCCTGGGCAACAGAGTGAGACTCCATCTCAAAAGAACCCAAAAAACCCCAAAAATTAGCCGGACGTGGTGGCGCACGCCTGTAATCCCAACTAGTTGGGAGACTGAGGCACAAGAATTGCTTAAACCTGGTAGGCGGAAGTTGCAGTGAGCGAAGATCATGCCACTGCACTCCAGCCTGGGCAACAGAGTGAGACTCCATCTCAAAAGAACCCAAAAAACCCCAAAAATTAGCCGGACGTGGTGGCGCACGCCTGTAATCCCAACTAGTTGGGAGACTGAGGCACAAGAATTGCTTAAACCTGGTAGGCGGAAGTTGCAGTGAGCGAAGATCGTGCCACTGCACTCCAGCCTGGGCAACAGAGTGAGACTCTCAAAAGAAAAAAAAAAGTATAATCCTAAGTAGCCCAAGGCTTTTTTGCATATTACCCAAAGTTGTTTGAATTACATGTTTTCTTCCAGATTGTACATGTCCATAATTTAAAAGTAGGAAAGTATAAGAAAATAAAAGTGCCTCTAATTCTATCCAAACACAACTGTTAATTTTTCTTTTCTTTTTTTTTTTTTTTACAGAAACTAAAGGGAATTGCTGGATTTTCTTTTCTTTTTTCTTTGTTCTTTTTTTTTTTTTTTTTTTTTTTTTGAGACAGAGTCTCTCTCTTGCTCAGGCTGGAGCACAGCGATCACGACTCACTGCAACCTCCACTTCCTGGGTTCAAGCGATTCTCCTGCCACAGCATCCCGAGCAGCTGGAATTACAGGCGCCCACCACCATGCCCGGCTCGTTTTTGTATTGTTAGTATAGACAAGGTTTCACCATGTTGGCCAGGCTGGTCTCGAACTCCTGACCTGAAGTAATCCGCCCCCTTCAGCCTCCCAACGTGCTGGGATTACATGCGTGAGCCACCGCCCCTGGCCAAGGGAATTGCTGGATTTGTTTTCAAAAAAGAAACCCTAATTTGTAAAAGATTCCTCTAAACTTAGAGAAAAAAAGAAGCATATAGAAGAGGGGGTGTGAGTTCTGACCTTTTTTGAAGTGCAGCATGTGTGCCGGGAAGGGCCCCAGTCGCAAGTGTCCAGCTCGCTGCATCCCAGAGACAGAACATAGCTGTGTAGTCAGCACCCAGGTGGAGACACAGCAGCACATCCCAGAACCCCCGAACCCCCACTGCCTCCACCAGAGACAACCACCATCCCAACTGTCACAGCATAGGGTCGCTACTGCTGATTCAGGTAGTAAAACTTGTCATAGGAAATCAGAATAACAGCAAGAATGTCCCCACCTGTCTCCAATGAGAGAGAGCAGGAATGTGCCGGGCACAGTGGCTCACGCCTGTAATCCCAGCATTTTGGGAGGCCGAGGCGGGCAGATCACCTGAGGTCAGGAGTTCAAGACCAGCCTGGCCAACATGGCAGAACCCTGTCTCTACTCAAAATACAAAAATTAGCTGGGTATGGTGGTGGGTGCCTGTAATCCTGGCTGCTCGGGAGACTGAGGCACGAGAATCACTTGAAACCTGGAGATGGAGGTTGCAGTGAGCCGAGATCACTCTATAGCACTCTAGCCAGGGTTACAGAGCAATACTCCAACTCAAAAAAATTAAAAAAAAAGAGCAGGAATATCGACCTCCATATTGTCCCTGGGGAACAGGTCGGAGGCCATGGTGCCCACAGTCTCCCGGCTTGGGCAGATGTGGCTGTGGCTCTGAGTCCTTCAGCGGCGCTGGATCCCTGGCAGCGCCACCCATGGTGGAGGGAGGCTTTGGGATGGCCCTGCGGATGCTCACACTTGGCTTCCCTCTCCCTGCAGCAGGAGAGCCTGTCCTGCCTCCAGTCCACCTGTGGCCTTGTCCAGTCTGTAGAGTTGAAGGAGAAGCTGGAGCTGGCTGGGAGTCAAGGTCGAAGTTTTTTCATCCAAAGCCAGTTCCGGTGAGCCGCCAAGCACTGGGTTCCACTAGAGTGAGGGGGGTGGTGGGGCACTGTCCCCAGTGTGGTAGGGGAGCTGGCAGTGGGACGTCAGAGCATTCTCTGGTCCTGAGCCCATCCTCACTGTGTGTGGTGTAGGAGACTGTCCGGCTGACAAAGCCTGCGATTCCTTCCCAGATTTGCCACATCCTTGCACTTCCTGCCTGGCTTTTTCTGTCCCGTGTTAAAGCTCACGGACCGTCTCTGCTGGCCACCTGCAGGGCCTTCCCCGGCTCCCCTCCTGCTTCCCCACTGAGGGAGCTCCTTCCCCAGGCTTGGGGGCCGGGTCTCCAGGAGCACTGTTGTTCACAGCTTTCCCAGTGGCCCTGGAGCCCACACCTCCTCCCCACACAGTGGCATCTGGCATGGTGTGTGTGCCCAGGCCTGGCTTCCAAAAACCTGCCGTGGCCCAGGGCGACCCCTGCGTTTCACCGCATCCCTCCCGTGACTGGAAGAAAGGAAGCCTCTGTATCCTCTCTTCCTGGGGAGGAGTTGGGAACAGCTGTCACTTCGCGAAGAAGCAGGATCACTGGAAGTGTGGCTGCCCCTGACCTGGATTATGGGATGGCCTGTGGTTCTCTTCATGGCTCAGGAATAGCCTAGCACCGTCTCCCCTGGTGTAGCTACCACCTAGGCTGAGGGCAGGCCTGGAGACCTTGTGCCAGACGTGGGAAGGAGCCCCCAACCTCTGACATCTCTCTCTCTTCAGGGTTTCCAGGTAGCCTACGTGGTGTTCCAGAAGCCAAGTGGGGTGTCAGCGGCCTTGGCCCTGAAGGGCCCCCTGCTGGTGTCCACAGAGAGCCACCCTGTGAAGAGTGGCATTCACAGTTAGTACTGCGGGAGGGGTCTGGCGCCTCCTTTCTGGGCTCCGGGTTGGCAGGACACTCTATGGGGACAGTGTCTGAATGTCACAAGCCAAGTCCATGCTCCCTGAGAGCAGCATGTGGAGGCCTGGGCAGGAGGACCATGGGGCTGTGTCTGGGTCCCCAGGGAGTCATTAGCCTGAGCCCCTGGCACAGAGCGGCACAGGCATACTGGGCAGGCAGAGCGAGGGCGCAGCTTGCAGCCCCTGGGATCTCCTTAGCGCCTGTGCCCCGGGCCCTGTGGGAAAAGGTCCCAATTTGCCTGGCAGGCCCTGGGGTGGGGCCCAAATGCCAGGCCTGAGGAAGCCCCGTTTCCCTGGCTCCCTTTTCCTCAGAATGGATCAGTGACTACGCAGACTCTGTGCCCGACCCTGAGGCCCTGAGGGTGGAAGTGGACACGTTCATGGAGGCATATGACCAGAAGATCGCTGAGGTAGAGGCCCCGCGGGGTCGGCCGAGCCCCGCGTCGCCCGTGTGGCTGTGGGAAGGTGGCGCCCCAGAGGGAGGGCGGTGGTGTCCTGTCCTTGGCCACTCTGTAGAGGCCAGGCTCCCTGTTTCCCTGCTGGATCCTGGGCTGCCTGGTTGGGTGACACATGTAGTCTCCACATGGTCTACAGTGGAGAAGGAGGCAGCGCCAGCAGGTCCGTGCCCTCCCCGCCCTCCTTAGCCCCAACACTGTGCTGGGAGGAGGGGAGCAGCCCTCCCCTGCGGGGGCTCAGGGCAGTTCTGACTTTGGGAGGAGGGCGTGGAGGGCGCGCTGCTGGAGGCTGCGGGAGGTCCCAGGCGCCCACCGGACGATGGGATCACCTTCCTTGCAGGAAGAAGCTAAGGCCAAGGAGGAGGAGGGGGTCCCTGACGAGGAGGGCTGGGTGAAGGTGACCCGCCGGGGCCGGCGGCCTGTGCTCCCCCGGACTGAGGCAGCCAGCTTGCGGGTGCTGGAGAGGGAGAGACGGAAGCGCAGCCAAAAAGAGCTGCTCAACTACGCCTGGCAGCATCGAGAGAGCAAGATGGAGCGTAAGCCACCCCGAGTCCATCCTCAGACCCCTCGGCCTTGGCCCCAGCCACGGATGAGGCCTGTGGCCAGTGCTCCTGAGGGCGGGCGCTGGACTTGGTGGTCGAGGAGGGAGGGCGTCCCTAAGCACGGGGCTCGCACCAGACTCTGTGGAAAGAGGCCCAGCCTGGCAGCACCCTGTGTGGCGGTTCCCCATCACCCCCCAGGGGCAGATGCATTTGCTCAGTGGGTGGGGACCCTAGGTCATCAGTGCCCACCTCTGGGTTCCTGTGCACTTAGTGCTGGCGCTCGTCAGCCTCCAGCTAACGCGTTCAAGTGCAGAGGGGGCTTCTGAACCCACTGTGGGTGCAGAGAAGGTGCTGCAGAGTATGTGTGTTGGGTTGGTGGTGGGTGTGTGTGTGTGTGTGTCTGTCAGGTGGCCCCGCACAGGACCCTCCCATGCCTGTGGGCCCGATCGCCTGTGGCCCACTCCTGGTGCTGCGGCTGAGCCTCCTGCCCCACTGCCTGGTGTCCCTGTCTACAGAACAGCTTCCCTGTGGGCCCAGGGGAGGGTTCTCCTGGCCCTGGCTAGGGCACAGGGACGGGCTCTGCGGCAGGCCCTGAGCCGCCCGCCCAGTCACTGGTGCTTTCCCTGCCTGGCTGGCCCTCCTGGCTCCCGCTCGTGCTCGCTCTAGACCCTCAGCTTCCCCCTCAGTGCCATCAGCCTCCCACTGACCAGGGTTGCCATCTGCATTCACCAGCACAAGGGCTGGGGTGCCTTTACTGATTCTCAGGGTTCTCCAGGCCGAGCGCTCAAGACTCCTTCCTTCCCCCTGTGCAGGGATGGGGGTGGGGGCGGGTACCTTTGCTTTGTCGCTAGGGCTTCATCTCCAGGCTGGGGGTGCCAGCATCTCCCACTTTGGCCTTGCCCTTGGACTCGGCCTGGCCTGCCGTCGGTTCTGTTTCCTGACAAGATCCAGACCCTGCCCCCACAGCAGAGCTGGGAGGGGGATGGGCTGGTGGGGGAGACATAGCCCCACCCCCACAGTAACTGGGAGGAGGGGTGGGGCATGAGCAAGCCAGCTTCCCCGGGGCGCGCTGTCTGACCCTGCCCCGCGCCTCCTCTCACCCCCAGATCTAGCGCAGCTGCGCAAGAAGTTTGAGGAGGACAAGCAGAGGATCGAGCTGCTGCGGGCCCAGCGCAAATTCCGACCCTACTGAGCCGTGAGAGCCGCAGTGGATGGCTGGAGGTGCAGGGCCAGGAGGAACATGAGGTGAGGCAGGGCCTGCAGCGGTCTCTGAGAGGCCGAGCTCTGGCCAACGGGCCCCAGGTTGAAGGCCATCGCGTCCAACAGCCCCATCAGAGTCCACACAGGCCAGGAGTGAAGGACCAGGCCACCCCTCGGGTCTTGTGCTTCAGCAGTCCTGGAGACCCAGGCGTGCCGAGAGGAGGACTTGTCCTTCCCACCTCTTGCCTCCACACCCTTGAGGACCCTGGATGAATCCGTTCTGTGCTTCCTTTTCCCTCAATGCAAAAGCCCTTGCTGGCAACAAAAAAGCCTCAAAAGCAGTGAGAATACAAGAACCTTTTATTTTCCATCCAGTTGGGCAGCAGGGAAAGGCTAGGTGGGCCCAGCCTGCCCTTCCTTCCTCCAGCTGGCTGGATATTTATTATTAGCCAGGAGAAAGCAGCCCTGGAACCCAGACTCTGTCTCCCCCTTGAGGTCACAGATGTTGAAGTTGGAATCTCGCTCCTTCCCCTGACTACCATCCTAGGCTGGGCCTCAAGACTAGTGAGGCCTGTCCCCACCATCCCTGGCCTTGTTGTGGGGCTCAGGAACTCAGAGTCCCAGTGTTGAGTCTGGGAGCACTAGGTCTTCATAGTTCCAGGCCCAGAGCTACAGCTGGGCTGGGAGCATGTGTGTGCACTGTAAGAAGGAGCTGATGATACTGGCCACGTGCTGGGGTTCGCTCATGTGGACACAGTGATTGCCTGGGACTTCCACAAACTGGAACTGCTGGAGAGGGGAGGGGGTGGGTGGTGAGGTGTGGCCAGAGGAGCCTAGGGAGCTCCATGGGCCCCGGGGTCAGGGCCCTCCCACAGCATTCCAGCTCCCTGCAGGTCAGGAGCGCCTCCCACAGTGAGTTTCCCCCACACTCGGCTCCTTGGAGCCCCGACAGTCCATAGCACCCCAGGAGGTGTCTAACCCTAGGGACTTGGAGGCCTCCCAGGGGTCTAGGCCAGCTGAGTTGTGAAGTTGCATGGCAGGGACAGGGCGGGGCCGAGGCCAGGGTTGCTGTGATTGTATCAGAAGAGGTACCCGTGAGAAAAGATAATGAGATGGGGGCGTGAACAGCCTGCAGACTTGTGTCTGCCTTCAAGAAGCCAGACAGGGCCGGGCGCAGTGGCTCACGCCTGTATTCCCAGCACTTTGGGAGGCCAAGGCAGGCGGGAGGCCAAGGTGGGCGGATCACGAGGTCAGGAGATCAAGAGCATCCTGGTTAAGACAGTGAAACCCCGTCTCTACTAAAAATACAAAAAATTAGCCGGGCGTGGTGGCGGGCGCCTGTAGTCCCAGCTACTCGGGAGGCTGAGGCAGGAGAATGGCATGAACCCGGGAGGTGGAACTTGGAGTGAGCCGAGATCGGGCCACTGCCCTCCAGCCTGGGCAACAGAGCGACACTCCATCTCAAAAAAAAAAAAAAAAAAGCCAGACAGGAAGGCCTTGCCTGCCTTGGCTCTGACCTGGCAGCCGGCCAGCCACAGGTGGGCTTCTTCCCTTTGTGACAATGCCAAGAAACCTGCAGAGGCCCCAGGGTCAGTGTTCCCGGGTAGGTGACCATAAAACACCACGTGCTCCCAGGAACCTGGGGGAAAAGCCACCTCTGCCTACAGCCAGCACGCCCACTGTCATGATGGGTGCAGAGGGATGAGGCAGTCGGGTATTCTGCTGTGGTTTGGGAGCCTGTAAAATGTGCGACTAGGCCGGGTATGGTGGCTCCCATCTACAAAACCAGCACTTCGGGAGGCCAAGGTGGGCGGATCACCTGAGGTCAGGAGTTTGAGACCAGCCTGGCCAACATGGTGAAACCCCATCTCTTAAAAATATAAAATATAAAAATTAGCTGGGCATGGTGGCAGGTGCCTGTAATCCCAGCTACTCAGGAGGCTGAGGCACGAGAGTAGCTTGAACCTGGCAGGGGTTCCCCACCAAAGGTCTCTGTTTCCTTAATTCTGATTACATGTGTCCCTAGGCCTCTAGGGACTGACCACAGTGGAGCATGAGGCCTGATAGATCCTGGTGGTCACTTGTTGGGCCTGGGGGCAGACCCAGGGTCTTCCCAGTGCATGAGAAGAGATGGGTGAGGTGGGACCAGAGTGGGCGACAGTGGCTGGACACCAGCTGCCTGAGCCCCGTCTTACCTCTTTGAGGGTGGATTTCATCGTGTCTATCATGAACGACAGGGACTCCTTCTCAGAGTAATTCTGTCTTGAATCAAAATATCCGTGGACTGCTCTGGAAAGTGAGGAGTTGGGGGTTGTTGGGGTTCATCTTAGAACCGCCTCCCAGCGGTGCCCCCATCCTGCCCTGGGTTCAGGCCTCTGAGGAGAAACCAAAGCCTGGGCTACCCCAACTCCCACAGCTGGGTCCCTTGACCCTGGGTTGGATTTGAGGCTCAGTTAATCTCAGCTCATGCTCAGCTGGCACAAGCCAGGCACAAGTGAATGCTGAAGGCACAGCCTTTCTGGGGCACAGGGAGTTCAGGACTTGGTCACAGTCAGCCCTGAAAAGCAGAGCTGGGATCTGAACAGGCGCTGGAGCCCATACTTGCTCTGAGAGAGAATTTATGTCTTCACAATCCTCCCGTTGATAGTCTACAATTCTGTGGTTTTTAATACATTGAGTTGTGAGACCATCGTCACAATTACAGGACATTTTCATCGCCCCCAAAGAAATCGCGAACCTCTGAGCTTACGCGGACACACACACACCCCACCCCACCCCCCGCCCCCCGCCCCCAACAGGCTTCCGGTCCTGAGCAACCATGACCTGGCTTTGTCTCTGCAGTGTGCCCTATTTGGACTTGACTTGAACGTGAATGCAGCCATACAACACGTAGACGGTTGTGTCTGAATTCGTCCACTTAGCGCGATGTTTTAAAGGCTCATCCATGCTGGAGCCCGTGTCAGTGCTTCGTTTCTTTTTATGGCTTAAAAATCGTCTATGGTGGGCCACGCACGGTGGCTCACGCCTGTAATCCCAACACTGGGAGGCCGAGGCGGGCGGATCATGAGGTCAGGAGATGGAGAGCAGCCTGGCCAACATGGCGAAACCTCGTCTCTACTAAAAATACAAAAATAAGCCAGGCCTGGTGGCGGGCGCCTGTAGTCCCAGCTACTCGGGAGGCTGAGGCAGGAGAATCGTTTGAATCCAGGAGACAGAGGTTGCAGTCAGCCGAGACTGGGCTCACTGGTTATGGAGCCTTACCTGGGCATGCCCCCCGCTGACACCTGTGGAAAGGCATGGGACAGCCCCGGCCCATCCCCTGCTGCCCGAGCCCTCCCCTCCTCTGACCTTCCTCCTTCCATGACCCTGCTGCCAGGGGGGCTTCCCAAAAAAGATCTTGAGCCTTAGCGATGTGGTCGACACGCAGAGAACTTGGAGCCTCATGCCAGGGCCCCCTCCCGGAGATTCCTGGCGCCCATGTCTCCTTGGCGGGTGGCTGAAGGGGATGGGTCCAGACTTACTTGATCAACAGGACATGGGCCTGCAGCTTCCTGATGGAATGCGCACACAGCTCCCTGCTGATGAAGTCAATGCTGTTCTCTGCCTGCAGAGACAAAAACATGGTGAATTCTCGTCACAAGGCACAGGCACTCTCGTGGGCACGAAACCCATCTCTGTTGGGGTGGCTAAGTCCTGGCGAGGGCACCTTAGCCACCCACCCTGGGTCTGAGCCCAGGACCCCACATCACTGCCTCATCGAAGGCTCTTTAGCCCCTGGTGGCCAGAGACTCCTGCCCTCTCCAAGTCTGTTCTCCCTTCTTCCTGGGCTCGTGGCTACCCAGCCTGACTCCATTTCCCATACTCCTTTGCCACCGGGTATGCCTGTGAGATTAAAGGCAGAGAAGTGAGTTGGGCCACTTCTGGGCCTGGATTTTAGGACTTAGGTGTGGCCCTTCCACACCCCTTTCCCAGTCCATAGGCTGCACCTCACGCTGTCCCCTGCCAGCCTGGGACAGGCTTCTTGCCAGGAGGAAGAAACTTGCTGGGACCACAGTGCAGGATGGGCACTCCGTGATGGCCCCTGCCGGCCTCCTCCGCGGCCCTGCCAGCCCTGTCTTGTGACTGTTTTACGTCTGGATGGCAGGGATGTGGCCAGCTTGAGTGAGATGTGCTGTAGGTGTGACACGAAGCTGGATTTGGAAAACTTAGCATGCAAAATAATGCAATCAAGCTTTATGTTGATTACATCTTGAATCACATTGTGGATGTTAAAATATGAGAACAATTGTTAGAGCCTTATTTATTTGAGACCGAGTTTTGCTCTTGGTGCCCGGGCTGGAATGCAATGGCGCGATCTCAGTTTACCGCAACCTCCCGCCTCCTGGGTTCAAGCGATTCTCCTGCCTCAGCCTACCGAGTAGCTGGGATTACAGGCATGCGCCACCAGGCCTAATTTTGTATTTTTAGTAGCGACAGGGTTTCACCATGTTGGTCAGGCTGGTCTTGAACTCCTGACCTCAGGTGATCTGTCTGCCTCGGACTCCCAAAGTTCTGGGATTACAGGTGTGAGCCACCACACCCAGCCTTGGGCCTGTTTTAATATAGCTGCTAGAGAAATGTCAAGTTCTGTGAGGCTTTGCTTCCATTGCACTGTGCTGCTCTGATCTGGGGACTCCAAGGGCAGGAGCTCTCAGCATTTTCTCTATCCCTAGTTCTCAGCACGTGGAGTACAGAGGAGAAGCTTCATAAATGCAGCTGAGTGGATTAATTCCGGGAAGCTCCCGTAAGGACCAGCTCCCCTAAGTTACACCCGATACTCCTGCACCATTGTGAATATAAAATTGCCATGAACACACACACACACACACACACACACACACACACAAATTGCTATGAACACACACACACCAGTGAAAACTCACTGCCCTGTTTCCACCCTGGCCCTCCAGCTATTTTCTGCTTCTCAGACTAAAATGACCTGAAGTGCCTTCCCTGAAACAGGGGTTCCCATACTGTTCCCAAGGCCTGCGTGTTCTCATATGTCAGCTGCCACATCTCACAGCAGGGTGTGACCAAGCTTTTTGGGCCTGCACACAGGAGGGGCTTCCTGGGCACAAGGTGAACAGGCAAACTTGACCCTGTCTCTACTAAAAATATGAAAATTAGACTGGGCACAGTCACTCACGCCTGTAATCCCACCATTTTGGGAAGCTGAGGCAGGTGGATCGCCTGAGGTCAGAAGTTCGAGACCAGTTTGGCAAACGTGGTGAAACCCCATCTCTACTAAAATTACAACAAATTAGCTGGGCATGGTGTCAGGCGCCTGTAATCCCAGCTACTCAGGAGGCTGAGGCAGGAGAATTGCTTGAACCCGGGAGGCAGAAGTTGCAGGCAGCCAAACTCGGGCCACCGCACTCCACCCTGGATGACAGAGTAAGACTTGGTCTCTAAATAAATAAATAAATAGAAGGTAGGTGCTTTGCTTCAGCAGCACATATACTGCTAAATTGGAACAACAAAGAGATGATTAGCGTGGCCCCTGTGCAAGCGTGATACGAAAATTGTGAAATGTTCCTTTGCAAGAAAAAAAAAAAAATTCACATCACCTGAGGTCAGGAGTTCGAAACCAGCCTGCCCAACATGGCAAAACCCTGTCTCTATGAAAAATACAAAAAATTAACCCAGCATGGTGGAGGGCGCCTGTAATCTCAGCTACTTGGGAGGTTGAGGCAGGACAATCCCTTGATCCCAGGAGGTGGAGGTTGCAGTGAGCTGAGATCCCACCACTGCACTCCAGCCTGGGCGATCTCAGCTCACTGCAATCTCCGCCTCCCGAGTTAAAGCGATTCTCCTGCCTCAGCCTCCTGAGTAGCTGGGACTACAGGTGTGTGCCACCACACCCGGCTAATTTTTGTATTTTTTGGTAGAGACAGGGTTTCACCATGTTGGCGAGGCTGGTCTTTAACTCCTGGCCTCAAGTGATCTGCCTGCCTTGGCATCCCAAAGTGCTGGGATTACAGGCATGAGCAACTGCAGAAACTTAAAACTTAGCTGGCCAGAAACTTAAAAAATAAAAGAGAATTTTGGGCCAGCTCCATTTTGTAATGTGTATCTTCTGCAATTTAGTTTATGTCCTAACGAAGTCTTTCCATCCCTGGGAACCATCTTCCTTCCAGCATTATGGGTGATCACAGCTCCCACTACAGAACAGGTCACATAAGACATGGTCCCTAAGGACAGGGAAGGGGGCATCTCCAAAAGCCAGATTGACTAGGATCTGGCAATAAATTCCTACCACGAAGGTCAGCACACACAAGGGACAAACCACCAGTGAGTGAGCCTTAGTGGGTAGGGAGGACCACCCAACAGCTGGTATTGTTCATCTAGAAAAACAATTACAATGGCTGGCTGCAGTGGCTCACACCTGTAATCCCAGTACTTTGGGAAACTGAGGCGGGAGGATAGCTTGAGCCCAGGCATTCAAGACCAGCCTGGGCAACATGGCAAGACCCTGTCTCTACAAAAGTAAAAAATTTAGCTGGGTGTGGTAGCGCACACCTGTAGTCCTAGCCACTCCGGAGGCTGAGGTGGGAAGATCACTTCAGCCCAGGAGGTTGAAGCTGTGTGAGCCATAATTGAGCCATGGCACTCCAGTCCGGGTGACAGAGGGAGACCCTGTCTCTACAATTCAAATAGACCGAACACTGTGGCTCATGCCTGTAATCCCAGCACTTTGGGAGGTCGAGGCAGGCAGATCACCTGAGGTCAGGAGTTCGAGACCAGCCTGGACAACATGGTGAAACCCCATCTCCACTAAAAACACAAAAATTAGCCAGGTGTGGTGGTGGGTGCCTGTAATCCCAGCTACTTGGGGGCTGAGACAGGAGAATCACTCGAACCTGGGAGGCAAAGGTTGCCGTGAGCTGAGATAGTGCCATTGCACTCCAGCCTTTGCAACAAGAGCGAGACTCTGTATCAATAATAATAATAATAATAATAATAAAATTAAAGAAAAATCGAACTTTTATTTTTTTTATTTATTTATTTTTTTTTTGACATGGAGTCTCGCTCTGTCGCCCAGGCCGGACTGCGAACTGCAGTGGCGCAATCTCGGCTCACTGCAAGCTCTGCTTCCCGGGTTCACGCCATTCTCCTGCCTCAGCCTCCCGAGTAGCTGGGACTACAGGCGCCTGCCACCGCGCCCGGCTAATTTTTTGCATTTTTAGTAGAGACGGGGTTTCACCTTGTTAGCCAGGATGGTCTCGATCTCCTGACCTTGTGATCCACCCGCCTCGGCCTCCCAAAGTGCTGGGACTACAGGCGTGAGCCACCGCGCCCGGCCGAAAAATCGAACTTTTAAAACACAAAAAAGAAAAAAAGAAAAGAAAATGAATCACTATCTGACACCATGCTCAAGAACAAATCCCACACGGATCAAAGACAAACACGTTAACATTCCCAGACCATTGGCTGACGCCCTGGTCCAAGCCTCATCTCTTGGCCTGGGCCTGGGCAGCAGCTCTCAGCGGTCTCCCTGCAGTTAGAGCGTCCCCACCTCTAATGACAGTGTCTCACATGTGTCCAATGTTCTACCATATTTTAACAATCACAAAATAGCACAGGCCATGAGCACCTGAAGCGACAGCACTGTGCGAGGCCACTCAACACACATGACCTCACCTAGTCTCGACAACAACCCTTCAAAGGCAGGCCCAGGGCTTGGCTCCCCTAGCCAAGCTGCTCATAAACCAGCTGAGCGAATGAAAGCACTTTCTTTTTGCACGTGAGACAACCAAGGCTCAGAGAGGGTAAGCACCTTGCCCAAGGTCCTACAGCCCCTCACTGGCAGAGATGGCCAAGTTTCTATTAATACAAGTGCTCCAGTGACACAGGCCTCCAGATGGGACGCTGTTTTTTGAGAACCTTTGTCATCCTGCCCCTCCCCTCTTTAATCTTCACAGCCTCTATCAGGAATCCCCCTCTCAACAGATGCACCGAGCTGACTTCGAGCTTTTCCCTGTGCAGCAGCCAGTGCCTGGGATGTCTCCCTCCTCTCCTCACCTCCATCGACTGTATTTAATGCCACTGAAGTGCATACTTACAAACGGTTAAATTGACAATCATTAAGTATTATGTTAGCTATATAATTTCTTTTGTTTTTTTTTTCTTGAGATGGAGTCTCGCTCTGTCGCCCAGGCTGCAGTGCAGTGGTGCTATCTCGGCTCAATGCAACCTCTGCCTCCCATTCAAGCGATTGTCCTGCCTCAGCCTCCTGAGTAGCTGGGATTACAGGCGTGAGCCACCACGCCTGGCCTGTAATTTTCAAAAACGACAAAGACGCTAACAGGCAAACCTTGGCGGGGGACCCGGAGGCAGTGGTACTCACCCAGGCGAGCCTCTGGTCTCTGTTCAGAACCAGACCTGGAGGCGGAAGCACAAAGACAGCAGCGTCAATGCTGTCCATCAGGGTCAGGGGACGCTCCGTGACTTTGCTGGAACCCTCCAGGCCTTTGCAGCCAGGGCCCATTTCTCCCACCTGCCCCCGACGTCCTCAGCTGCCCAGGACTCCCTGTCCTGGGGTCCAGCTGGAGCAGGGCTAGACCACAGCCACCTGGCCACAGACCTGTCAGCCCACATGGGCCCTCACCGGCCACCCCAAAGGGCCGGTGCAGAATGAGGGCGGGAGCTTAGGCTAATAGCCTCGTGGACGGTGGAGCTCTAGTCTCTGAGAAACTCATTCATTCCTTTAGTCACTAGGAAGAAGCAAATAAGTACCAATGGTGTCACTGGTTGTGGTGAGCTGAGATCGTGCCACTGCACTCCAGCCTAGGCGACAGAGCAAGACTCTGTCTCAAAAAATCAAACAAAAACCACTAAAAAACCATACATATATGATATACCAACAAGATTTTCTTGGTGGGGGGCCTAAACCACCTGATTCTCAAGTTCACGTGGAAAAATTACACAGGTAAGAATAGCAGGAGGTCAGGCACCTGTAATTCCAGCACTTTGGGAGGCCGAAGTGGGAGGATCACTTGAGACCAGCGTGGGCAATGGAGCAGGACCCCATCTCTACACAAAAAAACTAAAAAATTAGCCAAGGCCAGGCATGGTGGCTCAAGCCTGTAATCCCAGCACTTTGGGAGGCCGAGGCAGGCGAATCACGAGGTCAGGAGTTCAAGACCAGCCTGGGCAATATGGTTAAACCTGGTCTCTACTAAAAATACAAAAATTAGCTGGGCGTAGTGGCAGGTGCCTGTAATCCCAGTTACTCGGGAGGCTGAGGCAGGAGAATCGCTTAAACCCGGGAGGCAGAGGTTGCAGTGAGCCGAGATCGAGCCACTGCATTCCAGCCCAGGTGACAGAGTGAGACTCCGTCTCAAAAAAAAAAAAAAGATGTGAGGGTGATCTGGCTGCGACATCTGTCACCCCATTGATCGCCAGGGTTGATTCAGCTGATCTGGCGGCTAGGCGGGTGTCCCCTCCCTTCCTTACCGCTCCATGTGCGTCCCTCCCGAAACTGTGCACTCGGTCGAAGAGGACGACCATCCCCGATAGAGGAGGACCGGTCTTCGGTCAAGGGTATACGAGTAGCTGCGCTCCCCTGCTAGAACCTCCAAACAAGCTCTCAAGGTCCATTTGTAGGAGAACGTAGCGTAGTCATCCCATCACCCTTTGCTCTCTTTTCGGACTCGGCCCGCCTGCACCCAGGTGAAATAAATGGCCTTGTTGCGTGTACACACACACACACACACACGCGCGCGCCGAGCATGGTGGCACACTCCTGTAGTCCCAGCTACTGGGAAGACTCAAGTGGAAGGGTTCTTTGAGCCCAGGAGGCAGAGGCTGCAGTGAGCCGAGATCCTGCCACTGCAATCCAGTCTGGCCAACACAGCAAGACCCTGTCTCAAAAAGGAAAAGAAAAAAGACTAGTAGAAAAACTCTGTAAAAGAGCCATGAAGGGAGACGGTCCCGTCAGATGCGAAAATCCTCAGGCCGGGTGCGGTGGCTCACACCTGAAATCCCAATACTTTGGGAGGCCAAGACAGGTGGATCACCTGAGGTCAGGAGTTCGAGACCAGCCTGGCCAACATGGTGAACCCCATCTCTACTAAAAATACAAAAATTAGCCAGGCATGGTGGTGGGCACCTGTAATCCCAGCTACTTGGCAGACTGAGGCAGGAGAATTACTTGAACCCAGGAGGTGGAGGTTGCGGTGAGCCGAGATTGTGCCATTATACTCCAGCTTGGACGACAAAAGCAAGACCCCGTCTCAAAAAAAAAGAAAAAAAAAAATCCTGTGTCGGGCCTCAGTTTAAAATGTGTGGTACAGTAAGATCATAGACAGGCAGTCAGAGACAGACCCAAGTACAGATGGGCATTCACTGTCTGACCAAGGCAGCCCCTTACATGAACAGGGTAAAGATAGACTTGTCTAAAAATGGCATTAGGCACCTGAGGAGCCATCTGGAAAAAGATGAAGTCAGATGCAAACCTCACTTTGTATACTAGATAAGGATCCAATGTAGTAAATATTTAAATGCTAGTGCTAGACCCAAAATAATATTAGTGTCAAGCATGACCTTTTAACTATGACTCAAATTCCAGAAGCCATACAAAAGACATGTTTTTTCTTGTCTTTTTTTTTTCTGAGACGAAGTTTCACTCTTGTTGCCCAGGCTAGAGTGCAATGGTATGATCTCAGCTCACTGCAACCTCCACCTCCCGGTTCAAGCGATTCTCTTGCCTCAGCCTCCCCAGTAGCTGGGATTACAGGCATGCGCCATCACGCCCAACTACTTTTGTATTTTTAGTAGAGACGGGGTTTCTCCATGTTGGTCAGGGTGGTCTCGAACTCCCAACATCAGGTGATTCACCCACCTCAGCCTCCCAAAGCGCTGGGATTACAGGCATGAGCCACTGTGCCTGGTCTAGAAATCTGTATTTTTACATAAAATCTTTCTATTTAAAATAATAGCCCTTCTGCTCTGGTCCTTGGGCCCTTCCTCCAAAAAATAAAAAGAGTATAATAAAAAATAAAATGTGGGCAATCTATTCAAAATTCCCCCCATGCCAAATGTTTTTGATTAAACTGCACAAGTTAAACAAATTATTATCTGCAACCTGTATGCAGTCCAGCTTATGAGAAAGATTTGAGCCTCCCCCACAGCACGGGGCTTCAGGGGCCAGATATTTTTGTTTTGTTTTTAAGACAGGGTTGGCTGGGCATGGTGACTCACACCTGTAATCCTACCATTTTGGGAGGTCGAGTCAGTAGGATCGCTTGAGTTCAGGAGTTCGAGACCAGCCTGGGCAACATGGCGAAACTCCATCTCTACAAAAAAATACAAAAATTAGCCAGGTGTGGTCTGCACACTTGTGGTCCCAGCTACTCAAGAGGCTGAGGTAGGAGGATCGCCTGAGCCCATGAGGCCAAGGCTGCAGTGAGCCATGGTCACGCCACTGCATTCCAGCCTGAGTGACAGAGCAAGACCCTGTTGAAAACAACAACAACAACAAAAAAAAAAAAAAAGAAAAAAAGAAAAAGCCAGGGTCTTGCTAGAGTGCAGTGGCACAATCAAGGTTCAATGCAGCCTCCGACTCCTGAGCTCATGTGAGTCTCCCACTTCAGCCTCCTAAGTAGCTGGGACCACAGGTGTGCCACCATGCCGTTTATTTTTGAATTTTTTGTAGAGATGGGGGTGTCTCCCTATATTGCCCAGGCTGGTCTTGAACTCCTGGCCTCAAACAGTCCTCCCACCTGGACTCCCAAAGTGCTGGGATTACAGGCATGTGTGAATACGCTTGGCCAGGGGCCAGACTGACACAGACTGTCCCTCTGTCCTTAGGGCACCCCAGGCAGAGTGGGCCCCTCCCTCCTTCATGGGAACACCTCAAGATGGTTTCCAGAAAGCCAGTATTGTGGGGCTTAAACTTAGATGAGAAGATAAAGAGCTCATCTCTGCTGCTCTCTCCCCATCCTGCACCACCAGCTCACACCTCCAGGCCTGTCCTGCCAGCTCCTTTCTCCTCCTGGAGTCCGTAGGAGCAGCTCCCGTACCTTCACTGCTTTGCTCAAAAGTCACCTTCTCATGAGGCCCACCCAGACCTTCCTATTCAAAAGAGGAAGTGGAGCTGCAGCCTCTCCAACAATGCTCGCTGCCCTCCCCACTCTGCGTCCTCCACGAGCCCTCCCCTTCTCACGCACTCTGTAACCCACCCAGAGAACCTCACACACAAGCCAACGGGCTCCTGAGGCTCCCAGCAGCCAGAGAGGTGGGAACAGATACTCCCTCACAGCCCTCAGAAGGAACCAGCCCTGCCGAGGCCTTGACCTTGGACCCTGAACTCCGGAACTGTGGGGGAATGTGTCTTGGTTGTTTAAGCTCCAGATTCTGGAGGAATCAGGTTGGATGATGGGGGCAGGGAAGGGAAGTTATCCCAGTTCAGAATAGAATGTGAACTCTCAGGGGCCCTGGGGTTGGAGGGAAGCATTTGGGAGGAACCTACATTGTCCTTGAGGCACTGGGTGGGGGGTTCTGGCTGGGTACTGTCTTCTTTTAGGTTAATGCTGGGTCCCAAAAGGCCACAACTGCTGCAGAGGGCTTGTCTGCACACAACGTTCCAGCCAGCTGACCACTTCCCCCAGACCCAGGGTTCACCTCTTTCTCAGCCCTCCCTCTTGCCTGTTCCCTCACCCCCCTGACACCCACATAGGGGTGCCTGGTCAGCATCCTGCATTCACTGTTTCCTGTGACCTGGGCCTAATCGAATTCCCCGGCCTCATTCCAGATTAGCTCACTTCTGTGCCTGGGGCTCCCTAGGTCAGCCATCCGTGAGGCATGTCCAGGAAGCCTGGGCCCGGGGTCCTTGACCTCCCCTCCCCATGATGGGTTTCCAGGGAGGCAAGATAAAGGTTCAGCCAAGATGATCACGAAGACCCAACTGGTCCCAAACTGGCGACCCGAGGCCAAAACAGCCCACAGGTGCCGCTCCTTAGACCCTCGGGGGATGCTGTCCATTTCTGGACTCAAGACAACTAAAAATACTCACCTCAGCAGATCAACTGCAGAGCTGAGCAACTGGTAATTCTGGCCACACGAGACTGAATTCCCACTTGATTAGCACCGGCCCAGCTGCCTACCAGGGTGGGCTGCCTCCAGCTCCAAAGTCCCTACACAGCCCATAGCCTCCCTCCCGGCCTGCACCCTCAACTCCACAACACGCCCCCACCCCCGCCCCCAGGTGCTGGAGTTTCTGACCCCCTGCCTCACTCAGCACTTTATAAAGGGAAGGCACATGCCCACCTCACCTGGTCCAATGAGCGCAAAAAACCCAAGACCTTGTTTGTCACCTGAGCAAACAAGGGGAGTCTAAAAGGGAAGGGACTGTCCCAAGATCACTGAGCTGGCAGTGTCAGGAAGCAAAGTTGTGTTGCCCAGCTTAGCACATTTTCCATCCGACGACACCATCTCCCTCCAGCTGTTCCCTCACCCTGGGAGAGCTGCTTCCTGGACCACTGCTCTGAAGCAGGCCCCGCCATGAGTCTCTTCTAGAGCACCATGTATTTCCTTCATTACATCTAGAGAATGTCTAACCACTCATGTGCCTGTTCACCTGTGTATCATCTGCTTCTCTTCCAAGAATCTAGGCCTCTGCCCAGACTCTTCCTTACTCAACTCCAGGGGGCGCCATTTGTGCACAGCAGCCCCTGGAGTTGTGGTGCGGGAGGTCTGGCCCCACTGAGAGAGGGACAGTCGGCTCTTGCTCACTGCAGCCTCACTGAGCCGGGCCTGTAGCAGGCCCTTACAAAAGATTTCCTGGGCCAGGCACAGTAGCTCACACCTGTAGTCCCAGCTACTCAGGAGGCTGAGGTGGGACGATCTCTGGAGCCCGGGAGGTGGAGGCTGCAGTGAGCCATGATGGTGCCACCGCACTCCAGCCTAGGTGACAGAGCGAGACCTTGTCTCATAAGAAAAAAGAACGAAAGAAAAAAAATTCCTGGGTAAAAAGCAAAGTACACAAATCGCTTGTGCCAGAAGCTGCTCTGAAACCAAGACATACCAGCTCCACCTCTCCATTGTGAAAAGCCTCTCCCAAGTCACTCAGCCCCTGGGACGTCCTCACAGCCTGCCTCTGGCGCTGGGCACCCACCCCAGATCCAGCAGAGCATGGCCGTGACATTCACCAACATTTAGTCCAAGACACCTGACCAAACTCTCCCAGAGCGTGGCTTTCTGGGATGTGCAGTAACTGTATGGCCTCACCCGGGTTGCTTGGCAATGCTGAGCCTTGGTTTCTCCTGCTCTAAATGGGATGAGGGTGAGGCAGGAGGGGGATTCAGTGAGATGCTGTTTGCAAAGCGCTTAGTATCCTGCCTGGTCTAAGGCAAGTCCTTGACATCCTCGGTAAGAATAGTGACAAATATAAAATGGCCTTGGACAGTAGAGTCCCTTACCTGTGGCCACCTTCGTGGTTCCTCTTTGCAGGAGAAGCTCCCCGCACTCCTCACTCAAGTGGCTATTGCTCTTCAGTAACCTGGGGGGAGACAGAAGGATGCTGGGTGCCTGGAGGCCAATAAAAAGGAGGTCAGATAAAAAGGAGAGGAGGGCCGGGGGGGACGGTGGCTCATGCCTGTAATCCCAGCACTTTGGGAGGACAAGATGGGCGGATCATCTGAGGTCAGGAGTTTGAGACCAGCCTGGCCAACATGGTAAAACCTCATCTCTACTAAAAATACAAAACTTAGCTGGACATGGTGGCATGTGCCTGTAATCCCAGCTACTTGGGAAGCTGAGGCATGAGAATCACTTGAACCCAGGAGGCAGAGGTTGCAGTGAGCTGAGATTGTGCCACTGCACTCTAGCCTGGGGAACAGAGCGAGATTTGGTCTCCAAAAACAAAACACAACAACAACAAAAAAATGGAGACAAGGGCAGCAAAAGGGAGGTCACCCACAAAGCGTGCATGTGTCTCGTGATTTTTTTTTCTTTTTTTTTCTTTGTGAGACAGAGTCTTGCTCTGTTGCCCAGGCTGGAGTACAGTGGCGCAATCTGGGTTCACTGCAAGCTCTGCCTCCCGGGTTCATGCCATTCTTCGTTACATCTAGAGAATGTCTAACGCCTCTTCTGGATAGATATTCAGGCGCCCGCCACCACCACGCTTGGCTAATTTTTTGTATTTTTTAGTAGACACAGGGTTTCACCATCTTAGCCATGATGTTCTCAATCTCCTGACCTCGTAATCTGCCCACCTCCGCCTTCCAAAGTGCTGGGATTACAGGCATGAGCCACCGTGCCTGGACCTTGTATTCTAATTGAGACAGGGTCTCACTTTGTCACCCAGACTGGAGTGCAGTGGCATGATCATGGCTGTCTGCAGCCTCGACCTCCTGGGGCTAAGCACTCCTCCCAACTAAGGCTGCTGAGTAGCTGGGACCACAGGCGTGTGCCACCACGACCAGCTAATTTTTTTTTTTTTTTTTTTTTTTTTTTAAATACAGGGTCTCGCTATCTCGCTCAGGCTGGTCTCTAACTCCTGGGCTCAAGCTATCTTCCCACCTCAGCTTCCCAATGTGCTGGGATTACAGGTGTGAGCCACTGCGCCTGGCCTGTGTCCCGTGTTTCGATTGCATGTTTACAGCGGCAGGGTGTGTGTGTGTGGGTGTGTGTGCGCGTGCGTGTGGTGGGGCAGTGGGGGGCTTCTCCTCCTTCAGACAACAAATATGTGTGGAGCTCTGACCTACCAGGCCCACTGCCAGATGCAGGAGGCACAAAGATGACCAAATCAGCCATAGTGGGGGTTGCGGAGTTCACATGCCTCGGGAAACAGAGGAATCAATAGGCTCTTATTGGACAGTGTGGTTACCTGCAGGGCAGGGACAGCTTGCCTGGGGGTGTCAGGGCAGGGTTCCCAGCTGAGGCCCCAAGGAGTGGGGAAGCCAGTGAGCAAGCACAGGGGAGAATTCCAGGTAAGGGAGCCCAGGCTGGAGTCCCAGAGGGGAGAGAAGGCGTGGAAGCAGCATGTGCTTGGGAGAGAGGCGGGTGCGTGAGAGGTGTGGGGAGGGTATTGGAAGTAAGGGGCATGGCTGGAGCAGGGGCAGAGGGAAAGAGAGAACGTCCCTGAAGACCCTGGGAAGCCTGGTGCTCAGCGTGACCCCAGGGAGAAACAGGCTTGTTGGGTGAGAGGGAGAAAGAAGCTTCTCCACGTCTCACGGGATGTCCTCCCCTGGACCCCACCAGCTCCCCGTCCACACCGGGCACCCACCTCTGCAGCAGCTGCTTCAGGCTGAACACGTGCGAGGGCTCCTGGGAGGCCTCTACCTGCAGCACGTGCTCTATGGCTCTCCGCTTGTAGGTCAGCAAGTTCTCCATTTCCTAAGGAGGCACAGTTGGCTGGTGGGCAGGGATCCAGGCTGCAGACGAGGTCTCTGCCCCTCCTAGCCCTGCCCTCTGCTCTCAGCTGAGCCCCTCTCGGCAAAGGGGCACACAGCCCCAGCCCTGGCTAGTCAGCCCCACGATTCTGAACGAGTCTTTGCTTCGCCTCAGTCACAGCCAGCCTGGTCTTGCCTGCGGCCAGGGACAGTTGAAGAGATCAGGTGGGATGATGGAGAGGAAGGGGAATCTCTGTCAACTGCCAAGTGCTTTGCAAAGGCATGAAATTAGGGTCCGGAGGCCACGAACCATCTGGGGTTGGCAGTTTCATCTGGTTCAACGAATGCCATCATTCTCAGTGGCAGAAAGGGACTGGCAGAAAGGGCGCATTTCTGGGGCTTCCAAGCTCCCCCATGATGTGTGGCTCACTCTGTGAGGACAGCCTCAGGCCCACTGCCTGGGGCTGCAGAGGGGGGCATCTCCCATCTACCCATGCCTGAGAATGCAGGACAAGAGGACCAAATGCCCCTCTTGACTCGCCCAGGAGGAAGCCCCTGGGGGCACTGCACTTGTCAATTCAGTGGGTGAAATGCAGAAAGAAGGGAGTGTCTGCTGTCTGCCATCTGTAAATTGGATCCTTATAATAGCCCCTGAGCTAGCTGAGCTCATGCAAGGAACATTTACTGAGCCCTTACTAGGTGCCAGGATTGGGGATGTGGTGACAGAGATGGACATGATCCTTATCCTTATGGGATCTGCCGTCATTCTTTTTTTTTTTTTTTTTTTTTTTTTTGGGAGACGGAGTTTCCCTCTTGTTGCCCAGGCTGGAGTGCAATGGCGCAATCTCGGCTCACTGCAACCTCCGCCTCCTGGGTTCAAGCGATTCTCCTGCCTCGGCCTCCCAAGTAGCTGGGATGACAGGCATGTGCCACCACGCCCAGCTAATTTTGTACTTTCAGTAGAGACGGGATTTCTCCATGTTGGTCAGGCTGGTCTCGAAATCCTGACCTCAGGTGATCCGCCAGCCTCGGCCTCCCAAAGTGCTGGGATTACAGGCGTGAGCCACCGCATCTGGCCGATCTGTGGTCATTCTATGGACAAGAAAACTGAAACTGATGAGACTTGTGTCACAACTGATAGGCTGAGACCTTGGCAAGAAAATGACAGGATGTCAGAGCTGGCCAGGTCATTGAGCCCAACCTCATTTTACACGTGCGGGAACTAAGGCCCAGAGAGGCAAAGTAACTTGCCAGGGGTCACCCAGCAGGTAAACCAGGCCAGGACTCAGACGCAGAGACAGTACTGGTTATGGGTAGTGGTGGTCAGAGGGGTCAGTCCTTGTTCCTTCAGTTCACATTTAGGGCTGTCATGTGTGGTGGTGCAATGTGGACACAGTGCAAAGGCATTCGACTGGGTGTGAGTGCAGTGTGCCGGCCCAGCTGTGTGCCCTAGAACATCTTCCACCCATGGCCGCTGCCCTCTTCCACTGCCTGCCACTGCGTGATCAGCCTGGCATTCTGCAGATCCCGAGCCACACATCCAGTTTCCAAGGGGTCCCCCACACCCCTTGTCCTGACCACTGCTAGGGGTATAAGCAGCAGAAGCCTGTCATCTGTTGGGGAGCGGGTCCCTGACTCCCCTTTCCCACCCTCTGCCGCCTCCTCGTGCTTCCCTAGTGTCCACCAAAGGAGACAGGGCTGGGAGCGCTGCCCGGGGCCCAGGTCCTCCCTAATGACAGCATGCACGAAAGCCCGCTTCTCACATCTGATTCCAGGAGAAAGAGCGGCGTGTCCAGCAAGATAAGTTTATCCACCATCTCGGGGAAGGTACAGAAAAACTGTGAGGATGCCAAAAGGGGAGAATGAATAGGGGGAAGAAGGAAAGGACACTCCCGCCTTTCCCTGGGGACCCTGGAGTTCCCCGAAACATCTTTTAGGCTGGGGGGAGGGTGCTGACCAAGAGGCCAGAGGAGAATCTTCTATCTATGGTGTGCCTTCCCCCACCACCCCTAAGTCTGCACCCAGCACTGAGCTCCAGACCTTGGTGATGGCTGGACTCCAGGGTGCGGTGGGACCGGGTATGGGGGCGTGGAAACATGAACTCTACCAGGAGTCTCCACCGTTTACACCAACTTCCTGGTATAAGGACTGTCACTGTGACAGGAGGAGGCACTTTCTGTCCCAGGTACCTTCTCCTTCCTCCTTTGTGCTCCCCTCCCCACTCCACCCAAGGGAGCCCCAGTTGGCCAGACAAAGCCATCTACTCACCATTCCGCCCACGACGCCACCTGGGGGACAAAAGAGCTGTGGGTGACATTCCCTCACTCCCTCCCCAGCTGCATACCCTAAAGCTTCTTCCCACCAGTTGGGGGGGGGGGGCACCATATGGGTGGCTGGGGGCTCAGCATCTGGGCCATGATGTCCCCTTCATCAGACCTGACCACTCAAAAGACCACATTTCCCTCATCCCTGTGTCCCTTGCGGCAGTTGCCTGAGGTCAGAGGGTACAGTGGTCAACCTCTGACTGACCCTCTCATCTCTCTTTGCAGATCTCATAAGTGCAGGGGAAAGGGGTGGGGCAGCAGCTCCTATCCTTCCCTCCCAGCCCTACTCCGGGCCCGGTCAGCTCCTGGCCACTGTACTCACCGAAGCTGTGGCCCAGAATGGAGAATCGATTCCATTTCAAGGCTGGAAATGCAAGGAGCCAGAAGGTCCGGCTGGGCACAGGCTCAGCCCACGATCTTGCTTCTAGTCCCCAGGCTCAGGAAATCCCTTCCCAGCATCTGGGGTGTCCACCCAGGACACTAGCTTGGGGGACCCACTGGAGGAAGCGAACTCTTCAACTTTCCCAAGATCTCCCGTGAATTGCTGGCAGACCTGGGGCCAGAGCCCAGGCCCCACTCTCAGGCCAGCGCTGCTTCCTGGATCCTACCCCGCCTCCAGTGATAAGAGGGGGTGCCCTAGAGCACCCCCCACACCGCCGAAAATACACACTCTGTTTCTTACCTGCCACAACTCTTCGGATCTCACTCACAAAAGTCTGGAGGTAATATGGGACACCTGGGCTGTAATGGGACGAGAGCCCATGACCTCCGAAATCCATGGCAACGTAATAAAAGTCTGAAACAGAGAGAAGCGGGTTGGAGGGTAGGAAGAGGTGTCTATGCCAGCTGTCTCCCCGCCCTCCTCATTCCCCTGCAGACCTCCCCCCTCACCTTCCTGCCCACTTTCCCCCTGGCCTTCCCTTCAGCCCCAGCCTCACACCTTGCGGGAGAAGAGGGATGAGTCTGTCGAAGGAGCTGGCATTGTCCAGCCAGCCGTGCAGGCAGAGAACTGGAGGGCCCTGCAGGGAGCCCCAGGCTTTGGCTGCGATGTGGCCCCAGGGCACAGCCAGCTTCAGCTCTGAGATCAGACCTGAAAGACACAGCCGGGTCTTTCATTCCTTCATTCATTCACCCATGAAGCTGGTGCTCCCTGAGCCCCTTATCTCTGCCTGATGTGCTTGAGCCAGGGGCTCATGTCCAGAGGGACTCAGACCCTTAGCTGCCCCAGAAGGTTATGGGGAGAGAGTCAGACATGGGAGTGGAGACTCCCAGAGGAGGGACAGAGAAGTTAAGCCGGAAAAAGCTGTGACAGGCCTCAGAGCATGCACCCCATTTAAACTGGGGCAGAACCTTCTAGAATGTGCTGGGGCGGGGGCGCTGGTCAGGCCTGGACCCCATCACTTGCTGGCTGGGTAACCTTGGAGAAGTTACTAAAACGTCTTGAGCCTGTTTCCTTTCCTGTAAAACCGGAGTAAAGAAACAGCCCGTTTCCTAAGCCTTTCCCAAAGGCCAGAGGGGTGCCAAACCCTCATACACGCAGCAGGTGGGACCACTGTCACTCTCCCTCCACAGAGCAGGAAACTGAGGCACTGGGAGCTGCAGTACATGCCCAAGGTCACACTGGGCGACAAGGGCGGAGTGGAAATTTAGGGCAGGCGGTGGGACTCCAGGAACCCCCACCGCCCCCACATCTGGCAGCCTCCTCCGTCTCTGCAAGGCTGGAGACTTGCGCACCCCCGACACCCACGCGCACGCTCGGCTAACTCAGGGGCTCCTGGAACCCTGGGAGGCCACGTGCGGCCGTGTCCCGGGTCCCCCAACTCCTGGCCGGTCGCGCTCTCATGCCCCGGGACTGCCGAGGAAGGAGCTGCGACACCCAGGAGGGCGACGCGGTCGGCGAACCCTCCACTCCATCCCGCCCTCTTCTACTGTCCCAACCAGGTGGGTGGGCAGTGGGACGCTCGCACAAGGCCTCCCCGTCAGACCTGGTGCGGCGTTCTCACTCATCGCTCTCGTCCCGCGAATGCGCTGCTGTCACTCCCTCACGCCTGGCTAGGTCGCAGGAGCAGAGTGACGCCCGCAATTCCGGGCCCTATCTCCAAGCTGTCCTGCCCCGCCCTACCCCAGGCAGGCCCCGCAACTCCAGCAGTCCCCGCCCCCACTCAGAAGGCCCCGCCTTCCCACCGCCCTGCCCGAGCCCCGGCGGGCCCTGCTCCCACAGCCGCGGGCTCCACCCCAGGAAGGTCCACCCCCACCGCCAGGCCGCGCCCCCACCCGCCAGGCCCGGCCTTCCCGCCACACTGTCCGCGCCCACCGGCTTGGAACCCAGCAGGGCGCCAACCCCCGGGCAGTCCTGATGGCCGCCCCCACGTCCGCGCGGGACCAGACCCGGGGAGCAACCACAGCGAGTTGGGCCTCTGAATGCTCGCTGGCCCGCGCCGCAGGGCTGAAGGCTACCCTTTGTTTAGTGGCTTACTAGCCCCCTTGACGGACAGCCTGCGTCCACCGTGTCCCCACCGTGTCCTGGGATTCTCAGCAGAGCCTGGCACAAGCCAGTCTTAATAATTGTTGTACAGGCCGGGCGCGGTGGCTCACGCCTGTAATCCCAGCATTTTGGGAGGCCAAGGTGGGCGGATCACAAGGTCAGGAGATCGAGACCATCCTGGTTAACATGGTGAAACCCCGTCTCTACTAAAAATACGAAAAATTAGCCGGGCGAGGTGGTGGGCGCCTGTAGTCCCAGCTACTCTGGAGGCTGAGGCCGGAGAATGGCGTGAACCCGGGGGAGCGGAGCCAGCAGTGAGCCGAGATCGCACCACTGCACTCCAGCCTGGGCGACAGCGAGAGTCCGTCTCAAAAAAAAAAAAATTGTACAGGTGAACAAATGAATGTATAAATTGGGGACGTGGAGGAACCCTCCAGGTGAGGGATTATAAACAATATCTGCCTGGAAAGGATCGAAAACCCCAAGTTATGAAGAGGATGTTTGGGGTGAGCAGATTCATGCACTAAATCCTACAATGAAAGAGGGAAAGTGCACCCTTTGAGTCTGAAACAGTGGCAAGTCTAGGACAAATAAGAACAAGTACTGGTAGTGAATTCTCTTTTTTTTTTTTTTTTTTTTTTTTGAAACAGAGTCTCGCTTTGTAGCCCAGGCTGGAGTGCCGTAGCGCGATCTCGGCTCACTTAAACCTCCGCCTCCCGGATTCACGCCATTCTCCTGCCTCAGCCTCCCGAGTAGCTGGGACTACGGGCACCCACCACCACACCCGGCTAATTTTTCTTGTATTTTTTTTAGTAGAGACGGAGTTTCACCGTGTTAGCCAGGATGGTCTCGATCTCCTGACCTCGTGATCCCTCCGCCTCGGCCTCCCAAAGTGCTGGGATTATAGGCGTGAGCCACCACGCCTGGCCAAGTACTGATAGTGATTTCTTATAATTTTATGTTGCCTTGGCATCCATTTTGATAAGATTCAAATTTTTCCTACCAGAAGTAGGGCTCAGTCTGTGGGCGGCAAGCCACCCAGGTGCCAAGGCAAGAGACCGAGGGCACGAGCCGTACCAGTATAATAAAATATATAAAATAAGAATAGTTATACTAGATATAGATCATAGATATGATTATATATGAATATCATTAATCATTAGTTTGTAGCAATTACTCTTTATTCCAATATTATAATAATCCTCACTCTACAATCATAACCTAGGAAAAATCAGGCCATACAGGGATAGGAGCTGAGGGGACATAGCGAGAAGTGACCGGAAGACAGGAGTGCGAGCCTTCTGTTATGCCCAGACAGGGCCACCAGAGGGCTCCTTGGTCTAGCGGTAATGCCAGCGTCTGGGAAGACGCCCGTTGCCAAGCGGACCGTGGTCTAGCGGTAGCATCAGTGCCAAGGAGAAACACCTGCTACTTAGCAGACCGGGAAAGGGAGTCTCCCTTTCCCCGGGGTAGTTTAGAGAAGACTCTGCTCCACACCTCTTGTGGAGGGCCTGACTGATTGCCCACAGTTATCCGGAGGCCTAACCGTCTCCCTGTGATGCTGTGCTTCAGCGGTCACACTCCTGTTTCACTTTCATGTTCCACTCTGTACACCTGGCTCTGCCCTCTAGATAGCAGTAGCAAATTAGTGAAAGTACTAAAAGTCTCTGATATGCAGAAATAATGGTGTAAGCTGTCTCTCTCTCCTCTCTCTCTGCCTTGGGTGCCAGGCGGGGAAGGGCCCCCTGTCCCATGGACATGTGACCCACGTGAACTTATCTATCATTGGAGATGGCTCACACTCCTTACCCTGCCCCTTTGTCTTGTATCCAATAAATATCAGCACAGCCTGGCATTTGGGGCCACTACCGGTCTCTGCGTCTTGGTGGTAGTGGTCCCCTGGGCCCAGCTGTCTTTTATGTCTTTGTCTTGTGTCTTTATTTCTACAATCTCTCGTCTCTGCACATGGGGAGAAAAACCCACTGACCCTGTGGGGCTGGTCCCTACACAGTCACCCTTGGCAGTTTCCAGGTCTACACCACACCCAAAGGACTGCAGAGATAAGAAGTCAGAGGCCTGACAGGGTGGGAATAGGCTCAGGTCTGTAATCCAAGGCAGGAAGATTGCTTGAGGCCAGGAGTTCGAGACCAGGGCTGGGCAACATAGTGAGACCCACCCACCCCCACTACCACAACCACTCAAAAATAAAATAACGCTTAGAGGCATCTCTTCTGCCTAGCAGACTGCACTCCTGCTTTTCTGATGCTTCCTTTAAAAAGAACAGTCAGGCATTTGGTCAGCAAACTTATTGACCCATGATCATTCCCTTCTATCTGCTGTTAGTTGCCACGTGCTCTTTCTGCCTGACTCTTCACTCCTGCCTCCCGTGACCAGGGACGAGGACTTCCCTCCAGTCTCATTACACTTCCCTTGCCCAGGTTCTGTATTAAAAATCTTTGGACTTGTTTCCTCCCGCGGTGGTGGGTTGAATTTGCACTTTCCATCAGAACAACCAGGGGCTGCCCTAGGCCGGGCTCCCGGTGCCAGAGCAATGGTCAGGCAGCATAAACCAGACATGGGTCTCACCAGAGCCACTAGGGCCTTTCCCATGTGAGGGGCCTCTGGTCATAGGTCAGACACTAGGCATGAGGTTGTCCACTAGTTACAAGAAGTATCCTGTGAAAGGTGCACTGCACACATCCACGTCTAGCCCCCTACCTTTCTGCTTAGGGCAGGTTGCTGGCTGCTCTGGTACTGGAAGCCCAGTTTAGCTGGGGGCTCTCAAAACAGGACTTCCTGTTCCTTCACTACCATTTGCTAGTTGGAAGCTCTGGGAGTAAATGGGATGTGGTCCCTCGGGCTCCAGTCCAGCAGCGCTCATGAGTGGCGAGCTACAGTACAGCACGCTAAGGTGGGGAAAGATCTTTACAGCGAGTTCTCCCTAGACCGGGACAGGGGAGCCAACCCCTGGAGACAGAGAAGACCTTGGGCTGCAGAAGTTAAGGGAGCTTCCCGGTGGAGCCGCAATGCAGGGAAGGTTGTCAATGGCTAGAAAAAGTGGGCAAGGGCGGATGATGGACTGGAGCTTGGTGTGGCATTAGGTTACAACAGGCCTTGCATGTGGGGCCGAGGAGCTTGGCCCTTATTCTGAGTGGTGGGGCCCTGGGGAGGCTAGGGGCTGGGAGATGACAAAACTGCTTCTAGAAAGGTCCATGCACGGTACAGTCCATCAGCTCAGTAAACAGTTTGGCTTTCTATGGGCCTGGACCCTTTTACAAGTTATACAAGGGGTCAAAGATCCTGGAGTAACAGAGGCATTGAGGACATGACCCCTATGAGGTGGGTTGGTCTCTTTCCTCTTCTGCCCTGAGGACCCATTGGCAGACCCTCTTCACTGATGACACCAAATTTATGCCTGGGCGCCAGGCTCCAGCCTGACTCAGGGGTGGGGACCTGACCTCCATCTCAACCTGCTGTGGCTCTACCAGCCCCTTCAACACAGAGGCACCCACCCCCTCTGTCCAGCAGATTCGCGGCCTCAGTCCCCCACTTCCACCGCCCCCCCCCGCCCCCATCCTCATCTTCACACTCACATCCTGTTATCACACCTCAGCCTTTCCCCACCTGCCTCTCTTCACTTTCATTCCTGTGACCCTCCCCACCTCCCACCCCCTGGGCTGGCTAGCTCGTCGTCACCCCAAGAAGACAAGAGAAATCACTTTGTGCCATGCCACCAGCACCCCCCTGGAGCTCAGCTGTAGCTCCGATCTTACTTCCCTGTGTGGGAGTCTCCGCTGCTTCTCACCGCCTGCTGGAGGGAGGTGGATTCCTGCCCCAGCATGGAAAGCCTTCTCTGGAGCCCCTCTCTCTTTTATACCACATTTAACTCCAGGAATGTTGGGCTGCTCATTCTATGCACCTGCCCCCAGTTTTCACACTTCTGTATCTTTGCTTACACTGCTCCTTCAGCCCAGAACACAGTTCCCCTTTGCCTTTACCATTGAAATCATACCCTTCTTTTAAGGCATAGTTCAGAATCACCTGCTCCAGGAAGCGCTCTACGATCCTCCCAGGTGAAATGCATCTCCCCATCTCCATTACTGCTGCTGCCACCTGCCTCTCACCCCTATGTGGTGTTGCAGTCCATTGGGTCTGGCTGCCTCTCTGGCTGGATGTCTGCCCTAAAAAGTGGAAAAAGGTCTCATTCAACTTTGTTTTTCCCCATAGCGTCTACCAGAGGACCTTGCACACAGTAGGGCCTCAATCAATGTCTGCGGGTTGAAGTGGCTGAGAACTGCTAAGAACATCCTCTCCCAGTCTCCCTAAAAGGGCTCACAAAAGCAGCAGCAAGCGGGGGTGGGGGAGGGCGTGGATTCTGGAGGGCATGGATTCTGGCGGGAATTCTTAAGATGTTATCTTCTCACCCCTTTTTTATGTTAACATGGTAGCCACATCCAGAGACACAGGAGTGTATGAAGTGTTCACATAAACACTTGTGAGAGACAAAGGTTTCCCAGGAGTTCCTCCTTCATCAGCAAGACAAGGCCCCTAAGCTACGTCGGTGAAATAAAAACTGACACTAAATGCAATGTGGTATTCTGGACTGGACCCTGGAACAGACATGGCCAAGAACATTAGGTTTATTTATTTTTTTTGGTGAGACGGACATTTACTGTTGTTGCCCAGGCTTGAATGCAATGGCGCGATCTCGCTCACTGCATTCTCCGCCTCCCAGGTTCAATCGATTCTCCTGCCTTGGCCTCCCGAGTAGCTGGGATTACAGGTATGTGCCACCACGCCCGGCTAATTTAGTAGAGACAGGGTTTCACTGTGAAGAACATTAGATTTAAAGACAAACATACACAGGGGGTTAGCAAATATGTGTACTGTGAAACGTACAGTCATTTATTTATTTTTTTGAGACGTAATCTCTCTCTGTCGCCCAGGTTGGAGTGCAGTGGCGCGATCTCGGCTCACTACAACCTCCGCCTCCCAGGTTCCAGTGATTTTCCTGCCTCAGCCTCCTGAGTAGCTGGGATTACAGGCACCCTGCACCACGCCCAGCTAATGTTTGTATTTTTAGTAGAGATGGGGTTTCACCATATTGGCCAGGCTGGTCTCAAACTCCTGACCTCAGGTGATCCACCTGCCTCGGCCTCCCAAATTGCTGGGATTATAGATGTGAACCACCGCCCCCGGCCAAAATGTGTAATGCCCAACCTTGTTTTTTCCTTATTCACCTGGCCTTGTTTCTCCCTTAGCTAAGAGAACCAGACAAACTCCATCTTGACTCTTTCACTGGCAGCCCCTTCCTCAAGCACTTAACTCATGCAAGCTGACTCCCAGCACATCCAAGAATGCAATTAACTGATAAGATACTGTGGCAAGCTGTATCCGCAGTCGCCAAGAATTCATCTGATTGATAACGCCCAAAGCCCCGCGTCTATCACCTTGTAATAGTCTTAAAGCCCCTGCACCTGGAACTGTTCACTTTCCTGTAACCATTTATCCTTTTAACTTTTTGACTACTTAACTTCTGTAAAATTCTTTTAACTAGACCCCCCCCCCCACTTCCTAAACCAAGATATAAAAGTTAATCAAGCCTCTTCCTCAGGGCTGAGAGAATTTTGACCGTTAGCCGTCTCTCGGTCACCGGCTAATAAAGGACTCTAAATTCATCTCAAAGTGTGGCGTTTTTCTAACTCGCTCAAGTACAACAAATGTACAGTCATTAATGAGAGTGTTAATGAGCATGTTTTGCTTTGCTTTACCTTTTTTTTTTTTTTGAGACACGATCTTGCTCTGTCACTCAGGCTGGAGAGCAGTGGCTCAATCCCTGCTCACTGTAGCCTTGAACACCTGGGTTCAAGGGATCCTCACCTCAATCTCCCAGGCAGCTAGGGCTACAGGAATGGACCACGATGCCCAGCTAATCTTTCAATAATTTTTTTTTTTTTTGTAGAGATGGGGGTCTGACTACGTTGCCCAGGCTGGTCTCCAACTCCTGGCATCAAGCAGTCCTCCTGCCTCACCCTCCCAAAGCTCTGTGATTATAGGCATGAGTCACCGTGCCTGGCCTACTTTAATTAAAAAAATAAATTTTGGCCAGGCACGGTGGCTCATGCCTGTAATCCCAGCACTTTGGGAGGCCGAGGCAGGCGGATCACCTGAGGTCAGGAGTTCGAGACCAGCCTCAACATGGAGAAACCCCTTCTCTACTAAAAATACAAAATTAGCTGGGCGTGGTGGCGCATGCCTGTAATCCCAGCACTTTGGGAGGCCGAGGCAGGCGGATCACCTGAGGTCAGGAGTTCGAGACCAGCCTCAACATGGAGAAACCCCTTCTCTACTAAAAATACAAAATTAGCTGGGCATGGTGGCGCATGCCTGTAATCCCAGCACTTTGGGAGGCCGAGGCAGGCGGATCACCTGAGGTCAGGAGTTCGAGACCAGCCTCAACATGGAGAAACCCCTTCTCTACTAAAAATACAAAATTAGCTGGGCATGGTGGCGCATGCCTGTAATCCCAGCTACTCGGGAGGCTGAGGCAGGAGAATTGCTTGAACCTGGGAGGCGGAAGTTGCGGTGAGCACCATTGCACTCCAGCCTGGGCAACAAGAGTGAAACTCCTTCTCAAAAAAAAAAAGAAGAAATTTATTTCCCAGTCATGTATTTATCTAAAACATTTTTATATTCAATTTTCTTTCTTTCTTTCCTTCGTTCTTTCTTGCTTTCTTTCCTTTCTCTCTCTCTCGTTCCTTTTTTGAGACAGAGTCTCGCTCTGTTGTTGCCCAGGCTGGAGTGCAGTGGTGCAATCTCAGCTCTCTGCAACTTCTGCCTCCTGGGCTCAAGCAATCCTCCCACCTCAGCCTCCCAAGTAGCTGGTATTACAGGCATGTGCCATCAAGCCCAGCTAATTTTTGTATGTTTAGTAGAGATGGAGCTTCACCATGTCGGTCAGGCTGGTCTCGAACTCCTGACCTCAAGTGATTCGCCTGCTTTGGCCTCCCATAGTGCTGGGATTACAAGTGTGAGCCACTGGGCCTGGCTAGTTTCTTTTTCTTTTTAGAGAAAAGTTCTTGCTCTGTCACCCAGCCTGAAGTGCAGTGGCACAATCACAGTTCACTGCAGCCTCAAACTCCCGGGCTCAAGCAGTCCGCCCACCTCGGTCTCCAGAGTAGTTGGAACTACAGGCATGTGCCACTACACCCAGCTTCAACACATGCATTTAATGCTCTAAATTTCTTTTCTTTTTCTTTTGAGACAGGGTCTCATTCTATTGCCCAGGCTGACTGCAGTGGCACAATAACGGCTCACTGTAGCCTTGATCTCCTGGGCTCAAATGATTCTCCTACCTCAGCCATCCAAGTAGCTGAGACTACAGGCATGCACCACCACACCTGGCTAATTTTTGACTTTTTTGTAGAGATTGAGTCTTGAACTCCTGAGCTTAAGCAATCCCTCCACCTTAGCCTCTCAGAGTGCTGGGATTACAGGAATGAGCCGCCACATGGGCCTAATGCTCTTTTTCAAAAAATTTGTAGCTGTGTTCCATATAATTTGACATGCTGTATTTGCATTTTCATTGAGCTATTTTATTTTATTTTATTTTATTATTTTTGAGACAGAGTTTGGCTCTGTTGCCCAGGCTGGAGTGCAGTGGTGTGATTGTGGCTCACTGCAACCTCCACCTCTCAGGTTCAAGCAATTCTCCTGCCTCAGCCTCGCAAGTAGCTGGGATCACAGGTGCGTGCCACCAGGCCTGGCTAATTTTTGTATTTTTAGTAGAGATGAGGTTTCACCCCGTTGGCCAGGCTTGTCTCGATCTCCTGATCTCAAGTGATCTGCCCGCCTCCACCTCCCTAAGTGTTGGGATTACAGGTGTGAGCCACTGTGTCTGGCCTAATTTTTGTATTTTTGGTAGAGACAGGGTTTCACCATGTTGCCCAGGCTGGTCTCAAACTCCTGAGCTCAAGTGATCTGCCCACCTCAGCCTCCCAAAGTGCTGGGATTACGGGCATGAGCCACCGCGCCCAACAGGGCTACTTTGTTTTTACCCTGTCCCTGTCCACCCTATTTTCACCACCTGCTTTAAGAAACTTCCTCTTTGGCTGGATGTGGTGGTTCACATCTGTAATCCAGCATTTTGGGAGGCCAAAGCAGGCGGATCACCTGAGGTCAGGGGTTCAAGACCAGCCTGGCCAACATGGCAAAACCTTGTCTCTAATAAAAAATACAAAAATTAGCTGGGTGTGGTGGCGCATGCCTGTAATCCCAGCTACTCGGGAGGCTGAGGCAGGAGAGTCACCAGAACCCGGGAGGCAGAGGTTGCAGTGAGCCGAGATTGCGCCACTGCACTTCAGCCTGGGTGACAGAGCGAGACCCCATCTCAAAAAAAAAGAAAAAAAGGAGGTTGGCTGTGTACACTGTTCTGCACCTTAGCAATATATTCCTGAGCTTCTCCTATATTTGTCAAAAAAAAAAAAAAATCACAAAGCTGCCTCACTCTTTTTTATACTTGTGAAGTCTTCTGCTGGGTGACTATTCCACGGTTGTATTTGTCTATCCTCTACAGAGAGAATATTGGAATCTTGCCCATGTTTTGCTTTACAGACAATGCTCCAATGACTAGCATGGTCAGAGATAACCATGAGAGAACTTCCCAGAGGTGGGAGAGCCAGGGCAAAGGCTAAACACGTTTGTCATTTTCTAGATGTTTCCACATCACCAGACTGTCTTATTCTGCCTCCCTCCTGCACTAGACAAGCCTGCCTCCTTCCCTATGGCCTTGACAGATGACAGTATCCAGCTTTTGAAATTGTGTCAATTTGATAGGTGAGAAATTGTATCTTACAGTGCTTGGAATTTTTTTTCTTTTTATAAATTGGCTTAATCATCTTTTTATATATTTAAGGATCAGCTGTATTTTTTTTTTTTTTTTTTTTTGGAGACAGAGTCTCACCGTGTTCTCCAGGCTGGAGTGCAGTGGCGCGATCTCGGCTCACTGCAAGCTCCGCCTCCCGGGTTCACGCCATTCTCCTGCCTCAGCCTCCCGCGTAGCTGGGACTACAGGCGCCCGCCACCACGCCTGGCTAATTTTTTTTTTTTTTTTTTTTTTTTAGTAGAGAAGGGGTTTCACCGTGTTAGCCAGGATGGTCTCGATCTCCTGACCTTGTGATCCGCCCACCTTGGCCTCCCAAAGTGCTGGGATTACAGGCGTGAGCCACCGCACCCGGCCCAGGATCAGCTGTATTTGTAATGTCCTTTCCCTACTTTTTCTTTGTTTCCCCCCTGTATTTCTTAGAACTTTTTTTTTTTTTTGAGACAAGTTCTCGCTTTGTTGCCCAGGCTGGAGTGCAGTGGCGCAATCTCAGCTCACTGCAAGCTCTGCCTGTAATCCCAGCACTTTGGGAGGCTGAGACAGGTGGATCACCTGAGGTCATGAGTTCAAGACCAGCCTGGCCAACATGTTGAAACCCTGCCTCTAGTAAAAATACAAAAAATCCACCAGGCGTGGTGGCGCATGCCTGTAATCCCATCTACTTGGGAGGCTGAGACAGGAGAATTGCTTGAACCTGGGAGGCGGAGGTTGCAGTGAGCCAAGATTGCACCATTGCACTCTAGCCTGGGCGACAAGAGTGAAACTCCGTCTCAAAAATAAATAAAATAAATAAATAAATAATAAACCATAAAAAAATAAGCTCACTACTCGTGTTGCTGGAGTGGAGCCCATACCTTCCTTTTGGTTTGGTGCTTCGTGATTCATGAATTTGTTCTTTGCTCAAATAAACTGTTACATTTATTTTGTCCAAAGTTCTTCTTTTAAGACTGTGAAGGTATTTGATAGCTTTGATCAAAGTTTCCAATCAGTAGACATTAAGTAGAGATGGCCCTTCCTAACATGGTGGGCTTCATCCAGTGAGGTGAAGACCTTAAGAACAGGGCCGAGTGCAGTGGCTCACACCTGTAATCCCAACACTTTGGGAGGCCAAGGTGGGTGGATCACTTGAGCCCAGGGGTTCAAGACCAGCCTGGACAACATAGTGAGACACTGTCGCTAAAAAAAAATACAAAAATTAGCTGGCATGGTGGTGCACACCTGCAGTCCCAGCTACTCAGGAAGCTGAGGTGAGAGGATCACTTGAGCCTGGGAGATCGAGTTTGCACTGAGCCATGATTGCACCATTGCACTCCAGCCTGGGTGACAGAGTGAGACCCTGTCTCCAAAAAAAAAAAAAAAAAAGAGAGAGAGAGAGAACAAAAGCACAGGTTCTTGGAGAAGAAGAAATTCTGCTTCAAGTCTGTTCAAGACTGTGACATAGAGATCCTGCCTGAGTGTCCAGCCTGCAGCCTGCCTACAGATTTCAGACTTGCCAGACCCCACAATCTGTGAGCCAGTTCCTCAAAATAAATCTCAATCTCTGTCTCTCTCTTTCTATATATATATATAATACACACACACACACACACACACACACACACACACACACACAGTTGGTTCTGTTTCTCTGGAGAACCTGGAATGATACAGTTATCTAGTCATCTTGCTATCTAGATCAAGTGGCATATAATGGGGAAAAATGGCCATTCAAGGTTTTCATAGGGCTATGGACTGAATTGTGTGTGACCCCCCACCCCCCCCAAATTCAGGTGTTGAAGCCCCAATCCCCAGTGTGATTGTATCTGGAGACTCGGTCTTTAGGAGGTAATTAAGGTTAATCAAGTCATCATGGTGGGGCCCTAATCCAATAGGACTGTGGCTTTATAGGAAGAAGAAGATCTCCGTCTCTCCTCACCTCCCCCACGTGGAGAAACAGCAAGAAGGCAGCAGTCTGCAAGCCAGGGAAAGAGTCCTCACCTGAACCTGACCCTGCTGGCACCTTGATCTTGGACCTTCTATCTTTAGAACTGTGAGAAATTAAATTTAGGGTTTTTAAAATCTGCTCAGTCCACGGTTTTCATTATGGCAGCCTGAACTGATAGAGACACAGCAATACTTTCTGTCAGAAAAAACTGGAATAATACATTTAGGATACTCAAGACAAACACCAGCTAAGCCAGGATTTTATATCTGGTCAAACTAACTTTTTATTTATTATTTATTTATTTATTTTGAGACGGAGTTTCTCTCTTGTCACCCAGGCTGGAGTACAATGGGGTGATCTTGGCTCACCACAACCTCTGCCTCCCAGGTTCAAGCGATTCTCCTGCCTCAGCTTCCCGAGTAGCTAAGATTATAGGCACATGCCACCATGCCCGGTTAATTTTGTATTTTTAGTAGAGACGGGGTTTCTCCATGTTGGTCAGGCTGGTCTCGAACTCTCGACGTCAGGTGGTCAGCCTGCCTTGGCCTCCCAAAGTGCTTGGATTACAAGCGTGAGCCACCGCACCCGGCCTGGTCAAACTAACTTTTAAGTATAAAAATAGCAGTTGTCGGCTGGGTGCGGTGACTCACGCCTGTAATCCCAGCACTTTGGGAGGCTGAGGTGGGCAGATCATGAGGTCAGGAGATCGAGACCATCATGGCTAATACAGTGAAACCCCGTCTCTACTAAAAATACAAAAAATTAGCCAGACGTGGTGGCAGGCGCCTGTAGTCCCAGCTACTTGGGAGGCTGAGGCAAGAGAATGCCATGAACCTGGGAGGCAGAGCTTGCAGTGAGCTGAGATGGTGCCACTGCACTCCAGCCTGGGCGACAGAGCAAGACTCTGTCTCAAAAAAAAAAAAAAAAAATAGCAGTTGTCAAGCCAGATGCAGTGACTCATGCCTGTAATTCCAGCACTTTGGGAGGCCAAGGCAGGCGGATCACTTGAGGTCAGGAGTTCAAGACCAGCCTGGCCAACATGGCTAAACCACATCTCTACTAAAAATACAAAAACAGCTGGGCGTGGTGGCGCACGCTTGTAATTTCAGCTACTCAGGGGGCTGAGGCAGGAGAATTGCTTGAACTTAGGGGATGGAGGTTGCAGTGAGCCCAGGTCGTGCCACTGCACTGCAGCCGGGTGACAGAGTGAGTTACAAAGAAAAAAAAATAGCAGATTGTCACCAATGTGCAGGAACCCAGAGAATATTGTTCCCAAAGACTTTCCTGAGGAATTACGAGAAAATAAGCGTCAGACAACCAAAGAGACTAAAAAGACATTGACATTAGCCTGGTGTGAACATTAAAGATACATTTACATGGAGAACCAAGAGAAGATGAGGAGTAAAAGGGAGAGTATGGAGTGTAATGGTTACATTCGCCAACAACATAGACAAAGTTTAGCTATAAACAGGGGGAGAAAATGGTGTGGGCATATCTTTAAAATGTTGTTTTTTTTTTTTTTTTTTTTGGCCAGGCATGGTGGCTCAGGCCTGTAATCTCAGCACTATGGGAGGCCGAGGCGAATGGATGGCTTGAGGTCAGGAGTTCGAGACCAGCCTGGCCAACATGGCGCAACTTCATCTCTACTAAAATACAAAAATTAGCTGGGCGTGGTGGTTGGTACCTCTAATCCCAGCTACTTGGGAAGCTGGGGCAGGAGAATCACTTGAACCCAGGAGGTAGAGGTTGCAGGGAACCAAGATCGCACCATTGCACTCCAGCCTGGGTGACAGAGCAAGACTCCGTCTCAAAAATAATAATAATAATACTAAAATAAAATTTTTTGGAACTGTTTTTAGTGATCATATGGACTGGTAATGTTAAATTTTTATTCTAACAATGTTTTCGAACATGGGACAAAGCAATTAGTAATTATGTGATATTCAAATTCTATCATCCCCAGTGGCCAGAGAACTGAATTCCTGGTGTAGGGAAAAGGAGTTACAGATGTGAAATAGAAGAGAATGAGTAACATCTTGTCTCCTGAATTTGAATCAGAAGTATCAGTATGTTTCATGAGGCATCTTATCTTAAAAAAAATACACAAATTCACATACACACACACACACACAAACACCTTGTAGCTGTGTACTTTGAAAGAGTCTTAACAAAAACATAAAAAGCTTAATCTGATTAGCACTCTAGATGCAATGATCAATTTATAGGAAGAAAAAAGAAACCTGTTAACCTATACCACAAGAATGTAACCAGCAAAATCCAGACTATGGGAAGTGATACAAATTAACCATCCCAAATTTTTCAATAAAAAATTGAGAGAATAAAGAGATGCAGGGGGAATCTATAGATTGAAAGAGACTCTTAAAAGCAGGCAGTACTAACTATAATATTTAGGGAGGCTATATTAATTTTCTATGCTATGCAACAAATTACTACAAATTTAGCAGCTTTTTTTTTTTTTTTTTTTTTTGAGATGGAGCCTCACTCTGTTGCCAGGCTGGAGTGCAGTGGCGCGATCCTGGCTCACTGCAACCTCTGCCCCCGGGTTCAAGTGATTCTCCTGCCTCAGCCTCCCGAGTAGCTGGGATGACAGGCATGCGCCACCACATCCAGCTAATTTTGTATATTTAGTAGAGACGGGGTTTCACCGTGTTAGCCAGGCTGATCTCGAACTCCTGACCTTAGGTGATCAGCCCGCCTTGGTCTCCCAAAGTGCTGGGATTAGGGGCAGGAGCCACTGCTCCTGGCCCTTTTTTTTTTTTTTTTTGAGCCAGAGTTTCGCTCTTGTTGCCCAGGCTGGAGTGCAGTGGCACGATCTCAGCTCACTGCAACCTCCGCCTCCTGGGTTCAAGCCATTCTCCTACCTCAGCCTCCAGAGTAGCTGGGATTACAGGCACCCACCACCACACCCGGTTAAGTTTTTGTATTTTTAGTAGAGACAGGGTTTCATCATGTTGGCCAGGCTTGCTTCAAACTCCTGACCTCAAGTGATCCACCCTCCTCGGCCCCTCAGAGTACTGGGATTACAGGGGTGAACCACAGTGCTGGGCCCAGAATCCATTTTGAAGTGGAGCCAACAGGATTTGCTGCTGGGTGTTGTGAGAGTGGGAGGAGTCAGGGATGACGCACGGGTGTTGGCCTGAGCAGCTGGAGGAAGTGAGTTGCCGTGAGCTATGGGCACAGCCAGAGCTGGCTTTGTTGACTGTTTTATCTGATGCTGACCAGCCACTGACCTACTCTTCCTACAGATACATTGAGACTATCACACCGAGGGCCCACGGGCTTCGCTGGTCCGAGACCAAGTGTCCTTTCTCTTGAAGTGTTTGCATAATGTCTGCTTCAATGCACTGTAGGTGGTGTGCACTGTAGAGTTTCACTCTCAGGAGGAAATTTATTCCACAACGGTAGCTGCACGTGTCTACCCAAAGATATTAACTTGCTGTGTTACCGACTCCTAGCATTCCTTAGGACTGTATGGCTTTGAACTTCATCTGAGGCTTCTACACTCTGTGGCTTTGACTTGGCCCTCCTCTGCTACCTGTGGTGATTCTTAGGGGCTGGTACAATTCTTTTTTGTTGTTGTTGTTGTTGTTGAGACGGAGTCTTGCTCTGTTGCCCAGGCTAGAGTACAACGGCGTGTGATCTTGGCTCGCTGCAACCTCTGCCTCCTGGGTTCAAGCGATTCTCCTGCCTCAGCCTCCCGAGTAGCTGAGATGACAGGCATGTGCCACCACATCCAGCTAATTTTGTATATTTAGTAGAAACGGGATTTCACCATGTTAGCCAGGCTAATCTCGAACTCCTGACCTTAGATGATCCGCCCGCCTTGGTCTCCCAAAGTGCTGGGATTAGGGGCATGAGCCACCGCGCCTGGCCCTTTTTTTTTTTTTTGAGACAGAGTTTCACTCTTGTTGCCCAGGCTGGAGTGCAGCAGTGCAATCTCGGTCCACTGCAACCTCCGCCTTCCAGTTTTCAAGTGATTCTCCTGCCTCAGCCTCCTAGGTAGCTGGGATTACAGGCACCCACCACCATGCCTGGCTAATTTTTTGTATTTTTAGTAGAGACGGGGTTTCACCATGTTAGCCAGGATGGTCTTGATCTCCTGACCTCATGATCCGCCCGCCTTGGCATCCCAAAGTGCTGGGATTACAGACATGAGCCACTGCGCCTGGCCTTTTGTATTTTTTAGTAGAGACGGGGTTTCACCATGTTGTCCAGGCTGGTCTTGAACTCCTGACCTCGTGATCTGTCCACCTTGGTGTCCAAATTGCTGGGATTACAGGCGTGAGCCACGGCGCCCAGCTGTTTTTTGTTGTGGGTGGTGGTGGTGGTTTGTTTTGTTTTGTTTTTGAGACAAGATCACCCAGGCTAGGGTGCCGTGGAGCAGTCATGGCTCACTGCAGCCTTGAACTCCTGGGCTCAAGCCATCCTCTTGCCTCAGCCTCCTGAGTAGCTGGGACTACAGGCACACACCATTACACCAAATTCAGTAGCTTCAAATAACACCCATTGTTAGCTCACAATTCGGTAGGACTGTAATGGATTGAATCATGACTCGTTCTCCCCACCAAATTCACATGTTGAAGTTCCAACTCCTACTACCTCAGAATGTCATCTTATTTGGAGATAGGTTCTTCTCAGAGGTGAACAAGTTAAAATCAAGATATCAGGCTAGGCCATATTCCAATATGACAGGTGTCCTTAGGAAAAAGGGAAATTTCATTATACACATCCAGAGAGAACATCAAATAGAAACGATGTGGTTATTTATTTATTGAATCAGAGTTTCACTCATGTTGCCCAGGGTGGAGTGCAATGGCACGATCTCAGCTCACTGCAACCTCCGCCTCCTGGGTTCAAGCCATTCTCCTACCTCAGCCTCCCGAGTAGCTGGGATTACAGGCGCCCACCATCACACCCGGCTAAGTTTTTGTATTTTTAGTAGAGACGGGGTTTCATCATGTTGGCCGGGCTGGTTTCAAACTCCTGACCTCAAGTGATCCACCCTCCTCGGCCCCTCAAAGTACTGAGATTATAGGGGTGAACCACAGCACTGGGCCCAGAATCCATTTTGAAGTGGAGCCAACAGGATTTGCTGCTGGGTGTTGTGAGAGTGGGAGGAGTCAGGGATGACGCACGGGTGTTGGCCTGAGCAGCTGGAGGAAGTGAGTTGCCGTGAGCTATGGGCACAGCCAGAGCTGGCTTTGTTGACTGTTTTATCTGATGCTGACCAGCCACTGACCTACTCTTCTTACAGATACATTGAGACTATCACACCGAGGGCCCACGGGCTTCGCTGGTCCGAGACCAAGTGTCCTTTCTCTTGAAGTGTTTGCATAATGTCTGCTTCAATGCACTGTAGGTGGTGTGCACTGTAGAGTTTCACTCTCAGGAGGAAATTTATTCCACAGCTGTAGCTGCACGTGTCTACCCAAAGATATTAACTTGCTGTGTTACCGACTCCTAGCATTCCTTAGGACTGTATGGCTTTGAACTTCATCTTGAGGCTTCTACACTCTGTGGCTTTGACTTGGCCCTCCTCTGCTACCTTTGATGATTCTCAGAAGCTGGTACAATTTCTTTTTTTTTGTTTGTTTGTTTTATTTTTTTGAGACAGAGTCTTGCTCTGTTGGCCAGGCTGGAGTGCAGTGGTGCGATCTCGGCTCACTACAAGCTCCGCCTCCCGGGTTCATGCCATTCTCCTGCCTCAGCCTCCGGAGTAGCTGGGACTACAGGCGCCCGCCACCATGCACAGCTAATTTTTTGTTTTTTTTAGTAGAGACGGGGTTTTACCGTGTTAACCAGGATGGTCTCGATCTTCTGAGCTGGTGATCTGCCCGCCTCGGCCTGCCAAAGTGCTGGGATGGGAGTCTTGCTCTGTCGCCCAGGCTAGAGTGCAGTGGCGCCATCTCGGCTCACTCCAGTTCTGCCTCCTGGGTTCACGCCATTCTCCTGCTTCAGCCTCCAGAGTAGCTGGGACTACAGGCAGCCGCCACCACACGTGGCTAATTTTTGGTATTTGTAGTAGAGACGGGGTTTCACCGTGCCCGGCCATAGTTATTCGTATGTTTATTGTTATTATTTTGTCTTTTTTTAATTTTTAGAGACAGGGTCTTGCTGCATTGCCCAGGTTGGAGGGCAGGGGCTATTCATAGGTGCGATCCCAGCCCACTGCAGCCTCAACTCCTGGCGTTGAGCGATCCCCCACCCCAGCCTCCCAAGTAGCTGGGATTACAGACACATGCCATTGTGCCCAGCTTGTATGTGTTTTCTGGGGTCATCCATTCCTTTAGCAAAAATGTGTTGAGCACCGGTGGAGCAGCAGTGCACCTGCCCAGGAGGCCCATGGCATGAGGCCGAGTGCAAACAGAAAGGGAGAGTAATTTCCTGGACTTTTACGAAGTGAGGCCCAAGGTTTGAACAGAATGCCCTGGTGAAAGGTTAGCTCATAGACCCCGGTGTGAGTTGAACTCTTAACCTTGTGGAGCAATAAATGAAGGCCTCCAGATATGAAATGATTTGCTTGGTGTCTCCTGCCTGCAACCTGTACATTTTTCTTCTAGACCATGCCTATTGTATTCTTGATTTTTTTTAAAAGACTATTTTGGGGAAACAGTTTTAAGTTCACAGCATAATTGAGAGGAAGGTACATTTATATGATTTTTAAACCTTGGAGGAAGAGGAAATTTTTTTTTTTGAGAGAGAGAGTCTCCCTCTGTCACACAGGCTGGAGTGCAGTGGCATGATCCCGGCCCACTGCAACCTCCGCCTCCCAGGTTCCAGTGATTCTCCTGCCTGTAATCCCAGCACTTTGGGAGGCTGAGGCATGCATATCGCTTGAGGGCAGGAGTTCGAGACCAGCCTGGCCAACATAGTGAAACCCTGTCTCTACTAAAAATACATAAATTACCCAACATGGTGATGCACAACTGTAATCCCAGCTACTCGGGGGGCTGAGGCATGAGAATTGCTTGAACCCGGGAGGCGGAGGTTGCAATGAGCCCAGATTGTGCCATTGCACTCCAGCCTGGGCAATAGAGCAAGACTCTGTCTCAAAACAAACAAACAAACAAAAAGTCTCAGAAAGGGAAATGAGCCATTGCAGAGAACAACTGTGTTTTGTGAGCGGGTCCCAACAATGCCACCACCAGGAGCGGGTGCCGCCCGCTCGGCCCCTGCAGAGCCGGGGACCTCAGAGGAAGGGGTGCAGGTGGCGGGGAGGGCCAGGCTGCAGATGCGGGGCCTCATTTTGTTTCCTTGTAAAGTGAATTCCCCAAAGGGTTCTGATGCTTTTGCTTGGCAGAGCAAGGGAAAATAAGACATTTTAAATGGATTCCATTGTCTTTCCTGGTGACAGAGCAGCCTCCCCAGCGTGTTTCCGTGTCTCTGTAGCCCCGTGAGAGCAGTTGCTCCCTTCTCCTCTTAAAACGCGGCAATAATGAGTCAGAAGAAAAAGTGCTTGTTGCCAAAGGCTGATTATTATAGGTCTCCGAGCATTCTGCATCCACCTGCTGAGGAAATCATGGCTTTGAGTGTGCAGAGATTTATTGCCATGCAAGTTCATTTGCAAGTTTAGAAGATAGGAACAGACTAATATTGAACTACAGAGGCAAAGATGGTAGAGTGTTTGAAGGGGTGCAACACAATTTTAAGATCCAGCCAATTCTCCCTCTCATCTCTCCTTCCCAACCCAAGGGCAATAACATCCCGCATCCCCAGGGCCATGCTCTGCATAGCTCTATGTAGCTGGCACATTCTCTAGGACTTGAGCTAACTGGAGCTTGGGGTCCTTGGCGATGACAAGCATGATATGCAGGGCAGCTCTCATCTCACAAGACCAGCTGGTAGGAAGCCCTTCCAAGACGTGGGTGGCCCTGAGCTTGAGCTTAGCTCAGGCAAAGTGGGAGATTGGAAAGAGAAGTGGAGGCAGGCTGGCCATCTTCCTTTTCTCACACACCTGCTGTGGCCTTGAGGAAGTCCTGTAAACTTTCAGGGCCCCAACTACCTCCTTCTCCAAATGGCTAGTGGCCTCCTTGAGCTCCTTGAGTAGGGCCACAGGCCACAGCAGTGAGAGTCCGCTGGGGGGTGATGAAGTTTTAGGGAGCCCAAGGCAAAGCAGCACACAGTGTGAAATACCATTTCATAGCATGAGCTTGTGTGTATGCCAATTAGCTGGTATAAAGATCAAGGCCAGGCATGGTGGCTCATGCCTGTAATCCCAGCACTTTGGGATTCTGAGGAGGTGGATCTCTTGAGCCTAGGAGTTTGAGACCAGCCTGGCCAACATGGTGAAACGCTGTCTCTACAAAAAATAATAATAATAATAATTAGCCGGGCATGGTGGCAGGTGCCTGTAACCCCAGCTATTTAGGAGGCTGAGACAGGAGGATCACTTGAGCCAAGGAGGTCAGGGCTATAGTGAGCCATGATCACACCACTGCACTTGAGCCTGAGACTCTATGTAAAAAAAAAAAAAAAAAGAAAAGAAAAAAAGACAAACCAACAAAACAAAATAAAACAAAACAAAACTCAGACTCTACCCAGGGTTTCTAAGATGAACACTTACAGAGGGATGTGGACCTGAAAGGAAGTATCTGGAGAATTTTAACTGCATTCAGTCTGCTTTGAAACTGTGTATGGGTAAAAATGGGTCCAGTTGCCATCACAGGCTGGGGGAGAGCTGGCAGGTGATGGGGAGGAGGGCAGCTCACATGCAGAATCATGATCAAGCAAAGCGGGTCTAGGAAGGTGGCTCCGGGTTCGCGGAGCTCAAAGAGAGCGGATGAGGGTAGGTGGGGGAGGCTGGGCCAGGGAGGAGGCCTAGGGAACGGCAGGTGCTCTGAGTTGGAAAGCGCCCCCAAGAAATTCATGGCTACCTGGTACCCATGAATGTGACCTTATTTGGAAATAGGGTCTTTGCAGTTGTAATCAAGTTCAGATGAGGTCACACCTGTAGGGGCCAGCCTTACAGGGTCTGTGGGTTTTTCTCCCCATGTGAGGAGACGAGAGATGGTAGAAATAAAGACACAAGACAAAGAGATAAACGAAAAGACAGCTGGGCCCAGGGGACCACTACCACCAAGACGGGGAGATCGGTAGTGGCCCCAAATGCCTGGCTGCACTGTTATTTATTGGATACAAAGCAAAAGGGGCAGGGTAAAGAGTGTGAGTCATCTCCAATGATTGACAAGGTCACGTGAGTCATGTGTCCACCAGACAGGGGGCCCTTCCCTGTTAGGTAGTCGAGGCGGAGAGAGAGAGGACAGCTTACGTCATTATTTCTTCTATGCTCTTTTCAGAAAGATCAAAGACTTTAATACTTTCACTAATTTGCTACTGCTATCTAGAGGGCAGAGCCAGGTGTACAGAGTGGAACATGAAAGTGAAACAGGAGTGTGACCGCTGAAGCACAGCATCACAGGGAGACGGTTAGGCCTCCGGATAACTGTGGGCGATCAGTTAGGCCCTCCACAAGAGGTGTGGAGCAGAGTCTTCTCTAAACTACCCCGGGGAAAGGGAGACTCCCTTTCCCGGTCTGCTAAGTAGCAGGTGTTTCTCCTTGGCACTGATGCTACCACTAGACCACGGTCCGCTTGGCAACGGGCGTCTTCCCAGACGCTGGCATTACCGCTAGATGAAGGAGCCCTCTGGTGGCCCTGTCCGGGCGTGACAGAGGGCTCACACTCTTGTCTTCTGGTCACTTCTCACAGTGCCCCTTCAGTTCCTATCTCTGTACGGTCTGGTTTTTCCCAGGTTATAATTGTAGAGCAAGGATTATTATAATATTGGAATAAAGAGTAATTGCTACAAACCAATGATTAATGATATTCACATATAATCATATCTATGATCTATATCTAGTATAACTCTTATTATTTTATATATTTTATTACACTAGAACAGCTCGTGCCCTCAGTCTCTTGCCTCGGCACCTGGGTGGCTTGCCGCCCACACACACCCTCATCCAATGACTGGCATCCTTAGAAGAGGAACAGGTGGACACAGAGACTGCCCCAGAGGGACAATAGCCATGTGAAGACGGAAGCAGAGGTCAGAGCGATGCTCCCACAAGCCCGGCAATGGCAGCGATTGCAGGTGTCTTCGTCTGCTGTGGCTGCTAAAGAAGATGTGGTAGACTGGGAGGCTCAAACAACAGATATTTGTTTCTCCTAGTTCTGGAGACTGGGAAGTTTGAGATCAAGGTACTGGGAAGTTTGAGATCAAGGTGCTGGAAGGTTCGGTTCAATCTGGTGAGGGCCTCTTCCTGGTTTTAAGGATGGCTGCCTTCTTACTTTGGACCTCACATGGCAGAGGGGGGTGAAGAGAGAGAGGCAGAGAGATTGATGATGTCCCCTGTCTCTTTTTTTTTTTTTGGAGATAGAGTCTTACTCTGCCACACAGGCTGGAGTGCAGTGGCATGATCTCAGTTTACTGCAGCCTCTGCTTCCTGAGTTCAAATGATTCTCCTGCCTCAGCCTCCGGAGTAGCTAGGATTACAGGCACCCCCCACCATGCCCGGCTCATTTTTTGCATTTTTAGTAGAGATGGAGTTTCGCCATGTTGGCCAGGCTGGTCTCGAACCCTGACCTCAAGTGATCCACCAGATGTAGGGTCCAGCCCTACAGGGCTTGGCGGGTGTTCTCCCCATGTGCGGAGATGAGAGATCGTAAGAAATAAAGGCACAAGACAAAGAGATAAAGAGAAAACAGCTGGGCCCGGGGGGACCACTACCACCAAGACACGGAGACCGGTAGTGACCCCAAATGGCTGGGCGCACTGTTATTTATTGCATACAAGACAAGGGGAGCAGGGTAAGGAGGGTGAGTCGTCCAAGTGATTGATAAGGTCGAGCAAGTCACGTGATCATAGGACAGTGAGCCTTTCCCTTATAGGTAGCTGAAGCAGAGAGGGAAGGCAGCATACGTCGGCGTTTTCTTCTATGCACTTATCAAAAAGATCAAAGACTTTAAGACTTTCACTATTTCTTCTACCGCTATCTTCTAAGAACTTCCAAGAGGAACCAGGAGTACGGGAGGAGCATGCAAGTGGACAAGGAGCGTGAGCATTGAAGGACAGCACCACAGGGAGGGGTTTAGGCCTCCGGATGACTGCGGGCAGGCCTGGACGATATCCAACCTCCCACAAGAAGGTGGTGGAGCAGAGTGTTCCCTGACTCCTCCAAGGAAAGGGAGACTCCCTTTCACGGTCTGCTGAGGAACGAGTGCCTTCCCAGGCACTGGTGTTACCGCTTGACCAAGGAGCCCTCAAGCGGCCCTTATGCGGGCGTGACAGAGGGCTCACCTCTTGCCTTCTTGGTCACTTCTCACAATGTCCCTTCAGCACCTGACCCTATATCCGCCAGTTATTCCTTGGTTATATTAGTAATACTACAAAGAGTAACATTAAAAGCTAATGATTAATAATGTTTATACTGATGATTGATAACGTCCATGATCATCTCTGTATCTAATTTGTATCATAATTATTCTTATTCTGTTTTTTTTTTATCATACTGAAACAGTTTGTGCTTTCAGTCTCTTGCCTCAGCACCTGGACAGTCCTCCACTCACACCTCAGCCTCTCAAAGTGCTGGGATTACAGACATGAGCCACCGCACCTGGCGTCCCCCATCTCTTCTTATAAGGGCACTCATCCCATCATGGCATCAGGGGGCCCTATCCCCATGACCTCATCTAACCCTAGTTACCTCCCAAAGATCTCACCTCCTAATACCATACCTAACTGGGGGTTAGGGTTTCAACAGATGAATTTTGGGGGGACACATATACTCGATTCATAACAGCCAAGAACCACCAGAAGCTAGAAGAGGTGAGGAAGGATCCCTTTCTTGATGTGACACCTTCATTTTAGACTTCTGGCCTCTGGAACTGTGAGAGAATAAAGTCTGTTGTTTTAAGCCACCCAGTTCATGGTCATTTTACTTTAGCTGTGGTAGAAAGCCCAGGAAAAAGTCTCCAGAGTGAGCTGGGGGACACACCTGCCCCTCACACCCTTGGCCATGGTCACCCAAGGGTCTCCTTTCCTCCTCATTCCTCCTCCTTCTTCCACCAGGGGCACGGGCACCATCCAAGTGCAGTCTCTGCAGGCGGGGGAGACTCCTGCACGGACTTCCTGCAGAGTCAATTCTGTAGTAGACACCAGTCGGGTGTCCTCTGCTTCCACTCAGTCCCAACACTGTCTACCTGGAGATGTCCTCAGGTCCCGCAGGTTGAGGACTTCGTCCCACAAGACCTGAGCCACACTCCCAAAACTGATCCCAAGCCCAGGTTATTTTGAGTCTCTCCTTCTCCTTCTTCTCCTTCTCCTCCTTCTCCTTCTCCTTCTCCTCCTCCTCCTCCTCCTCCTCCTTCCTCTTCTTCTTCTTCTTTCTTCTTCCAGGGTCTCACTGTGTTGCCCAGGCTGGAGTGCAATGGTGTGATCTTGGCTCACTGCAGCCTCCACCTCCCAGGTTCAAGCGAATCTTCTGCCTCAGCCTCTCCAGTAGCTGGGACTACAGACATGCACCACCATGCCCCACCAATTTTTGTATTTTTAGTAGAGATGGTGTTTCACCATGTTGGCCAGGCTGGTCTTGAACTCCTGACCTCAAGGGATCCATCCACCTCAGCCTCCCAAAGTGCTGGGATTACAGGAGTGAGCCACCGTGCCTAGCCTATTTTGTGTTTGCTTCTGACCAACCAGCCGTAAATTGGGGTTCCCACAGCCCTCTCTTTGGGTTCAATTCACTTGCTAGAGAGGCTCAGAACTCAGGGGAACACTTACTCAGGTTTACCATGTAGGGGTGAAGGGAAAACTTCCCCTTCGCCCTCTGAAGGTTCACGGAAAATCAACTCTCAAAAGGCAGATGAATAGGAGAAAGGGATGCGCATTTATTTGATTATAGTTTTACCTGTCACAGGAGACTTCGGAATGAAGACCCAAAGATACAGGGGAAATTGTCCATTTTCATGCTGAGGTTCAACACAGTATGGGCAGCTGTGGAGACATAGGATTGGACAAAAATGATCTGATCTAATGCTAGCAGATGGAGTGGGGAACCCAGCAGGGCCTGTCTGGCTAGATTCCTCCTGGCCTCTCTGAGCTGAGTTCCTTCCTTCTGAGTGTGGGGAGGACAGTCTCTGGAATGCGGGTCTTATTATTTTTTGAGACAGTCTTGCTCTGTGGCCCAGACTGGAGTGCAGTGGCGTGATCTCGGCTCATTGCAACCTCCGCCTCCCGGGTTCAAGCGATTCTCCTGCCTCAGCCTCCTGAGTAGCTGGGATTACAGGTGCATGCCACCACGCCTGGCTAATTTTTGTGGTTTTAGTAGAGATGGGGTTTCATCATGTTGGCCTGGCTGGTCTTGAACTCCTGACCTCAGGTCTACCCACCTAAGCCTCCCAAAGTGTTGGGATTACAGGCGTGAGCCACGGCGCCTGGCCTGGAATGGGGGTCTTATGGTCTACAGTCAAACAAAGTAGGCCAGAGAATTTCTTTATGGCCAGTTTTTGCACAGATAGGGCAGAGGGGAAGTTAGAGTCATATTTTAGGTTGTATGGCTGGTTTGGGGGAAAGGGGTTCTGGTTTCTATGACTCACCCTGAGGAAGAGAGATTCTAGTTTCTATGGCCAGCCTCAGGGCAGAATGAGGGGCCACAGACAGGAGGGCAAGAGAAGGTCAGAGAAACTCCTTCGCATGGATGACACAGACCCCCATCTCCAGGCCTGAAAGCACCAGGACTAGGAGGAAAAGCAGCCCCCACTCAAGAAGGTGGCAGCGGGGCACAGATGAGAACAATGCTGCAAAATTTGTGTCTACCCTTGGAGCAGACCAGACCAGATACAGAGTTTCAGCTGACGGGAGCCGGTCCCTGGCTGGTGCTACCCTCCTCCCCACCCTGGCCTGGAGTCCTGCAGCATGCCCCAGAAACAGTGCCAGCAGCCAGGCCGGAGGAAGTGGTGCCCAGCCGTGCAGACACGGCTGGCTGGAGGGAGCCCTGGACATTATGACTGTCATGGGGCCTTCGTCCACTAAAAAAAAAAAAAAAAAAAAGTAAAAATTGTATATTATGCCTGCATGGCTAAAAAGATGAAAATAACCAGGCTGGGCTGCTTATAAATCAGTTACATGTTTTTTTCTGGTTTTAATAGAAATTAAGACGTTTTTGTGGGCCCACAGTGCCCCTCAGGCACAGTGCCTGCTGAGCCGAATGTGGATGTGGGCTCTGCCTCTGGGGTTAGTGTCAGGAAACTCCTGCTTCTTCCCTTGCAGGATCAGCAAGGGGTCACTCTGGCTTTCCTCATGGCAAAGAAACTTCCCATGGGCACCTGCACACACCCCAGGCCTCCTCCCTGCCAAGGCAGGGATTCCTGTGCCACCTGCTGGGGAGGGCAGCCCAGCAAATGAGCCAGCTGCATGGGTGGGAGTTGGTGACTGTTCTTCGTTTTCTGCAATGGTTCATTTTTTGTGTCAACCTGTTGGAGCCATGAGGTGCCCAGTATTTGGTTCAACATGATTCTGGGTCTGTCTGTGAAGGTGTTTCCAGAAGAGATAAGCATTTGCATCAGTAGACTGAGTAAAACAGATGGCCCTCCCCAGTGTGGATGCGCCTTGTCCAATCCATTGAAAGCCTGATGGGAACAAAAGACAGAGTGTGGTGACGCATGCCAGTAGTCCCGACCACGCAGGAGGCTGAGGCAGGAGGATCGCTTGAACCCAGGAGTTGCAGACCAGCCTGGGCAACGTGGCGAGACCTCATCTCTACAAAAACATAAAAAAAAAAAAAATTGAGACGTGGCACACTTGTAGTCCCAGCTACTCAGGAGGCTGAGGCAAGAGGATCATTTGAGCCTGGGATATCGAGGCTACAGTGAGCCACGTTCACACCACTGCACTCTAGCCTGGACTACAGGGCAAAAGTCTGTCTCTTAAAAAAAAAAAAAAAAGGCCCGGTGTGGTGGCTCACTCCTGTAATCCCAGCACTTTGGGAGGCCAAGGCGGGTGGATCACCTGAGGTCAGGAGTTCAAGACCAGCCTGGCCAACATGGTGAAACCACGTCTCTACTAAAAATACAAAAATTAGCCGGGCATGGTGGCAGGCATCTGTAATTCCAGCTACTCAGGAGGCTGAGGCAGGGAGAATTGCTTGAACCCGGGAGGCGGAGGTTGCAGTGAGCCCATATTGCACCACTGCACTCCAGCGGTATACTCTGGGTGCCATCACTTAGCTCCTCGGACCTCCTCAGTATCCTAATCACCCTCAGCAGATGGCCTGGAGATTGGCTTCTTAGTTTTAAATTCTAGGACCATCTACAAGCTTGCTTTTGGTAAGTCACTACAGACAAATACCAGTTAAAGCACTCAGGAAGATTCAAGCTCCAGTGAAATACTATGCATTGCCTAAAGCATATTCCTGGGTGAAAGAGCAAGACTCCTTCTCAAAAAAAAAGAAAAGAAAAGAAAAAGAAAAAGTAAGATAGAATTCACTCCATCTGCCTGACTGTGAGCTGAGCTGGGATACTGGTCTTCTCCTGCCTTTGAACTTGGACTTGGACTGCAATGACACTGTCGGCTCTCCTGGTTTTCTTTTGCTTGCTGACTGTAGATCCTGGGACTTCTCAGCCTGAGCTCAGCCAGGGCTGCATTTAGGCAGAAGTAGGGCTCAGGGTAATTAGATGGGGCAGATGGGGCTCCTCATCTATTTTGGGGCAAGTCAAGCTAAGACACCTCCTTGAGAATGGCTCTGCAGAGAACTGCCTGACCCCAGGCAGTAAGAGGTGAAGCTGCCACGCCTTCTCCTAATTCAGGAGCAGAGTCTTTGCCTTTAGAAATTCCCTCTGCTGGGCCGGGCGCGGTGGCTCACGCCTGTAATCCCAGCACTTTGGGAGGCTGAGGCGGGTGGATCACGAGGTCAGGAGATCGAGACCATCTTGGCTAACATGGTGAAAACCCGTCGCTACTAAAAATACAAAAATAAATTAGCCGGGGGTGATGGTGGGGGCCTGTAGTCCCAGCTACTCAGGAGGCTGAGGCAGGAGAATGGCATGAACCTGGGAGGCGGATCTTGCAGTGAGCCAAGATCGCACCACTGCACCCCAGCCTGGCTGACAGAACAAAATCTTGTCTCAAAAAAAAAAAAAAGAAATTCCCTCTGCAGTTATGTTAAGGGTGGGATGGAAGTAAGTATAAACTTCCATGCAAAGCAAACAAATAGGATATAATAAGGATTTGGGGCTGGGCTGAGTGGCTCAAACCTGTAATATTAGCACTTTAGGAAGCCAAGGTAGGAGGATTGGTTGAGCCTGGAAGTTTGAGACTAGCCTGGGCAACACAGTGAGACCCCATCTCTTAAAAAAAGAAAGAAGACTTTTTAAAAGTGTTACTAGGCCATTACTGTTGATTCCCCATTATTCGGGATTCGATCATCCAGTCTGAGGATCACTGAAGCCTTTTCTAGGCTGTTTTGATTCATCTTTTGTGTGTGTGTGTGTGTGTGTGTGTGTGTCTGTGTGAGACAGAGTCTCGCTCTGTTGCCCAGGCTGGAGTATGGTGGCGTGATCTCAGGCCACTGTAACCTCCGCCTCCTGAGTTCAAGAGATTCTCCTGCCCCAGACTCTTGAGTAGCTAGGATTATAGGTGCGCGCCACCACGCCTAGCTACTTTTTATATTTTTAGTAGAGACAGGGTTTCACCATGTTGGCCAGGATGGTCTCGATCTCTCGACCTCGTGATCTGCCCGCCTCGGCCTCCCAAAATGCTGGGATTACGGGTGTGAGCCACCATGCCTGGCCTTGACTCATCTTTTCATTCTTTCACTAATCTTGGCATTTCCTAATATTAATGAAAATAAAAGGAAATGAGAGTGAAACAACAGGTTTACTTTCCTCTATTAGCTTCTGAGGGAAAAGGAACGGACAAGAGCAGGTTGGGCGACCAGCTGGCATTTGCCCCTCTGTCAGGTGACCTCGACATCCCCGCATTGCAGAAAGGACCCTGAGAGCTGACCTTACCTGTGTGCGTCTCCCCAACGAAAACTCTTAGCAAGTCTGACTTACAGACCACTAGAAACCCGATCGGGACCCAGAAACCCCACTCCCAGGTATTCACCCAAGAGAAGTGAAAACTTCCATTCATACAAACACCTGTGCGTGAATGTTACAGCAGCTTATTCATAATCGTCGAAACCTGGAAATCGCCCACATCCTTTACTTGGTGAATAGATAAATAGACCACACTCCATCCAGACAGTGGAACATTTCTCAGCAATGAAAAGGAACCATACAACAATGTGGGTGAACCTCAAATCACGATGCTCAGTGAAAGAACCTGGACTCGCACGATTCCACTTTCAGGACTCGCTGGAAAAGCAACGGGAGAACAGAGCAGTGGTTGCCAGCGGCAGCACGGGAGTTCTGGGAGTGACGGGATGTTCCCTATCTTGACTGTGGTCATGGTGATAGGACTCTATGCATTTGAACTATATACCAAAAGAAGTGAATTTTACTGTGTGGACATTTGAAAGTATTTTTTAACCATTAAAAAAGAAAAATTGAGGCTGGGCACAGTGGCTTATGCCTGTAATACCAGCACTTTGGGAGGCCGAGGCGGGCGGATCACAAGGTCAAGAGATCGAGACCATCATGGCCAACATGGTGAAACCCTGTCTCTACTAAAAATACAAAAAGTAGCCGGGCGTGGTGGCGGGTGCCTGTAGTCCCAGCTACTCAGGAGGCTGAGGCAGGAGAATGGTGTGAACCCGGGAGGCGGAGCTTGCAGTGAGCCGAGATCACACCATTGCACTCCAGCCTGGGTGACAGAGTGAGACTCCATCTCAAAAAAAAAAAAAAGTGACTTCAATTTTTCCTTCTCCTCCTCTTGGCTTGTAAAAGGGTTACCCCTGCGTGGCTTCAGAGTGTTTAAAATCGCTTACCTCCTCTTGAGGAGGTTTAACATTCTTTCCTTTTTTGAGACAGAGTCTTGTTCTGTCACCCAGGCTGGAGTGCAATGGCTTAATCTCGGCCCACTGCCACCTCCACCTCCCGGGTTCAAGGGATTCTCTTGCCTCAGCCTCCCAAGTAGCTGGGATTACAGGTGTGCATCACCACACTCAGCCAATTTTTGTATTTTTGGTAGAGACGGGGTTTCATCATGTTGCCCAGTCTGGTCTCAAACTCCTGGACTGAAACGATCCACCCACCTCAGCCTCCCAAAGTGCTGAGATTACAAGTGTGAGCCACTGCGCCAGGCCTCAATATTCTTTCTAATAAGCTCACTTGGGTTCTTATTCAGTGTATTCCTTTTCCCAGGCTGCTGTAACAAAATAATATAAACTGGGTGGCTTAAGACAACAGAAATTGATTTCTGGAGGTGAGAAGTCCAACACCAAGGTGTCGGCAGGGCTGTGCTCCCTCTGAAGGTTCTAGGGAAGAATCCTCCCTCACTTCCTCCGGCGTCCAGTGGCCACAGGCATCCCTTGGCTTATAGCCTCACCACTGCCATCTCTGCCTCCATCTTCCTATGGCCCTCTTTCCTGTGTGTGTCTCCTAGGCATCTTATAAGGACACCAGCCATTGGACAAAGAGCCCACCCTAAATCCAAGATGATTTTATCTTGAGTTGAAAGGACCTGATTACATTTGCAAAGACCCTGTTTCCATATTCAGGTCACATTCACAGGAATGGAAGAGTGGTGGGGGAAGGGAGAGGTTAATACTTGAACATGGCTGGGCGCGGTGGCTCACGCCTGTAATCCTAGCACTTTGGGAGGCTGAGGCGGGCAGATCACGAGGTCAGGAGATCGAGACCATCCTGGCTAACACGTGAAACCCCCGTCTCTACTAAAAATACAAAAATTAGGCCGGGCGCGGTGGCTCACGCCTGTAATTCCAGCACTTTGGGAGGCCAAGGCAGGTGGATCACGAGGTCAGGAGATCGAGATCATCCTGGCTAACATGGTGAAACCCCGTCTCTACTAAAAATACAAAAAATTAGCCAGGCGTGGTGGTGGGCGCCTGTAGTCCCAGCTACTCAGGAGGCTGAGGCAGGAGAATTGCGTGAACCCGGGAGGCGGAGCTCTCAGTGAGCCGAGATCGCGCCACTGCACTTCAGCCTGGGCAACAGAGCAAGACTCCATCTCAAAAAAAAAAAAAAAAATACAAAAATTAGCCAGGCGTGGTGGCGCACGCCTGTAGTCCCAGCTACTCGGGAGGCTGAGGCAGGAGAATCACTTGAACCCGGGAGGTGGAGGCTGCAGCAAGCCAAGATCGCCCACTGCACACCAGCCCGGGAGACAGTGTGAGACTTCATCTCAAAAAAAACATACTTCAACATGTCTCTTGGGGAGCACAATTCAACCTCTATATTCGGTAAGACTCTCTTAGACAGGGCAGGGCAACCTGGCCCTGCACTCCTTGGCCATCCTCTGCTGTCACCCCCAGACCTCAGGCACGGCGGCCCCTCGCTCTCCCCCGTCTTTTCTCTCCGGGCCTCTGAAGTCACCAGTTCTCCATGCCCAGCCGTGGCCTGTGGGAGGGAGCTGGGGGGGTGAGCTGGAGCTGCCACTTAGCGGCAGAGTCGCAAACTCACCGTTCCTAATGAAGCCCGTCGCTTCTCCCTCCTCCTCCTCCCAGCAAGCAGGAAAAAAAAAAAAAGTTGACTACTGAGACCACATGCTAGGAAATCCATGGGTGGGTGCTCTAGTTGACAAGTCCCACTTGAGCCCAGCCATATTCGGCCATTCTTGCACTGCTATGAAGAAATACCTGAGACTGGGGAATTTATAAAGCCAAGACGTTGAATTGGTTCTGCAGGCTGTACGGGAAGCATGGCTGCATCTGCTTCTGGGGAGGCCTCAGGGAGCTTTGACTCATGGTGGAAGGCGAAGTGTGAGGGGTCACTTCACATGGTGAAAGCCTGACCAACAAAGTGGGGGGTGAAGCAGCCACCCATTTTTAAACAAACAGATCTCGCGAGAACTCGCGATCGCAAAGACGCAAAGACGGCGCCAAGCCATGAGGCCCCCATGATCCAAACACTTCCCACCAGGCCCCACCTCTAGCACTGGGGATTACAATTTAACATGCGATTTGGGCGGAGACAAATACTCAAACTCTATCACCAGCCATCCCTGCTGAGATGCCGGACTCATCTGCTGAGATGCTGCGATGTGAGTGAAGTGACTTGGAACCTTTAGTGCAGCCCATATGCCAGCTGAATACCATCAAATGCCCTCAGTCAGTGCCACAGGGAGAAACAAAATCTCCTAGCAGAGCATTGCCCAAATTCCTGACCCATGAAATACATGGGCAGTGGTAATTATAAAGAAAGTGGAGTTAATTGATCGAGTGGCATCAGTGGGCTGAAGGAAGAAAACAACAGGCCTCAGGACAGCCATTTATCAACTTATAGCCCAAGGTGAAAATCAGGAGGGGCTTCCAGAGACGTGTTTAAAGACAGGTCACATTGTGCTGATAAAGGCCTAGAACCTGATGAGAACTGTGGAGTTTGAATCAGGGCAGATGAACGGCTGTGCTAAGTGCTGTGCTCCAGTCAAGGAGCACAGAAGTGAAGGAGCGGACACTGTCACCTAGGGCAGGGAACGTCTGGATAGATGGGCTCAAGAGTCTTGAATTCTAGGCTGGGTGCAGTGGCTCACACCTGTAATCTCAGCACTTTGGGAGGCCGAGGTGGGCAGATCATCTGAGGTCAGGAGATCAAGACCAGCCTGGCCAACATGGTAAACCCTGTCTCTACTAAAAATACAAAAAAGTAGCTGGGTGTGGTGGCACATGCCTGTAATCCCAGCTACTTGGGAGGCTGAGGCAGGAGAATTGCTTGAACCCGGGAGGTGGAGGTTGCAGTAAGCTGAGATGGCAGCACTGCACTCCAGCCTGGGTGTCAGCAGAGTGAGACTCCGTCTCAAAAAAAAAAAAAAAAAAAAAAAAAAAAGGCTTATGCCTGTAATCCCAGCACTTTGGGAAGCCGAGGTGGGCGGATCACAAGGCCAAGAGATCGAGACTATCCTGGCCAATATGGCGAAGCTCTGTGTCTATCAAAAATAAGAAATTTAGCTGGTCATGGTGGTGCACACCTGTAATCCCAGCTACTCAGGAGGCTGATGCAGGAGAATTGCTTGAACCCAGGAGGCGGAGGTTGCAGTGAGCGGAGATCGCGCCACTGCACTCCAGCCTGGCGACACAGCGAGACTCCATCTCAAAAAAAAAAAAAAAAAAGTGATGTTGTGTGGCCAGTCCTGATATCCATCGAGATGGCTCCTTGAAGCGTGGAAGCAATACATGAGAGGGAGATAACAGAACGATGGTGGCAGGGCACTGAGAAGGAGCCAAAGGCCTCGGGGAGGGGGATGTGCAGGCACAGATTTATTATGCAACATCTGAGAAGCCAGATGACCGTATTTCTGGAGGGTTCACCAGAGACTGCTTTGACTAGTGGGGGGTCTAGGCATCAATGGGCAATCGGCATGGCCGTCCTCTGAGGCCAGGGTAGAAGAGGGCAAATAGGACTGGAGCCGGGCTCGGAAAGGTCAGCAGGAGATAGGATTCCAGAGAGCAGAGGTTCGGTTGATGTGACTGTCAGAACAGGAGCAAGGCCAGAGTGGCTGCCAGGGATCCTGGGCGCACAGGAGTCTCTGGTGAATGCTAGTAGACCACGGTATTCCCAGGGGCCACGGAAGCCCCAACACTGCTTGACTGCGCTAAGCAAAGAAAGATCAAAAACAAAAAACGAGCGAACAGGACAGTAATGGCAGCTGCTGATGGAAAATCCCAACCCCTCATCCAGTTTCCAGGCCTAAGCTAGGCCTCAGAACCAGAGGTCACTGACTGAAAGGGAGGCTGGGTCCCCTCCAGACCACAAATATTTGCAGTAGTAGGCTCCTAATCTTTCCCCAAAGGGGCCGACAGCATTTCCAAGAAGCAACTGTACACTGGGAAAAGAGAAATAGTAGATACATCAAGGGCTGGCGGGTACACAGTCTGAGAGGCCCTTTGGAGTCCAGAAAAGTGGAGTCCTTGGACTTCATTTCTCCCCTATCTACACTTGCTCCCTTGGCGATCACACCCTCTCATAACTTTCTTTTTTTTTCTCTTTCTTTTTTTTTTGAGACAGAGTCTCGCTCTGTTGCCCAGGCTGGATTGCAGTGGGGCGATCTTGGCTAACTGCAATCTCCGCCTCCTGGGTTCAAGCGATTCTCCTGCCTCAGCCTCCCGAGTAGCTGGAATTACAGGCATGCACTACCACGCCCGGCTACTTTTTGTACCTAGTAGACACGGGGTTTCACCATGTTGGCCAGGCTGGTCTGGAACTCCTGACCTCAAGTGATCCGCCCCCCTCGGCCTCCCAAATTGCTGGGATTACAGGCATGAATCACCGCACCCGGCTCCTCTCGTAACTGTCAATAACCTATCCATGGCCAGTCCCGTGTGTATTGCTCCAGGCCTGACATCTCTGATGTTCAGTCTGTTCAGTCTCATATCTAAGTGCCCACCTGACATGTCCCCTGAGTGGCCTAATGGGCATCTCACCACGGCTCACAGAGAACTGATCTACTCCATTTTCACCCCCAAGCAGGCCCCTCTCCTGCAGTCTTCCCATCTCAGTCAATGGCAACACCATCCTCTTAGTTGCTCAGACTGAAAACCTAGCAGCCATCCTGGATTTCTCTCACACTGCCTATTCAACGTGTGAATGCATGAGTGGAAAGCTGAGTTCGCACTCGTGACTGGCCGGGGTCAACTCTGACATTCGCTCCCACTTTCGCGCGCTGATTTATCTCTGAGCGGATGAAGGTTGGGCCATGGCGGGCGGGGCCGGGGAGGCGGGCTTGGAGTGAGGGGGCGGGGCAGGCGCCACGAAAACGCGCTCGCGCCGGCGCCGAACCGCAACTCCCGGCGGCCCCCGCGCTCCCGGGTGGCAAGATGGTGGCGCGCAGGAGGAAGTGCGCCGCGCGGGACCCGGAGGACCGTATCCCCAGCCCACTGGGCTACGCAGGTGAGGGGCTCCGGGACGCGAGACCGGGGGCGGTCAGGCATCGCCGGGAGGTGTTTGGGGGTTGGCGACGGCCGGGGGTCCCCAGGAGCGGCCGCACGGTTGGGTGTGAGCCCCGGTGGCCCGTGGCCCCAGGCTCCGCAGGTCTTGAGGCTCCGGGGTCCCGAGGACCCAGGCGGCGCCCTTCTGCCTGCTCACTCTCCCGGGGCGAGCCCAACTTGGTCCACGCTTCCCTTGGGTGAGCCCGCCTCTGTCCACACTCTCACCCAGGACAAACCCATTTCCGTCCACACCCGCTCGTCCAGGTGAGCCCATCCCCTTCTCATCGCCTCTGCTCCTAGTCCATCCCCCATCAGCTCTTACCTGGGCTGTTATAGGCCCTCCTACTCGGTTGCCCTCCTTCTCCTCTTGCCCCTGCTTCTGTTCTCCACCCACGTGCCAGAATGTTCTTTTAAGGACATTTAGATTCGATCATGTCTGCCGCGCCCACGATAGGCGCCACACCTACTGCATTCCCTCCAGTGGCTTTATCAGGTAGCTTCTAAAACAAAAACCAGACTTCTTAACCTGTGTGGGCCACGTGGTCTGGCTGGTGCCGACCTAAAGCTCTTTCTGTTCCTCTGAGGGAACATGCTTTTTCCCCCCTCTGGGTTTTTGCACGTGCTGTGCCGGTTTGTTGCACAGTGGCGTTCTGGCCTGAGCTTTAATGTTGCTTCCTCAAAGAGGCCATCCGTGATGGCCTATGGAAAGAAGACCTCTGCCACCCCATCACCCTGTAATGTTTCTTTCACAATTGATACAAGTTTGCTGTATGCTTGTTAATTGTCTTCTCCGTTATTGCAACTGAGCTTCCTGAGTTCAGGGACCGCAGCTCTACGCCAACCGGTACTGTGACGGAGGTGTGAGAAAAATAGAAGCAGTTCCTAGCTTTATGAGGATTACAGTCATGGGTGTGCCAGCGATTAACCAAAGAATCTCATCAATATAGCCTCCAGACTGTTAAGAGAAGCTGTGAAGGCACAGGCAGTGGGATCTGAGCTGGCAGGAGGGGCGGAGGTGATGCTAAGGCTCTCCTGAGGAAGCGAGGTTTGAGCTAAACCTGAGGTGAGCGGGAGGGAAGAGGGTGACACGCCAGGTAGAGAGGCCAGCATGTGTGAGGCCCTGGTGTACCCGGGGGAACAGAGAATCCAAGGTGCTGGGGGAAGATGGTACGAGAAGAGGTCACAGTGACAGGCAGGGTCTCACGGGGCTTCCAGCCATGGTTAGGATTTTGGCGTTGACTCCAAGAGCCGCAGGGTTCGAGCTTCCCTCTCATTGCGCCCCCATCTGTAATCATTGCCCATTTATCTTCTCTCTCCCTGCACCGCCTTGGGAGGCCCTCCTGGGCAGACTCTTAGAGCCCGCACAGGCTTTGCCAAAGAGTAGGGTAAGGGGGGTTGGTGAAGGGATGGATGGATCGATGAACAGATAGGACTAGACAGGGATGTGGAGAAAGGAAGTTGTGTGAGTGTCTCGCTGGCCTCAGCTCAGGGTAGCCTGGCCATCCCTCCCCTCCCATTTCCTTTCCAGCTATTCCAATCAAGTTCTCTGAAAAGCAACAGGCTTCTCACTACCTCTATGTGAGAGCACACGGCGTTCGACAAGGCACCAAGTCCACCTGGCCTCAGAAGAGGACTCTTTTTGTCCTCAATGTGCCCCCATACTGCACAGAGGTGAGCTAGTGTCTGTCTGGGAGGAGACCTGTGGGCTCAAGGTGGGGGCTCCCATGGCCTCCACCAAGTCCTTGGTGGTGAGACGGACACAGCTAATGGGAGCCCCAGAGGAGAGTGTCAGGAGGGCTACCGTGATCTCCAGTCAGGAAACTGGCTTTTTAAAGATGTCTTTAAAAGTATAATCCTGCCAGGCACGGTGGCTCATGCCTGTAATCCCAGCACTTTGGGAGGCTGAGGCGGGCGGATCACCTGAAGGGAGGAGTTCCAGACCAGCCTAGCCAACATGGTGAAATCCCGTCTCTACTAAAAAATAAAAAATGAGCCAGGCATGATGGCATGTGTGGGTAGTCCTGGCTACTAGGGAAGCTGAGGCATGAGAATCCCTTGAACCCGGGAGGTGTAGGTTGCAGTGAGCCAAGATCGCGCCACTGCACTCCAGCCTGGGCAACAGAGTGAGACTCTGACTCAAAAAAAAGAGAAAAAAGTACAATCCTAAGTAGCCCAAGGCATTTTTACATATTACCCAAAGTTGTCTGAATTACGTGTTTTCTTCCAGATTGTACATGTCCATAATTTAAAAGTAGGAAAGTATAAGAAAATAAAAAGTGCCTCTAATTCTATCCAAACACAACTGTTAATTTTTTTTTTTTTTTTTTTTTTTTACAAAAACTAAGCTAAGGGAATTGCTGGATTTATTTATTTATTTATTTATTTAATTTATTTATTTATTTTGAGACAGAGTCTCCCTCTGTTGCTCAGGCTGGAGCACAGCGTTCACAACTCACTGCAACCTCCGCTTCCCGGGTTCAAGTGATTCTCCTGCCGCAGCCTCCCAAGCAGCTGGAATTACAGGCGCCCACCACCATGCCCGGCTCATTTTTGTATTGTTAGTATAGACAAGGTTTCACCATGTTGGCCAGGCTGGTCTCGAACTGCTGACCTGAAGTAATCCGCCCCCTTCAGCCTCCCAACGTGCTGGGATTACATGCGTGAGCCACCGCCCCTGGCCAAGGGAATTGCTGGATTTGTTTTCAAAAAAGAAACCCTAATTTGTAAAAGATTCCTCTAAACTTAGAGAAAAAAAGAAGCATGTAGAAGAGGGGGTGTGAGTTCTGACCTTTTTTGAAGTGCAGCATGTGTGCCTGGAAGGGCCCCAGTGGCAAGTGTCCAGCTCGCTGCATCCCAGAGACAGAACATAGCTGTGTAGTCAGCGCCCAGGTGGAGACACAGCAGCACATCCCAGAACCCCCGCTGCCTCCACCACAGACAACCACCATCCCAACTGTCATAGCATAGGGTCACTACTGCTGATTCAGGTAGTAAAACTTGTCATAGGAAATCAGAATAACAGCAAGAATGTCCCCACCTGTCTCCAGTGAGAGAGCAGGAATATGCCGGGCACAGTGGCTCACGCCTGTAATCCCAGCATTTTGGGAGGCCGAGGCGGGCGGATCACCTGAGGTCAGGAGTTCAAGACCAGCCTGGCCAACGTGGCAGAACCCTGTCTCTTCTCAAAATACAAAAATTAGCCACGTGTGGTGGTGGTGGGCGCTTGTAATCCCAGCTGCTCGGGAGACTGAGGCATGAGAATCACTTGCAACCCGAAGGTGGAGGTTGCAGGACTCCAGCCTGGGCTACAGAGCAATACTCCAACTCAAAAAAAAAAAAGAGCAGGAATATCAACCTCCATATTGTCCCTGGGGAACAGGTCGGAGGCCATGGTGCCCACAGTCTCCCGGCTTGGGCAGATGTGGCTGTGGCTGAGTCCTTCAGCGGCGCTGGACCCCTGGCAGCGCCACCCATGGTGCAGGGAGGCTTTGGGATGGCCCTGCGGATGCTCACACTTGGCTTCCCTCTCCCTGCGGCAGGAGAGCCTGTCCCGCCTCCTGTCCACCTGTGGCCTCGTCCAGTCTGTAGAGTTGCAGGAGAAGCCGGACCTGGCTGAGAGCCCAAAGGAGTCAAGGTCGAAGTTTTTTCATCCCAAGCCAGTTCCGGTGAGCCGCCAAGCCCGGGGTTCCACTAGAGTGAGGGGGGTGGGGCACTGTCCCCAGTGTGTTGGGGGAGCTGGCAGTGGGACATCAGAGCATTCTCTGGTCCTGAGCCCATCCTCACCGTGTGTGGTGTAAGAGACTGTCTGGGTGACAAAGCCTGCGATTCTTTGCCAGATTTGCCACATCCTTGCACTTCCTGCCTGGCTTTTTCTGTCCCGTGTTAAAGCTCACGGACCGTCTCTGCTGGCCACCTGCAGGGCCTTCCCCGGCTCCCCTCCTGCTTCCCCACTGAGGGAGCTCCTTCCCCAGGCTTGGGGGCCGGGTCTCCAGGAGCACTGTTGTTCACAGCTTTCCCAGTGGCCCTGGAGCCCACACCTCCTCCCCACACAGTGGCATCTGGCATGGTGTGTGCGCCCAGGCCTGGCTTCCAAAAACCTGCCCTGGCCCAGGGCGACCCCTGTGTTTCACCGCATCCCTCCCGTGACTGGAAGAAAAGAAGCCTCTGTATCCCCTCTTCCTGGGGAGGAGTTGGGAACAGCCGTCACTTCCCGCAGAAGCAGGATTACTGGAAGTGTGGCTGCCTCTGACCTGGATTATGGGATGGCCTGTGGTTCTCTTCATGGCTCAGGAATAGCCTAGCACCATCTCCCCTGGTGTAGCTACCACCTAGGCTGAGGGCAGGCCTGGAGACCTTGTGCCAGACGTGGGAAGGAGCCCCCAACCTCTGACATCTCTCTCTCTTCAGGGTTTCCAGGTAGCCTATGTGGTGTTCCAGAAGCCAAGTGGGGTGTCAGCGGCCTTGGCCCTGAAGGGCCCCCTGCTGGTGTCCACAGAGAGCCACCCTGTGAAGAGTGGCATTCACAGTTAGTACTGCGGGAGGGGTCTGGCGCCTCCTTTCTGGGCTCCGGGTTGGCAGGACACTCTATGGGGACAGTGTCTGAATGTCACAAGCCAAGTCCATGCTCCCTGAGAGCAGCATGTGGAGGCCTGGGCAGGAGGACCATGGGGCTGTGTCTGGGTCCCCAGGGAGTCATTAGCCTGAGCCCCTGGCACAGAGCGGCACAGGCATACTGGGCAGGCAGAGCGAGGGCGCAGCTTGCAGCCCCTGGGATCTCCTTAGCACCTGTGCCCCGGGCCCTGTGGGAAAAGGTCCCAATTTGCCTGGCAGGCCCTGGGGTGGGGCCCAAATGCCAGGCCTGAGGAAGCCCCGTTTCCCTGGCTCCCTTTTCCTCAGAGTGGATCAGTGACTACGCAGACTCTGTGCCCGACCCTGAGGCCCTGAGGGTGGAAGTGGACACGTTCATGGAGGCATATGACCAGAAGATCGCTGAGGTAGAGGCCCCGCGGGGTCGGCCGAGCCCCGCATCGCCCGTGTGGCTGTGGGAAGGTGGCGCCCCAGAGGGAGGGCAGTGGTGGCCTGTCCTTGGCCACTCTGTAGAGGCCAGGCTCCCTGTTTCCCTGCTGGATCCTGGGCTGCCTGGCTGGGTGACACATGTAGTCTCCACATGTCCTACAGTGGAGAAGGAGGCAGTGCCGGCAGGTCCGTGCCCTCCCCGCCATCCTTAGCCCCAACACTGTGCTGGGAGGAGGGGAGCAGCCCTCCCCTGCGGGGGCTCAGGGCAGTTCTGACTTTGGGAGGAGGGCGTGGAGGGCGCGCTGCTGGAGGCTGCAGGAGGTCCCACCGGAGGATGGGATCACCTTCCTTGCAGGAAGAAGCTAAGGCCAAGGAGGAGGAGGGGGTCCCTGACGAGGAGGGCTGGGTGAAGGTGACCCGCCGGGGCCGGCGGCCTGTGCTCCCCCGGACTGAGGCAGCCAGCTTGCGGGTGCTGGAGAGGGAGAGACGGAAGCGCAGCCGAAAAGAGCTGCTCAACTTCTACGCCTGGCAGCATCGAGAGAGCAAGATGGAGCGTAAGCCACCCCCAGTCCATCCTCAGACCCCTCGGCCTTGGCCCCAGCCACGGATGAGGCCTGTGGCCAGTGCTCCTGAGGGCGGGCGCTGGACTTGGTGGTCGAGGAGGGAGGGCGTCCCTAAGCACGGGGCTCGCACCAGACTCTGTGGAAAGAGGCCCAGCCTGGCAGCACCCTGTGTGGCGGTTCCCCATCACCCCCTAGGGGCAGATGCATTTGCTCAGTGGGTGGGGACCCTAGGTCATCAGTGCCCACCTCTGGGTCCCTGTGCACTTAGTGCTGGCGCTCGTCAGCCTCCAGCTAACGAGGAGTTCAAGTGCAGAGGGGGCTTCTGAACCCACTGTGGGTGCAGAGAAGGTGCTGCAGAGTATGTGTGTTGGGTTGGTGGTGGGTGTGTGTGTGTGTGTGTCTGTCAGGTGGCCCCGCACAGGACCCTCCCATGCCTGTGGGCCCGATCGCCTGTGGCCCACTCCTGGTGCTGCGGCTGAGCCTCCTGCCCCACTGCCTGGTGTCCCTGTCTACAGAACAGCTTCCCTGTGGGCCCAGGGGAGGGTTCTCCTGGCCCTGGCTAGGGCACAGGGACGGGCTCTGCGGCAGGCCCTGAGCCGCCCGCCCAGTCACTGGTGCTTTCCCTGCCTGGCTGGCCCTCCTGGCTCCCGCTCGTGCTCGCTCTAGACCCTCAGCTTCCCCCTCAGTGCCATCAGCCTCCCACTGACCAGGGTTGCCATCTGCATTCACCAGCACAAGGGCTGGGGTGCCTTTACTGATTCTCAGGGTTCTCCAGGCCGAGCGCTCAAGACTCCTTCCTTCCCCCTGTGCAGGGATGGGGGTGGGGGCGGGTACCTTTGCTTTGTCGCTAGGGCTTCATCTCCAGGCTGGGGGTGCCAGCATCTCCCACTTTGGCCTTGCCCTTGGACTCGGCCTGCCGTCGGTTCTGTTTCCTGACAAGATCCAGACCCTGCCCCCACAGCAGAGCTGGGAGGGGGATGGGCTGGTGGGGGAGACATAGCCCCACCCCCACAGTAACTGGGAGGAGGGGTGGGGCATGAGCAAGCCAGCTTCCCCGGGGCGCGCTGTCTGACCCTGCCCCGCGCCTCCTCTCACCCCCAGATCTAGCGCAGCTGCGCAAGAAGTTCGAGGAGGACAAGCAGAGGATCGAGCTGCTGCGGGCCCAGCGCAAATTCCGACCGTACTGAGCTGTGAGAGCCGCAGTGAATGGCTGGAGGTGCAGGGCCAGGAGGAGGCGAGGCAGGGCCTGCAGCGGTCTCTGAGAGGCCGAGCTCTGGCCAACGGGCCCCAGGTTGAAGGCCACCGCGTCCAACAGCCCCATCAGAGTCCACACAGGCCAGGAGGGAAGGACCAGGCCACCCCTCGGGTCTTGTGCTTCAGCAGTCCTGGGGACCCAGGCGTGCCGAGAGGAGGACTTGTCCTTCCTGCTTCTTGCCTCCACACCCTCCTCTCCAGGACCCTGGATGAATCCGTTCTGTGCTTCCTTTTCCCTCAATGCAAAAGCCCTTGCTGGCAACGAAAAAGCCTCAAAAGCAGTGAGAATACAAGAACCTTTTATTTTCCATCCAGTTGGGCAGCAGGGAAAGGCTAGGTGGGCCCAGCCCGCCCTTCCTTCCTCCAGCTGGCTGGAGATTATTAGCCAGGAGACAGCAGCCCTGGAACCCAGACTCTGTCTCCCCCTTGAGGTCACAGATGTTGAAGTTGGAATCTCGCTCCTTCCCCTGACTACCATCCTAGGCTGGGCCTCAAGACTAGTGAGGCCTGTCCCCACCATCCCTGGCCTTGTTGTGGGGCTCAGGAACTCAGAGTCCCAGTGTTGAGTCTGGGAGCACTAGGTCTTCATAGTTCCAGGCCCAGAGCTACAGCTGGGCTGGGAGCGTGTGTGTGCACTGTAAGAAGGAGCTGATGATACTGGCCACGTGCTGGGGTTCGCTCATGTGGACACAGTGATTGCCTGGGACTTCCACAAACTGGAACCGCTGGAGAGGGGAGGGGGTGGGTAGTGAGATGTGGCCAGAGGAGCCTAGGGAGCTCCATGGGCCCCGGGGTCAGGGCCCTCCCACAGCATTCCAGCTCCCTGCAGGTCAGGAGCGCCTCCCACAGTGAGTTTCCCCCACACTCGGCTCCTTGGAGCCCCGACAGTCCATAGCACCCCAGGAGATGTCTAACCTTAGGGACTTGGAGGCCTCCCAGGGGTCTAGGCCAGCTGAGTTGTGAAGTTGCATGGCAGGGACAGGGCAGGGCCGAGGCCAGGGTTGCTGTGATTGTATCCGAAGTAGTCCTCGTGAGAAAAGATAATGAGATGACGTGAGCAGCCTGCAGACTTGTGTCTGCCTTCAAGAAGCCAGACAGGAAGGCCCTGCCTGCCTTGGCTCTGACCTGGCGGCCAGCCAGCCAGCCACAGGTGGGCTTCTTCCTTTTGTGGTGACAACGCCAAGAAAACTGCAGAGGCCCCAGGGTCAGGTGTAAGTGGGTAGGTGACCATAAAACACCAGGTGCTCCCAGGAACCCGGGCAAAGGCCATCCCCACCTACAGCCAGCATGCCCACTGGCGTGATGGGTGCAGAGGGATGAGGCAGCCAGGTGTTCTGCTGTGGTTTGGGAGCCTATAAAGTGAGACTAGGCTGGGCATGGTGGCTCCCATCTGCAAAACCAGCACTTTGGGAGGCCAAGGTGGGCGGATCGCCTGAGGTCAGGAGTTTGAGACCAGCCTGGCCAACATGGTGAACCCCCATCTCTTAAAAATATAAAAATTAGCTGGGCATGGTGGCAGGTGCCTGTAATCCCAGCTACTCAGGAGGCTGAGGCACGAGAGTCGCTTGAACCCGGGAGGTGGAGGTTACAGTAAGCTGAGATCTTCCCACTGCACTCCAGCCTGAGCGACAGAGTGAGACTCCATCTCAAAAAAAAAAAAAAAGTGTGACTATTAGCTGGGCATGATGGCATGCGCCTGTAGTGCCACCTACTCAGGTGGCTGAGGTGGGAGGATCATTTGAGCCCAGGAGTTTGAGGCTGCAGTGAGCTATGACTGAGCCTGAGCAACAGAATGAGACCCTGTCTCTCAAAAAATGTGGGACTGTCTCTGGCAGTTGGGTCACCTAATTGTGCCTGGCCCCAAGAAGGAGGGGTGGGTACTTGAGGATGGTAAAGAACCTCCCCACCAAAGGTCTCTGTTTCTTAAATTCTGATTACATGTGTCCCCAGGCCTCTAGGGACTGATCACTGGAGCATGAGGCCTGATAGATCCTGGTGGTCACTTGTTGGGCCTGGGGGCAGACCAGGGGTCTTTCCCAGTGCATGAGAAGAGATGGGTGAGGTGGGACCAGAGTGGGCGACAGTGGCTGGACACCAGCTGCCTGAGCCCCGCCTTACCTCTTTGAGGGTGGATTTCATTGTGTCTATCATGAACGACAGGGACTCCTTGTCAGAGTAATTCTCTCTTGGATCAAAATATCCGTGGACTGCTCTGGAAAGTGAGGAGTTGGGGGTTGTTGGGGTTCATCTTAGAACCGCCTCCCAGCGGTGCCCCCATCCTGCCCTGGGTTCAGGCCTCTGAGGAGAAACCAAAGCCTGGGCTACCCCAACTCCCACAGCTGGGTCCCTTGACCCTGGGTTGGATTTGAGGCTCAGTTAATCTCAGCTCACGCTCAGCTGGCACAAGCCAGGCGCAAGCAAGTGCTGAAGGCACAGCCTTGCTGGGGCGCAGGGAGTTCAGGACTTGGTCACAGTCAGCCCTGAACAGCAGAGCTGGGATCTGAACAGGCGCTGGAGCCCACACTTGCTCTGAGAGAGAATTTATGTCTTCACAATCCTCCCATTGAAAGTCTACAATCCTGGCCGGGTATGGTGGCTCACGCCTGTAATCCCAGCACTTTGGGAGGCTGAGGCGGGTGGATCACGAGGTCAGGAGATGAGACCATCCTGGCTAACATGGTGAAACCCTGTCTGTACTAAAAATACAAAAATTAGCCGGGCTTGGTGGTGGGTGCCTGTAGTCCCAGCTACTCCGGAGGCTGAGGCAGGAGAATGGCGTGAACCCGGGAGGCGGACCTTGCAGTGAGCTGAGATTGCACCACTACACTCCAGCCTGGGCGACAGAGCCAGACTCCATCTCAAAAAAAAAAAAAAAAAAGTCTACAATCCCGTGGTTTTTAATACATTGAGTTGTGAGACCATCGTCACAATTACATTTTCATCACCCCCAAAGAAATCGCAAACCTCTGAGCTTACACACACACACACACACCCCACCCCCCCACCCCCAACAGGCTTCCGGTCCTGAGCAACCATGACCTGGCTTTGTCTCTGCCGTGTGTCCTATTTGGACTTGAACGTGAATGCAGCCATACAACACGTAGACGGTTGTGTCTGACTTCATCCACTTAGTGCGATGTTTTCAAGGCTCATCCATGCTGGAGCCCATGTCAGTGCTTCGTTTCTTTTTATGGCTTAAAAATCGTCTATGGTGGGCCACGCACGGTGGCTCTCGCCTGTAATCCCAACACTGGGAGGCCGAGGCAGGCGGATCATGAGGTCAGGAGATGGAGAGCAGCCTGGCCAACATGGCGAAACCTCGTCTCTACTAAAAATACAAAAATAAGCCAGGCGTGGTGGCGGGCGCCTGTAGTCCCAGCTACTCGGGAGGCTGAGGCAGGAGAATCGTTTGAATCCAGGAGGCAGAGGTTGCAGTGAGTCGAGACTGGGCTCACTGGTTATGGAGCCTTACCTGGGCATGCCCCCCGCTGACACCTGTGGAAAGGCATGGGACAGCCCCGGCCCATCCCCTGCTGCCTGAGCCCTCCCCTCCTCTGACCTTCCTCCTTCCATGACCCTGCTGCCAGGGGGGCTTCCCAAAAAAGATCTTGAGTCTTAGCGATGTGGTCGACACGCAGAGAACTTGGAGCCTCATGCCAGGGCCCCCTCCCAGAGATTCCTGGCGCCCATGTCTCCTTGGGGGGTGACTGAAGGGGATGGGTCCAGACTCACTTGATCAACAGGACATGGGCCTGCAGCTTCCTGATGGAATGCGCACACAGCTCCCTGCTGACGAAGTCAATGCTGTTCTCTGCCTGCAGAGACAAAAACATGGTGAATTCTCGTCACAAGGCACAGGCACTCTCGTGGGCACGAAACCCATCTCTGTTGGGGTGGCTAAGCCCTGGCGAGGGCACCTTAGCCACCCACCCTGGGTCTGAGCCCAGGACCCCACATCACTGCCTCATCGAAGGCTCTTTAGCCCCTGGTGGCCAGAGACTCCTGCCCTCTCCAAGTCTGTTCTCCCCTCTTCCTGGGCTCGTGGCTACCCAGCCTGACTCCATTTCCAATACTCCTTTGCCACCAGGTATGGCTGTGTGATTAAAGTCAGAGAAGTGAGTTGGGCCACTTTTGGGCCTGGATTTTAGGACTTAGGTGTGGCCCTTCCACACCCCTTTCCCAGTCCATAGGCTGCACCTCACGCTGTCCCCTGCCAGCCTGGGACAGGCTTCTTGCCAGGAGAAAGAAACTTGCTGGGACCACAGTGCAGGATGGGCACTCCGTGATGGCCCCAGCCAGCCTCCTCCGCGGCCCTGCCTGCCCTGTCTTGTGACTGTTTTACGTCTGGATGGCGGGGATGTGGCCAGCTTGAGTGAGATGTGCTGTAGGTGTGACACGAAGCTGGATTTGGAAAACAGCATGCAAAATAATGCAATCAAGCTTTATGTTGATTACATCTTAAATCACATTGTGGATGTTAAATAAAAATATGAGAAGAATTTATAGAACCTTTTTTTTTTTTTTTTTTTGCTCTTGTTGCCCAGGCTGGAGTGCAATGGCGTGATCTCAGCTTACCGCAACCTCCGCCTCCCGGGTTCAAGCGATTCTCCTGCCTCAGCCTCCCAAGTGGCTGGGACTACAGGTGTGTGTCACCACTCCCGGCTAATTTTTGTATTTTTTGGTAGAGACAGGGTTTCACCATGTTGGCCAGGCTGGTCTTTAACTCCTGGCCTCAAGTGATCTGCCTGCCTCGGCCTCCTAAAGTGCTGGGATTACAGGCGTGAGCCACTGCACCTGGCCAGAAATTTAAAAAATAAAAATAAAAAAAAAGAATTTTGGGCCAGCCCCATCTTGGAATGTGTATCTTCTGCAATTTAGTTTATGTCCTAACGAAGTCTTTCCATCCCTGGGAAGCCTCCTCCTTCCAGCATTATGGGTGATCACAGATCCCACTACAGATCAGGTCACATAAGACATGGTCCCTAAGGACAGGGAAAGGGGCATCTCCAAAAGTCAGATTGACTAGGATCTGGCAATAAACTCCCACCACGAAGGTCAGCACACACAAGGGACAAACCACCAGTGAGTGAGCCTTAGTGGGTAGGGAGGACCACCCAACAGCTGGTATTGGAATAACTAGCTGTTCATCTAGAAAAACAATTACAATGGCTGGCTGCAGTGGCTCACACCTATAATCCCAGTACTTTGGGAAACAGGCGGGAGGATAGCTTGAGCCCAGGCATTCAAGACCAGCCTGGGCAACATGGCACGACCCTGTCTCTACAAAAGTAAAAAACTTAGCTGGGTGTGATAGCGCACACCTGTAGTCCTAGCTACTCGGGAGGCTGAGGTGGGAAGATCACTTCAGCCCAGGAGGTTGAGGCTGCGTGAGCCATGATTGAGCCATGGCACTCCAGTCTGGGTGACAGAGGGAGACCCTGTCTCTACAATTCAAATAGACCGAACACTGTGGCTCATGCCTGTAATCCCAGCACTTTGGGAGGTCGAGGCAGGCAGATCACCTGAGGTCAGGAGTTCGAGACCAGCCTGGACAACATGGTGAAACCCCATCTCCACTAAAAACACAAAAATTAGCCAGGTGTGGTGGTGGGTGCCTGTAATCCCAGCTACTTGGGGGCTGAGACAGGAGAATCACTCGAACCTGGGAGGCGAACGTTGCAGTGAGCTGAGATGGTGCCATTGCACTCCAGCCTTTGCAACAAGAGCGAGACTCTGTATCAATAATAATAATAATATAATAATAATAATAATAATAATAAAGAAAAATAGAACTTTTAAAACATGAAAAAAAAAAAAGAAAATGAATCACTATCTGACACCATGCTCAAGAACAAATCCCACACGGATCAAAGACAAACACGTTAACATTCCCAGACCATTGGCTGACGCCCTGGTCCAAGCCTCATCTCTTGGCCTGGGCCTGGGCAGCAGCTCTCAGCGGTCTCCCTGCAGTTAGAGCATCCCCACCTCTAATGACAGTGTCTCACATGTGTCCAATGTTCTACCATATTTTAACAATCACAAAATAGCACAGGCCATGAGCACCTGAAGCGACAGCACTGTGCGAGGCCACTCAACACACATGACCTCACCTAGTCTCGACAACAACCCTTCAAAGGCAGGCCCAGGGCTTGGCTCCCCTAGCCAAGCTGCTCATAAACCAGCTGAGCGAATGAAAGCACTTTCTTTTTGCACGTGAGACAACCAAGGCTCAGAGAGGGTAAGCACCTTGCCCAAGGTCCTACAGCCCCTCACTGGCAGAGATGGCCAAGTTTCTATTAATACAAGTCTCCAGTGACACAGGCCTCCAGATGGGACGCTGTTTTTTGAGAACCTTTGTCATCCTGCCCCTCCCCTCTTTAATCTTCACAGCCTCTATCAGGAATCCCCCTCTCAACAGATGCACCGAGCTGACTTCGAGCTTTTCCCTGTGCAGCAGCCAGTGCCTGGGATGTCTCCCTCCTCTCCTCACCTCCATCGACTGTATTTAATGCCACTGAAGTGCACACTTACAAACGGTTAAATTGACAATCATTATGTATTATGTCACCTATGTAATTTCTTTTTTTTTTTTTTTCTTGAGATGGAGTCTCGCTCTGTCGCCCAGGCTGCAGTGCAGTGGTGCTCTCTCGGCTCACGGCAACCTCTGCCTCCCATTCAAGCGATTCTCCTGCCTCAGCCTCCTGAGTAGCTGGGATTACAGGCGTGAGCCACCGTGCCCGGCCCTTGTTTTCCTTTTGAAACAGGGTCTCACTGTCACCCAAACTGGAGTGCAGTGGCATGATCATGGCTGTCTGCAGCCTCGACCTCCTGGGGCTAAGCACTCCTCCCAACTAAGGCTGCTGAGTAGCTGGGACCACAGGCGTGTGCCACCACGACCAGCTAATTTTTTTTTTTTTTTTTTTTTAAATACAGGGTCTCGCTATCTCGCTCAGGCTGGTCTCTAACTCCTGGGCTCAAGCTATCTTCCCACCTCAGCTTCCCAATGTGCTGGGATTACAGGTGTGAGCCACTGCGCCTGGCCTGTGTCCCGTGTTTCGATTGCATGTTTACAGCGGCAGGGTGTGTGTGTGTGGGTGTGTGTGCGCGTGCGTGTGGTGGGGCAGTGGGGGGCTTCTCCTCCTTCAGACAACAAATATGTGTGGAGCTCTGACCTACCAGGCCCACTGCCAGATGCAGGAGGCACAAAGATGACCAAATCAGCCATAGTGGGGGTTGCGGAGTTCACATGCCTCGGGAAACAGAGGAATCAATAGGCTCTTATTGGACAGTGTGGTTACCTGCAGGGCAGGGACAGCTTGCCTGGGGGTGTCAGGGCAGGGTTCCCAGCTGAGGCCCCAAGGAGTGGGGAAGCCAGTGAGCAAGCACAGGGGAGAATTCCAGGTAAGGGAGCCCAGGCTGGAGTCCCAGAGGGGAGAGAAGGCGTGGAAGCAGCATGTGCTTGGGAGAGAGGCGGGTGCGTGAGAGGTGTGGGGAGGGTATTGGAAGTAAGGGGCATGGCTGGAGCAGGGGCAGAGGGAAAGAGAGAACGTCCCTGAAGACCCTGGGAAGCCTGGTGCTCAGCGTGACCCCAGGGAGAAACAGGCTTGTTGGGTGAGAGGGAGAAAGAAGCTTCTCCACGTCTCACGGGATGTCCTCCCCTGGACCCCACCAGCTCCCCGTCCACACCGGGCACCCACCTCTGCAGCAGCTGCTTCAGGCTGAACACGTGCGAGGGCTCCTGGGAGGCCTCTACCTGCAGCACGTGCTCTATGGCTCTCCGCTTGTAGGTCAGCAAGTTCTCCATTTCCTAAGGAGGCACAGTTGGCTGGTGGGCAGGGATCCAGGCTGCAGACGAGGTCTCTGCCCCTCCTAGCCCTGCCCTCTGCTCTCAGCTGAGCCCCTCTCGGCAAAGGGGCACACAGCCCCAGCCCTGGCTAGTCAGCCCCACGATTCTGAACGAGTCTTTGCTTCGCCTCAGTCACAGCCAGCCTGGTCTTGCCTGCGGCCAGGGACAGTTGAAGAGATCAGGTGGGATGATGGAGAGGAAGGGGAATCTCTGTCAACTGCCAAGTGCTTTGCAAAGGCATGAAATTAGGGTCCGGAGGCCACGAACCATCTGGGGTTGGCAGTTTCATCTGGTTCAACGAATGCCATCATTCTCAGTGGCAGAAAGGGACTGGCAGAAAGGGCGCATTTCTGGGGCTTCCAAGCTCCCCCATGATGTGTGGCTCACTCTGTGAGGACAGCCTCAGGCCCACTGCCTGGGGCTGCAGAGGGGGGCATCTCCCATCTACCCATGCCTGAGAATGCAGGACAAGAGGACCAAATGCCCCTCTTGACTCGCCCAGGAGGAAGCCCCTGGGGGCACTGCACTTGTCAATTCAGTGGGTGAAATGCAGAAAGAAGGGAGTGTCTGCTGTCTGCCATCTGTAAATTGGATCCTTATAATAGCCCCTGAGCTAGCTGAGCTCATGCAAGGAACATTTACTGAGCCCTTACTAGGTGCCAGGATTGGGGATGTGGTGACAGAGATGGACATGATCCTTATCCTTATGGGATCTGCCGTCATTCTTTTTTTTTTTTTTTTTTTTTTTTTTTGGAGACGGAGTTTCCCTCTTGTTGCCCAGGCTGGAGTGCAATGGCGCAATCTCGGCTCACTGCAACCTCCGCCTCCTGGGTTCAAGCGATTCTCCTGCCTCGGCCTCCCAAGTAGCTGGGATGACAGGCATGTGCCACCACGCCCAGCTAATTTTGTACTTTCAGTAGAGACGGGATTTCTCCATGTTGGTCAGGCTGGTCTCGAAATCCTGACCTCAGGTGATCCGCCAGCCTCGGCCTCCCAAAGTGCTGGGATTACAGGCGTGAGCCACCGCATCTGGCCGATCTGTGGTCATTCTATGGACAAGAAAACTGAAACTGATGAGACTTGTGTCACAACTGATAGGCTGAGACCTTGGCAAGAAAATGACAGGATGTCAGAGCTGGCCAGGTCATTGAGCCCAACCTCATTTTACACGTGCGGGAACTAAGGCCCAGAGAGGCAAAGTAACTTGCCAGGGGTCACCCAGCAGGTAAACCAGGCCAGGACTCAGACGCAGAGACAGTACTGGTTATGGGTAGTGGTGGTCAGAGGGGTCAGTCCTTGTTCCTTCAGTTCACATTTAGGGCTGTCATGTGTGGTGGTGCAATGTGGACACAGTGCAAAGGCATTCGACTGGGTGTGAGTGCAGTGTGCCGGCCCAGCTGTGTGCCCTAGAACATCTTCCACCCATGGCCGCTGCCCTCTTCCACTGCCTGCCACTGCGTGATCAGCCTGGCATTCTGCAGATCCCGAGCCACACATCCAGTTTCCAAGGGGTCCCCCACACCCCTTGTCCTGACCACTGCTAGGGGTATAAGCAGCAGAAGGGTGTCATCTGTTGGGGAGCGGGTCCCTGACTCCCCTTTCCCACCCTCTGCCGCCTCCTCGTGCTTCCCTAGTGTCCACCAAAGGAGACAGGGCTGGGAGCGCTGCCCGGGGCCCAGGTCCTCCCTAATGACAGCATGCACGAAAGCCCGCTTCTCACATCTGATTCCAGGAGAAAGAGCGGCGTGTCCAGCAAGATAAGTTTATCCACCATCTCGGGGAAGGTACAGAAAAACTGTGAGGATGCCAAAAGGGGAGAATGAATAGGATGAAGAAGGAAAGGACACTCCCGCCTTTCCCTGGGGACCCTGGAGTTCCCCGAAACATCTTTTAGGCTGGGGGGAGGGTGCTGACCAAGAGGCCAGAGGAGAATCTTCTATCTATGGTGTGCCTTCCCCCACCACCCCTAAGTCTGCACCCAGCACTGAGCTCCAGACCTTGGTGATGGCTGGACTCCAGGGTGCGGTGGGACCGGGTATGGGGGCGTGGAAACATGAACTCTACCAGGAGTCTCCACCGTTTACACCAACTTCCTGGTATAAGGACTATCACTGTGACAGGAGGAGGCACTTTCTGTCCCAGGTACCTTCTCCTTCCTCCTTTGTGCTCCCCTCCCCACTCCACCCAAGGGAGCCCCAGTTGGCCAGACAAAGCCATCTACTCACCATTCCGCCCACGACGCCACCTGGGGGACAAAAGAGCTGTGGGTGACATTCCCTCACTCCCTCCCCAGCTGCATACCCTAAAGCTTCTTCCCACCAGTTGGGGGGGGGGCACCATATGGGTGGCTGGGGGCTCAGCATCTGGGCCATGATGTCCCCTTCATCAGACCTGACCACTCAAAAGACCACATTTCCCTCATCCCTGTGTCCCTTGCGGCAGTTGCCTGAGGTCAGAGGGTACAGTGGTCAACCTCTGACTGACCCTCTCATCTCTCTTTGCAGATCTCATAAGTGCAGGGGAAAGGGGTGGGGCAGCAGCTCCTATCCTTCCCTCCCAGCCCTACTCCGGGCCCGGTCAGCTCCTGGCCACTGTACTCACCGAAGCTGTGGCCCAGAATGGAGAATCGATTCCATTTCAAGGCTGGAAATGCAAGGAGCCAGAAGGTCCGGCTGGGCACAGGCTCAGCCCACGATCTTGCTTCTAGTCCCCAGGCTCAGGAAATCCCTTCCCAGCATCTGGGGTGTCCACCCAGGACACTAGCTTGGGGGACCCACTGGAGGAAGCGAACTCTTCAACTTTCCCAAGATCTCCCGTGAATTGCTGGCAGACCTGGGGCCAGAGCCCAGGCCCCACTCTCAGGCCAGCGCTGCTTCCTGGATCCTACCCCGCCTCCAGTGATAAGAGGGGGTGCCCTAGAGCACCCCCCACACCGCCGAAAATACACACTCTGTTTCTTACCTGCCACAACTCTTCGGATCTCACTCACAAAAGTCTGGAGGTAATATGGGACACCTGGGCTGTAATGGGACGAGAGCCCATGACCTCCGAAATCCATGGCAACGTAATAAAAGTCTGAAACAGAGAGAAGCGGGTTGGAGGGTAGGAAGAGGTGTCTATGCCAGCTGTCTCCCCGCCCTCCTCATTCCCCTGCAGACCTCCCCCCTCACCTTCCTGCCCACTTTCCCCCTGGCCTTCCCTTCAGCCCCAGCCTCACACCTTGCGGGAGAAGAGGGATGAGTCTGTCGAAGGAGCTGGCATTGTCCAGCCAGCCGTGCAGGCAGAGAACTGGAGGGCCCTGCAGGGAGCCCCAGGCTTTGGCTGCGATGTGGCCCCAGGGCACAGCCAGCTTCAGCTCTGAGATCAGACCTGAAAGACACAGCCGGGTCTTTCATTCCTTCATTCATTCACCCATGAAGCTGGTGCTCCCTGAGCCCCTTATCTCTCCCTGATGTGCTTGAGCCAGGGGCTCATGTCCAGAGGGACTCAGACCCTTAGCTGCCCCAGAAGGTTATGGGGAGAGAGTCAGACATGGGAGTGGAGACTCCCAGAGGAGGGACAGAGAAGCTAAGCCGGAAAAAGCTGTGACAGGCCTCAGAGCATGCACCCCATTTAAACTGGGGCAGAACCTTCTAGAATGTGCTGGGGCGGGGGCGCTGGTCAGGCCTGGACCCCATCACTTGCTGGCTGGGTAACCTTGGAGAAGTTACTAAAACGTCTTGAGCCTCAGTTTCCTTTCCTGTAAAACCGGAGTAAAGAAACAGCCCGTTTCCTAAGCCTTTCACAAAGGCCAGAGGGGTGCCAAACCCTCACACACGCAGCAGGTGGGAGCACTGTCACTCTCCCTCCACAGAGCAGGAAACTGAGGCACTGGGAGCTGCAGTACATGCCCAAGGTCACACTGGGCGACAGGGGCGGAGTGGAAATTTAGGGCAGGCGGTGGGACTCCAGGACCCACCGCCGCCCCCCACAGCTGGCAGCCTCCTCCGTCTCTGCAAGGCTGGAGACCTGCGCGCCCCCGACACCCACGCGCACGCCCGGCTAACTCAGGGTCTCCTAGAACCCTGGGAGGCCACGTGCGGCCGTGTCCCGGGTCCCCCAACTCCCGGCCGGTCGCGCTCTCACGCCCCGGGACTGCCGAGGAAGGAGCTGCGACACCCAGAAGGGCGACGCGGTCGGTGAACCCTCCACTCCATCCGCCCTCCTCCACAGTCCCAACCAGGTGGGTGGGCAATGGGGCGCTCGCGCGAGGCCTCCCCGTCCCATCTAAGTCTAAGGCGACCTGGTGAGTCTAAGGCGACCTGGTGCGGCGTTCTCAGCCATCGCTCTCGTCTGGCGAATGCGCGGCCGTCACACCCTCACGCCTGCCTAGGTAGCAGGAGGGGAGTGTATCCTGCAGTTCCAGGCCCTGCTTCTAGGCTGTTCCGCCCCGCCCCGCCCCGCCCCAGTCAGGCCACACCTCCACGCCTCACGCCCCGCCTTCGCCCCGCCTTTCCACCGCCATCTCTGCGCCCTGGCAGGACCCATCCCGAGGGCCGCCGGCCCCACCCCTAGGCGGCCCCACCCCTAGGCCGCCCCGCCCCACCCCTAGGCCGCCCCGCCCCACCCCAGGCAAGCCCCGCAACTCCAGCAGTCCCCGCAACTCCAGCCGTCCCCGCCCCCATTCAGAAGGCCCCGCCTTCCCACCGCCCTGCCAGAGCCCCGGCGGGCCCTGTGCCCAGGGCCGCTGGCTCCACCCCAGGAAGGCCCCGGCTCCACCCCCGGAAGGCCTCCGCCCCACCTGCCAGGCCCCGCCCTCACCCGCCAGGCCCCGCCTTCCCACTACCCCATCCGCTCCCACTGGCTGGAACCTAGCAGGGTCCCGACCACTGGGCAGTCCTGTAATTATAGTCACGCGCGACCACGCCCGACTAATTTTGTATTTTTAGTAGAGACAGGGTTTCTCCATGTTGGTCAGGCTGGTCTCGAACTCTCAACATCCGGTGGTGAGCCCGCCTCGGCCTCCCAAAATGCTGGGATTACAGGTGTGAGCCACCCAACCCGGCCTGGTCAAACTAACTTTTAAGTATAAAAATAGCAGATTGTCAGGCCGGACGCAGTGGCTCACGCCTGTAATTCCAACACTTTGGAAGGCCAAAGCAGGCAGATCACTTGAGGTCAGGAGTTCAAGACCAGCCTGGTCAAAATGGCTAAACTGCGTCTCTACTGAAAATAGAAAAACAGCTGGGCGTGGTGGTGCACGCTTGCAATTTCAGCTACTCAGGAGGCTGAGGCAGGAGAATCGCTCGAACTTGGGGGATGGAGGTTGCAGTGGGCCCAGATCGCGGCAGTGCACTCCAGCCTGGGTGACAGAGTGAGTTAAAAAGAAAAAAAAAATAGCAGATTCTCACCAATGTGCAGGAACCCAGAGAATATTGTTCCCAAAGCCTTTCCTGAGGAATTACTAGAAAATAAGCTTCAGACAACCAACGAGACTAAAAAGACATTGACATTAGCCTGGTGTGAACATTAAAGATATATTTACATGGAGAACCAAGAGAAGATGAGGAGTAAAAAGGAGAGGATGGAGTGTAATGGTTACATTCGCCAACAACATAGACAAAGTACAGCTATAAATAGGGGGAGAAAATGGTGTGGGCATATCTTTAAAGTGTGTGTGTGTGTGTGTGTGTGTGTGTGTGTGTGTGTTTTGTTTTTTGTTTTTTGGCCAGGGACGGTGGCTCAGGCTTGTAGTCTCAGCACTTTGGGAGGCCAAGGCAGGTGGGTGGCTTGAGGTCAGGAGTTCGAGACCAGCCTGGCCGATGTGGCGCAACTTCATTGTAGGGAGACCCCCTGAAACTATTGCTATGGAATAAAAGATGAAATGCTCCTGATTATTGTAAATACAAAATTGCATGCAGGATTGTGTAAAGACAATGCCAGGTTGGACTGCCAGAATGAGCCAATAGCACGTGATGTGCTTCCCCCTGCAGAGAGCCTATGAATGGACTTGCAGTCAGGGAAGTTTCACATCACCAAGATTCGTATCCCAGCAAAGCAGATGTTCATAGCTCTGGGAATGGAATGCGACCCTTGTGGAGAGCCTATAAATGGACGCATAGGGGGTGCCTGTCCATATGGATAAGATAGGGCTATAAACGCCCTCATCTTGCCGTGGCTCTTCTAGGCCTCTTTAGGGTTAAGGCATACTCCCTTCTGAGAATTTCTGGTCTAACCGGTTGTCTAGCTTCCTGTTTCCATGGATTGTTTGTAACCAGCTTTTGTTGCAGTTTTTACTACTGATTAAAATCTTGCTAATCATAGGTTATGGAAAGACTGTGTTTCTGTTTTAAGGCTCTGTTAGAAATTACTGACGCACACACTATGTTGTAAATTCTTATCTCTGTATACTATACTTCTACATACAAATGTACTGTACTTCTACATACAAATGTTATGTTAAAGAATTGCTTCATCCCCATGTGACCATCTCACCTCATAATCAAATGACCCTAAATCCCTCACTAACCTACCCCCGACCTCACTAAACTTAATAATAAATGCTGGTATATCCCGTGCATTGTTGGCACTGAGGGACCAGAAGGCAGTGACCCCCCTGGACCCAGCTTTCACTATCTTGTGTGTGTCTATTATTTCTCAACCTGCCAATCCGCTTGGGAACAAAGAGAGAGCCCCGTTGCATTGCAGGCTGCTGGCCAGATCCTGCAATACTTCATCTCTACTAAAATACAAAAATTAGCCAGGTGTGGTGGTGGGCGCCTGTAATCCCAGTTACTTGGGAGGCTGGGGCAGGAGAATCACTTGAACCCAGGAGGTAGAGGTTGCAGTGAGCTGAGATCACACCATTGCACTCCAGCCTGGGTGACAGAGCAAGACTCCGTCTCAAAGAAAAAAAAAAGTAATAATAATACTAAAGTAAAATAAAATGTTTTGGAACTGTTTTTAGTGATCATATGGACTGGTAATGTTATATTTTTATTCTAAGAATGTTTTCGAACATGGGACAAAGCAATTAGTAATTATGTGATATTCAAATTCTATCATCCCCAGTGGCCAGAGAACTGAATTCTTGGTGTAGGGAAAAGGAGTTACAGATGTGAAATAGAAGAGAATGAGTAACATCTTGTCTCCTGAATTTGAATCAGAAGTATCAGTATGTTTCATGAGGCATCTTATCTTAAAAAAAATACACAAATTCACATATACATATACACACACACACAAACACCTTGTAGCTGTGTACTTAGAAAGAGTCTTAACAAAAACATAAAAAGCTTAATCTGATTAACACTCTAGATGCAATGATCAATTTACAGGAGGAAAAAATGAAACCTGTTAACCTATACCACAGGAATGTAACCAGCAAAATCCAGACTATGGGAAGCGATACAAATTAACCATCCCAAATTTTTCAATAAAAAATTGAGAGAGAATAAAGAGATGCAGGGGGAATCTATAGATTGAAAGAGACTCTTAAAAGCAGGCAGTACTAACTATAATATTTAGGGAGACTATATTAATTTTCTATGCTGTGCAACAAGTTACTACAAATTTAGCAGATTTTTTTCTTTTTTTTTGAGATGGAGCCTCATACTGTTGCCAGGCAGTGGTGCAATCCTGGCTCACTGCAAACTCTGCCTCCTGGGTTCAAGCGATTCTCCTGCCTCAGCCTCCCGAGTAGCTTGGAATGACAGGCATGCGCCACCACGTCCAGCTAATTTTGTATATTTAGTAGAGACGAGGTTTCACCATGTTAGCCAGGCTGATCTCGAACTCCCGACCTTAGGTGATCAGCCCGCCTTGGTCTCCTAAAGTGCTGGGATTGCAGGCGCAAGCCACTGCGCCCGGCCCTTTTTTTTTTTTTTTTTTTTTTTTAAGACAGAGTTTCACTCTTGTTGCCCAGGCTAGAGTGCAGTGGCAGGATCTCGGCCCACTGCAACCTCCGCCTTCTGGTTTTCACGCGATTCTTCTGCCTCAGCCTCCCGGGTAGCTGGGATTACAGGTGCCCACCACCACGCCCGGCTAATTTTTTTGTATTTTTTAGTAGAGACGGGGCTTCATCATGTTGGCCAGGCTGGTCTTGAACTCCTGACCTCGTGAGCCGCCTGCCTCGGCCTCCAAAGTGCTGGGATTACAGGCATGAGCCACTGTGCCCAGCTGTTTTTTTTTTCTCTTTCTTTCTTTCTTTCCTTCCTTCCTTCCTTCCTTCTTTCCTTCTTTCCTTCTTTCTTTCTTTCTTTCTTAAGAGACAAGATCACCCAGGCTAGGGTGCCGTGGAGCAGTCATGGCTCACTGCAGCCTTGAACTCCTGGGCTCAAGCCATCCTCTTGCCTCAGCCTCCTGAGTAGCTGGGACTACAGGCACACACCATTACACCAAATTCAGTAGCTTCAAATAACACACATTGTTAGCTCACAATTGGGTAGGACTGTAATGGATTGAATTGTGACTTGTTCTCCCCACTAAATTCACATGTTGAAGTTCCAACTCCTACTACCTCAGAATGTCATCTTATCTGGGGATAGGTTCTTCTCAGAGGTGAACAAGTTAAAATTAAGACATCAGGCTGGGCCATATTCCAATATGACAGGTGTCCTTAGGAAAAAGGGAAATTTGCATATACACATCCAGAGAGAACATCAAATAGAAATGATGTGGTTTTTTATATATTGAGCCAGAGTTTCACTCTTGTTGCCCAGGCTCTTGTTGCCCAGGGTGGAATGCAATGGCACGATCTCGGCTCACTACAACCTGCACCTCCCAGGTTCAAGCCATTCTCTTGCCTCAGCTTCCCAAGTAGCTGGGATTACAGGCGCCCACCACCACATCCGGCTAAGTTTTTGTATTATTAGTAGAGACGGGGTTTCATCATGTTGGCCAGGCTGGCTTTAAACTCCTGACCTCAAGTGATCCACCCTCCTTGGCCCCTCAAAGTACTGGGATTACAGGGGTGAACCACAGCACCTGGCCCAGAATCCATTTTGAAGTGGAGCCAGCAGGATTTGCTGCTGGGTGTTGTGAGAGTGGGAGGAGTCAGGGATGACCCACGGGTGTTGGCCTGAGCAGCTGGAGGAAGTGAGTTGCCGTGAGCTATGGGCACAGCCAGAGCTGGCTTTGTTGACTGTTTTATCTGATGCTGACCACCCACTGACCTACTCTTCTACAGATACATTGAGACTATCACACCGAGGGCCCACGGGCTTCGCTGGTCCGAGACCAAGTGTCCTTTCTCTTGAAGTGTTTGCATAATGTCTGCTTCAATGCACTGTAGGTGGCATGCACTGTAGAGTTTCACTCTCAGGAGGAAATTTATTCCACAACGGTAGCTGCACGTGTCTACCCAAAGATATTAACTTGCTGTGTTACCGACTCCTAGCATTCCTTAAGACTGTATGGCTTTGAACTTCATCTTGAGGCTTCTACACTCTGTGGCTTTGACTTGGCCCTCCTCTGCTACCTTTGGTGATTCTTAGGGGCTGGTACAATTCTTTTTTTTTTTTTTTTTTTTTTTTGAGACGGAGTCTTGCTCTGTTGCCCAGGCTAGAGTGCAATGGCGTGTGATCTTGGCTCACTGCAACCTCTGCCTCCAGGGTTCGAGCAAGTCTCACCTCAGCCTCCGAGTAGCTGGGATTACAGGCACCTGCCACCACGCCCGGCTAATTTTTGTATTTTTAGTAGAGATGGGGTTTCACCATGTTGGCCAGTCTGGTCTCGAACTCCTGACCTCGCGATCCACCCGCTACAGCCTCCCAAAGTGCTAGGATTACAGGTGTGAGCCTCTGCACTCAGCTGGTACAATTCTTTACCTCTCTCTTCATACCCCTCTTTTTTTTGAGACAGAGTCTTGCTCTGTTACCCAGGCTGGAGTGCAGTGGCGCAATCTTAGCTGACTGCAACCTCTGCCTCCTACTCTCAGATCAGCAAAGCCCATGGGCCCTTGGTATGATAGTTCCCAGGTTCAAGTGAGTCTCATGCCTCATCCTCCCAAGTAGCTGGGATTACAGGCATGTGCCACCATGCCTGGCTAAATGTTTTTGTATTTTTAGTAGAGATGGGTTTTCGCCATGTTGGCTAGGCTGGTCTCAAACTCCTGGCCTCAAGTGATCTGCCCGCCTTGGTCTCCCAAAGTGCTGGGATTACAGGCATGAGCCACCATGTCTGGCCCATACCCCGTTTTATCACACATGCATTCCTATGCATGTGTGTGCGCACGCACACACACACACACACACACACTACTCTGCAGGTGACCTTGCCTACACACTAGGCAGGTCACCAGAGTCCTCAGTCCTCCAAAGTCTGGCTCCTGGCCCCACCAATCTTTTAACATACTCCTATTAATACCACCTGTCCTGGCAAATGCCATCCCCAAACTTACAGCTGCAAATTCTTTCTAGAGAGTCCCAATTTATAACATTCTGCAGCAGCTCTGTTCAACAGAAATACAATGTAAGCCACATATGCAATTAAAAATTTTCTAGGACCCTCATTTAAAAACAAAAAGAAACAGGTGAAAGTAATTTTAATAATGTATGCATTTTATTTTACCCAACTTACTCAAAACATTTTTTTTTTTTGAAACAGAGTCTCTCTCAGCTGCCCAAGCTGGAGTGCAGTAACACGATCTCGGCTCACTGCAACCACTGTCTCCTGGGTTCAAGCAATTCTCCCATCTCAGCCTCCCAAGTAGCTGGAATTACATGCACCCGCCATCATGCCCAGCTAATTTTTGTATGTTAGTAGAGACAGGGTTTCTCCATGTTGGCCAGGCTAATCTTGAACTCCTGACCTCAGGTGATCCGCCCGCCTCCAAAACATTATCTTTTTTTTTTTTTTTTTTGAGACGGAGTTTCGCTCTGTTGCCAGTCTGGAGTGCAGTGGCAGGATCTCGGCTCACTGCAACCTCTGCCTCCTGGGTTCAAGTGATTCTCCTGCCTCACCCTCCCAAGTAACTGGGACCACAGGTGCACACCACCACGCCTAGCTAATTTTTGTGTTTTTAATAGAGATGAGGTTTCATCATGTTGGCCAGGATGGTCTCATTCTCTTGACCTTGTGATCCACCCGCTTTGGCCTCCCAAAGTGCTGGGATTACAGACGTGAGCCACCGCGCCCAGCAAAAAACATTACCTTTTTAACATGCAATCAATATAAAAAGTATTGGAATGCTTTACATCCTTTTTTTCCCCTTCATGTCAAGTCTTTGAAATCTGGTATTTTACACTTACAGCACATCTCCGTTCGGAGAAACCACATTTCACAGCTTAATGGCCACACGTGGCTAACTGCCACTGTTTTGCACAGTGCAGTTCCAGGTACTTAACTATCCGCACAGTGGTCAGGCAAAATCAGCATCTGTCTCAGCTGGAAGCTTGTTTGTAATGCAGAATCCCAGACCCACTCAGCCAGAATCTGCCTTTTAATGAGATGCTCAAGTAATTTACACACACATTCCAGTGTGAGACGCATGGGTGGATGGCCATTGTTTTGGTTTGTTCTGGAAAGTATACTTGCATTTTTCAGACTACATGCCTTAATTTTGGTTCTGAAAGCACAATCACTTCGCCTATGATGGCATCTGTATTAGGGTCCTCCAGAGAAACAGAACCAATAAAATACATAGAGAGAAATACAGACAGATTTATTTATTTATTGAGACATGGTCTTGCTCTGTTGCCCAGGCTGGAGTGCAGTGGGGCAATCATGGCTCACTCCAGCCTCGACCTCCCAGGCTCAGGCAATTCTCCTGCCTCAGCCTCCTGAGTAGCTGGGACCATGGGTGTGTGCCACCATGCCCAGCTAATTTTTAAAAATTATTTGTAGGCCGGGCGCGGTGGCTCACACCTGTAATCCCAGCGCTTTGGGAGGCCGAGGCGGGCGGATCACGAGGTCAGGAGATCGAGACCATCCTGGCTAACGCGGTGAAACCCCGTCTCTACTAAAAATACAAAAAATTAGCCGGGCATGGTGGCGGGCGCCTGTAGTCCCAGCTACTCGGGAGGCTGAGGCAGGAGAATGGCGTGAACCCGGGAGGCGGAGCTTGCAGTGAGCCGAGATCGCGCCACTGCAGTCCGACCTGGGTGAAAGAGAGAGACTCTGTTTCAAAAAAAAAAAAAAATTATTTGTTGAGACAGGGTTTTCCTATGTTACCCAGGCTGGTCTAAACTCCTGGGCTCAAGCCATCCTCCTGCCTTGGCCTCCTGGGATTACAGGCATGAGCTATCAGCCCGGCCACCTAAATGATACTCAAATAAAGTTTAAAGACAAGGCAAAGAACTCCCCAGAATATGCACCCTATGCTCCAAAAACAGTTCCCAAAAGTTTGGTCACTGGCATTGCCGCTGTCATCACCGCAAAGCCTCCTGGGGCTACTTGGAAGGACCAGGCCTGTGCAGATGTGCACGCCAGCACCTCTTGGTAGGTGGCTCACGGCCTGTGGCGTCCACTGTTCTGCGAGCCCGGGAGAGTTGTGGTGCCCTCGGTACTGAGCACAGATACACCAATGTTTAGGGCCGCTGCGTCCTTGGACAAATGGTGATGCGAGATGCTCAGGGGAGGTGGGTTGGGGGCGGGCATGAGTCCCATCGCGTCCCCAGGCCTTCGCCCAGCGTCCCACACATTGGGACTCCTACTGTGGCCAATGCCACTGTGACCGCGACTGCCCATTAGCTCGAGTGTGTGGCGCTGTCACCCCCATCTCTGATTTCCTTCAGCTGCTTCCGGCTGAAGAGCGTTTTCGGACTTCATGGGGAGGCTTCTGGAAAGGATTGCAAAAGCAACAGAGGAGCTCTGTCCACTGAGATGGCGGCATGGGTGAGCACCAGGCCTGCCATGGCCAGAGCTTCAGGAGGACAAGAGGCCAGAGCTTCAGGAGGACAAGAGGCAGGACGGGTTGGGGCCTTCAGCTGTGTGGGAGAAAGAGACCTGCTGACACCAGGACTGGCGCCCATTTGGGACAGTGGCTACCAGCCAGGGAATGGGCACTGCTGAGATGTGAGTCTTTGTGTCAGCAATCAATGGCAAGGCGGTAGCATCCTACCTAAGTGCCCCTTCTAGAATGCCTGGACCAACCTTGCTGTTGGTTATTTTTACTTATTTATTTATTTTTGTAGAGATGGGGTCTTGCTATGTTGCCCAGGCTGGTCTTGAACTCCTGGCCTCAAGAAATCCTCCCACCGGCCGGGCGCGGTGGCTCACGCTTGTAATCCCAGCACTTTGGGAGGCCGAGGCGGGCGGATCACGAGGTCAGGAGTTCGAGACCACAGTGAAACCCCGTCTCTACTAAAAAATACAAAAAATTAGCCGGGCGTGGTGGCGGGCGCCTGTAGTCCCAGCTACTCGGAGAGGCTGAGGCAGGAGAATGGCGTGAACCCGGGAGGCGGAGCTTGCAGTGAGCCGAGGTTGAGCCACTGCACTCCAGCCTAGGTGACAGAGCGAGACTCCGTCTCAAAAAAAAAAAAAAAAAAAAAAAAAAAGAAATCCTCCCACCTTGGCCTCCCAAAGTGCCAGGATTACTGACATGAGTCAGGACACCTGGCCTGTTGTTATTATTTTATTATTTTATTTTATTTTGCTTTTTTTGAAATGGAGTCTCACTCTGTGTCACCCAGGCTGGAGTGCAGTGGTGCGATCTCAGCTCACGGCAACCTCCGCCTCCCAGGTTCAAGCGATTCTCCTGCCTCAGTCTCCTGAATAACTGGGATCACAGGCATGCGCCACCACACCCAACTAATTTTTGTATTTTTAGTAGAGACAGGGTTTTGCCATGTTGGCCAGGCTGGTCTCAAACTCCTGACCGTGGGTGATCCTCCCGCCTTGGCCTCCCAAAGTGGTGGGATTACAGGCATGAACCACCACGCCCAGCCTGTTATTGCTATTTTTTTAAATGGTGGTTGTCCATATAAAGTTTTTTTTTTTTTTTGAGACGGAGTCTCGCTCTGTCGTCCAGGCTGGAGTGCAGTGGCGTGATCTCAGCTCACTGCAAGCTCCGCCTCCCGGGTTCACGCCATTCTCCTGCCTCAGCCTCCCGAGTAGCTGGGACTACAGGCGCCCATCACCACACCCGGCTAATTTTTTGTATTTTTAGTAGAGACGGGGTTTCACCATGTTAGCTAGGATGGTCTTGATCTCCTGACCTCGTGATCTGCCCGCCTTGGCCTCCCAAAGTGCTGGGATTACAGGCGTGAGCTACCACCCCTGGCCCATATAAAGTTTTAGAAGGAAGGCTGAAGACATCTATTTGAACCTAAATAGATCATCCTGCTCCCCTACTGCTGTCCCCGTGGAGGGTTTGTGACTCTGCTTTCAACATAATTAATTCCTTTCCCGCTTTACAGCTTTTGAAAGGGCACAGTGGGGGCTGCTAGTATGTTCTTCTCCTAAAAGACACCTACAAACTCAGACACAGACCAGAAACAATGGGGAGTGAACTTTTATTTAAGACTTGCTCAGTGGTTGGCATATCTCCTTTTCCTATTAAGGACGGCTCCTCATGTGCCTCCCTTAGGCATCCAGTACAAGTGTGGACTTTATAATCCCTGTGGCCAGCCAAGGTTGGACCCGGGGTGCTGGTTTCACAACAAGCCTAGGTGTTAGTAGAGGCACATCCATAGATAGCAGGATGGGCTTTTTCCTCTCTCCTTTGCTCCTAGAAAACTCTGCCTCAGCTCCAAATAGGATATTACAAACTATATTAATAGGTAAATAAAAGGAAAGCTGAGTGCGGCGGCTCACGCCTGTAATCTCAGCACTTTGGCAGGCTGAGGCAGGTGTATCTTTTGAGGTCAGGAGTTTGCAAACAGCCTGGCCAACATGGTGAAACTCTGTGTCTACTAAAAATACAAAAATTAGCTGGGCTTGGTGGTGGGCGCCTGTAACTCCACCTACTAGCGAGGCTGAGGCAGGAGAATCGCTTGAACCTGGGAGGTGGAGGTTGCAGTGAGCCGACATCACGCCACTGTACTCCCGCCTGGGTGACAGAGCGAGACTCTGTCTCAAAAAAAAAAAAAAAAAAAGGGAAAGATGAACCACTGTCAACATCTGACTAACGTTCTCTTTAATAGTGGTGCCAGCCAGGCACAGTGGTTCACAGCCATCATCCAGCACTTCGGGAGACTGAGGGGGAAGATCGCTTAAGCCCAGGATTTTGAGGCTACAGTGAGCCATGATTGCACCACTGTACTCCAGTCTGGGTGACAGAACAAGACCCTATCTCTAAAAAAGAAAGAAAGAACAGGTAGATACCTATTCAGGATGATGCCTGTCGATGGCACTAATCACACCTTGTGGCACGGTTAGGAGTTCTCAGTTCCCATTCTCAGTAGCTTTCACCTTTCCATCTTTCTTCACACCACCACGCTGGCCTATCAGTCTTTTTTTTTTTTTTTTGAGTCGGAGTTTTGCTCTTGTTGCCCAGGCTGGAGTGCAATGGCGCGATCTCGGCTCATCACAACCTCTGCCTCCCGGGTTCAAGAGATTCTCCTGCCTCAGCCTCCTGAGTAGCTGGGATTACAGGTGCCTGCCACCATGCCCGGCTAATTTTTGCGTTTTTAGTAGAGATGGGGTTTCACCATGTTGGTCAGGTTGGTCTCAAACTCCTGGACCTCAGGTGATCCGCCCACCTCGGCCTCCCAAAATGCTGGGATTACAGGCGTGAGCCACCGTGCCCGGCCATAGTTATTCATATGTTTATTATTTTTTTCTTTTTTTTTAATTTTTAGAGACAGGGTCTTGCTGCATTGCCCAGGTTGGAGGGCAGGGGCTATTCATAGGTGTGATCCCAGCCCACTGCAGCCTCGGACTCCTGGCGTTGAGCGATCCCCCAACCCCAGCCTCCCAAGTAGCTGGGATTACAGACACATGCCACTGTGCCCAGCTTGTATGTGTTTCCATTCCTTTAGCAAAAATGTGTTGAGTGCCGGTGGAGCAGCAGTGCACCTGCCCAGGAGGCCCGTGGCATGAGGCTGAGTGCAAACAGAAAGGGAGAGTAATTTCCTGGACTTTTACAAAGTGAGGCCCAAGGTTTGAACAGAATGCCCTGGTGAGAGGTTAGCTCATAGACCCCGGTGTGAGTTGAACTCTTAACCTTGTGGAGCAATAAATGAAGGCCTCCAGATATGAAATGATTTGCTTGGTGTCTCCTGCCCGCAACCTGTACATTTTTCTTCTAGAACATGCCTATAGTATTCTTGATTTTTTTAAAGACACTATTTTGAGGAAACAGTTTTAGGTTCACAGCATAATTGAGAGGAAGGTACATTTATATGATTTTTAAACCTTGGAGGAAGAGGATTTTTTTTTTTTTTTTTTGAGAGAGAGTCTCGCTCTGTCACACAGGCTGGAGTGCAGTGGCATGATCCTGGCTTACTGCAACCTCCGCCTCCCAGGTTCCAGTGATTCTCCTGCCTTAGCCTCCCAAGTAGGTGGGACTACAGGCACACACCACCACACCCGGCTAATTTTTGTATTTTTAGTAGAGACGGGGTTTCACCATGTTGGCCAGGCTGGTTTCAAACTCCTGACCTCAGGTGATCCACCCGCCTTAGCCTCCCAAAGTTCTGGGATTATAGGCGTGAGTGTGGCCTAATTTTTTCGTATTTTTAGTAGAGATGGGGTTTCACCATGTTGGCCAGGCTGGTCTCAAACTCCTGACCTCAAGTGATCCTCCTGCCTTGGCCTCCCAAAGTGCTGGGATTACAGACATGAGCCACTGTGCCTGGCCTCACAGGTAATAATTTTATTTATTTATTTATTTACTTTGGGACAGAGTCTCGCTGAGTCACCCAGACTGGAGGGCAGTGGCGTGATCTCAGCTCGCTACAACCTCCGCCTCCCAGGTTCAAGCTATTCTCCTGCCTCAGCCCCCCAAGTAGCTGGGATTACAGGTGCCCGCCACCACGCCCGGGTAACTTCTGTATTTTTAGTAGAGATGGGGTTTCAACATGTTGACCAGGGTGGTTTCAGACTCCTGACCTCAAGTGATCTGCCTGCCTTGGGCTCTCAAAGTGCTAGGATTACAGGTGTGAGCCACTGCACCTGGCCCTCAAAGGTAATAATTTTTGTTTTTTTTTTCAGACAGAGTCTCACTTTGTCACCCAGGCTGGAGTGCAATGTCACGATCTCGGCTCACTGCAACCTCCGCCTCCCAGGTTCAAGCGATTCTCCTGCCTCAGCTTCCCAAGTAGCTGGGATTACAGGTGCGTGCCACCATGCCTGGCTAATTTGTGTATTTTTAGTAGAGACGGGGTTTCACCATGTTGGTCAGGCGGGTCTCGAGCTCCTGACTTCGTGATCCACCCACCTCGGCTTCCCAAAGTGCTGGGATTATAGGCGTGAGCCACCTCGCCTGGCCGAAGGTAATAATTTGAAATTATTGAAAGTTGCCCCACATTTTCTGTAATTACAGTTATTAGGCACAAGGATTCTGGAAAATGTTTCTTTTGAATGTGAACATTTAAAAAAAAATTAAAAACCACATATGCCTTGTATAGGTTGTCTACTATGCATGACATCAGTGGGCTTAATGGTTTTCTCTCAAAGGTGCTTAGCAAATATTTCACAACTAATAGTAGGAAGCTCAGTTAGCCTTGGTGAGGGTCCTGGTCTTAATTCAGGCCTGACTCTGCCCTGACAAACCTGCAGAACTCTGAATCGCACAAGTTAGGTCCAGATTTAAACATTCCCAGAAAGTCCTAGCTGCAAAGGAGATGAGGAAGACATGGTTACAGTGATTTTTCTGGAGTTAGGAACCTTATATTCTAGTTTTGGGAAGACACTTGGCTTCTAAATAGTTTTCTTTACCATTGGTTCTCTTTTCATAGATCTTACTATTTTATAAGTTTAGTTAATGAAAGAAGAGCTTTTCTTTTTCTTTCTTTCTTTTTTCTTTTTTGAGATGGAGTCTGGCTCTATCGCCCAAGCTAGAGTGCAATGGCATGATCTCAGCTCACTGCAACCTCTGCCTCCTGGGTTCAAGCGATTCTCCTGCCTCAGCCTCCCGCGTAATTGGGATTACAGGTGCCCACCACCACGCCCGACTAATTTTTGTATTTTCAGTAGAGACAGGATTTTGCTATGTTGGCCAGGCTGGTCTTGAACTCCTGACCTCAGGTGATCCGCCCACTTCGGCCTCCCAAAGTGCTGGGATTACAGGCGTGAGCCACCGTGCCCCACCTCTCTTTCTTTCTTTCTTTCTTTCTTTTTTTTTTTTTTTTTTGAGACGGAGTTTCACTCTTGTTGCCCAGGCTGGAGTACAATGGCACGATCTCGGCTCACTGCAACTTCCGCCTCCCAGGTTTGAGCAATTCTCCTGCCTCAGCCTCCCATCCTGCTTCAGCCTCCCAAGTAGCTGGGATTACAGGCATGTGCCACCACACCCAGCTAATTTTGTATTTTTAGTAGAGATGGGGTTTCACTCTGTTGGTCAGGCTGGTCTCGAACTCCTGACCTCAGGTGATCCACCCACCTCAGGCTCCCAAAATGCTGGGATTATAGGTGTGAGCCACTGCGCCTGGCCACTTTTTTTTTTTTTTTTTTTTTTTTTTTTGAGGCAGTGTCTTGGTTTTTTGCCTAGGCTGAAGTGCAGTGGTGTGATCACAGCTCACTGCTGCCTCTACCTCTTGGGCTCAAGTGATCCTCCTGCCTCAGCCTCCTGAGTAGCTGATTTGATTCTACAGGCACTGCCACCACACTAGGCTAATTTTTCAAAAAATTTTAAATCAATAAAATGTTTTTACATAGAGACATAGTCTCACTATGTCGCCTAGGCTGGTCTCGAACTCCTGGACTCAATCAATCCACCCACCTTAGCTTCCCAAAGTGCTAGGATTACAGGTGTGAGCCACTGCACCTGGCTTTTAAAAAAAAACAAAAACAAAAACAAAAAAAACAGGGTCTCACCTTACACAGTTCGCTGCAGCCTCAACCTCCTGGGCTCAGGTGATCCTCCCATCTCAGTCTCCCAAGTAACTGGGACTACAGGCACACACAACCATGCCTGGCTAATTTTTTGTATTTTTTGTAGAGATGGGTTTTTGATGCGTTGCCCAGGCTGGTCTCTAACTCCTGGACTCAAGTGATCCACCCACCTCAGTCTCCCAAAGTGCTGGGATTACAAGCATGAGCCATTGTGCCTGGCCAAAAAGTTTTTCTTCACTTGAGTGTCTGATAATAAATACTTCATCTTCATTCCTCCTGGGTGGTGACGAAGTAGAAATTATTTACTTTGGTTTCCAATTATATATATAATATATATATATATAATAATAACAATAATAATAATTTTTTTGAGACAGAGTCTTGCTCTGTCACCCAGGCTGGAGTGCAGTGGCTTGATCTCGGCTCACTGCAAGCTCCGCCTCCCAGGTTCACGGCATTCTCCTGCCTCAGCCTCTCGAGCAGCTGGACTACAGGTGAGTGCCACCACACCCGGCTAATTTTTTGCATTTTTAGTAGAGACGGGGTTTCACCATGTTAGCCAGGATGGTCTCGATCTCCTGACCTCAAGTGATCTGCCTGCCTTGGCTTCCCAAAGTGTTGGGATTACAGGCGTGAGCCACCGTGCCCGGCCAGTCTCCAATTATATTCATAGTAAAAGTCAAAATAACATTTCATTCAATTCTGATAGACAAGGACCTGCCCCAAATTTATCTTTTTTTTTTTTTTTTTTGAGGCAGAGTTTTGCTTCTTCGCCACGGCGGGAGTGCAATGGCACGATCTTGGCTCACTGCAACCTCCGCCTCTCAGGTTCAAGGAATTCTCCTGCCTCAGCCTCCCAAGTAGCTGGGATTACAGGCATGTGCCAGCATGCCTGGCTAATTTTTGTATTTTTAGTAGAGACAGAGTTTCACCATGTTGGCCAGGCTGGTCTTGAACTCCTGACCTCAAGTAATCCTCCTGCCTTGACCTCCCAAAATGCTGGGATTACAGGTGTGAGTCACCGCACCTGGCCCCAAATTTATCTTAATAAAAACTTTTCTTTACAGTATGCAATAGTTTAAAAGAACATTGTAAAAATACATTAAAGTTATGTTTTATTAGTTTGTTTAATTCACGCTTGTCACTGACTGAGTCTAGCTTTCTGCCAAATGGTCCAAATTGGCCCAATTTTCTGTCACTGTTGTCACTTGCCCGGTGCACTAGGCCGGGCATTGACTCCTGATCCAGCTGGGTTGCAGATCAGTGATCCGAATGACCCTGCTGGCTTAGCAAGAAGTGCAGAGCAAGTAATTCAAGCTCTCCACCTCTGAAGAAGTTCAGAGCAAGTAATTCAAGCGCTCCACCTCTGAAGTCCTTGCTGATTGGACTCTTTGGTGACCTCTGTTCCCTTGGGAACTTCATGCTGGAGACAGCGTAGGTATCCACCCCTCAAGCACTGGTGAGGGTTGCCAATGCTGTGCCCTAAAGGTACGACAGAGCCTTAAGGACCTACCCAGTGAGGACAAAAGAAAAGTGAGGGACAGAGCTCTCAGAGCTTTGTAATTGTGTCCATCCTCTCTGTGAAGTCCAGGTTCAATGGGAATAAACAGAGCACCTTTAAAACAGAAAGGGAGGCCAGGCGTGGTGGTGCACGCCTGTAATCCCAGCACTTTGGGAGGCTAAGGCAGGTGGATCACCCGAGGTCAGGTGTTCGAGACCAGCCTGGGCAACATGGCGAAACCCCATCTCTACTAAAAATACATAACTTACCCAATGTGGTGGTCACCTGTAATCCCAGCTACTCGGGGGGCTGAGGCATGAGAATTGCTTGAACCCAGGAGGCGGAGGTTGCAATGAGCCCAGATTGTGCCATTGCACTCCAGCCTGGGCAATAGAGCAAGACTCTGTCTCAAAACAAACAAATAAACAAAAAGTCTCAGAAAGGGAAATGAGCCATTGCAGAGAACAACTGTGTTTTGTGAGCGGGTCCCAACAATGCCACCACCAGGAGCGGGTGCCGCCCGCTCGGCCCCTGCAGAGCCGGGGACCTCAGAGGAAGGGGTGCAGGTGGCGGGGAGGGCCAGGCTGCAGATGCGGGGCCTCATTTTGTTTCCTTGTAAAGTGAATTCCCCAAAGGGTTCTGATGCTTTTGCTTGGCAGAGCAAGGGAAAATAAGACATTTTAAATGGATTCCATTGTCTTTCCTGGTGACAGAGCAGCCTCCCCAGCGTGTTTCCGTGTCTCTGTAGCCCCGTGAGAGCAGTTGCTCCCTTCTCCTCTTAAAACGCGGCAATAATGAGTCAGAAGAAAAAGTGCTTGTTGCCAAAGGCTGATTATTATAGGTCTCCAAGCATTCTGCATCCACCTGCTGAGGAAATCATGGCTTTGAGTGTGCAGAGATTTATTGCCATGCAAGTTCATTTGCAAGTTTAGAAGATAGGAACAGACTAATATTGAACTACAGAGGCAAGGATGGTAGAGTGTTTGAAAGGGTGCAACACAATTTTAAGATCCAGCCAATTCTCCCTCTCATCTCTCCTTCCCATCCCAAGGGCAATAACATCCCGCATCCCCAGGGCCACGCTCTGCATAGCTCTATGTAGCTGGCACATTCTCTAGGACTTGAGCTAACTGGAGCTTGGGGTCCTTGGCGATGACAAGCATGATATGCAGGGCAGCTCTCATCTCACAAGACCAGCTGGTAGGAAGCCCTTCCAAGACGTGGGTGGCCCTGAGCTTGAGCTTAGCTCAGGCAAAGTGGGAGATTGGAAAGAGAAGTGGAGGCAGGCTGGCCATCTTCCTTTTCTCACACACCTGCTGTGGCCTTGAGGAAGTCCTGTAAACTTTCAGGGCCCCAACTACCTCCTTCTCCAAATGGCTAGTGGCCTCCTTGAGCTCCTTGAGTAGGGCCACAGGCCACAGCAGTGAGAGTCCGCTGGGGGGTGATGAGATTTTAGAGAGCCCAAGGCAAAGCGGCACACAGTGTGAAATACCCCATTTCATAGCATGAGCTTGTGTGTATGCCAATTAGTTGGTATAAAGATCAAGGCCAGGCATGGTGGCTCATGCCTGCAATCCCAGCACTTTGGGATTCTGAGGAGGGTGGATCTCTTGAGCCCAGGAGTTTGAGACCAGCCTGGCCAACATGGTGAAACACCGTCTCTACAAAAAAAAAAATTAGCTGAGCATGGTGGTGCATGCCTGTAGCCCCAGCTATTTAGGAGGCTGAGACAGGAGGATCACTTGAGCCAAGGAGGTCAAGGCTGTAGTGAGCCATGATCACACCACTGCACTCGAGCCTGGGTGACAGAGTGAGACTCTGTGTCAAAAAAAAAAAAAAGATCAAACTCAGATTCTACCCAGGGTTTCAAAGATGAACACTTACAGAGGGATGTGGACCTGAAAGGAAGTATCTGGAGAATTTTAACTGCATTCAGTATGCTTTGAAATTGTGTATGGGTAAAAATGGGTCCAGTTGCCATCGCAGGTTGGGGGAGAGCTGGCAGGTGATGGGGAGGAGGGCAGCTCGCATGCAGAACCATGATCAAGCAAAGGGGATCTGAGAAGGTGGCTCCTGGTTCGTGGAGCTCAAAGACAGCGGGTGAGGGTGGGTGGGGGAGGCTGGGCCAGGGAGGACGCCTAGGGAATGGCAGGTGCTCTGAGTTGGAAAGCGCCCCCAAGAAATTCATGGCTACCTGGTACCCGTGAATGTGACCTTATCTGGAAATAACGGTCTTTGCAGTTGTAATCAAGTTCAGATGAGGTCACACCCTCATCCAATGACTGGCATCCTTAGAAGAGGAACATTTTGACACAGAGACACTGCCCCAGAGGAGCAATGGCCACATGAAGACGGAAGCAGAGGTCAGAGCGATGCTCCCACAAGCCCGGCAATGGCAATGACTGCAGGTGTCTTCGTCTGCTGTGGCTGCTAAAGATGTGGTAGACTGGGAGGCTCAAACAACAGACATTTGTTTCTCACAGTTCTGGAAACTGGAAAGTTAGAGATCAAGGTACTGGAAGATTCGGTTCAATCTGGGGAGGGCCTCTTCCTGGTTTTAAGCATGGCTGCCTTCCTACTTCAGACCTCACATGGCAGAGGGGGGAGAAGAATGAGAGAGGAGAGCGCGAGAGAGCGCGCGATCCCCTGTCTCTTTTTTCTTTTTTTCGGACATAGAGTCTCACTCTGGCTGGAGTGCAGTGATTTGATCTCAGCTCACTGCAGCCTCTGCCTCCCGGGTTCAAGTGATTTTCCCCCCTCAGCCTCCTGAGTAGCTGGGATTACAGGCACCCCCCACCACACCTGGCTCATTTTTGTATTTTTAGTAGAGATGGGGTTTCACCATGTTGGCCAGGCTGGCCTCGAACTCCTGACCTCAAGTTATCCACCCGCCTCGGCCTCCCACAGTGTTGGGGTTACAGGTGTGAGCCACTGCACCCGGCGTCCCCCATCTCTTCTTATAAGGGCACTCATCCCATCATGGCATCAGGGGGCTCTACCCCCATGACATCATCTAACCCTGATTACCTCCCAGAGATGTCACCTCCTAATACCATACCGAACTGGGGATTAGGGTTCAACAGATGAATTTTGGGGGGACACATACACTCGGTTCATAACAGCCAGGAACCACCAGAAGCTAGAAGAGGTGAGGAAGGATCCCTTCCTTGATGTGACACCTTCATTTTACACTTCTGGCCTCTGGAACTGTGAGAGAATAAAGTCTGTTGTTTTAAGCCACCCAGTTCATGGTCATTTTACTTTAGCTGTGGTAGAAAGCCCAGGAAAAAGTCTCCAGAGTGAGCTGGGGGACACACCTGCCCCTCACACCCTTGGCCATGGTCACCCAAGGGTCTCCTTTCCTCCACATGCCTCCTCCCTCTTCCACCAGGGGCACGGGCACCATCCAAGTGCAGCCTCTGCAGGCGGGGGAGACTCCTGCACGGACTTCCTGCAGAGTCAATTCTGTAGTAGACACCAGTCGGGTGTCCTCTGCTTCCACTCAGTCCCAACACTGTCTACCTGGAGATGTCCTCAGGTCCCGCAGGTTGAGGACTTCGTCCCACAAGACCTGAGCCCCACTCCCAAAGCTGATCCCAAGCCCAGGTTATTTTGAGTTTGCTTCTTCTTCTTTCTTTCTTTCTTTCTTTATTTTTGTTTTTGAGACAGGGTCTCACTGTGTTGCCCAGGCTGGAGTGCAGTGGTGAGATCTTGGCTCACTGCAGCCTCCACCTCCTGGGTTCAAGCGAATCTTCTGCCTCAGCCTCCCCAGTAGCTGGGACTATGGGCCTGCGCCACCATGCCACACCAATTTTTGTATTTTTAGTAGAGATGGTGTTTCACCAGGTTGGCCAGGCTGGTCTTGAACTCCTGACCTCAAGGGATCCACCCACCTCAGCCTCCCAAAGTGCTGGGATTACAGGAGTGAGCCACCGTTGACTAGCCTATTTTGTGTTTGCTTCTGACCAACCAGCCATAAATTGGGGTTTCCACAGCCCTCTCTTTGGGTTCACTTCACTTGCTAGAGAGGCTCAGAACTCGGGGGAACACTTACTCAGGTTTACCATGTAGGGGTGAAGGGAAAACTTCCCCTTCGCCCTCTGAAGGTTCATGGAAAATCAACTCTCAAAAGGCAGATGAATAGGAGAAAGGGATGCGCATTTATTTGATTATAGTTTTACCTGTCACAGGAGACTTGGGAATGAAGACCCAAAGATACAGGGGAAATTGTCCATTTTCATACTGAGGTTCAACACAGTATGGGCAGCTGTGGAGACATAGGATTGGACAAAAACGATCTGATCTAATGCTAGCAGATGGAGTGGGGAACCCAGCAGGGCCTGTCTGGCTAGATTCCTCTTGGTCTCTCTGAGCAGAGTTCCTTCTGGGTGTGGGGAGGACCCTCTTTGGAATGGTGGTCTTATTATTATTATTATTATTTTTGAGACAGAGTCTTGCTCTGTCGTCCAGGCTGGAGTACAGTGGTGTGATCTCAGCTCATTGCAACCTCCGCCTCCTGGGTTCAAGTGATTCTCCTGCCTCAGCCTCCTGAATAGCTGGGATTACAGGTGCATGCCACCATGCCTGGCTAATTTTTGTGTTTTTAGTAGAGATGGGGTTTCACCATGTTGGCCTGGCTGGTCTTGAACTCCTGACCTCAGGTGATCTACCCACCTAAGCCTCCCAAAGTGCTGGGATTACAGGCGTGAGCCACGGCGCCTGGCCTGGAATGGGGGTCTTTTGGTCTACAGTCAAACAAAGTAGGCCAGAGAATTTCTTTATGGCCAGTTTTTACACAGATAGGGCAGAGGGGAAGTTAGAGTCATACTTTAGGTTGTATGGCTGGTTTGGGGGAAAGGGGTTCTGGTTTCTGTGACCCACCCTGAGGAAGAGAGATTCTAGTCTCTATGGCCAGCCTCAGGGCGGAATGAGGGACCACAGACAGGAGGGCAGGAGAAGGTCAGAGAGAAACTTTTGCTTCTGAGGCTGCTGCTGAGGCCTTCATTTTGGGGCATCATTTTCTGAGCCCCAAATCTCCTTTAGTATAAAGGAGCCAGCCTCGGCAACATAGCAAGACCCTGTCTCAATCAATCAATCAATAATCTAGGCGTGATGGCACACACCTGTGGTCCCAACTACCCGGGAGCCTGAGGTGGAAAGATCATTTGAGCCCAGGAAGTTGAGGCTGCAATGAACCGTGAACATGCTACCGCACTCCAGTCTGGGCCTCAAAAAAATATATTTAAAAATTAAAAAAGCAGCCAGATGAAGAGCCATACAGGCGAGGGTCTGGAAGGGCCCCGAGCGCAAGAACTCCTGTCCCCGTGGAGTTGGGTGGGCCACCCCCAGCATGTGGATGTGTTCCTGTTCACTTTCCCGGAAGCCCCCGTGTGTCTGGCTGCCTGTAAGCTCTCCGAATCCAGTCCTGTTGGGGTTTTATGGAAGCCTCATTATGCAGGCGTGATTGATTAAATCAGTGGCAATTGATAATCAACTCAAACTTCAGCCCCTCTCCTTTCGGGGAGATTGAAGGATGGGGCTCAAAGTCCTAATTCTCTAATCTTGTCTCGGTCTTCCCGGTAACCAGGCCTCCTCCAGAAACCACTGGGGGCTGCCAGTCACCAGCCAAACATTAGCATACAAAAAGACACTGTCCTTTTGGAGGGTCCAAGGATTTTAGAAGTCATGTATCAGGAAATCAGGTAGAAGACTAAATACATATGTCACTGTGTCTGTATTAGCCTGTTTTCACGCTGCTGATAAAGACAAAGCCAAGACTGGAAAAGAAGTTTAATAGACTCACGGTTCCACGTGGCTGGGGAGGCCTCACAATCGTGGCAGAAGGCGAAAGGTGGCGGCAAGAGAGAAATGAGCCAAGCAAAAGGGGTTTCCTGTTATAAAACCATCAGATGTCGTGAGATTATTCACTACCATGAGAACTGCCCCCATGATCCAATTATCTCCCACAACACGTGGGAATGATGGGAGCTACAATTCAAGATGAGATTTGGGTGAGGACGCACCCAAACCATATCAATATCACTACTCCCCTTTCACTCACCCCACTTCCTGTTTGATGGCAACCTCGATTTCCTTTTTTAACTTTTATTTTTTACTTTTTGGGATGGAGTCTCACTCTGTCACCCAGGCTGGAGTGCAATGATGTGATCTCGGCTCACTGCAACCTCTGCCACCCTGGTTCACATGATTCTCCTGCCTCAGCCTCCTGAGTAGCTGGGACTACAGGTGTGTGCCTCCACACCTGGTTAATTTTTTGTATTTTTAGTAGAGATGGGGTTTCACCATGTTGGCCAGGCTGGTCTCGAACTCCTGATCTCAGGTGATCCACCCACTTTGACCTCCAAAAGTACTGGGATTACAGGCCTGAGCCACTGTGCCTGGCTGTCAACCTCGATTTCTTGAGTCTACCAAGCAAGGTCCTTGGGGGTCCTAGGAGCCCTCAGAGGCTTCTCTGCCTCTGCCTTCTTGCCCTTAGGTTTGGTTCCTCCCACACCAGCTAGGGCAATCCTTTAAAAACCCTCAGACCGCTGGGAGGAGGGTACTGAATGCTCCCAGCACAGTGACATGATAGACATGATCAAGAAGATGGATATGCAAAATATCTTGATCTGATCACTACATACTGTATGTATCAACACATCACTGTGTGCTCCATAAATATGTACAATTATTCTATGCCAATTAAAAAATGAGATAAAATAATATTCTGATTTTTTTTTGAGACGGAGTCTTGCTCTGTCACCCAGGCTGGAGTGCAGTGGCACGATCTCAGCTCACTGCATTCTCCGCCTCCTTGGTTCAAGCGATTCTCCTGCCTCAGTCTCCCGAGTAGCTGGGACTACAGGTGCGCACCACCATGCCTGGCTAATTTTTGTATTTTTAGTAGAGACAGGGTTTCAGCATGTTGGCCAGGATGGTCTCGATTTCTTGACCTCATGATCCACCCTCCTCAGCCTCCCAAAGTGCTGGGAATACAGGCATGAGCCACCGCACCCGGCCCTGATTTTTTTTAAGTAAGCCCAATTATATTATTCTGTTTAAAACTCCCTCATGGAGCTCCCCTAGAGTAAAAGCCAATGTTCTTGCCATGGCCTGTAAGGTCAAACAAAACCTGCCCCCTTCCTTCTCTCGGGCCTTATCCTTATCCCCCCATTTACTGTGATCCAGCCACTTGTCCTTGCTGCTTGGGGATCCTGCTGTTTAGAGGTGACCTGTGTCCAGGCTGGTGTCTGTTGGTAATGCACAGTTTTTTGTTTTTTGTTTTGTTTTTGTTTTTTGTTGAGACAGAGTCTCACTCTGTCACCCAGGCTGGAGTGCTGTGGTGTGATCTTAGCTCACTGTAACCTCTGCCTCCAGGATTCAAGCAGTTCTCCTGCCTCAGCCTCCAAGTAGCTGAGATTATAGGCGCCCGCCACCACACCCAGCTAATTTTTGTATTTTTAGTAGAGACGAGGTTTCACCATGTTGGCCAGGCTGGTCTCGAACTCCTGACCTCAAGTGATCTGCCCTCCTCGGCCTCCCAAAGTTCTGGGATTACAGGTGAGAGCCACCACGCTTGGCCCAGCATAGTTCTTAATAGTGCCACTTTCACTCCTGAATGGCCCTGGTTTGGATGCATCAACCTAAAGAAACTGAGGTCAAATTAACATAGGTAGAGAGTTTATTTTGGGCCAAAGCTGAGGACTACGGCCTCAGACACACTGGGAAGTGCCCTGGAGAACAAAGGAGAGACTGGAGTTTTTAAAGAAAAAAGGATCGGGCTGGACGTGGTGCCTCACGCCTGTAATCCTAGCATTTTGGGAGGCCGAGGTGGGTGGATCACTTGAGATCAGGAGTTCAAGACCAGCCTGGCCAAACATGGTGAAACCCTGTCTCTACTAAAAATACAAAAATTAGCTGGGCATGGTGGCACGTGCCTGTAATCCCATCTACTCAGGAGGCTGAGGCAGGAGAATTGCTTCAACCTGGGAAGCGGAGGTTGTAGTTAGCCAAGATTACGCCATTGCACTCCAGCCTGGGGGACAAGAGTGAAACTCTGTCTTGAAAAAAAAAAAAGAAGGAAAGGAAAAAGGATGAATCAGGCTGAGCACAGTGGCTCACACCTATAATCCCAGAAGTTTTGGGAGGCTGAGGTGGGAGGATTGCTAGAACTCAGGAGCTGGAGACCAGCCTGGGCAACATAGTGAGATCCCTATCTCTATTTAAAAAAAATCAGCCGGGCATGGTGGTGTGTGCCTGTAGTCCCAGCTACTTGGGAGGCTGAGGCAGGAAGATCGCTTGAGCCTGGGAGATGGGGGCTGCAGTGAGCCACAATCACATCACTGCACTTTAGCCTGGGCCATAGAGCAGGAACCTGTCTCAAGGAAAAAAAAAAAAGTATGAAACAGGAGAGAAGCGATTACAGAAGTTATGTTACAGGAATTCTCATTGGTTTATTGAAATCACATTGATTAGAGTATGAGTTATGGTATCCAGCGAATGGCATGGTTAGGTTAATTTATGGCTGTTGGTGTTGATAGTCAGTCTAGGGTCCCAATAGCAGGTGGCTTTAGGGGCGGGTGGGGGAGGGGGCTTGTAACTGCCATCACATTTCAATGCCTCTCTGGGCCTGATGATTTAAAGGGGGCTCTCGGCAGGGCACAGTGGCTCACGCTTGTAATCCCAGTACTTTGGGAGGCCGAGGTAGCAGGGGATCACCTGAGGTCAGGAGTTTGAGACCAGCCTGGCCAACATGGCGAAACCCCATCTCTACCAAAAAATACAAAAATTAGCCAGGCCTGGTGGCGGGCACCTGTAACCCTAGCTACTCAGGAGGCTGAGGCAGGAGAATTGCTTGAACCTGGGAGGCAGAGGTTGCAGTGAGCTGAGATTGCACTACTGCACTCCAGTCTGGGCGACAGAGTGAGACTCCTTCACAAAAAAACTAAAATATAATAAAACAAAGTCAGCTAATTAGCAAACTTCATTTCATCTTCAACCTTCATTCCCTCTTGCCACGTAACATAACATATTCACAGGTACCAGGGATTAGGACATGGACATCTTGGGGGAGGCATCATCCTGCTACCACAGTGAGGATGCTACTTTGAACAGGGTGGTCAGGGAGGGCTTCTGTGAGTAGCTGGCATTGAAAGGAAGATCTGAAGCATAAGAAGGAGCTGACAACATCAAGTGGCAGCTTCTCAGGCAGAGGGAGTGCCACGTGCAAAGGCCCCGGGGCAGAGAAGAGATGGGTGTGTTTAGGAGCAGGTGGGATCTAGAGTGGCTACAGCACACTAAGGGGAAGAGTGACCCCAGGTGAGGCTCAGAGGGAGGCTGGGATCAGATAGTGCAGGTGCACTGGTTTTCTCTCCCAGCCTAGGTCATCATAATTAGTGTGATTTCCATGCCATTGTCAAACACAAGCTTGATTCTGTGTGTGAGATGGCTGTGTTTTAACAATGTGTGATTCTTGTAGATTTGTTCACGAAGTTGTTTGAGATCTGGCTGTAAGACACAGGCAATTGTTACCCATTCATAAGGTCACTTTTTCTTTTTTTTTTTGAGACAGAGTCTCACTCTATTGGAGTGACTGGTGCGATCTCGGCTCACTGCAACCTCCACTTCCTGGGTTCAAGTGATTCTCCTGCGTCAGCCTCCAGAGTAGCTGGGATTACAGTTGTGCACCACCACACCTGGCTAATTTTTGTATTATTAGTAGAGATGGGGTTTCACCGTGTTGGTCATACTGGTCTCGAACTCCTGACCTCAGGTGATCCACCTGCCTCGGCCTCCCACAGTGCTGGAATTACAGATGTGAACCACCACGCCCAGCCCCAGTCACCTTTTAAATTTACTGAATAGACTGATTCATCCTTCTAAGAGAAGGGATAGCCAGGTGCAGTGGCTCACACCTGTAATCCCAGCACTTTGGGAGTCTGAAGTGGGTGGATCTCTTGAGCCCAGGAGTTTGAGACCAGCCTGGGCAACATGGTGAAATCCTGTCTCTACAAAAAATTAGCTGGACGTGGCTGGGCGCGGTGGCTCACGCCTGTAATCCCAGCACTTTGGGAGGCTGAGGAGGGCAGATCACGAGGTTAGGAGATCAAGACCATCCTGGCTAACACGGTGAAACCCCATCTCCACTAAAAAAAAAAAAAATACAAAAAATTAGCTGGGCATGGTGGCAGGCACCTGTAGTCCCAGCTACTCGGGAGGCTGAGGCAGGAGAATGGCGTGAACCCAGGAGGCAGAGCTTGCAGTGAGCCGAGATATAGCCACTGCACTCCAGCCTGGGTGATAGAGCAAGACTCCGGCTCAAAAAAAAAAAAAAAATTAGCTGGACGTGGTGGTGCATGCCTGTAGTCCCAGCTTCTCGGGAGGCTGAGGCAGGAGGATTCACACCCAGGAGGCGGAGGTTGCAGTGAGCTGAGATCGTGTCACTACACTCCAGTCTGGGTGACAGCACGCAACTCTGTCTCAAAAATAAATAAATAAATAAATAAATAAATAAATAAATAAATAATAAATAAATAAATAAAAATGGTAACCCTAGTTTGCATAATGGTTTTGAGCTATGAACCTAGACTTAAAGGGAATACATTGAATAAATCGAATGACCATGGAGAATTAGATGAGACCTGTTGTAACCAAGTGACTTGTTTTCTTATTTTGTGTATTTGGGTCTCAACTTCCCCAAAGAAATTTATCCAGGTGTGGCATGTAGTATTAGCAATAGCACAGACATTTCCTTATCCAACCAATAAATAATATAGAGCAAATTCATCATCTAGTATCCCACAACTGGGATGCATTAAAGCCGAGTGAACAACAGTTCTATTAGGGATGTTGCCAAAGTTACCCACTAGGTGGCCTAAAGGATCTCTTAGGTCAGGTTCTGTCAAGTTACCAGCAGAAGCTACTGATTGGGAAGTTTCAGTTGCATCATTATCCTGCCAAGTGGAAAAAATTGGCATAAGCAGGGAAGAATTAAGAGGGACAAGAGGCTCATGATGGGGACTCTTGTTCTGTTGTCTTGGGAAAAGCCACCCACAGCATGAAGCCATCAACTGCTTGTCCTGGTTTACAGTTAGACTGTCTCTGCTCATGGCATGAGGCAGTCCAGTGAACTTTCTATATGGTCCATAGATCACACACAAGACTCATCCCTTAAAATTCATTTAGTTTCAGCTTATAGTGCCTTAGGAACAGAGCAATTCCCATTCTTAGTATTCTATGGAAGAAAGTTGGATTGGAGGAACCAAAAATAATTTAGGGTCAGGTGGGTACGGTGGCTCACGCCTGTAATCCCAGCATCCCGTGCACGCCTCAACCAGGGTAAAAATCTTTATGCTGTATGCAGGCAGATGTGCACAGAAATAGAACTAAAAATGGTCTATAACTGATTCCCTTGAGCTCGCAAGTCCCCACTCTTGCTCACGGCAAAAGAGAGAAAGGAAATAACACCAGGAACATGCTCATCAGAGCTAACTCAGCCTCTTCAGTCTTCCAAAACTCCCTTCCTCATTAACGCGTCAAGATTAAAGTTCAAGTTCAGGTTCAAGTTCCGATCAAGTGTCTCTCCCTGCTCCTTTCTGAGATGCTGCTAGGGTGCGGGGTAACTAGGGCACCCTCCTGGCTCCTGCCTCTCAGCCATGGCCAGGGCGGTTCCTGGACCTTCCGTCCTGGTGTCCACGAGGCGATACCATCATGCATTATTCTCAACCTCCAGCCCAGGGCTCCCAGCCTGGCCTCTGTACCCCAATCTCAGTCTTTTGATTCATCAGGGCCTGGGCTGCTTTTCCCACTCCACACTAGAGAGTGTAGGCTGGGTGTAGCCTCACACTAGATCTGTGAGGCTGCCTTCCAGGCCACTGTCCTAGACCCTTTCCTGGCCATTTCCAAAGCATGCCTGAGCAGCCCCTGTCGTTCTGCTGCCATGCTCACCGCAGGCCTTGCTACCACTGTGTTAACCCCGAGGAGGGAATCAGGACGCTGACATCTGATCTCCTGTGTCTTCCTACTGATGGGAACTTCCCTAAGTCACACCTTCAGACCCTGTGCACTGCTTATAATCCAAGTCCAGGATTCTGTTATTTACGTCTTAAAGCAGAGCCTTTGGAATTTAGAAAATCTCTTTTTTCTCTGAAAGCTCAGTTTCAAGACTACCGAATCACATGCACTTGGAGTCAGTCTTAATACTTAAAAGTGAAAGCGTCTTTCTTTCTCATCACCTACCTACTATGAAAATCATAATTATCCTTGAGGCCAACAGAAGCTTCTGACTGAATAAGAGAAGGAAAAAATATTAATACATCTAAGATAGTATCTGGCCAGGTGCGGTGGCTCATGCCTGTAATCCCAGCACTTTGGGAGGCTGAGGTGGGCAGGTCATTTGAGGTCAGGAGTTCGAGGCCAGTCTGGCCAACATAGTGAAACCCTGTCTCTACTAAAAATACCAAAAAGAAAAAAAAAAAAAAGAGCCTGGCATGGTGGCACACACCTGTAATCCCAGCTACTCGGGAGGCTGAGGCACGAGAATCGCTTGAACCCAGGAGATGGAGGTTGCAGTGAGCCAAGATTGCACCACTGCACTCCCGCCTGGGTTACAGAGTGAAACCCTGTCTCGAAAAAAAAAAAAAAGATAGTATCCCTCTTTTACTTGTAGCATAGCACTTATCACAAATGTACTAGAATTGTTCCATATCTGTCATCCTAAATAGAGAGGAATTACTTAAAGGAAGGGCACAAATCTTACTCACTTTTTATGTCAAGTGCCTAAATATTGTGCCTGGCACTTTATACGCTCCCAGAAACTATTGGATAGATGGATAGGTGGATGAGTGTGTGGATGGGTGGGTGGATGGTGGATGGATGGATGGATGGATGGATGGATATGTGTGTGGGTGGATGGATGGGTGGATGGGTGAAAGGATGGGTGGGTGGGTAAGTGGATAGGTGGGTAGGTGGGTGAAAGGTTGGTGGATGAGTGGATGGGTGGATGAGTGAGTTGTTGGCTGGATGGGTGAGTGGATGGATGGATGGGTGGGTGGATGGATGGGTGGGTAGATGGGTAGTGGATGAGTACATGGGTGGATAGATCAAAAATAAAATGGGGATAAAAGGGATTGGAGATAGGCAAAGGAAGAGGTCATACTTTTTTCCTTGATGCCAACAATAAAAACTCTTAAAGCGTCTTACATGTACCATGACTTGCATCCAGACAACAGGAGACTTCTTGCCAACAGCCACATGAGTAAACCTCCTTGGAAGAAGATCCTCCAGATCTAGTCAAGCCTTCGGATGACTGCAGCCCCAGTGGACACCTTGACTGCAACCTCATTAAGATCTTGAACCAGAACCACCCAGATAAGCCACTCCCAAATTCTTGACCCACAAAAATCGTGAGATAATAAAAGCATCCATTGCTTTAAACCACTAAGTTTTGGGATACTTTGATATGCATCGATAATTAATAAACCTAGCAAACTTCAGCCTGTATCTCATTGTCCAAAACTGTGTCACTTGGCCACCCTGAGATACAGAGGGAGCTGGGAATATAATACGATAGTTGTAGTCATTTTAAAAGGACCATATTAGAACAAAATCGTGGTTCTATTCTTAAGGAAGTGGGGCAGAATGGATACTGGCTGTGCTCTTGGCAGTAACAGCCAAAGGAGGTTACATTTTAGCCAAACCTCACAGGTTGCAAAGGAGAGGAAGGGCATTTGGAGCTGAGAAAACAGCCTAATCAAAGGTATAGAGGCAAGAGAGTTCCTAACGAGAGCAGGGAATGGCTCCTAGTAAGTTCTGGGTAAATGCTAGCCCATGACTATTAATATACATAAGCAGAGGATTCTGTAGAAAGGATTTGTATTTTAACCTAAACTGTAAATACATATTGCATTATAGAATGAGGCATGAAACTGACTCATAAATGTGAGCTATCGTTATTTCTGGCTCTCTACTTTAGCTGTGTTCAGTTCCTTGGGTTAATTCCTAACAAGCCTGTGCTTTCTCTTGCATTTGCTCTGCTGCTGTTGCCAGAGGTCTGCCTTTTTCATGAGTCTTAAAGATCCAGCTGCAGTTTTGTGTATCCTCTATTCATTTTTTTCTTTGATTAATTTCTGTTTTTATCTTTATGATTTTCTTGTTTCATTCCTTCTACTTTTGTTTTTGTTGTTTTATTCTACTCTTTTTCTTACTTTTAGAGTTGGACACTTAGCTCATGAATTGGGAATCTTCTTATTCTTTTTTTTTTTTTTTTGAGATACAGTTTCATTCTGTCACCCAGGCTGGAGTGCAGTGGCGTGATCTCAGCTCACTGCAACCTCCGCCTCCCAGGTTCAAGCCATTCTCCTGCCTCAGCCTCCCGAGTAGCTGGGATTACAGGCAAGTGCCACCACACCTGGCTAATTTTTGTATTTTTAGTAGAGACGGGGTTTCACCAGGTTGGCCAGGCTGGTCTTGAACTCCTGACCTCAAGTGATCCACCCACTTTGGCCTCCCCAATTGCTGGGATTACAGGTGTGAGCCACTGCGCCCAGCCTTTTTTTTTTTTTTTTTTTTTGAGACAGGGTCTCACTCTGTCATGCCGCCCAGGCTAGAGTGCAGTGGCACAAACACAGCGCACTGCAGCCTCAACCTCCTGGGCTCAAATGATCTTCCTGTCTCAGCCTCCCAAGTCGCTGGGACTACAGGTGTCCACCACCACGCCCGGCTAATTTTTGTAAAGATGGGGTTTCACCATGTTGCTCAGTCTGGCCTTGAACTCCCAAGCTCAAGCAGTCTACCTATCTTGGCCTCCTAAAGTGTTGGGATCACAGGCATAAGCCACCAGGCCTGGCTGAATCTTCTTCTTTTCTAATGTGCGCAGTTAAGGCTGTAAATTTCCCTCTGCATACTCCTTTAGTGATATTCTTCGAGATTTATCACACAGTGACTTAATTATCTTTCAGTTCTAAATATTTTCTGATTTCCCTTATGATATCTTCTTTAACTTTTATGTTAGGCAATCCATGAATTTAAATTTTAAAACATACGGGTTTAGAAAATCATTTTATAATGTCTTTCTAACCTGATTGCATTGTAGCCAAATACCAATTTATTGTACGTGTTGAGCATGACACTGCGACCTGCTACACATGCAGTCTAAAAAAACTTTTTTTTTCATTTCAGTCTTAAAATTATTTCTTCAAAGACAACATGTACAATTTTTGTAAAAGTACTATGTGTGCTTGGAAAGATATAGTCTCTAATTCTTGGGTATAGGAGTCTCTTATTGCCCATTCATCTTTAGGAGAATATCTCCATTTTTGCCTGCTTGGTCTGTCAATTCCTGAGAGATGGATAGGATGCAGATTATGACTTTCTACTGTAATATTACATGTGGTGGCCATGGACTTACACCGCTCAGATTCCCCTTCAAAGGGACCTGACCCCAGTTGCTCCCAGGCAATGACTAATCACCAAGGGGGTGCTGGAGCCCCACCACATCTGCCTGGTGCAAGACTCCTCTAACAGTCATTGCTTGGAGACTCATCATCTGCCTGGCCAAGCTTGCTCAGAGTCCTGCTGCAGCCTGAGGCTTCCTTCTTCCCTCCCTCCTTTATACGTCAGACCTGCCTCTGTGGCCTGAAGGCTCTCCTGCTACTTCTTTGCTTCAGTCTCACTCTGTCTCCCAGCCTGGAGGGCAATGGCATGATCACTGCTCACTGCAGCCTCAACTTCCAGGGCCCAATGCAATCCTCCTGCCTCAGCCTCCGAAGTGGCTGGGACCACAGGCATGTGCCTTAGTGCCTAATTATTTTATTTTTCGTAGAGATGGGGGTCTCCCTATGTTGCCCAGGCTGGTCTCAACCCCCTGACCTCAAGCAATCCTCCTGCCTTGGCCTCCCAAAGTGCTGGGATTACAGGCATGAACCACCATGCCCAGCCCCTAGCCTGCTTCTGCACTCTCTCCCCTTCATCCTTCGCCAGATCTCTTGTGTATCTAATGCCATCTTGGTGTTTATTTCTTGAAATCCAAACTAGCACAGGGAATTTGTCCATTTCTCCTTGTAATTCTGACAATTCTTGACGTATTTTGGGGTACATGAAAGTTCTTATATATTGCTGATGAATTGTTCCTATTATTGTATATGATAATCCTAATTCTTAATAGCACACTTTATCAAATGTCTATGCCCCTGAACAATACATAGTATTGTTCTATATTTTTGCAACTTTAAAGTTGTTTTGAAGTATTCCTCTCCAATTTATGTTTTTGAGGTTTATTCATGTAGATATGTGTAGTTGCAGTTTATTTTTACTGCTTTACATTAATCTGTTATGTGAATAAAATACGATCTATTTATCTCCTCTGTTACTGAAGGACACATAGCTTATTTCCAAATTTTCTCTATTGCACATAAGGCTACTGTAGACTATCTTTTCTTTTCTTTCTTCTTTTTTTTTTTTTGAGATGGAGTTTCGCTTTTGTTGCCCAAGCTGGAGTGCAATGGCGTGATCTTGGCTCACTGCAACCTCTGCCTCCTGGGTTCAAGTGATTCTCTTACCTCAGCCTCCCTAGTAGCTGGGATTATAGGCATGTGCCACCACCCGCATGCTCATCTTCCACATGCGCCCTGCTAATTTTGTATTTTTAGTAGAGATGGGGTTTCTCCACGTTGGTCAGGCTGGTCACGAACTCCCTACCTCAGGTGATCTGCCCGCCTCAGCCTCCCAAAGTGCTGGGATTACAGGTGTGAGCCACCTCACCCAGCCTGCTGTAAACATTCTTACGCATAGAACATGGTGTTCATATACGAAAGTTTCCTTAGGATATTTGCCTGGCAATAAAACTCCTAGGTCATAGCACATGTACATCTTCAATAGAAAAAATGTCCAATTGCTCTCTGCAGTGTTTGTCCTTATTCACACACAACTAGCACAGATATGGGTTTTCTTGTCTCCATATCTTTGCCTATACTTGGTATTATTAGGCTCTGATATTTTTGACAATCTGATACTATCTTATTGTGGCTTTTTATGTATGTATGTATGTATATATGTATTTGAGATGGAGCTTTGCTCTTGTCACCCAGGCTAGAGTGCAATGGCGCGATCTCAGCTCACTGCAACCTCCGCCTCCCAGGTTCAAGTGGTTCTCCCACCTCAGCCTCCCAAGTAGCTGGGATTACAGGTGTGCGCCACCATGCCTGGCTACTTTTTGTATTTTTAGTAGAGATGGGGTTTCACCATGTTGGCCAGGCTGGTCTCGAACTTCTGACCTCAGGTAATCTGCCCGCCTTGACCTTCTAAAGTGCTGGGATTACAGGTGTGAGCCACTGCATCAGGCCAGCTTATTATTATTATTATTATTATTATTATTATTAGAGACAGAGTCTCACTGTATCACTCAGGCTGGAGTGCAATGGCATGATCACAGCTCGCTGCAGACTTGACATCCCAGGCTCAAGCAGTCCTCCCGCCTCAGCCTCCCAAGTAGCTGTGACTACAGCCATGCATCATGCCCAGGTAATTTTATTTTATTTTTGTAGAGACTGGGTCTCACCATGTTGCCGAGGTTGGTCTCAAACTCACAGGTTGCAGAGCTCAAGCAATCTGCCTGCCTTGGCTTCCCAAAGTGCTGGGATTACAGGTGTGAGCCATGGTGGCCGGGCCCAGTGGCTCACACCTGTAATCCCAGGACTTTGGGAGGCCGAGGTGGGTGGATCACCTGAGGTCAAGAGTTCAAGACCAGCCTAGCCAACATGGCAAAACCCCGTCTCTACTAAAAATACAAAAAAATTAGCCAGGTATGGTGACGCGTGCCTGTAGTCCCAGCTACTTGGGAGGCTAAGGCAGGAGAAGTGCTTGAACCTGGAAGGCGGCAGTTGCAGTGAGCCAAGATCGTGCCATTGCACTTAAGCCTGGGTGACAGAGTGAGAACCTGTCTCAGAAAAAAAAAAAAAAAGAAGGCATCTTGCCCGCAGCTATTCCATGTTGTGACCATGGATGGCCCTGTCTGCTGCTGCAAGTCATTCTTGCAAATAAAATAATTATCAACTTGTCTATATGCATAACATACTTTATATAAACTCTATCATATCAGTGGTGTTCCAAGAACAAATTTGGGAATCAAAATAAGTCTTAAAATCGGCAATGTTGACACATGAAGTGTTATTTGCAGTGACACATGAAGTACTGTTAACCTTGCTAGGAAATCCAAAAATTACATTATTTGAATATCACCCAATAATGGTCACTGGTTTTTCCCGTGTTGTAATATGCCCTATAGGCTACAGTTCTTTATAAATAGTATTAAGCTTAATGTTTCTTATTTGTCAAATACATTTTTAGGTGATTGGGTTAAGAGTATGAATCATGTTGGAAGCATTTTAGGAATAGCTTATGATTTGGGGAATTCCCAAGAATTCCTGGGAATTCTGATTTCTTATTCCTGCCTGAATCTTAAACTTTAATATCTGTCAGAATTTGGAAACGGTTTTACTCATTGAGGCAATGTTGCTTACTTGAAAAGCACACCATTGCTTCTATTAAACATTTTTTTTTCTGTCAAAAGAGAGCTGGAGTAATATCATAATTTTTTGAGACAGGGTCTCACTCTGTTGGCTAGGCTGGAGTGCAGTGGCACAACCATGGCTCACTGCATCCTCAACCTCCCAGGCTCAGGGGAGCCTCCTGACTCAGCCTCCTGAGTAGGTGGGACTGCAGGTGCACACCACCACACTCGGCTAATTTTCAAATTTTTTGTAGAGATGGGGTCTCACTCTGTTGTGCAGGCTAGTCTTGGAACTCCTGGCCTCAAGCAATCCTCCTGTCTCAGCCTCCCAAAGTGCTGGGATTACAAGCATGAGCTACGACACCTGGCTCTCCACTACCGCTTCTTGAGTTGGTATAGCATAGTGTTTAAGAATGTGGACTGTTGTAGCCAAACCTTGACCTGTGACCAGGGCAAGTTTTAACCCCTCTGTGACTCAGTTTCCCCATCTGTAAAGGGAGTATGATAGTAATCACACCCAGTTCTGAGGGTTAACATGAGAATTAAATAAATAAGAGGCCGGGCATGGTGGCTCACACCTGTAATCCCAGCATTTTGGGAGGCCGAGGCGGGCAGATCACTTGAGGTCAAGAGTTCAAGACCAGCCTGGCCAAGATGGTGAAACCCTGTCTCTACTAAAAATACAAAAATTAGCTGGTTGCGGTGGTGAGCACCTGTAATCCCAGCTACTCAGGGAGCTGAGGCAGAAGAATCACTTGAACCTGGGAGGCAGAGTTTGCAGTGAGCCGAGATTGCACTATTGCACTCCAGCCTGGGTGACAGAGCAAGACCCTGTCTTTAAAAAAAAAAAAAAAAGAAAGAAAGAAAAAGAATTAAATAAATAAGGAAAGGTACAAACCACCACACTCGGCTAATTTTTACATTTTTTGTAGAGAAAATCCTTAGAACAGTGCCTGGTGTACAACAACCACTCAATAAATGAGACATTATTATTGTTTCCAAGTCTTTTCTTCCTCTGGGTTGACTTTTCTCTTTCATAAAGTGCATTTTTACTAGTACAGCATTTCCAGTGAGTGTGGCAAACAGCCTCTGTCTTCATTCTAAAATATATATATTTTTGCCCTCATCCTAGAACAATAATCATGCTAAGCATAGGATTCTAGGTTGACAATTCCTTTGAAAACACTGCTTAGCTGCCTTCGGAGATTTTGGTTGCTGTTGAGAAGTCTTCTGTCAGCAGAATTGTTACCCGTAGGTGAGGTGCCTTCTTTTTCTAGTTGTTCCTATGGTTGTCTTTGTGTCTTTTGTAGCTTACAGTTTCTCTATAGCGTGCCGAGGTGTAAATTTATTCTTACTTATTGCTCAGAGCCATTTCTGCTTCTTGAGCCCAACGAGTTAGGTCTTCTACCAATTCTCAAAAAACTGTCCATGCGATTTCTTTGAATCTCACCTCTCCCTTTTTTCTTTTCTTTTCTTTTTTTTTTTTTTTTTGTTTTTTGAGACAGAGTTTCGCTCTTGTTGCCCAGGGTGTAGTGCAATGGTGTGGTCCTGGCTTACCACAACCTCCGCCTCCCCAGTTCAAGCGATTCTCCTGCCTCAGCCTCCAGAGGAGCTGGGATTACAGGCATGCACCACCACGCCCGGCTAATTTTTTTGTATTTTTAGTAGAGACGAGGTTTCACCATGTTGGCCAGACTGGTCTTGAACTCCTGACCTGAGGTGATCCTCCCGCCTCAGCCTCCCAAAGTGCTGGGATTACAGGCGTAAGCCACTGCGCCTGTGCCCTTTTCTTTTAGAATTCCTATTAAATGAGCAGCATGCCTTTCAATTTATTCCCTGTGTCTCTTAATCTCTCCTGACTTTTTTTTTTTTTTTTTTTTTGTATATTTCTCTCTCCACTCTGCATTCTGGATTTTTTTTTCTTTTTCTGTTTTGAGACAGAGTTTCACTCTTATTGCCCAGGCTGGAGTGCAATAGCACGATCTCGGCTCACCACAACCTCTGCCTCCCGGGTTCAAGTGATTCTCCTGCCTCAGCCTCCCAAGTAGCTGGGACTACAGGCATGCGCCACCACGCCCAGTTAATTTTGTATTTTTAGTAGAGACAGGGTTTCTCCATGTTAGTCGGGCTGGTCTTGAACTCCTGACCTCAGGTGATCCACCCACCTCAGCCTCCCAAAGTGCTGGGATTACAGGCATGAGCCACTGTGCCCAGCCTAGATATTTTTTTTCATATCTTCTAGTTTATCAATTCTCTCTTCATCTGTGTCCAATCTGTCATTAAGCCTGTCCTAAGTGTTAAATTTCATTATTGATATTGTTCATTTCTAGAAGCTCTATTTGGAGCTTTATGTTTTGTTTCATACTTTTTATTATAGAAAATTCAAATGTATATAAAATTAGAGACAATGGAATAAACCTCTCTACTTATTAACCTTTTTCTTATTTACTCATTTTTTTTTTATAGAGATGGCATCTCACTATGTTGCCCAGGCTGGTCTCGAACTGCTGGGTTCAAGCAATCCTCCCACCTTGGCCTTCCAAAGCACTGGGATTACAGGTGTGAGCCATGGTGCCTGGCCCTGTGTAGTTATTATTCACCTTCAACAAGTACCGACCCATATCTCATATTGTTTCATCCATGATCCTTCCTATAGCTCCCCACTCTGAGATTATTTTGAGGCAAATCTCAGACACCATATCATTTCATCCATAAATATTGTTCAAATCTGTCTATTCTAGCCAGGTGCGGTGGCTCACGCCTGTAATCCCAGCATTTGGGGAGGCCGAGGTGGGTGGACTGCTTGAGCTCAGGAGTTCAAGACCAGACTGGGCAAAATGGCGAAACTCTGTCTCTAGAAAAAATACAAAAATTAGCCTGGTGTTGGTAGCTTGCACCTGTAGTCCCAGCTACTTGGGAGGCTGAGCGGGGAGGATCGCTTGAGCCCAGGAGGCAGAGGTTACAGTGAGTTGAGATCACACCACTGCACTCCAGCCTGGGTGAGGGATTGAGACTTTATCTCAAAAATAAATAAATAAAATTAGCTGAGCATGGTGGCATGCGCCTGTAGTCCCAGCTGCTCGGGAGGCTGAGGTGGGAGGATCTCTTGAGCCCAGGAGGCAGAGGTTGCAGTGAGTCAAGATTGCACCACTACACTCCAGCCTGGGTGACAGAGCAAGACCCCATCTCAAAAAAAGAAAAAAAAAATCGGTCTATTCTTGGTGTCATGATGTCTCACTATCTTCTTGAGAGTTTGAATCTTTTATTTTGGCCTTTAATCATCACGAACATTCTTATTCGATATTCGCTTTTGGCCTGCTATTCTGTTATCTCAGAGTCTCGGCCTCTATTCCTTCTGTGTGTACTGTCTGTCCCTGTGCTCCAGGTGACCCCTTTCCTTGTGTGTACTGAGATTTGATTGTGAGCTCATCTTCAGTGGAGCATGTTTTTCGCGTGGGAATTTCCTGCTGCTGGAGTTGTAGAAATACCCCTCCACAGCCATTTTGCAGCTGCCACACCAGGTGGCCCAGAGTTAACACCAGCCTCGTACCAATTTTCTTCTCTTGGCATAGGAATCCCAGGCCATGCATGAAGTACAAATTTGGACCTCAAACCCCCTCAAAGCACAGATATGAGGCTTGGATTTTTCAAGGGATCCTTTTGTAGCATGTCCCCCAGGCCCCCACTGCTCTATGCTCCTGCTATGATAAACAAGCTTTCTTGTTATCTCCCTGTGCCAGAGGGTAGGTTTTTTTCTAGCCCATCTTTCACTGAGAGATTTGCCCTCAGAGGAGTCTGGCTTTTGCAAGGAGGCATAGATTCACCTCTCTACTCCTGTCAGCTGAAGATCTTATCTCCAGTCTCAACACAGCCACCAGAACCAAGGCCCCTGGTTGCTGGCTCTGATAACCCCTGCCTTCTCTTACGTGCCTCCTGGAGGCAGCTGTGGGACAGAACCCTGTGCTTACCATTCTGGCTTTTCCCTCTTTGTTTCTGGCCCCTGGGGATATTCCTTTCTTGCTTGCTAACTCAGCCACACACTGGCATTTTATTTATTTACTTAGATTTTATCATGAATTTCTATGTTTTTGTAGGGAGAGGTTTTTCCCATGACCCTAGTCAAATATAATGTTAGACTGGAGTTCCTTTCATTGGTAAAGCCAGTTTAATTTGGTTTTATTTCTTCCTTGCAATTTAAAAAACCTAACTGATCAATGATTGCAGCAACAGGCTCAGATCAGACCCACCTGCCAGCAAAGCTGCTGCAGAGGTGCACCTGTCTCTCTCTGAGCCTTTCCTCGCTAAGGAGCCTGCACCTGCACTGGACAAAGGCAGGTCTGCTCACAACCCAGGATTCACAGGTGACTCAACACTTCAGTCTGAATGCAGCCCCCTGCAGAGCCTTTGAGGACAGAGCCTGTGCCCTTTATTTGGTCCAGATCGGCTGCGGTTTTTGCTGCAGGAAACTTGCTGGACAGTGAGTGCTCTGTCATGTTCCCATTTTGCAGAAACTTCAGCATTCTGGATTTTGCTATGATATAGCCACTCTGTCATTTTTTTCTTTGTAAATAAGCAACATCATCCATAATACTGATTTGTAGAACTGCCACTAAATAGCCAGCCAGCAAAAAATGACCCGCGTCTTCATAACCTAGTTCTTTTCCCGGCAAAGAAGAATCTAAGAGATGGAGTATATTTCCCCCTGTCACTGCTATAAATCTTTAGCCCTTGTGCACAATCACTGCTGTGCCATTGCTCATGTTCTTGGCTCGATGAGGGCCCACACTTGTCCCTTCCAAGCCCGTCTCTGCTCTGCTGCCAAACCGATGAGAGACATAATTTGGGCAGGCCATGACCCTGTCAAAAACCCTCCTCAGAAGGGCTTTTCTGTGGGATGTCCTAAAGTTAGTTATGGTGACACAACTCTGTCAATATACTAAAACCCATTGACTTGCATACTTTAAGCAGGTGCATTTTACAGTATGTAAATTCAACCTCAATAAAGCTGTTTGTTGGTTTTGAGACGGAGTCTCACTCTGTCAACCAGGCTGGAGTGCAGTGGCGCAATCTCTGCTCACTGCAACCTCCGCCTCCCGGGTTCAAGCAGTTCTTGTGCTTTGGCCTCCCAAGTAGCTGGGATTACAGGTGTGCGCCACCACACCCAGCTAATGTTTGTATTTTTAGTAGAGCTGAGGTTTCATCATGGCCAGCCTGGTCTCGAACTCCTGATCTCAGGTGATCTTTCCACCTCGGCCTCCCAAACTGCTGGGATTACAGGGGTGAGCCACCACGCTTGGTCTGTTTGTTTGCTGTTTAAGTGTATGAGAATTATAGGGAGAAAACCTGCAAGGCACCCAAGCCCTGCTGGAGCTGGTCCTCCACGTGACCTTAATCTCTAGCCATAGCAAACTTCTTACTGCTCCTCTCAGGCACCACCATGCTCCACGGCGCCCATGACCTTCCACAAGCTGTCTCTTCTACCTGGGATGTTACTGCCGCCACCATCTCCCAGCCAACTCCTAGTTATCGTACAAAGCCTAGCTCTAACTTCGCTTTCTCCAGGAAGTTTCTGTGACCCTCGGTGAGTCTCGCAGTATCCTGGTTTACCTTTGCCACTGCTCCCATCACATCAAACTGACACTTTGTCCCATAGGACTGTCAAAGGGTCTTAGTCACCTCCGCATCTCTAGGACCTGTCTTGGTGCCTGGTACCTCCAAGATGTCAATGTTTGCTCAACTGGCCCCAGCTGATCTCGTGGGTCTCCTTATTGAATATTGAGCCCGCTACAGAAAGCAGGTGCTGCATCCGAGGAGCATTTAGGCGGCGCCAGCTCACCTCAAGCTACAGAAACATGTGGTCCTAATTCCTTCCTCGCTCTCCTCTTTAGCTTTTTCTTAACCTCTGATTTCAGTTACCAATTAGCAATTTAGCAAGAAACACCTTCTTTGTCTTTCCGAAATGTGTCTCTACTAAGGTACCTTTTCCTTGGGGTAAAAAAAAAAAATAGGGGACGGGATATACTAAGTGAATGGGGGAGGGGAGCCAATTAACATTCAGCTAAGAAAGAAAATGATTTCTCCTATCAGTAGTAAAAACTGACAGCTCTATCAGAAAACGAGCCCGGGGAGCCACAAAGCCTGGCAAGGCAGGGTGGGGAGGGAGGCGTCTGCAGCCCTAATCAGGAGTGATAAAGATGGCTGAGGGCAGAGTCCGCTGCTGGGAGCCAGGGAATCCAAAGGATTCAGGCGTCCAAAGGAATCACCTCGGGAGGTGGAACAGTTGCCTTCCACCTCCTCCCTCCTGTCTGATCTGGCCCCAGGCAAGAGGACTGGTACTATTCAGGTTTTATACCTGAAACTTACAGCTCCGACTCTCCAAACGGCCTCTCTCTATGCACTCCTTTCCTCTGACCTTATCATAAAAGGCGGCCACGTGCTGTCTATTCATGGTAGCAGGATGGTCTGGGGAGAGGAGGCTCCATGCGCGAATTCCAGGGTTGATGAAATT